>NC_000005.10:8760000-10010000 GCF_000001405.40 Homo sapiens
ACTTTGAGCTTGAGAGAGATGATTTAGGGTATCTGGCAGAAGAAATGTCTCAGCTGCAAAGCATTCAAGAGTGCTGCTTGGGTGCTGCTAAAGGCATTCACTTTTCAAAGTGAAACAGAATAAGAGTTCACAAAATTTGCAACCTGATGTTGTGATAGAATAGGAAAACACATTTTCTGAGGAGAAATTGAAGCATGTTGCAGAAATTTGCATAAGTAACCAGGAGCCAAATATTAATTGCCAAGACAATGGGGAAAATGCCTCTAGGGCATGTCAGAGAACTTTGCAACAGCCCCTCCCATCACAGGCCCAGAGGCTTAGGAGAAAACAATGGTTTCCTGGCCAGGCCTAGGGCCCCCTTGCTGTGTGCATCCTAGGGACTTGGTGCCCTGCATCCCAGCTGCTCTAGACATGCTAAAAGGAGCCATGGTACAGTTTGGGCCATAGCTTCAGAAGATGCAAGCCACAAACCTTGACAGTTTCCACGTGGTTTTGAGCCTGTGGGTGCACAGAAGTCAGGAATTGTGGTTTGGGAACCTCCGCCTCAATTTCAGAAGGTGTATGAAACCACCTAGATATCCAGGCAGAAGTTTGCTGCAGGGGTGGGGAACTCATGGAGTACCTCTGCTAGAGAAGTGTGAAAGGAAAATGTGGGGTTGGAGACCCCACAGAGAATCCCTACTGGGGTAGTGGAGCTGTGAGAAGAGGGCCACCATCCTCCAGACCGCAGAATGGTAGATCCACCATCAGCTTGCATTGTGCACCTGGAAAAACTGCAGGCACTCAACACCAGCCCATGAAAGAAGCTGGAAGAAAGGCTGTACCCTGCAAAGCCACAGAGATGGAGCTGTCCAAGATCATGGGAGCCTATTTCTTGCATCAGCATGACCTGGACGTGAGACATGGATTCAAAAGAGATTATTTTGGAGCTTTAAGATTTTACTGCCCCACTGGATTTGGGACTTGCATGGGACTTCTGTCCCTTCATTTTGGCCAATTTCTCCCACTTGGATGGGTGTATTTACCCAATGCATATACCCCCATTGTTTCCAGGAAGTAACTAACTTACTTTTGATTTTACAGGCTCATAAACAGAAGGCTCTTGCCTTGTCTCAGATGAGACTTTGGACAATGGGCTTTTTGAGTTAATGCTGGAATGAGTTAAGAATTTGGGGGACTGTTGGCAAGACATGACTTGTTTTAAAATGTGAGGTATATGAGATTTCGGAGGGGCTAGGGGTAAAATGATATGGTTTGACTGTGTCCCCCCATCAAATCTCACCTTGAACTTTAGCTCCCATAATTCCCACATGTTGTGGGAGGGACCTGGTGGGAGATAACTAAATCATGGGAGTGGTTCTCTCATACTGTTCTCAAGGTAGTGAATAAGTCTCATGAGATCTGATGGTTTTATAAGGGGAAACCCCTTTCACTTGGCTCTCTGACTTTGCCTGCTACTATCCACATAAGACATGATTTGCTCCTCCTTTCCTTCCCACCATGATTGTGAAGCCTCTCCAGCCACGTAGAACTACGAGCCCATTAAACCTCTTTTTCTGTATAAATTACCCAGTCTTAGGTAAGTCATTATCAGGAGCATGTGAACAGATTAATACACCCTCCCATCACAGGCAAAGAGGCATAGGAGGTAAAAATTGTTTCATGGGCTGGGCCCAGGGCCTTGCTGCTTTGTGCAGTCTCAGCACTTGGTGCCCTGCATCCAAGCTGTGGCTAAAAGGGGAAAATGTACAGCTCAGGTCATTGCTTCAAAAAGTACAAGCCCCAAGCCTTGGTGGCTTACACATGGTGTTGGGCCTGTGGGTACACAGAAGTAAAGATTTGAGGTTGGAACCTCCACCTAGATTTCAGAGGATGTATGGAAATGCCTGGATGTTTGCTACAGGGGTGGGACCCTCATGGAGAACTTCTGCCAGGGCAGTGTGGAAGGGAGATGTGGGGTCAGAACCTCCACACAGGGCCCTCACTAGGGCACTGCCTAGTGGAGCTGTGAGAAGAGAGCCATCATGCTCCAGATCCCAGAATCATAGATCCACTGACAGCTTGCACTGTGCACCTGGAAAAGCTGAAGACACTTCAATGCCAGCCTGCAAATGCAGCCTGGAGTGTAGGTGTAATCTGCAAAGCCATAAGGGTGGGGCTATTCAAGGTCTTGGGAGCCCACCTCTTGCATCAATGTGAGCTGGATGTGAGACACGAAGTCAAATGAGATTATTTTGGAACTTTAAGGATTAATGACTGCCCTTTTGGATTTTGGACTTGCATGGGGCCTGTAGTCCCTTTGTTTTGACCAATTTCTCCCATTTTGAATGGGTAAATATACCCATTCAATGCCTGTATCCTCATTGTATCTAGGACATAATTAATTTGCTTTTGATTTAACAGGCTCATAGGGGAAAAGGACTTGCCTTGTCTCAGATGAGACTTTGGGCTTGGACTTTTGAGTTAATGCTGGAATGAGTTACGCCTCTGGGGTACTGTTACGAAGGCATGATTGGTGTTGGAAAGGCATAATTGTGTTTTGAAATGTGAGGACATGAGATTTGGAAGGGCCCAGGGGTGGTTTACCTCATGCTGTTCTCATGATAATGAGTGAGTCTCACAAGATCTGAGGGATTTATAAATGTATGGCATTTCCCCTGCTCGCACTCATTCTCTCTCCTAACACCCTGTGAAGAGGTGCTTTCACCATGATTGTAAGTTTCCTGAGGCCCCCCAGCCTTGCAGAACTGTGAGTCAGTTAAATCTCTTTGCTTTATGAATTACCCAGTCTCAGGTATTTCTTCATAGTGGCATGAGAGTGGACTAATACAGTCATAGAGTCAGATAGACCTTGGTTTGGGCCTGGCTCCACCACTTTCATGTGTGTGACCTGAGTCAAGCTTCTTCATTCCTATAGTCTCAGCTTCACCATCTGTGCAAAGAATGAAAATATCTCTTCTCTCTTAGCACAGCTTAGATAAATGAGGACATACATCTAATGCATCATGTCTGGCACATGCAAAGGTTAAATTAATGTAAAATGTCATTAGCAATTGATTAAAATATATTAAATTACAAAAACTAAAATAAATATATGCTCTTCACCTTTGTTGTTGTTTTGCTTTGTTTTGTTTTGTTTTATTGAGATAGGGTCTCACTCAGTCACCCCGGCTGGAGCGCAGTGGCGCAATCTCAGCTCACTGCAACCTCTGCCTCCCAGGTTCAAGCAATTCGGGTGTCTCAGCCTCCCAAGTAGCTTCTATTACAAGCATGCACCACCATGCCTGGCTAATTTTTATATTTTTAGTAGAGAAGGGGTTTTACCATGTTGGCCAGGCTGGTCTAGAACTCCCAGCCCCAGGTAATATACCCGCCTCGTCCTCCCAATGTGCTTACAAGCATGAGCCTCCATGCCTGTGCCTGCTCTTCATCTTATATAAAATTCAGGTTAATTAGAAAAATATCTATTCTTTGGTCTTATTACCTTAAATTAAGAAACCTCTGCTTTTTTTTTTAACTTTAAATTCTGGGATATATGTGCAGAATGTGCAGGTTTGTTACATAGGTATACGTGTGCCATGGTGGTTTGCTCAACCCATCATCTAGGTTTTAAGTCCCGCAGGCATTAGGTATTTCTCCTAATGCTCTCCCTTCCCTTGTGGCCCACCCCCTGACAGGCCCCGGTGTGTGATCTTCCCCTCCCTGTGTCCATGTGTTCTCATTGTTCAACTCCCACTTATGAGTAATAACACGTGGTGTTTGATTTTCTGTTCCTGTGTTAGTTTGCTGAGAATGATGGTTTCTAGCTTCATCCGTGTCCCTGCAAAGGACATGAACTCATTCTTTTTTATGGCTGCACAGTATTCCATGGTATATATGTGCCACATTTTCTTAATCCAGTCTATCACTGATGGTCATTTGGGTTGGTTCCAAGTCTTTGCTATTGTAAACAGTGCTGCAATAAACATACATGTGCATGTGTCTTTATGGTAGATTGATTTATAAGTCTTTGAGTATATACCCAGTAATGGGATTGCTGGGTCAAATGGTATTTCTGGTTCTAGATCCTTGAGGAATCACCACACTGTCTTCCACAATGGTTGAACTAATTTACACTCCCACCAACACTAGTTTTAAGGGAAAGTCCTATAGCAAAGTTTGCTTTTTGTATTTTTTGTTTGTTTTTCTTTGAGGTTTATTTATGACAGTTCAATTGTGCAGTCTCAGACTTCCAAAGGGCCTAGATACCTGAGGAGTTACGATGTTTGAAATTTGTACCAGTTCAGCATCAACGCTCAACCCTGTCTAAATAACAAATATGCAACAAGTTTTTCCTAAGTTTAGACATTCTACTCCTTTTGGTAAATATAAATAAGCATTCTTTGATGGGTGTATTTGAAAGGGCAATAAGAGAGTATATTAGTCTGTTCTCACACTGCTAATAAAGACAGACTCAAGACTGGGTAATTGATAAAGGAAAGAGGTTTAGTTTACTCACAGTTCAGCATGGCTGGGGAGGGTTCATAAAACTTACAATCATTGGGAAGAGGGAAGCAAACACGCCCATCCTCACCTGGTGGCATGGAGAAGAAAAATGAGTGCCCAGCAAAGGGGGAAACCCCTTATAAAACCATCAGATCTTGTGAGAACTCACTCACTATCACGACAACAGGATGAGGGAAACCACCCCCATGATTCAATTATCTCCACTTGCTGCCTCCCATGACTTGTGGGTTTATGGGAACTCCAATTCAAGATGAGATTTGGGTTGGGGCCACAGCCAAATCATATCAGAGAGCTAAGTATATGAGTGTTTTTGTGTCATTTAGGATATGGGAGACAGAAACCACTCAGTAATTTGAACGAGGAGGGCAATATATGCATATATATAGATATAGATATAGATATATACACACACACATTCATACACACACACACATACATATGTGTGTGTTTAGATAGATGATAGATATAAATTATATCTATATCTATAGATGTAGACATATTTATATATATTTATATCTATAGACAGATATAAATTATCTATCTATACACTTATCTATAGAAATTATCTATGCAATTATCTATCACATTGATAATTTCTATCTATCTATCTATCTGTCATCTATCTATCTATAGAGAGATTATTAAGAGGAGATGAAGCCAGGTTCAGTAACTAGCACCTATAATCCCTGCTGCCCTGCCCTGGAATGCTGAGGCAGAAGGATGGCTAGAGGCCAGGAGTTCAGCCTTAGCAATATGAGCCTGTATCAAAAAAAAAAAACTTTATTAGGTTAGCTGCATAGTCGTGGTACACGCTTCTGTGCCTGTAGTCCCAGCTGCTCACTACTCGGGGACGAGGCAGGAGGATCACTTGAGGAGTTTGAGGCTGCAGGTGAGCTATGATCACATCCCTGCACTCCGCCATGGGCAACAGAGTTAGACTCTGTCTCTAAAACAAACAAACAAAAGAGAGGAGGTGAAAAAAAACCGGAAAGGATACCTAGGCGTACCAAGAAGGGAGCAATCCTGGTCTGATGGGCACACCCCCACCAAGTTCCTCTGAGGCTGAGACTCTGTTGGAGAGGGGATGGTTTCAGCTCACTGGATGCCATGAAAGTAATGAAAGTGGCTGGATAGCCCCTAGTCGGAGCTGGCCCACAGTCCACTCCTGGCTGAGCCTGGTAGTGAGTACTCTGCAGGCCAGGAGGGGCCACAGCCTTGCTAGAGCGTGAGTATGGATGCAGATCTACAGACCTGTACTTAGTGACTTGAAGAGGTGAGCTGAAGAGCGAGAAATACTCAGGGGGCCAGGCCACATCACAGAATAAGACTATAAGGGCATATTTGGAGAGGAGACCATGACAAATTGACAGCTGGTACAACTGATTTCCCAACATCATCTCTGCTATGTTTTAACTCACACATTCCATTTTGTGTTTTCTGTTTTCCAAAACGCTTAAACCTGACAACTGGTGATGGACCTTAGCACTAAAAGACCAAGGATTAGTTCAACAAAAAGCCACATGCGACAACATGGCCAGTGTATTATCTTAGGAAGGAAGTTAGGATGCAGTGTGCAACTTCAATGAAAACTTGGTGATAACAATTCAGTTGCTCAACAACAGATGAGTGTTTAGTACATGTCAGGCTGTCGGGGAAAAATGAGCATCTTATTTCATATACAAACATTAAAGAACAGACTTTTTAAGAGCAATTAATATGTGTAAAATGAACACACACATAGGAATTTGGTTATAATTACAATGAAAAAATTTTTAAATTGCACTGGTAGAGTCAGTATTGTAAGGTAAATGTCTCTTCTCCGTTTCTCTCTCTCTTAGAAAGTTTTTCATAGTATGAATAATGTTTTAAATTATTTTTATAAATTCAAGATTGTAACACTCTACTTTCTTAAAACTAGATGATCATAAAACCGATAGTGCCACATATACTTAATATCACCATCCCATCCTGTTATGATTATGTCTGAACTCAGGTCATTCTTCACTGATAATGCCAAGCCATTATCTCTGTATAGTTATTGTCCCCTCCCTAGGAAGGGCAGGAAGAGAGATGGCTTTAACTTCACATGACAGGATTAATGCCACAGTTGTTGAGATAAGCTCACAACATAAGCCAGCAATTCTTTATCCAAACAAGAGTCCAGGTTGCAATCCTCCGAAAACACCCTGGAGGGTATTAACAGTTGCTGTAATCTATGTAATGAATTGGACTTTTATACTCCTTCAAAGAAAGGCTGCTTCCTAATTGGCAGCCTAGGAGGTTTTTTTTTTTTTTTGGATCCTGTACTTTGGAATAAATAAATTGCCAAAGTAGGAGTGAGGGGAGATGGAGGGAAGAGGGCCAGCAGGAGTGAGGGGAGGTTGTAGCCTCATTAATGGTGGGCCTAAGGCAGCCACTCGGCCGGCCATTCAGTCATTCCATTTGTGCTACCAGTCATTTGGGGAAAATGAGAAAAATCTGCATTTCAATAATTGCCCTTTTTTTAAGATATGATTAACTTTTAATGATAAATATAAAGCAAGTAAAATGTTATTTTGTTTAAAATGAAAAAAATTTGTTATATCATTCTCTTTCCCAGAATGATCCAAAAGAGCTATTTATTTATGCATTTATGTTGAAATAAAATGTCAGAAAACTCATATATATAAAGAGAGAAAATCCAGCACTTAATGATGCCTGAAAAATTCTGAATGATCATAGACCTGCCTATTAGTTTTAGTCACATGATAGAAGCTCAGGAAATGTGGAGTAATTGGCAGAATCTGCGGACTGAGACATGAACTGGAAATCAGATTCCACGGGTAATATTTTCTTTTTGCTAGGAGATTCCATAACACTCCAATTCCTGAATTGCAAGGAAGCTCTGGGGATATTTCAATGTCCTAGAGAGAATTATTTACATTTCCAATACAGTGCAGGTTAAAGGTCCTCAAAGAAAAATGGCATGCAATATCCTGGGCCCCAGGGGCCCTCGTGAGATGATGGGCAGAGTGAGGGATTGAAATAACTCAAGGCAAATGCCACCCTGTCCATAATGAAGGGCTCTTTTGGAAGATGAGTTGTGGGAGAGAAAATCATAAATAGGTTTTCAGATGTCAGTCAGGAAATAAGCTATTACTTTGTCTAAAGTGAAGGAGTTAGGGATAGTAGACCAGAATGTCCAATGTCTGAAATTCCATGTGAGTTCTGGGCATCAGGACAACCAAGCTGGGGGGGGTGGGACAAACCATCACTCCCAAAGGCAAATGGATCACAATGATTTTCCCTCCTTTTGAACTCAGAGTACAGCTAAGAGGGATAAATGGAAAATGCAGTTCAGTAGCCCCATCCCTGATGCTCCTGAAATGTTCAGACTTCTAGAGACAGTGGAAAGGTCCTGGGTCATGGGTGTGCCTGGTGGAGATTCGACTTCAAACAACATCTATGCCTGCCCTTGTGTGGAACTTGGCAACGTCTCATTTCCACTCTGTGAGAAACAGCAATGATCAGAACCTTTGCCAACTGCTGCTGTGAAGCGAAAATTAAGGGAATAAAGTGGGGATTTTGAAAATAAAACAGTCTTGGAGAACTTAAACTTTGCATGTATAATAGGGCTTACTTGCTATCATAAAAGGATATTTTTGAAATTCGAAAAGCTTTAATCCACTAATTCTGTGATGCTAACAAGAGGGTCTGGGTGCCAGGAGGGTAAAAGTTTCACTCTCATTAATTATTTGGTTCTCATTTTTGAGTAGTATTTCTTTAAGAAATGCAAACACAAAAAACTCATATGTGAACTTTGCAGACATGAGTAGATCAGAATTGGAAGATAACACGGAACCCTGCTTCAGACACAGGGATTTGAAACTTTGATGTGCTTTGATGTGCTATTTGCAATCTTCCTTTCATCACAGTTTGCGCTAAAGTGGTCATCTGTCTGTTAAAGCTTACACAAACTAGTTTCACATGTAGTCAGGGTTACCTTATGTTCCATAAAAATAAAATTTGAATTCTTATCAAGAACTTCTAAAAGCTACAGCTTATCTATTTCTGTGGGAACAAGGAATCTTCTCAGGAACAAGAATTCTACAAAATTCTGAATTTTTAATTTCCAAAATTATAATTTCTATAAAACCTTTATCATGTTGTATTTTTAGTTCATTTATCTTTATTTATTTATGTATATAAAGGACAACCTTTCCTTTTAAATTGATAATCTGTATTTGTCGTGAATACTTATAATTTTGTGTTGCCTCAGTATCCATTTTTAAATATGTTTGACTTTCTCATGCCAGAAGTAAGGCTCAGTCACGGTTGACAGTTTTTATACTATACCCCACACAAATGGCTGCAACCAGTGGTCAGAGATACAGTTTGGAGTCGTCTCTTCCACCTTGCAGACTGGGCTCCCCACTTTCCCAACACTGCCTTTAAACAGGCCATTGAGATACTTGTCTGCCAACTTAAAGGGACAACCTCTCAGTCACAGCATGGTCTCCTAGAACTAGTACCTGCTAGTTTTTAATCTACCACTTAAAGCTTTCCTAGGGAAACCTGTTTGTATTACACCCTTCACCCAACAAAAACCTTGCCCCAGTGGATCCCTACTTTCTCTCTGTGTTTGTGCTCCTTGACGTCCGTGTGTGTGGGGGTTGGGTGGGGAGGCATCCTTGCATTCTATGTAGCCTTCAGGGTCTGTAAGTACTAAAAATTCTTTAACTTTTACGTTGTGGTTGTGTCATTGAAGCAGTGCACACAATCAGATCTCTGATGGTGAGGCCACCCCAAAGGGACCCACACATGTGGACCCCCTGTTGGTGCCCTTCTGTTTGGGCTTCTCGGCCACTGGTGACAGTAATTACCAGTTAAGATGGTAGAATTTTATTTAAAACATTGTTGGAGGATGTTTACACTGAGTAAGTCTTTAGATTCTTCAGATAGTCTTTTACATATTGGTACTACACATGCTTGCCATTTTGTCTTAACTTTAAAAAAGTTCCCTTACTCGAGTTTGGGGAATTCTGCTCAACACATATCTATGTCACCCTTTGTTCCTAGAACTTTTGGATGTAACTCAGTAATAATAAGCAACTTGCCTATTTCTGGGTGTTCAGCATAACTGTCCTTGGTTTGACTGTTCTCCTGAATTTATATTGTTAATACTAAAATATAACAATAAAATCTATCTGGAGTTGGGAGAGTATCAATCTTTATACATTTAATGAAAAGGAAAATATTTTGGATTATCACTCTCTGCATTCATTTGTGTAAACAGAGGAAAGAACATATGACTAAAGTAGAATAAACTTGCCTGGAGGTGAAGTGAGTAAACATGTCTGCTGATTAGCTGGAAATCCATTTCAGCATTTGAAATAAACCAAACGTTGAAAGCCAATTGTCTATGTGTTTCTTGAGTTTCTGAAAGTCTTGTGAACAGAGATAATAATTGGCTTTATTCTAGATTGTCCTTTCCAGAATACTTCTATAGCGAAAAGTTTTGGAAGACAGTGACAGAGGGCAGACGTGCTTACTATGTTTCCCTTCAAGCAAAGAGTAGGCAGGCTTATGGCCTATTATAAAAGACCCAGGATCCCTAAGCTAGGAATTTCTCTTCTTCAATCAGCCTACAGGGTGTGCGGTGTCATCTAGGTCTCCTCATATTTCCCTGTGGCAAATGAAAAATGTAAGCTTTAAATCATTTAATATAAAAAATTAAAGAACCTAGAAATTCAGAAAGGGAAATATAGCTGTGGAATTCAGTTTATGAAAATTCAATGCATTCATACTCTATGATCCCAAAGAAAGGCCTGGAAACAACTGCAAGAATTTTCAGGAAGGCAATTTTCAGGTAAAGTTTTCAGGCATTTTGAGTTGACTGACACTGAATTGACTACTTCCTCAAGGAAATGTGTCCCTAGCCCTTCCAGCAGAGGCTTCATGACCATATGAAGAGACGGAATCTGTGCCTCTGGCATCGGCTAAATGAGCTCCGAGCAGCCTCCTTACATAATTTTTAAGTTCTGTGGCTGGAGGGCAAGGCTGTTGGGAATTTGGGAGATATGAGGCTCATACTGAGACAGGCTTCTCTGCACATTCCATATGAAAGCAAGTGCAGTCACTGAAAATGCTGTAAGGATTTGCAGTTGCCAGCATGCCAGCATTGTGTGTTTTCCTATCATATCTCCTTTCATGAATCATCAGTAATCATATTTGTTTCCTTTTCTTCTGGATAAATCATAAGAAATGTATTTATATTGAGAAGAAGATAATTCTTTAATAAAATGTCTTATATGCCCTTTATCTGGGGTTTACTTTTGAGGATTAAGCCAGTACAAAGTTTGGTGATGGTTACACAACTTTACACAATTATCTAAATTCGGAAATATACCCCATAAAAGTAAATTTTTCTGTTTGTTAGTAAAAACAACAACAAAGAAAGCTCAGTTCTAAAATTACTTTCATTTTTAATCATGTTGATTTAAAGACATTGTTCAGGCACAGTGGCTCACGCCTGTAATCCCAGCACTTTGGGAGGCCGTGGTGGATGGATCATCTGAGGTCAGGAGCTCCAGACCAGCCTGGCCAACATGGTGAAACCCCTTCTCTACCAAAAGTACAAAAACTAGCCGGGTGTGGTGGCACATGACTGTAGTCCCAGCTATGCAGGAGACTGAGGCAGGGGAATCACTTGAACCCAAGAGGCAGACCCTGCAGTGAGCCAAGATCAGGCCACTGCACTCCAGCCTGGGTGACACAGTGAGACTCCATCTCAAAAAACAAACAAACAAACAAAAAAGAAATTATTTTTACTTCCTGGAAATTCAACATTTTAACAGAGTGCCTTTCCAAGCCTGCTTTAGAAGGATCTTGACTTACACAGGATATTTTATTCATTTTGAGAGAAGACTACATCATATTCATCTTGGACTGAAAAGAATTTCAATTTTTAATTTTCAAGTAGTCATGAAATTAGCTTTATAAGGAAAGAAGTCACTTATTAAGTTGAAATATCATCCCGGGAGTTTGTAGAACTGCATTGTGTTTATTTGATCCTAGAATAACACCTGGTATTAGTCTTTACTTCCTAGAATCACTGTTAACTATGAAGACATTGGCATTGTTAAGTCTTGGTATTTACTTGATGCTTTGCAAAATGTCTCACATATATTGTTATCCTTCAACTCTCCAACAATTTTGAAGTTTCAATACTGCATATCATTTTTATATTTTTATAGAGGAATAAAATCAATCTATTCTATGATGGTCATTTAACTAATCAATGGGCAGGACTCAGATTTGAACCTAGATCTGTGTGTCTCAGGGATTCATCTTCTCAACAATGTGCTGCTTGTCACACAAGTCTCAGCTACCCTGAGCTCTGTTTAAATTGATCCTGATGCACATTTCAATGCCATATAAATTCCATAACATTCTTAGAAAGCAATAAGAACTCACTCCTCTGCTAAACACAGTATTTACAAATAGGGTTTGGGAATGCTACTTTCTATCACTCAAATCAAATTTTACATCCACCATTGTGCTGTCCATTTGAAGTAAAGAAAGCAAAGCACTACTATAGACTGTGAACATCTCACAGATGTGTTCCTGAGAGCCTGTCTCTCTGTGATTGTCCTAGAGGGAGATGGACCGTGAGGACTTTGGCAGGTTCTGCGGCTGGGGATCAGTAGGATTTTGAGGAGGAGGAAGGCAATGAAAAGTTTAAGTTCTTATCCCCCTAAGTTTAAATGGCATCATCCAGACAGTGGCCGTTCCTTATTTCTCCTGGGGGACAACAGGTAGATTGGAAGCAGCAGGGGGTGACACATTAGCATGTCACGGAGTTGAGCTAGAGTTTTGCTTCTGCACATTATACTGAACTGAAAGTCATTCTCCTTCTAGGCATATTATATTATTTTGGACAGATTTGAGTAAATTGCTACTAGAAGAGGTTGTTGTAAATTAGGTTGTGAGTTTCAAGACTTTTTCTGGTCTATAAACAAAGTTCTGTTAGTAACTCAATGTGGGCTCTGTGGCTGTGAACCCCCAGATGACAATACTGTACAACAATGGAAAATGAAATTATTGATCTTGAGAACTGAATCTCTGTTATTATTAAATCTGTTCCATGCTATTGTTTTATGGAGGTAACAAAAGCTCTTTTTCTGTATTACCTATAAATCTTTTCCCCACAACCATATTATATTTTCCTATAAAATAACTACTATTGTTGCTAGTGATTGGGAAATATTAAATATAAGTAGAGCTTCCCTATTACCCATTACTACCATTTTTTCTTATAATAATCTGGTTTGTGAAGCAGTAGAAAGAAAATATGTTCACTTAAGAAAAATATAATAATGTCACTTAAATCCGTTCAGTTTGTTAATGTGAATGTAAGATGGGAGGAAAGGAAAGCCTGTGACAGTGGCTTTAAGGTAAATTTCTTCTTCCTCAAAGTGAGGTTCTCATATGTTGCGGACATTGCTCGCAAACCTTCTGGATAACAGACATCACTCCAGAGAATGTGTTGCATTTGCTTGTGTGTGAGAGGTTCTCCTTTTGTTTAATTTGGAAATGCAGCGTGCTGCAGTGACTCCACACGGAACATTAAAATCAGGGGGCTGTGAAGCGTGAGTTCCTCTCTCCAATTTATCATTGGTTTCCACTTCAATCACTCTATGACACAGAGCATTTGTTCAAGAGCTGATGGGCCCCAAGTTGTCCTTCCCATCTTCCCCAGTGTCCCCTGGAGAGACCCAGTCTGCCCACAGACCTCCCCAAAGGATGCCCTGTGCTTTTCCATTTCAGCAGATGATGCCTGAGCTACCATTAGCTTGAAAACTTAGAAAGAGAGAGAAAAAAGACAAAGGAATATTGCCACAAACCACAACTGCCTGGTGAGTCTCCTAGGACTCATAATTTCACAACTTCTGTTGAGAGAACTAATAGGGCGTTAATTAGTCATTGTTGTGACTGCTACTGAAGTGAATGATTTTTTTTTATGGAACTGATATGTGATCTAGGCTAATTTGCAGAAGTTGAGTAAACAGATTTTTCATGCCAGCATGAAAAATAAATCACACGTGATGAAAACCTATTTGATGACATGATTGTATATCTAGAAAACCCCATCGTCTCAGCCCAAAATCTCCGTAAGCTGATAAACAACTTCAGCAAAGTCTCAGGATACAAAATCAATGTGCAAAAATCACAAGCATTCTTATACACCAATAACAGACAAACAGAGAGCCAAGTCATGAGTGAACTCCCATTCACAATTGCTTCAAAGAGAATAAAATACCTAGGAATCCAACTTACAAGGGATGGCTAGCCATATGTAGAAAGCTGAAACTGGATCCCTTTCTTACACCTTATACAAAAATTAATTCAAGATGGATTAAAGACTTACATGTTAGACCTAAAACCATAAAAACCCTAGAAGAAAACCTAGGCAATACCATTCAGGACATAGGCATGGGCAAGGACTTCATGTCTAAAACACCAAAAGCAATGGCAACAAAAGCCAAAATTGACAAATGGGATCTAATTAAACTAAAGAGCTTCTGCACAGCAAAAGAAACTACCATCAGAGTGAACAGGCAACCTACAGAATGGGAGAAAATTTTTGCAAACTACTCATCTGACAAAGGGCTAATATCCAGAATCTACAATGAACTCAAACAAATTTACAAGAAAAAAACAAATAACCCCATCAAAAAGTGGGCGAAGGATATGAACAGACACTTCTCAAAAGAAGACATTTATGCAGCCAAAAAAACACATGAAAAAATCCTCATCATCACTGGCCATCAGTGAAAGGCAAATCAAAACCACAATGAGATACCATCTCACACCAGTTAGAATGGTGATCATTAAAAAGTCAGGAAACAACAGGTGCTGGAGAGGATGTGGAGAAATAGGAACACTTTTATACTGTTGGTGGGACTGTAAACTAGTTCAACCATTGTGGAAGTCAGTGTGGCGATTCCTCAGGGATCTAGAACTAGAAATACCATTTGACCCAGGCATCCCATTACTGGGTATATACCCAAAGGATTATAAATCATGCTGCTATAAAGACACATGCACACGTATGTTTATTGCGGCACTATTCACAATAGCAAAGACTTGGAACCAACCCAAATGTCCAACAATGATAGACTGGATTAAGAAAATGTGGCACATATACACCATGGAATACTATGCAGCCATAAAAAATGATGAGTTCACGTCCTTTGTAGGGACATGGATGAAGCTGGAAACCATCATTCTCAGCAAACTATTGCAAGGAAAAAAAAAACAAACACCGCATGTTCTCACTCATAGGTGGGAATTGAACAATGAGAACACATGGACACAGGTAGGGGAACATCACACACCGGGGACTGTTGTGGGGTGGGAGGAGGGGGGAGGGATAGCATTAGGAGATATACCTAATGCTAAATGATGAGTTAATGGGTGCAGCACACCAACATGGCACATGGATACATATGTAACAAACCTGCACATTGTGCACATGTACTCTAAAACTTAAAAAGTATAATAATAATAATAATAATAAATTCAAATAATCAAAATAATCAGTCTGCAAACTGCCATTCCTGCCACTCCTGAAAGAATACCTTAAAGGATTCTGCTAAAATTCTACTTTATTCTTGTTTTTAAAAGCAACTATAGGAACTCAGCCTGGATGCGGACAGCACCTAGGACAAACTGTGCCTAATGGCACTCGGCTGACAGGGCCAGCAGGCTGGGCATCTGCATGGAAGAAATGAGGACCCACGAACCTGCTGCACTCCCCAGTTCTGGGGCTTCTCCAGAAGGAACAGGCCAGGCACAGGCTGAATCCTTTCAGAGGGGTAATACCCTCACACTTCCACCTGCAGAGAATCACACAGGCTGCAAAGGCGCTAGTCACCCAGGATAGAGCTCCTCAAACAGAAGGTAACAGAGGCATCCATGCATTCGTTGCAGATGAATCTGTACAATTACCTTTTTTTTTTTTTTTTTTTTTTTTTTTTTTAACAGAGTCTTGCTTTGTCACCCAGGCTGGAGTGCAGCAGAGTGATGATCTCAGCTCACTGCAATCTCTGCCTCCCGGTTCAAGAGATTCTTCTGCCTCAGCTTCCCGGTAGCTGGGACTACAGGCACGCACCATACCTGGCTAATTTTTGTATTTTTAGTAGAGACGGGGTTTTACCCTGTTGGTCAGGCTCATCTCAAACTCCTGACCTTAAGTGATCCACCCCACCTTGGCCTCCCAAAGTGCTGGGATTACAGGCATGAGCCACCCCTACGAGTCCACAATGACTATTTAAAAAGGCAATTGCATAACAGTCAGACATGGCTCCCAGGCTCATATGACAAAAGATAAGGCTCCACCGTGGATTCTCCTATAGATCACAGAAGGGCTAAGATGCAACATCGGAACTGACAGTGCCATGGTGTTTGCACCCACCTCCTGATGAAAGTCAGGGGCCTGCCTTCCACAGAGAGGAACGCTGGAATTTTGTGCTGCAGTTATGATAGCTGTACCTGAGAGGTGAGGAGAAGTGGCAAGCCTCAGGCAAGTCATGACCTGGAGTAACCAGAAGATGGGTTCGCCCCACAAGTTTCCCTGTGCTCAGAAGTGAAAGACACTCTGAATGTGATTCCTCATTTGATCGTCAGTGCAGTCCTAAAAAATGAGCCCATGACCATGGAGGAAACAGAGATTTTGAGAGACTAAAGGAGTTACATCACATCACTCAGCTAAGAGCCAAAAGAAGGAAGGATTCAAATCAGGATGTGTCTCACACAGAGTTTAAATTCTTTTTTTTCCTTTGTTTTATTTTTTTTGAGATACAGTCTCACTCATTCACCCAGGCTGGAGTGCAGTGGCACTATCTCTGCTCACTGCAACCTATGCCTCCTGGGTTCAAGCAATTCTCCTACCTCAGCCTCCTGAGTAGCTGGGATTACAGGCATGCCAGCATGCCCGGCTAATTTTTGTATTTTTAGTAGAGACAGGGTTTCACCATGTTGGTCAGGCTGGTCTCAAACTCCTGACCTCGTGATCTGCCTGCCTCAGCCTCCCAAAGTGCTGGGATTACAGGCGTGAGCCACTGCACCCGGCCCAGAGTTTAATTTCTGCCACCACCTTGTATCTTCCCCTGGAAAAACTTGGTAAAGGTCATGTCTCCCTGGGGTCTTTACCCAGTGGTCCAGAAGTGGATTTTCTCTGCCTGTAGAACCTCAATCATTTCACTCATGTTCAACACACAAGACAGTGAAATTACCAGGAAAAAAGAAAGAACATCAATGTCCACAGAGGGACAAAACCTACTACATTAAAGCACTCAGTTAATCAGTCCCAGGCTAAAGAACCGCAGAAAGCCATGTCTTGCCAGTTAGGGGCCAGGCCTTTAATTCGGGGGCTATGAGCTACTTGACTACTCGTCCTGGGTTATTAATCAAGAAGAAAACACAAGGTATCTCACCATACCTGTGTGTTAGAGCTATCATAGATTATTGTGATTAAATCCCTTATAATCACTTAAGACCTAACATCCATGTATTAGAATACTATATAGAGGATTCTTCAAGGAAAAGTGATAGAGGAAAGTACTCAAGGCCAGCTCCATGACAAAGCAGCAAGGAATAGCAGGACCAAGAGTTACACTCACTTCTCCAACCAAAACATGCAGTGGCAAGGGAAATGCTTCAGCTGGGGCACTCCGGCAAGACCCATCTGAGAGTGGGACATTTGAGTTGCAATATGATTGATGAGGGAAGGCAGAACTGTGCATATATGGAGGAAGAGAAGTTCATTGGAAGGAATGGCAAGAACAAGAACATTTAGGCAGGATGGAGCTGGGCATGATTTAAGACAGAAAGGAAACCCACAGCTGGCAGGTCACAACAGGTAGTGGGATGCTTTCAAACAATCAGGTAGACAGGTGAGGTTGCATGGCTCCTTTAAGACTATGCAAATGCAAAGAGTGCTGGCTTCTGTAGAAGCTGTAATGTGAAATTAATTGAACTGACAGTGACTTGTCAGTTTTGATTTACATTTTAGGAAGGTAATGTTGCTTCTCAGATTGACAATGTTGGGTGGAAGCAGGAATGGAGGGCAAGGTATCCTAGGAAGCTGTAGAAATGGTCCAGATGCCGCAGGAGACTCGTTTGGACCATGTAATTAGCATCTGACATGAGAGAAGCAGATAGATGATTGACATATTTGGAATGCAAAGCTGACTAGATGTGTTGCTGGAGTAGGTATGAGGTGTGCAGGGGAGAGAGCAATCAGGCTCATCAGGGTGTCCAGCCAGAGCAACTACAGTTTTTGTTTTCCTGGAGAACAAGTTGGGAGAGGCTTTGGCGGAAACAGATCTGTGGGTGTGCAGGGTCAGACATGGGATAGGAAAAGAAACCTATGGTACTTCACTTAAGCAAGAATGAGATCTAGCCTTGATCTCATTTTTCCTCACCCCCTGCCTCCCCATTTCATTCATGAGGGGGTATAGTTGACACTACTTCCAACACATATCCTCGATCCTTCCATATTCCCCCGTACCTATAGCCACCTCTCTTGTAACCATCATCCTGACTTGCCTCCTCCTTCCCTCCTTTATTCCATATTCCATTTTTTATGCAACAATCTTTTAAAAATGCAAATCTGACCCTATCACTTTTCTGCTTAAAATCTTCCAAGGGTTACCTCTCAGATTTAGGTAAATGTAAAAGCCTGGCTCATCAAAGGTCTGTGTGTCCAGGCCTGTCACCTCTCTATCCCCTGGCCACACCAATCCCTCTGCCCCACAGCAATCTGGCAAGAGAGCTTTCTTCCTATTCCTATTTCCAAACTCCAGCCCATTCTTAGGACATTGGGAATAACTTACCTCTGCTTAACTTCTACATAGTGAGCCCCTTCCTGTCACTCAAATCTCAATTCAAACGTCACCCCTTCAGAGAAATTTCTCTGCCCATGTAATCTACAGTGGCCACCCAGCCCCACCTCATCACATAACTTTATTGAAATTATCATTATTGCTCTCATTACTGGGATTATACCTGTTAATGTGTTAGTTTGTTATCTTACACGTTTTCTTTCCCCCCAAATTAGATCAAGGTACATGAAAAAGGACCCGGACAATGGCCCCTGGACAGTGCCTGGCACCTAGAAACACAAGCATTATCTGAAGGAATTAATTGTTATTTCCTTAACACCTCGTAACTGTACTTGGCATAAAGCGGAAGCTCAGTGAAGGTTTCGGAAGTGTGGATTTTGAAAATAATAAATGTATACAGGAAGAAAGAACCCAAATGACACTCAAAAGTCATTCAAGCATCTCATATCTCTTCGTTTTACCACTTGAGTGGACACTAACTAGTAATTTTCCTAATCTTTAAATCAAAATACTGCTGTGACAACTGTCTGCTAAGTACTCTGATATACCTAATATTTTTTGTTTGTTTTGGACTAAGAAGCATTATCTCAGTATTTTCAAACCCAACTTCTCATGCACTGCTAAATACAGTCACTAAGTGTTCTATACCCCTGGAATCAAGATCATCTGTCCTTGCTGTCTTAAGTTTTGCCTCTGGTGGAGGTGAGTGCACCTGCCACCATCATCAAAAGCTTAGACTGCCCCTTTTCTACTGGCTGTAAGAGAGGAGGGAGCATTTTCTTCTCTCTGGGGGCACATTTCACTCTCAAACGTGGGTTCTAGTTTGAAAGACAGCAACATATTTGCAGATGGGCTGCAATATTATTTGTTTCAGAATAAATAAGGAAATCAAGTAGCTAACATTCCTTTACTTCCCCAAAGAAAGAAAAATGTTAATTCAGTCTGAATAATAAACAGAATCAGGTCTTGCTAAATCAGCCATTTATCAAATTGACTCTGTTGCACTTATGCCCAATTGATCCACATACAATTATCGTGACTGGCATACGTTGCTAAAGTTTGGGGGCTGATGGAGGAGAGAGGGAACAGATAGTACTGCACACATCATTACCCAGCTGGGGCCTATGAGCCAAGGGTGCAATGAGGTGGCCAGCAGCCTCAGGATAAACATGGCTTATTGTACTGGAGCACTGACATTTTCAAAACTTTGGAGAGAACGAATTCTAGACAATTAAATGTAAACTTATCAAGAACTATCCTTTTTATATAAAACAATGTCAAGGATTTTAAGAACTAGAATGAACTTTTACAT
Organism: Homo sapiens; assembly: GCF_000001405.40. NCBI lineage: Eukaryota > Metazoa > Chordata > Mammalia > Primates > Hominidae > Homo > Homo sapiens. Next base: position 8,779,708 of record NC_000005.10, read on the forward strand.
GAATTTATGAGCTAAAAGATAAAATTGTAAAGGGAAATCCCTTAGGCAAAAAGGCTTCTTAAGTTATATAATCAGTCCCTGCACTGTCCCCACTGCCATTAGGGATTTCAGCAGAAATATTTAAGAAGTTCAACCACAAACAAGGCTGCCTTACTATTTCCAGCACACCAAGCCCTAACACACACATCCACCTCCCAGCTGTACTTTCTTTCCTTTCTTACAAAACCCCAACTGGTTCATTCATGACCCACTCAGGGATACTCCCTTAAGGAAATTTTCCCAGAATTAACCCAAATAAGGTTAACCCAAGTAACCCACTCCCCAATACAATGCATGAGCATCTGAGACTCACTCATTCCACCAGCTTTCAATTTCTGCTTCCCTACCAGGGTGCAAGATTCTCCACTCTGGAGCTGACTTTCATCTCTGCACTCATAATTCCTGCTACCTTCTGGGCTCAATAACTATCTGAAGAATCCATGAACTTACTTTTAATCTTGGATGGTTGTGCTGAAATTGATGAGAGAATAGTGGCCAAGAAAGTCACATGGGCAAGAAGAGATGAAAGCAGAGGGTTAGGAGTGAAGGGGGGAGTGACAAGACATGAGGCTGGAGAAATAAGCAAAGGCCAGACCAAAGTAAAGAAGATGAATTTAGAATGAGTGCAATGAGAAGCCTTCAGAATTTGCATAGAGGCACTCATAAATTTGCAAGTTATTGCAATTTCCTAGGGTGGCTGAAGGGTATTTTGCAAAGTACACTTAAATCTTAAATTTGTATCATCTAAAATACCCTAAACTAACAAGCTGCTCATAGCATGCTAATAATTCTTTACATAGGCAAACAAATGGATACAGAATGCTAGAACTGGGAATAGTTTTCTTATTAAAAGTGTTTATTGAGTTAATTACATTTTCATTAAATTTAAATAAAATTTGGCACTATTTAGATAATTTGACATAGAAATTTGTGTTCAATAATTAGGTTTATATTGCTTTCTAATTTTATATATATTTTAATATGTGAGAAAAAATGACAATTTTAACTTATTTATTTATTTTTTTATTTTTATAATTTTTTTTTTGAGACGGAGTCTCACTCTGTCTCTGAGGCTGGAGGAGTAGTGGTGAGATCTTGGCTCACTGCAACCTACCCAACCCGGGTTCAAGCGATTCTCCTGCCTCAGCCTCCTTAGCAGCTGGGAATATAGGGGCACACCACCATGCCCGGCTAATTTTTGTATTTTTAGTAGAGACAGGGTTTCACCATGTTGGCCAGGCTGGTCTCAAACTCCTGACCGCAAGTGATCTGCTCACCTCAGCCTTCCAAAGTGGTGGGATTACAGACATGAGCCACGGTGCCTGGCCAAATTTTTTATTTTTGTTACATTAACTTTAGATGTTTGTGGAAAATATACACCATTTGTGTACTTCAAACAATTACATTTTATTTTCAGTCTTTTAAATTATTAATATGAATTTGTGTCAACTGTGACTTCATATATTGATGTGAACATTTTAACTATAAAACAGAATGAATGATGTTGTCTTAATATTACTATTCATCCAACCATTTCCAATCTATTAATAGAATAATCTCATTATTATTCACCCAACCATTTCCAATCAATTAATAGAATAATCAGGCATGGTCAATAATAATTTAATTGTAATAGTTTTAATATTAAATATCAGTTTAATACTATTTTGGTAGTTTTAATATTTTGCTGAGTTTCTCTTATATAAAAATATAGAGTCTTAATCCATTCTGGCTTCTATAACAAAATATCATAAACTGGGTAACTTATAAACAATGGTATTTCCTAGTGTTCTGAGATTGGGAAGTCCAGGATTAAGAGATGGCCAATTCAGTGTCAGCACAGATGATGCCTTAACTGTGTCCTCACATAGTAGAAGAGAGCGAGGTCTCTGGGGTCTTTTTATAAGGACACTAATCACATCATGACAGCTCTGCTCTCAACTTAATCACCTTCCAAAGGCCTCATCTTTTAATATTAACACTTGGGAGTTGGGATTTTAATATATGAGTTTTGGGAGGATGCAAATATTCACACCACAGCAAGTAAATTTGTATGTGTATTTCAATATTGTCATTTTAACAACATATTTAGAAAGGTAGAATGATAGAGCATATTTTATTGAGTAAATTGTTAGCTTTGTTCATAAGTATTACCTATAACATGGTTTTTGAGGATCCATTTGTACCTTTGTCATGTACCATTGTTTTGCAATGTTAGGGGTAGACCCATTGGTCTTAGCAGTGGAATACAATCAATACCCTTACCAAAACTTCACTCGCTCATTGCCTTTTCACTTTAGTTTTCATCCTATATCTTGACAGTGAATAACACAATCAGACATGTCTACCTGAGCTGCCCAAGATAGGAGGTGGGCTGAGGATGGGGAATTTAGAATCACATAGATTGGAGTGACCACAAATCTGTCCACCTTCATTGACTGGTGCCTCAATGCTTCACCCCAACATACTGTGTTTCCCATGAGGCTGTTTTCCTCACATTCTACAACGATTATTTCAACTGATTGCTCTTCTCCAAAGTGAATGCTCACAAGATGAATGAATTCGTTGGTAGGAGCAAGCATCACCATCGTATCTTCACTATTTACTTGGCTTGGTCAAATTCCAGAATTTCTAAGAGCTTAAATTTCTTCATTCCTAAAACGGAGATTTTACCATATACCCTACAGTGTTGTCCTAAGGATTGGAGATAATGACTAGAAAGTGCCATTCATACATGAATGTTAATTATAATAAGTATCAATAAGTATTTCTTCTTTTTACGTTTTCCTTTTCTGTTGATATTTGTTTATTTACTTTTTCTTCTTTTTTAAATTATACTTTAAGTTCTGGGATACACGTGCAGTATGTGCAGGTTTGTTACATAGGTATACACGTGCCATGGTTGTTTGCTGCACCTATCAACCCATCATCTACATTAGGTATTTCTCCTAATGCTATCCCTCCTCTAGCTCTCCACTCCTCGACAGGCCCCGGTAGGTGATGTTCCCCTCCCTGTCTCCATGTGTTCTCATTGTTCACTCCCACTTAGGAGTGAGAACATGAGGTGTTTGGTTTTCTGTTCCTGTGTTAGTTTGGTGGGAATGACGGTTTCCAGCTTCATCCATGTCCTTGCAAAGGACGTGAACTCATCCTTTTTATGGCTGCATAGTACTTCATAGTGTATATGTGCCATATTTTCATTATCTAGCCTACAATTGATGGGCATTTGGGAATAAGTAGTTCTAAAGTCCTCTCCTCCACCAACTATGGAAGATAACCTTACATCTTCCCAACATAGAAAATAGAAGCCATAAAGCAAGACCTTGCTCAACTTCTGACACAATCAGGTACTAATTACTCATTTTTTCTCTCTTCCCTTCCATCACAGATTGTGCCTGTGCCTATATAACATAACTTCCCTGCCCACATTATTTTCAATGACTACACTTCCTCATCCAATCTCAGCTCTATTGTATCTTTACCTTCCACAGTCCATTGGGTCCTACTTATCAGCGTTTAAACCAATTTATACAACATAAACCCAACCATTTTCCCCAAAGGAAAACCTCTATTAGCCCTTCTGGCTCAAACCATACCATCTCCTATATTATCAAATTCTTTGTGTAGTTTTTATGGTGGTCATTTTTAATAAGATGTGTTCTATAGAAGGGAACAAGAGGAGTTATACCTTTGATTCTCCTACAGTTCCTGATTTCATCAATCCAAGGTCATACTTATTGGCATAGTCTCAGGTCGGTATTTCTTCTCCATGCAGGTAATGCAAATTCAGACTCCACATCTCTGTGCGGCAGGGACTGAATTTATAGGTTTCATTTCATTCAATAAGTATTTGCTGAACTCCTATGATGTGTGTAGTGCTCCAAGTGCTAAGTACCCCAGTTAACCAGAGTAAAAACTTCTATCCTCAGGAAGCTTACATTTTCAGACGGAAGTGAGTCTTCATCCTGAGGCACAGGAAGATAGAAAGCTCTTAGTCCATTTTGGCATGGTGGTGGTTTTCTTGCTGCTTAAACTGGCAGCATTTAAAGGACCTTGGCTCTAAGGCAGTGAGTCAGATCTATATACCCTCTTGGTTAGATAGAAGGCCACAAAACCTGCCCTCCACTGAGATTTAGAATCCTAGCACTCGTGTGCCTGTGTCCTATACGTGGTGGGCTGCTGGAAATTCAGTTTGAACTCCCCAGTAATTTGCTATAGACTAAATGTTTGGTTCTCTGTAAAATTCATTTATTGAAACCCTGATCCCCCAATGTTATGGTATTAGAAGGTGGGGCTTTGGTAAGTTATTACATCATGAAATTGGATCTCTCTTGAATGAAATTAATGCCCTTATAAAAGAAACCCTGGAGAGCTTTCTTGTCCCTTCTGCCATGTGAGGACACAGAGAGATGGGACCATTTATGAACCAGGAAGCAGACCAACACCAGACACATAACCAGCCAATATCTTGATCTTGGACTTCCCAACCTCCAGAACTGTGAGAAGTCAATTTGTTGTTTATAAGACACTCAGTCTGTGGTATTCTGTTACAGCAGCCCTAATGAACTAGGGCACTTCTTGACCAGAGTGTTTCCCTTTCTTTTGAACTAAGCAATTTATTAAGGGCTCTTTACTGTGTTTTATCTAGTGCATCTCAGGACGTCCACGAAATTCTGGAATTATCATCAATAAAATTTTCAGGTCGAAAATAATCTAGATGATTGTTTCTATATTAGTCTATGCTCCCAGGTTTTATCAACATACTTGTCTTTAGAATGTGTGAGGGAAAGGGCAGGTTTTGATTCAGCACAGTTCACCAAGCTACTGAAAGGACATAACAAATTTTCACAATCTTCCTGTATAGGAACCATTTCCACTTTTCAACTTCAGACATTAATATAATCTTATTGGGGAGTCATTAAAGGGAATGAGTCATAGACCATATCCTGATGAGGGATACACACTATTTAAGGAGCCAATGCTCTCTTCTCCCTTAACTTTCAGCTGAGCTCATGCATTCTATGATCACTATTTTCTTTCTTTTCTTTCTTTCGTTCTTTTTTTCTTTCCTTTCTTTCTTTTTGCTTTCTTTCTTTCGTTCTTTCTTCTTTCCTTTCTTTTTGCTTTCTTTCTTTCATTCTTTTTTCTTTCTTTCCTTTCTTTATTCTTCTTTCCCTTCCTTCTCTTTCCTTTTCTCCTCTTTCTTTCTCTTTCCTTTCTTTCCTTCTTTTCTTCTTTCTCTTTCTTCCTTTCTTTCCCTCCCTCTCTCCCTCCCTCCCTTCCTTCCCTCTTTCCTTTCTTTCTTTCTTTCCTTTTCTTTTTCTTTTCTTTCTTCTTTTGTCTCTCTCTCTCTCTCTCTCTCTAAGTCCCACTCTGTTGTCTAGGCTCGAGCACAGTGGTGCAATCACACCTCACTGCAACCTCAATCTCCTGGGTTCAATGAATCCTCCCACCTCAGCCTCTCAAGCAGCTGGGATTACAGGTGCATGCCACCATGCCTGGCTAATTTACTTTTGTGTGTGTGTGGTTTTCTTTTGTTGTTGTTATTTTTTGTAGAGATTGGATTTTGCCATGTTTCCCAGGCTGGTGATGATTATTTTCTTCTAGTGTTTGTTTGTGCCACCTGAACACTGAAGTGGTGTACCACCTGATCCTCAGGTCTTCTTGTTTCCCTCCTTCCTCCTGGTGGTGAACAACACTTTTTCTGTGCAGCCAGCATCCCTTTCCTACACCTTTGATTACAATGTCCACCTCCACTCTAGGAAACTTCTTCTTTCCCTCAACATGAGTGCTCTGCTGTCTATGGCAACAAGAGAGAAGGAGTGAGCCAGCCTGACTTATTATATAGCTGTGCTAAGGCCACTATTTCAGGTAGCAGTTCTGTACAGTAAAACATCTCAAAGCTTAGAGCCTTAAAGAAAGCTTGATTTATGTTCTGTCATGTGTTCTGGGGGTTCATAGGGTAGGTCTTCTCCAAGTGTCATTGGCCACAGTGACTCAGGCGGCTGTATTCAGTTGGTGCCTGAGCAAGGCTGGGATGGAGGTCAAAATAGCTCTCTGTCAAGTTTGGGTTTTGATGTGTGTCAAGTGGTTCTACTAGCCTCTCCTCCATACAAACCCTCTATACATGGCCTCTTATCCTCCAGAATATAGCCATAAGCCTCCCTCTTCTGTAGAATCACCTGGGCTTCTCTGCAGCATGACAGTCAGATCTGAGAACTAATTGAAAGCTCCCAGGTCTCTTAATGACTAGTTCTGTAACTGACACAACATCACATCTACCACCTCCTATAGGCAAGTCACTAAACTGGCCAAGATCCGAGGAGAGGAGAAATAGATTAATCTGCAGATAGGAGAAGAAGCTTTCACATATAAAGGGACGTTGAAGTGTCAGTACTCAGTTTTGGAGGCTATCTACCACAGATGCAGCATTTGGTACAAGATTTGGTATAGCATTTGGTACATTTGGTACAGCACCCAAGCCAAGCAAGCAAGTAATCAATATTTCTGGATTGCAAATCATGGAGATGAGAGCTGCTGGTCATCCTGTCTCCTCCAAAAGAGGAAGTCAGTGAGGCCAACACACAAAAGCTGAGCAAAGACAGATACAGAGAGCGGACATGAGCCGAAAGCAAGGTGTGGACTCAGACTTCAATACACTCACCTTGTGGGAGGTTCCTCAGAGCCGCTCACGGCTGAGGCCAAGTCCAGGCTTCTTCTTATAGACAAGTGAATCATTACATTTCTTTCTATTTATCCAATGTCATCTCTTTCTCACACTTGCAACTGAATGAATCCTGGGCATTTTCATTTGTTTGTACAGCTGCAACTTCAGTCTGCATTTTTAAAGCTCCCACTTTGTTATCTTCAACTTGTTTTTGTCTCCTGAATTTTACATATACATATTAAACTCCCCTACAATCACTTACCAGGTAGCTGTACCTCATTGTTACTTCAGAGCCTCAAACTCATCGAAAGTCTAAGCTCCATTATGAAATCATGATTCTACGTAAATCCATTTTTCATGTTGCCATCCCTACATTGGTTCTGGGTACCTCCTTCCATCCAGTTTTCTAAGCCAGCATTCTAGGAGTCTTCTTTCACACTGATCCTTTATTTTGTGAGTAGTCTGGTGCTGAGAAGTGCTCCACCTGAAATCCTCAGCTCTGTCACTTTTCAGTCCCTGCCTCATCTCAGTGATTTCCATCCCTCATAAATTCTCATGGCTGCACTTTCTTCCACTTGCTACCATTCACCTTATCCCACCAAATGCTGTTCCACACAGTTGCCATGGTGACATGATGAAGCAGTAATTTGACCATGTCCTTGCAATACTGACTTCTTCAAAGACTCCTCTTAGACTTCAAAATAAAGCCCCAAAATGGGTGTAGCATCATAGAACCTGTCACTTGCTGATCCTGCTACTTTTTACAGCCGTAACCCATACCTTGGCTTACCCCTTGTCCTCACCCGCACTCTCTTGGGTTTTGCCTACATTGAAATTGTCTCATTTACAAAAATATGTCACTTTTGTTTCTTTAGATATAGGAGTCTGGGGCTTCTGCCTGGATTCTCTTCTTTTCATCTGACGCCCATTGAGACCACCCTAATGGCTTATGTCCAGGGTGGGGTTTAGTAAGGTTGGGACAGCAGATGGGAGAAACTACACAATAAACATCGATCCAATGTAAACACGCACTTACCCTTTCACTCAAATATTATACTTCTAGTCACTTAAAAAATATTGCTCAAATATTCTCTAAGATGATCATGTAACAGTGTAAACATATATCAGAACATCAAATTGTGCCCCATAAATATATAATACATACAATTATTACTTGTCAAAAGTAAAATGAAAAAACAATGTTTTCTATTATAGCAAAAGGTGGAAATCACCTAAATGTTTTTCCATTAGAGACTGATTAAGAAATGTTTTGTACATCCATGCAATGAAATATAATACTAACCACTTGCTAAATCCATATGTAATAACAGCAAGTGAAAAATCATATTATTAAAGGACATGATGAAGGGAAGCATCCTAAGGGTCTGGGAATGCTGCTTACTAGAGAGTTCTACTCTCTCTGTGTTAATTGGAATTTTATTACTTACTGTCAGAAATAATGTATACTTCATTTTTGGAACATAGAGGTAGATATATTTAGATATCCCACTAAATAAATCTCAACTTCTGGGTTAGAATTGGAAATTTTTTATCTCAGAATAAAAATGACCCATTTTCTCTCTTTGACTGTTTCCTAGTTTAATTTTCTGTCCACATTATGCTGCTAAAGTGCGTGGAAGAGCTATGGAATACAATTAGATATGTTCAAAGAATTACTTTTATTCTAAATCTCATTTTTAGCTGCTTAAAACTTCTTGAAAAAAAAAATGTGCCTTTGGCCTAAGATTTCTCGAGCTGTTCTCAAGCTAACACTCAATTTTATTTGGAAAGCTGGGTGGAAGTTATCTAGTTCCTTTCAGTTTTCAATATTTAAACCAATGTTTTTATTGCACTGAAAGGAAAAACAATAATGTTCAAATACTTTATTTATGAGTAACCTGAAAAGGTTTCCATTAAATTATCCTCAAGTTGGCATGGTTGCAGTCTGAATTAAAAACAAAAGGAAACCCAAAGCATGTTTTCTCTATCCATACTGGCATCCAGGTAAGTAAAATTGAGCAACAGCAACTAAAACACTATTGTCTTTGTGGTCTCTGTGTTAACATCAACTTTCACGTGGACCCACACATATAAACAAGTCTTCGTGGCATTAGACCGCAGTGTAAGTCTTTCCTTGTGCAAATGATTTATTTTTACATTTGTTTGTTTTTAATTATGGCAGCAAACCAATATGGCATTTCCTGTATGTTAACATTATGTCTCTCTTCTCTCTCTCTACCTCTCCCTCTCTCCCCCTGCCTCCCTCTCTCTCTCTCTCTCCTACCTCCCTCTTACCTCCCTCTAGCTCTCTCTTCCTCTCTCTCTCCCACCTCCCTCTTCCTTTCTCCCTCTCTCTCTTCCTCTCTTCTCCCTCTCTCTCTCCTCCCTCCCTCCTTTTTATTTGTCTCTCAATTCAGATTATTCTCTCTTTGACCTTAGTAGTATTGATTATTCATTTAAAAATAATGATCCAGGCCAGGCATGGTGGCTCATGCCTATAATCCCAGCACTTTGGGAGGCCAAGGGGGGCAGATCACCTGAGGTCAGGAGCTCAAGACCAACCTGGCCAACATGGTGAATCCTCGTCTCCACTAAAAAATACAAAAATTAGCTGGGCGTGGTGTTGGGTACCTGTAAGCCCTGCTACTCGGGAAGCAGAAGTAGAAAAATCACTTGAGCCCGGTAGGCAGAGGGTGCAGCGAGCCAAGATCACGCCATTGCACTCCAGCCGGGGCAGCAGAGAGACTCCATCTCACAAAAACAAAAAACAAACAAACAAAAAACTTTATCCTTGGCATGGGCCTATTTTCGTGAATACTATTTATCAAAAGCTTTCCTTCAATTTCCTGATTTTACTCCCTTGCCCCATGTTCTGAGACACCTGGTGGTGCCAGTTTTCAGCCATCAGATCAACCTGCTTTGTGAAGTCAATGAACTCCTGGCATTGCTCACCATCCTCTAAGGGCATATATGTTACACTTCAAATCACAATAAAATCCCGCCTTGAGTGTCCCAGGTCAGTTATTAGCATCTCTTTCCAGCATCCAAAACACCTTTACTATTGTTGCCTCCCCTGTTCTCACAACACTTGTATTTTGTGTGTGTGTTTTCTTTAAATTAGTTCTAGTGGTGGTTCTTGGAGGGAGCATATTTAGTTCTCATACTTTGAATTTTATTCACCAACTTATCCTAGAAAGTGTGTAAAATTTGTCAAGTGAGCACAAAGCAATTGTCCTTCGTAAGTGGCCCTGGAAGGCTGAAACAGCAAAGAAAATCTAACCATGACTGCCACAGTTTTTTTCTGTACTATTTTAGGTGGAAAAAAAAAATGCCTGAAGTCTTCAGAGCTACATGTCATAGGCAAAGTAACATTTTATGTAATAACAAACTAAATATATCCCAGAACAGCAGTACTAACGCATTTAAATTTCTGTGTTATTGAACACAAATTAAAGAATCATTTACTCTCTTACATATTAAGACGCACAGTTAAAAGCGAACCTATAAAATATACAAATTAAGTTTAAACAGAATTATCTAATGCCTCTGCGTGAGGAAGATAATTATTGGTAACTTCCCAGCTATAAGCTATTTATGTTTTAACCATGAACTAGAAGAACATTTAAAGTGAGTTTTGTAATCCATTTTTTCTTATCCAATTTAACTTCCCCTAAAAGTTCAATTAGAAATTTATGAGGAAGAAATCAGAAATCATTAGAGTAAAGCTGCTATCAAATTTCTGATTTATGGACTTCCAAACTTTTAGCCTTCTACCCTTTTTTGATTAAAACTCCTATTCTTTACTAATCCACAGGAACGAACAATTTAACTCTAATTTGTCATTGCCAAATACATTTGAAATGTTTCTTATTGATGCAATGATATATGTGACTCTACATAACGCTTATTTTCAAAGGATTTGTATTAATATACATATATAACTATATCTGTAGCTCCATCTATGGTTAATGGTTTTCGTGGATTTCTATTTCAAGCAATATGGCAGACTAAATAGAAGGCCACTCCATCTTAGATGAATTGAAACAAATACATCTTAAATTTACTGTGAAGCTTACAGATGTCAGACAGGATGTAAGACAACTGTCTAAAGGGCAAAAGGAAAAACAGAACATTGCAGGGAAAACACATGTTATAAAACCTGGAATTTCCTGGAAAAAAAAAAAGCCAACCCAAACCTAGCACCTGTAAATGTTGGAGACCTAAGTGTGAGACTCTTCCTTTAATCCTTGACACATTGTAGGCCCTCAGTATTTCTGTGATTAATTTTAACCAATGAGGAAAAACATACCACCAATGGCAAAAGAAAACAAGTCACCAATGGTTGGTAGTCAGTAGAAACAATCCAATATAAATAAAACCTCAAAGGCTTCAGATACTAAAATTATAACGGAAAATGCTGTGTATGAAATATCTAAACAAAAGAAGGAATCACATATTAAGCAGCAATATGCTATCAGAACTGGCAAGGAAGATTTGGAAAATCACTAAATAAAGCATTTAAAGATGAAAAATATAATCACTAATAATCAAACTTCAATTAGTCTATTTAATGCCAACTAGGGAAAGGCTGAAGAAGTAACTGGTATCTTTGGCAATAGAAACAAAGAAAGTATGCAGAATATATTGAGTCAAAGGATAGTAACAGACATATTCCACATTCTATTGAATCATTAATAACCTATCCCAAAACTTAGTAGCCTAAAAAATCAATTATTTTATCCTCCACATGGATTCTGAAAGTCAGTAGTTCATTTAGGGCACAACTACAAGCAAGGATGGTTTCTTTCTGTTCAACGATGTGAGGGGCCTCAAAAGCGGGGGGTGACTTCAGCTGATGGCTGATGGCTAGGTGACATCAACACTCACGTCTGATGGGTGATGTTGGTTGGCAGCTTGTACCTAAGTTGGGCTGTCAACCAGAACAACTGCATGTGGCCTCCACACACAAGCTTTTACCTGTGTGCCCCATGAGAAAGCTTATTTGAGGTTCCTCATATTATGAGGCTGGCCCCAAAAGCAGGTGTCCCAAAAGACTGCAACATTATTATGACCTAGCCTTGGAAGTCAGATGGAATCACATCTGCTATACTCTGCTGGTTGAACAGTCACAAAAATCCACTGAATTCCAGAAGCAGGGAACTAGGTGCATCCCACTCTTTGATGAGATGAATGCCAAGATCACATGGCAAGCAAATCACGTTGAGCCATCTTTAGAAACACACTTGGCTACAGAAAGGTAAAATCTATGGAATGGATTGAGAAGGTCCTAAATAAAGATAATCAGAATCCTGGAAAGGGGAAAGACAACAGCAAGGAAACAATTTTCCAAATGAAAGTGGCTGAGAATTTCATACAAGAATGAAGGCACAAATCCCCAAACACAGGAATCACAAGCTATAAAAGTAAGGATAAGTAAAAGAAAACTTGTCTTTTCATATTGTAATGAAGCATACAAACAAACATACAAAAACAAAAGACAAAGAAAATTCTTAGGATAAAAAGAGGAAAGACAGCTCATCTAATAGAATAACATGAAGACGGCTCCTCAGGCACAAAAGTGAAGGCCAAGAAAGCAGGGAGTTATGTCACTAAAGTCTCATAGAAATCTAATCTCCTCCTGGAACTGTCTATTCAGAAATGTTTTTTTTTCATTAGTGAAGGTAAAATATATTTCAGATTATCAAAAACTAAAAAGAAATTCACCATCTTAAAAAAATCAACATGTGTCAAACTTGGCTAATGAATTTTCAAGGATATATTTTAAAAAGAAGAAAAATGACTCTAAGAGAAAAATGAACCAAAACATTGGTGAATATGTTGGTAAATACAAACTGGGAATTTTTTGCATTAAAAAATGACAAAATAATTAAAAATATCTTCTTTCTAAAGTTAAAGTGATGAAGAATTTCTAGAATTAAAATATTAGACTACAATAGCTTGTGATATTGTTTGGATCTATGTCCGGGCCCAAATATCATGTGGAATTGTAATTCCCAATGTTGGAGATGGGGCTGATGGAAGGTGATTGGATCATGGGAGTGGTCCTTCATGAATGGATTAGCTCCCTCTTCTTGGTGCTGTTCTCATGATAGTGAGTGAGTGATTTATTGTGAGATCTGTTTTTTTAAAAGTGTATAGCACCTCCCTCCTCTCTCTTGCTCCTACTCTGGCCATGTAATATGTGTGTTCTCTCTTCACCTTCTGCCATGATTGTAAGTTTCCTGAGGCCACCCCAGAAGCTGAGCAGATACCAGCATGATGCTTCCTGTATAGCTTTCAGAATCATGAGCCAGTGAAACCTCTTTTCTTTGTAAATTACTCAGTCTCAGGTATTTATAGCAATGTGAGAATGGCCTAATACAGCATGTAAGTTGAGGTGTGGGAAGGAAAATGAACGGTTAATGTTTCCTAAGCTCATCTTACTGTTCAGGAGGGAAGGTTCAGATATTGATTGCTTCTAGACATCGTTAAATGCAGTTTACAAAATTGAAGGGATAGTCATTAAAGTAATGAAAACCAAGCATACAATTTACATACCAGTAAAGGGGTAAAATGAAATTTAAAAATAAACATGTAAAAATGGAACAATAAAAATAGGTCAAGAAAGAAGGATTTTTTAATATGAATAAAGTGGGACAAAAAAGCATTAGGAATTGAGTCCAAATATTACTAATCACAATAAACATAGATCCAATCATTAACCTACAGAAAGTAGAGATTAACCAATTGCATTTTTAAAAAGTCAAATGCTTAATACGAGACAAAATCTAAAACCTACATGTATTATTATAAGACTGGGCTCAGAGGTTCCTGCTGCTGTTTCACATCCCTCTATAAAGATTGAGATATTTGCAAAATGAGGAATCTGGGATCTTATATCCTAGCAAGACACAAGTTTTCATGGCTTCTCTGATCTTCCCTGAGATAACTAAATGGGGGAAAAAGAGAACTGAGGATGGCTGGGCAGTGCAAGAGGCAGCAGTGGACACATTGCCCCAATCCTTGGCCTGGCAAGGATGCTGTGCAAGGTGGCTTTGCAGGAGGAATCTCGTGTGACTCCCTTTAGTGGGTTGACCCCTTGGAGAGGACCCCAGTTACAAAGTCTGTGGGGAGTTCTATCATAGTACAGTATTGATTTTGGAGGAAAAGGCCTAGCCACAACCTCATACTCCACATCAAGGAAGCGTGCAATAGGAACACCCATCTTGGGGCCAGAAAAGAGAGTAACTTTGCTCAAACCTTCAATGATAGTTCCTTAGAGGGACATAGAGACTCAGGTCGATCTGACTCTGGGCCACCCCTCCAGCTCATCCTCCAGCCACCAGGAGCCTCAGAAACAGGTCCTTCCCTTCATACTCCATCAGGCTACTGATCTCGCTCCCTGAAATTCCCCCTTTCAGTAACTCCACGTTCTTCAGAACTGCACCCTTCTCAGTCCATCTGTGCTAAGGCCCCAGCCTGGGATCTATGCTTCTTCCCAGCTCCTGTGGTCCCATGTCTACTTCTGTCCTTGTGCTGACTACACCCAGCTCTGACTGCCTGGGTAATATCACCATATAGTAATGAACCAGGGAAATAAATTGGAAAAAGGGAATAGAAAGAAATGTCTCAATGGGACTAATTATGGAATATAAAACACAATGACTCCCTGTATGCACTGGAAAAAGGCAGAGAGAAAAAGCTAACAAGACAGGCACCCCTAGTGAAGCAAATTAGGTTCCTGATTACACCGCTGTGGAGCTGAAAGAGAAAGTTCTCCAGGGTCCCTGTGCATCTCTGGTCTCTCCATTCAGAGTGGGGTGCAGGGCTGCAGGTGCCTTTCTCCTTCCTGGGGTATAGATCCTAAGGTGTAAGGTCCCCAGAGTGCTGAAACTGTGTGACACACAGGTGTAAACCCACTCTTATGGCTGACTCCTGAGGATGGGAGCTTCCAGTGGGGTCTGGGACTGCATACCAATTCCCCTCACTTAAGACCACTGAGGGTGACTGTGCTGTGAGGTATGGTAAGCGCCATTTGGATGGTGTCTTACATTGCAGGGAACGATATGTCTAGTCATTCTCTACATCCAGCTTTTGTGAATGTGCACCCGATAAAAGAGACTGAGGGCGAGTCACCTGTGGAGGAGCTGCTTTATAGTCTAAGGTAAACTCAGTACTCTGTATATCCATAGCAATACAGGAACAAATCTGTCTTCTCCTTTCCCCTGATAAAGTCTTATGTTGTTACTATGGCAACTCAGTCCACAAAATTGATAATAATTAGAAACAAAATAGGAGAACATCTTTACCTACTGGAACTGGGAAATAAATCCCCAAAAGTACAAAGAAAAGATAGGCAAATAGCAAGCCAGTGGCCAAATGTAATAAAACACAGTTGGGCAGTTTATGGGACTGAGGAAATGTATCCTGCCCTTGGTAACCACCTGTTTTATTCTCTATCTCTCTGTATTTGACTTTTTAAAGAAACTTTCTTTTTAGATTCCACATTTAAGTGACATCACACAGCATTTTTCCTTCTGTGTCTGGTTTATTTCATGTCTTCTAGATTCATCTATCTTGTAGCAAATGTCAGGATCTCTTTCCTTTTTAAGGTTGAATAATATTTTATTAAACACAAACACACACATACACACACACACATACACACTTCAGTCTCTTAATCTATTCAGCCATTGATGATACTTCAAATGTTTCCATATTTTGGTTATTGTGAACAGCACTTCAATGAACATGGAAACGCAGGTATCTTTATGAGGTGGTGACTTGATTTCTTTTTGATCTGTACCCAGAAGAGGGATTACTGGGTGGTACGTTAGTTCTATATTTAATTTCTTTAGGGACCTCCATACTGTTTTCTACATGACTGCACTAATCTACATTCCTACCAACAGTGTACACGGGCTTCCTTCTCTCAATAACCTCCCCAGCACTTCTTATACAATCTTAATTGATGCATAAAAATCATTTGACATAGTCTGACATATTTTCTTGACAAAAATCATTAACAATTTAGGTATGTAAGAAATTTACTCAATGTATTACAGGACATTTATGAAAAAACACACAGTTAACATTATGATCATCTAATACTCAGCACAAAGCAAGGATGTCCACTCTCACCACTTCTGTTCAACACAGTACTGGAAATATTGGCAAGAACAGTCAGAAAAAAAAGTAAGTCAAAGGAATACATCAGAAAGAAAGAAGTAAAAATATCTCTATTGGTATACAGTATAATCCTGTATCTTTAGCTTTTTATTTACAAAATTTACATGACAACACGCTTTTTTAAAAATCATTTGAAAAATACAGTAGGGTGTTTTGTAAAATATACTTTATTATGTTTATAATACATATATTAGTATATACTATATATTCTACCAAAAAAGGACAGTCTATGTTCCTTCTCCTCACTCTGAGTTTCCAAATATTGCTACCCAAAGCTAGCTTCTTCCCTAAATGGAACCACTTTTAACAGCTTGTATGTGTATCTTGGAGGGAGGAAGGGGTGAGAGAAGAGATAAAAATATACCAAGTTTTCTAAACCTCACACTGTTGACATTTTGGGCCATATCATTCTTTGGTTTAGGATACTGTCATATACACTGTGTAGGATGTTTGGCAGTATTCTTCACCTCTACCTAGTAGATGCTAGTAGCATACACCTCTCCAGTTTTGTCAAACAAAAATACTTTTAGACATTGCCACCTGAGGTGGCTGCTCTAGAGAAATCTTTCTTTACCTCATTTTCCTTTTTCTCCACTTACACTTCAATGAGCAATGATGACATGAGTCTTCCCTGAAAAGGTCCTGAATTTATCTCACAGTTGTGAAAGTAATAGGACAGGGAAAGTTCCTCAATACCATGCTGGTGGGGGCCTAATGCCTCCCAGTGCCATATTCAAAAATTTAAGAACTGTCACACTGGGTTGGCTCCATGTGTCCCCACAACATCTCTATGTATACAACAGGATCTTAAAGTTGTTGCTACCTGGATTGAGTGTGCTACAATCTGTGGGAAATTAAGAATGACAGGAACTCTTGCTATGGAAAATCAAAACTTTTATTTCAAAAAAAGCTAGCCTCTCATACATTGCTGATAAGAATTTAAATTGCAGTGACGTCAACAACATGGTGGAACAGGAGGCTCCTGACTCTTCCTCCCACAGACATAACAAGTAAACACCTAGACATGGATTGATTGTCTCCAGACGAAGCCAAAACCCACTTTAAAGACTCTGAGGCAACTGGGGACTAAGAAAATATCCATATCAATATAAATGGGAAAAGTGAAGATACACCTATGAACCAACCCTACACTGAGCACAGCACGTTGTAATTGAGAAGGAAACCCCAGCTCCCAGCTATTTTCTGGAGTGAGAGGCATATACCGCACAGAGAATGTCCAACTTTTACAGTTCCTGCAGGAGGGCATGGCTGTTACATCACCTTTTTTGAAAAATGGCTGCGACAAGGCATCAGGAAATTTTTCTCAAGCACAAAAAACAAAGAGGAGTTTTGAACCACATGGACACTCCCAGATGCTGTAGCATCTCCTAGAAAGAGTTTGGCTGCACACTTTCCCAGCAGCTCTCTGTCATTCTGGCCTGCATCAAGCCAGTATCAGGAAGCATACAAAGAAAATTAAAAAAAAAAAAAAATGAATCTCTTCCAGCCTAAACGGGAAGCCTAACACTCTCTGTACCCTTCTCTCCTGGTTTGTTTCAGTGATAACTCAAGACAAAAAAGTTCCCTCTGCAAGAAGGGTAAGAACCATCTGTTTTATTGCAAATGGGAGTGGGTCCAGCCCTACAATCTCTCCCAGAAAAGAGGCTGGAGGCCTCTACGTGTAAGAATAGGAGCAACAACACTCCTCACCACTCTTCCCCTGGCTTGTTTCTGAGGAAAATTTCTTCAGTTTCTTATTATAGGGAGGCTAGGGGACATCTCTGTTCTGAAAGAGAAAGGGATAACTCCCTGTGTACTTTTCCTTGGCTTAATTCAATGATAACTCCAGACCAGAATACTCATCCTACAAAAGGGGTGAGAAGGCAGCTTGCTTGAACAAAAGGGCAAGAACTTTCTGTGCCCTTTTCCCCTGCTTTCTCCAGCAATAATTCCAGTCCTGAAATCATTCCATAGAAATAGGTTACAGGCCTCTGCCAGCAAAAACAGTAAGAATGGCACTCCTCAGCTTTCTCCCTCAGCTTGCTCCAGAAATTAACTCTTTCAATTTTTCATTGAAAGGAGGCAAGGAGACTTCTCCATGCCTGAAATGGAAAATAGACACTGCATGTGCCTTCCTTGCTGACTTGCTTTGGTGATAACTCCAGACCAGGAATCTCTGTAAGGAAGGTATGGTATTTAAACTTACTCAAACAGGAGAGTGGGTACTCCCCATGTTTTCTGTCCTGGTTTGCTCCAGCAGTTAATCCAGATAGGAAGAATCTCCCTTAGCTTCTGTACATATTGAACATTTTAACATTTATACCCTCTACTCAAAGGACTGGCTCATAAATTACCTAACTGGGAGTTCACAAAGCTCTGCACTTCTTAGACTCTTATACTAAAGAGAACAAATAGATGACTTTTAAACTTGTAAATGTCCAGCAGCCATCTCTCCCCATTCAAAGTGAGCAGTATGATAAACAGTACTGACATCTGCCTTAGACCCTCTCCTTGACAAAGGGCAGAAGGTATAGAAAGTAAATTCTGGCTCTAAGCTTCTCTGCAAGGAAAGAATAAATTTGACCACAAATTTAACACTCTATGCTCTTCAACTGCATGTGAAGGGACTGCCTTCTATCTCAACTCTCTCAACGCAATAGAACAACATTTTGACACTTTCTAATTTCTTGGATGCCACTAAGAACAATGGCAACAGGTTGGACAAGCATAAAGAGTTTTGAGGAACCTAACATCTCTACCAAGGCTGAATAAGGAGGAATATCTCTGACACAAAACCAGTTTAACAAGACTTTGAAGAAGTCTTTTGTTTTGTTTTGGATTTTTCTTTGTTTATCTAATGCACATAAAAATGCATAAAGTCAAGGAAAGTGAAGATGGGAAAATATATTCCAAATGAAAGCACAAGATAAAGCTGCAGAATAAAATCCCAATGAAACAGAGATATGTGGTTTACCTGACAGAAAATTCAAAAAGATAGCTGTAAAGATGTTCACTGTGGTAAGGAGAGCAATGAGGGAACAAACTGAGACCATCAACATAGAGATAGAAAATATTAAAGGTAATAAACAGAAATAATTGACCCAAAGTACACAATAGCTGAACTTAAAAATTCAATGGAAGTGTACAACAGCAAACTAGATCAAGCAGAAAAAAAATAATTAGCGAACTTGAAGACAGGTTATTTAAAATCATCCAATCTGATGAACAAAAAGAAAACAAAAGGTGAAGACAACCTAAAAAAATTTATAATACTATCAAGTAAAATAATATATGCATTATTTATGTACCAGAAGGAGAAAAGAAAGAGAGAGACATAAAACATGTTCAAATAAATAATGGCAGAAAAATGCCCAAGTTTGGAAGAGGAAATATAAATTCAGATCTAGAAAGCTCAATGAATACCTGATATGATTATTTCCAAGGGACACACATCAATTTACATCATAATCAAATTGTTAAAATTTGAAGACAAAGAGAGAATATTGAAAGCTGCAAGAGGAAAGTGACCTGTTACATACAAGAGGAGCTCCATTACACTCTCATGGGATTTTTCAACAGAAACCCTGGAGGCCAGAAAGGAATGGAATGCTATACTTCAAAAGCTAAACAAACAAACAAAGACTAGCAATCAAGAATACTGACCCCAAAAATACTGTCATTCAAAAATAAGGCAGAGATAAAAAAATTTTCCCAGACAAAGGCTGAGATATTTATTATCCCTACATTTTCCTTACAAAAAATGCTAAAATGAGTCCTTAAAACTAAAGAAAAGTATTTCTAAGTAGTAATATGAAAATACAAAACTCACTGGTGAAAACAACTATAGCTACAATAATTTCTTAGCGGCACAAAGTATAAAACATATAAAATTTGCAAACAAAACAAATTGTGGGGCAAGGGGAGCAAAAGTGTAGACTTCTCGCAGGTGATAAAAGTTAAGTCATTATCAGCTTAATACAGCCTTTTATTAGTATAAGATTTTTTATGCAAGCCTCATGGAAACCACAAAGCAAAAATGTTTGTTTATATATACACAAAGGATTAAAACAAATAATTCAAATACTATCAGTAAAGAAAATAATTAAAGCACAAAATAAGAAAGCAAGAAAAACAAAGGATCTAAAAATTAACCAGAAAACAATATTTAAAATTTCAATAGTAAGTCCTTACCTATTAACAATTACTTTAAATGTAAATGAATTTAATTACCCAACAAAAGGCAGCAAGTGGCTGAATAAATTAAAAGAAAATCCAATTGTATGCTATCTATAAGACTCACTTCACTTCTAATAACACACATAGACTAAAGGTAAATAAATGGAAAAAGATATCCCACAGAAATAAAAAACAAATGGTGTGTGTAACAATATGTATAACAAATAAAATATACATTAAGTCAAAAACTGTAAAAAGAGAAAAAGAAAGTCATTATTTTATGATAACATGGTCAATTTATCAAGGAGATATAGTAATTGCAAATACGTATGTACCTAACATAAGAACACCTAAATTCATTAAGCAAATACTAATAAATCTGAAGGGAGAGATAGACTGTAATACTATAATAGTAAGATATTTCAATATCCCACTTCAACATTAGACAGAAAATTTAGACATAAAATTAATAAGGAAACATTACACTTGAACTACACTTTATAACATATATACTTAAAAGATATTTACAGAACATTTCATCTAACAGCAACAAAATATACCTTCTTCTAAAGTTGACACAAAACATTCTTCAAGATATATTACAACTTAAGTCACAAAACCATTTTTAGTACATGTAGTAAGAATTGAATCATATTGAGTATCTTTTCTGACCTCACTGGCACAAAATCAAAAATCAATAATGACAGCAATCTTGGAGAACTCACAAATATTTGGAAATTAAACATCATGCTACTGAACAACCAAAGAGTGAGAGAATGATTTTAAAAAAAAAATTAAAATTATCTTGAGATGCACAAAAATGGAAACATACCTTACCAAAACCTATTGGATGTAGCAAAAGCACTACTAAGAGGAAAGTTTATAGCAATAAAATGGCTACAACAACAAAAGAGAAAGATCTCAAATAAACAACCTAATGTTACACCTCAAAAAACTAGAAAAGACAGAAAAACGTAAGCCCAAGTTTAGCAGAATAAAGGAAATAACAAAGAAGGCAGAAATAAAATCAAGTCTAGAAAAATAACAGGAAGTATTTTAAAAACCAAAGTTTTTTTCAAAAAGATAAAATCAGCAAACATTTAGCTAGACTAACAAAGAAAGGTCAATTTTTCTGATGAACACAGATGCAAAATAACAGAAACCTGAACTCCATGTCACATAAAAAATTAGTTATCATGATCAATGATATGTGAGGGATGCAAGATTAACTTAACATATGTAAATCAATGTGATATACTATATTCACCAACTGAAGGGCAAAAACCACACGATCATTTCAATAGATACAGAAAAAAATTAACAAAATTCAATATCCATTCATATCAAAAGCTCTCAAAAAATGGATATAGAGGGAATGTGTCTCAACACACTAAAGGCCACTTATAACAAGTGCACAATTAACAGCCTACTGAATGAGGAAAAATTTGAAAGCTTTTCCTCTGAGATCAGAGACTTGACAAGAATATTCATTCTTGTTATTTTTTTAAACATAGTAGTAAAAGTCCTTGTGTAAGCAATTAGGCGACAGAAGAGGAAAGAAAGGAAGGAAGGAAGTGATGGAGGGAGGGAGGGAAAGAAACAGAAAGAGAAAGAAAGGAAGAAAGAAACAAAGGCAGAAAAAGAAAGAAAGAAAGAAAAAGAAAGAAAGAGAGGGAGGGAGGAAGAAAGAGAAAAAGAAGAAAGAAAGAAAGAAAGAAAGAAAGAAAGAAAGAAAGAAAGAAAGAAAGAAAGAAAGAAAGAAGAGGGAGGGAGGGAGGAGAAAGAAAGGCAGGAAGGAGAAACAAAGAAAGAAAAAGAAGAAAGAAAGAAATAAAGAAAAAGAAAGAAAAAAGAAAAGAAAGAAAGAAAGAGAGAAAGAAAAGACAGAAAGATGAAAAGAAAAGAGAAATGAAAGGAAAAGAGAAGAAAAGAAAGAGCATCCATATAGGAAAGGAAGAAATGAAAGGTTTTTTGCTAATGTCATGATCTTATACCCAGAAAACCCTAAAGACTCCACTAAAAACCTGTTAGAATGCATAAACTAATTCAGCAATGTTGCAGTTTACAAAATTCACATACAAAAATTAGTACCATGTCTATACACTAATAATAAACTATCTGAAAAGAAATTAATAAAACAATCTCATTTACAATAGCACTAAAAAATACATAGAATTAAATTTAATCCAAGAGTGAAAGATCTGTGCACCACAACAATAAAACTTTGTGGAAATAAATTGAAGAAGACAAATACATCAAAAGATATCCCATGTTCATGGACTGGAAGAATTAATACCCCCAAAATGTTCATACTATCCAAAGCAATCTACAGTTTTAATAAGTCACTATTTAAACATGCCAATGACATTCTTCATAGAAATAGAAGAAAAATCCTAAAACATGTATAGAAAAAGAAAAGACCCCAAATAGACAAATCAATTATTGGAAAAAAGAAAAAAGTTAGAATCATCACACTCTCTGATTTCAAAATATATTACAAAGCTACTGTGATCAAAAGAGTATGGAACTGGTATAAAAACAGACACATCAACCAATGGAACAGAATAGAAAGCTCAGAAAAAAAATCCAAGTAATTACAGTCTATTGATTTTCAACAAAAGTTTCAGGAATACACAATGGAAAAAGAATACATAAATGGATGTTGAGACAACTGGATATCCACATGCAGAAAAATAAAATTGGACCCTTAGCTTACAACATATAAAAATTCAACTCAAAATAGGTAAAATACTTCAGTGTAAGGCCCTAAAACTGTAAAGCTACTACAAGAAAACAGTGGAAAAACTCCACAACTTGGGTTTCGGCAATGGTGTTTTTGAATAGGACTCCTAAAGGACAGCAACAAAAGCAAAATTAGACAAATGGGATTGCATCCAAGTAAAAATATTCTGCACAACAAAAGAAACAACTAACAGACTGAGAGAAAACCCACAGATTGGGAGAAAATACTGAAACTTCAGCATTTCCTCAGTTCCGGGACCTACTGCTGATATCAAAATCCACTGATGCTCAAGTCTAATATATAAAATGGAATAATATTTAATTTTGTTTATGTGGTGTATCAAATCTATTGATTTGCGTATGTTAACCCATCCCTGCATTCCTGTTATGAAACCCACTTGATCATGGTGAATTATCTTTTTGATATGCTGTTGAATTCAGTAAGGTAATATTTTGTTGAGGATTTTTGCATCTATGTTCATTAGGAATATTTGTGGTTTTCTTTTTTTGTTATGTACTTTTCTGATTTTGAATTAGGGTGATACTGACTTCATGGAATGATTTAGGGAGCAATTCTTTATCTTTTGTAATATTTTAAATAGGATCAGTACCAATTCTTCATTAAGTGTCTGATAAAATTCTGCTGTGAGTCCATCTGGTTCTAGACCTTTTTTTGTTGGAATTTTTTTTGGTTACCATTTCAATCTCACTGTTTGTTACTGGTCTGTACAAAGTTTCTATTTCTTCCTGGCTTAATCAAGGAAGGTGGTATATTTCCAGGAATTTATCCCTCTTCTCTAGGTTTTTTAGTTTATGCACATAAAGGTGTTCATGGTATCCTTAAATGATCTTCTGTATTTCTGTAGTATCAGACGTAATATCTTCCATTTTGTTTCTAATTGAACTTATTTCAATCCTCTCTCTTCTTTTCTTGGTTAATCTCACTAATAGTCGATTAATTTTTATTATATTTTTGAAGAACCAGCTTTTTGTTTCATTCACATTTTGTATTTTTTTGTTTAAATTTTATTTAGTTCTGCTCTGGTCTTTGTTATTCTTTTCTTCTACTTGGTTTCGGTTTGGTTTGTTCTTCTTTCTCTAATTTCTTGAAATGTGACACTAGATTATCTATTTGTGGTCTTTCAGACTTTTTGATGTAGGCATTTAATGCTATGAACTTTCCTCTTAGCACTGCTTTTGCTGAATCCCAGAGGTTTTCATAGGTTGTGTCACAATTATCCATCAGTTAAAATAATTTTTAAATTTCCATCTTGATTTCATTGTTGATCCATTGATCATTCAGTAGCAGGTTATTTAATTTCCATGTATTTGTATGGTTTTGAGGGTACCTTTGAGAGTTGATTTCCAATGTTATTCCACTGTGGTCTGAGAGAGTATTTGATAAAATTTACATTTCCTTACATTTATTGAGGCTTGTTTTGTGGCTTATCATATTGTCTATCTTGGAGAATGTTCCTTGTGCTGATGAGTAGAATATATATTCTGCAGTTGTTGGGTACAATGTTCTGTAAATATCTGTTAAGTCCATTTGTTCTAGGGCATAATTTAAGTATATTGTTTCTTTGGTGATTTTCTGTCTTGATGACCTGTCTAGCGCTGTCAGTGGAGTACTGAAGTCCCCCACTAATATTGTGTTGCCGTTTATGTCATTTATACAGTCTAGTAATATTTGTTTTATAAATTTGAAAGGCCTAGCATTAAGTGCATATATGTTTAGGAGTGTGATTTTTTTTTTTGTTTCACTAGAGTTTTTATCCAGAAAAAGCATTTGACAAAATCCAGCATCCCTTTTTAATTAAAATCCTCAGTAAAACTGGCATAGAAGGGACACACCTTAGGGTAATAAAAGCCATCTATGACAAAACTACAACTAACATTGTACTGAATTGGGAAAAGTTGCAAACATTTCCCCTGAGAACTGGAACCAAACAAAGATGCCCACTTTCACCACTTCTATTCAACATAGTACTGGAAGTCCTAGCCAGAGCAATCAGAGAAGAGCATGAAAGAAAAGGCATCCAAATGGATAAAGAAGGTGTCAAACAATCACTGTTTACCAATGATACAATCATATATCTACAAAACCCTAAAGACTCATCAAAGAAGCTCCTAGATCTGATGAATAAATTCAGTAAAGTTTCAGGATAGGAAACCAATTTACACAAATTATTAGCACTGCTATACACCAATAGCAACCAAGCTGAGAAAAAAAAAATCAAGAACTCAACCTCTTTTACAACAGCTGCAAATAATAATAATAAAATACTTAGTAATATGGTTTGGCTGTGTCCCCACCCAAATCTTACCTTGAATTGTAATAATCCCCATGTGTCAAGGGGGCCAGGTAGAGACAACTGAATGGGGGTAGTTTTTCCCATACTGTTGTCATGGTAGTGCATAAGACTCATGAGATCTGATGGTTTTATACTTAGGAGTTCCCCCACACAAGCTTCTTGCCTGCCACCATGTAAGATATGCCTTTTGCCTTCTGTCATGATTGTGAGTCCTCTCCAATCATGCAAAACTGTGAGTCCATTAAGCCTCTTGTTCTTTATAAATTACCCAGGATCAGGTATGTTTTTATCAGCAGGATGAAAACAGACAAATACAGTAAATTGGTACTGGGAGTGGGGTGCTACTTTAAAGATACCTGAAAATGTGGAAGCAACTTTGGAACTGGGTAACAGGTAGAGGTTGGAAGAGTTTGGAGGGCTGAGAAGACGATGGAAAAATGTGGGAAAGTTTGGAACTTTCTAGAGACATGGAGTACTCACAAGACAGGAAGATGTGGAGAAGTTTAGAACTTCCTAGAGATTTGTTAAATGGCTGTAACCAAAATGCTGATAGTAATATGGGCAATAAAATCCAGATTGAGGTGGTCTCAGATAGAGATGAGGAGGTTGTTGGGAACAGGAGTAAGGTCACTCTTGCTATGCAAAGAGACTGGCAGCATTTTGCCACTGCCCTAGAGATCCGTGGAACTTTGAACGTGAGAGAGATGATTTGGGTATCTGACAGAACAAATGTCTAAGCAGCAAAGCATTCAAAAGGTGACTTGGGTGCTGTCAAAAGTATTCAGTTTTGAAAGGGGAAAGAGTACAAAAGTCCAGAAAATTTATAGCCTGACTATGAGACAGAAAAGAAAAACCCATTTTCTGACAACAAATTCAAGCCTGCTGCAGAAATTTGTATATGTTGATAAGAAGCCAAATGTCAACTCCTAAGACAATGGGGAAAATGTCTCCAGGGCCTCTCAGAGATCTTTGTGGCAGCCCCTCCCACAACAGGCCCAGAGGCCTAGGAGGAAAAAATGGTTTTGTGAGCCTGGCCCAGGGTCTCCCTTCTGTTTGCAGCCTAGGGACTTGGTGCCCTGCATCCCTCCCACTTTACCCATGGATATAAGTGACCAAGGTACAGCACAGGCTGTGGCATCATGGGGTGCAAGCTCCAAGCCTTGGAAGCTTCCATATGGTGTTGAGCTATATAGGTGCACAGAAGTCAAGAATTGATGTTTGGGAAGCCTCACCTAGATTTCAGAGGATGTTTGGAAATGCCTGGATGTCCAGGTAGAAGTTTGCTGCAGAGGCATGACCCTCATGGACAACCTCTGCTAGGGAAGTGCAGAAGGGAAATGTGGGATTGAAGCCCCCACATAGATTGCCCTACTGGGTCACTTCCTAGTGGAGCTGTGATAAGATGGTCACTACCCTACAGAACCCAGAATGGTTGGAGACCATTATTCTGAGTGTTTAGTTAGGTAACTCAGGAATAAAAAACTAAACATCGTATCTTCTCACTTATAAGTGGGAACTAAGCTATGAGTATACAAAGGCACGAGAATGATATAATGGACTCTGGGGACTCCAGAGAGGGCAGGCTAGGGGAGTGAGGGATAAAAGACTACACACTGGGTACAATGTACACTGTTCAGGTGATGGGTGCACCAAACTCTCAGAAATTAGCACTAAAGAACTTCCTATGTAACAAAAACCCACCTGTTCCCCCAAAACTATTGAAAAAATAATTTAATGCCTGCTCTTTGAAAATAGACTTAGGAAAATGAAAACCAAAAAACCCAACCATATACAGAGGGACAATATTTTTAAAACATATTCCTGATGAAGAAATGTTCCAAATTGCAAACAAAACAGACAAAAGAGCAAAAACAAAACTGAAAATTAAACATTGGTATAGGTAATAAACAAAAAGTCATTTAACATAATTATTCATTAGGGAAATGTAGATTACCACATGAAATATTGCTGCACAATTCTAAGAGCAAATCTAATACCCTCCCAATGGCAAAATTAAACGCTGGAAAACATATGAAGAAACTGATATTGTAATAGTTTGCTG
The DNA here is from genome assembly GCF_000001405.40 of Homo sapiens. NCBI lineage: Eukaryota > Metazoa > Chordata > Mammalia > Primates > Hominidae > Homo > Homo sapiens. Next base: position 8,806,898 of record NC_000005.10, read on the forward strand.
ACCATTTTGAGGTTCTGTAATTACTCTCGTTTCCCAGAGTAATAATATTAACACCAATTGGAAATGTTTTTCAAAACAATGACTTTACATTCTATCTCATATGTGTTGAGTAAAATATGTTTGAAGTTAAAATGATGCCAATATTAATGGATTTTGCTACAAAATTAGATATATTTCTATTTTTATTCTTGGAGGAAACTGGCTCATTAGTTTATAATTCTTTTTTTTTTTTTTGCCTGAGCAAAAAGTTCACAAAATTTAAAATTCACAAAATATAAAGGAGTATACAATGAAATGTGATTTTATTATGGCTCTGTTTTATGAGTATAATCTGTTTACTCAGACAGTACTGCTAAGAATATTTAGGTTGGCTCCCACATTTTGCTGTCACAAGCAGTACTTTATTGAGAATAGTTGCAATATATCATTTTATTAATACACGTGTGCAAGAATTTTGACAGAATGCTTCACATATAGAATTTGATATATCAAAGTACATATGCAATTATACTTCCAAAACATATTTCCGAATTACCTTCCAATTAACATTCTCTTTTTCTCACTTGACAAAAAATAATTTTGTACATTTATGGGATACAACATGATGTTTTGATCTATACGTACATTTAGAAACATTAAATCAAGATAATTGGCAATTTCATCAGTTCACCAATTTATCTTTCTTTGTGATGAGAATGTTAAAAATCTATTTTAGGAATTTTGAATTATACAATACATTATTATTAACTGTGGCCACCATTCCATGAAATAAATCACTAAAATTTATTCTTCCAGTCAAACTGAATCTTTCCACCATTTAAACAACATCTTCACTTTTGCTATTCCTCTCACTGTTCCCAACTGCATGTAACCATCTTTCTATTCTGTTTCAATGAGATCAACTGTTTTACATTCCACATAAGTGACATCATACAGAATGCGTTTTTCTGTGCCTGGCTTGTTTCGCTTGCATAATGTCCTCCAGTTACATTCATATTGTCACAAATGACAGAATTTCCTTCTTTTTAAAGGCTGAGTAGTATTCTTATGCATACATGCCACATTTCGTTATTCTTTCATCTATTAATGGACTTACTTCCATATCTTGGCTAGTGCTGCTGAAATGGACATGGGATTTGAAGACCTCTCTTTGACATACTGATTTCATTTCAAATATATACCCAGAAGTGGAATTGTTTGATCATACGGTAATTCAATTGTAATTTTTTTAAGGAACCTTCTTACTATTTTCCAAGGTGGCTGTACTGATTTACATTATCACTGTACAAGTGTTCCCTTTTCTCCACATCCTCACCTACACAATCTATTTTTGACAATAGCCATTTTAACAGGTGTGAGATGATATTTCATTGTGATTTTAATTTGTATTTCCCTGATTATTAGAAATGTTGACCATCTTTTTATGTATCTGTTGGCCATTAGTATCTCTTCTGTTAAGAAATGTCTATTCAGATCCTTTGTCTATTTCTAAATTGTGTTGTTTGTTTTATTGTTATTGAGTTATTTTCCTTCTGTATTTTAGATATTAGGCCCTTATCAGATGTACAGTTTGTAATACAGTTGGCCCTTTGTATTTGTGCGTTTTGCATCTGCAGATTCAACCAATCGTGAATCAAAAATATTTGAAAAGAAACAATAAAAATAAAAATACAACAACAAATGATATAAATAAATATAAAGCATACAAATTGCAACCTAGTATTTACATTGTATTAAGTATTTTTAGTAATCTAAAGATGATGTAAGGTATACAGAAGAATGTGCTGCATAGGTTATAGGCAAGTATGGACTATGCCATCTTTTTTATTTTTAGGGATTTTTTTTATTTCAATAGGTTTTTGGGGAAGAGGTGGTGTTTGGTTACACAGATAAGTTTTCAGTGGGGATTTCTGAGATTTTGGTGTACACCCAGTGTACACTGTACCCAATGTTTAGACTTTTATCCCTCACACCCCCACCCTTCTTTCCAAGTCACCAAAGTCCATTGTATTATTCTTATGTGTTTGTGTCCTTTTAGCTTAGCTACCAATTATAATTGAGAACATATGATGTTTAGTTTTCCATTCCTGAGTCACTTCACTCAAAATAATGGTCTCTAACTCTATTCAGGTTGCTGTGAATGCCATTATTTTGTTCCTTTTTATGGCTGAGTAGTATTCATGGTATATGTGTGCCAAATTTCCTTTATCTGCTCATTGGTTAATGAGAATTTAGGCTGGTTTTATATTTTTGCAATTGCAAATTGTGCTGCTATAAACATGCCTGTGCAAGTGTTTTTTTTATATAATTACTTATTTTCCTCTAGGTAGATATCCAGGAGTGGGATTGCTGGATCAAATGATAGCTCTACTTTTAGTTCTTTAAGGAATTTCCATACTGTTTTTCATAGTGGTTGTACTAGTTTACATTCCCACCCGCAGTGTAAAAGTGTTCCCTTTTAACCATATCCACACCAACATCTATTAATTTTTTATTTTTAAATTCTGGCCATTCTTGCAGTGGTAAGGTGGTATTGCATTGTGGTTTTGATTTGCATTTCCCTGACCATTAGAGATGTTAAACGCTTTTGTATATGTTTGCCATTTTTATATCTTCCTTTGAAAATTGTCTATTCATGTCCTTAGCCAGTTTTTGATGGGATTATTTGGGTTTCTTTTCTTGCTGATTTGTTTGATTTTCTTGTAGATTCTGGATATTAGTCCCTTATTGGATGCATAGTTTGTGAAGATTTTCCCCCACTCTGGGGGTTGACTGTTTACTTTGTTGATTATTTTATTTTCTGGGCAGAAGATTTTTAGTTTAATTACTTCTCATCTCTTTATTTTTGTTTTTGTTGTATTTGCATTTGGGTTAATGGTCATGAATTCTTTGCCTAAGCCAATGTCTAGAAGAGTTTTTCCAATGTTATCTTTTAGAATTTTTATAGTTTCAAGTCTTAGATTTAAGTATTTGAACCATCTTCAGTTGATTTTTTTTAATAAGGTGAGAAATGAGGATCTAGTTTCACTCTCCTGCATGTGGCTTGCCAATTATCCCAGCATCATTTGTTGAATAAGGTGTCCTTTCCCCACTGTTTTTGTTTGGTTTGTTGAAAATCAGTTTTCTGTAGGTATTTGGCTTTATTTCTGGGTTCTCTATTCTGATCCATTGGTCTATCCTATTTTCATGCCAGTATCATGCTGTTTTGGTTACTATAGCCTTATAGTATAGTTTGAAGTCAGGTAATGTGATGCCTTCAGATTTGTCATTTGTGCTTAGTTTGATTTGGCTATACAGTCTTTTTTGGTTCCGTATAAATATTAGGATTGTTTTTTTTTTCTAGTTGTCAAGAATGATGATGGCTCTTTGATAAGAATTGCATTGAATCCATAGATTGCTTTTGGCAGTATGGTCACTTTGACAATATTGATTCTACCTATCCATGAGCATGGGTTATGTTTCCATTTGTTTGTGTCGCTGATGATTGTGTTTTCTAGTTTCCCTTGTAGAGACCTTTCACCTCCTTTGTTAGGTATATTTATAAGTATTTTATTTTTATTTTGCAGCTGTTGTAAAGGGGATTTGTTCTTGATATTTTTCTCAGCTTAGTCGTTTTTGGTGTATAGCAGTGCTACTGATTTGTGTAAATTGATTTTGTATCCTGAAACTTTACTTAATTCACTTATCAGATCTAGGAGATTTTTTGATGAATATTTAGGGTTTTCTAGGTATATGATTATATCATTGGCAAACAGAGGCAGTTTGATTTCCTCTTTACCAACTTGGATGCCTTTTATTTATTTCTTTTGTGGGCATTTTTAAATTTTGGTGATACCTATTTTTTTGCTTTTGTGATCCATCCATATTACATTGTATTTAAGGATTCTTTGGTTGACTCTAAGTCATCAACATGGTTTTTCTATTTTATTCCAGAAATTTTGAAGTTTTAGGTTCTACATTTAGATCTCTAATTCACTTTGAGTACATTTTTATGTGGTATAAGGCATGAATAACCATTGACAGTTTAGCCATAAATCTTTGCATGCTATTTTGTAGTGATTCTTCTTGGGATTACAAAATACATCCTTGATTCTTCACAGACTACTTAGAGTTCATTTTGTAGCCCTTCCTATAGAACCAGCCTAGAAACACCAAGATTTCATTTTGGCATGCATGAATTTTTATGCTATAATTGATATATATGCATTATATATTCATATCATATTAAATTCAAATACAATGTCATAGTTTTGTATAGTCATGTGTTTTAAAAAAATAAAAAAGATTACTTTTCTGTGTATCATATTTTCCTATTGCCAGTGTTATTCATGCCTTCCTGAAAATTTAGGTTTTTTAACTACCTTTACTTTACTTCAGCCTGATGGAATTACTTTTAACATTTCTTGGAGAAGATTTGTTCTGCTGACAATGTTTGCATTGTTTTTAATGTGCTATTAGCTGCCTTTCATATCTTCATTCCTCTGTATGTAATGTGTCATCTTATTTCTTTTTACTTTCTAGTGTTTCATTTTATCTTTGGTTTACGTGAATTTAACTATTTTGTGCCCAAGGTGATGAATTTATTTTATTTATCCTGCTTAAGGGCTGTTTAGTGTATTATCGCCTTCGTCTGTGCATTACTTAAATGATGATATTCTCAGAACTCTGCATGGACTCTATTTTCATCTCATTTTCAGAGGAAATTCATCCTTTCAAAATAGCAAGTTACCATCTGTGTGTTGATAATTCCAACATCATTAACATTAGCTGACATACCTCTCTTCTTTTTTATGACTGTATGTTCAGATATTTTTTTCCACAGTCTTTATCAGGCATCTCCTTTGTGGCCAGCACTTTTCCAGGACACGTGTATAAAATCTTTGAAAACAGATTGAAGAACATAAACAGACACTTCTCAATAGAAGACGTACTAGCAGCCAGCAAATATGTTCAAAAATGCTCATTATCACTAATCATTAAAGAAATGCAAATCAAAACTATGAGATACCATCTGGCACCAGTCAGGTGGCTTTTGTTGAAAAGTCAAAAAATAACAAATGTTGGCGAGGCTGCAGAGAAAAGGGAATCCTTATACGGTGTTGGTGGAAATATAAATTGTTCCAGCCACTGTGGAAAGCAGTTTGGAAAATTCTCAAAGACTAAGAGTTGAACTACTATTTGACTCAGCAAACACATTACTGGGTACATACCCAAAGGAAAATAAATCATTCTACCAAAAGCATATGCACCCATATGGTCATCATACCACTATTTATAATAGCGAAAACATGGAACTAACCAAGCTGCTCATCAGTGGTGGACTGGATAAAGAAAATGTGGCACATATACATAATGGAATACTATGCAGTAATAAAAAAAATGAAATTATCTCCTTCGCAACAACATGGGTGCAGCTGGAGACCAACTTCCTATATGAACTAGTGCAAAAACAGAAAACCAAATATCACATTACTTTCGCTTGTAAGTGGGCACTAAACATTGAGTACACATGGAAATAAAGATGGAAACAACAGATACTTGGGACTAATAGAATGGGGAGAGGGAGGAGAGAAAAGGCTGTAAACTACCTATTGGTTATTATGCTTACTACCTGGGTGACAGGTTCAATCAGATCCCAAACTTAAGCATCACACTATATCCCTTTGTAACAAATCTGCACATGTACCACCTGATTCTAAAATAGAAGTTGGATAAAGGAATGAACACCAGATTCTACTTAATGGGGTTCACATCACAGTTGGAGAGAGATAACACAAACAAACAAATACAAGCATAACTGATGAGATTAACTAGTGAGCATAATGAAAACAAAAAGGAAATTATCCCAGAGATTTATGGAAATGAAGGGTTTTAGCTAAAATAGCCTGAGAAGGCTTTCTGCAGAGTCAACATTTAAAATGAAACCCAAATTCACATCTCTTCACGGAACTCCCCCTCTTAGGTATCAGATTGCCTATTTAAGAGATCCACTTAGATGTCTAACTGTTACAGCAGGTAGGTAGTCAGACATAAGCAAGGCAAAAGAGTCCTCCATCTCCCACCCCACCAGGAATGTAAGGAGACCATCAGGTGATGGTCAGTCGGTTGTTAAACTATCTGTCTAGAATAATAATTGGTCACAACTGGTGCCAGGGAAAGGAAGTCGCCCAAAAGATTAAAAAAAAAAAAAGAAACCTAAAACTGATGATCAGCAGCTCCTGATAAGATCTCAGGAGTTAGGTGAGTGGGCTCAAGCATGTGCACTAAGAGGTGAAATGGCAGAGTTTAACTGGTGACACTCAACTGATAAAAGAAAACATCTCAAGTAAGCACGCATACAACTTCAGCAAACACATTGGGCATGCAGCCCCTCCCGTGTGCTGGTAGGCCACTGCACATGCAGACAGCCCACCCCAGGGAAAGAATCAGGGGAGAAGAGATGCAACTTCCTGGAAACATGCCAGCATATAAAACCCCAAGTCAAATGTCAAACCGCACATGAATCTCTCAAGTCACCCTCTTGGCCCTCTTCCAAGTGTACTTCCCTCCATTTCTTCTCTAAAACTTTTTAATAAACTTCCACTCTTTAAAACTTGCATCAGTCTCTCACTCTGCCATATGCCCTGCAGTCAAATTCTCTCTTCTGAGGAGGCAAGAATTGAGGTTACTGCAGACCCATACAGACTCACTGCTGCTAATATACCTATTGGATACTTAGACTTTCAATACTAACTTTCTGATTTTTACCTAAATATGTTTCTTCTACAGTCTTCCCCAGGGTCAAGGCCATCTTTTCATTTTCTCTGGCCACTGAAAGAATTAGTGACCCTGTCAGATCTTGCTTTTATATGTTAGGTGAGATTAGGGAATTTTTGGTCTAAGTCCCAGCTTCGAGTAGTTGCTCCACCTTTATGTGCTCCCCAGTACTCTATGGAATAGGTCCTTTAAAGAACTTCAGATTCATCTCTTTCTGCAGTTCCCTTCCCTCTAGGCCTCTAGAGTTTTGCAAACTCTAGCTATCTTGGTCTCCCTAGATTCTCAGTTGTCTCTTCAACTAAGGAAATCTGCTAGGTTCTGTCCACCTTCCCTCTCTCCACGCTCTGTCTTGGAAACTCAAAGGCAGTAAATTGGAGTGATTTGTAGTTTTTACTTCATTTGTTTTCTGTCTCTTGTGATCCGTCCGTCTCCTTTGCTGCTTCTTGAAATCCATTATTAAATATATTTCTGCATTTTTTTACACTTTTGGGAAAATAATATATCCTATTCTTACTATTACATCTTGGCTGGAGGTGAAGCTTCAATTTGCATATTAATAGAATTCAAGATACTGACCAGCAGGGAAGTACCCCTCAGGGAAGATCAAGAGCAGCTCTTTCCTGCAGCAACCAAGCACAGATCATGCTCAGGGCTGTTCCTCAGGCATGTGGATGGCAGCATCCACTTAGCTTTCAGACAACTCTTCAAAGCAATAGCAGCTTGCTTCAAAAACCTCAGGGGGATGATGAGAATGTTAAGGGGGAACAAGAACATGATCACACAGGACTTACTCAGAAAGATTTTACTGCATTGCCTTTGTAATCATATTCTAGTTTGATCATAATCAAATGTAAAAATAGAAGCAGATTTAATTAGTGTGACGAGTTGGATATAGGAAAGCAAGAGTTCTATGTCTGAATCATATTTTCTTTCTTACTAGATGATATGGTTTGGCTCTGTCCCCACCTAGATTTCATCCTGAAATATAATTCCCATATATAGGAGGAAGGACATGGTGCGAGGTGATTGAATCATGGGGGAGGATTATCACCTTGCTGTTCTCATGATAGTGAGTGAATTTTCACCAGATCTGATGGTTTAAAAGTGTGGCACTTTCCCCTTCACTTTCTCTCTCTCTTTCTCCTGCTCCACCATGTTGAGACATACTTCCTTCCTCTTTTCCTCCCACCATGACTGTAAGATTCCTGAGGCCTCCTAGACATGCTTCCTGAAGAGCCTGCAGAACTATGAGTCAATTAAACCTCTTTTCTTCATAAATTACCCAGTCTCACATAGTTTTTATTGCAGTGTGAAAATGGAATAATACAGAAAATTGGTATCAGGAGAGAGGGGCACTGTTATAAAGATACCTGAAAATGTGGAAGTGATTTTGAAAAAGGCTAATGGGCAGAGGCTGGAAAAGTTTGGAGGACTCAGAAGAATATGAGAAGATGTGGGAAAGTTTGGAACTTCCTAGAGATTTGTTGAATGCTTGTGACCAAAATGCTGATGGTGATATGGACAATGAAGTCCAGGCTGAGGTGGTCTCAGATGGAGATGAACCGCTTATTGGGAACTGGAGTAAGGGTCACTCCTGCTAGGCTTTAGCAAAGAGAGTGGTGGCATTTTGCCCTTGCCTCGTAGATCTGTGGAACTTTGAACTTGAGATAAATTATTTAGGGTATCTGATGGAATAAATTTCTAAGCAGCAAAGCATTCAAGAGGTGACTTGGCTGCTTCTAAAAGTATATGCTCATATATGTAACAAAAAGATGGTCTGAAATTGAAACTTATATTTAAAAAGGGAGCAGAGCACAAAAGTTTTGAAAACTTTGCAACATGACCATGCAGTAGAAAAGGAAAACCCATTTTGTGGGGCGAAATTCAAACTGGCTGCAGAGATTTTTGAAACTGAAGGGAAGTCAAATACTAATAGCCAAGACATTGGGGAAAAGGTCTCCAGGGTATTTCAGAGATCTTCGTGGCAGCCCCTCCCATCAGAGGCCCAGAGGCCTAGGAGAAAAAAATGGTTGTGTGGCCCAGGCCCAGGGCCCTGCTGCTCTGTGCAGCCTTGGTTTGTGGCACCCTGCATCCCAGCTGCTCTAGCTCCAGCCATGGTTAACAAAAGGAAAGTAAACCTTGGGCTATGGCTTCAGAGGGTACAAGCCCCAAGCTGTAGTGGCTTCTACATGGTATTGGGCTTGTGGGTACACAGCAAGTAAGAACTGAGGTTTGGGAACCTCCACCTAGATCTCAGAGGATGTATGAAAATGTCTCAAAGTCCAAGCAGAAGCCTGTTGCAAGGGCACAGCTTTCATGGGAAATATCTACTAGGGGAGTGCAGAAAGGTAATGTGGGGTTGGAGTTCTCATACAGTCTCTCCACTGGGACATTGCCTACTGGAGCTATGAGAAGAGGTCCATGGTCCTACAGATCCCAGAATGGTAGATCTACTGACAGTTTGCACCATGCACCTAGAAAAACCACATGCACTCAGTACCAATCTGTGATAGCAGCCACAGGGGTTGTACCCTACAGAGCCACAGGGGCAGAGCTTCCCAAGGCCTTGGGAGCCCACCTCTTGTATCAGCATGTCCTGGATGTAAGACATGGAGTCAAGAGAGATTATTTTGGAGTTTTAAGATTTAATGACTACCCTGCTGAGTTTTGGGCTTGCATAGGGCCTTTAGTCCCTTGGTTTTGGCCAATTTATCCTTGTTGTAACAGGAACATTTACCCAATTCTTGTATCCCCATTGTATCTTGGAAGTATTGTTTTCTTTCCATGGCTCATAGACGAAAGGGATTTGTCTTGTCTCAGATGAGACTCTAAACTTGGACTTTTGAGTTACTGTTGGAATGAGTTACGTATTTGGGGGACTGTTGGGAAGGCATGATTGGTTTTGAAACGTGAAAATGACAATTTTGGAGGGTCCAGGGGCAGAATGATATGGTTTGCCAATGTGTCCCCACCCAAATCTCATGTCATATTGAAGTTCCCAAGTATCACAGGAGGGGCCTGGTGGGAGGTGATTGAATCATGGAGGCAGATTTCTTTCTTGCTGTTTTCATGACAGTGAGTGAGTTCTCATGTGCTCTGATTGTTTAAAAGTGCGACACTTCCCCCTTCCATCTCTCACTTTCCTGCTCCGCCAAACTAAGATGTGCTTGCTTCCTCTTCACCTTCTGCCATGATTATAAGTTTCCTGAGGCCTTCTAGCCATGCTTCCTGTATAGCCTGCAAAACTGTGAGTCAATTCAACCTCTCTTCTTCAAAAATTACACCGTCTTGGGTAGTTCTTTATACAAGTGTGAAAACAGACTAAAACACCAGATATAATAATAAATTAATTGTTATAATCCTTCATATAGCCAACTATAAAATGGGAATGAGATTAATAGACACCTACCAGATCAAATATGAGAACTGGGCACACTGATGGATAATATGTTTTATCTCTGACACACAATTTACACTCAACATAAAATAACTAGTATAATTATTCTTAAGACACACATGTCTAGGCTGTAGTTCTAGAAATAGTAACAGAAGTCATTTCTCCTCCTTTGAAAATTAAATAAAAGCACAACTATAAGTTATTAATGAAATTGGTAATATATTAGTGATTTTATTATTTTGTAAAATATAAAAGGTGAATAAAACTCTACACAGTAACGTGGAACCATGTTAAAATGTAATATAATCAAAAATTTTAACATGGTTTGTTAATTGGAAACGTGTGAAATAGCTGGATAAGAATGAGGCATGAGCCAGGCACAGTGGCACATGCCTGTAGTCCCAGCTACTTGGGTGCCTGAAGCTGTAGGGTTGCTTGAGCCCAGGTGTTAGAAGCCAGTCTGGGCAACATAGAAAGATCCTCACTCTTAAAAAAAAAAAAAGAAAAAAAGGTATCCTTTGTATCCTTCAACCAAGAGAATCCAATTATCTTATTTTTGACAAGTAGGATTCATTTTTCTTTAATAGAGATCATTTCAGAGCAGTTTTAAGTTTAAAGCAAAATCAAGTAGAAAGCACAGAGTTTCTGAAGTCCCTGCCCCAAACACCTACAGCCTCCCCCACTATCAACATCTTATATCACAGTACTACATTTGTTAAAATCAATAAATTTGTATTTACACATCATTATCACACAAATGTTTATACTTTACATTCAAGTTTACTCTTTCACATTCTATGAATTTTCACAAATCTTTAATGACATGTATTCACAGTTGTGGTATCACATAGAATAGTTTCACTGTCCTAAAACTCCTCTATGCTCCACCTATTCATCCCCTTCTAACCCTCAACCTTGGAAAGCACTCATCTTTTTTACTGCCTCATAGGTTTGCCTTTTCCAGAATGCTATCATACATTATATAGCCTTTTAGATGAACTTATTTCATTTAATAACATACATTTAAGGTTTCTCTATATCTTTTCATACAGTTCACTTCTTTTTAGCACTGAATAACATGGCATTGTCTGGATATACCACAGTTTATTTATTCATTCACCTCCTGAAGGGTATTTGGTTGTTTCCAAATTTGAGCAATTTTGAATAAACGTGCTATAAACATCTGTGAGCAAGTTTTTATGTTGATAAAAGTTTTCAAGTTGTTCGGGTAAATAACAAGGAGAGCAATTACTGGATCGTATGGTAAGGGTATATTTAGTTCTTTAAGAAACCAAACCTAAGTGACCATATCATTTTGAATTCCCATCAGCCACATATGAGAGTTTGCTCATATGCTGGTCCACATCTTCACCAGAATTTGGTATTAATGTTTTGGACTTTAGCCATTCTGATAGGTGTGCAGTTAGCTGTCTCTTGTTTGAAATTGCTACTCCCTAATGACATATCACATCAAACATATTCTCATATGTTTATTTATCATCTTATATTGCCTTTGGTGTGGTGTCTGTTCAGGTATTTTTGCCATTTTATAATTGGGTTGCCCATTTTTTTATTGTGGAATATTATGAGTTCTTTGTATAATAGCCCTTTATTTGACATGTTTTTTCAAGTATTTCTCCACATCCTATGATTTGTTTTCTCATTATTTTGACATTGTTTCTCACAGAGCAGTTTTAAATTTTAATGAAATCCAGCTCAGCAATTATTTGTTTCATGGATCATGCCTTTTGTGTTGTATGTGAAAAGTCATTACCTAACCTAAGGTCATCTAGATTATCTCCTATGCTATATTATAGGAGTTTTACCTTTAAGTCTGTGATCCATTTTAAGTTAATATTTTGAAGACTGTTATGGTCTGAGTCTAGATTTCTTTTTGGCATGTGAATGCCCAGTTTTCCAGCATCAATGGTTGAAAACACTATCTTTACTTCATTGTATCACCTTTGCTTTTCTGTCAAAGACTATTTGACTATATTTATACAGCTCTATTTCTGGGCTCTTGGTTCTGTTCCACTAATCTATTTTTGTATTCATTCACCAATACTACACTGCTTTGATTATTTTAGTCTTGAAGTCAGGTAGTGTCAGTTTTCCAGTTTTGTTCTTCTCTAATATTCGGTTGGCTCTTTGAAGTCTTTTGTCTCTCCATATAAACTTTAGAATCAGTCTGCCAATATCCACAGAATAACTTACTAAAATTTTGATGGGGATTGCACTGAATGTACATATCCATTTTGGAACAAGTGACATCTTGACTATATTAAATCTTTGAGATCTTCTCCATAGACAGTTATGTCATCTGGAAGTGATATGCTTTGGATCTGTGTCCCCACCAAATCTCATGTCAAATTGTAGTGCCCAGTGTTGGAGGTGGGGCCTGGTGAGAGGTGATTGGATCTTGGAGGTGAATTTCTCATAAATAATTCAGCACCATCCCCCTTGGTACTGCCCTCACAGCAGTGAGTGAGTTCTCATGAAATCTGGCTGTTTAAAAATGTATAGCACCTCCTGCTTCTATCTCTTCCTCCTGCTCTGGCCATGTTCGGAGTTCCCTTTGCCTTCTGTCATGATTGAAATCTTCCTGAGGCCTCCCCAAAAGCAGAAGTTGCTATACTTTCTGTATAGCTTGCAGAACCATGAGCCAATTAAACCTCTTTTCTTTAAAAATTACTCAGTCTCAAGTATTTCTTTATAGCAATTTGAGAATAAACTAATACAGCAATCAAAGAGAGTTGTATTTTTTCCTTCTCACGCTGCAGACCTTTGATTTATTATTCTTGTCTTATTGCATTAGCTAGAACTTCCAGGATAATGTTGAAAAGTAATAGTGAGAAGAGACATTCTTGCCTTGCTCATAGTAATACTTTGAAAGAAACATTCTAGTTTCTCACCATTAAGTATAATATTAACTGTAGGGTTTTTGTAGATATTTTTTATCCATTAGAGGAAATTCTCCTCCATTTGTATTTGCTGAGATTTTATTTTTTAAATCATAAATGAGTGTTGAGTTTTTCAAATGATTTTTCCAAATCCATGAATGTGATTACATAAGTTTTATTAATTGTTTATATGAAGAATTACATAACCGATTTTCAAATGCTGAGCCAGCTTTGCATACCTGAAATAAAACCAACTTGTTTGTGGTCTGTGATTCCTTTTACATAATGTTAAATTTAATTTGCCAATATTTTGTTGAGTTTATTTATTTTTTGCATTCATCTATGTTTATAAGAGCTACCAATATGTAGTTTTCATTTCTTTCAATGTCTTTGTCTGGTGATGGTATTAGGGCTATGCTGCCCTCATAGAATGAGTTAGAGAGCATTCCCTTTTATTATGTTTTGCTATAATTGGTATAGAATTGGTATAATTTATTTCTTAAATGTCTGGTAGAATTCACCAATGAACCCATCTGGGCCTGGTGCTTTCTGTTTTGTAAAGTTATTAATGATTTATATAATTTGTTTAAGAGATATGGGCTATTTATATTGTTTATTTCTTCTTGTGTGAGTTTGGCAAATTATGTCTTTCAAAAAAAGATTGCTTTCCTATAGTTTATCAAATTTGTTGGCATAAATTTGTTCATAATACTTATTATTATTTTTGATGTCAAGGGATCTGTGGTAATGTTCCCTTTTTTATTCAAGATATTGGTAATTTGTGACTTCTCTGCTTGTAATTTAGTTAGCCTGAATAGAGGCTTATTTTATTAACCTTTTCAAGAACCAGCTTTTGGTTTTGTTGTTTTTCTCTATTGGTTTCCTGTTTTTAATTTCATTGATTTCAGCTCTAATTTTTCTTTTCTTCTGCTCATTTTGGTTTTAATTTGCTCTTCTTTTTTTTTTTCACTTCCTAAGGAGAAAGATTAAATTATTTATTTTTTATGTTTCTTTTAAAATACGTGCATTCAATGCTATACATTTTTCTCTAAACATTACTTTTCCTGCATCCCACAAATTTTGATGTTACATTTTTATTTTAATTCAATTTAAAATATTTTAAAATTATTCTCAATTTTTTTAATTTTAATTTATTTTTTGTGGATACATAGTAGGTGTATGCATTTATAGAATACGTGAGATATTTTGTTAAAGGCATATGATGCATAATTATCACATTAGGGTAAATGCAGTATCCATTACCTCAAGCATTTATCCTTTCTTTCTGTTACAAACAATCCAATTATCCTCTGTTATTTTAATGTATAGTAAAGTATTATTGACTGCAGACATCCTGTTGTATAATCAAATATTAACTTATATTCATTCTATCTAACTTTTCTTTTGTGCCCATAAACCATCTTCCTCCACCCCTTGAATTTTCCTTTTGATTCATGTATTCTTTTAAAGTCTTGTGTATAATCTCTAAGTATTTGCAGATTTTTTTTAGTTATTTTTCTGATATGTATTTTGTGTGTCATTCAATTGTGCTCTAAAAGGGGACATTACTTCTATTCTCTTAAATGTGTTATTGTATGTTTTATGAGCAGAGTATGATCACAGGGGAATATTACATGTGAGCCTGAGAATAATGTGTACCCTAAATGAAGTAGTAAATAGATGTCAATCCAGTTGATTGATGATGCTCTTGAATTCAAGTATGTATTTACTGATTTTCTACCTGCTGGCTGGATTCCATCATTTCTGATACAGAAGTATTTAAGTCACCAACTATAATAGTGGATATGATTTGGATCTGTGTCCCTGCCTAAATCCCATGTCAAATTATGATTCCTAATCATGGAGGTGGGGCCTGGTGGGAGGTGATTGGATCACAGGGACAGTTTCTCATGAATAGTTTAGCACCATTGGTATGATTTGGCTCTGTGTTCCCACCTAAATCCCAACTGCAACTGTAATCCCCACATGTCAAGTGAGGGATGTGTTGGGAGGTGATTGGATCATGGGGACAATTTCACCCATGCTGTTCTCATGACACTTCATGACACTGAGGGAGTTCTCATAAGAGCTGGTGTGTTTTTTGTTTTTTTTTTAGATGGAGTTTCACTCTTGTTGCCCAGGCTGGAGTGCAATGGCGCCATCTCGGCTCACTACAGCCTCCACCTCCTGGGTTCAAGTGATTCTCCTGCCTTAGGTTCTGGAGTAGCTGGGATTACAGGCATCCATCAACACGCCCAGCCAATTTTTTGTATTTTTAGTAGAGATAGGGTTTCACCACGTTGGCCAGGCTGGTCTCAAATTCCTGACATCAGGTGATCCACCCATCTCCCAAAGTGCTGGGCCACCATGTCTGACCGAGATCTGATGGTTTTTAAAGTGGCAGTTTTCCCTGTGCCCTCTCTCTCTCTCTCCTGCTGCCATGTAAGATGTGCCTTGCTTCTCCTTGGCCTTTCACTATGATAGTAATTCTCCTGAGGCCTCCCCAGCCATGTGGAACTGTGAGTCAATTAAACCTGTTTCCTTAATAAATTATCCGATAGTTTCTTTATAGCAGTGTGAGAATGAACTAATACAACCATCCTCCTGGTACTGTCCTTGTGATTATGAGTGAGGTCTCATAAGACCTAGTTAGTTAAAAAATGCATGGCACCTCCCTATTTCTTTCTCTTGCTCCTGGTCCTGCCATGTGAGACATCTCACTCCCCTTTTGCTTCTGCCATTATCGTGGAAGCTTCCTGAAGCCTCTCTAAAAGCAGAAGCCAGTATGCTTCCTGTACAGCCTGCAGAACCATGAGCCAATTAAACCTGCCTTTATAAATTTGATAGTCTCAGGTACTTCTTAACAGAAATGTGAGAATGAACTCACAGTGAATTCATCTATTTTTCCTTGCACTACCATTAGCACTTTTCTTTTTATATTCTTTCCCTCCCACTTTTTACACACACACACACAAGAACACACACATATGCACACACATAGAAAATCTAAATTTAATAATCAAAATTTAGCCCCAATGCATCTTATATTATTCAGCAATGTTAAGGAAAGTTTATAAGATGATTACGGAATTATTTTCATATAAATACAAATAATTTTGCAATTACATTATGTCAAATTAAAATAAATTAATAATCTATTTTAATTGTGTTGCATTGTTGTACAGTTGGCTATACAAGATAAATGAAATGCATTGATTTCTACTTGAAGACTTCAATTTGATCCTGCATATATTGAATAAAGTATGACTTAAAATTTTATGCTCACATCATTCATCCAACAACAAACAATGGCTTACTCTGTTAAAATGAAAACATTGAGGAATATGAAAATAAGTTAAGCTGATATTTTGTCTAGAATTAAGAATGAAAGCAAAAATAGTTGTTTTATCATCATATGGACAAAACATAGGAACTTGGCATGAAATTTTCTGTTATTATTAAAGCTACAAAATTTTTATACCACAAAACATGATATTACTAATACACACAAAGGATAGAATTATCACTTTATTTATACTGCTTTTGAATGAATAGACTAAAAATATGTAAATGCAATTTAATATGCAATGCACAATGTAACTAGAATTTTAGGTTACTCAAATTTACGAATACTTTTATCCGAGATCATTATTTGCATTTAATAATCTTTCCATTTTGTTTTAAGATATAAAGTCTTAGTAATACCACTTAAAGGAAACACACCATAAAATGATAATCATTGGAATAAAAGCATTTTCTCATTAAGAAAATTTTTGCATAAAATTATATATTACTATGTCAAAATATATCTTTAGCATTATAATATATGCTTCTGTATAAGTTATTATGTATAACATGGGGACAAACTCAGAAAATTCATTCTGTGTGATTTTCTTCCTCACTAGTAAATCAGAGCTGAATGCTAATGCTGTTCCAATTGAAATATTTTCTACTTATATATGTTTATCCCTTCAGGGTAGCATGACAATATTGATACTTCAGTCATTAATATAAATAGATTTGTAGCACCAAAAATTTAGATTCAAACAGGATACACCTAGCTGCTCATGGCTTACAGTTTACTTGTTGTTTGATTTGTTGACTCGTACAATATCTATCTTTAGAAAGACCTTAAGGAAGTTCATATTAACATACACAATGAAATAAGACAAAATATAATAATTCAAGTGGATCAGAAGAGTGGCCTATTTTTTCATTTGCATGCCCCATTATGTGTTCCTTGATACGATTACATTGTTTTAGTCAAACATTTTTATTTGAGGACAAAAAAAATTGGATCCATCAAAGATAGTCTAAGCCACATGATACTGAATGATTTAGAATTTCAGCTTGAGACATTCTGGACATCCATATAGGTATGCAATTTCAGCAATTTTCCATCTAGCAGACACATTTCACATAAGACCACCATCCTATTCTTATATGATTCCCCTTTGTAGACTGTTTACCTTGTTCTGGGGGTGTCTTCATAATTACAAGCTCACACAGAAGACATGGCATTTATAATACTAGTATTGTGGAAGCTGGGAAAATGCTGACTAGAATGCTAAAACAGTCTGGTGTGGGACTAGCGCACCTGTCACTCAAGATAAATGGCCATAAGCACCACAAGCAATGAAGGTGAAAGCCCACAGCCTTGGGCCAGACCTCTGTTATATTCACTCTCTCAAGGAACTGATGTAAGAAGGACTTAATCAAAGGTAATTTATGGCAACTCACAACCTCTTGATTTGTTCTATTTGGTAGCATTTTAAATTACAATCAATGAAATTATAGTCAATTGTTTTATAAATCTCCATTACTTTCACAAATTTACTTGTTTTGTAAATATGTAATTTTATGCCACTTCTCAAAAGTGAGGCAAAATAAAAATTTTCAAAGGATAAAAATTGTCAATCTTGACAAGTAAGTCGTTTATCCTGGTCTTTACCAAAATTGATAGGATGGATGAAGCCCAGAAAACTCTGTTAAACCTCTGCCTTCCTCAAATTCTATTGTCTGCTTGTTGCAGGAATATTCTTTAGTTCAGCTAAACAGGGGTCCTTGTCCCATAGCCATGAAAGTTTAGGCTCGCAGGTGGTTTGAAGGGTGTGTAAAGCAGAGTTTTATTGGGTGAAAAGGAAAAAAAAAAATTGGGGGGAAACAGGGACTCTCCACAAGGCCAGAGTTCCTCTAGAGCTTCCCGCCTCGCAGTTTGAATCCCAGGTCCCACACAGGAAGAGAAGGTTCCAGGCAACTCCCTGCTGCAAATTGCATGAACTTCTGTGGCTCCACCCCAGTGTGCATTCCTCCCAGTGTGCAGGCTGGTTCGAGTTTCTCTGGGGACCCCTTACCACCTGGCTGTCTGACATTCACTCAGTCACCTTATGACTCACCAGAGGCTTAAGGGGTATTGGATCTGTGCTACCTCCCAGGGCCACTAAACCAGACAACTGGTACTTATGGAACTCTGGCTCCACTGTCTAAATAAGTAAATAGATAGGGAAGTTAGAAACTGTGATGTGTCTTATAAAGCAACAATGACTGTCCTAACCTGATGTATCAGACTGGCCGCTTTCCCATCCATAATCTCCTCCCTGTGCTATAGAAAGTGAAACTGCAGAGCCTCCATACAGGCTCCAGAGCCACTCTTGGGTTTGAAGTCTCTGGTAATCTCTGCATGTGACCTTGGGCAACTCACTGACAAGGTGCCTCAGTTTTGTCATTTCTAAGATGGGCACAATAAATAGTATCCACCTTCTCATGTTACCATGAGGATTAATGAGTTAATGTATTTACTTGCTTAGAATAATAGCTGACATCAGGATGAGTGAGCTGTTGTTACTTACTATTTTTACCCATGGGAATTACAGATTCTGACATTTATTTTAAAGAGAAAAATTTGGAGAAAAAAGAAAAGCAATCAGTTAAAAGGCAATGACTTAAAGCACACAATTTTGGAACTAAGAGAACCCTAGATACTATCTGATACAAACTTTTCATTTTCCAAATCAAACATAGAAACTATTTGTTTTGTGCTGAATGCGCTCAGTAAATTAGCAGCAGGGCCCAGCTGGGATCAAAAATGTCTATGGCTGGGTCAATGGGCTCCCTGCTGCACTGCAACCTCACTCTATAGAATCTCCTTCCAGAATCCAAGTGAGGAATTTATTTGAAAACCACCAAGGAAAGTCAGAATAGACCAGGTTTACAGCATGTACATTCTGATGGGCTAACTTTCTTATTTTTCTCTCCTATAACTCATTTTTTAAAAAATTTCTAGTTTTCTACCTCCCAAGTAAAGCAGGAAGAATTACTCGTTATCAGCTGTTCCAAGTGTGAAGAGACACTAAGTTGTCTACAAACATCTTCTAATCCTCAGCCTACAAAAAAAAAGGCCATCTAAATTATTAATCCTCAAAGTGGTTACCCTCCACAGCACACTAAATTGTCAAAAGCCTATAAATGGCACAAAACAGACATTCCTGTTTTTGCCCAATGGGCAAAAACAGGTTCTCCAACTGTTAAGAATGGCTTTTAGAAAAATCTCTCAAACACCAGGACACACATAAAAGCAATTACACCAAGGAAATAGTTGGAATTGGATGTTCTAGTTCTCATTCTGGCCATTTACCAAGAGAGTTCTAAATAAAATGGGCATGTATCTACACAAAGAAGATTGGGAGATGCATCAGAATTCCCTCCAGGGCCCAGAAAGCTCTGCCCTTTAAAAGTCAGAGAAATCCTTTTGCTTCAAAGGAAATAAAAGTTTATTCATGTGTACCTAGAGGCAGACGGCTGAGGGAAAGGAATTAATATGTGTAGGTGTGGCCTTCCTGCATTCTGATTACTAAAATAAGCTTGGGACTGAATGGAAATCTAGCTCTTATCCCGGGTATACATATCTTGGAGGGTTTTACACCCACCATTTTCAGGGTACAGTTAGCCTTTGCTTCCCAGACCACTACCAAGGCATCCTTTGGTGTCTGGGCACACACTAGCCAATGGCTTTTTTCCTCCCTCCCCAGCCAAATCAAGCCTCATTCATTCCTATTTATTTTCCAAGATGGAGTAGGGGTTTCACTTCTTCCAAGTCATGTTTTCTGACTCTCAGTGGAGCAGGTTGGGGGTGCTCCTGTGTGAGGCTCTGCTCTCCCCTCTGTGCCTTCATTGTCTTGCCTGTCTGCCCCTCCGAGCAGCAAAACTGCTGGTGCATAGGAACTGAGTCCTTAATCTCCGTCTCCCTGGCACCAAGCATTAGTCCTGTGGCATAACAAGTCTTCAGTGGATATTTGGTGAAGTTTTTAATTAATTAATTAAAGCCCAGCCTTTTCTGCCATCTGGAAAAGCATATATACGTATATACCCTCAAGCACATGCATGCTGAAGCCAACTTTTATTACCCACTGAAGAAAGAGTATTAGAATGGGAGTGAGGGTGTTTCCAGTGGAAGGTGTCTAGGTTTTTGGCATCTTGAACAAAGAATTGAACAAAATACACCAACAAAGCAAGGAAACAATGAAGCAACAAAAGCAGAGATTTATTGAAAATGAAAGTATACTCCTCAGGTGTGAGCAGTTCTAAGCACAGGGGCTCAAGAACCTGGTTACATAATTTTCTGGGGTTTAAATACCCTCTAGAGGTTTCTGTTGGTTACTTGGTGTACACCCTATGTGAAGGAAGAGGATGAAGTAAAGTTACAAAGTCGTTTACTTGGCATATGCCCTAAGAAAATGGAGAGGATATTTCCTGTCATTGCTGAAGTGTTTTCATTTGATTTAGTTCTAGGAAATCAGCGTGAATCGGCCTTATGTTCCCTGCCTCCAGACCCTATTCTCCTTCCTCAAGGGAGAACCACATCCTAAGGATAACACTTAAATCTACTTCATTATATATTAAACAGAGATGAATCAGGCCAGAAAGAACACTAGCAGATGAGGTTTGGAGCGAATCAGAGCTAGCAGAGAACTGTTCTGCAAGACACATAGCTGCTCCCAGCCTGGGAAGTAGAAGGCAGAAGCAACACAAATAAGGAACTTAACACAAAAACTGAAAGAAAACAGACTCCAACCGTGAGCCATTTGGAAAACTGTAAGTACCCAGAGTTTGTGAGGGAGATAAACTGCCTTTATACACTCCCACCAGGGAACCTGGCAATCCAGGCCATGGGGGAAGTCCTTAACCCTACCCAGCACTGGAGCTGATTTAGAGAGTGGTGGGAGCATGTAAGAAGGAGCGGCACTGGGATATTCTTTGTATGCACTCCCAGGCTCCAGTGGATGTGGAGGGAAGCCATTCCTGATCCAACCTCACAGGGGATGTTTTGGAAGTCTGTCAGGTAACTCAGGTGGTGGTCACATGTTAAAAGAAGCTCCCAATTGAGATTCTAGATATAATCCAGAACCAAAGGGGAAGTGGCAAGTGGGCTGTAAACATGGGCACTGGAGCTGAATGTCCCTGCTTGGCTGGCTGAGCAGAAAAGGCATGGCCTAAAAGCCAAGGATTCGGTCTTCCAGGGGAAGGCATATGGCCTGGGGAAGTTTTGAGTTCTGAGTGCAAACTGCCTGGAACATAGCTAGCTGCTGCTAGAGAAACATTGAGATTGTGAGACCTGCTTTGCCAAGTGTATGGGAGCTAGGTGAGTGATATGGTTTGGCTGTATCCTCATCCAAATCTCATCTTGAATTTCCACGTGTTGTGGGAGAGACCTGGATAACAAAGTGCCTAGGAAGAAGAAAACTTATGCGTGTCCTCAACTATCACCACTGCCTGCATCATCCTGGCTAACCAGGAGGTCCTATGTCTGTCCATGTGACCAGTTCATTACTACTGGCATTTGAGACTTCCTGGCATTTGAGAAAGCCAACACAATAAGGCTGTTTATAACCAAGGAATCTTACAGAGTCTATGTTACTCCCCTGTCACCCCATAAGAGCTGGTGCTTGTTCCCACTGCTGGGAGACTTGAGGACAGGTCACATCACTGGATCACTTGCAAGCATTCCCCAGCACCAGCCTGGAGTGTTGCATTCACCCCATGGGGAAGCTGGACCCAGAGAAGCAGTGGCATTCACAGTAGTCTGTTCTTCAGGGATTCCTACTCCTAGGGGAAGGGGGAGTACACCACATCAAGGGACAAAAAAATACAGACAGCAGGACTTGAGTCCCAGAACTTTCTGCTATGGAAAGCATCTTTCAGCAGAGGCACAAGTGCAGTGCTGGGCTCAGTGTGGAAAGTCTATGGCCCTAATTCAACAGTCAGGCAACCCTGGTGCTTGAAAAGGGTCTTGGAGAAGGTGACTTCTTGTCCCCCTTGCCCACCACTGCAGACAGAGCTAGGACTTCTCTCACATGATCAAGGCTTAGGTACAGCTATAGACAGCCTTTCTGAAACACTTCAGGGTCAGTGCATCTTCACAGGACTCCCCTCCATGTTCAGAGTTGCACAAGGGGTTGAGTCACAGTGCTGCTTTACATCTAACATCAACATTCCTGCAGATAAAAAGAGATGCCTGTCTCAGTTGAAGAGCTGGAACACTGGGTCAGGAGGGTGACTCAGAGGTGGATCATTTTTCTGCTGGCCTGGAAAGGAAGCTGACTTGGCTCCCACACATCCCCCCTGAAAAGATCTCAGTGTATTTCAATTGAGAGCTCCCCCAGCTGCCTCTGTCAAGGCTGGGACCTCTGCCCACCATTGGGTATTGCATTTACCCACCTGATTTAGCCACTGATGTTTTTTATCCATGGACACCTCTCTTACTGGCCTGAAGCCTGAGCTGTTCAACACAGCAAATAAAATACTGGGGAAAAAAATAAATAAATAAATGTACACCCCTGGGGAATAAGATAAGATTCAAGAGGCCTCTGCCATTTCAACCCCACAGAGGACAGTGAATCTGCCCCACACTAACCACATTGTTATTACAACCAGCATCTGAATAAGCCCTCATACAGAGACTCTTTATCACCAAGGAACTCATACATAATCTTCACCCCAAAAGCACCCAGAGTTGAATTAGGTTACAATAAAGTATACTCATGAAAGTCATATCTTCAAGGGAGAAAAAAAAGAAATTAAACAAAAACAGTTGAATTAAAAATAAATTCAAAAATAACTAGAAAAAATAGTCCACTCAAATGAAAAGAAAGAAGAAAAATAATTATGGCAATATAAAAAAACAGGGTTCTATAATACCCCCAAAATATCATGAATGAATAGCAATGACTCCAAACCAAGATGACACCTTTGAAATATCAGATAGAGAATTCAAAATGTTGATTATTTAGTTACTCAAGGAGGTACAAGATAAAGGTGAAAGCCACCATAAAGAAATTATAATGTGAATAAAATATGATTCATATTCAGGATATGAATTTGAAAAATCTAAAGGATAGATGTTTTAAAGCAAAGCCAATCAGAACTTCTGGAAATGAAAGGCACATTTAGGAAAATACAGTTGGAAAGTTTTAACAACAGACTAGATCAAGCAGAAAAAATAATTTCAGAGCTTGAACACATGACATTTGAATTAACCCAATCAGACAAAAATAAAGAAAAAGGATTTCAAATAAATGAACAAAGTTTCAAAGAAATATGGGATTATATATAACAGCCAAATCTAAGAAACATTGATGTTCCTGAGGGAGAAGAAAAAGCAAAAACTTGGAAATTTTATGTGAGAAAATAATTGAGGAAAACTTTTCTGGCCTTGCTAGAAATTTAGACATCCAAATACAAGAAACTCAAAGAACTCCTGGAAGATTCATTGCAAAAAGGACATCACCATGGCAAACAGTCATGAAGCTATCTAAAGTCAATATGAAGGAAATAATTCTAAGTGCAGTGAGACAAAAGCATCAGATAACCTATAAGGATAAACTTATGAGACGAACAGCAAACTTTACAAACCAGATGGGATTGGAGTCCTATGTTTAGCGTACATAAACAGAGTAACTGTCAGTCAAGAATTTTGTATCCAACAAAACTAAGTTGTATAAATGTAGGGGAAATAAAGTCTTTTTCAGACAAGCAAATACTGAGGGAATTTGACATTACCAGACCAGCCCTAAAACAAATGCTAAAAGGAGTTCTACATTTTGAAAAAAAGCTCAATATGCACTAGAATAGAACCTCTTGAAAGCACAAAACTCACAGGACTTATAAAAAAGTGACACAATGAAGAAAACAAAGTATTTAGGTAACAATAGATATCATGACTGTAACAGTATCTCACATCTCAACATTAATGTTGAACATAAATGATCTAACTTAAAAGATACAGATTGGCAAAATGGACAAAAATAATCACAAACCAAATGTCTGCTGTCTTCAAGAGACTCACCAAACACATAACGATTCTTATAGACTCGAAGTTAAGGGGTAGAAAAAGATATTCCACACAAATGGAAACCAAAAGTGAGCAGGATTAACTATTCTTAGATAAACCAGACTTTAAGGCAACAGCAGTAAAAAAAAAAAAAAAAAGACAAAGAAGGTCATTGTGCTAAAAGGAAAGTGTATAATGCTAAATGCCAACATCAAAAAGTCGGAAAGATCATAAGTTGGAAACCTAATGTCATAACTCAAGGAAGTAGAGAAATAAGAACAAACCAAACTGAAAGCTAGCAGAATAAAAGAAATAACAAAGGTCAGAGCAGAACTAAATGAACTGGAAACAAAAAATACAAAAGAACAATGACACAGAAGGTAGTTATTTGAAAAGATACAAAGATTGATAGACTATTAGCTATATTAACTAAGAAAAAACAAGATTTAAGTAAGCCTGATTAGAACTGAAAATGAAGACAGTACAACCAACACCACAGGCATAAAAAAGATTATTTGAGCCTGATATGAACACCTCTATATACACAAACTAGAAAATCTAAAGGAAATGGGTAAGTTCCTGGAAACATATAACCCCCTTACATTTAATCAGGAATAAACAGAAATCCTGAACAGACCAATAGCAAGCAGTGAGATTGAATCAGTAATAAAAAATATTGTCAGCTAAAAAAAGCCCAGGACCAGACAGACTCACAACCAAATTTTACTAGAAATTCAAAGACGAATTGGTACCAATCATACTGAAAGTATTCCAAAAGATTGAGAAATAAGGAATCCTCTGTAACTCATTCTATGAAGCCACTCTCATCTTGATAACAAAGCCAGGAAAGGACATAACAAAAAAAGAAAACTACAGACTAATATCCCTGATGAATATAGATGCAAAAATACCAGCAAACCACATCCAACAGCACATCAAAAAGATAATTCTCCATGATCAAGTGGGCTTTATCCTGAGGATTCAGGGATGGTTTAAAATATATTAGTCAATAAATATGATTCATCACATAAACACAATTAAAACAAATAACTACGTGATCATCTCAATAGACACAGAAAATGCATTCGATAAAATTCAGCATACCTTTATGATAAAAACCTCCAATAAACTAGGCATAGAAGGAACATACCTCAAAATCATAAAAGCAATATATGGCAAATCCACAGCCAACATCATATTGAATAGGGAAAAGTTGAAAGCATTCTGCTTAAGAAATGGAACAAGACAAGGATGCCCACTTTCACTACTATTCAACATAGTACTTCAAGTCATAGCCAGAAAAATCAGACAAGAGAAAGAGAGAGTATCCAAATTGGAAAAGAAGTAATAAAACTATCTTTGTTTGCCAATTACATAATCGTGTGCCTAGAAAACCCTAAAAACTCCTGCCAAAGACTCTTAGATCTGATAAATGAATTCAGTAAAGTCTCAGGTTACAAAATAAGTGTATATAAATTGGTAACACTGCTATACCTCTACAACAACCAAGCTGAAAATCAAATGAAGAACTCAATTACTTTCACAATAGCTGCAAAAATTAAAATACCTCAGAATACACTTAACCAAAGAGGTGAAAGATCTCTGCAAAAAGAATTATAAAGTACTATGAAAGAAATCTGTGAAGGAAATCATAGATGACACAAATACAACTACATCCCCTGCTCTTGGATTAGAAGAATCAGTATTGTGAAAATGCCATACTGCCCAAAACCAATCTACAGAGTCAATGTAATTCCTATCAAAATACCAACATCATTTTTCACGAAATTAGAAAAAAAAATTCTAAAAGTCATATGAAATCAACAAAGAGCCCAAATAGCCAAAGCAATCCTAAGCAAAAGGAACAAATCTGGAAGCTTGAAAAATCCTTCAACTTAAAATTATACTACGAGGCTATGGTTACCAAAATAGTTTGATACCGGCATAAAAGTAGATACATTTGCCTAACAGAATGGAATAGAGGACCCAGAAATAAAGCCAAATACTTCCAACCAAGTAATCTTCGACAAAGCACACAGAAACATAAATTAGGGAAAGGACACCCTATTCAATTCATGCTGCTGGGGAAACTGGATAGCCACATGCAGAAGAATGAAACTGGATCCCCAACTCTCACCATATAAAAAAAATCAACTCAAAATAGATTAAAGGCTTAAATCTAAGACCTGAAACCATAAAATTCTAGAAGAAAACCTAGAAAAAAACACTGCTGGATATTTCCCTAGGCAAAGAATTTATGACTAAAATCCAAAAAAAATGCAAACAAAACAAAAATAAATAAATGGAACCTAATTAAGCTAAGAAGCTTCTGCACAGCAAAAGAAATAATCATCATAGTAAATAGACACCCCACGGAACAGGAGAAAATATTTGCAAACTCTGACAAAAGACTAATATCCAGAATCTACAAGGAACTCAAGCAAATCAGCAAGAAAACAAAACTAAATCGTATCATCAAAAAGTGGAAAATCACATGAATAGACATTTCCCAAAAGGGGACATACAAGTACTCAACAAATATATGAAAAAAAATACTCAACATCATTAAGCATCATGAAAATGCAAATTAAAGCCACAATGAGATACCATCTTAACCCAGTCAGAATGACCATTATTAAAAAATAAAAAAACAATAGATGTTGGCATGGATGTGGTTAAGGGGGAATGCTTATACACTAATGGTGGGAATGTAAAGTACAACCTCTATAGGAAACAGTATGGAGATTTCTCATAAAACTAAAGGTAGATCCACCATTCAACCCAGCAATCTCACTATTGGGTATCTACGCAAAGGGAAAGAAGTCATTGTATCAAAAGGATAGCTGCATGTGTATGTTTATCACAGCACAATTCACAATAGCAAAGATATGGAACCAAGCTAAGTGCCCATCAACCAATGAGTGGACTAAAAAAAATGTGGCATATATACACCATCGAATACTGCCATTCAGCCATAAAAAAGAACATAAGGTATTTTGCAACAACTTGGATGGAGCGGGAGGCCATTATTGTAAGTGAAGTAACTCAGGAATGGAAAACCAAATACTATATGTTCTCATTTGTAAGTATGAGCTAAGCCATGAATACGCAAAGGCACACTGAGTGGTATAATGGACACTGGAGACTCAGAACAGGGAAGGGTGGGAGGAGGTTAAGGGATTAAAAAACTACATACTGGGTATAACATAAACCACTCAGGTGATGGGTGTACTACAATCTCAGACATCATCACTATATAATTCATCCATATAACCAAAAACCACTTGTACACCAAAAGCTATTAAAATAAAAATATATGTTAAAAATATAAGTAAATAAATAAAGGCATATTTTTAAACTATTCTAACAAGCAGGAAATGACTTGTAAAACACCTCATATTAAATTACATTTTATAGGTTTTTCACCAATCTGGGATTGATTAACCAGCACCAAATGATCAGGAGAAAGAACATGCCATGGAAAAGATATGTCCCCAATACACAAGAAGACACAAACATAACTGTGGCTCACACATAAACTGTAACAGCTACATCTCTATTATTGACGCCACATGCTTGCCAACATTGCCTGTGTTAATCATAGAGATAGCTACAAGGGGTGAGAGAATCAACGCTTGAGAAACCCATGTTAGGCCAGGTGTGGTGGCTCATGCCTGTAATCCCAGCACTTTGGGAGGCCGAGGTAGGCGGATCACAAGGTCAGGAGATCAAGACCATCCTGGCTAACATGGTGAAACACCGTCTCTACTAAAAATACCGAAAATTAGCCGGGTGTGGCGGCGGGTGCCTGTAGTCCCAGCTACTCGGGAGGCTGAGGCAGGAAAATGGTGTGAACCCGGGAGGTGGAGCGTGCAGTGAGCTGAGATTGTGCCACTGCACTCCAGCCTGGGCAACAAAGCGAGACTCTGTCTCAAAAAAAAAAAAAAAAAAAGAAACCCATGTTAAATGCTGCTTTACAATAATACAAAGCATCCATCCACCTAGAGCAATATGTACAGGCTTCCCTACAAGTGTTGCCAAGTACCAAACATAGAGAAGTAAGATATATTAAATTTCAGAACTACTTACCGTGTCCATTAAATCCATGTAGATGTATTTGGGAGCCCAGTCTATGCTGTTTTCTTGCCTGAAATTAAAAAGTGACTGTTTATTCTCACTATGGACCCAGATTACAGTCCTAGTTCCCAGCACAGCAATAGGAGCTGAACAAAATTGCTTGAGGAATTAATACCAAGAGAAATTTTACAAGATAAAATGTAAGCTTGAAATAAATGTTATGTCTTTATGGTATGATCATTAAAATGACAATTTTTACATAGACCATTAAGTGCATCTAATGAACACACATGTGGGAGGACGCACCTGTGCAAAGTCCTCCCTCAAAGTCAGGTACGTGCAGAGAATGTCAACTAGGAGACACAAGCCTCCATTCCGAAAAAAAACAGATGTCACCACAGGGCTTCAGAAGCAATGCTGGCAATAAGAGATGGTTTTTTTACAAACTAAATATTGTGTGTTGTAACAGAATTTTTAAATACATATTTTTCTCACGAAGGTCAGTAACGATGGTGTCTCCAGTAGTAATTCAGTCTTTTGAAACTAAGATAATTAATGCTCAATTCTATTGTCATGCATCTGCTCATCAACCTTTGCAAGGGTTGGGGATCACAGCCTTCTCCTCCATGCACAACCCTGCACCACTCATGAAGAGCTGGTCAGAGGGCCTGGAGGCCAGGGCTCTACTCTGGCACCCACACTGCATTGGAGTGCAGCAGATTTCTGCACTGAGCACCTCCTAGTGATGCTGAGAAAGAGTGAGGCACCTCGGCCCTGGTGGTCTACTGGAAAAACCTCTGCTGGAAGCTCCTGAGGTGTTTGAAACAGAGGTTTGCATTCAAAGTGAATACTGGTAAAGGATGAAGACGACTAAAAATGTCAAATATGAAAGCCAGAGTCATCTTTACTGGTACTGTTATAAAACTGGTGTCTCATTAAAGTCAGAGCAACACGTATACGTATATACATACGTATAAATACATAAATTTATACATATTTAAGTCTAAATGAGAGTCCCAGGAGAGGATTCATCTAACTCATGGTTGCAATAATATTGGAGGATGTCAGGGTCTCACTTTCACTTGTTTCCAGGTGAGGTGAATCATTAAAACATTTCTTTTTTACAATGATGACTCCTCTAGGACCCTCCACCCACCTCCCACCACCATCCTCCAAGCCCATGTGACAAGTTTTAATAGCATAGCAGTGACTAGATTTCCCTAAATGGGATCTACTGACTCATGGACAACAGATGAGAACCCTGTCATCTCAGTCTTCTGTGTAAAAACATCATATGTCTCAAAAAAGACATCCGTTGAAACATATTTAAAATATAATAGAACCACTTGGTAGGAAAAGGCTACTTTCCTGCAATATTGTCATTACTAAATTTTTCAGGTAATTTACTTTTTTGGTTTTGGTTTTGATTTTTATTTGATCAGGATGTGCAACAAGGTTGCTCATTTAGTATTCAGATTTCTGATGACTGGAGAGAGATAATATTTTTATTTTTCATATCCATTTCTTTATGTTTTATGAATGCCCATTCATATCCTTTGTCAATTATTTATTTGTTGCTTTTGCTACTTTTTCCTGTATCAATTTTTAGAACCCTTTGTTAGGTGCATGTAATAAACATTTCCTCCCAATTTGTTCCTTCACTTTCTTTGTTTATTTTGATTGTGTTATTGATTCTAGAAAATATATAATTTTATTGAGTTAAATTTGTTATGCCATTTATGCTTTTTAATCTTTTGCTTTCAGTGTTTATGTATATATTTAATTGTGCCAAGTTTTAAATAGTATTGTCTTCCAGTATTTAATGCATCCTTAAAATATTTGTATGCTGTTAGGTGTCTATTTTTTCCATTGGAATATGGAATTAGTGCAATACTTTTATTGAACAGTAGCTATAATATTATGAAACCATGCAGAGATCTCATACATATATTAAAAACTTTGGTCTTTACATCCTACAAGCCCTGAAAAATCGTTTAAAGTTTTTATTAGAAGAAAGACATGCTGAAATTTGCTTTTAAATCTAAAATACCATTCTCCATGGAGTGCGGAAAACAGATTACAGGATTAAGAACACATGTGTTGTTAGGCTGGACTATCTCCATGTTTTTCTCTGGCATTAAATGCCATCATTCTAAGATGAGAGTCTCAAAAACTGGCTTTTTTTCTTTCATATGAGTTACATGAAGTTAACCAAAAGTTACATTCTGTGGAGACACTTCAGAAAATGCTATTAAATTTTCCAAACATGCAAAGAACAGTTTTGAATTTGTAAGATGTCAGACATTCCAAAAGGCTAACAAGTAAGGGCAAATTTAAAATTGGGTCCTGTATCCAATAAAAATGTCTGTATTCTGTGTATAACGCTTTTCGGGATTATGAGATTTCAAGAAAGTTTACGTGACAATTGCAAAGATCATATTGTGTTGCAGATAAATTTAGGATCTTTATGACCCAGGTGATTGACATGTATATGTACACATTATACATATGTATACATATTTTCCAAAATACATATTTCCCAAAACTAAGAATTTAAATAAAGGGTATTTGCTGAAAGGATGGGGGTTGTGTGGGTGAAAAAAGTATTCTCATTAGTTACAATTCAAAATGGTTTTGTTAATTCTCAAACACACATTCTCCCATTTGGTCAATTATGAAGTGCTGTTCTGTTTATTGCTGTATACCATCTGAAAACTAAAAGGATTAAAACAACAATTTGTGATTGCCTTTCACAGTTCTGGAAGTTTATAGTTCAGTTGGACATTTCCCTCTTGGGTTCCTCCATCAGTTACAGGTAGACTGGGGCCGAGGCTGGAAACATCTCAAGGCCTCTTCACCCATGTACCTGACATCCAGACTGAGAGGTCTGGAAAAGCTGGGGTAGATCAGGAAGGCACCTTCTCCATGTGGCCAATTTGGGATTCCTCAAACCATGGTGCTCTCCAGGTAGTTAGGCTTCTTATTTGGCACCTGGATTTTTACAGAGGGGGTGATCTAAAAAAATCACAGCAAATGTTTCACAGGGTCACAGAAGCTTCCTATAACTTAGTCACAGAAGTCACACAGCATCACCACCACCACATTCTCTTGGTTACAGAGGGCTGGCCCAACTTAGCGTGGAGAGGACTACCAGGAGGCATGGTTCATTGGTGCCACCTGGGAGCGTAGCTACTGAGAGGTTATATTCACGTACTAGAGGGCAGTGGAGACAAGAAAATGTGTCACTAAAGGCTGTCTGGGGACTAAAGAAAGTCCTCATTATTTTGAAGAGGGATGTTTGTTACACAAGGGATCCCTGCTATGGTATGTCATCGAGTGGACACCACACAGGAAGCTAGTTTAACTAAAGAGGGAATTCATTTTTTACATTTAACTACTAACATTTTGGGAGAAAGCAAGAAACAAGATGAGCACTGAGCGTTGTTATTATTATTTGAGATGGAGTTTCATTCTTGTTGCCCAGGCTAGTGTGCAGTGGTGCGATCCCAACTCACTGCAACCTCTGCCTCCCAGGTTTAAGCAATTCTCCTGTCTCATCATCCTGAGTAGCTGGGATTACAGGTGCCTGTCACTACGCCCAGCTAATTTGTTCTATTTTTAGTAGAGATGGGGTTTTACCACGTTGGCCAGGCTGGTCTTGAACTCCTGACCTCAGGTGATCCACCCACCTCGGCCTCCCAAAGTGTGAAGATTACAGGTGTGAGCCACTTTGCCCAGCCTGCATTGTTATTTTTTGTTCACAGAGAGAGTAAATAACTAAAATGCTTCTTCAAGTCGCAGGTTACATTTAATAGCAGAAAAAGAATTTCAGGAACTGTTACTTATTGCCAGGAAATAAGGGGCCAGGTCAATGCTCAGAGCCTACCATACCCTTGAAGATTCCTAGCAATTAAGTGAACTATTAATTTCTGGATTCGGAAACCAGAAACAAAACTTTGCCTTCTTTACAGATAAGGGGGACACTGTATCATCTGCTGTCCGGTGTCAAATGTCACAATGAATGGTCTGTTCTCCCCTGTGAATTTGTTCTGTGGTCATAACTGTATACAGGAATCACTTTGGAATCCTCAAAACCCCCGAGCCTTGTGTTAAACCCCACGAGTATTTAGAGTTTTACAACTACGAAGCTGAATGTCGAGAGAAAAAGACAAAGATTCCAAAAAAATGGTCTCAAAGTACCTCCTTGTTTAAGTTGGCTGCCAGGCAAATCAGCTCATCTCCAGCAGAACAGAAGCCGCCTTTTCAGGGAAGCGTGGCAGCTGCCGGCGAACACAAAGCAGCTCTGTGATGGTTGAAGCCAGCAAAGAAAAGCGCCCCCTCCGAGTGGAATCACAGGAAGGAAACCTCCGTGGGCAGCAGGAGCAAGTGCAATCCCTGGAGACGAGTCGAAGGGGCCCGAGGCCCCGAGAAGGGCAGGATGCGATGCTGGGTGTGTGACCTCAGCCATGGAAGGGCCACCTGCCACCGGGGGGCTGGGCCGTCGGGCCTTTGGTTGTGGAGGGAAAAGAGTGGCCACTTGCTGGAGCTGGGAACGTGCAGTGATGAGCACTAGGACAAGAGGACCGTGACAAACAGACATAGAAGGTAAAACTGCCCGAGTACAGGCTGATCCACAGACCTGTGTCCAGGGAGAGGCCTCAGGATGGATTTGGAAATGCAGGACAGGTTCATGAAATCCTCACACACCTGCCACATACTCAAGGAGGGTGCTGTTTACTTGATTGATTGTGCTGGTCCTGAACATCTGACATGATTTGTGGTTATAAATGGGTGTTTGCCGTTAACTATAAGTATCTTGGAGTAATTTAACAAACAACAATAGGTATTGGGGCAGGTCAGCGCGTCTCCACCTGAAAGACAAAGGAAAGCCGTGAACGCAGGACCAGCAGTTGTGGCTCACGGTGAGAGGTGACAGCGTGGTAGCATCCCTTGCTGGCTCTGGGCGCGTCCTCGGCCTCGGCGTCCGCTCTGGCCGCGCTCAAGGAGCTCTTCAGCCCGCCGCTGCGCTATGAGGGCCTCTCTCTGGGGCTGGCGGAGGCCGGAGCCTGCTCCCTCTGCTGGCGGGGAGGTGTGAAGAGAAAGGCACTGGCTGGAGCCGGCGCTGCGCGCGGCGCTCGCGGCCCAGCGCTTGGGTTCCAGGTGAGCTCCGGCTCTGCAAGCCCCGCACTCGGCGTGGCCGGCCGGCGCCTGCTGGGCTTGATCGGAGACTGAATCCCTGCGTGGACCACCGTTCCCTCTTCGCGGGATTGTTGGCCACCATAGCCGATCTCCGTCTCTTTCTCTCTTCCCCTCTTTTCCTCTTGATTGTCTGGAACTAGCTCCCTCTGGGCTGCCGGATTACCCGGCCCGCCAAGTTCCGCAGCGAGAGCCAGTGAGAGATGATGCCGGCTGGGCTTCTGGGACGGTTGGGGACTTGGAGAACTTTTGTGTCTAACTAAAGGATTGTAAACGCACCAATCAGCACTCTGTGTCTAGCTAAAGGTTTGTAAATGCACCAATCAGCTCTCTGTCAAAACGGACCAATCAGCTCTCTGTAAAATGGACCAATCAGCTGCCTGTAAAGCGGACCAATCAGCAGGATGTGGGTGGGGCCAAATAAGGGACTAAAAGCAGGCCACCAGAGCAGGCCGCTGCAGCTTGCTCGGGTTCTCTCTCTGCTCTGTGGAAACGTTGTTGTTTAGCTCTTTGCAGTGAATCTGGCTGCTGCTTATTGTTTGGGACTGTGCCACCTTTTTTTTTTTTTTTTTTTTTTTGAGACAGATTCTTGTTCTGTCTCTTAGGCTGGAGTGCAGTGGCGTGGTCTCGGCTAACTGCAAGCTCCGCCTCCCAGGTTCACGCCGTTCTCCTATTTCAGTCTTTCCGGTAGCTGGGACTACAGGCGCCCACCACAATGCCTGGCTAATTTGCGCCATCTTTAAGAGCTGTAACACTCACCGCTAAGGTCTGCAGCTTCACTCCTGAAGCCAGCCAGACTACGAAC
Source organism: Homo sapiens (assembly GCF_000001405.40). NCBI lineage: Eukaryota > Metazoa > Chordata > Mammalia > Primates > Hominidae > Homo > Homo sapiens. Next base: position 8,841,355 of record NC_000005.10, read on the forward strand.
CCTTACTACGAACCCATCAGCTGGAAGGAACAATTCCAGACAATTCCACACAGGAGGAAGCAACAACTCTGGATGTGCCACCTTTAGGAACTGTACCACTCACGGGAAGGTCTGCAGCTTCACTCCTGAAGTGAGCAAGACTACGAACCTACCGGGAGGAAGGAACAAATTACGGACACACCATTCTTTAAGAACTGTAACAAACCCGCGAGGGTCCGCAGCTTCATTCTTGAAGTCAGCGAGACCAAGAACCCACTAATTCCATACGCAATGGGTTCATTTCTTTTTTTTTTTTTTTTACAAAAGTCTTCTCTGTGCTGACTTAAGGGGACACTTTGTGTCACTTCCAGGGAAGGATGCGCTGGGGTCCCGACATTCTGTCAGGGTCCAAACACCCTCGTTCCTCATCCAGGGCATGGAGCACCTGAGTAGGATGGAACATTTGGGAAAAACCCCACCTCAGTCCCAGGCCCGGCAGCCTGAGGAGATCTAAGGCTGGCTGGGCATTCGAGCTGTAAGAGCAGGGAGTGTTTACTGCACCCAGGAGAGGTGATCAGGACACAATTTCACTATTTCTGGTTGTTTTAGAATCAGGTTCCTTTGTCTCCTTATTTTACCTCAGTTACATTTTCCAAGATCCTAGGACTCACAGAAGGATGCAGTCGGTGGGGGCAGAGTGCTGTACCAGGGCCTCCAGACATGGTTTCTAGACACTGGCTCATGTGATGGCACCAGGGCCCCCAGCCATGGTTTCTAGACATTTGGTCATACCATGGCCTTGGTTGATGACCCCATCCATCGGATTTCATCCTCCTCAAAACGAAACAGAAGGTTTAGCCCAGCAGATCTCTGGAGTCTGTGATTTTCAGATGAGAGCCCAATTGATGGTGAAGCATAACAAGAGTACGGTTGATTTCATTCCTTCAGCATTCACTTATTCCATGTGTGTGTAAAGCCTGATCTGTGTTGGAGAGCTCAGCATGCAGACATGACGTGATGGAGCTGTGGCTCTACAGTTACCCCTCACCATAGTAAACAGATGCACAATTACTTTTGATTATGTTCGTGTAATAAAGGTAGTTAAAGTTCAACATTTATCAGAAAAACATATGAGCTCTGACAGTTCATAATTTGACATCATTTAGAACCATGGCCATAAAAGAGTCTGCAGGCACAAAGCCCGTGTCAAAAGAAGAAGGAAAGTGATCAGGTGTCTCTTACTACAGGTCCTTTGCTTATGACTTCCAGAGATTCAGTATAATTGTGCATCAGATAAACGGGCTAGAATAAAGACTCATAACTTCTTTGTCACACTTTTGACAGCTTATTAAGCTCTAAGACAATTATGGTATTTAATTCATTGATTAGGATATGTAAATTATACCCCCAAACCTGAGCCTTTAATAGAAGCATGACAAATACCGCTGTCACTTGCCATATCACATTTTATGTGAGGTGCACAGTCAGAAAAACTGAGGTTACAGGAGTTTAGTTCATCTTCTCAAATTCCCCCAGTTGCTGATTGGTGTCTTTGAATGTCATGCTCTGGTTTTTCTGGCTGAAATATTGGTCTTTTGTTAAAACAAAGGACATCAGCTCCAGTGCGGCTCGTGCACAGGACATGTTATGTCCGGGTGAGCATCGGACCTCCCACTGATGGTCGGCCCCAGCAGCATAGCATCTTGAGATGAACCCCACCAGCTCCCTCACGGCAGCTGCTCCAGCAGCTGATGTTCAGTTTCCTCACTGTCCAGCTCTGCCCTGTGCTGCCTCTGCTGCCCTCTGGCTTGCAAGTTTCTCTCTGCTAGTCTATTTCCTGTCTGTTCTACTGGAGGCATCACCTGCTATCTGCACAGAGTGAACATGGGGTGACTGTCACTTGATTCCATAAGCAAATGTGGAGGGAGAGACCTCACTTGACAAAGAATATCCATACTCAGCTATTATTAGATCATCATGGAGAGAATCAGAAGTCAAGGGTAATTGTAAGTGTCCCAAAAGGTCAAGTTTGAGAACCACAGTCTTGCAATAAACAGGGAGGAGCCCTGAACAGATCAGCATTTGTTGTGCTTAATTTGCCTGAGGCAGCTGGTATGATGAAGTGTCCTGGAGGCTGAGGCTTGAGCAGAGCTCTCACCCCATTCACTCCAGAGGGGAAAGGCAGGCGAGGTGGGGGAAAGGCAGGCAAGATGGGGGAAAGACTGGGACTGCGCCTCCTGTGCCTGCTGTTGGGGCGCAGCAGAGTCCTGAAGGCATGGCTCCTCATTCCCAGTTGAGAACCCCTTTGGCCTCCCTGGGACCCTGTTCCTGGCTTTTCGTTCCATCAGTTGGAATGAGAATGTTTATCAAAGAATGGTACTCACGTGGCTTTCAGATGTCCTTGAAGAAAAGCTGCTTTCTCCATTGTATTTATTGCAAGAGCAGGATCACTTGAAACTTAAAGCTGAAGACTGACACGAGACTAAATTGCACAAGCCATTTCATTCCCAAGTGTCCCAGCAAATACACATGTCAAGTGATGTGAGCAGCTGTGTGTGTAGAGCTGACGCACGTCCTCTCCAACCCTTAGTGCTCCTGTGTGCTAATGAAGGATGCTGAACGCAATCATTATGGTAATGAGGAGGTGGACAGTGCAACCTCCCCTTCCCTCTGTGTTCAACAGCTTCCCACAGGGCAGGCCCCACACGTGCTGAGGCTGAGACCCAAGACTGGTGACTCAGCAGAGCAGACGAGCGTGTGTGTGTGTGTGTATGGATAGTGTCTTTTTGTCACAGAGAGAGGTTGGATATGTGTGTTTCAGATTTCTAGTGCATGTTTGTGATCCTGTGTGACTGTCAGTGTACTTTTGTGAGTGTTTTGTGAGAGTGAGGCCATGTTTGGTGAAAGAATGTGTGACTGTGTGTGTGTTCTGCAGGACGCAGGAGTAAGAAGGGGATGGAGAGAGCCTCTTACAGACTCCCCGGGAAACATGGGCACTGGAATTTCACCCAATCCTTGCATACACATCTTGTTAAAGCCCCACAATGCTCTAAAAAGCTTGGGAAAGTGATGTGGCAACCCTTCAAAATGAAAAATTAGATCCCTGTAAACACAGTGCTCCTAGTGTTCCTTCTCTTCCTTGCCCTGCAGGGCCTTGATCTTGGCGTTGCTCTCAGCTGACTGCATGGGTTCCGTTATCCATGGAAAGAAAGCCAGCTAGAAACAGTTGAGCAGATCTTCTCTCTTTCTTAACTTTCATTTGTCAACCCGTCTTGGCAGTTCCTTTATACTTTCATCCTGATTGCTTCGGGTGAATAACTTTAAAAAGAAATGATTTGGAAAAGTCTGTTTATTAATTTTAGATTCTGCTTTCATACACCCATTAAAGCAACTTAAGTAACAAAATCAGCAAAAAAGCACAGAGAGATTTCTGAATTAGCCATTTCTGTTTTGCCCTGAAGAAATCCCCCATAACTGGGCACCGAGAGGTTGTTGGAAGCTCTAACCAGGGAGCTTGGCTGCCATATGTTGCCCTTGCAGGAAGAACATTCCTCCATCTCCTCCGGAAGTCCTCCTCTGGGAGGTTTTGCTGGGCTGCCAGGCAGAATGGGGAGGAAGTGGGGAGCAGGCAGAGGACAACGGGTGGCACAGCCGCCTCTTCTGCCAAATCTCTCTGAGGAAACAAGTGGTGACAGCTCATGTCCCCCAGACAGCTTCTCTCAGTCCAGGACTTCCTGTCTAAGAGGGAATGCATTCACTTAGGGAGCAAGCAACCATACAGTAACAGGAAGACAGATGCGATGCTGGAACATTCCATGGATGAGAACCTCAGTTAGCGAGTCAAGACTCAAATCTGCATCTTCAGGCTTTCATCTTGAAATGAGATTCGAGTTTTTAAAATATTGTCATCCCATATGGGAGTGCTTATCATTAAGTTTTTTAAGAAATTGTGTCTTATTCTATGAACGTCCAAGTTCACATTAGAAAGACTATTTACTACAAACGTTTGAAACCCAAAGAGCTGTCAGTGGTAGCAAGTCAATGTGGGCGCATTCCTGAGACAATACAGCTGAGTTACAGCTGAGCTATGGCCCTAGGTAAACAAGGGCGGAGACCATTTTACCCTCTACCCGGGCCTCTGTCTTTGGCCTTGGTCTATTCTGCTGCTCTATGCAGTGGCCACTACTGCTGTTGTGTTGGGAGATGACCTACAGGGAGAAGAGTCAGAGCTGAGTCAGGAACCTCTCACTCTGACAGATTGTGATACAACTCTGTTATTCCAAAGTATTGGCTGCTTTTTCTTTCAGGAAAAATGCAAACACCAGTCTTTCATTCATATTAATAGATACATTAATATGTGTAATATGTTTTGATGTCATTGAGCCTATTGAAGAATGTTGCTTATGATCTGTTTCTGTGCGGATTTTCATTTTTGTGATCTCCATGGCTTTCAAATTAAAGCCAGAGCCAAAGAGAACATACCCTGTAATACTTTAAAATGCATTTTAGTGTTCTTTCTGCCATTTTAGGTGCTTGAGATATTTTCACTTCCACAAAAACAGCAATTGCAGCAGGTACTCTTGCCCTGAGATTTTCTTAGTGACTCAGGGCAAGAGTACCTTCTTATAGTAACCTGTAAATGGTCTATCTTAATCACCTGTAGATGGCCTATCTTAATCTTCCTACACCAATACCCATGGGCATGTACTAGTTTTTCTCCAGCCTCAAAAGACAGTCCAAATTCTTTGCTGTTTGGTGTGTGCTGCAAAGAATTGAGAAGGAAAGAACAAACTCAAGATTCTACAATCAGCACTGGAGTATTTTTATTATTAGTTTACGTAAGTTCAGATCATGAAAATTCCTGTATTGCTTTCTGACAACCATGTTTTATATCCAGTGAGAAATGTATCTCTTTCAACAATGCTGAGAACAAGTTGAAGTGTCTTTGATTTTTTTCATTCATTAAACGGAAAGCAGGTTGTTAGCTCTGAACAAATGCTGAAACTAATCACTAAATATTTTGTTAAGAGGAAAAAAAAAGTCAGACTTCCAAAGTGGTACATTCAGGATTCATGAGATCTAGATAAAAACAAGTGACTTTAGTGAAAGCTAGGGCTAAATTTTAAAATGTGTGTTCTGACATGGTAGAAAAGATTTTGGTTTTTGAATGTTTGGAAAATATAAGTACAGCCTGTGTTACCGTACCAATACAAAAGCTTGAAAAATCTTTTTAAAATCTACAAAACAAGCAAATTTATAATTAATAAATCATAAACTGTTATTTTTACATATCTAAATAGGGATATACTTATTTAAATATAATTAAAAATAAGAGTATTTATTATATTGCTTAAATTAAGCACAACTATTTTAGTTTTGTTTTCACTGGTCCCATATTGTTTTGCACAACTTGATATTGGCTCTTTGTTCTGAAAAAAGTAACTGACTTTGAAGACTTCAGAAGATTAGTTCAGAAGAATCTTGCCTATACTCAGAAAACCATTGTCTCTGAGGCAAATTTACTACTCCCAAGCATACCCCTTCTTGCTGCTGCATTTTAAGCCAAAATATAAGGTTGCTTAGTAGAAGGTGAACTGTACTGCTTAGATATTCCAATTGCTCTGTAACAAAAGAAGAATGAAGTAAATGTAGGTATTATAACTGTTTTACTATTGCTGCCATGGCAGATTACCACACACTTGGAGGCTTAAAACAACAAATTTATTGTTTCCTAATTTTATAGAGCAGAAATCTAGGTAGCTTGGCTGATGTTTGTGCTCCTGGTCTCAGAAGTCTGAAATCAAGATGTCTACAGAGCTGTGTTCCTTCCTCGAAGCAGTGGAGAATCCACTTGTAAGCTTATTCTGGTTGTTGGCAGAAATCACTTCCAGGTGGATGTAGCACTGAGGTCCCCATTTCCTTCCTAGCTTTTTGGGAGATATTCTAAGCTTCTAAAGGACACCTGAATTCTCTGGCTTATCACCTCCCTCCTCTTCAAAGCCAAAGTCAAGTCTCTCTCACATTTTAAATTTCACAATATTCTTGTCTGCCTTATTTCTGTGCTTCTGCTGGAGAATGTTCTCTGCTTTTAGGGGCTCATGTGGCCTGACTCTGGATAATCCAAGCTAAATCTCCCCATCCATAAATTTAATTGTATCTGGTAAATCCCTTTTGCCATGTAATGGAACAAATTCACAGGTTTCAGGAGCCAGGGCATGAACATCTTTGGGGAGCTGTTACTTTTTCTAACTGGAACTATTTTAAAGTAATACAGAAGGTCTAGCAATTGTCCCCATATAATTATCTGCCATTCTGAAATGAAATACTAGAACTTTGAGTTTAAATTATTGGGAATTAGTTAATACTGAGCTATACTGTTTAAATATTTTGGTAAGGCGATATTTCTCATGTCGGCACCATTTCCTTAGGTTTCTTACTCCATACGTGCATATTTTCTATATTTGTATTCTATGTAAAATACTATATATACTTATAATTAGCATATGTATATATGAGTGTACGTACTAAGGGTGTGAATTAATGGTCACTGAAAATTTACCTGTATTAAGTATTTAAATTTCTCATGATTCTTTTTCCTTTTTACTGCTCTTGGTATTTGCTGATTGTCTTTTGTTCATGTGATCATTTATTTTTAGAATTAGCATTTATTAGCTAAGTCATTAGTAAAACTGTTAAAGGTAGTTTCACTGGAGGAAACATACCTGCATTACACATGTGAAAAAAGTCTTGCTCTTTTCTATCTATTTTCCCCAATGATGTAATGGACTATCTTAGAACTCTTACACAATGTAATACCTTAGCCCTCAACCCAAATTCTACAATTACTCAAATTGAAAGGGAAGATGAAAGATGATAATGATTTGTATTTGCTTTATAGTGTGATCCACTTTTTTAAAGGCACAAACTTTTTGTATTCCTATTTACTAGAATCATGTATTTAACTTTCAAATCGCAAACTGGGTTGATTCCTTCTTTTTAAAACCACTTTAGGGGGGAATTATTGATATATAAAAAATGGCACACATTTAATGTGTACAACTTGGTGAATTTGGAGATAAATATACACCCATGAACCGTCACCACAGTCTTTATCATAAAGATACCCATTACCTCCTAAAGCTTCCTCCTGCCTTCTCTATTATTATTTCTTTTGTCCTCATAGATCCCCCTGCCGAGAGAGCCCGACAGCTGCCCCAACCACCCATGGGTTGATTTGTAAGAAGCATATTGGAATACGGTCCTGCAGACAATAGACAGTTGCAAAATCAGGACCTGACGCTAATCCCCACTGCTTCAGAAATCTTCATTCCAAATCAACGAAAAAAGAGCGCAAACCCCAAAAAGACCTGCACTTCATAGAATGGCTTTGGCTTTTATCAAGCCACAGAGAAAATATATCAAAACCCTTGAGAATCCAAGCAATTTTTTTGTTGCTCTAAAATTTGTCACAGTTAACATCAGAGAAGAGAAAACTTGTCTCGTTCAGGCCTACTTTCTAAAGAAAGCAGTGAAATTCAGGTCAAAATACTACCAATACTGGTTATATTCTTTTATTCTTTTTCTTTAAAAAAAGTAAATTCTATTTTCACAACAGCTTGCAATTTCTGATCAAAATAAAATGCTGATATTTAACTCATTTCCTGTAGAATGTTTCTAATGTAAGATAAATTCAGAGAAAAACACACTGAAATTAATCTATTCTAATCCACTGCTTAGCAAAAGGAAAGATTAACCAAAAAGAAAAGTACAGTGCTAAATGTTAAATGAAAAAAAAATCACCACAGAAATGACAAAAAGGAAATATTAAATACAAGAAAATCTGCCCTGAGCAAACATCGTATAAAATCATGATGTCATGATTTTATAGCATTTCCAATATCAATTGTAAAACTCTTAATTGTCTTTAATATTTTAAAAGGAGTTTAAAAATTCAGGCAAAGTGGAGAGGAAATTCCACAAATGGAGTCTCACGCCATTGACTTTGGTGCCAGAACTGGCATCAGGGACTCAGCCTCATTGTTTATGCAATGAATCAGATGCTACTCTGCCTTGATCCAAGTGCATGACAACAACCGTAGGTGGGTGACATCACCCAGGGTAGGCTGAGGGCAGAGCCTACATTTAGTAGACATAACTCCTGATGCTTCCCTTGGCTGTGACATTTTCTCAGATTTCCCTTGTTTTTAATGACTTCCACAGTTGTGAAGAACATTGGTCAGGTATATGGTAAAATCCCTCCTCTCCATTGGGACTTGACAGATGTTTTGCTTTTGATTAGATTGAAGTTGTGGGTTTGGGGAAGGAAGACTACAAAAATGAAATGCCATTTTCATCACATCTTATCAAGGGTCCTTCCTTCCTTCCTTCCTTCCTTCCTTTCTTTCTTTCTTTCCTTCTTTCCTTCTTTCTTTCTTTTTGCGATGGAGTCTCTCTCTGTTACCCAGGCTGGAGTGCAGTGGGTCCATCTTGGGTCACTGCAACTTCCACCTCCTGAATTCAAGCAATTCTCCTGCCTCAGCCTCCCGAATATCTGGGATTACAGGCACCTGCCACCACGCCCAACTAATTGTATTTTTAGTAGAGATGGGGTTTCACCATGTTGGCCAGCCTGGTCTTGAACTCCTGAAGTGTTGGGATTACAGGCGTGAGCCACCACCCCCAGCCAAGGGTACATATTATGAACCCAACTAATTGCTATTGATGTTGACTTTGATCACCTGAATAAGGTAATGTTTAACATATATAAATGACATAATGCTGAGGTATATTAAATAACTTTAAATATGATAGATGTATCTTAAAGGCAAAGTGAAATCACACATATTTTATGACTTTCAAGAGTGCTGAGTGTCTAGATGATCTCAATATTAGGAGCTGTAAATTGCTTGAGAATAGATTCACTTAGAGAAAAAAAAATCCATAAATGTTTCATCCAATCTAAGAACTTCTGTTTTCCACGAAGATCCTATCACAGGAGAGTTCTTGTTGATCTGTGAAATACTTTGAGGTGGGTGTGGAGCTCAGTTTATCAGTGATGTCAGGGGTAACTTAAATGCCCAACAGAAACAAGAATTTTGAGAGCCTAGGCACTATTCATGACAAAAGAGAGTAAGCAGTTAATATAGAAGTAGGAAAGAAAGGAAAAAAGCTGATAAAATAGGAATGGAGGTATATATTTGTATAAATGGGTGAGAGATTATCAGTGTCAGGAGACCCAGGCATTGTAACTTCTATCTCACGCAGTAGGCGAGGTAACTCCCCATCCCCCCAGGTCTCCAGTACAGACTCTTCTACCCTGATGTATCAAATGTCTTTGATGAGGGAAATAAAGCAGAACAAATTGTTGCTTGGACCTGAGATCATATCAGGGCAATGATATAAGGACTTCCTTAAAACACACACAAGACAATCTAATTCATGGAGATACTACATTGACAACATAGATGGGGAAATGTAGATCTGCTAAAAATTTGGAGAGATCTGGGGAATGTTTTCAGACTTCCACAGTTGTTGGAAAGAAGGTTAGAATCAATTTTTTTCTGAACATTAGGGGTCAGGAAAACTCCACTGGCAGTGGGTTTGCTCATCCAAGTTAATAACTTGATCACAGCCATGGCCCTAGTCATGCTAGATTCGGGAATATTCATCATAACTGTCTCCCTCACCCCGGGCTGCTTCTTATTTTTCTTTGTCCTCATCCCACTCTTCACCCCTTCCCTGCACACAGGATTGATCCCTACAAGCTGCATTTCCCCTTCTCCCAAGACAGCTTTATTCTGGCAGGATTCAGCCAATAGGAAGTTCCAGCAGGAAATGAGAGTGGGAAGGAGAGGGAGAAACCAGAGCTTTTCTTCTCCTCCTTTTTTAGGTGGAGGCTGGCAGTGCCTGGGTCTCCTCTGTGTCCTTGTAGAATTCTGTGCCTGCCTTTGCCACTGGGTGGCCCCAGCCCTGGGCTCTGATGCCTGCCTCCGGTCTTCAAGCCCAGGGTGGCAACAGCTCTCTAGGATGGCTCTTCCCTGGGTGGCCTCACTCACTCCGGCATGGATGCTCAGCTTCTTCATCATGTGGATAAACAATACTGCTTAAATTATTTCTGTTTAAATGTGTCTGTCTGAAACACACAAAATAATTTTCTTTTTCTTTTTTAGACCCTCATTGATAAATTGCTTATGCCCAAAGGTCTCAAGCAAGCCCGCATGAGAAATATATACTAGTGTTTCGCTTTAGATACTGTATTTCAACCAATATCTTTCTCTGAATGTAATACAAGAAGGCCATCTGAAGCAATAAGTATGGCATTTATTCTAAATATGTGAAAGATAAGGTAGCTATGGAATACAAAAGTTTTACTAACCCCTTGAACAAACAGGAAAAGGGCAATAAAGCCTTTCATTCATTCATCCATTCATTGCTGCATTCATGCATGTATTTAACAACATTTGCTAGCACCTTCCATGAATCAGAAATTCTCCTTTTTTTGTTTTTGGAGGAAAGATTAGGGATCTGTGCCCAGGGATTGATGATAGTAAAATAAACAAACAAAATTAGTTTCTGGCAAAATTGGTTCAGATTCAATTGCAGGAGAAGAGAATAAACAGATAATTCTATGACTCCCATCCTCCCACCACACTCACTACCACATACCCATTAGTGCCAGGAGAGAAGGAAGGAACTCCTAAGACATTTCTCATCAAATACACAGAAATCTGGTTTTAAATAAATATTTGTTATTTCCCGAGGGTTTACTCTTATTGCAATTTAGTTTTCTGCATCTTCTGTTTGACTTTCTTAAGGCTGTTTGATGTTCAAGCCACAAATTCTGCAAGCCCTGTGGTCTCAAAGTTGTTGAGGGACTGAAGTCCATGCTTTCGTGATAATCTGATTGATCACACATACAGCAGATACATGTGTACTCTACAAAGGTATCAGAACATCCATATAGCAAGACCTATTTTTAAATTGGCTACATCATGTGTTTCCTTTTCTAATTCACTGAATATTTCCCAGAGAGGAAATACATTGACATTTGATATTGCATAGATGTATCTGTGTACCACCAAAACATACTAGTTCATTTAATTTCAAATTGATTACCATCGGAGCTATAACCTACATCTTCTATGGAATGCTATGGTATGAATCAAACCTCAAGGAAGCACAACTGTGATCACTGTCCTGTGGATCACCCCAGCATCTGGGGGACTCTGGAGAGGCAGAAAAATTCCTATAATCTATAGCAAACCTGCCTAGGAAACCAACCCATGATCTACAGTAACCAGCCGAGGAAGCCAGCCTTCTCTCTCCAAATCAGACTTGTAGGAAGGCAGGGCACTCTCTCTAGCAGTGATATGGGAAACCAAACAATAACACCTGTAACAATTGGCCCAAAAGGGCCAGGACTTGATTGTTAATGAGCAGTTTCCCTAACTTTTGTCCCTGCTTCAAACTTAGGACCAACTAGAAAAAAGGCAAATATGCTCCTAACCCATCTGGTAAAACACCTGCTTTTCCTTAGTCCACCTGCACCTTCCCCAGGCCAACATCCTCCAGTCAGGGCACACCTAGAGCCTTCTTTCTTCACCCCCATGAAACTTTCCAGATCTTCTGCCTGTCTTGGAGTCTCTGGTAAATGCAGGTGGCATTGGTTGAATCTCTTACTCTACTCTGAGAAGCTCTGAATAAGTAGCCTTTGCTGTTCTTATTTGATTGGTCTTCATTTATTTCCACATTGGGTTGGTCTTCATTTATTTCCACATAGGATTTCTCTACTTTCTCTTTTCACCTACATTGAGTTTGCTAGATATAACATTCATTATTATGAATGAGACATTTGTGTTTTTAAAACCAGATTGTCTGAGCTTCAGCAAGCCACTTTAGAGAGAGGTTGTGAAACTGCTTATCATAGAGTCTTAGCTCTAAGCCTGAATACATCTAACAAGTACAATAAAAGAACAACAAGGGATTCCTTCCTAGTGGTCTGTGCCATTTGGGCTAAGAAAAAAATTAGATATTAGTGGGACAAAAGCTAAAGAGATAAAATTAGAAAGTGCCAAGAGAACAACTCTGTGGTACAATGGAGGTAGACCAATAACTATCATAGTTCAGGAGAGGGTGGGGAGGACATGGGGTAGGTCTGGAAGCCTCACTGGAGAGGACTAGTAACAACAAGCATTGGTCCAGTCTTAGTAGAGATTAAAGAAGAATTTCATAGCCTATGCCACAGATTTAAAAGGATCTGTGGTGGAAGGGCAAGGTGATCTAAAATACCAAACAAGACATTATGTTGAACGTGGATGAAGAAAAAATACATTTAACCCTTAAAATATCGAAATATTTGAAATGTGAATTTTGGTGGGCATTAGGTGGATGATTTCTTATTTTTAACTTTTATTTTAGTTCAGGGGTACATGTGCAGGTTTGTTACGTAGGTAAACTTGTGACATGGGGGTTTGTTGTACGGATTATTTTATCACCAACATACTAAGCCTAATACCCATTAGTTATTTTTCTTGATTCTCTCCCTCCTCTCACTCTCCACCCTCCAATAGACCCCAGTGTGTGTTGTTCCACTCTATAAGTCCATGGGTTCTCATCATTACACTCTCACTTATAAAGGAGAACATGTAGTATTTGGATTTCTGTTCCTGTGATTGTTTGCTAAGGGTAATGGCCTCCAGCTCCAGCCATATCCTTGCAAAGGACATGACCTCTTTATTTTTTATGGCTGCATAGTATTCTATGGTTTATATGTACCACATTTTCTTTAACCAGTCTATCATTGATAGACATTTAGGTTGATTCCATATATTTACTATTGTGAATAGTGCTGCAATGAACATATGCATGCATGTGTCTTTATAATAGAACAATTTGTATTCCTTTGGGTATATACCAAGTAATGGGATTGCTGGGTCAAATACTATTTCTGTCTTTAGCTCTTTGAGGAATTGCCACACTGTCTTAGGTTGGATGATTTCTAAAAACTCATATATCTCTAAGATTTTACATTTCTACTTAACTACAATTATTGTACTGAGATAATAAATAGCCAAATGTTATAGAGAAAAGTACAGATGTGATGTTTATAAAATAAAGACTGTATATTTTTCAGTTAGTTGTAACTATCAGCAGAATTCAAAGCCTACAGGTATGTGGGGACACTCTGACCCACTTCCGCCTTGTGAATATATCCTCAGTGCAAGCTCAGGGATCATGCCAGATGGGTGGCAATCACCCTCCACTGTCCTCAGCACCATAGTCAGAACTATGTATTCCATTTCTGGGTTCTCCCTGCACAAGACAAGGCCTCATAGGAGACTAACCAGAATGGCCACACACAGCATTGCCATAAGAGGTTGAAAGAAGATGAAAGGTTTAAGGCAATTGGCAGGTTTAGCCTCAGTAGCAAATGACTTAGAGAAATTTCATCTGAATCCCTGTTTTGGAAAATTGTTACGTGAAATGCAAATCTCTTCTTACCTATGTGTAGTTCCACTGAACAAAACTATGGCCACGTTTGGAATTCAGGGAGGAAAACTGACAGTCAGTAGTAGGAAGAGATTTATAAGAAGGTCTATATATTTCTTATAAGCTTTATAAGAAGACATGATGAATAAATTTGATATTTATCCCATATTAGATCCTGGAACAGAAAAAAACACATCAGAGAAAAACTTTTTATAATCCAAATAAAGTATAGTGTTAATAATAATATAACAATATTGGTTCACTAGTTGTGACAAGTATACTATAAAACATATGACCTTAACAACAAGAGAAATGGAACATAGAGTATACAGGAACTCTCCAAACTATCTTTGCATTTTCTCTGTAAATCTAAAAGTATTGTAAAATTTAATGTTCATTTAAAAAAATAAGAACTCCTTAAAAATGAATATGGCTGATTGCCCATGGAATTTTCTTTCCCTTCCACTCAGGATATACAACTAAAAACATTGTCAAAGGTATAAAGTATCAAAGATAACGTCATATTAAATTCTAATCTAAATATGTGTCTTCGAAAATGCAAATAAAGAGGCATAACTTATTTTACTGGCAATTAATTCACAACAGTCACCAGAATTTTTATAAGAAGTATTTAGAGCCAGTCATTGCCATAGTTATCTAAAACTATTTTTATTGAATATCTTTTCCAGTGTTCATGATTAATGCTAAGGTATAGAAGTAGAAATACTTATTACAAAATATATAAACTATTACAAAATGGTCAGGATTTTCTTAAAAATGGGATTTCACTTACGGACTTGGAGCTCCTTTCTAAATAGTGTGGGAATTTATTCTTTTAGTCACTACACTAAGTAAACTGTTCTGGCCGAAAACTCTAAATAACAGCATGCTCTTTAATAAATAACCACTAACGATACTCAATTAATTGAGAGTGACAAAGCAGAGTCTCACATCAGCAGCTCCACTAGATTAAGTACCATGTTCTACTCAGCAGGACACTACTTTAAACAATTATTTATCCATTATAAATTAAGCTTAATTAAAGGTTAAATATGAGAAACAAAGCAAAAAAGCTAACAAAAATATTTAGAAGCAACTCTCACAATCATTTATGTGCCAATTTCCAGTTTCATTAAGAATACATTAGAGATAATTTAATATAAGAAGGTTAAAAATGTAAGGAAAGATGACTTACTGTTGCATTTTAACATATATAAATTCACTGAAGCTTTAAAAAAAGTTTTATTGAGATATAATTGGCATAAAAACCCCACACATATAGAAACTATAAAATGTATGCTTAAACATACAACCATCACCACAATCGAGAGAGTGAATATACCCATCAACTCGTAAGAGTGCCTGTGGCATTTTAAAATTCTTCTCCCTCTTCAGCACACCCATCCACAGGCAAACACTGATCTAGCTGAGTCTCGCAGAATTGTAGAGTAGGTATATTTACAGGGATACATGTACACAACTCGGAAAATATACTTCTTTCACTCATATGTTGTGGTTTATTCTGGTTGTTGTGTGTATCAATACAATCATTCATTCTGTTTGATTATTAATATTCTAAATATTTCATGGTATGGGTATAGGATGGTTTGAGCACCCACTCACCTGCTCATGGGCATCTAGACTTTTCCAGTTGTTGGTTATTGATAATAAAGCTACGATGAGCATTAGCATGTAAGTCTCTGTGCGGACAGATGTTTTCTTTTCTTTTTTTTTTTTTTTAATTATACTGTAAGTTCTAGGGTACATGTGCACAATGTGCAGGTTTGTTACATATGTATGCATGTGCCATGTTGATGTGCTGCACCCATTAACTCATCATTTACATTAGGTATATCTCCTAATGCTATCCCTCCCCCCTCCCCCCACCCCACAACAGGCCCCGGTGTGTGATGTTCCCCTTTCTGTGTCCAAGTGTTCTCATTGTTCAATTCCCCCCTATGAGTGAGAACATGCGGTGTTTGGTTTTCTGTCCTTGCGATTGTTTGCTGAGAATGATGGTTTCCAGCTTCATCCATGTCCCTACAAAGGACATGAACCCATTCTTTTTTATGGCTGCATAGTATTCCATGGTGTATATGTGCCACATTTTCTTAATCCAGTCTATCATTGTTGGACATTTGGGTTGGTTCCAAGTCTTTGCTATTGTGAATAGTGCCACAATAAATGTATGTGTGCATGTGTCTTTATAGCAGCATGATTTATAATCCTTTGGGTATATACCCAGTAATGGGATGGCTGGGTCAAATGGTATTTCTAGTTCTAGATCCTTGAGGAATTGCCACACTGTCTTCCACAATGGCTGAACTAGTTTACACTCCCGCCAACAGTGTAACAGTGTTTTAAAAGATCAGGAAACAACAGATGGACAGATGTTTTCATTTAGATTGGCTAAATACTTAGCAGTGGAATGTCTAAGTCATATGAAGCTTTTAACTTTGGAATTCTAACTTTTAAGATGTTGTCAAACTGTTAGTTCTAAGTAGTTGTGCCATTTTACATTCTCCTTGAGAGTGTGTGATAGTTCCAGTTACTCTGCATCATTGCCAGCGGTTTTTATAAGCTGTCTTTTTACTTTTAGTTCTCCTTATAGGTGTATTGATTTTAATTTGCATTTCCTTAATGACTAGAATTTGAGAAACTTTTATGTGAGTATTTGCCATTCTTACATGTTCCTTGATGAAATCTTTTGAAATCTTTTCCCGTTTTATTACTAACATGTTTGTTTCCCTTTATTGAGTTTTCAGAGTTCTTTACATATTCAAGATCCAAGCACTTTATTAAATATGTGATTTGCACATATTTTCTTCCAATCTATGAAGTCTGTTTTCATTTTTGTTAACATTGCCTTTAAAAATCAGAAGTTCTTAGATTGGGTAAAATAACATCTATTTTATAAAGTTAATCTACTATTGAGCAGTTCATAGCTCTTAATAATAAGACCATTTAGAAATGTACCACCCTTGAAAGTCATAAAAAGCTGTGTCATTTAACTCAGCCTTAAAATGTATCTATCATATTTCCAGTTGTTTAATGCAGCCTCATGTTATGTTACTTATTGATATACGTTAAACACTGGCTCATCCAGGTGATCATAGTTAACATCAATAGCAATTAGTTATGTTCATTTTCATAGTACATACCCTTGGTACAATGTGATGAAAATGACACTTTATTTCTGTGATCTTCTTTCCCAAAACCCACAATCCAAATATAATCAAGACAGAAACATCAGGCAAACCCCAAAGGAGAAGAATTCTACAATATACCTGACCAGCAGTCCTCAAAATTCTGAAGGTTGTTAAAAACAAGGCAAGTCTGAGAAACTGCCACAGCCAAGGAGAGCCTAAGGAGACAGGACTACTCAATTTAATTTGGTAATTTGGATGGAATCCTGGTATAAGTAAAGGATATTAGATAAAATCTAAGGAAACTGAATAAAGTATGAAAGTATAAGAATGAGTCAATATAATATAATGGTATTACATATAATATAATGTTCATCATATAAACATAATGTGAAAATTTAATTATACAAATGCTATGAAAACTTAATAAGAGAGGGGGATAATAACAGTGAAAAACAGAGCAGGGTGGAAAGCCAGGTCGTGATCTCACTTGCTGACCATGTGGTTTTAGGTAAGCTATTTAATTGACAGTGCTCTCCTTTTTCTTCCATAATACAAGGAGTAATAAAGTACCTTCTTCATAGGGTTATTAATTGTTGCTATTTTTGTTATACATTTTACTTCTTAATTTGTCAAAAAACTTGCTTTACAGTGTTATTGTTTATTCTTCAAAAGTCAGTTTTATTTTAAATCAATTAAAAGAAGAAAGAACATATCATATTTTATAGTTAATCATCTAGTCACCATTCATGGTGCTTATCATCCCTTCCTGTAGATCCATGTTTCCAACTAGAAACATTCTCCTTCAGTCAGGACAGCCATTAGAAAATCTTGCAGTACAGGTGTGCTGGCAGCAAATTGTCCCAGCTTTTGTTGGTAAGAAGGTATCTTGATTTTGTTCTCATTTTTGGAAGATGTTTTTCTGAGAAGAGATTTTTGTTTTCTTTTTTTAATATCCAACACTTTAAAAACTGCACTTCTGTTATCTTTTAGAAATCCCCAGTTATTCTCATCCTTTCCCCGCTGTACATAATGTGTCTATTTCCTCTGGCTACTCTCAAGGTCATTTTCTTTTAAAACTTTGGTTTATGGCATTTTGAGTATAAGGTGTTTAGTTTTGGGTCTTTAGTAATTATTTTACTTGGGTCTCACTGAGATTTTTGAATGCATGAGTAATTTTTTATCAATCATTGAAAGGCTTTAGCTATTATTTCTTCAAATATTTTATTCTGCTCTAATTATACACTCTTCTCCTTCTAAGGAACCAACAACATATATACCAGATCATTTGATGTTGCTCATAACTTCTTGAAGAGCTGGTCATTCTTTTCAATTGGGATCTCTCAGATTGGTTAATTTCTATTGTCTGTCTTCTAACTCCAGTCATCTGTTAAGTAATTCAATTAATTTTTTATTTATTTTGTTGAACTTTTCACTTTCAGAATTTTCATCTGGTTCACTTCTATATTCTTTATGTCTGTTGAGGCTTTCTACTTGTTCTCTCAATAAGACCACAAAGGACCCTGAATAGTCATGGCCATCTTGGGCAGGAACGCAGATGGAGGCATCATACTTTCTGATTTCAAAATGTAGCAGAATGATACAGGAATCAAAACAATATGGCACTAGCATAAAGACAGACATTTAGGCCGATCAAACAGAATAGAGCCCAGAAATATATTCATACATTTATGGTTAACTGATCTTTGGCAAGGGTGTCAAGAATACCCAATAAGAATACCCAATCTATTAAATAAATTGTGTTGGAACAACAAGATATCTACATTCAAAAAAATAAAATTGGACCCTTATCTTATAGTATATTAAAAAATCAACTCAAAATAGATTAAATACTTAAATGTAATACCTAAAACTGTAAAACTACTAGAAAAAAACACGGGAAAATATTTTTTACATTGGTCTGGGCAATGATATTTTGACTATGACAACAAAAGCACAGACAACAAAAGCAAAAACAGGCAAATGGGATTTCATCAAAGTCAATAGCTTCTGCATAGAGAATCAACAGCCCAAAGAGTCAACAGCCTGAAGAGACAATGTACTGAATAGGAAAATATATTTGCAAACCGTGAATCTTATAAATAGTTAATGTCTAAAATGTATAAGAAACTCATACAATCCAATAGCAAACAACAAAACACACACTAAAAAACTAACTAAAAATGCAAATTATTTAAATAAACATTTCTCAAGGAAGACACACAAATGGATAAGAGCTATATGAAAAATGTTCAACATTACTATCATCAGGAAAATGTAAAATTAAAAGTACAATGAGATTATCTCACACTAGTGAGAATGACTATTATAAAAAAGATGAAAGATACATGTTGGCACATTGTAGAGAAAAGGGAATCTTTTACATTATTGATGGGAATGTAAAGTGGTACAACCATTATAGAAAATAGTATAGAGGCCAGGCACGGTGGCTCACACCTGTAATCCCAACACTTTGGGAGGCCAAGGTGGATGGATCACTTGAGGCCAGGTATTTGAGATCAGCCTGGCTAACATAGCAAGACCCCATCTCTACCATATTTCTATGAAAAATACAAAAAAATTAGCTGGGCATGGTGCCATGGTAGTCTCAGCTACTCAGGAGGCTGAACCACAAGAATTGCTTGAACCCGGGGGGCAGAGGTTGCAGTGAGATGTGATCGCACCACTGCACTCTAGCCTAGGTGACAGAAGCTTGGCCAACATGACAAAACCCAGTCTCTACTAAAAATACGAAAATTAGCAGGGCATGGTGGTGCATGCCTGTAATCCCAGCTACTCAGGAGGTTGAGGCAGGATAATCACTTAAATCTGGGAGGCTGAGCCAAGATCATGCCACTGTACTCCAGCCTAGGCAACAGAGTGAGACTCCGTCTCAAAAAAAGCAAGAAAGAAGATAGTGTAGAGGTTCCTCAAAAAATTAAAATTAGAACTACTTTATGATCCAGAAATCTCACTTCTGAGCATATACACAAAGGAATTTAAATCAATATGTCAAAGCAATATCTGCACTTCCATGTGTATTACAGCAATATTCACAGTAGCCAAGATATATAAACAAACTACATGTCCATTGATGAATAAATGAATAAAAAAGTAATATATATTAATGTAATGAAATATTTATATTATTTTTGTGTAGTTTGTACATATACATACATACATACACACAAAAAATTGAATATTATTCAGCCACTAAAACGAAGGAAATCCTGCCATTTGCAACAACATACATGGGCCCAGAGAACATTATGCTAAGCAAAATCAGCCAGGTAGAGGAAGACAAATACTGCATGATCTCACTTATATGTGGAATCTAAAACTTTGAAGTCACAGAAACAGAGAGAAAAGCTGAGAGGAGGTGGCAATGGAGGGATATTTGTCAAAGGGTATAAAGTTTCAGTTATGCAGGTTGTAAACACTCTGGAAATCTAACGCCCAGCAATGAGAGTATAGTTAGCAATACTGTATTATAAATCTTCATAGCTTCCAAAACGTATGCCCTGACTATAAGACCTTTACCACCTATAACATATAAGAATGTTCACCTATTTTCTTCTAATAATTTGTTTTTATATTAAATTTTGGATATATCTAAATTATGAATCTGGCTACATCATATTTTAATGGCTGGCTATTTCCCCCATCAGTATATGTTTCAAAGTACATATCTTTATCACTTACTTAAATGGCTTAATTATTATAAATTCCCTATATAAATATAGGTGTGGTTAGGGGACAATATGCAGGCACAAATTTCTAAGATTTTAATTCCTGCTTTAAATAATATAAATTTGTATATATTTTAATGGAGGATTAGTTTCACTATTTCTCATTTGACAGAGTAAAATTCTCCAGCTGTTTTCACTGTCCTTCCTTAGTGGAATTGTACTTCCCCAATTTCCTGAATTTATACGTGGCCATATGACGTGCTTCAGTCATAAAATGTGAGTGAAAGTGGCACATGACTCTTCCAGGCGCTGCTGTCTGAGCCAGCAGATTCTTCATCGTGTTCTCTTTTTTCTCTGCCTTCCTGTTCACCTATGTTCCAGACAGTTGGAGTCTCACCGGTGTGGGTTTGGCATGCAAATGACACAAAGCAGATTATGGAATGGCCTGAATGTAGAGTAAAATATTTGCTGTTTTAATTACTGAGATGTGAGTGTCACTTGTTGCTAGAGCAAAAATTAGTTTATCTGACAGATACTATAGGTCAGATATGTATTTATTCACTAAAATTTTAGACTATCTCATCAGGTTTAAATATTTTTTACTAGATGGATTGGGCTATTAAGCATATAGAATAATTCAAAATAATAAATAAATTTAGATTATGAATCTTCCTCTGCAAGAGTCTTTCTATTCATGTAAATCTCTTAAGGGGCAATTTTGGGGCTGTTATAGCATAATTTATTTCAACATTTTCCTAATGAAGAATATATAATTATTTTTATCTTTAATCTGTTAATAGTACTGTAATAAAATTATTTTACATAAACATTTTACTTGACTTCTAATTTATTCTTCATTATAAATGTGTGTAACAGGACCCCTAGATTAAAGATAATAATGATTTTGAGCTTCTATTATCATCAAATAAAACTCTAGAAGAATTGCATGAATTTTCTCTTCCATTAGCTGTATTATTTATGTTGGTATTTTAATACAATTTTGCTATTATTAAATATTATCTTTTCTTTGGTAAAGTGTTCAGGTAGAAAGAGAGAGAAGGAGAGAGAAATACCATATATGTGTGTGTTGAAGAGACTCCCACAAATAAAAAGTGTATAAAAGCCTGGGAAACATAGTGAAGCCCTGTCTGTACAAAAAATACAAACATTAGCTGGGTATAGGTGTGTGTACCTATAGTCCCAGCTATTTGGGGAGCTTGAGGCTTACTTGAGGAGGATCACTTGAACCCAGGAAGTCAAGGTTGCAGTGAGTTGAGGTTGTGCCATTGTGCTCCAGCCTGAGTGACAAAGTGAGACCCTATCTCAAAACAAACATGTGTACAAAATGTGTGTGTATGTATATAGGTGTGTATGTTTATGTATGTATGTATGTACACACACACACGTTTTAACCTACACAGTGAAATATACAGACGTCCACTTACATACATATTCCCATGCACATATCTACACATACACATACGGTTTTTGACTGTTGATTTCTATGAGTGTTAACAATCATTATTCAGCCAACCTACTTTCATTTGTACCTTTTTACTACCCATAGTCCCTAATCCACTGAAGTATTTTAAAGCAAACCCCAGACATCATATTATTTCACCAATATATTTTCCATTATGAATCTAACAGATAAGGAGGCAATACCATTATTGCAAATAACAAAACTCTAGTGTTTCCTGAATGCCATATAATATTCATTCATTGTTCAAATTTCAGAAAGTGTCAACAAATATTTTTTGGTCTTAGGTTGTTTTTTCTGATCCCTTCTTTGTTTTTCTTGTCATCTATTGGTTATAGAAATCCAGGTTATTTGTTCTGTGGGATTTACCACATTCTGAATAAAGTTAATTACTGTTCAAGCTGTCTTTTGTGGTTCCAATGATACAGACAGAAGACAGAGAAATACTGGGTAGGAGAGGATGGCTCCCTCGCAAAGGCCCTACCCTCAAGCCTGGAAACCCGTGGCCCTAAATGGGAACATGTATTCCTGTTTTCCTACCCAAATGTTGCCTTTTGGCCCACCACGTCCCCCTATCCTGTAACCATATAAACCCCAAACCCAGGTTCCAGGAGCAGACAAGCAAACAAACAGAAGAACAGAGGAGCAGAAGAGTGTCACGGCAGAGAAGGAGAGAAGAGTAGGAGCTTCTGAACTTAGAGGCTGGGGGAAGTCAGAGAGGAGATTGGTCACAGGATTACCAGGGGAAGATCATCTTCCTATTCCAACCCCTTTCAACTCCCCATCTATCCTATTGAGAGCCACCTCCATCTGGCAATAAAATTTCCTGCATTTACCATCCTTCAATTTGTCCGTGTGACCTGATTCTTTCTGAATGCGGGACAAGAACCTGGGTACCAAGAGGGCACTGAGCTGGTTAACACTTGAGCTGTCTGCAGACAGCAGAGCTAAAAGAGCACTGTAATATGACTGCTGGGGCTTCGGGAGCCACAAGAACCCACCCGTAGACACTACCATGGGGCCAGAGCCCCAAAAGTGCTCACTTTGGCTCCTGAACTTGCCCATCTGCATGCTTCCCCTCCCCTAAGGGGTTTGAGCACACAGAAGCCAAACAAACAAGCCACAGCCCTCTTGCACGTCCTGCAGGGGGCATCAGGGAACTCTCCCATTTCACCAGTACCTTGACTGTCATCTGTAAAGACTTGATCACATAAGTCCCAGAGAAGGTACCACTGAAAGCAACGATGTGCTAGTGGGGATGCTGGTGCCTCCCCCTAAGTGACCTCAGGACACACTCCAAACTCTTTTGTCTTCTTTTTGTGATGTTATCATTGGTAAGTCACTTAGTGTCAGACATATTAGAATATATTTTAAATAAGTAAATCACTATAGATTCAGGAAAATTCATTTTATATCTCGCTCACATCCTTTTACTCCCTTCTCTGATGGTAACACATACTGTGTAATTTTATAGATGTGTGTCTGATAAAATATAGTGAATTTTTATAATTTTATATAAGCAGTCTATTATGTATATGTTTTTGTATCAAGATTTTATTTCAACATCTTTCTTAGATTTATCAAGATACATATATAAATATAAAACTATTTATAGAGATACATCACACATTATGCATCCATTAAACTCTCAAATTTTAAATTTAAAAAATTATTATTAGAAATCAGACTGAAATTAACATACTTGTGCTTATATCCTTGTGAATATGTTACCCATTTAATCTTTGGTATCTCCAAAAGAGTAGAAATTGTGAGATCATAGAAAAATCTACTATTTTGTTTTGTTTTTCGGGTAATGCTAAATAATTATCCAGTGATTATACTTACCTATCTGACCAAACACAGCATATTATGATTCTTATTAATCTACATTCTGGCCAGATATGTTTGTTTCACATCATTATCAAATTGTTGAATCTGCCTTCCCCAATTACTAGGTGAACTGATAATTCATATGTCATTAATGCTTTTGTACTCTACCTTCATAGTTGTTCCATGTTTCCAAGCATTCAGGCAGAGAGGAGGAAACTCCCCTGCCCTTAGGGAGATAATGCTTCCATCCCCACACACAGCAGCTGCCCAGACTCTCATGGGTTGTCTGCCTCTCACCTCTGTGTATCTTTAATAGGAAGTGGCCACATACCAGGATAAACCATTGAATTATTATTAGCAAAGTGCTGTGTTCAAAGAGGAGTCTATATTCACTATAGTAATCGTTGAGAAATGGAGCTGATGCCCCTGGGTCGTGAGCAAAGAGAAATCCATGCCATCTTTTCTCTTTACCTCAAGCAACCATAACAACTAGCTTCCTGACAGATCAGACAGTGAGGCTATTCTCTGTATTATACATTGAAAAGATAACTCAGGGGCTGAAGCCAATTCGAAGCCAGTTTGTAAAGCCATTCTCTTTCAGAACGGCTGCTCAAACCCGTTCTAAGGAGAGGGGTGCCTTGCACCAGTCAGTATGGCAGCACAATGGCAGCTTTGCAGCAGGGTGAGGGTTAAAGAAACCAACATACTTTGGGCTGCAACACTGCAAAAAGCAGCCATGAAAGGTTGGGGAACCTTTCAGACCCCCTGTTCTTCTACCATTACCTTCCCAGAAGGCAAGATAAGAGGAGGAACTTGCAGGAGTGGAGAAGAAGCTTTCTTCTGCCCCATTTATTGTTTACCTGACCATTTGTTGCAGGCTCTTGCTAGTGTTAAAACACCAATTGTTCCTGACATTTCTCCGTTTCCAGCTATTGTGTGTTGTCTAATACATCTCATCCCCATCTTGGACAAAGAGACCATTGATGTAACAACACAGACTTTCCAAGGTGCCATCATGAGCCATGGATTCTCTCTCAAATATCTGTTTCCCTGCAAAAGGATGATCATTATAGTTTATCACCCATAAAGCTACCTCCAGAGCTCTAAAACATAGCGCTCTGCGGAGCAGCCCTGCTTGTCTTTGGGGCTTCGGAAGCAGTGAAACCTTTCCTTCTCTGTACTCTCGCAGCACAGTCATTGTAGGGCAGGGCTGATCGCTGCATGTTTTCAGTTCCTTCTTGAGTATATAATCGACTGTTAAGAATGTGAAGTACTGGCAACATCACCCAGAGTGTCAGCCTTCATCCAATCTGGGAAAAAATAAGCAGTTCCCCTGCTTCTAGTGGGTTTCATCAAGAGGTCAATGGGTCTGTCTTGTGGCAATGCCTCTCAAAACCTTCCCCTTGAACTATTCCTCCAAGCAGAGGAAAGGGAAGTGGGACCACTGAGATACAGGGGTGGCTGGCAATGAAGCTTCAGAAAAAGTGAAATTCATATGTGAACATTTATATCTCATCTGTAAATGTTATCTGGATTTTGTACTGTGTGCCATTATACATTCACCTTTTTAGAAAAATAATATTTTATGTAACCTTTCTTCAAGTAAAATGAGTTATCCCTGAAAGTTCACCATCTCTATCTTGTGGCTTCCTGTTCTTCCTGTGTGTGTCTTACTTTGAAAATTAAGAACTTAGGGTTCTTAGCCTCTCTTACTTAAAAATACTCCTTGAGTGGCAGATAATGGATTGGTTTATCAGTCAATTACAGGTTGGTATGAATAATCTTGATAGTTCCTTTCTAATAAAGTGTTAGTGTAGGAAAAAGGGTGGTGAAATTACGAGGATTCTGTTGAAGTGGGAGTGGAGAATGGATATCACTGAGCGAGGACACAGTGGCAAAGGGCTGAGCAGGAAAACCACTGAATGATTGGGAAGCAAGATGTATTCAGTGTAGTTTAAGGAATCAGTACTGCAGATGAAAAGCTGGCCTTTCTGTTAATAGGTACCAATTTAATAACTGCTATAGAATCAGTTATTTAATTTTACCCGTTGTATTTCCAATCATAATTTGCAATAAAATAGGACATATACCCAACCTAAAATGAAATGGGAGCTAAAAGGAAACAGATATCGACCTTTCTCTTTTATTTCTGTTTCATAGCTGAAAATCCAATGTAAGAGCGAACCCTGAAGTCGCAGCATTCAGGTCTCTGGCGCATGACTTAATGTTCATTAACAATTGCACTGAATCTTGTTCAAATGATTCTCTCCTGCTGAATTGTTCTCATTCCTTAATTGGCTTTGTTGTTATTGCTTATATGCTTGAATCAAATTACAATACGTGTCACCTATGAAAGTCTCTCAGATAATAGATCTGGTAGCCATTGTGTATTTTGTGATCTTCACAATACAACAGAAGTTGGGCATCAATTTGTGCTACAAAATCTGGCACACGGAAGCCCACATTCAAGTATATTGTGCACTGAAGAAGAATGTTTAGAAGGAGCACCTGGGACCCATCTATACCAGCTCTTCTCAGTTCGTCTGTGCTTTTGCTATGTATGCATTTACTTAATGCAACTTCAGAAAGTTGACCATTACAGAGCAGTGCACCTCTCCTTAGCCCAGTCAGCATGTCCTTTCCCCTTCTATTCTACTTTGTTATAGCAAAATAGCTTGCCAATTACAAGTGCACAGTTAAGCAGAAGCCTAGCCACTCATATAGCTACAATTGTCCCCAGATTGTGTATTTTTACAACGTGCAAGTTCTGATAGTAATCTTCAGAAGTACTCAGAACACAGAAAGAATATAACTTTAAACATTAAATACTATTAAAGGCTTAGTTAGAACCTATCTTAGTGAAAATTATTCAGAACTTAGAATGTAAAATATTTCAGAATTGTTTGTCAAAGGCAAAATTATGGAGTGAAATATATGATATGAATGGCTATTTGTTGAAGAAGTGACTGGTAAAACCAGAGCAAATGAAGATGTCAGTTTACATATGGATATAACATGTTCCATGTGGTGGTTTTCATTCTAGGATTTCAAATACAATTTTTTATAAGGAGCTCGTAGTTTTCAATGATGGTTGAGTGGGTCAGGAGAAGGCAAAGTGATGTAGTTCAGTAGATCTCAGCATCAACTGCAGGCTGGAATCATGTAGAGAATTTTAAATACCACTGTTGGGAGTTGCACCCCACAGGTCTGGTAAGTGGGAGACTAAATATTGTGTTTTTAAAAAACCTCCCAGGAACTTTTAATGTGCAGAAAACTTTGAGACTCACCATATACAGTCCAATTCACACATATTGAGCAGTCATATTCCCTGGTCTATTTTTCTTGTTCCAAAGCCAAGGCTCAAATGTAACTGCCATTTATGACTTTCATTTTGCCAGAGGTCTTCCATGCCCTCATTCACTATTCTCAACTGACTGAGAGTAGTTTCCCAGAACTAAGCTTCTCATGCTTTCCTGGGATTAGGAGTCACCACTGGATGTTATTAAAGTGCAGGTTCCATTTCTGGAGGTCTGGGGTGGGGCCCACACCACAGCACCACTAACAAGCCATCAGGGGATGCTGGGCTCATGGTCCAGGAACCACATTTTGAGTGGCCAAAACCTAGAATGTATTTAACGATCCCTCTTTCTAAACACCATTAAAATGTTTTTTGAATACATTTCTATTAAATTGTGAGGGGGGAACCTTGAATAAACTGTCCATTTATAACCACCAAATTAATTACTATTATGTGGATGTCTGGGTTTCATACTGTTTATATGCAGTGTAAGTATAACAACCATTTCAATGAAATCCTGTCATTTGTGAATCAAATTAACAGGGCAGCTTTCTTGTCTCAGAATTCTGATATGACCCACTCATCAGATCAACATGATGCCACTCTGCACTGCGTGATACCTGATGTCTTCCCCTTCAAGCTGCTGTCATGAAATACCATAGAATGGGTGACTTATCAACAATAGAAATTTATATCTTGCAGATCTGGAGACTGGGGAAGTCCAAGATCAAGGCTCCAGCAGATTCAGTATCTGGTAAGAGACCATTTCCTCATAGATAACCATCTTCTC
This sequence comes from Homo sapiens, assembly GCF_000001405.40. NCBI lineage: Eukaryota > Metazoa > Chordata > Mammalia > Primates > Hominidae > Homo > Homo sapiens. The sequence continues at coordinate 8,869,055 of NC_000005.10, forward strand.
AGTGTATCATCACATATTCGAAGGGGCATAGAAGCTCTGTGGGGTCTCTCTTATGAGGGCTCTAGTCCCATCAGCAAAGGCTCCCCTTTTATGACTTAATCTTCTCCCAAAGACCACCTCCAAATACCATCGCACTGAGCATACGGTTTCAACATAAGAGTTTTGGCTTCAACTTATGAGGGATACAAACTACCAGTCCTATAGCACCTGTTATGATTATGAATCTCAGCCCACAGATACACGTGTATAAGAAATACACCTTTGTTTGCTGTCACTCCACATAATGCAGTCTCAATTACCAATTCACCAGCCAGGTAGGAGACTTTGTGCTAGCTCCTTGGGATGTGACCCCTGCTCCCAAGGCTTATGCCATAACTCTGGGCCTTTCTCATGCCAAGGCACCTGGTGGTGAGAGAAGAGACCCACAGTTACACAAAACAGCATCAGTTTCCCAAACAGCATCCCGTAGCTCTAGGAGCTACAGCTGTGGGGCAGATGGCTGACTACACACCCTATATGCTTTGCTTGATTGACTGATTTACAATACTCACTGTGGAGAATATCTACATTCTTAATTATTCTCATTTGTTACAGTTAATTCCAAATAAAATAAACAATAGTACCATGGTGGCCATTCTTTCATACACATCTCAGAGCACTGGGCCAATTTCTGCCTTAGCAGGTGTAATGGCTGGGTCAGAGGATGTGCACACAGAATGGCGTTTGCTAGGAGATGTAACGAGACCGCCAAAAAGTCTCCATCATTTCAGACACTCCTCAGCGGTTTCAGGGGGCCAGTTCCAACAGCCTCACCTTAGAAGCTAGTAAGCCAACACGGGTTAGCTTTCTGTTTGTTTTCTAACCTAATAATAAATAATGTGAAAGAACAAAGGTTTAGTTCATTTTATTATTTAAATTTGTTGTTGGGTAATTTCATAATAACATAATAACATACTGTTATTGATACGGGAGAGTTCCCTTATCCCGCTTGCAGGACGTGCCAGGGGTGTGGCTCACTTGCTCAGTGCCCCACTGCTCAAACCCCTGGGGAGAGCATGCAGGCAGGCAGGAGCAGAGGGTGTGGGGAATGCTTTTGGGCTCCCACCTCGCGGAAGCGTCTGGCAGTGAGAGTTTACGACTCCTGAAGCCCCCGTGGGTGTGTGTTACAGCGTGTTCTTTCAGCTTTGCAGTCTGCAAACGGCTTGCGTTAATCAGCTCAATTAGGCCCTCTGCCTTATTGCAAGGGCAGAGGGCTTTCTGTATCCCGAGTTTTTGCCCAGTGTACCAGAAAAATCAGATCACACGTGGGCTTGGAGGGTGAGGCTCTCAGCAAGGGGAATGGAGTGGGAAGATGGTCTCCCCTGGAGTTGGGCGGCCCGGAAGCAGGACTCTTCTCCGACTGCCCCAGCTGAACTCCCCTCCGCGTCCACGTTCTTCTGCCGTCTGGTCTTCCGGGTGTCTGCTGGTGTCTGCCAGGGTCTGCTGGTGTCCCCACTGGTGTCCGCTGGTGTCTGCCGCTGTGTTCCTCTGCTCTTCTTGATGTCGAGCCGCCTGTATTTGTGCCTACCAGGTCTCAGGTTACTCTGGGAACAGGATGGGGGGCGTGGCGGGCCAAAAGGCAACTTTTTGGGCATGAAAACAGAAATGCCTGTCCTCACATAGGCCTGTGGGCACAGGACCCAGGGTGGAGTACTCACCGGGGACCCCGCCCTTCACTACCCAGCACTTCCCCGGCCCCCTCCCGTATTTTTATGAGCTGAATTGCATCTTCTCCTCAAATTCCTATATGGAACTCCTAACCTCCAGTACCTCAGACCTTGTTTGAGATAGAGACTTTAAAGAGGTGATTAAGTTAAACTCGATAGTGTCAGTAAGGAGGGCCCTAATCCAATATGACTGCAAGAGGAAATTTGAACACAGACACACACACATAGGAAAGCTTTTGTAAAGACACAGGGAGAAAAATAGCCACCTATAAGCCGAGGAGAGAGGCTCCAGAAGAAGCGAATTCTGCCCACGCCTTGATCTCAGGCTTGCAGCTTTCAGAACTGTGAGACGACAGACACATTTCTGTGGTTTAGGCTCCTGGTCCGCTTTACATTGCTAATGCGGCATAGCAAACTGATACATATGCATTCGTAGTTTTTCTACTAGCACTTCATCATTTGTTATTTGAAAAGTTGTCATGAAAATGCAAATATTGGTGTCTATTATCTATTCACTTCATCATGCTTTATCAATGTTTGAATTTAAAAATTTGGAAATGAAAATTAACTAATTGTTTTCTTTAAGGTTTTAACCTTTAGTGTTATACTTAGAAAATCCTTATCATGTTATCCTCTATGAACTTCTATTTTTCCTCCTAGAACTTTTATGATTTACTACTTTATATTTAAATCCGTAATTACCATGTTTAAATCTTTAATCAGTCTCTAATTCTTGTTTTTTCCCCCATATCAACAGCAGATGTTACCATTTAAAAAAATCCTCTGGTAATCTTATTATTTAAGTTTGCCCAACCCACAATTGTTTATTTAGTAATTTTGAATCAGAGACAGAACAGCAAAATAAGGCAACATCGCTTCCTCAAAGGAAAGATACTTTATCAGGGGACATGGCTATCTACACAGGCAACTGGAATACAAATCAGATTGAGATATGTGCTATGTAGAGATGGGAGCATCTCTTGTGGGCACAGAAGGAGGGTGACAGGAGCAGAAATCTCCACAGCAGTAGAGTTTGAGATCAGCCTCAAAAAAAGAGAAAAGAAAGAAAGGGGGAGGGGAGGGGAGGGGAGAAGAAGCCAGGCAAACATAATGAAAGGAGTTCTATGCTAAGGAAACTTAAGGAAACTTATTTCATGGAGGCTTCAGGCTTTAAGAAGCACGGCCTCAGATAATGCAAAAAGGGTTCTTCCATCTTGGACCTTGGACGTCGTGTTTCTGGATTATTGGGGATGTGTGGGTTGAAGAAAGAGGAGGAAGCAAAGATGTAATCAAGTTATGGAGAACCATTAATGATGTACTTCGCCATTTGAATTTATCCTATAGCTAAAGGAAAACCATTGAATGACTATGAAGCAAACACAATTCAACTGTCTTTTTCTAAGGAATTAGTACTAGAAATGAAAAATGCCCTTAATGTTAAATGATGGCAATTTTAGTAGCTTCTTTAACTAAAGTTATTTTAATTTTACAATTCACATTTCTAATTACAATTGGCAATTAAAAGTGGGGCATATTCCCAAACCTAAAAGGAGATGTGATCTAATAGGAAACAGATATGAATGAGTGATGTGAATACAAGGTCTCTCTACCTTTCATGAAGTTGCCACAAACAACCTGACCTAGAAGTTCAGCTCATGGAGAAGGGGACATGGAGCTTGTTAAAGGCTGTAGATATGTTTAATGGTCACATATGAATGATAGAAAAAGCATCAATCTGTAGATTAGACACTGTAAAGCTGTAGAGGACAGAAGTTCTTTGCACGTTGAGAAAGCACCAATTTTTAACACAGTTGTGGTTTCGGGAATGTGTGGGAGAACAGTGGGGTTAGGGGCTCAGGTTGCAAATGGCCTCAACAGTCCAACTACAGAGACCATATTATTCAGTAGACACATGATGATCCAAGCATCCTCCTCTCCTTTCTTCAGAGGCCAACACTTGCCAGGTCATGAATAAAAAGGGGCCAGAGTGTATTGAACAGCCCTCCAGCATGTGCCCAGTCTTGGCACTTGCTCTTCAGGTCCACATGCCCCTCCCAGCCAACATCTGATCCTCTCCTCCTGCCTACCCATTCCTGCCCTTCCAGCTCCTCCCTGGCCCCTCAGTGCCTTTTCCACTTTGCCCTCCCTCATCCTCTCTCTATCCTTCCACTTAACTAACAGCCCCCTGCCCCTCCCTGAGCCATTGCCCTTTCCCTGGTGATGAAGCCACACAGAATGCTTCCAAGGTGGGGAGATCTGGCCTGCCTTGATTGTGCTTCCTTAACTCCCTGTAGCACCACCAACCCAAGGCCCTACAGGTGCATCAGGGCACACCCACTTCCTAGTGTTTTCTCCTGTTCACATCCCCATGACTCGGGGAGCAAAGGCAATTCCTCAACTTCTGCTGGGTCAGGCTCTACCCATCTTTCCAGAAATGTCTCTCAAAACACATCAGCATGGGCTTGCTCTATAACCCATATCTTCTCCCAGAAGCAAGCGTACCAGTCAGACCCCAGATGTACTCTGGCGTTGCAGGTGCTAGAATGTTCCATAAAGGGTTTTGACATTCCAGTTCCAGCTGCAGAGCCTAGGGCTGACAGAGATGCTAGGGACAATCCCTATCCAGCCCTGTCAGAGATCAGGGCCCCTTATCTCTGCCCCTAGTCAAATGTGAGTTACAGCATGCATGCTGTTGTGTACTTCCAAATGCTTCAATGGAGACTGACAAATTAGACACACATACACACATACACACACAAACACCTGTCAAAAACAATTCTCAAAGGTGGTAGAAATTGTTTTCTACCATAATTTTCATGGTTGTATCTGACAGTTGATTTTTTTCAAGTAAATGAGTAATTAGTGTTATTTTCTTCATCCCATGCTATGAAATCCTACCCTTCTGTCTGGCCAGAAATGAGATGCAGAACCACTGGGGTTCATTGACTTGCAATGGGTCCCTTTCTCACTTGCAGGAAACCTGGTTGGGGCTTCAACAGGAACACCTGCAAGGACCAGCTGACTTCCTGCCCAGACACCCTTGCATTCTCAGCCTCTGCCTGGGAGGAGGAAGAGGCACTTCCACATTTCTTGTGACAGGTAGTTTGGAGCCAATGAAAGCTTCCAGCCATGGAAGTGCCATGATCAAATTGGTATCAAACAAAGGAACTTCCCAGTTGCAGGGTGTAGTAGAGGCTTCAGGGAAGGGGGTTTGGAATGAAATAATTTGGGAGACTGTAACCATGGAGCTGAACTGGGATAAGTACTAGGTGGCCTATCTGAAATTCAGAAGACTCACTGGAGCTACAGATGTTAGTATTGGGTGATGTGTTATGAAGACCCCCCACCTCCAGCTCACTGTCAAATGCAGACACCCACTCACCTATGTGTGGAGGTTTGTCCTGCACAGACACTGCTGTTGACCCAGCCCACCTGCAGCCTCCTGGACACCTGAGGGCCACTGGCATAGTCAAGGCAAAAGCCTTGGGCCGCACTCCCATCTGCTGTAGCTGCCACAGGTTCCCCATCTCAGTGGCAGTTGGTTTCCAGGTGCTCATCCCTTCCTGGCATTGCTAGAGGCTTAGAGGCGGCTGTTTCATGGAGCCTGGTATGTCTCTTGTGAGAAAACATGCGACATTTCTTGCTTGTCTGAACCAACACACCACACTCCCTTGTTAGAGACAATGACATGGCTAGAGAATAATTGAGGTTAGCAAGACTCACTTCTTCTGTCATGCCTGGACAGCGGTTCTGCTCTTCCTTTTACTTTTTTTCCTGTAGACTTAAACTAGAAGTCACAGCAGTAGCTAATCATGTTGAAAAAAAATCCTCAATATTTGGATTTTGCTTTTGAATGTATTAAATGTGGTCAGTGGGACCCACACTTTCTTGATGACCTTCCATGAGAAGGAATTCTCTGATCTTGTTGAATAGTTTAAGCCTTATATTTGCAAGAGGCTAAATAATATTCTAGGAAAATAAAATGTTGTTTGAAAAGCAATCATTTATTATAAGTTTGTCAGCTGAGGAAGATAACTAGCATTTTGTTGTGGCCAGGAATGTATATGAGCCAGGAGGACTAATATGATACTACCCTGGAAGTCAGAGCTTGAAGTTTAGTTACTGTGGAGATCACCCATCTCTCACCTGGAATGCATTTCTGACAATTAACATTAATGGTTGCCATTGTAGTTTTGGTCCCTGGGTAGATATCACAGAGAATCTGTGTTCAGGAATTTACACAGAAAATACATCTTGGGGTCAAGTATTTCCATGCCTGAGCCCCACACCCAGAGATTTTTGGTTTACCTGGTCTGTGACTAGTACTGGATATTAGAAGGTTAAAAAGGTTTAACTAGGATTATGAGTCCCTGATTTCATGCCAGGTGGGTATTGAGTGTCAGGCAATTGTTCCAAAGATTCTTTTTGTCTTCTGAGACTTGATTCCAAAACTAATTAAAAATAGTAACAATAGTATGGCAATTCTGTTCACACATACTCTTCAAGTTTCCAATTCGCTTTGGAGAAATGAGCTTTCTAGGTTCAATGAGATGTCTACTAAGTTCACGTACCTTTCCTCTCTCCAAGGATGTCCTTACTTTACCCATATAAGAAGCAGAATTCCTAGGGAATCAAAAGGACCCCAAAGAGTTAATAATTTCCCCAAGGCCCTGAGGCCATCTGAGGGCTGACCCAAAAGCCTCAGGTCTCTCCACCACCACACAGTTTTTCGACTTGTCAACTGAAAAGATTACACTGGGTCGCTGTGCCTTTGCCTCCCAACTTGCATTCTCTACCAACAGTTTCCCCACATCATGATCATTGGAGACATTTACAGATGTGTGTTTGTCCTCCTTCCCAGGGCATGGCAGGGCTATATTTCCTTGCCCCTTTAGAAGTTGGCTGACTGGTGCATATCTGATTTCGCCATTGCCATGTGAGTGGAAGGAAACGCAGAACTGCCGGGCAGACACCCTAAATGCCAGCATGTCACTTCCCACGTCCTCCCTAACCTGTTGCAGCAAGTGTGGTAACTTCTACCAGGATGTAGCTTTTGCTTTCATTAGCCCAGATGGTGAAAATAAGTAATTCAGAATCTAAGTTATTGGAACTCTACAGTTTTTTTGAACCTTAAAGCAATGTAAATTACTTTAAGGCCCAAGTCATGTGACAGGCAGTTGTAAGCTGTTGTTTATCTGAATTAAGTCTTTTACCTGCATTATTTTGTAAAATGATGTAAATGGTGAAGGATGCCAGGGAAGATCCTTCCTTCTTCCTGTTGACTTTCCTTATAGATTAACTTCCCTCTTATCATTCATTTTTTACTTTTTTAATTTTTGTGAGTACATAGTAGGTGTGTATATTTATGGGGTACATGAAATGTTTTGATATAGTCATGCAATGCATAATAATCACATCATAGAGAATGGGATATCCATCCTCTCAAGCATTTATTCTTTGTGTTACAAACAATCCAATTATACTATTTTAGTTATTTTAAAATGTACAATTAAGTTATTATTGATTATAGTCACCCTGCTGTGCCAACAAATAGGTTTTATTCATTATTTCTATTATTTTTGTACCCATTAATCATCCCCACCTCTCCTCCACCCCTCACTACCCTTTCCAGCCTCTGGTGACCATTCGTCTACCCTGTATCTCCATGAGTTCAACTGTTTTAATTTTTAGATTCCACAAATAAGGGAGAACATGCAGTGGTTGTCTTTCTGTGTCTGGCTAATTTCACTTAACATAATGATCTCCAGTTCCATCTATGTTGTTGCAAATGACAGCCTCTCATTCTTTCTTATAGTTGAATAGTACTCCATTGTGTATATGTACCACATTTTCTTTATCCATTCATCTGTTGATGGACACATAGGTTGCTTCAAATCTTGGTTATTATGAACAGTGCTGCGGTAAACATGAAAATACAGAAATCTCTTTGATATACTGATTTCCTTTCCTTTGAGTATATACCGAGCAGTGGGATTACTGGATCATATAGTAGCTGGATTTTTTTGTTGAGGAACCTCCAAACTTTTCCCCATAATAACTGTATTAACTTAAATTCCCAATTTCCACATCCCTAGTGGCATTTATTATTGCCTGGCTTTTGGCTATAAGCCATTTTGCCATTTTAACTTGCGTGAGATGATATCTCATTGTAGTTTTGATCTGCATTTCCTTGATGATCAATGATCTTAAGCATCTTTTCCTATGTTTGCCACTTGTATGTCTTATGCCTTATTTTCAGAAATGTCTATTCAGACCTCTTGTCTATTTTTGATCGGATTATTGGATTTTTTCCTGTAGAGTTGTTTGAGCTCCTTATATATCTGGTTATTGCCCTTGTCAGATGGTTAAGTTGCAAATATATTCTCCCATTCTGTGGGTTGTCTCTTCACTTTGTTGATAGTTTCCTTTGCTGTACAGAAGTTTTTTAACTTAATGTGATATCATTTGTCTATTTTTGATTTGGTGCTGTGCTTTTAGGGTATTACTTAGGAAATTTTTGCCCAGGCCAATGTCCTGAAGATTTTCCCCAAAGTTTTCTTAGTCTGCAGAAAGTTTGATAGTCTGCAGACTTTAATTTAAGTCTTTAATCAATTTTTATTTGATTTTTGAATATGACAAGAGATAAGGGCCTCATTTTCTGTGTGTGTGTGTGTGTGTGTGCGTGTGTGTGTGTGTGCATATGGATATTCGGTTCTCCCAGCATCATTTATTAAAAAGACTGTCCTTTTCCTAGTGTATGTTCTTGGCACCTTTGTCAAAAATGAGTTCACTGTAGGTGCGTAGATTTGTTTCTGGGTTCTCTATTCTGTTCTGTTTTTCTGCCAGTACCATGCCATTTTGGTTACTATAGCTCTGTAGTATGATTTGAAGTCAGGTAATGTGATTCCTCCTTTTTTTTTTTGCTTAGGGTAGCTTTGGCTATTCTAGGTCTTTTGTGGTTCTATATGAATTTTAGATTTTTTTTTCTATTTCTGTGAGGCATTTCACTGGTAGTTCAATATGGATTGCATTGAATCTGTAGGTTGCTGTTGGTAATATGTATAGTTTATAAATATGGATTCTTCCATCCCATGAACATGGAATACCATTCCATTTTTTTGTTGTCCTCTTCAATATCTTTCATCAGTGTTTTACAGTTTTCATTGTAGAGATTTTTCATTTCCTTAAGTTAATTCTTAGATATTTAATTTTATATGTGGCTAATGTAAATGGGATCAGTTTTGATTTCTTTTGCAGATCGTTCCCCATTGGGCATATAGAAATGCTACTGATTTTTTATATGTTGATTTTGTATCCTGCAACATAATTGAATTTGTTCATTAGTTCTAAAAGTTTGTGGTGTGTTTGTGTGTGTGTGTGTGTGTGTGTGTGTGTGTGTGTGTGTGTGTGTGTGTGTGAAGTCTTCAGGTTTCTCCAAATATAGGATCATATAATCTGCAAGCAAGGATAATTTGATTTCTTTCTTTCCAATTGGGATGCCCTTTATTTCTTTCTCTTGTGTGATTGCTCTAGCTAGGACTTCCAGTACTATGTTGATAACAGTGGTGAAAGGGGGCATCCTTGTCATGTTCCAGATCTTAGAGGAAAGGCTCCAGTTTTTCCCCATTCAGTATGATACTAGCTGTGTCATATTTAGCATTTATTGTGTTGAGGAATGTTTCTCCTATACCCATTTTTTAGAGTTTTTGTTATGAAGGGATGTTAAATTTTATCAAATACTTTACAGCATCAATTGAAATGATCATCTGGTTTTTATTCTTCATTCTGTTGATATTATGTTTCACACTGATTGATTTGCATATGTTAAGCCAACCTTGCATCCCAAGGATACACCCCCCTTGGTTAAGATTAATGATCTTTCTACATGTATTGATTGCAGTTAATGCTGGTATTTTGTTGAGAATTTTTGCATCAATATTCATCAGAGATATTGGCCTGTAGCTTTCTTTTTTTGATGTGTCTTTGTCTGGTTTTGGTATCAAAGTAATATGGCCTCGTAGAATGAGTTTGGAGGTATTGCTTTCTCCTCAGTTTTTTGGAATAGTTTGAATAGGGTTGGTATTAGTTCTTCTTTAAATGTTTGGTATAATGCAGAAGTGAAGCCATCAGGTCCTAGGATTCTTTATTGGGAGAATTGTTATTAAGGCTTCAATCTCATTACTTTTTATTGATCTGTTCAGGTTTTGGATTTATTTCTGGTTAAATCCTAGTAGGTTGTATGTGTCTAGGAATTTCTCCATTTATTCTAGATTTTCCAATTTATTGGCACATAGTTGCTCATAGTAGCCTCCAATGGTCCTTTGAATTTCTGAAGTCTCAGTTGTATTGTCTCCTTTTTCATTTCTGATTTTATTTATTTGGGTCTTCTCTCTTTTATTCTTAGTTACTCTGGCTAAGGATTTGTCAATTTTGTTAAACTTTTTTAAAAAATCAATTTTTGTTGATCTTTTGTATTTTTTTATTTCAATTTTATTAATTTCTGCTCTGATCTTTATTATTAAAAGGACTTGGGTTTGTGATTTAAGCTGTGTCTACTTTAGGAGGCCCTCCATACCCAGTAATATTGTGGTTCTTGCAGACTCATATAGGTACCACCTTGACGGTCCTGCACAAGATCCGAGAGAATTCTCGGTATTACTAGGCAGAGACTCTTGTTCCCTTTTGTTACTTTCTTCCAAAGAAACAGTCTCTCTTTCTGTTCAGAGCTGCCTGAAGCTGGGTGTTGAGTGACACAAGCAGCCCTGTGGCCACCACCACTGTGACTGTGCTGGGTGAGTCCTGAAGCCAGCACAGCACTGGGTCTTGCCCAGGGCCTGCTGTGACCACTCCCTGGATACTGCCTATGTTCACTCAAGGCCCTCAGACTCTACAAGTGGTAAAGCCAGTCAGGTCTGTGTCCTTGCCTTCTTGGCAGCAAGTTCCCCAGTCCCCGGGCAGGTCCAGAGGCAAATTCGGGAGCCTGGGACTAGAGTCAAAAACCTTAGAAGTCTACCTGGTGTTCTACCGTACTGCAGGCTGAGTTGGCATTTAAACCACAAGACACAATCATTCCCACTCTTCCCTTCCCCCTTCCAGAGGCAGAGGAGCCCCATCCCATGGCCACCGCCACCACAGTTCTACAAGGGGTACTACTGCCAGCCTATGGCTAATGTTCTCCTTAAGGCCCAAGAGCTCTTGAGTCAACTTGTGAATGCTGTCTGGCTTTGGACTCACCCTTCAGGGAAGTGGGCTCTCCTCTGCCCCAGGGCAGGTCCAGAAATGCTGTCCAAGAGACAAGTTATTGTGTAGGGGACCCCAAAAGCCCAGGTGGTGCTCTGCTCCCCTGTGGCTGAGCTGGTATCTAAGGTACAAGACAAAGTCCCCTTTATTTTTCTCTCTGCTTTTCTCAAACAGAAAGAATCTCACCTCATAGCCACCACAGCTAGGAATGTGCTCAGTGTCAACTGATACCAGCAAGTCTCAGAGCTTCACTAAAGGCTCTCAACATAATACCTGGCTATCACTACTGGTTATTCAGAGGTCAAGTGCTCTTCCCTTAGCAGGTGATGAATCTTGCCAGGACAAGGTCCTTCCCTTCAAGGGAACAGGTTCTTTTCTGGCCGAGGGCATGTGTAGAAATGTTGTCCAGGAGCTAGGGCCTGGAAAGAGGACCTCACAACTCTGACTGGTGCCCTATCCTACTGTGGCTGAGCTGGTATCCATGATTCAAGACAGAGTCCTCTTTCTTCTCCCCTCTCCACTCCTCAAGTGGAAGAAAAGGGTCCCTTTTAGAGCCCATGAACTGTGCAGCTTGGGTTAGGAAAGTGGTGATGCCATACCCCCTTAGGTGCCCTGGTTAGTGTCTCAGTAGCTCATGTGTACCCAAGCTGTTGTTTCTGTGCCCAGCTCAGCACTAGGACTCCTATAATACTTGCAGTCCTTGTGCCTAGACTGCCTTTCAAGTTTATTAGGGCCCCAGAGCACTTTAGCCCACGGTGGTGAGGCTTTCAGGAACTTAAATTCACTGCTGGAACTGGTGATTCTATTTGACTAGGGCTGGTTTATATGTTCCCTCTGTAGGTGGGCATCAGTTGAGTTTCATCTGGTTTACCTTTCTGTTTTAACAGGACAGCATTGAGTTCATTGCCTCAAAATTGCTGCGCTCTCCTTCTGCCAGTGCCCAGAGATGCTCCCCACACCACACTGCACTGCTGGGGGATGTTAGAGGTGATTCAAGACAGTTTTTCCTACCTCTTCAGTGCCTCTTTCAGCAATATGAAGTTAAAACCAGGTACTATGAGAACTCACCTGATTTTTAGTTCTTATGAAGGTGCTTTCCTTGTGTAAATATTTGTTAAATTGTTTTCCTTGCCAGAGGAATGATCAGTGGAGCCTTCTATTCTGCCACCTTTCTCTGCCTCTCTCCAATCCTCTTACCTTTTTCACACAGCCTTCGTGGTTATCACAGAGACTTAAGATGGAATGTTAAATACACTCTTTTATATTGGAAATAAAATGAAAACCAGATATAAACAAATAAACAAGCCACGGAGAAAAGAAAACAAACTTTGAATAATTAATTTATTGTAACTCATAAGCCCAGCGTTGTATAAAAAATGTTGTCATCCTGTTATATTTCTTTGTCTTCTTCCTGTTAGCAAGAATTTGGCTTTTAACTTCTAAGCACTATCCCTGTTTCTCTGTAGTGGTGCATCCCAGAATGGCCATTCCTAGCTTTTTGATTAAATACTCTTTAAAATAGAAATCTGACCCTTTTGATTATTTCAGTTTGGCAGTGCGTTGATTATTACAGGTGCAGTATCTTTGCCAGACTTCACTGTATAACCTGGAAGCAAACGTGAATTGTTTAAAACCACTGAAATTTTAGAATTGTTTGTTGCTGAAGCACCACCAGTTTTTTTCTGACCGATGCACTGTCACTCAACTTCTGAAACTGCCATGGGGTATTTTGAAAATGTCTGGTGGCTTGCTGCGAGTAACTTAGTCTAATATGTGATGATGATGATCCTAATACAGTAATGTGTTTGAGTTACCAAAAAGAGATTATTTTTCTTGTGTTACACCTATAAAACATGTTTATGACTTTATTTGGCAATTTCTGGGATTTGGCCAATGTGATTTACAGATTTCAATGTGTTTCAGAGTTTTATGATTCTAGGGCTGAGAATAACAGATTTTCTAGGGATTTTGCCTATCCTGACAGCCATAAAAAAAGCAGCAGGATGTACTTTTGCAATCTAGTGGTCAGTTATTTGGGCATCAACGCCCACATAACCTGTATGAGAAGCTTCACAGAAAGTCAGTTTCTCCCACTGAGGTTTTATTTTATTGGGTTTAACATTTCATACCTGATATTTGGTTATTAGCTTATACATGTGGCAGTGAACTAAGTAGATGGCATTTAGCTGAGATCATAGGCACAAAATTACATTAAAAATTAAGATAGCAAGGTTCATTTACCATAGCTGCTTGCTAATGAAGATATATTACTAATGAAGAAATTTAGCTTGTAACAGGAACTTCCACCTGAGAGTGCAAAAAATACAGAAGCCACGAGTAAACTAAGACAAAGGCATGAGAAATTATTCCCAATTAAATATCAATCAGGTATTTTCTGAACCTCAGACTGCAAGAAAAAGTGTCCCTAGTTGTATAACCAAAGAATACAGGCACGGCTCTGTCTGATGTGATCCTAGACTAATTCGAATTTGAAGTTGTCAGTATACTCTCCCCAGTGTTCCCGTCCTTTCAAAATGCAATTGCTTATATCTTTGCTCTTGGTTCATGCCTTCTAAAATAGGGTGATACAAAACCAAACAGCACTCAAACTTTAGAATAACTGCTGTGACAGCAACAAACATGTTCTACATTTGTTCTCTTTCTTCTGCTGAAGTTTTGAAAATACTTTGACCTGCCAGAGTCAAAAAGCAGGGCCTATAACTTGTCTGATAGCTGGAACTGCATCTTTCTTGTTAACAGACTCCATGGTGTTTACTTGCATTCTAGAAGCACATGGTAAAATTGCAGGAAAAAGTCTTATCCTTTGGTTACTCACAGGAATGCTTTCAAGAATAAGCACAGCATAAAAAGTCATGAAATGGCAATCTCTGAGGCTGGTAAGTTGGAGACAGTAGTGTGCAAAACAGTGAGGCCAAATGAACAAATGAGGGTATGCCAGGGGCTCATGGAAGGCTAAAGTACTGAAAAATGTTCTCAGCCCAAGGATAGCAGATTGTGGAGTCTCACTATGTTAGTGGACAGCCTGATACCACTCACCTGTTGGGTTGTAGTTCAAACAATGAGTCTTGAGAAACCCAGAGGGGAATCTGGTGGAATATTCTGATGCAAAATGATGGTGAATTTTTATAGACCTCAAGCATTAGTCAATGTATTGTTTCACATGCAGGGTCCTCCTGTCCACAGTAGTTGAGTGTAAACTATATTTTTGGTGTTGATGTTCACTCAGTTCATAAAGAGTATTTATTGCATGCCTATGTGCTAAACCTAGGGCTATAAAAATAAACAAGTCCAAGGTCTTTTTTTTCCCAAGGGGACAAATCTAGTTGGCTCTGAGGGTTTAGATTCTTTATTCTTCTAGGAGTTCCTGAGGTAAGTGGCTCAGCAGGTCAGAGTTAATTCAATAGAACAGGCTGATACCAGCCACTGCTAATTCTTCCTGACAAAACCATTTTTAAACAGAGAGCATCCATTGGTACTAGTTACACAAGTGCTCCATGCTCCCAAGCCATATACATATGCGGAGCATCAGAGACATGAAGGCGCTGTATACCAGCTTGTTGGCCATAGGTATGAAGACTATGATGTTGGGTACTGAGAGTTCAAGGGTGTGTGTGCCTCCTACTTCTCTGATCCTAAGCTTGTCCCCAGTAAACTCCATGCTCTATCTGTACCACATGCTAGTGGTGTTGACAGTAACCCCTTTGCACAGCTCAGGAGGGGCACAGACAAGTAAAGAGCCAACCAACGTAGTCTTAAAGCATATAAAACAGCATTATTTCGCACTGCTGAGAAAGAGCACTAATACCATCAGCATTCTATGGGGCAGTTTCACGAAGATTCTGCCGATTAAGGAGGGCCCTAAATACTGAGTAAAATTTGGATAGAGGCAGGGAGGAGGCATTTGGAGTGAAGGCAAGTGGTTGAGAAGAGTGTAGGGTGCTTGGCTGGTGAGAAGCTTTTAGGGCTTGGATGTGTGTGCTCTCAGCAAATCACATCTGCCCTTTGCTAAGGACGCAGGGAGTAACTGTGCATTGGTTTATGCCACAGCCTTCCTAGAAATATCAACACCAATAGAATAGTTATGAACACGAAATCCTACAACATAGAGCTGAAATGCATCTGAGATCTATTAGAATGGTTTTTTTCTCTTCAAGCTGATTTTCCACCTTTCTTTCAAGGCATTGCTTTCTCTGAAGGGGGCAGCCTTGAACTTCTACACATAGCACACACTCTGTTAAACATTCATATATTTTTAAAGTTTGGATTTTACTACATTTTTCTTATAATTATGGTTTGGTATTTGATGGTAATAGGTAGGTTCTCTACCTTGTTCTCTTCCAGCAAGTAGGTTCACATTTTTGTATTCTGGAAGCTCTGGGGTTTGCATCTATTGCTAAAATAGAGTCAAAGTTGTCGGCATCAAAGGAGCAAAGCTCAATCCCCTTTAAAATTTCTAAGAAAACACCTGTGTCTAAATGCCAAGTAAACAATTTAATAATAATGTGACATTCTATATTTTCTAATAAAGTTTTTTTATGTCACTTTAGCAGAATAAATATCAAGAAAAAAATAGAAAGGTCACCTAACTGATTCTTTCTCAAACCACACAGTACCATTGACTAAAGTAAGAGTTTTAATTCATCTAAATTTCTCTGGACTGTTGAACAAAGGTTTTATAGATTTGAGGTTATGTGAAGATTATAAACTTAATAATACAACTCGACTTCACATACCCTAGCTTCTGCCTATAGACCATGACTTGGTAAAAAGGGCAGATGCACATGTTGTATTAAATATGAAGTTAATATCCATCCTCTCATTCCAACTACCTTCTTTTCTTAACATGAAATTTACTTTGACCTTCTCAAATAATAATTCTCTGTAGCTAGAAGAGGGCAGGGAAGGATAAATAATGAATGTTACAAAGTGATGGGCAGGCAGGGTAGGGGGGTGGGGGAATGACCTAGAATGTTAAATCTAGCTAAATTTATATTATGAAGGCAAAATAAAGACATAATTTAGTTCAAACAAAATCAGATGCAATCTTTTTTAGCCAACTTTCTCTACAAGATATAATAGAGAAATTTCTTCAGGTTGAAGGAAAATTATAGTACGTTAAAATTTGTATATACATAAAGGAATGTGCAGACTTGGAAATGATAAATATCTATGTAAATAAGACAAGTATTTTAGGTTTCTATTTAAAATATAATTAACAGTTTAAAGAAGAATTTCTCAAACACTTTTGTCTCATCATACCTTTGTAGTTGTGATAATTATTGAGGATCCTGGATAATTTGTTGATGTGGATTACATCTACTAATATTTTCTGTATTAGAAATTAAAACTGACATATTTATTAATAATATCTATTAATGAAAATATTTATTTATTTGTTTAAAACTAGTAATAATAACCCCATTTTATATTAACAAAAAATAATATCTTTTTAAGAAAAGTAACTATATTTTTCAAGGAAGAAAAACAATTAGTGAGGAGAATGGCATTTAAAAAATATTTTGCCAATCGCTTCAATTCCAGACTTAATAAAGAGCAGCTAAAGCATAATATGTGCTTTTGCATTTGGTCTGTTGCAATATCGTATATCATGTAGCCTTTGAGAGAATGAGAATGAAAGTGTAAGCAGTGTCTTACAATTATGAAAATAGTTTCCACCTCATGGATACCCTGAAAAGATCCTATGAACCACAGGAGACCCCAGACTGCACTTTTAGAACTATTTGTGTAAAGCAAAAATAATAGGACTGTACTTTGAAGTTTATGACATATATAGAAATAAAATATATGAAAACATTAGCATATAGGTTGGAAGGGAAAAATGAAAGTAAATTTTGTATGATTCTCATCCTTTACCTGTGGATTTATAATATAATTTAGAAGTAGCCTGGGGTAAGCTAAATATGTGTATTGGAAAGCCTAGAGCAATTATTAAGAATAAATAAATAAAACAAATTTAACAAATAATTTAAAAGTGGAGAATATTAAAATATAACATTAAAATAATCATTTAATCTTAAAGAAGTCAGGAAGAGAGGCAAAAAGAAAATATGAATATATGGCACATATAGAAAATAAACAATAAAATGCTAATCATGTGCCCAAGAATATCATAAATTACATTAAATGTAAATGGATCATAATCAATGACTTAAGCTTCTACCTAAAAAGCTAGAAAAAGAAGGAAAGACCAAGTTTGACCAAAATAAGTATAAGTAAGGAAATAATAAGGGTTGAAACAACAAAATAGAAAATAAAGCAACAGTATAGAAAATCAATAAAAGCAAAAGCTTGATCTTAGACTACATCAGTAAAATTAAAAAACTCTTATTACTCATTCTGATCAAACTTGTACAGGAACTGAAAACCTAATACCACATGTTCTCACTCATAAGTGGGAGTTGAACAGTGAGAACGCATGGACACAGGGAAGGGATCATCACACAGTGGGGCCTGTCAGAGGCTAGGGAAGGGATAACATTAGGAGAAATACCTAATATAGATGAGGGGTTGATGGATGCAGCAAACCACCATGGCATGTGTATACCTATGTAACAAACCTGCATGTTCTGCAAATGTATCCTAAAACTTAAAGTATAATTTAAAAAAATTAAAAATTAGAAATTAGAATAATGAAATATATTATGAATAAATTTGTCGAAAAAATCAACTTAAATAAGTATATAAATTCCTCAAAAGATGAAAACAAAATTGAAACAAAAAGGAAAATATTAAAATAACCTGTACCCCAAAATTAAATTTTAAATAAAAAGTTTTTTATAAAAATCTAAGTCCCAGATGGATTCACTGGTGAATTCCATCAAATATTTAACACAAAAGTAATACCAATCTTATGCAATAGTTTTTTAAGTAAGAGGACAAAACATTTTGCAAATCCTTTTATAAGGCCAGCATGGCCCCATTCATTACCAAAACCAGAGATAGTACAAGCAAGTGTAGCTATGACTCTTAAGAACATTTATGCAAAATCCTTTACAAAATCTTACTGTTTAGCAAAACAAATGCAGAAATATATAGAAAGACTAGTACTTAAAGGTCAAGTGAGGTTATTCTTAGGAATGCAAAGTTGGTTTATCATTCAAACCACAATCATTTAAATTCTCCACATGCAGGCAATATAGAAAAACTCTATGATTATTTCAACAGAAGCAAATAATAATTTGTGAGAATTCAAAATGTATTCATTATATTTTTTAAAAATCAGAAGATTAGGATTAGTTTTAAAAAAAGCCTTCTATAACCTAATCTAACCTAATACAGAATTTGAAAGAATAAAACTTCCTCTCTCAGTTTAAGAAAAGGTCAAGTATTTCTGCTCACACAGTTCTGCTAAGCCTTATACTGGAGATCTCAACCATTGAAATAAGGCAAGGGAAATAAATTTTCAAAATACAAAATAGAAATGAGGAAACAGGATTATTCTTATTCAGAGACATGAATGTGTCACACAGAATATCCTTAAAAAATTACAAATAGCAGAACTAATAAGTTATTTTTGCAAGACTACAGGGAACAAAGTCAACATACAAAAATAAAATGACTTATATGCAAATAAACAGTTAAAATATAAAATTTTGGAAATTCATGATTATGCCAAAACCAGGAGATAACCAGAGACAAATTTAATAAAACCTTGAATTTAATATTGAAGCCCTATACAATGAAAACTATAAATCATTCCTGAGAGAAATTATAAAAGATCTATATAAATGAAAACATGTATTTTTTTACTGGATTAGAAAGCTCAATATTGTCAAGACGTCAATTCTCCTCAAAGTGATCCATAGATTTAAGGTAATTCCAAATTAAATCTAATAAGTTTCTAAGGAAATTTAACAAGATATCTCTAAAATGTATGTGGTTATAAGCTAGAATATCCAAAATGATTTTGAAAGTGAAGCACCAAACTGGACAACTTACACTGCTTTGTCTCAAGAGTTTTAGAAAGCTAAAAAGCATTAATTAGGAGTTATAGGTGGATGTATGGGCCCACATACAGCCTTATTTTAGCTATGAGGCTGTAGAAATTATGACCGTTTTCAATGATGATTCCAGAATTCAGGATTCAGTGACAGACTGAGGATCATAAGGGATCGCCGCTATTGCTCTGTGCCTCACTTCTGCTCCAGGTGATGCTAAGGTTGGTGAGCCAGGGTTGGTAGACTCAGCACCTTTCCTGTCAGAGGCCCTGGCAGCCTGGAACACTGTGGGCTTTGAATGAGTGACACACACTTTGGCCTTATTTTGCTAATCCTTTACGCTGCCCTTGCAGACTCATCTTTTCAAAAGTTTCTCAATTCTAAATATTTTACTTTAAAAATGGCAACATATGTAGTACCAGGTATAAAACCAAAGGAAAACCCAAAAGAAGAAAATAGGTTTTAACAACTGTATAATAAGTAAACACTACTTAGAGCTATTTTTCTAAAGCCCAGAGCAGAGAGATATAGGCAAAAGTTAGATGAGTATTGAATGAATATTTAGAAACTGGTTTACACTTATCTACAGCAATAGAAGTCAAAACAGCAGCTGCATGCAGGAGGGATACTGAATGGAGAGGAGCACTCAGGTACCCTTGGGGAGCTGGAAATGTTCTATAGGAATATATGCATGTAAATATATAGACTCAGTTGAGCTGCACACCTATTAGTGCAGTTCTCTCTATGTGTGCTTCTTTCAATAAATGAGCACAAAACTGTGCTTGATAGAATTGATTTTGTTAGAGATGCTGATTGAGAGAATGCAAAATTAGATTTGGAAATATTTTATTGTCCTATACGAAAATTTCCTCCTTAAAATACATCTAAAATAAATTAGAGCAAGGAACAAGCAGGCTATGTTTAAACACAGAGCTCACTGGTCATGTGGGATCCAATTTAATGAGAAGGGACATAAAGCAATTTCCCATCAATGGAAGTCCCCATCACCCAGTCCTGGAGTTTTCCTGAAAGGCAAAGCAACCTCCTTCTGAATCTTCAAACACCATGGCCCTGAGCGTGCTGTATTTGTCTTTATTTATGACAGCCACACACTATCTCATGGCAGAAGACACCACTTAACCCAGGCATCCCACATGGAGGCTGTATGTACTGGCAGATTTTTAATGACCAGGACCACTATGGATCATAGAACAACTTGGAAGCTAGTTCTTTTTTTAAGCATTGACATCCATCAATCTTTCGCCTTTACCTAATGCTGCATTCAAAAGAAATATGTGGAGCAGCAGCAAATTAAAGAAGACCAAAATCTGAACCACTGCCAGGCTCTCTCCATGTAAGTGGGTTTCTTTGTTCTCCTTATAAGGCAAGATAATGAAGAACTTTTAACTAAGAGGGCGGGCTAATGTTATTATAAATTAATAATATAATGACTGATTCAGGGATAGACTGCTTAGATGGAGCATGGTAGAGTGTTGAAGTCCTGGGCTGGGTACACTGTGAAGGTCCTACAAAGAAACTAGACTCAATTTTCTAAGTGAGCAATTTACAGCTATTGCAAGGAAAACAAGCACGATGTTTAGGGGAGGAACAGATGTACCTAAAATCTCAGTGATTCAATGTAATAGAAAATTAGTTCTTGTTCCTATAAACTACAATAAGCATGTTCATTTCTGTGGGCCCATTCACGGCCCCATAACATGGGAAGCTCAACCTGTGTAGCACCTGGTGACCTCTCAGCTGGTTGAGGGAGAGACATAGTGGTGGGTATGTCTGGTGGGCTTTGAGGGTCAGGCCTAGTAGCAGCATCAATCACATCTGTCCACATCCAATTGGCTGGAAGTCAGTCATGTGGCTACATCTAGATAAAAAGTGTCCAGCAAAAGTAGCTATATTATGGAAGAGATGCATGAGTCTTTGGTGGCCTGAGAGCTGTCTCCACCACAGACAACAAAAGTACTGTTTGAAAATAATTTTCAAGACTATTAATACAGTAAGTTATTTTAATGGGTCCAAAGTATAAAATGCTTGCCTTGGACATCAAAATATCAAAGCAATTGGATTCAATTATCCAAAAATAATCTGCCAGAAAGACTTACCTTTGAAATAAAATAATTCCTACTTTAAGTGTAGAGCAGTAAGAAATGTATAAAAGGACTGGAATATATAAATTGAGAAAATGGAGTAAAGATCAATAATTCTTCATTAGGGAGAGTTAGGTATTAATTAATTTCTATATAAGAGTATGTGTGTGAAAATTTTAAAGTATAAACTTTCTTTTAAAGTATATGCTTTATTTAAACACAATATACAAAATTTATACAAATCAGGAGTGCTCACCTCAATAAATTTTAACAAAATGAACACACCTATAAAA
Source organism: Homo sapiens (assembly GCF_000001405.40). Taxonomy (NCBI): domain Eukaryota; kingdom Metazoa; phylum Chordata; class Mammalia; order Primates; family Hominidae; genus Homo; species Homo sapiens. The sequence goes on from NC_000005.10 coordinate 8,890,375, forward strand.
CCAGTACCTGGATCAAGATAAAAAAATGTTAAAGTGCTGCCTTCAAGCCCTCTCCTCCCTGACACCAATCACTGTGCCAAATAAAGTTAACTTCTGTCTTAGCTACAAGCATTTCAGGGCAATTCGATCTGATTGTGAATGTTATATGAATGGTGTCATACAGCATGTACCCTTTTATCAAATTGGTTTTCCTCAAAATTTTGTTTATCAGCTTTATTTATGCTGTGACATATGGCAGTGATGATGAAGAATACTCCATTGCTACTTCTAAAGCTTTTGTTTTGTTTGTTTGTTTGTTTGTTTTTTGAGACAGAGTCTTGCCTTGTCGCCCAGGCTGGAGTGCAGTGGCACAATCTCAACTCACTGCAACCTCCGCCTCCCAGGTTCAGGCAATCCTCCTACCTCAGCCTCCAGAGTAGCTGGGATTACAAGCAGGCGCCACCATGCTGGGCTAATTTTTTGTAACTTTAGTAGAGACTGGGTTTCACCATATTGGTCAGACTGGTCTCAAACTCCTGACCTCGTGATCCGCCCTCCTCAGCCTTCCAAAGTGCTGAGATTACAGTCGTGAGCCACTGTGCCAGGCCACTTCCAAAGCTTTAAATAGTTCCCAGAATATCATGTACACTCTTCTCTGTCTTTGGGATTTTTCTTTCCAACTTCCACCTAACGCTGTATTCTCATACATTTCACCTAAGCCTAAATCCCTCATCTAATGATAATACCTAACTTTATTGCACAGATACTAAGTATAGGGCCCTGAGATATGGAGATTGATAAATAGAGTTTCTAGGTACTCCTTCCTTAGCTTCTTTTGCAGTTAGGTGTGGCCATATAGCTAAATTTCAGCCAATGGCAAGTGAGTCTGTGTGATATCTGAGACTTGCAGAAATGACCCAATCCATCCTCTCTCAATCAAGTTTTTGTATTATTTCCTCCCCATGACCATGCATGGGGATCCTGGAAGCCACATGTTCAAGATGATGAAGGCACAAGAAAAAGGGGGGCTGGGCTCCTAAATCATTGCTCAAAGGAAAACCTTCTGCCATCCAGGAACACTGACTCTGGGATTTATGTATGTAAGCAGTAATAGCCTTCTACTTAGGTTTGAGATATTATACACACAGGATTTTGCTTTGGTTCTGCTCTGCTTGAAGTATACATACATGTTTATCTGCTACAGCAGCTGGAGTCACCTTAACTAGTATACCTGCTGCAGGGACACATGGCTGGCTGTCTATTGACATCTCCCCTACAGGTTTCACAGGGTCCTCAAGTTTGGCAGGTTCAAAATTTATCCTATTTCTCTTGCCCATCCCAACTCTATTGCACTCCCTCCACTGCATGCTGTATTAGTTCATTTCAATCTGCTATAAAGAAATATCCCAAACTGGGTAATTTATAAAGGAAAGAGTTTTAATTGACTCACAGTTCCACATGGCTAGGGAGGCCTCAAGAACCTTACAATCATGGCAAAAGGCAACGGGGCAATAAGCACCTTTTTCACAAGGCAGCAGGAGGGAGAAGAATGAAGGGGGAACTTCCAAATACATAAAACCACCAGATCTTGTGAGAACTCACTCACTGTCATGAGAACAACATGGGGAAACCGCACCCATGATCAAATCACCTCCCTCTCTCAACCCATGGGGACTACAGGGCCCTTTCTCAAAAGGGGATTACAATTCAAGATGATATTTGGGTGGGGACACAGAGCCAAGCCATATCATCCATCCCTGGTCTCTCCCAAATCTCATGTCTTTTCACATTTCAAAACCAATCATGCCTTCCCAACAGTCCCCCAAAGTCTTAACTCATTTCAGCATTAATTCAAAAGTTCACCCTTCCTTCAGCTTCATCTCCTGACACTTTTTCCAGGCACCCCACTCTGAATGCCCCTCTTCGGGACCACTGGCTCAGTCCTGGGCCTCTGCTGTGCTAATGGGCATGTCTTAATGTGCTTTTCCTGCAGGCTTTGTCTATTCTGTGTTCTCTGTCTGGCACACTCTGCATCATTTTGTGAGCCTCTGGGGCAACTACTCAGAGGTACCCTTTAACAAGATCTCCTTCCTTAGAGGGAAGCCAAGATGCTGTGGACTGAATTGTACATTCCCAAAATTCGTACATTGAAGCCCTAACCCCCAAAGTGATGGTATTACAGGTAGGGGCCATGGGAAGGACAAGGATTAGATGAGTTCATGAGCATAGGCACCCCCACGATGGGCTTTATAAAGAGAAGATGTGATGAGTTAATGATAATGGGATTTGAGATGAGACAGAAAGACCAAACCTCCCTCCTTCCTCTGTATGGAAACACAGCGAGAAGGCTGTACTGGCAAACCAGGAGCAGAGCCCTCACCAGTAACAGCCCTTACCAGCACCCTGACCCTGAACTTCCAGCCTCCAGAACTGGGAAGAATTCACTTCCGTTGCTTAAGCCCCCAGTCTACGTATTTTGTTATGGCAGCCTAAGCTGGGCCTAGAATGGTGCCTAGAATATAATGCATCCTTTGTAAACATTTGGCTTTTATTCCTCTTAGGTACTTATATCCTATTTTGTGTCACACTTTCACATTGGAATTTGAAACACTATTAAAAAAGCGAAGCCAGGACAATATGTTTGATGTTATTATTAACTTGGAGAAAATGCTCTTTATTTGCATTGTTATTATTTTTCAGGGCCTCCTTTTCTTATAGAGGTTGTCAGGGGAACATTCAGCACAGCACGCCTGACTCCAGTGAACTCGGAGTTAATGGACCCTGAATGAGACTTCAGTACATGAAGTACCTTCTATCCTGGAATAAGATGATGGACATATTAATAGCACACATACAGCTTTTGAGGCTGAAGATTCAGGTCAAGTTAATTGCTTTAAAAACCCAGTAATTTAACCTACAGAAAAACAATCACATTGGTAATAGCAGTCTTAAATATAGTTTTGTGTACTTTAAGACTTTAGTTAGTGTTTTTACACAAGATGAGAGAAACTCATGACAAATACAATGGCAGTGAAGATTAAACATCAGTAAAAGAAAAAGCACATGCAAGAGAGAACAAAAATGCTAATAACCAATTACATCAGATCCAGGAGAAAGTCAGCTATATATTCTTGTTGAGATTGAAACAAAAATGTGAAGATAATGTAATGGAGTTAAGAAGTGGTCAATAGTTGAATGCATCCTAGGCCACTTAACAAAACCAGAAACTCTCAGCCGTAGGAGAATGCAGATGCCCTTTCTTTACCAAACAAGGGGAGAGCAAGGAAACAAGAATGGATCACAGGATCTCATCCTTAAAAAAGTACCCATGGGAGATGTGGACGTTCCTTGTCGGGAAACCATCAGTACTAACTCTATTTCATGTACACAAAATGAGAATTTTGCCACAAACTTCTTGAACCGGAGATAGTAGACATATTCAGCCTCTGGATAGCCTACATTATAAAGAACAGAGATTCATCCCATCTCCTTCTTTCCCCAACAAAAATATAATCATATGAAAAGAAGTCAAGAGAACAATTCTCCAACCTGAGATTTCCTGTATTTTTTATTTTATCTCCCTATTGTTTCTTTTATTTGTCGTTGTTTTCATTCCAGTTTCAACCAGAGTCACATTTGCTTCCTAATCCAGTGCTTGTAAATTTCTGTCTTCTTGGATAATTGTTGTTAATAATTGCTGTGGATGATTCTCTAACTTAGGAAGGTATCTAGATGAACCGTTTCTTTTTTCTGTGACCTGGTGCTGAAGGGCATGTGTTGCCTGGGAAGTCAATAAAATGAGATGAGCATTATATCCTCAATTGCTTTTCAAACAGTCCTTTGATATGCAACAGTCCTTTGCCCCTTTCTGAATCAGCCCATCCTCCAAGTGTTCCCAGGTCACAGCGCTGTCAGTACCCATGGGACAGCATAAAAGGAAGAGGTGTGTTACTTCTTTTCTTCCCTTGAAGTTTTTTTCTTTGGTTGGTTTAACCATTAAAGATAAGGTTTGAACTTAATGAGCCTTTTATTCGATGTAAGTGATGTTTCATTTTTACATGATTCATCTAGCCTCAGATTAATTAAGTATAATATTTTCTATTTAATTACTGGGCATATTTAGGTAATTAATTTTTGAAGAGAAGAAGTGGTTTTGTGTAGGCTACTTTATCTCATTTTTTAATTGACTGAATTTTTTTTCTCTGTTAGACTGAAGAATATTCTATATAATTTTCATCAATGAGTTACGATAATTTTCTGTAAAAAACTTTCACAATAAGTTTTGTTCCATGAGCAGGTGGCTCCAAATCCTTCATCATTAACTCTGGTACCCTGCTTCCTTTCCCTCAATTCATTCCTATGGCTTCTTGGGAAATTCCTTAGAAGCAATTGACTGAGAAAGTAGAGACTCAAGCCTGGTTTACAAATGGTTCTGCATAGTATGCTGGTAACACTTGAAAGTCAGTAGGTAAAGCACTACCAGGCCACTCAAAGTCCTCTCTGAGAATTGGAGGTGGCCCCTTTTCCCTCTGAGCCTCTACACAGCACCAGCCTTCAACCTGGATGCCCAGAAGCTCTAAGACCTACTCTGGGTCTTCAGTGTTCTCAGGAGGCATGGGAGGCAAGAGGTTTTTCCAGAGGCTTTGTAGGCAGAGCTCATAGGCCCCTGAGAAATTATCCAGAGAGAAAGGAAAAGAGGCAGACTTGTATGCTTACGAGGACACACGGGGTGAGGACACACGGGGTTCCCTCTAAGGACTTCCACAAATAACTGGAGGCCCTTGAAGAAAAGACAGATGCTCCATCACTAACACAGAAGAAAGTTTTCAATGCAATGGCTGCCAACTGCATCATTATTTCACAGAGCCATGTCACTGCCCAATAACTATTTCCTATGATCTCTTGATTGAGATGTCTCACACCATTCATGCAGCTGGGCCACTCCCTCTCCTAATTAAATACATACATGTTCTCAGCATCTTTCACAATTCCAGGATAGCTTTACTTCTAAAACCGACAAAGATTGAAAAAAGGAAAAATAAAAACAAAAAAACACAGATATTTTTCCCCTAGTACTGGTGAAGGTATTTGGCAATGAGATGGAAATATAAACTGGAATAATGTTTCCAAAGAATAATTTAACCATCAAATCAAAAGCCTCAAGAGTGTGCCAGACATTGGCCCTGTAACTTCATTTATGGGAAATGTCTTAAGACAGACTTACAAAGATTGTCATCACAGCCTTGTTTGTAATGAAAGACTCGGAATCCACCTAACTTCCCACAAGCAAAAACTGGACATTCCTGACAGGGAAACTTTGGAACCACTCAATATGATGAAGAATATCCAACAATTTGTTGCATGGAACAATGTCATGTAGAATGTTAAGAAAGGAAAAACAAGTTAAAGAGTATTCAATTTCATATTTATAAAGATATGTATATATGAGTAATAATATAAACATCCTCACTGGAATAACACATTCTGAATATCAATTTGCCTTGTGAGCAGCACCATGCATAGACTTACAGAATTCTTATCCATCAGCATGGTATTCTGCACAATAATGCTTCTGATCTGCAACTTACTTCACAGCAATAAGTACAGCAATGGGCTTATATGCATAGAATTAACTGGTCTTATCACATTACCTGGAAGTAGATGGCCTAATTGCGCAGTGGGATGGTTTACTAGGGACTCAGTTATGGTACCAGTTTGAGCAGAATGCTCAAAGAGAATGACATTCTGTATTACAAGATGTAGCATATTTTTTTGAATTGGAGATCACTATATGATGTTTTCTCCCTCCAGAGGCAGAATACTCGAGTCTAAGGATCAAGGTGTAGAAGGTGGTCCATCTCCTTTCAAAATTATTCCTAATAGCCAACTTGCAAAAGCATTGCTTTTTGTCCAAGAGATCTACTGGTTTTGAGGTCTTGTTTCCTAAAGGGTGAGAATTCACTGCATTGGAAAATGAGACTGCCATCTGGACATTTTGATCTTTTTATGCCAAGAGAGAGAAAATGAAATTACTCTGCCTGGTGGAGGAATTGATTCTTATTATTGAGGAAAAAATCCATTGCTGCTACCAACGGAGGGTAAGGAAGACTGTGTCTAGAACCCATAATGGTTCTCAGGGCTAATGCTTAGTACTCCCCATTCTCAACATTAAAAGTTAATGAAAAACTATAGTAATCAAAATAGAATTTTTGAGCATCAATACTATACAGGATTTGGGCCACTCCACTAGAAAAGGAACCCTGACCAGCTTTGGTTATGGCTGAAGGAAAAGGGAATGTGAAATGATTAGTAAAGGAGAAAAAAAACAAAAACAAAGATAAACTACAACCATGTTACCAGTTTCAAAACTGAGCATTATAGTTTATTTGCATATTATATTATTTGTAATAAAATAAAACTACAGTAATCAAAATGCACTTTTTGAGTATCAGTACCGTATAGGGATGAGGATTTGGGCCACTTCACTAGAAAGGGAACCTTGACCAGCTTTGGTTATGGGTGAAGGAAAGGTGAAATGTGAAATGATTAGTAAAAGAGAAAAAAAAGAGCTATCAACTACAGCCTTGTTACCAATTTCAAAACTGAGGATTATTGTTTATTTGCATATTTATATTATTTATATTTAATAAACATTTTCCTTCTTCATTTTTATTTTATGTACAAGTTGTTTCAAAATAACTTTATATAGTTTTTAGGTAGTAGAATATTTAATGCTGCCGTAACTGAATTTGACCAGTAATTAATATAGCCAACAAAGGAATCCAACAGACTGCTACAACTGTGTGCATCTTCCTGATAGAAAAAAAGGATAGCTTATTCAATTATATGGAGGATGGCTTCCCCTTTTTAGGTGGAAACACAGAGTCACATTATTGTACAGAAGTTCAAAAATGTGTAGAAGGGTGCACTGGAAGCTGAGAGTCTAAAGGAACAGTCTGTATCATGTAACAGTTGATTGCCCCTTGGCTCAAAGCTACATTTTTTTCACTCTTCCTGGTTATGCTAGACCTGTACCTGTGAACATTTATTATTTGCCAGCTGACAGGATATTTAAGGACACTGAAGAGTCACTGCAAGAGGTAGAGTTTCATCTTCTTCCCACAGCATGGCTACCCGAGGCACACCACCTCTAGGGAATTTCCCATGTACCTCCGTAGTTAGTTTCCTACTGGCCAACCGTGTCCCACGGCACCTCAACACACTTCACTGATCGTGAATAGTGGTTTGTTGCTGTTGCTACTTGTTATTTTGGGAGAGCTGGATTGGGGCCCCCAGGTATATTCTCCTCAGTAAGGTTTGAATCTCAGCCTTGGGGGTTGAATGGAGAGGATTTTCCACAACAATTCCTTCCGTAGGTATTTTCTCTCATCCTTCAATATTCCACTTTCAGTCTTGCATAGAACAACTAGACAGAAGATCACTAAGAAAATTGGAGGCTTGGACAATACTACAAACCAACTAGGTGTAATAAACATCTATAGAACACTCGCCCAACATACTCTTCTCAAGCGTGCACGGAGCAGTCTGCAGGAAAGGTAATGTTGTTTCATGAACAAGAAAGACTCAACACATTTTGAAGGACTGAAATCATACTTTTAAAAAATTGAAATCATATATAGTATGTTTTCTGATCACACTGGCTTAAAATTAAAAGTCAATAACAAAAGGAGGTTTTGAAAATGTATATGTATGTGGAAACTATAAAAGATGCTCCTAAATAATAAATGGGTCAAAGAAGAAATTATGACTTATGTCTTTTAAGTATTTTAGCCATTGCGAGTTATTTTTGTACATAATATAAGGGTCTAATTTCAAATTTTTTTGCAAGTGAATATCCAGTTTTCTCAACACCGTTTTTTGAAAAGACTGTCTTGTCCCACAATTGGAATTAGAAAATACTTTGAGATGAATGAAAATGAAAAGAAACAACATAATGGAACTTAAAAAATTCAGCAAAGGCAGTGTTCATAGGAAAATTTTTGGCTGTAAACATCTACACTAAAAAAGAAGGATCTAAAATCAACAACCTAATTTTCCATCTTAAGAAACTAGAAGCCCAGATGAGATGGTTCACACCTGTATTCCCAGCACTTTGGGAGGCCAAAGCCGGAGGTTCACTTGAAGCCTGGATTTCAAGACCAGCCTAGACAACATAGTGAGGTCCAGTCTCTACAAACAAAATTAAAAAAAAAAAAATAGCAAGTGTGGTGGTGTATGCCTGTAGTCCTAGCTGCTCAGGAGGCTGAAGTGGGAGGATCACTTGAGCCCAGGAGGTGGAGGTTGCAGTGAGCTATGATCATGCCATTGCCCTCCAGCCTGGGTGACTGAGCACAACCCTGTCTCTATAGTAACAAAAAAGGAAAGAAAGAAATTAGAAAAATATAAGCAAACTAAACCAAAAGAAAGCAAAGAAAAGAATAAAAATTAGAGCAGAAATTAACCACATAGAGAACTAAAAATCTGGGAAAAATCAACAAACCCTAAAGTGTATTCTGTTCTTTGAAAAAAAATTAAAATGACAAACTTTCAGCTAGACTAATCAAGAAACAAAGAAAAGATGCATGCTGGACCAGATAACCTCACTGCTGAATTCTATCAAATATTTAAGAAATATTAACACAAATCCACCATAAAATCTAACAAAAAAACAGAAGGAACATTTTCTATCTCATTCTTTGAGGCCAGTGTTACTCTGACACCAGAACAAAGGACATTACAAGAAAAGAAAACTACAATCTAATATTCCAAATTAATAGGGAGAAGATGCAGATCTCCAATATGGAGCTTCAAATAAATTGTTTACATACTCCAGTCTGAAGGAGAGGAATCATGACTCTATAGTCATTAAGTTTGAGCTGCAAACAGTGACTTCCTTCCGAAGACTGCCATATGGAAAGAAGGAATAAATAGAGTAACTTTGCAAAAGAGAAACCTTATAAACACTACATTGGCCTGGTGATCAACGTCAGTATTAACAGTTATAAGTCATGTTTAAAGCATGGACCCTTGATACAATAAAAATGGTGTTTTACTTCTGTAATCTTCCCCCCAAAAGCCCATAATCCCAATCTAACCATCAGAAAATCATCAGATAAATTCTAATATAGACGGATATCCCATAATATGCATGAGCAGTATTCCTCAAAACTGTCAGTGTCATCAAATACAAAGAAAATCTGAGAAAATATCACACCCAAGAGAAGCTAAAGGAGACATAATAACCATTAAATGTAACATGATGTCCTATATCTCGGAAAAGAAAAAAAAAGGTAAAAACTAAAGAAATCTGAATACATAATGGCTTTTAGTTAATGATTTATAATATTGTATGAAAAATGTACTGTCCTAATGCAAGACGTTTATAATAGGAGATACTGTGTGCAAGAATGTGTAGGGGAATTGAATATGGAAACTGCTAACTGCTCAATTTTTCTGTCAACATAAAATTGTTACAAAAACTAAGGTCTATTCATAAAATTTATTTAAACACTTTAAAATGGGTAAAAGGTTTGAATAGACATTTCTCCATAGAAGATACACAGCTGGCTCATGAAAGATGCTCAGCATTGTTAGTCATTAGGGAAATTCAAATCAACACTGTAACAAAATGCCATCTCACATCACATCCACTAGGAGGGCTATAATAATTTTTTACGTGAAAAATAATAAGTGTTTGGAAGGATGTGGAGAAGTCAGAATGCTCATATGTTGCTGGCTACATTGCTGAATCTGAAGTGATGCAACCTGTATGGAACACAATTCGGCAGTTCCTCAAACCCTCAAACATGGAGTTACCACATGACCCTAAAATTCCATTCCTAAGTATATACCCAAAGAAATGGAAAACATATGTTTAGACAAAAACCTGTACGTAAATGTTCATAATAGTATTACTATAATAGTCAAAAGAAGAAAACAACACACATGTTCAGCAACTGAAGAATAAAACACTTTTTAATGTGTTCTATTGATGCAATGGAATATTATTCAGCTATAAACATGAGTGATGTACTGATACATGCTACATGAAGAAACCTTGAAAATATTACACTCAGTGAAAGAAGCCAGGTATACAAGGCCACAAATTGTATGATTCCACTTCTGTGAAATCTATAAAGACAGAGTAGGTTAGTTGTTGCCAGGGGCAAAAGGAGGGGGACATAGGGAGTGGCTGCTAATGAGCATGGCTTGTTTTGAAAGCAGAGTGATGAAATTTTTCTAAAAAAAGATTGTACTGATGGTAGTCCAACCTTGGGAGTGTGCTAAAAATAGCTGATATGTACACTTTACAGTGATAAATTTTGTGGTATGTAAATTATACCTCAATTAAAAAAACTTTTATAAGGGGCATAGCGTATAGGAAATTCCGAAGTGAGTTTATGGAGGAAAACAGTGATTACACTGTGGAGGTTGGCTTAGACTAGATCATAAAAAAATTTTATATCCATCCTAAACTAAAATTTTACTTAATTGAAAATTAAGAGAAATGTTTTTAACAGGAGAGTAGAATGATCAGGAATGAGTTTTAGATACTCATTGTCAGGGTAGAGTGACAGAGAAGGAGACTAGAAGCAGGGGCAACAGTTGGGGGCTCATTGCAATCGTCCTAGTGGGAGACAACGAGAGTGTGAACTAAGATGAGACAGAGCAGCTGAAGGGTCAGGAGAGTAGAGTGCACTGGCCACAGACACTGGGCATGTCTATTAAGAAAGGGGAAGAATCAAAGATCCCTGGAAATTCCTGTCTTAAGGCCTGGAAGACAAGGTGAATGGACATGCTATGATCCCAGGAGGGGCTTATGAAAGGAAGAATTATTTGGGTGGGGAAGTGAGTAGATACACTGTGGACATGTTGAGACTGAGGTGCTTATAGTATATCTGGGTAAAGATATCCAGTTGATGGTTGAATATTTCTGTCTATATTTCAATAAAGGTATCTAAGCTGGAAATATGATCCTACATCTATAGTTATATAATTATAATTTTATATCTCTAACCTATAATATAATTTTAAACCTATCATTATCCTGTAACTGGTAATTAAAGTCACCAGAATCCTTCACCTTACCAATTAAGTCACTTAATTTGAGATAAGTTATGTGAACTCTCAGGGCACTAAAATATACCAGACACAGACAAGTGTCAGGAAATTCACAGAAAAGAAACACTAGCACTGAGACCCCAGGAGAAGAAAACACATAATCTAGGGTTGCCCCATCCTATCCCCAAATCCACTGCTTGATTGCATCCTACTCTCTCTTCACCACATATTCTAAAAAAAAATTTTATGCTGATGCATAATAAATAGTGGGAATTTTAAACAATTTTCTTGTTTCAGGAGCAAGTTTATCAGCTTAGATGTCTTGGACATTGCCTAGATACACTGACAAGTGTTTGAAACTACTATTACTTTAGGGCAGCATATAATAATCTTACAAAGCAAGCCACACCTCATGACGAGATCATTTCTTATATAGTCCCAAGGCATGGGACTAAATTCCTGATTCTACCAATTAGAGAAAAAGCCTTTGCACCTGTCTATGTCTGCAGAGTGACCAGCTTTGATATGCATGTGTATGTTGGAGGTGGGAGAATTGTTTTATCTTATTTTACTTAATTTCTTGTTTCATCTACCCTGGATGCCTTTCTGTAAATTATTAGATATTCCCATAACAGACCACTGAATGACACATTATCATGGAATGAGAATTTTTAAAAATACTTTTGTCATTTCGTTACATGTAAGAGAATAAATTACTGGCATCTTATGCGAATGATGAAAAAAAGATGCTCAAAATATATTCCAGAGCAATTTATACTCACACTAATAAATCTATGGAAAAGTAAGACAACGTTGCTTCTAGAAAGAAGCATCTAATATTTTATAATATAATAAATGAACCATTCATTGAAATGAATATTACTCAGATAAAATAAAAGGTGCATAGAGGGCTGGAAGCCATGAAGAAAACAGCCATAAAAACAGATTATGTGGTAAGAGAGGTCAGCTTTTCTTTCTTCCCTCAAGCAATCATTGTATTGAAAGCACCTAGATTTCACCAACAATAAATGTAAATTTCAATTATTAGAGGTTGACAGGGGCCCATCTGGGGAGTCATTAGCAACAAAGTCATTCATTCATTCATTACACTCACACAAGTAATAAAAATGGATATCCCAGCTTGATTCCTGCAGTTATTGTTTTATAATAGAATTGGAAAGACAATATGACAGAGGTAGATAGGCCAGTGAGAAAGACCACTAACCTTGGAATTCAATCACCCATGCTCAAATCTCACTACTGCCAATGGCGTAAATCACTCAAGCAGAGTTTCAGTTTTCTCCTCCCTAAAATAGGTATAATATTTTTTGCCCTACTTCTCCTTAAATGTTGTTTTGGAAGCTAAATAAGACTATGTACTACTTTAAAAGTGTATTAGTCCATTTTCGTGCTGCTGATAAAAACATACCCAAGACTGGGCAATTTACAAAATAAACAGGTTTATTGGACTTACAGTTCCACATGGCTGGGGAGGCCTCATAATCATGGCAGAAGGCAAGGAGGAGCAAGTCACATCTTGCATGGATGGCAGCAGGCAAAGAGAAAGAGCTTGTGCAGAAAATCTCCCGTTTTTAAAACCATCAGATCTCATGAGACTCACTCACCATCAAGAGGACAGTGCAGGAAAGACCCACCCCCATAATTCAATCACCTCCCACCAGGTCCTCACAGGACACACAGGAATTGTGGGAGTTACAATTCAAGATGAAATTTGGGTGGGGACACAGCCAAACCATATCAAAAAAGGAATAGTCATTTCTAAAGTATGGTGCCATTAGTGTTAATTTGATCGTCAGAAGATGAGTGTTGGGAGTGCACTTAACCAATCATGGAACACTGTCGTTTCTAGTGCCGAGCATGGTGTACTGGATTAAGAATAAAATCAGTTACATGTGCATTTTGTCTTGCAACACTTGCTGTGGCAAAAGTTGCTTTTTTCTACTTCACTTAAGTTAAATCTGCTCTGACCCTCGCCTGCCTAGGAATTGGGAAATCCAGTCTCAATCACTATTCCTGTTGTATACTCACTGCTCCCTCCCCGTGCAGGTTGTACAAGATCCTGCTGGTCTGTGCTGCCATAAGCCGGCCTCGGCAATGATCTCAACTAAGTTCACAATGTCCTCTTAGAGCTGCAGACAGAGATGGAGCGTGTGTGCTCCATTAGAATCAAGGGTTTCCCTTCTCTGTGGCAACCATGGGTTTTTATCAAACACCTTTGAGTTCAGCCTCCTGATTTTGTGCATTCGATCACAGTGCACATCAACTCAATGCATCCCAGAACTTTCAGAATCTCCCATCCTTCTCATGCCCTAAGTTCAGAGACAGCCTTCTCTCCTATCCTGAGTCAGTCACTTCTGCTGCCTCAGCTCTAAGCAGCCATCTCAGGTCTAGAAAACTCAGGACAATGGCCTCCAGTGAGCTGGAAGCACAGAAACTATTTCCCCCTCGTAACTCATCCTCAAAGCCTCAGGCCTTCACAACCAGAAAGAGAGCCATTAAATAAAAAGGTAGGAGCCGGAGATGGTGCTGCTTTATTCTTTGATAATGAAGCTCTGGCTCCCGTACCATTTGCACCACCAAAAACAATTAAATAAATAGCACTAGTTAGTTTCTTCTCTCTTTAATAACTCACACAGTCACACGCATATAGAGACAGGCACATGCATATACATGTAATTTATTGCCTACTGAGTACCTATCTATTTCTTAAGTAGTTCCTCCTACCAGTTCTAATTTTATTCAAGTGGTCTTTATATTCAGGTAATTTATCAGAAGCAGGTTCTATCCACACATTCATTATTCACCATTCACTCATTTAGCAACCCTTCTACCACCCTTATTTTGTTCTAGATATTTTTTCAAATATTGATTCAATAACTCACAACCCTTTGTAGGTGTGTCCCCCCAAATAATCTAAACAACAAGATTTAGTCCATTCTCATTGCCAGTGTTGAGATCTGGATGGGAGACCTAGCAGCATCTGGGCCAATGAAATATAAAGAGAAGTTTCCCACTGGCTTCATGGGAAGTTCCCATTGCTCCCCTGGGAGAATGCTCAGGAGCAGCTCTCTGCATCCCCAGGTGTGAGAATGCTTCGAGTCCCGGGTCCTGATAACTCCATACTCAGGGAAACAGCCCTGCTCGGAACTGGACTGTGCCACGGGGACTGAAGAGACAGAGAGTATGGATCCCCTATGGCCCAACTGAGCAAGAGAACCCATCAGCACCAAGGCGAGTGGGGCACTTGTATCTCCAGGGTGTGACCTCAGGGTCACTTCTTTACTCCCTCACTAAGCAGTTAGCAGTAGGTTCTACCTTCAATCTGCTGGAAATACTCCCACTTGTTCGACAAGCCCTCCAAGCTGAGAGAATCAGGTTGTTTCTAATTATGTGGACAATGTACAGTGATAGAGATAAGTGCCTGGTAGAAGTTGACTTTACATAGCAGACCTTGTCCCAAAGAGCAGCTTCCCTTTTAATTATGGGCAGATGTTTCCATAATTTGACTCTTCCTCGGTCTTAACACTTAAGTAGGTAAGAAAAATTATTCCATGGGACATGGTCAATATGCAAATGAATGACAATACTCACACAATCAATTATAATTAAATTTATCATGCTTCCAGCTTTCTCTGATTTATTATGGAAAGATAACTTGTCAGAAGAGTTTGAACTAATTATAGAGTAGAATTTTGGTCTCCAGTTTCTTTCCCTGAGGCATTATTGAAGTCAGCCAGTGGCAGTGATTTAAAATGCATTCCATTTGGAAGCCTGCCAGAGGAACGCCCTACTCTTACAGAAGTAAGAGGCAATGAAACAACTCCGTATTTTCAAAGGCCTCTTTCAAATTGTATATCAGCAAAATTCCTGGAAAATGTGTTTAGAATTCAGCCACCAAATGTGTTGGTTCTTGTCTGGTCACATTTCCAAGGTACTTGTTGAACCAACACACATCTTCCCAAAGTCACAGATGAAGTGTCTCAACTTCCATCAGTGTAAAAAGGCAAAGTGGAGCTCACAATGTATGGCTTGTACCAATTGGCAAGAACTGGGGGCACATTAATTCTCATCTTTCCACCTCAGTTCCCTTTTTTTGTAAAATGGCAATAAACCTCTCTGTTTAAAGATTTATGAAAATTAAATGAGACTGTATTTCTAACACTAAGTACCATGACTGTCTCATAGGAGGTATGCAAGAACTATTTGTGTTCTCCTCTTTTTCTAAAAGTTCAAAAAATAACATTCACCCAGTCTACTATTCAAGTTCCTCCTGAACTGGGCTCCCGTTTACCCTTTAATCTCATCTTGAACTTCTCTCCTAGGTCCTGCCTTTCTCTGTGAAGCCATCTCTATACATCTTCCAATCACTATGCATTACCCCAACAATCCACGCCTCTGTCCTTGCTTCTCTCCCTGCCAGGCAGGCTTCACCCTCCTCTCAGCACTCACGGACCTTGGAAGCCCAGTTTGCAGCCTGCATCTTCACGAAGGCCTCTGCCTGCTACAGACTCCATGGGCTCTGCCTTCATTGTGAAGCGCACTTCTGTTCTGCGCCGTTCTCCCTCAGAGGTTGTTTCCCCCTCACCTGCTGTCCCACAGTGTTATTCAACTTCAGATGCCTGGCTTCCCAGCGGCTGGACACTAGGCTTCTTGAGGGAGGGAGGCACAGTATCATGCCCTATAACACAGTGGCCACAGGAGATTAGTTGCCCCTCTCTACCCACTGAGGTTTTACTCCTCAACTGTGCCCCACTGGGAAAGTGGACAAACTAATTCATCTTCTCTCTCATTACTTTGATAATTGGGCAGAGTATTCTTTATTAAACATGGCATAATTGAATAAGATAATGCCTTTCTTAATTTGAACCTGTCTATTTACAAATTACAAAATTAAATTATATGATCAAAATCAATATAAATGGTTTCAGAACAAGTAGTTTGACTTTGAAACTATTTTCAGAATGAACAAGAGCAACTGGGTCATTCTGCAAGTGTAGCGCCTTTGTGGGTGTATGCAACAGCTCGCCCTGGCACTGTGACAGGCCAGGCTGTGTGGCACTGACGTTAATGGCAAGAGATGGGGATCCAGAACACCTGGGCTCTAACCACGTCCTGCCACTAACTGGTCATGTAACTTCAGCTTCTTAATTAACCTCAACCAAGACCCTCATCTGTAAAATATGATGATAATAGCGCCTACCTCATAGGGTTGTTTTGCGTGGGGATCAAATGAGTGCATACACCTGGAGCGCTTGCAGCAGAGTCTCGCACGTGGAGTTTGCTCATTAACCCCAGAGCTCCGCATTGGGCAATGATGGAATGATGTCTACTAGGGGCAAGGCACGGATGATTCACCACCACAAAGCTCACAAAGAGGGAAACAGGACAGAAAAATCTGGAAACGGGCACTCCCTGGTATAAGCAAAATCCCACAGCTGTCCACCATTGACAGCAAATGGGTTCCCAAAACAATAGAGACTGAAAGTAGTAATTATATTTTAAATATTTTATATGATACAATTTGATTTCTTTCAATTTATATTTTTATTAGTGACACGATTCCTCTAGTGAACTACAAAACTTGTAACTATTAAACTTAAAGAGCAAACTGCCTAATCTTAATTTCAGTCAGATTATCTCATCTATACATCATGCTTTAGTAGAAAATATGTTAACCTGGACTCTAAATTCAGCATGAAAAGTTACGGCCACATTTTCCTCCCAAAACCTCAGTGTCTTTATTTAAAGCAACACAAACCGAACACCTACCTTCACTACTTAATGAATTTTTTGAGAGTTTGAATTGAAATAATTTATGGGAAAGATGTGAGTCACCTTAAACCACTGTAGAGGCACAAAGGCCTATTAGGAAGCTGAATTTACAACATAGAGTTTAAATTAAAAATTTCTGAGTCACAGGTATTCAATGTGTCATCTGTTCAAAGTTTACATAAAGCAAGAGGTTATTATTTTAGTCTGGTTATGATGTTAGCTTTTTGGAATTCACATTTAAATCAAACTGGACAGTAGGATGGAATCTGGACTTTTTTTTTCAAATCTCCTTCAATTATTAATAGATCGATATTGCTATGTGTGTTTGTGTGTAAGAATAAAACACATAGTCATATACGTTAATGTCAGCACTTCCTGGAAAAACCACGGCTTAAAAGCACGTACTTCTGCTGGAAAACATAGATTCAACAATTGTTTAACAGACTATAAGAAAGCACTTGATATCAGATTATTTACTCCTCCTACTACTCCGGGCGACCTGTAGCCACTTGGCTTTCCCTGCATGGGGTACCGTGGTGACAGGAGTGCCATGGCTGTGGGTTTCTCTCCCATTTACCTGCCATGACCAGGGGACATGAGAAAGGAGTTGGGGAGACCCCACAGCAAAGCAGCACTGTTCCTCTCTGTAACTCATTGCTCTCTCCTCAGTAGAGAAGTCGCTGGGGAGGTGAAGAATTCTTTAACCTCTATTTCCTCATCTATGGAATGAGGATGATGGGACCAGCCATCACAGAACAGAAGTAAGAATTAAATGATAATTCAGGGAAAAAGTTGTTGGAATCCTTCATCTCTGTGTTCTCTTCCCTCGGTGCCTCCCTGGACACAGGTCCCGTGACTACAGGTAGTGGAAGTATGCAGGATGCCCTGTGCTAGGTCTGGAAACGTCAAAAGGAGCATCTCCATGGAAAAGCTTGCAGTTTTATTTCTTTGTTTTCTGTGAGCGCTTTTTAGAGCTCCAGACTTCTTAGCGCCTCCTTAGGGTTGGCACAAGAGTGAGGGAGACATAGGAGCAGTTCAGCTTCTCTCCACCGGGGGCAGCAGAGAGTCCACCCCAACAACTCTAAAGTGGAGATATTTTTCCTCTGTAAGAAAGAAATTGAGAAGGATAGGTGACTTTCCCAGTGTCACAGAGAGAGTGCACATGACTCATGGTTGGCTGGGTTTAGACTGGATCTTTTGGAACATCCTGCATGTCTTTGGCAAAAAGGAGACCAGCCCACCTCCAGGCACCTGGTCACCTGGGCATGAGATGAAAGAGGGGATATGGGTTTGTCACTCCTTGGAGCCACAAAGCTTGTGCTTGAGGAGAGTATCTCCTTAGTTGGAACATACAAAGGGGCCTGTCCTTCTTCCTATCCAGAGCTTTAGCACTCTTCTCTCCAGTGACGTGGAACCACCGGAGGCATCTGAACCAGCTAAGGGATGCCCAACTTCTGTAGCTCAGAATGACTTGACAGGTGGCCCACTGGAGTGGAAGTTTGATGAACTGACCTCTCAGCAAAGCCATTCACCTGGTAAAATACTATATTCTCCATCATATAGCATGCCTTCGTCTTTGCCAAAACATTTCTTGTTCAGTACTAGTGCATGACTCTACTGCAGGGATTCTGTTTCATTGTTGAAAAGGAACAAAAGAAATATTCATGTAGTGAATTTGAAACTACAGAAAACTGGACTATTTAATGGTATTTACTTCAACATTTATCATAAAACAACTAAATCTATTCTGAATGTCATAAGAGGATGTTGTCCTGGAAAAATTTACTTTCTAGTTTATCTTATTTATGACAAGGATTTGTTGGCAGCAATGAAAGTCTTTCAAAACAAGAGTATAATGATTTGTAACTCAGCCGAGTTCAGAAGTCCTGGTTTAGTAAGATGCAATTAAAGTATAGATCCTCATTAGATGGTATTCCTCAAAATGGTTTACAAATCCAAATGGACAAGCAATTGTTTCATCCATGTATTGTTATTATTAAATATTTATGATTGAATTTTTGATTTAAATGTATCTCAGTTGCATGCATTGAGGAACACTTTTCATAACTGGGAAAAACAAATACTACACAATTTGGATATTATGATGTGAATGTTTTAATAGATTTTCAGAATACTGTGATTTCTCAGAGGTGATATTTATAGCTTAATATAAATTCTGAACACAATATGTCAGATGTGTGACATTAAGCATATGTACTTATACTTAAATATTAATCTAAGGTGTGTGATACCAGGTAACAGGAAGAGTAGATAAAGATATGTCCAGGGTGGCGAAGTTATGACACAGAAAACATAAAACCCCTTCTGTAGACATCACACAGAAATTGTGCCAACTCCATGGAGAGATAAGAACAGTAACCTTTACATCTTCACAAAAATGAGGCAGTAATAGTGCACAAAAATTGTGTACTTAGCGTTTGCCAGGCATCGTGCTAAGGATTTTACATGCATGTCTTATTTAGTCATTAGGATATTTTGGGGAAAGAAAGGCAGAGCTCAGCAACAGGGAGGAGTGGTGGACCTGGCTAAATGAAGTGGTACCAAAAAGTACCATGTTTTGGTTGCTAGGACATTCTCTACCATCCAGGAAGAATTTTCTGCAAAGTGAGAGTTTCTTGGTGGTCAGAGTATGCATGCTAAAGACTTTTGATTATTCTGAGCAGCCAGTAAATTAGTATGGTGTAGTGATAATGAGTAATAACAGAGAAAATGTATTCAGGAGTAGGGGTAATTAAATAGGACTAGGTCATAAAAGAAAGGTGAGGACTTCCTCCTCTGCAGTCAACTAAATCCTGAGGTTAGAAAGATGCATCAAGTCGAATCCTGCTATTGTTCTATCATATGTACAACAGGGTCAACGGTTAATTGAAGTAGAAGCTGAGGATTTTATTTTACTTTTTAAGTTTAGGTCAAACAGTGTTTCTGTGCATGGCTAATGGAGTGTTTTGGGAGATAGATAGTTAAATTGTAGTTCATTGCATATGTACCCTAAGGGAACACTAAATAAACTATACTCTAGGTAGAATCATGAATGTACTTTGAAATATGTTTAATACTACAATTAATACAAGCAAGACAAAAGTAAAACTGGGCCAATTGTTTCACCTCCTCATCCAGCTGGCCGTGATTTTTAAATATTAATTTCTTTTTTGGCACTCACTTTCATTATCTATAAAATTAGGGCAGTTGAATTATTATGTCCCTTTAGGAAGAAGATCCCATGGCCCTGAAACCTCTCTTCCTTGACAGAGAGTTTTATGAGTGCTACACAGAAAATGTCACAAAATATGTGTCCTGCTTAATAGGTGAATTTTGTTTTCATGTTGTACTCTACCATTCCCAGGAAAAGGAGATTGACACACTTACCTCTAAGGAGAAGTAATCAAAAATAGTGGAAAATGAGAGGTCTTCAGAATGGGACCTGAAGACCCCAGAGAGATCCTGTGTCTCTTCCAGGCAGTATGCAACATCAAAGCAAAAAGAATTCAATGACATTATTTGCCTTTTCCACTTTCATTCTGTTGTAGTTAGACTTGAGTTCGCTGGAGGATACATCATGTGATGTCATCATCAGTCTGATAACAGAATGTGTGTCTGTGTATTCATGTGTATTCTAGAGCATTCTAATGTATTACATTTAGAGTATTCTTACGTTCAGTGTCAGAGATTAACTAGTTTGTTCTCAGTACTCCTACCATCTTGTTCTTTCTATCTTTGTTTATACCTGCTAAATTTTCTTTAGCCTCATTACTGTTCAGTACGTAATTTTCCCAAATCTGGTGATTTTTCTTAGTTGTACGGAGAAACACAAGAAGCAAGTATAATTTTTGTCTCATTTTGCAATATAACTTTTTGGAAAACATATTTAAATTTTTTAAGTTTATTTATACTATTATTTATTTTAGAACCTAGTAATGTATTATTGTAAAATACAAGATAATTAATTTGTATTCTATTCAAGGATTCAGCATTGGCTTTAGAAGGGATTATAATACTTCTATCATCTATGTCTAAAGAGACTCTTCAGAGTTGACTTATCAGAGAGTTCTCTAACTTATTAAAGGACATACTCTACTAAAAAATGGGTAAAACTATATATAAGAAATTGAAATATGATGAAAGCTATTTTCTGCTGGCATTATAAATGTTAATAATTTACTATAATCTTATGCAATGGAACCTTTTGAATAATGTTATGGTACCAGGTAAGTCGTAGCATCACTTTGAGATCAATCAATCAAAGAATAAAGAAAAGGAAGTTGAATATGCTAACCAGAGCTATGATGAACTCTTTCAGATCCATGAATAATTATTTGTTACAGACTTGCATACCACAAATAAGAAAGCGAGGGCAGCATTTTCCAAGGTGAGCTATTGCATTGTTTTGGCTGAAGGACCACATGCAATAGCTGAGGCACACTGCTGAATGCCTGCTGGATGAAAATGCAACATAAGAACCAGGGCCACTTTCCCACCATACAGTAACTTGTTGATTCAAGCATTTTGCTGAAAACCCAAAGTCTCAGGGTAATATCTCGTCAACAGAATTTCCCTTTGCCTTACAAATGGCTCAATGTGTACATGTGGCGGGACTTGTTATTTTGCTTGCATTGGTCCAATATGAGAAACAATCATCGGGAAATATTTTCTACCATGTGAGTGCCTAACAAAAACATCAAGTGGTGCTGAAATATTCCAAGTATCAAATAACCATTTTGAGATACCTTGGTTTATCCCAGAATTGTGTTGATGTTTTTATTGATGATGCAAAAAGCAATGGTGGCTTATGGATCAAGGCAATGGCACAAAACTCTGTAGGCAGCAGTTATATTCCTCCCCACCACATACTCCCACTAAAGAAAACAAATAAGTTATACTTAACGAATGCATCAAAAATTATTACAATTAATGTACTAGGGCTCTCTAGAGGGACAGAACTAATAGAACTAATAGAATTCACATGCACATTTATTAAGGAGTTTATTAAGGAGAATTGACTCACATGATAACAAGGTGAAGTCCCAAGATAGGCAGTCTGCAAGTTGAGGAGCAAGGAAGCCAGTAGTGACTCAGTCTGAGTCCCAAAACCTCAAAAGTAGGGCAGCCAACAGTGCAGCCTTCAGTCTGTGGTGGAAGGCCTGAGAGCCCCTGGCAAACCACTGCTGTAAGTCCAAGAGTCTAAAGACAAGAACTTGCAGCCTGATGTTCTAGGGCAGGAAGCATCCAGCATGGGAGAAAGGTAAAGGCGGGAAGACTCAGCGAGTCCACTCTTTTCCCCTTCTTCTGCCTGCTTTTCCTAGCCACGCTGGCAGCTGAGGGGATAGTGTCCACCCAGATTAAGGGTGGGCCAGCCTCTCCCAGTCCACTGACTCAAATGTTCATCTCCTCTAGCAACACCCTCACAGACACACCCAGGAACAGTACTTTGCATCCTTCAATACAATCAATTTGACACTTTATTAACTATCACAATTATCAAATCTCAACCCTTTAGTATTCATCCTTTTAAAAATATTTTACCTGTTAAAATGAGAAATTCAGTGATTATCTCAAGATAAGTCAGTTGTGTGATTACTTGAGTTGCAAATTGTACAAGCCATTTTTTCCAGAAACCACCTTTTATATTTGAAAGAAGGGCAGACAAACTATGGTTATTTAAACATAAATATTTGGCAGATTTTTTCTTTAAAATGTATAAAGTAAGCCATTAGCACCAAGGGAAACAGCTGATAATACATGTTTTCAATGATAAAATCTGAGCTTTCAAGTGAAAATTAGAGTTTTGGGAAAGTTACAGCTGACACTTTGAGTTTGGCTGCTTCTTAATACTTAAGCCATACTTCGTATGAGATTGGAGATCATATTCACAAATGTGATTTTGTGTGCATGTTATATTTATAATATGGAATATATAAATAGACATAACATTTATAAACAAAAGCTCTTTTGGAAAACTCATTAATATTTTAAGAATACAAAGGGGCTCTGAAACCCAAAACTTAGAAAACATGAGTAGTCTATTGTTGCAGGAAAACAAGATCAGAAGATGTGAAAAATAAATTCTGGTCAGAACAATCAGAATAGAGATCATTTTCTTTCTTATTTAAATTCAGCTAAGAGATTTCACAAGCACTTTATTGAGGAGGGTCTAGAATTCTGTATTATCACAAACAGGTATTTTTTTTTAATATGGAGCCACTTTACCATGACTGTAATTGAACCAGTATTCTATAAACTGCTTGAGAAAAACCAGACCTCATTGTATGATGTGGGCTCAGACCAACCTTGGGAAACCCAGGCTCACCAGGCACATGGGTATCATGGCCACTGAAAGCCTAGATGTAAGTCCTGGCCCTACCCACAACCATTCTGTCACTTATACAAGTTGCACCCGCTGCCAGTTTCCTCATCATTAAAGCTGGCGTAATAGCAGCACCTAATTCATAGGGTTGTTAGGGCAATGAATATGCAGCAACGTCCTGACAAGAGTACCCAAAAGAAAGTGAAACCTGACAAATGCTCTCTGCCTGCAGCATGCTCGTGCCCAGAGTGAACAAAAACAGAAGATATCTGTGTTTGAGAAAAGCAGTGGTTCTCAAACTTGACTGTGTTTGAGAATCCCCATCAGGACTCTCCAGGCCCTTCACAATCTTATTCCTAGTTCTTCTTCCAGCCTGAGTTCCCACCATTGTATGAACAGACTGTGATCTCAGCAAATTCCCATGCTCAGTTGTTCCCATTCCTGGGCTCATGCCCTTCCATGCTCCAGTTTTGTGCAGTTAAGATGGAGCAGCCTTTCTGTGTCTGGCTTATTTTAGGTTCACCTATGTTGTCCCAAAGAACAGGATTTCCTTCTTTTTGAAACCTGTATAATATTCTATTGTGCTTATATATACCACAATTTTATTATGTCATACATCCATGCATACCTAGGTTGATTCCTGTATTAGTCCATTCTTGCATTGCTATAAAGAACTACCTGAGACTGGGTGATTTATAAAGAAAAGAGGTTTAATTGATGCACAGTTCCACAGGTTGTACAGGAAGAATGACCGGGAGGCTTCAGAAAACATAATCATGAAAGAAGCTAAAGAGGAAACAGGCACATGGGTGGAGCAGTAGGAAGAGAGCAAAGTGGGAGGTGCTACTCACTTTTAAACAACAAGATTTTGTGAGAAATCACTCACTACTACAAGAACAGCAAGGGGGAAATCCACCCTCATGATCCAATCACCTCCCACCAGGCCACTTCTCCAACACTGGGGATAACAACTGGACATGAGATTTGGGTGGGGACACAAATCCAAACCATATCAATTCCTTGACTTGGCTATTGTGAATAGTGCTGCAATAAACATGAGGGTGCAGATATCACTTCAACACACTGATTTCATTCATTCCCTTTGGATATATATTCAGAAGTGGAATTGCTCCATCTCATGAGAGCTCTAACTTTAACTTTTTTTGAGGAGCCTCCATAGTATTTTCCATAATGGCTCCACCAGTTTATATTCCCACCAATGAGGTACAAAGGTTCCATTTTCTCCACACCTTTGTGAATCTTGTTATCTCCTGTTGTTTTTTCATAATAGCCATCCTAACTGGTGTGAGGAGATATCTGATCATGATGGTGGGAGGAAATGGGGGGATGTTGGTCAAAGTGTACAAATTTGAGAACAAGTTATAAGACGAACAAGTCCTGGGGGTGTAAGGTACAGCAGGGATGATGATGGATGTGTACATTAACTTGACTGTGATAACCATTACACAATGTATACCTATATCAAATCATCGCATTGTGCACTTTGAATGTCTTCACTTTTTGTTTTTCAATTAAGTATTTCAAATAAATAGATAGAGTAGCCATGTATTTCTTTCAGGAAGTCTCATTCACAGTCAGAATCAGTACTGCTTTCTGCTGATGCATCGTTACCTTCTGTGGTTCCTTTGTTATAGGTGTATCTGCTATAATACATTTCTTTGTTACATAGGAACACGGCTAACACAGTACTTGATATAAAATGACATCCTATGAAATATTATTTCCTGAATTGAATAGATAATTTTTTTGTTTGTTTTTGTTTTTTCTTTTGAGATGGAGTTTCACTCTTGTCACCCAGGGCAGTGGTGTGATCTTGGCTCACTGCAACCTCCTCCTGCTGGGTTCAAGTGATTTTCCTGCCTCAACTTCCCGAGTAGCTGGGACTACAGACATGTCCTGTCTAATTTTTGTATTTTTAGTAAAGACGGGGTTCTACCACGTTGGCCAGATGGTCTCGAACTCCTGATCTCAGGTGATCTACCCGCCTCAGCTTCCCAAAGTGCTGGGATTACAGGCGTGAGCCACTGCATCCGGCCTGAATAAGGAATATTTTCTTAATAAGGTGGTATATTATCAGACAAGGTAGAAACAAAATGACATTCCTGTTATTGGTTTCCTTGATATTTAAAAGTTCCATACTAAAAGGGATTAATACATTGCAACCAGCTACATTTCTTTTTTAATCAATATGGGAAAATATTTGAATAAGGAGTCATGTCATTCATTTGATACAAGTTCAATACAATGACAGAAAACAGTAAAATATATTCTTAAACATTAAATGAGTAATAAGTTTTTTTGTTTATATATACTTTCAAGAAGCACTTTTTGAACTTTTGTTCACTTATAAATCTGTCAGATCACATCCAGGCCCTGGTAATACAAGCAGTCCTTTGGAGGCCAGTTTTTGTACCTATAGAAAGATAAAGACAGGTCAACTGAAAGCACTGTCTGGTCACCTTGTTTCAAGCTTGTTTGAAATCACATCAGAACTGATCTGAAGAAAATATTCTTCTCATCCACTTTTAATATGAAGGAACTAGTAGGCACTAGTTTCTAAAAACAGTCTAGTATCATAGTACATATGGAAATGGAGTGTTTTGTAAGATATAAATATTCTTGATTCAATGTAAATGCATTTCTTTTATTTGAATGATTTGGAGACATCGAAGTTTATCCTCACAGTCCTAACATTATATTGCTTATTGGAACAAGCATGAGCTTTGGACTAAGTCACAGGCAGTTGGATTCAAATTCTAACACTTACAAATATCATTTATATGGCTACAGGCAATTTCCCTAATTTCTCTGAGCTTCAAGTTTTCTCACCTCTACAGAAAGGACCTTTCTACTTCTGTGCATAGTTGTAAAAAATGAATGTGATGTGGCAATTATAGTGCTTGGCAGAGTGATCATTATATTATTCTTTTGTATTGTTTTGTTTTGTTTTTGAAATGTTATACACTTCTAGGATCCCAGGCATTGTGGAGGCTGCATGGGAAATCCTATTTCCTTATTTGTTAAGGCATTTAGAATATTGCACTTATGTCAGAAGAAAAAGATGAATTAAACAATGACCAGTATTAATCAAAAACAGGTCACTGCTATAAAGAAAATTACTCAACATTTCAGAAACAAAACAAAAGAATAATATAATGATTCCTCTGCCAAGCAGTATAATTGCCATATTATATTCATTTTTTACAACTCTGTACAGAAGTAGAAATGTCCTTCTTTCTGTAGAGGTGAGAAAGCTTCTAGGGTCCCAGGCATTGCAGAGGCTGCACGGAAAATCCGACTTCCTTATTTATTAAGGCACTTAGAATATTGCACTTGTGTTGGAAGAAGAAGACGAATTAAACAATGGCCAGTATTTAATAAAAAAAAGTCATTGATGTGAAGAAAATTACTCAAAAAATACATAGTAAAAATTGGATTTTAGACACCTATATAATGGGCATGATTATCCCTTTCTACTCCCACAGATGTTTATAAGATTCAAATGCACAAAAAGGCACATTGAATTACACACACATACACACAGAGGCAAAAGGTACTGATTTTATTCTGAGAATTAAAGATAATTTAGATTATAACCAAAAGGAAAAATATGGCAACATACTATAAATACCTTTTCTTTATTTTCACTGTATTCTATTGAGGAGCTTAGTATATCATTATTGAGGACTATAGGTCATGTATCCTTTCAAACAATTATTTCACAAATTATATTCTGGATTTTGTGACAAACAGTGCAACCACCTTTATGAATAAAAGTATTACTATTATTTTGGCTTCAGAAAATACAAACGTTAACCAAATAAAAGAACAAGTAAATTTTAACTGTAAATTGTGATAAGTTCTGTAATTGAAAACAATATGCAGCTATTCAAACAAATACCTAGGATGCAGAAAGATTGAGTCTGAAATTAGTGACAGTGGTCTCCAAGGTAATATGTAGGCTGAGATGGGCAGGAAGGGTATAGGTGAGGGAGGTGAAGGGGGGATGTTAGTTCAGGAGTGGGAACAGCACATGACAATGTTCTCAGAAGAGAAAAGGGGCCACCATGGCTGGACATTATAAAGAAAAGTAAGGAAGTGTCAGGAGTTGGATGTAGAAAGACAGTCTTGTTCTAGTCATGCAGGGCCTCAAAGGGCATATGAAGCATTGTTTATTTATTTTAACTCACACACAATGAAATACATGAAGTGCTTTCAAAAGGTGAATGGGGGATCCATACATGAGAATTTAATTTTGGCCACTCTACACACGGCACATAGGAAGGTGCAGGTAGAAGCAAGTAAAACAGCAAAGACAGCCTCTCAGTTACCAGGTGTGACAGAGGACAGCATCTCACTGCTGGGATGTAAAGAGAGAGGACACCATTTTAATGGTGGGATATGAAAAGCGGGGAAAGCATCTCACTACTGGGATGTGAGAAGGGAGGATATCATCTCACTACTAGAATGTGAAGAAGGAGGACAGCATCATAGTACTGGGATGTGAGAAGGGAGGACAGCATCTCACTGCTGGGGTGTGATGAGGGAGGACAGCATCTCACTACTAGGATGTGAGGGAGGGAGGACAGCATCTCACTACTGGCATATGAGGAGGGAAGACCACACCTCACTACTAGATGTGAGGAGAGAGGACAGTGTCTCACCACTGGCATATAAGAAGGGAGGACCACATCTCACTACTAGAATGTGAGGAGGGAGGACAGCATCATAGTACTGGGATATGAGGAGGGAGGACAGCATCTCACTACTAGAATGTGAGGAGGGAGGACAGCATCATAGTACTGGGATGTGAGGAGGGAGGACAGCATCTCACTACTAGGATGTGAGGAGGGAGGACCGCATCATAGTACTGGGATGTGAGGAGAGAGGACACCATCTCACTACTAGGATGCAAGGAGGGAGGACAGCATCTCACTAGTGGGATGTGAGGAGGGAGGACAGCATCTCACTACTAGGATGTGAGGGACAGAGGACAGCGTCTCACTACTGGCATGTGAGGAGGGAGAACCGCATCTCACTACTAGAATGTGAGGAGGGAGCACAGCATCATAGTATTGGGATGTGAGGAGGGAGGACAGTCTCTCACTCCTGGGATGTGAGGAGGGGGGACAGCATCTCACTGCTGGGGTGTGAGGAGGGGGGACAGCATCTCACTCCTGGGGTGTGCAGAGGGAGCACCACATCTCAATCCTGGGATGTGAGGAGGAATGACAGCATCTCACTGCTGGGATGTGAGGAGGGAGCATCGCATCTCACTGCTGCAATGTGAGGAGGGAGGACAGCATCTCACTGCTGGGGTATGAGGAGGGAGGACAGCATCTCACTTCTGTTCCAATTTTTTGCCACTTATTTTTTTCTGAAGTTTCCCCCACATGCATGTTATAGAGGTATTCATATGTTAACCTTTTCAATCTATTAAATATTCTATAATTATCTTACCTACACATTTACTTATATTTTTACTTTATGTTACTTGCTTTTATTTTCTTTATGCAGATGATAAGAAATGGTGAGTTTTCATAACTATATTCAAAATATGCAGGATTATATTTATAACTATGATGTAATAAAATTAGCATTGTAACTAGTTTGCCAAGAAGGGAATGAAGGAGGATAACTTTTCACTATACATACATAAATAAAATAATACAGAGTTTTACAATAAACTGGCCAGCCAGAAGCATCTGAAATAAATGTTGTGGGTTTCTGTCATCACCAGATTTAAGCTTGTCATCCTCTCTGCATTATTCACAAGCACTACATTTTCTCTCTCTAGCTTTTTCTGCTCTCATGGAACTCTCTTGTGGGGAAATGGGAAGGGAGGGACAATGCCTGTTCCCTCACAGAAGGCACTTAAGCCATCTGTAATTCTTCATCTTCTCAGTGATTTCCCAATGTAAATGCCTTCATATACTCTTTGCTTTTGAACTTATCCAGTGATTGATTCTTTCCGAAATGGATCTTTCATTCACCCCGGCACATGTAGAAATAACTTACGATTTGCTCAATACATCAACAATAGAAGCACCACTATTGCTTCCTGCTAGTACTGAAGACACCGCATTATCAGGAAAATTAATAAAATTCATTGATAACAACACTAATAAAGTTTTATATAAGCTTCATATAACTTAAAATCATAAAATGTGGCCAAAGCAGTAAATACATAAGAATCATTCAAATCCATGGAGATTTGTGATTTCCCACTTACCAGGAATCTCACAGAACTCCTTAAAGTGCAGAAGAGGGCTCCAAAATTCCCAAGAGTTTCAACCAATGACTTTGTGGAACACTAAGCGCTCCCTAAGAAGCACTATTGGGAAAGAAAGAACCAGAGCATGAATTTAGCTTCTCTTAGACGTTTTCAGATTGGTTGGAACCAACTAGGCCTCAAGGCAGTGTGCTTAGGGTCAATGGTGCTGTGTTCTCTTCCCTCTGAGCCCTTAAAATTAATTTAATTTCAAATACTGACGGTAAAAAAAGAGAGCCTTAGTTCTATAGATGATATAAATTTTAGAGTCAGAAAACAAACCTGATCTTGTTTCTTCTCACAGTTCTTTCTGCCCTTTCTGCTGCACAACACAATCATACGGAGAAATTATGTGTAGTTTATCTTCTAATAAACACATCAATCTACTAAAGATACAAGTTAACATTATTAACATTTTTTCTATAATTCTAGAAAGTTTATATAAGCCTCATATCAGTATCTCATTTTTACTTTATACACAAAGTAAAGCTGTGGAAAAGGTAGCTATTGTTTTCTTTTTTTTTTTTTAACAAGTGAGAAAGATCAGATAGAAAAGTTACATGATTTCCTAAAGGTCTTGAAGCTTGGGAATGGCAAAGTCAGATTTGGGTCAAGGCATCTGACCCCCAGTTCTGGTCTCTTCTCACAGTAACATAAACATCCTCAGTCCTTACTCTGCATTGACCCACAGTGCTTTGAGGTAGGAGATTAAATTCCTTTGGATTAAGGGGAGGAGGTACATGACAATCATATATGTATTTTTCTGATATTAGTGCCTGTTTTTATTATATTATTTTGTATTTACTTGCCCAGGTTTCCAATATGTTATAGTGGATTTTCTGATAACTGTACATTAGCTTGTCGCTTGCCAACCCTCTGAACAAGAAAAACTAGAAACCCTGACCAAGATAAGAAAATATCCATTTGAAGGTTCTGAAGAATTACCAAGACAGTAGAAACCAAGATCCCAGAGAAAGGAAGTAGAAACAAGTAAATTTAACACTAAGCATTATATTTTCTTTGAGCCATTTGTGCATTAAAAGACCAGTTCCTAGTGGCTCAGAAGCCAGTCAGGAAGCTGAAACTGAGAAGTGAAGCAGAGTAAAGATTCCAGAATTTCATTGCACTAGAGAGACCACAAATGAAGTTCAGGTCACAGCAAAGAGGAGGATGCCTGGTAATTAACAGTGGTGACCATGAAGGAGTACATTCTGTATGTACGAGCAAACAGGAATGAACCAACCTTCAAGAAGATTAAAACTTAGCCTTTATTCTGTCAATCAATCCCTCATCAGATTAAATTTATAATTGGCTTCTGAGCCATAAGCTCTGACTTTTTATTTCACAAATACCTCAAGGGAAAATCATGTTTGATAATGAATCAAACATCTGTAAGAAGTAAAAATAGATTTTTTTCTGCCTGTAAGAAGTAAAAATAAATTATCTATAAAAATAACAAACTGTCCTCACAACATTTAAACATATGTATGGCATTACATTAAAAAGTTACTTTACACAACAGAAACTAAGGTCAAATCATAGAAAATAAAGAAGAAAAAAACAGAAACAACCAGGTTTCTGAGAAATGCAGATATAGATAGTGAAGTTTCTAAATACAAACTTTAAATTAGATACATATATATTAATAAAATCAATAAATTCTGTGGCAAATAGGAGATTATCAGCAGAGAAACTGAAACCATAGAAATGAATCAAAGAAAAAATTATGAAATTTAAAGTATTATAAATATAATTAAGAGCATAATACATTAATTTGACAACAGAATACTGAGGCTGAAAAGAGGATTATTAAACCAGAAGATGGATCAAAAGAAAACAGACCAGAAAATGAAGAAAAACACAAGAGCATGAAAGTTATATAATGCATGATGAACAAGGTCTAATATAGGTCTAATTGGAGTCCCAAAAGTAGAGAAGAAAAGAGAATGAAGAAGAAATAAATGCCAAGAACTTTCAGTAAAACATGAGCAACATCAAACTTTATATTCATAATTTATAATGTATACTGTTAAATCTATAAAGAAGAAAAGTATGCCCATTAGGATACTATATCTCAAAATTTAAGACAAATGGAAATTATAAGAGTTCCAGAGGGGGCAAAAATACATAAAACCTTTAAAGAGGAAAAAGGTTTTACAGAAGGCTTCTCAACGAAAACAATGCAAGCCAGAAGACCAGATAATAAAATATTCAATATATTGAAATGAAAACCTAGAATTTTATACCCATAAAAATGTAATATATTTCAAAAAGGCAAATAAATAAATTTTTAGACAATCAAAACATAATATAACTTGCAACCTCCATACTGAGTAAAATGATTACAGAAAGAAGAACAGAGATATCAGGATGAATAAAGAGAAAGAAAAAAAACAAATGTGGGAAAATCTAGTATATGTTGATTTTCTGAATCAATTATAAAATTTTAAGTTTTAAATATCAGAATAGTAAAATATATAATATGCACATGATATGAAATAAAAATAAATAGAGTTAAAGTGTTCTAAATTCCTTGAAGTGGTAAAAGTAATTATGAATTCACTTTATAAACTCCAGAGCAGTGGTTCTCAGCTGGGCTTAGTGGTTCTCAGGGGCCCAGTGGTTCTCAACAAGGCTCAACCTCAATAGGGCTGAGGTTGAGAAACCTGCTCTGAAGTATCCACTAAAGATTGGCTAGTGTAAAAACGTAAGTACATGTATGTACTATCAACTGGCAAGTTTATACTCAATTATATACCCAACAGAAATGTGTACATGTACATACACACACACACACACACACACACACACACACACATATATATAATTCTGTAGCAACATTATCTTTAATAGAAAAAAAAAATAGAAGCAAACTGACATGGTTCGGACTTGTGTCCCAACCAAAATCTCATGTTGAATTGAAATACCCAATTTTGGAGGTGGGGCCCGGTGGGAGGCGATTAGATCATGAAGGTGTTTCTCATGAATGGTTTAACACCACTACCTTGGAGCGG
Source organism: Homo sapiens (assembly GCF_000001405.40). NCBI lineage: Eukaryota > Metazoa > Chordata > Mammalia > Primates > Hominidae > Homo > Homo sapiens. The sequence goes on from NC_000005.10 coordinate 8,922,836, forward strand.
TTCTGCTGATAATGAGCAAGTTCTCATGAGATATGTTTGTTTAAAAGGGTGTCACACCTCCCCTCCTTGCTCTTGCTCTTGCTCTTGCTGATCTTGCCACATGAGATGTCTAGCTTCCCCTTTTCCTTCCACCATCATTGTAAGTTTCCTGAGGCCACTCCAGAAATCAAGCAGATGCCAGCATCATGCTTTTTGTACATCTTGAGGAACCATGAGTCAATTAAACTTCTTTTATGTATAAATTACCCAGTCTTAGGTTTTTCTTTATAGCAATGGGATAACTGACTAATAAACAACTTAAATGGTCATTAATAACAGTGTGTCAAAGTATATTCATTCATACAGTAGAAAACTATACAGCAAATAGCATATACACAAAACAACGTGAATTAATCTCATAAACACACAAGAAGCACGGCATAGTAGAATACAGACTTCATGATTTGAAAACAAAAATTCAAAAATGTCCAACGCTTAGCTAGGATATGTGAAGCGACAACGGTGTTTTTCAACTCAGGGAGAGAAAAGAGACAGTGATCAGTGCAAGATGGCTGAATAGAAGCCTTTACCAATTGTACTCCCCACAGGAACACTAAATTTAGCAACTATATACACAAAAATCACCTTCATAAGAACCAAAAATCAGGTTAGTGATCACAGTATTTGGTTTTAACTTTAGATTACTGAAAGTGGCAGTGAAGAAAGTAGGAAAGACAGTGTTTTATTGCCAACACCATCCCTCCTCCATCCCTCAGCAGGGTGAGGAGAGAGAATCTGCGTGCCTGAGAAAGGAAGAGTGCAGGGACTGTGGGACTTTCACTGGAACTCATGCTGTCAGCACCAGGGAGAAGTCAGCTAACACTCACAGAGGGAGCATTTAGAGGAGCCCTAACTAGGGTGGAATTGCCCATCCCAGTAATTGAAACTCAGTTTTGGCAAGCCTCACCACCATGAGCTAAAGGGCTCTGGGGCTCTAAATAAACTTGAAAGGCAGTCTAGGCCACAAGGACTGCAACTCTTAGGCAAGTCCTAGTGCTGTGCTGAGCTCAGAACCCAGATATAGCAGACTTGGGAAGCACACAACCTAGTGAAACATCAGCTAGAGGGGCTAAGGGAGTGTTTGTGCTACTCCTCCTCCCACACCAGGCAGTGAGCTCGCTTGGAAAGAGAACTTATTCTTCCTCTTGAAGAGGGGAGAGGGAAGAGGAAAGACAACACTTCTTGCAACTTGAATACCAGCACAACCACAGTAGGATAGTGCCCCAGGCAAAGTTGCGAGGACCCCTTTCCAGGCTCTAGCTTCTGGATAACATTTCTAGACACACCCTGGGCTGGAAGGTAACCCACTGCCTTGAAGGGAAGGACTCAGCTCTCACAGGACTCATTACATGCTGACTAAAGAGCTCTTGGGCCTTGAATAATTAGCAATGGTAAGTAGGAAGTACACGAAGGAAATCTTGGGTGAGACCAAAATGTGCTGACTTCCAGTGTGACCCAGCACACTCACAGCTGTAGCAGCTATGAGGAGAGACTCCTCCTTGAGAAAATCAGAGAGAAGAGAAAAAGGGACTTGGTTTTACAGCTTAGGTACTAGCTCAGCCACAGTGTGGTAAAACAATGAAAAGGTTCTTGGGGTCCCCAACTGCAGGCCTTGGCTCTTGGATAGCATTTCTTGACCTATCCTGGCCCAGACAGGAGCCCACTGCTCTGAAGGGTGAGTCTCAGCCCTGGTAGCTTTCACCACAAGCTGACTGAAGAGCCTGAGGTCCTTAAGTAAACATCAGCAGTAGCCTAGTGGTACTAACCATGGGCCTGTGGTGGCGATGGAAATGGAGAAAGACACCCCTGCCTGGGGAAAGGGGAGAGAAGAGTCTTGTGGTTTGGGTTCAGCTCAGCTGCAGTAGAATAGAGAATCAAGTAGAGTCCTAAGGTTTCCAACTCCAGGTCCTGGCTCCTGGATGGCATCTCTGGAACAAACCAGAGCCTGGGGGTACTTAGCACACTGAAAGGAAAAAACAAAAAAGCCTGATTGGATGCACCACCTGCTGATTGTACAGCTGTTGGGCATTAAGCAAACATAGGCATTAGCCAGGTAGTGGTAACAGTGCACCTTGGGTGAGACTCAGTGCCACGGTGGCTTCATATCTGATGCAATAGTCCCAGTGGTGGTGGTGACAGGAGGGCTTGTGTCACTCCTCTCCCAGATCCAGCAGCTCAGCAGAGACAGAGAGAGAGAGAGAGAGAGAGAGAGAGAGAGAGAGAGAGAGAGAGACTCCATTTGTTTGGGAAAAAGTAAGGAAAGAGAAAAAGAGTCTCTGCCTGGTAATCCGAAGTATTCTTCTGAATCTTGGCCAAGACTACCCAGGCAGTACCTCTACAAGTCTTTGAAAACCACAGGACTACTAGGCTTAGGGTGACACTTATACAGAAATGGCTGAAGTGAGAAAAGACTTAGATCAAAACACCCAAGTCCCTTTGAATACCTGAAAAGTCTTCCCAATAAAGATGGGTGAAAACAAGCCTAGACTGCAAAGAGTATAAATAAATCCCTAACTCTTCAGTGCCCAGATACCAATGAATATCCACAAACATCAAGACCGTCAGGAAAACATGGCCTCACCAAACTAAGTATGACACCACGAATCAATCCTAGAAACACAGAGATGTGGGACTTTTCAGACAAGAAAAATTATAATAGCTATTTTGAGAAAACTCAAAGAAACTCAAGATAACACAGAGAAGGAACTCTGAATTATATCAGATAAATTTAATAAAGAAATTTAAATAATTAAAAAGAATCAAATAGAAATTCTAGAGCTGAAACTCAATTGATATACTGAAGAATGCATCAAAGTTAATTAACAGCAGAATTGATAAAGAAGAAAAATTAGTAAGATTGAAGACAGACTATTTAAAAATACACAATCAAATGAGACAAAAGAAAAGGAATACAAAACAATGAAGCATACCTACATTATCTAGAAAATAGCCTCAAAAAGGCAAATCAAAGATCTAGTGGCCTAAAGAGAATGTGAAGGGGGTATTAGAATATTTATTCAAAGGAATATAAGAGAGAACTTCCCAAACCTAGAAAAGGATATCAATATTCAAGTATAAGAAAGGTATAAAACATAAACAAATTTAACCCAAATTTAACCCCTTACCTCAAGCCATTTATTAATCAGACTCAAAGGTCAAGGATGAGTAACATGTCCTAGAAGCAGCAAGAGAAAATAAACAAATAACATACAATCAAGCTCCAATACATCTGGCAGCAGACTTTTCAGTGGAAACTATAGGCCAGGACAGAGTGGCATGACATATTAAAATGCTGAAGGAAAAATTTGTACCCTAGAATATTATATTGACAAAAAATATCTACAAACATGAAGGAGAAATAAAGATTTTCCTAGGAAAACAGAAGTTGAGGGATTTCATCAACTACAGTGAGATATCATCTCACTTCAGTTATATTACCTTTATCCAAAGATAGGCAGTAACAAATGCCGACAAGAATGTGGAGAAAAGAGAACACTGTACACTGTTGATGTGAATGTAAATTAGTGCAACCACTAAGAAACAGTTTGAAGATTTCTCAAGAAACTAAAATCAGGGCTACCATATGATCTAGCCATCCCACTGCTAGGTATATGCCCGAAAGAAAGAAAATCACTATATCAAAGGGATACCTGCACTCCTGTGTTTACTGAGGCACTATTCACAATAGCCAAGACTTGAAAACAACTTAAGTGTCTATGAACAGTCTTAGGGAGAATGAATATGTGGTACATATACACCATATGCATAAAAAAGAATGAGATCCTGTCATTTGCAACAACATGGATGGAACTGGAGGTGATTATGTTATGTGAATTAAGCCAGGCACCCAAAGAGAAACTTTTCATGTTCTCACTTATTTGTGAGGGAAAAAAATTAAAGCAATTGAACTGATGGAGATACAGAGCAGAAGGTTGGTTACCAGAGGCTGAGAAGGGTACGTGGGGGGTCAGGAGGAAGTAGGGCACAAAAAATAGGAAGAATGAATAAGATCTAGTGTTTGATAGCACAGCACAGTGACGCTAGTCAATAATAATTTAATTGTACATTTAAAAATAACCAAACGTGTGGCTCACGCCTGTAATCCCAGCACTTTGGGAGGCCGAGGCGGGCAGATCATGATGTCAGGAGATCGAGACCATCCTGGCTAACACGGTGAAACCCCGTCTCTACTAAAAATACAAAAAAAATTAGCTGGGCGTGGTGGCGGGCACCTGTAGTCCCAGCTACTCTGGAGGCTGAGGCAGGAGAATGGCGTGAACCCGGGAGGCGGAGCTTGCAGTGAGCCGAGATAGCGCCACTGCACTCTGGCCTGGGCGACGCAGCGAGAATCTGCCTCAAAAAAAAAAAAAAAAAAAAAAAAAAAAAAAAAAAGAAACCAAAAGTATAATTGGATTGTTTGTAACACAGAGGATAAATACTTGATGTGATGGGTACCCCCATTTCCTTTGATGTCATTATTGCACATTGTAATGCTGTATCAAAATATGTCATATACCTCATAAATATATACACTTACCATGTATCCACAAAAATTAAAATTAAAAATAAATAAGTAAAACTAGCAGGTAATGAAAATCTGTGGCCTCTGATTTCCAAAGTAAAATCTGGTGTCGTTTTCCAGAAGGCATCAGGATTTCTACCAGGCTGAAAACTCTTGCTAGACCAAGACCCTTGTTTTGCTAAAGTCATGCTGGTATGTTTGCCTGCGTTTTCCTAATGTTGATATTTTACATTTCAACATTATGATACTTGGGTGCTGGAGGAAAGAAGGGAGAAGGTGAATAGGAAACAAAAGGATCGGTGTGGAATTGCATGAGCGTGAGCTTGTACAAAGAAAATACCCTATTTAACTGGCCTATAGCTGTGTCTAGGAAGCAGTTAAGTTAAAATATATTTGGCATATGTTAAGGAAAATGTGACAGAATTAAATCTATGAATTAGAATATTATAGAAATGTGAGCATGATTCACTTACAAATTTACTTCTCCTAGAACAATATCCAAGAAATGTAATACTCAGTTGAAATGAATTTACTGAACTTATTAACAACTGTACTGAAAGTTCAGAAATCGACCATTGGGATTATGTCTAGTAAAATGCAATATACAGAATATATGAAAGTTTCAATACCTCTCATTGATTATGAGTAATATTTTTATAAAGTAACTTGTTCCTAATTCTTTTAAACATTCTTCTCACTCTCATTTTTAATATAAAATGATGTATAAGCAAAATGACTGAAAAGCCTTTTCTGCGAACAAAACTGGAATTGAATTTTATTATTGTTTGTTCTTATGTTCAGTTTTTGTTTTTTATGTATTTGTCTTATGAAACCCATGGGGCTTATGAGTGGGAGAGAAATCAAACTCTTCCGGATTCTTAGAGTAAATAGGAAAAAATATCACCGGTATTCACAGAAGCCACATGATATTCAGAAAAGAATCTGTGTCTTTATTCAAAATTTTCATAAAATGTATGATTTTGAAAAATATTTTACAGTAAAGATGGCAAATGTGCAGATGTCTTTAGATTACAATTGCACCTCAGAATGAAATATAAATTCACTCCCTTCCAATTCACTTGTCTCCAAACTATAAACAAATAACTTTCCCATTCTCTGCAGATTATTACAAATACTAATATTTTCTACTCTCCTAAAATTCCACCTCGAATTCTGCAGAAGCCCTATTTCTACCACCTCTGGGAGTTTAACCATTACTGAATCTATCTCAGATTTTTTTTCACTAATTGTACACATCTAGTTTTACTTGCATTAATTATATCTTTCTTTCCTCCTGTCAACTAGGAACAGGTGCTACTGACTTAAGCCCACATTCTCCTCAAGTGCACTGGGGCTCATTTATCCCAAAACCTTCTCGAGTTTCGGGAGCCCTGATGTAGCAATTATCTTCTTCCTGATCTATATTCAACCTCACCCTCTTCGTTTCCTCATCAGCATTTTAAAATGCTCAAGAATCTCCCATTTTTTAAAAAATGACTTTTTAAATATCCAAAAAACATTTTCTCCAGTCACCCATGTCCCTTATTTTCCACCAAAAACTTGCCTACATTTGTTCTATTTCTTCATTACTACTCCCCAACTCACTCATTTATCTCTTTTCTCCCAATACACAGCTCAGACAGCTGCATGTAGGGTACCAGTTACTTCCTGCAGCTATGCCCAAGAAATGTTTTCATTTCTTCTCCACCCTAGATTTGATTCTTCTGTCCTCAAAGCACCATGCTCTAGTAAGTTATTGGAGCCAAAAACCAAGCAAGGGATGCCATTCGAATGGGATTATCATTGTCTTTCTTTTTCACCACACACTCCGTGGAGTTCTGCTGTGTTTCATAAGTGGAGTAAATGCAAAACAAATTTTTAAGGCTTTAAATTTTTTTTCAATTATCTCAGAAAATTTGTGGGTTTTTTTTGGTAATTCTACTAAAGGTAAACAGACGGAAGGACTGCAATAAACAACATTGTGTGGTTTTACTCTCTTTTGCCTTGACGAACTTGGTGATGGAGAAATAAAACTTTGCATTTTATTTGTATTTATTTATATTTATTTATTTTATTTTATTTTTAGTTCTGGGGTACATGTGCAGGATGTGCAGGTTTGTTACATAGGTTAATGTGTGCCATGGTGGTTTGCTGCACCCATCAACCCATGATCTAGGTATTAAGCCCAGCATACATGAGCTATTTTTCCTAATGCTCTCCCTCCTCCTGACAGGCCCCACTGTGTGTTGTGCCCCTCCCTGTGTCCATATGTTCTTATTGTTCAGCTCCCACTTATAAGTGAGAACATGTGGCATTTGGTTTTCTGTTCCTGTGTTAGTTTACTGAGAATAATGGCTTCCAGCTTCATCCATGTCCCTGCAAAGGACATGATCTCATTCCTTTGTATGGCTGCATAGTATTCCATGGTGTATATGTACCACATTTTCTTTATCCAGTCTATCATTGAGGGGCTTTTGGGTTGATTCCATGTTCTTGCTGTTGTGAATAGTGCTGCAGTAAACATACGTGTGCATGCATCTTTGTAATAAAATGACTTATATCCCTTTCATTATATATCCAGTAACGGAATTGCTGGGTCAAATGGCATTTCTGGTTTTAGATATTTGAGGAATCGCCACACTATCTTCCACAATGGTTGAACTAATTTACATTCCCACTAACAGTGTAAAAATGTTCCTATTTCTTTGCAACTTTGCCAGCATCTGTTGTTTCTTGACTTTCTAATAATGGCCATTCTGACTGGTGTGATATGGTATCTGATTGTGGTTTTGATTTGCATTTTTCTAGTGATCAGTGATGTTGAGCTTTTTTCATAGGTTTGTTGGCTGCATGAATGTCTTCTTTCAAGACGTGTCTGTTCATGTCCTGTGCCCACATTTTTTTAATGGGTTTTTTTTTTTGTAAATTTGTTTGAGTTCCTTGTAAATTCTGGATATTAAACCTTTGTTAGATAAATAGGTTGCAAAATTTTTCTTCCACTCTGTAGGTTGCCTGTTCACTCTGATGATAGTTTCTTTTGCTGTGTGGAAGCACTTTAGTGTAATTAGATCCCACTTGTCAATTTTTGTTTTTGCTTTTGTCAATTTCTTAATGAAATCTTTACCCATGCCTACATCCTGAATGGTATTGCCTAGATTTTCTTCTAGGGTTTTTATAGTTTTGAGTTTTACATTTAAGTCTTTAATCCATCTTGAGTTGATTTTTGTATAAGTCGTGAGGAACAGGTCCAGTTTCAATTTTCTGCAACTAGAGAGCCAGTTCTCTTAGCACCATTTATTAAACAGGGAATCGTTTCCCCATTGCTTGTTTTTGCCATATTTGTCAAATATCAGATGGTTATAAATATGCTATCTTATTTCTGAGTTCTCCATCCTGTTCCATTTGTCTATATGTCTGTTTTTGTACCAGTACAATGCTGTTTTGACTATTGCAGTCTTATAGTATCGTTTGAAGTCTGGTAGCAAGATGCGTCCAGCTTTTTTTTTTTTAGAGTAGTTTTTTATTTACATAAAAGTTACAAAGGTTGTGCAAACAATTGCCATACACGCTGAACCCAGTTCCCCTATTGTTAATATCTTACATTGCTATAGTCTTATTTGTCACAACTAATAAACCAACACTGGTACATTACTATTGACTAAGCTCCATACTTAGTTCTGTCTCATGACCTTTTTCTTTCCAAGATCCTATATCCAGAAGACCGCATTACATTTAGTCATCATATCTCCTTAGTCTCTGGTTCGTGAGAGTTTCTAAGACTTACCCTGTTTATTCTTCAGCTTTGAGAAGTACTCCTCAAGTTATTTTGTAGATTGCCCCCAATTTGGTTTTGTCTGATGTTTTTCTTTTTTTTTAATTATTATGCTTTAAGTTCTAGGGTACATGTGCACAATGTGCAGGTTTGTTACATATGTATACATGTGCCATGTTGGTGTGCTGCACTCATTAACTTGTCATTTACATTAGGTATATCTCCTAATGCTTTCCCTCCCGCCTTCTCCCACCCCACAGGGAAAACTGGCTAGTCATATGTAGAAAGCTGAAAATGGATCCCTTCCTTACACCTTATACAAAAATTAATTCAAGATGGATTAAAGACTTAAGTGTTAGACCTAAAACCATAAAAACCCTAGAAGAAAACCTAGGCAATACCATTCAGGATATAGGCATGGGCAAGGACTTCATGTCTAAACACCAAAAGCAATGGCAACAAAAGACAAAATTGACAAATGGGATCTAATTAAACTAAAGAGCTTCTGCACAGCCAAAGAAACTATCATCAGAGTGAACAGGCAACCTACAGAATGGGAGAAAATTTTTGTAATCTACTCATCTGACAAAGGGCTAATATCCAGAATCTACAAAGAACTCAAACAAATTTACAAGAAAAAAACAAACAACCCCATCAACAAGTGGGCAAAGGATATGAACAGACACTTCTCAAAAGAAGACATTTATGCAGCCAACAGACACATGAAAAAATGCTCATCATCACTGGCCATCAGAGAAATGCAAATCAAAACCACAATGAGATACCATCTCACACCAGTTAGAATGGCGATCATTAAAAAGTCAGGAAACAACAGGTGCTGGAGATGATGTGGAGAAATCGGAACACTTTTACACTGTTGGTGGGAGTGTAAACTAGTTCAACCATTGTGGAAGACAGTGTGGTGATTCCTCAAGGATCTAGAACTAGAAATACCATTTGACCTAGCCATCCCATTACTGGGTATATGGGATTATAAATCACGTTGCTATAAAGGCACATGCACACGTATGTTTATTGCAGCACTATTCACAATAGCAAAGACTTGGAACCAACCCAAATGTCCATCGATAATAGACTGGATTAAGAAAATGTGACACATATACACCATGGAATACTATGCAGCCATAAAAAAGGGTGAGTTCATGTCCTTTGTGGGGACATGGATGAAGCTGGAAACCATGATTCTCAGCAAACTATCACAAGAACAAAAAACCAAACACCGCATGTTCTCACTCATGGGTGGGAATTGAACAATGAGAACACTTGGACACAGGAAGGGGTGCCTCCAACTTTGTTCTTTTTGCTTAGGATTGTCTTGGCTATATGGGCTCTTTTTTTGGTTCCATATGAATTTTAAAATAGTTTTTTTTCTAATTCTGTGAAGAATGTCAATGGTGGTTTAATGGGAATAGCATTGAATCTATAAATTACTTTTTGCAGTATGGACATTTTCATGATATTGATTCTTCCTAACCAAGAGCATAGAATAGTTTTCCATTTCTTTGTGTCCTCTCTGGTTTCCTTGAGCAGTGATTGGTAGTTCTCTTTGAAGGGGTCCTTCACTTTCCTTGTTAGCTGTATTCCTCTTTGTAGCAATTGTGAATGGGAGTTCATTCATGATTTGGCTCTCTGCTTGCCTGTTGTGGATGTATACAAATGTTTGTGACTTCCGCACATAAATTTTGTATTCTGAGACTTTTCTGAAGTTGCTTATCAGATTAAGAAGCTTTTGGGCTGAGACCATGGGGTTTTCTATATATAGGATCATATTATCTGCAATCAAAGATATTTTGACTTCTTTGAGAAATAGGACTTTGCATTTTAAAATTCCAGAATGCTTGATTCTTTTTCAAGGTAGCTATTGGCCCTTTTTTATTTGGGCATTTGCATTTTTATCCTTGCCTCATTTCCTTATTATGTCAACTTCTTGTGGGTGTGTAACAGTCTAAAAATTGATATAAACCCTTCGGAAAAGTTTTGTTTACAAATGGAACATACCCTAAAAGTTACACACTATTATAAATCTATATGCATATATAGAAAATATAATCAAATAAAAATAACTCAGGGTATGGCAGAAAATTGTAAATGTGCTACATGTAAAATATTAGCATTATTGTAGATCCAACTTTTGGGCTTCACAAACAGTATTGGGGCCAATGAATCATGGCTTTATTCAGGCTGAAGGAAAGCCTTGAATTTTTTACTAGTTCATCCTATCACAGACATGACATTGTTTCTCAATGAAGTTCAGAATTACTGATTTTATTAATAGCTAGTCAAAGCAACGCAATTGTCTTACATAATAGTGAAGTCTGTGATGCTTTCAATATCTCCTACTTGGGTGGATCTGTCAGTTTGCTGGGTGCTTTTCTGTTCCTGATGGGCTCTGTTGAGGACAATATTGATCTGAGGAGGGCTGCAGAGTGTGCAGTATGAATCTCTCATCAATCCCCAATGTCCATGAGAATACAACAATCTTTTTATCTACAATTATGAAATCTAAATGTTGAACAAGAGAAATATGCAGAAATCTGGACTGAGGAAGACTGTTTTTGTGTTGTCTTCAGATGGACTGGGCCCCAGTTCCTTGGTGTCTCTTCCCAGCTCTCTCCACTCCTTGCCTGGAAGAAGCAGTTCATTCCACCCCCCACCCCACCAGCTTCTCTGATTCCAATCATTCCCTCTCAGCCCAGTTTACACAAAGACATCTGAGAAGTTTTCCAATCCTTGACTTTGGCTCCATCACTCCTTTTACATCTCTAAAGAACAAGAAGAGTAGGTTCAGGATACCTATTTTAATGCCTGGCAGTTATTACATGAAGAGTGTTAGCTCCTTTTCCAAAGTTTTAAGATAACAATAACTCAGTGAGCTCGTCTTTACAGATGGTATTAAGCAAGCATCTCAGCACAAGGCTGAGGCCTCCAGCCTCAGACATACTCTCAAATTTCGTATCTGAAGATATGTGCTCCACACTCCCTCATGGCTCCCCTAAATGACCCGCCGTCTCCACACACACCACACTGCACTGTGTATTTTCTCAGGGTTCTGGCTCTTTAAGGGATCCTAACTGCTGGCTTAGGCTGGGAAATCTCTGTCTGTCATTCACCTTGCATCTCACAGCTGTTGCTTCTGTAGCCCTAATGTCCCCAGGACTCATCCTCAAGGCATAGGCATGGCAAAGACAGTGGGAAATGCTGGATCCTGGCCTCACCAGACCTGGGTCATAATTTCAACCATGTCTCTGGGGCCATTCACTACTCTGTAAAGCCTGAGAACTAATGCTTGACTACATAAAATGAATCCACCTGCTTTATTATTTAGTTGCCACAAGTGTGCCCTCTGCTATCTCCTTCCCTTTGACTAGTTGGGACCTGGCTAGCTGATGCTGGCCTGGATCTGTTACCTCCTACTGGATTCCCTCAAGTCCCACCTGCGTCCATGTGGCTCCACCTTCTTGTAGCAGTCTGTGATGACTCAGTCCCTATCAGCCACACCAGGCCCTGGCCTGGCTGAGCCCTGGAGGGGCTCACCTTTCTCCAAGTGAAAAGCACATACAAACTTCATATGGATCTCCCCCTAAAGTGAAAACCCCACCTACAGAGTTTCTGAGCCTTCTGGTGATGAAAAGCTTTCTGGAGAGCCACCTGCCTTCACTGAGAACCTGCCCATGTCAGGAGGAAAGCAGCCAAACTAAGAAGTATAAATCACTGGAGCATAATCACTCTAAGAATCTTTTCTCTGCTAGACAATAAAAATAAAAACCATACTTTGAGCAACTGGGAAACTTAAGCTTATATTTGGAATTATGATCTGCTCACAGTGTTTCTTTGTTTTTTGTTTTGTTTTGTTTGTTTTTGTTTTTTTCTGGTGAGGTAAATGTGCCTTTGTAGTATAATCCTGGAAAACAATCCTTAATACCATAATCAGGAATGTTGAAATTTTGAAAATTCAAAAATCTCTAAAATCAACATTCTCCAAAGTCTAAATTCCTAAAATCTAAAATCCCTAACACTTAAAATCCTGAAAATCACAATAACAAGGCAGTAGCATTACGTTAGACAGGACTATCATCTAGTTATTGCCTTCATGCAGAAGAAATGGATTTCAATTGGATTCCTAAACCATAATGAAATATTTGGAATTAGGTGTGATCAAGCCTTCTAAAACTGAATTTCAAGTTGTTGCCAATAACACTTGTTTTTTCCATTCAGCCCAAAACATTTGGTAAAAAATTTATATGAGTAGATTGGCCAACCAAGAAAACTTCAGTTTAAAAGTGTGGCATTTCATTCCAAACAGATCTTTGGAAAGAAGACATTCAGAGTGTATACAAGGAGGACATAGACCCTGGACTAAAAGGGTAGGGAACTGAAAGCCCGGAGTGGGTTGCTAAGCACTAGAACTCGTTCCTGGCCCTGAGCCCTTCCTAGGCAAGGGGTGAGTGAAATACGTGTGAAGTGGCCCACTCTCGCCACGGACCTCTGGGATCCTAGCGCAGAAGACCCAACAACCCCCATGGACATTTAAGTTGGCAAGGAGAATAGTTCAGAGATGGCAAAGACAGAGGTCCAGTATGCATGGAATGCAGAGGATTTGACATGGGAATGGCTGCAGTGGAGCATGACCATGGGTGCCCGTTGCCTAAGGCTTACCATACTCCTCCAGGTAGCTTTAGCCTTTGTATGCTGCTTGTCTTGGAGACAGCAGGGCTGTGTTGCCACAGGATGAGGTTAGTCTGATCTGAATGCCCCTCTGTATGCTGGCCTTATCTAGAGTCCCTGCCTACCTGTACCTGCCTGCAGTGCAGCCTCAGCTGCCCTATCAAATACTTACCCACAACCACCACCATAGCTCATTTGCCAGAAAACCCCACCTTCCTATTATAGTGTTTTTGCAGACAGTCCCCTCTGACATACTTGCCCACAGCCTTCCCCTGCTGCACTGCAGGCACACACATGCATATGAAAATCCATCACTTTGCTGATATGCATGTGCTTGTGGACCTACCACTAGCCCACCAGCATGCACATGCTCACAGCCGCTGTGCCACTGTGCACTTTCAGGCAGCACTCACCTTCCCCCAACACTTCCCTGTTAGAGCATACTCATCCATGTCTTAGGCACCAATCCCCTGCCTGTGCACTTTTGCCAGAAGCCCCTGTCAGAGTGTTGTCATGGGAACATCTCAGCCCCTCCAGCACAGCAGATGCTTGACCTCAAGGGGCCAGAAACAAAAGTTTCTAACCCTTGCCCCAGGGTCAGAGCATGTAGTCCAAGAATGTTGAGCTGAACTTTGGCCCCATGAACACATCCAGAAATGAAGCCAACAGACCAAACTTAACTTGTACAACAATCAAACTCTCAAGGTCATTAAAGAATATAAAAACAAAAAATAGCAACTTCAAAGATTAAAGAAACACACAGATGAGAAAGAATCAGTGAAGAAACTCTGGCAACTCTGAAAATCCGGAGTGTCTTCCTACCTCCAAATGACCACACTAACTACCCAGCAATGGTTCTTAACCAGACTGAAATGACAGACATAAAATTCAGAATCTAGATGGCAAGAAAGTTAGACAAGATACAGGAAAAGATTGAAACCCAATCCAAGGAAAATGGTAAAACAATCTGAAAGTTGAAAGACATAGCCATTTTAAGAAAGAAAGAAAGAAACTAAAATGTGAAAATAAAAAATTTACTAAATGAATTTTATAATGTAACTGGAAGCATTAATAACATAATAGAACAAGCTGAGAAAAGAATCTCAGAGCTCAAAGACCATTCCTTTGAATGAATACAGGCAGAAAAAAATTAAAGAAATGTTTTAAATGAACAAAACCTCCAAGAATATGGAATTATATAAAGATGTCAAGCCTATGATTCATTGGCATTCCTGAAAGAGATGGACAGACAGCAAGCAACTTGAAGACATATTTCAGGATATTGTCCATGAAAATTTCCCCAACCTCACTAGAGAGGTCCACATGAAAATTCATAAAATTTAGAGAACTGCTGCTGCAAGATACTATACAGTACAACCATCCCCATAGTACACAGTCATCAGATTCTCCAAGGTAAATATGGAAGAAAATTATTTAAAGGCAGCTACAGAGAAGGAGCAGATCACTTACAGATTGAAGCTCATTAGGCTAAGAGTGGATGTTTCAGCACAAACTTTAAAAGCCAGAAGAAACTGGCAGCCTGTATTCCACATCCTTAATGAAAGAAAATTCCAACCAAGTATTTTATATCCAGCCAAAGCAAGCTTCATAAGCAAAAGAGAAATAAAATCCTTTTCAGAGAAGCAGATGCTAAGGGAATACATTACCACCACAACTGCATTACATTTATGAGAGGTCCTTAAGGGCATGCAAAACCTGAAAATGAAAGACCAATACTTGCCACCACAAAAATACATTTAAGTACATAGCCCACTGACACTATCAAACAATTATATAATCGAATTTACATGACAACAAGCTAACAACACAATGACACTATGAAATCCTCACTTATCAACATTCACCTTGAATGTAAACTTGCTAAATTGTGGGGAAAAGGAAGAGAGATCAGATTGTTACTGTGTCTGTGTAGAAAGAAGTAGACATAGGAGACTCCATTTTGTTATGTACTAAGAAAAATTCTTCTGCCTTGAGATTCTGTTAATCTATAACCTTACCCCAACCCTGTGCTCTCTGAAACATGTGCTCTGTCAACTCAGAGTTAAATGGATTAAGGGCGGTGCAAGATGTGCTTTGTTAAACAGATGCTTGAAGGCAGCATGCTCCTTAAGAGTCATCACCACTCCCTAATCTCAAGTACCCAGGGACACAAAAACTGCGGAAGGCCGCAGGGACCTCTGCCTAGGAAAGCCAGGTATTGTCCAAGGTTTCTCCCCATGTGATAGTCTGAAATATGGCCTCGTGGGAAGGGAAAGACCTGACCGTCCCCCAGCCCGACACCCGTAAAGGGTCTGTGCTGAGGAGGATTAGTAAAAGAGGAAGGAATGCCTCTTGCAGTTGAGACAAGAGGAAGGCATCTGTCTCCTGCCTGTCCCTGGGCAATGGAATGTCTCAGTATAAAACCCGATTGTATGCTCCATCTACTGAGGTAGGGAAAAACCGCCTTAGGGCTGGAGGTGGGACCTGCGGGCAGCAATACTGCTTTGTAAAGCATTGAGATGTTTATGTGTATGCATATCTAAAAGCACAGCACTTAATCCTTTACATTGTCTATGACGCAAAGACCTTTGTTCACGTGTTTGTCTGCTGACCCTCTCCCCACAATTGTCTTGTGACCCTGACACATCCCCCTCTTTGAGAAACACCCACAGATGATCAATAAATACTAAGGGAACTCAGAGGCTGGCGGGATCCTCCATATGCTGAACCCTGGTTCCCCGGGTCCCCTTATTTCTTTCTCTATACTTTGTCTCTGTGTCTTTTTCTTTCCTAAGTCTCTCATTCCACCTTACGAGAAACACCCACAGGTGTGGAGGGGCAACCCACCCCTACACTAAATGACCCGTTTGAAAAGCCTAGAGTGGCAACATGGATAAAGAAGCAAGACCCAATGGTATACTGTCTTCCAGAAACCTATTTCACATGTAAGGACATCTATATGCTCAAGATAAAGGAATGGAGAAAGATCTATCAAGCAAATGGAAAACAAGAAAGAGAAGAGTTTGTTATTTTTATTTCAGTCAAAACAGGCTTTACCAATGATCAAAAAGTACAAAGAAGGGCATTACATTATAATAAATGGTTCAATTTGGCAAGAAGACTTAGCTATCCTAAATATGTACACACCCAACACTGGAGCAACAAGATTCATAAAACAACTTCTTAGAAACATATGAAGAGATATGCATAACCACACAATAATAGTGGGATACTTTAACACCCCAGTGACAGTATAACACATTATCGAGTCAGGAAACAAACAAAGATATGTGGAACTAAACTCAACACCAAATAGGCCTAACATAGATTTACAGAATACTTCACCCAACACCAACAGAATATGCGTTCTTCTCCTTGGCACAAAGCACATATTCTAAGAATTACCATATGCTCAGGCATAAAGCAATTCTTATGAACTTCAGAAAAACCAAAATCATACCAAGCACACTGTTGGACCACAATGCAATAAAAATAGAAAACAATATCAAGAAGATATCTCAAATCCATTCAATTGCATGGGAATTAAACAATCTGTTACTGAAGGACTTTTGGGTAAAGAATAAAATTAAGGCAGAAGTCAAAGCATTTACTGAAATTAACAAAAATAAAGATCCAACATGCCAGAATCTCAGACACAACTACAGCAATGTTAAGAGAAAAATTTATAGGGCTAAATGCCTACATCAAGAAATTAGAAAGATCTCAAGTTAAAAACATAACATGACACCTAAGGTACTAGATAAACAAGAGCAAACCAACGCCAAAGCTAGCAGAAGAAAATAAATACAATCAGAGCTGTACTGAATGAAATTAAGAAGCAGCATCCCATAAAAATGATCAATAAAACAAAAAGTTGGTTCTTTGAAAGCCTAAACAAGATTGATAGACCACTAGCTTGACTAATAAAGTAAAAAAGAAAGAACATCCAAATTAACACAATCAAAGATGGCAAAGTTGAGATTATCACCAACCCTACAGAAATACAAAAAACTGATGGTCATGCATAGTGGCTCACGCCTATAATCTCAGCACTTTGGGAGGCCAAGGTGGGTGGATCACCTGAGGTCAGGAGATCAACAACAGCCTGGCCAACATGGCAAAACCCATCTCTAATAAAAATTCAAAAATTAGCCTGGTATGGTGGCATGTCCCTCTAATCCCAGCTACCTGGAAGGTTGAGGCAGGAGAATCACTTGAACCTGAGAGGTAGAGGTTGCAGTGAGCCAAGATTGTGCCATTGCACTCCACATTCCAGCCTGGATGACAAGAGGAAAACTCCCATCCAAAACACACACACACACACACACACACACACACACACACACAACTCTCAAAAACTATTATGAACACTCCCATTCACATAAATGATAAAAGCAAGAAGAAATGAATAAATTCCTGGAAACAGACAACCTCCCAAGACTGAACCAGGAATAAGCTGAAACTCTGAATAAACCAATCAGTAGTTCCAAAATAAAATTACTAATAAATGGCTTACCAACTATAAAAAGCTCTGGAGCAGATGAATTCACAGCCAAATTCTACCACATGTGAAAAGAAGAGCCGGTTCCAACCACCCTGAAATTATTCCAAAAAAATCAAGAAGGGACTCCTCCTTAGCTCCTTCATGTGCAAATATACAATGAAAAAATAAAACTTCAAGCCAATATCTCTGATGAACATAGACACAAAATCCTCAAAAAATACTAGCAAACCAAATGCAACAGCACATCAAAAAGAAAATATACCATGATTATATTAGTCCATTCTAACATTGCCATAGAGAACTACCTGAGACTGCGTAATCTGTAATAAAAAGAGGTTTAATTGGCTCATGGTTCTGCAGGCTGTACAGAAGCATCGCTGAGGAGGACTCAGGAAATTTATAATTACGGTGGAGGGTGAAGGGGAAGCAGGTACATCTTACCTGGTTGGAGCAGAGGGAAGAGAGAGAAATGGGAGGCACTACACACTTTTAAACAACAAGATCTTATGAGAACTCACTCACTATCACAAGAACAGAAAGGGGAACGCCCACCCCATGATCCAATCTCCTACTGGGCTCCTCCAACATTGAGGATTACAATATGACATGAGATTTGGGCAGGGACACAAATCTAAACCATATCAATGACCAAGGAGGCTTTAATCCTGGGATACAAGGTTGGTTCAATAAGCATAAATCAATAAATGTGATTCCTCACATAAACAGAACTAAAGACAAAAACCACATAATCATCTCTGTGTCACGTGACACAGAAAATGCTTTCAATGAAAATCAACATATCTTCAGTTAAAGACTCTCAAAAAAATAGGCACCAAAGGAATATACTTCAAAATAATAAGAGCCATCTGTGAGAAACACATACCCAACATCATACTATAAATGGGCAAAAGCTATAAGCATTCCCCTTGAGAATTGAAACAAAACAAGAATGCCCTCTCTTACCATTCCTATTCAACATAGTACTAGAAGTCTCAGCCAAAGCAATACGGCAAGAGAAAGCAATAAAAGGCATCCAAATAGAAAGAGAGGAAATGAAACTATCTCTCTTTGCAGAGTACATAATTCTATGCCTAGAAAACCCCATTGTTTCTGCTCAAAGGCTCCTAGAACTAATGGACAACCTCAGGAAAGTTTCTGGATATAAAATCAACTAAATATTGAGGACACATGAACAAAAAGATGAGAAGACTAGACATCAGGGCCTACTTGAAGGAGGTGGTTAGGAGGAGGTGAAGGTCATAAAAACTACCTATCAGGTACTATACTTACTACCTGGATGATGAAATCATTTGTACACCAAACCTGAGCAGCATGTTTACACAGGTAACAAATCTGCAAATCTGCACTTTTACCCCTGAATCTAAAATAAAAGTTGAAAAAAATAAAATAAAAATATTTCATTTGCCT
The DNA here is from genome assembly GCF_000001405.40 of Homo sapiens. Lineage (NCBI taxonomy): Eukaryota > Metazoa > Chordata > Mammalia > Primates > Hominidae > Homo > Homo sapiens. The sequence goes on from NC_000005.10 coordinate 8,941,787, forward strand.
GCACTTGCATTCCTTCCAGCTGATGGCATTCCAGGAGTTTTTAATGAATTAAAGCCTCATTTTCAGAAGAAGCCAGTGAAGTTACTGACTGGTTTGAAAATAATTATGTGCATGATAGAATAAAAAGACACTTATGCAATGGTGTTGCTGTTTGATCACCAATATTGTTTCTGCCAAATTTGTTATCTATATATGAATACATGTGAAATACATTTCTGCATACACAAAACAACATTGAAGCATGGAGCAGAAGATGGGAAAATTTAATAGGGAACATGTATGTTTATATATATCAAATTATAAATTTCATAAAGAGCAGCACCATGTAGAAAATGAATGTGAAAATATTCTCTGAGGAGAGCTGTGTCCTAAAGGAAAACAAATGCAGCTACTCATCATGATACAAGAATTCAAAATAAAATTTAATGATCATGAAGGTCAGCTATCTCTTATGAACTGTCTCCATGTAATCGCCTAGACTCTATTCCCTGTAATGTACTTTCAAATATGTCAAAATTTTTTTTCTTTTTCTTTTTTTACTATTTAAAATTATAGTCATTATTTTTTACAAATCTCTGTGTTATGCATTTCGTCTTTGAATCATTTCTAATACTGAAGGCATACATTGCATAATGACTTTTAGATAGCTCTAATTAGTTTTACGCAATATTTGTAAATGTGAGTCCGTGAAAGTGCATTATTACAATGTTGACTTTGTGTGTGAGCATTGCGTTTGTATGTAAAAATCTTAATACTTCTTTAATAAATGATGAAATGTCCTTTTTGTACAGCTGCATCTGTGAACGATAAAATTTATCAAGATCTTGACTTTTGGGGCAGTTGATGAGGCGGTGATGTGGTGGTGATTCTGTGGATTTTGATCAATATTGTCAAAAAACTTAGGTTGTCCCTCATGGTATTTCAGATAACTGCAATTTTAGCTGGGTGCAGACAGTTTCCAACCACAGTGATACACATTTATACATTTCACATTCGACCTATCTCTTTATAAATAAAGTTTGTCTTCTCATAGCCATTATACCTGCATGACTGTCATTAATATACCTGAATGTTTATGCTTGGAAAAATATGTATGTTACTATTGCCTATTATATCATGTAAAGTGGCCTATGAAGTGTTCTATTGTAGTTGTATATGTTTCTCAAATAAACCTCCATTTTAAAATGTAAATAAATATTTTTTAAATAATTTTTACTTTTTTTCAGAAGTATATTTTTGAATGCTCATTGACACAAACACAATTCTTCCACGCAAAGTCAACATTGTACTAATGCACTTTCACGGAATGACATTTACCAAAAAATGCATGAAACCAATAGAAATATCTAAAATCTTTTAAACAATTTATACCTCCAGCGTTAGAAATAATTTAAAGACTAAACACATTTTTTGGTCTTCGAGAATTTCAACATCCGGGATCATAGTGCTTGGATATACAGATTAGTTGTATTTTTTTAAAAATGATGATAGGATCCCAGAAAATATCACCTTCAATTTCTAGGATGGGGAAGGCACAGGCTGATGTATCACTCCTATTTACTCTATAATCCCCTAAGTTTGACATGAACACATTAGGGTTTACTTTCCTCCAACTGTAAGTCCGAGAGTGCAGGTCAGCTGCTTCAGAACCTGAAGTTTTCTGAGGTTCCCATCCAGCATGTGGCTTCCGACTCAGGGTCACAGGAAGGCCACTGGTGCACATTCCAGACAAGTGAAAGGGAAAGGGAGAAGCGTGTTCTTCCCATGAACTTTGGAAGCTCTATTCTGGCATGACTGCCTAATTGTCCAAAGCACACCTCAGGATCTCCTAGGCTCACACCAGAGGATGGCTGCATATTTTTAGCTTGGAACATGTTATTCACCCCATAAAGAGGACAGACATGTGTTAATAAGAAAAAAAGAAATGAACATTGGTAGGCAACATGCAGGGACTGCTACAATAGGCTTACTTTCCTCACCAAGCAGAGAAAAATGGAACTCCTGCTGTAGCAACACTGTATACTGCCCTTGACCCTATCTTAAAAATATGAATGCTGTACTATTCTTTGTGCCTATGTCAGATAACTTGGCAAATCTTCAAGCTTTATACTTAATCCATTGTAACCATGTAAGAAATGATATTTATGTTTTTATAGATAAACCACACATGTAACATTTCCAAACAGCCATATATTTCATTTTATTGTTGCTGTTGTTACTGTTGTTTATTGACAATTTGTCTACCTAAATTATTAAGTTTCTTCTTTTGTATATCTTTCCCGTGAGCACGGTTTGGGTTTGTGATTCCGGAGGTAGGGGGTGTGGGGGAAATGCATCACTCTGCAGTTCCATATTCTGCCTCCTCAACCCTTACACACAAATCTTAGCAAAGAGGGTAGTATGAATAAAAAGGAAAAGGTCAAATGCCAAGAGATTATTCATGTCTGATTCATGTGGTTTGCAGAATTGTAAAAATTGCTTAATTCATTAGAATATAGAAACCATTTCAATAAGTTTCTATGTGATTGCAGCACGTAGGACACTGATAAAATATTTGATGACTTAAGATATGAAACATTTATGAAGGTTCATAGTTATACAGATCAATTCATATTGACTCTCCTGAAATCATATTACCTAGATCAAATTGAGGAGTACATTTTATAGTCATGCAGTTACTGTCAAAAATGATAATTGCCAAAATGGATAATGCAGGTAAAAATGGCCTCCATTTCATGCCTCAGTTATCAGTGTTCACTGATCCTTACAATTTTCCTATAAGACGACAAAATAGAAAATAATTCAGTCTAGCCATTTGACAATAAGTATAAGAATGCTAGTTTTTTCTAAGTTTGCCATAAATACAAAATTTCTTTGATATTTTGGCCACTATTCTTTACTTTTCCTACAAAGAGAACAGAGAGTAAAGCTTACTGTATTCATTTAATGGTTCTTTTCTTTTTCTAAAACTTGTAATCATAACCAGTAACACATGCTGAGACCAAGATATCAATAGAAAATAAGAGAAATATCTGTCCTGATTCACGTGTGTGTGTATGTGTGTCTCTGTGTGTGTATGTGAAATATGAATGGGGAAATGTGTAGTGACTATGTTATATCTGTCTAGCTCTGTTTTATCTTCCATGAAGGCCCTGTGGTCACAACTAGTTGTTTTATATTGATGAAAATCACCAAAGTGAGATGCAATAAACAGAAAGTGAGCAAGTGTATTTTATATCTAAAAAAAAAAGTACAGATCCATATTTCCAATTCATGACTTCAAAATCAGCTATGCGGACCACTGCAAGAACAGTTTTTTGATAGGTGGAACCTTTGTGTCAGTGTATTTGCACATGTTTTGTTGTTATTGTTTCACTTTACCTGTTGATTTTCCCCCACAATGGGAATGGCCCATGTATACCGAAAAGATGACTCCTCAGAGGGAACATAGACGAGAGTTGTTTGTTGAATGTAGTTGAAAAGATTCTTCCCTAGGCGGAAACCCAATTCAAACCAGCTTAATGTAAAATGAGGATTTAATGGCTCCCAGAGAAGAAATCTTCAGGAATGGTTTAATCAAGGTTCTCACACAAGGTCAGTGGGTACCCCTGTCTCCCCACCTCTCCCCTCCCTTGCTCCCTGGACAGGACTCATCCTCAGCACTGCTCTCTCCATGCTTGTGATGATCAATTCTATGTGTTAAATTCACTACACAGGCCATGTGTAGTGAATTCTCATAACTTTATATTACCTTGGCATCTGTTTTGAATACAAGTTTAGTTTTCTCATACTAGAAGCAGGGTTTAGTTACCCTTGACATGGTTTCCAATTCTACACTGCAACCAAATGGCTCAATCCAGTGGCCAGAGATAAGAATTTATCTGCCTCTGATACTGGAACTCCCATTTAGCTAGAGGCTCTCAAAACACTATGATACCCAGTTTTGGGTCAAATATCAGTTTATATATTGATTCAAAATTATTATTTAGCTGTGTTTTTAAGTTATGATTAATATTTAATTCAGTGGACTTTCAGTAGAGAAGATTATAACCCCCTTTCTCTGTGTGTATATGTGTATTATTATACACATAATAAGTTTGCTGACTTTCTCTTCCTAGCGTCTTATTTTGGTGCTTTTCTTATCAAGCTAAAACAAATTAGGAGTCTTAGAAAGGATAGTTGATATTCTCAAATCATGTTAAATTGTTTTACATCAGTGAACTGATTTTTTAGCCAATAATGATACATGTAATCTTTCTTTCACATGGCAGTTAGATCACTCCTATATTCTATTCCACAAATGCTAAAGAGATGACATCCTACAAGAAGCACTTTCTCTCCCACTGAGCTCACTGGAAAGCCCCTGTCACTCTTTTTTATCCCACTGTGAGTATGAATTCAGCTTTCCCAGTATGTCCTCTCGTACAGTCATTTTAAAATACAACCAATTTATTCTCTCTTTAAAACATCCATTTAGAAATCCTGATAACTCCTGGGACTCACTACCATGTTTCATGTTGACGAGAAAATCACCTGTTTATATGAATAGTCCATACACAAATAGCCAATATTATTCTACAGAAGGTAATTTAGTACCATAAATTAGAAACGAATTGATTTACACATCTGGAAATAGATGTTGAGGTCTTTTATTCATTGACTAATTTTCCAAAATTATTTCCCTCATGTCCCAGAACTTTAAATTTGATAAAATAAGATTCCCACCCCTCTTTTCACAACTGTATTTAAGAGAAAAAGAAACACAACCTGAAATTTCCCTTAATCATCTGAAATGTATTGCTAGCTCACATGACATCCCTTTATGGCCAGACGTTCTGCCTCCTGAACAGACTTCTGTCCACTCGCATTTAGCATGTCTCAAGTCCAAAAAAAAACAGCTAATTGACAGGCCACATTGTAAAAATCTGCTTTTAACTTGCTTTGTGCCACATTGTTAAGAAGCAGTTAACTAAATTACTATTGTCAATTATCAACATTAAATTGACACTATTAAAACTGATGATTAAAATCACATTTGATGATTTGTTTTGTTTTCTCTTGGTTTTCTTTGGGCTTTGAGGGTGTAGAAAAGATTGTGTGTTGGATTCAATAACAACCAAATTGTCCTTTGGTCTTCTTTCCCATGGAAGTGCCTAGGTGGTGGGGGTTGGGGGTAGTGTCATGTGGGCTAGTCAGGACTCAGCTCATCCAGGTTATTTTTGAGCTGACAGGTCACATTGGTATAGGTGAAGACAGCCTATTTGAGGGTGGAAAGGGCCATGCTTAGGGCATTGTCTGGGATGTGTGTATCAGTAGTTCACCTGCATATGATACTTGAGCAATCTCAGAGAGTCCCAAGGGAACATCTATTGGTAGGACTGCCAAGAACTGTGACAATGAAGACATAATTTTGAGGGCTCCAGCAATTATCTTTGAAGAAGCAGATAAGGTCCATGACATTATGAAGGCATAGAAAAACATGTGGGGTTTTTTTCATGAAGGAAAAAGACTGGCTAAAAGGAAATCCTTCAAAAAGTCTAGGCACAAGTAGTCAAATTAGCACATAAAATATTGAAATTAATTGCCAAATAATCAATTTGTACACACTTCCACAATCATAGTTGACTTTGCGAATAAATCCACTGGGCTTTGTGAGGAATCTATTCTACGACCCCAGGCTAATTTTCCCCAGTGTATCGTGACAATCCTGAACCATCAGGGGAAGCAACAGAGAGAACCCAGCCAGTTGTGAAAGTCACTGTCTCCTCTAGTCGCTCTCTGTTGGACAGCAAGTTAGAATATTTGGCCCTTGGGATATTAGAAGAGAAACACAAATCGATTTTAAAGTTAACCAGCACTGCAAACCAATAAACTGAGAATGTAAACCAGACATAATTTCCATCAATGATGTACTAAGAAAATCAACACCAAAAAATAAAATGAATTTAGGGAGGGGCTACCAATAATGACTGTAATAAAATCAGACAAAATAGAAAACATATACTGTATTGTATTAATATAACTCTGATGGGACATTGTTCTCTGTGGCCTTAATTACTTAGTCATTTTCTTTCATCTTAGATTTTATTCAGTAATTCATTATTTCTATTGTTATTATTGATAATATTGGAAGAATGCTACTATGCTATTTCACATGTATCATCTCAGTTAATCCCAATAATGATTATATCACAACTTCTGATATTATAGAGGAAGGATCTGAGGCTTCACAGTTCATGTGAAGTGTCAGACCTACGAGGCAGGAAGGTGGAGTCAGTTATCAGAGCTGAGTCGTCTGACTCCGGAGCCAGACTCTGCACAATTCAAAGTCTCTGGCTCCCAACTCCCATTGCTTATGACCTGGAATTTGAACACTTAGCAGTATTTTGAAACCAAGGTGTTCAATTCCACCTCTACTGGAGACTTGACTAGTATAGCTGTAGAACATCCTTCCTCTGAGTGTCTTTCTCTCATACTTCAAATCAACTTTTGTAGCAGGGGAATTTATTATCCACAGTGCCAGTCAGGTCACCTGCATTGAGTATAAGAAGATATAAGAGTGGAAGAGGCCTGTATCCAAACAGACACACAACACACACACACACACACACACACACACACACAGGCGTTCAAACTCTCTCTTATAATACACAGTGCTAACCAAAGAACAATCAACCATCTGCAATCCAGATTATACTTGTGGACAGAGGCTTATGACCCTAGTTCTAAAGTCTCCAAGAAAATTAGGTAGGATAAGTGCCCAGTGTTCAGTTAGTTAAGAAGATCCAGATTTTAAGACACTTTAATAAATTCTCTTAAATAAGTAGATTGCACATGGCATTCTTTTACAAAGTTGAAAAGGAAAACTTTTGGAATAAAATAAAATTGGGCTATCATATTGAGCAGTAGTTGAATAAAAATCGGATAGTATGCCTATTCTAACAAGATGAATTTTTAATGCTGTTACTATTATTGAATTCTAAGTTTTCAGAAGTCAAGGTCTTTTGTCCTCATCTGATATGAAAGATCCACAATTGTTTCAAAAAAAAACCCAAAACTTAAAGATGCCAAAATGGAATATCTAACTTATGCAAACAACTTGCGTATTTTAATCTATTCTGTGGCATGTGTATTGAGAAAAATTAAGAAACTGCATTTCTATAATTCATCTTTGTTTAAATTGTAAAATAGTATATTGATGAAACAAAGATGACTGGAAATTACATTTAACAAGATTGGAGAATATTAATGTGCAATGTAGATAGAGACCTGCAGTGTAAATATAGATGTCATTGCCAGGCTGCCTTAACACTCATAATGTACCTACTATCTGATAATTACTGTTTGGAGGGGAAACATTTATAATTTTGACTTTAGCTGCCTTTTGCTGTCTATACCTTACTCTAGCAAAATACTATATTAATTGTGAATTCATGCAACTTTTTACTGGAAATGGAAAAGGAAACACAAAAAGAAGCAGAATTGTATCAGAAGATGTTTATGGGAAGACAGAGACACAGGGAAAATGCAACATGAAGAGGGAAGATTGGAGCGAGGCATCTACAACCCATGGGAATACCAATGACTGCCAACCAACCCCCAGAAACTAGGAAATGCAAGGGAAGGGTGCCCTGCAGTCTTTATAGGGAGCATGGCTCTGCCGACACATTGATTTTGGACTTCCAGCCTCTAGAACTGTGAGACAGTAAATTTCTGTTGTTTTAAACCACCCCATTTGTGGCACTTTGTTATGACAGCCCTAAGCCACTAATACAGTAGAGAGCTAGAAATGGACTTAATTGGTACAAGAATCACATATTTCATTTGCTCAAGACATTGCCAGTTTACATTAATTTTCTTGGTATAATTACTAATAACATTCTTTAATTTTAGAAAGTGACCTAACTTGGATGTGCTGGAAAAGTACTAGAGGCTCATTCTACACCTTGCATCTAGCCAGCTTCAAAACATCTCTAATACCAAGTGTTCCTCTTCTTAAGTATGTGTGAGTGCAGCATAGGGAGAGTAAAGAGTTAAAGTGAACAGCATCCTAGTATAACTTGGTAACATAAACATTTTTCTGAGATAAGAAAAGAAGTATGGACTATGAATACTTAATTGAAGTGTAGGAAAACTGGTTGCTTCAATTCTTAGCTCAGTTAATCAGTCAGTGAATAGTTGAGGTTTCAAATGACCCAGGAACAGTGAATAGAAACTCAGAAAAAGGGAAGAAGACTGGATGATTTCTGACTTTTACAGCATTTACCTGAGGGCGGGCTTTAGTCAGGGTCATGCATGACAGAGGGCTTACTGGATTGAGAAATGAGAGGACAGAGTTCAGGGTGAACATGGCAGATGGAAAGTGAGAAAGGAAACCAAGATGTGTAGAAGAAAGTCACAGTAGAGGGGAACCAAATCATGTGGATAAACTCTGCCTACATCTCTGGCTGACCTTTGAACTATCCACAGGTCGGACAAACTAAGCTAAGCTCAGCTAAGGTTAAAAGAAGAGGAATTTAGTTGCTGCCCATTTCAAGGGAGACATGATTGGGAATTTGAATTTAGTCAAATTAATTGGATGTCCAAAAAAAAAAAAAAACACTTTGAGAGGATTATATCAGAATTCATGGTTTTACGGTATCTCACTCTTAACGTTTAGGATATATTCAAAATTACAAGACATACAAAGCAACAAGAAATGTGAACTCATACTCATGAGAAAAAGCAATCAGGGGAGTCCTCATTTCCTGCAGATTTCTGAAAAGAAAGTGGAAATAAATGAACACACTCAGCTGGAACTATGGGACTCTGGCACAGAACAGCAACAGCGAGGCAGCCCTCTGCCTCAGGGCACCTACACTTCTACTTTTTGTTTCCACAGGCCCACCATTCAAAGGTCCTGACTTCACACCCTCATCAGTCAATATATTATGTTTTATCATTAGAGTGGAGGACAAGGAGAACCTAGGTAAGAAAGAGTGTGAAAGAGGAGAGATAGCAGTTTTGCTTTCCTAGTTAGGTTAGTTAGTTTTAATTTTCTCAGGCTTAATGGCATATGACATTTAAGGGACTGCTGGGGAACAGTCTCTGAGCTATGGTGAATCTGCTGCTCACTTATGAGACTTTTGAAGGACTGAACAGAGAAGGTAATATGTGTTTGTCAAAGATTTTGCATTGACTCCATTTACCTCTATGCCTGATTCTCTAGTTGTTTCCTTTTATTGGCTTCTTAAGAACTGAAAGAGCCCAGGAGATCATTTAATTTACCCCCATCTTTGAATAATTTGTCTCAGAAAGTTTAATATACATACAAGGTTAAACAACTGGTTAGTGTTAACCCTACACCATGTCTTGATCTCAATACTGTTCTTTGCACTGTTGCATCCTTTAACCAATTAATTAATTAATTAATTAAATGCAATTTTTATCACATGCCTACTAGGTGTCAAGAATTGTCCTGCAGGATGGAGGCACATTAGTGAACATGACAGACAAGGTTCTTGTCCTCAATTCACACATCTCATGCTATCTTGGAAGCTGTATGTTGCCTGACTTGGAGTTCTAATCAACTGATATATACAACTTATTATAATTTTCACTTCCAATAAAGAAATTCCATTTGTTGATTTTCCTAACACGTTATCCTCCTATTCCTGTTTGTTTATAAGAAGTTAAATAAAAACTATACATTTCAAAAGACAAAATAAAATCTACCTACTCTTGGCTATAACTAGGCCGGCTTCTAGATATTAGCTCTCTTAATTTATTATGCCATTTATTCATGTGATGATTGACCTACTGAAGCCAAGTTGAAATGATACATGTTACATTCCATGAAATGTTTTCTATTCCAGTCATTCAGACATCTTTTAGTTGCCATCTACCTGCTGCTTTGTGAATTGCTGAGATCAAAGAAAACTGCTGAACAGAGTTAGACATTGCATTTTTCTTATTTTATTTGGTATAATTTATTATAATCTAGTAGATATTCACTTTCAAATAACTAAAGATATACTTTTTGTGTATTGACATGAGATTCTTGTTTCTTTTCACGATTGTTGATGTGGTTTGGCTGTATCCCCACCCAAATCTCATCTTGAATTGTAATCCAAATTGTAATCCTCATGTGTCAGGGGAGGGACCCGCTGGGAGGCGATTGGATCATGGGGGCAGTTTCCCCTATGTTTTTCTCGTGATAGTGAGTTCTCACGAGATCTGATGATTTTATAAGTGGCGATTTCCCATCTCTCTTTTCTCCTGCCTCCTTGTGAAGAAGGTGCCTGCTTCCCCTTCTGTCATGATTGTAAGTTTCCTGAAGCCTCCCCAGCCATGTGGAACTTGGAGTCAATTAAATCTCTTTCCTATATAAATTACCCAGACTCAGGTATTTCTTTATAGCAGTGTGAAATCAGACTAATATTTGTCTTCTGTTTTTTAAAATGTATTATGACATTAGATCTTCACTCATTATACTGTAATTATTAAAGTTGAATCCAGCAAAATAGTAAGCAGAGTGCAGGTGCTGAAGCCATGTGGTTTGAACTGGTGAAAGGAAGGAAAGAAAAACAATGTTATGTGGTTATCCAGTTGATCTAAAGTGAGTATGTGAACAGGAGTTGTGTGTGTGGGGGTGGATATTATTATGTATATATCATGAAAATATAAAATATTACATAATTTTATAATAATCTTGTGGATCACCATTTACAATACACTAAGATATGGTTAGTTCTTACTCATATATGGCAAAGAAGCCCATAGCTAAATCTGCAAGGTAGTGCTATTCAATATTCAAGATCCAAAACCTAAAAAATGGATTGGCCAACACTTTAGGCACTTTAATCATAGCACTCTCTAGTTTATTTAACTTCAAGTTCTTTAATCTGTGTATGTTTTCATACAACAGGATCAAGAAATTTACTTGAAGATTTAACCAACTGCTAAGGATATATTTTAGGTTCCCTTCAAAAACCAATCTTTTTCCTGCTCCTACATCCCAAAAGTGTGTCTTTATTTCTGATAAGACTTGACCTCTCGTCAAAAGGATAGTGTATACTGAAACAACTCTGCCCTCTATTCAAAGGTAAAGAACAGATAAACACACATACACTCAAAAGTAAGGTAAATTAGCTGTGGGTATATCTATAGAGTAGGGTCAAAGCACACAGGAATCAAACCAAGATGTGGAGGCTCAAATTTAATTTGCCTCACAGAATCAGCAACTGAACACAACCTACTGACTGCAGGAGAAAATAAACCAGCTCTCAATAAAAAGTGGCTCCTGAGTCTCAGTTCTTTTCTGAAGAGCAGAAGCTGAACATTCTCTGCCCTGTGCTTGAGGGTTTCAGTTAGAAACAATTTGCATACTTGTAACAGTACAAAGGAAATAATCAGAGACCCCTGCACAACAGGAACTGGATATAGCCTGAATGTTTGCTCCAAACCGAGAAGAGAGATACCATGGAAAGAAACCCTGAGCTGCTGATGCAAGACCTGCTCTGCTTCTGAGAAGTGATCCATCAAAACTTCTCACAGAAAGCAATGAATGTGGGGGGAAAAATGAAACAAACCCTGTGCAATAATGAGAACATGAACAAATGAGGAAATGCATGCAAAAATGAAAATCAGCTTTGGATTTTGTTTTTTGTTTTTGTTTTTTGTTTTTGTTTTTGTTTTGAGACGGAGTCTCACTCTGTCGCCCAGGCTGGAGTGCAGTGGCGCGATCTCGGCTCACTGCAAGCTCCGCCTTCCGGGTTCACACCATTCTCCTGTCTCAGCCTCCCGAGTAGCTGGGACTACAGGCGCCCGCCACCACGCCCTGCTAATTTTTTGTATTTTTAGTAGAGACGGGGTTTCACTGTGTTAGCCAGAATGGTCTAGATTTCCTGACCTCAGGATCTGCCCGCCCCTGCCTCCCAAAGTGCTGGGATTACAGGCGTGAGCCACCACGCCCGGCCAGCTTTTGATATATTTTTAATCACACCAACTATAGAGACAGAAGACATATACAGTTGAAGAAAATATCAGTGAACTGAGAAACACATTAAGGCCTTGACTCACAAGAACACAGCACAGAGCATTAGAGACGAAGAGGACGAGAAAAGAAGAGAGAGAGAAAAGCTGAGACACATAGAAGATTGAGTGAGATTAGAAGCTTCGAACTATGTTGCTGAGTAGTTCTGAAAGAAAGGAAACAAAGCATGGGGCAATGGTGCAATAGAGAATGACTGAGAATTTTTCAGAATTAGAAAAATAAATAAAATGACTGTTTTTAATTTAATGAGCACACTAAGGTCAAATGGATTTTGTAAATTTGCATCTTAGACAAACAAACACATTTCACTGAAACTTCAGGATGTCAAAGTTAATGAGGAAATCTTAACAGTTCCCAGTGAAAAAGAGCCATTTAACTACAAAAGAATGACAGTGGGTCTGATTCCCCTGAGAGCAGCTTTCAGCTTTCTCATCAGAAAAAAGAGATGGAAGATTACAGTGGTTGTATTTTTTTCTCTTCCAAGTGGTGTGTGAAAATACTGTTCTACCTAGAATTCTTTCATCCAAGAATCAGGCAAAATAGAATACATTTCAGATTTATCAAACAAAGAAAGGCCAATAAGAACAGGCACTAGGTAGACATTAGATAAAAGACTTACTAACGTATATAGTGTATCAGAAAAAAAAGAACCCAGAAGGTCAAAGTAGGATATAAAAATCAGTGATTTTTTTTTAAAAAACTTAAATATATAGTATTTTAAGTACTATTTAAAAAATGTTAAAGCATCTTTGTTAGGTACAGGATAGCAATTCTATTTATCCAATAAAATTTCAGAATAAGTAGTTATGTACATATATATATATATAAAATTTCACAACTCTAACCAAATAATCAAAAATAAAATGTATAGATTTCAAACTGCAGACAGAAAACATCTAAGTACATTTTATATGCTCAACACAGAGAAAAAATTAATCAAATAAAACTATGGTAAATAGGAGAAAAAATAACATTTAGATGTAAGTTCAACATAACCAGTTGCAAAAAAATAAAAAGATTAAGATGCTATATTAATGGATAAATGCCCATAGATTGAACTTTTAAAATGTTATGAATGATGTTATTTGTATTTTCACCATGTTAGAAGATAATTCAAACCCTAATATATGTAAATAATGAGAGACACAATTCTTACTTTCAAATTCTGCTTTTCATCTTTTTCCACTGTAGGGGGCAGGTTGACGACAGTAGTAAGTGATAAGCAGTTTGAGAAAGGACCCTATTAAACAGAAACTCTAAATGTGCTTCTGTGTGGCATATTTATTACTATGCATGTATATTGCTTGTAAATAGGGTTTTTTCATTTTATAAATTCCATATTAATGTCACACGACAGTTTTTCTATAGCTCTATTATTTTCTTTGGAATCATTATGAAGGATATTGGAATAACAAAACAAACAAACACAAAATAAATACAGAGAATCTTTATACATCTCAGGCGTTTGTGGGTATATGGTTCATTATACAGAATTTTTAGTGCAGGTAGATTTTCAAAATAGGGGTATACTTCTTACTGTCTTCCATTTTTTACACCCTCCTCCCTTGTCCCCTAGGTTTTGGGCTGGCTACTATTTCTTGCTTAGTAACTGAGGCATATTTCATGTTCCGAAGATGACCACACCAATATCTCCCATCCTGCATGTCCTTTGTACAATGTAACCAGCACTCCTTCCTGGAGAGGTGTGTAGGGTCTCATGGATAGTATAAACAACAGTGTGCCAAAATGGTATTTTGTGGCTTGCAAGACTAAGTCATAGTCTTTCATGTCTCTCTAGTCTTCATATTCTCTCTGTCATTTGACCACTATGCTTGCCCTTGGACTCCACCTACCACATTGTGAGAAAGTCCAAACTAGCCCATAAGAAAAGACCACAAGGAGAGATCCACTGTCAATGGAATTGGAGTCTCCTGCTGAAAGCTAGCACCAACCAGCCGAAATGAGGTTGAGTGAATCTTCAGATAACTTTAGCCTTTCAAGCTTCCCTATGATGTGCCCTGTTTGAATTCCAGACCCACAGAATGTGTGATTATGATAAATGTTCTCTTTACACCACTGAGTTTTAGAGTATCTCATATGCAGCTTTAATAACCATTCATTGTTTGTACCTGTATAATTTACCTAGAATTATTTTGGCCTCTGGAGAGGAGGACAAGAATATGATTTATTACCTTTTTCTCAATATTTTCTTTTCATTAGGGAATAATGCAAGTAGAGATTCACCGTCCCTGGCCCACTGACATTTTCCTTTGGTGTCTTTTGTAAATATGTATTTGCTACTTCACATTATGTAAATAAATCATAGGCATTTTTTTTCCTATCCAGGGTTCCTCAGGATAATTTTTCAGTAAGATTTATTATATGCACTAAGTGCAGGTGAACTGGGGGAAATGTTTCTTTTCACACCTGTTTCTATTTTGCCATTACGTTTAAATGGCAAAAGTAGCAATTACTTTCGCACCAACCTAATACATACTCCCCAAGTCCAAGGCTTAATTAGCTTCTGCTTTCCAAAGCTCTATAAGCACTCTTATGACAATGTGCCCTCCACACAATAAAGCACCGTGACCATCCACAAATAAAGTTTTATCTTCAAAATAAGTTAATTGCTAAGATCAAGTCTAAGTACTTTCCCTATCAACCAGAAGTCAGAAGATGTATGAAAAGTGAACTTCAGTATAAATACAGAATCTTTTTCAATCTAAGTTACTTGAAAGTAGGCTTTTATATAAATTCTACTGCCGTGTAAAGACATATTACAAACTGTTCTTTGGCAAGTCTTATTCCTTTGAATAAATTAATATTATTAGAGTCATCTAGCATTTTGTCATTATGCCCTTTCTCGTGAAGCTGGTAATACAAATGCAGTCATCTAAATGGCAACACTAACTGCAATTACTATGGCTGCTGTTCATCACCATCCATTTTTTATCATTTTCATTAGACCTAGATTTCTTGCTCATTCATTGACTTCACATGCCATGTAGATTTGATTTCCTCACTCGAGTTGTCAAGGATGCATTTCCATAGATGACAATATGAGACACAGACTTCCATAGTAGATTTCAGGGGGTAAATTTTAGTGCTGTGCTACAATTACTGTTCTGTCAGGTTCTGCTAAGACCAATTTAATTTCACTGCATCATGATTTACTAGAAACTGTGGTATAAAATAAGATCTGGCTGAACACCTGGGGTATCTAATCAGGTTGACAATGATGGAGTGAAAGTCAAATTGCCCTTGGTATTAGGGAAGCCTGGACATTTAATTCCTCAAAATGTGTGGTGAAAATCTTCTCTAGCACCTAATAGTGCCCTTTGTTCTGTGAATAGAATGCTGTTCTGATCTTCCGTGTGGGAGGAGCATGCCTTCCTCCTGAGCAGTGCCATATTACCTACTTCATTGTTATGGAGTTCTACACTCCTTACAAATGAGCTAAACTTTTTTCAAAACTTCTATATTTTCATGTATGTTTTCTGCTGCAATTTTTCTTCAATTGAATAAAAATCTGGAGACATAAGGTATCATAACTCTATACCATCACACTTACAAAAACGCAGGACACTGCCACCACTAGTTACAACACTGGCAACCCAGTCTCATACATCCGCAACGTGCTCAGATAGATAGGTTGTGGCAAACCACCAACCTGAGTGTTGCAAACAGTTCAAGGTACGGGGAATTAGGAATTCTTTTTTTTTTTTTTTGAGATGGAGTTTCACTCCTGTTGCCCAGGCTGGAGTGCAATGGCGTGATCTCAGCTCACTGCAACCTCTGCCTCTTGGGTTCCAGCGATTCTCCTGCCTCAGCCTCCTGAGTAGCTGGGGTTACAGGCATGTGCCACCATGCCTGGCTAAGTTTTTTGTATTTTTTAGTAGAGACCGGTTTTCTCCATGTTGGTCAGGCTGGTCTCAATCTCCTGAACTCAGGTGATCCACCTGCCTCGGCCTTCCAAAGGGCTGGGATTACCGGCATAAGCCACCATGCCCAGCCCAGGAATTCTTATAATATGATTTCAACACATTGAATGGTCCATCATTAAAAGTGAAAAATGTGAATATTCTACTATTAATTTATCCATTTTTTTTTAATTTTGAAACTAACTGGCTGTGTGCCACAGACCATATTAGACATGATACATATGAAGACTGGATGTGTGATACATATAAAAATAAAATATTTGAACTCACAAAAACAGAGTCTAAAAGGGGAAACAGTGTATGCCAACTACAGAGAAAATAATCTACAAGTAAAACCTGTGCTGTTTACTTACTACAGTTAACTGTTTTATTTTTCTATATTTGGCTGTCATGTTGGTCCTTGGCTCTAACATGATGGGCATCTATGAAGGAAATGGGATAACAGCATCAGAGCTTGGGAAAAAGATAATTTATGGTTGAGGATACAAGAAGCCAAATCAAGGGCATAAATTCATAACTGACTTAAAATTTAAAATCTTAAAATTTATAAATTTATAAATCTATTAAACATACTCCCAAATTGTAAGAATAATTTTTTATTTACTTCAAAGCATTCTAATTCACAGTCTCTTACAACACTTCCATGGAGATAATCATTTTCAGGTGAGGAGGGGTGACCACATGTAAGCGAAGCCATGACTTTTAAAAATGTTAGGATTCCATGTTTGAAATTAAAAGGCATGGGTAGAACTTTCTTCCCCTTCGTGAGCTGCAGGAGGCACATGATGTGGCATTAGCCTCTTCTAATAAGTCACTGACACCACTTTGCTGAACTCAAAAGGCATGAAGAAAAGGTTTCCTTTCTTTGCTTCTACACACCCCCTGGGAAGCTACCATACTCTCTTCTACATTAGGTCACTTTTTTTTTCTCCACGCTCTTCTAACTTAACAAATGTTTCCTTTGAGTTCTTACACAAACACATTATAAATGATGACCTCCTGAACGGTGTAATCTGGGAGTGCGGTTGAATGCTCTGTCCATGGTAGAGCCTTGAAGTGGCTTCTGAGTATGAAAGGATCACGTCCAGGATCCTCATGGATGATTTTAATCTCCACCCCATCTTCAGCAGGACAATGGTAGCCCATCAATGTTTCCCTTTTATTTAAGAGGTAAAATTCTCCTAGAACATGGGAAAATGACGTTATTTTTACTTGTCATAATGCACAATTATGTATGACAGATCTGCTTTCTGTTTGTTGATAAAATACACTTTCCCAGTCTACCAGCTTTTATTGATGTCATCTCTTTACTTCAGCACTTCTGGTTCTCAGTCTGTATATATGATACAAAATAATATATATGATCACATAGATTAAATAATCTCAAATTAAAATCAACTGCAGTGGCTTTCCATGAACTTGGGAACAACGAAGGAGATGGGTAGATTAATACCTGTCCTTAAATCAGCCAGAAGATGGGTCTTTCCTTCAGGCAGCAGGTATAAAAATGAAGACAGTGCCAAGCATGGGTGATGGTGAATGGATTCCTGAAGCTTCCTGCAACCCAGGGTACCTCGTGCTTTTTGCTTGGCTGAGGTGGGAGTAGGTTAAGGACCTATGTGACACTGGCAGGAGGCAGGCAGCCCACATGGACCTTCACATGCAGGTTGCTCCAATGTGCATCAGGACAAATACCCACTCAGAAGACTCTACCCCAGGACTCTGCACAGGAGACAAAAGGGCATTCAGCTGAGCCTCAGAAGATTGGGGGTCAGCCCTGCCCCTACCCCAGTGAGACCTTCCATTTGGAAAGGCACTTTGACTTCCTGCCTTGGATTCCTCAAGGGTGGGAGGAAAGAACTATAACTAAATCAGCTCTGAATACCAATCAAGCTTTGTTATTTTTTTTTTTTCACTCAAAATGTTAGGGACAACCACAGATTGTCTTGAGATCCAGCAGACGTCCAAGCATTTTATGACTTTAAAGGATTAAAGAATGCACACATGTCTAGGAAAAAGCTAAAATGAGATGTTTCCAGTTGTAGCTAGCAATTTCTTGTGATTGAGGAGCTCTGGATGAGGATAAATGATCATATGTCTGCTAGGAAATACAAATTATAAAGTGTGCTGAGATTTCAGTTTTTCTTCAAAATGTTACAGAAGTCAAGGCCCATACAGTTCCTTCTTAAAAGAGTCAACAGGGAAGGGTGTACCTGAACATAGCAGAATCTGAGGTGCCAAGCAGTTACTGGAAAAGAGTTGTGAATATAATTTTTGGCCATTTTTTTGTTTTTGTTTGGGGTTGTTGTTGTTGTTTTGGAGGAGAAAGTCCTTAGTTTATATATATTCTACCATCTTGAAATCCAAGAGAAAAATCATGAAGTGACAGAAATCAAAGTATTATCATGTTTACTGTATACTTGGTCTCCTGAAGCATAGAAATGTCTTATATTGATTTTGCTACAGATGTCACCCTTTTCTTCTGAATGATGACAAAAATTTTGTAAATTAAAATTTGGAATTAAGTTTTCTTTAAAGATACAAATTACTAAAACTAAAAAAATCCTAGCATTTACTAATTTTACCAATAGAAGTGCTATTATATTGTATATGTGAGATACAGCAGTATTTTTAATATTCTCCTATGGTTTGATTACTGGCACAGAAGATTCTAACAAGGCACTTTTGTGTTCAAGGCACAAGGTGATTTAAGGATGCACGCCACCCCTGTGTCTCCTTGGAGGAGTTACAATCTATGAGACAGAATGCACACACAAATAACTACAAAACAACTCAGTGAGAGATAAACAAAATTAATGGTGCTTCTCCATATAAATGGCTCATTCTTAAACATTAACTTTGTGGATCCTGTCCACAAATCTGTGGAAGATAAAAGGGTGGATAATACTGTTCCAAATTTACTAATGAATATGTAAGCACAAATCAAACAAGGGCACCATCAGCAAATGAGAAGTGCAGATTTTTACTTCTGCCCCATACACCAAGTTATACTCACCATTCATGGGTGAGAATGGTTTTTATACGCCCTATCAAGCTTAGTAATCAGAAAAGTATTTGATTTTTTATTTAGGAAGAACAGGGGTGAGTTATCTTCATGAAGCTGAGGGTGCTGAGCATTTTAGGCAGAGGAAAGAACATGGGAAAAAGGATGGACATAATGAAGTGCTAAGGATGCTCGGGTTACTTACAAAAACACACTGTGGCCAGCACCTGAGGCTCCTGCACAGTCACAGAGGAGGGGGCATCGAAAGACAGGCAGCATGTGCTTGTTTTTCAAGGATTTCAAAATTTGGTCCATGGACATTGGGAATCCCTGGCAATATTAAATCAAGAAAGGGATAGATTAAATAGATAATTTGGGAAGAGCAAATTCAAGGAGTCTTGCAGATTTACCTTGAAAGAATCCAACTGAGGAAGGCAAGCTAAAGGGAAGTGGGAATTTCTGGGGGTATGAGGGTAAGAAACCCAGTTGAGATTATTTAAGCATAAAAGAGAGTTTAGCATTTCGTAAAACTGAAAAGTTGAGATGTGCTGACTTCGAGACCAGGCACTAAAGCTACATCATCAGAGATCTGTCCCTCCTCCTTCACCTTTTGGTTCTGCTTTTTGTGTGGGCTTCTTTCTCATGCTTTTTCCACATGAGAGGCAAGAAGGTACTGCAAATTCCCAGTTTGTACAGCCTAGCATGCCAAAGAGATACACTCTCTCCCACAGTATCAGTTTCTCTCTCTGAGAAAGAACTTGGATTGGTTTCTTTCAATGTCTCCTGCCCAGAAATCACTAATTCCTAAGGGAGAATGGTAATCAGATTAATCAATGTGAGTCTCACGCTTACCCCTTTGGCAGGGATATATAGAAATAACACAGCAGCCCCAAATACTAAGGGTTTAAATCAGCACAATTGTGTTTACTGCTCATTCTGCTTCTATTCAGGATCAGCGTGGGTTCTGCACTGTTTCTTCTTCATTCCTAGACCCAGGCATGTTAAGAACAATAAGTAATCAACAAAAATGACGTTAAACTCATTGGTTCAGTCAATAACATCTATAACCTCAATTTAACAGCTAAAGGTATGCTAACTCCTGAACACTAATGGCTTTAAAGCTTGCCAACAATCCATGTAGGAGAGAGTGGGTTAACAAGAGTCTACCTTCTTTGTTTAAGCAAATAAGAAACTCAGATACACACACACACACACACACACGAGATACTGCATGGTAGCCTCTTTCTTTGACAATTGAAAGTTTATCAGATTCTTTTGAAGACCCTCTCCTCTTGGTGTCATTCCAAAAAACCTTGAAACAATAGGAAAACTCGGAGGGCTCCTTGTTCCCCACAGTCTGACAGGCCTTTTGAAGTGCTGCCTGGGAATTTCTCAACAATGATGTCAGATCTGACTTCTTTCATTGAGGTTGCATTGCTAAATTTATTTTGTTACTCTATGGTTTGTTTTTAAAAAGTCCTTTCTATAAAGGAGTTTGAGCTTTTTAGGGGGAGTGCACGATTTAGTAAATATGCTCATCATTAATCTTCCTATCTTTTTACCGGGTTTCTTCACATTCATTTTTTATTGATTTAACCGCACAAAGGCTTGTCTTATTTGCTTCCATTTTATGCCATTTTATGTCTTCCAGAGCATATGGAAGTGATGGAGGCAGGGGCCAAAGAAGCTTTCAATTAAGACAGTCCCATGGACTGATGTTTGGAGGTCTGCTAGAATGGCAGCCTATTTGTGCTAAGGTGGCATGTCAATAATGATTGCTTCTTTTCTGCCCTCCACACCACCAGCTAAATCTATGTGGTGACACTCCTTATTTTATCAAATCATGAAATAAGATCATTTTCTTTTATTAAAGTTAGGGGTTACATGTGCAGAACATGCAGTTTTATTACATAGGTATACGCGTGCCATGTTGGTTTACTGCACACATCAACCCGTCATCTACAATAGGTATTTCTCCTAATGCTATCCCTCCCCTATCCCCCCAAACCCCACAGGCCACAGTGTGTGATGTTCCCCTCCCTGTGTCCATGTGTTCTCATTGTTCAGCTCACACTTATGAGTGAGAACATGTGGTGTTTGGTTTTCTGATCTTGTAATAGTTTGCTGAGAATGATGGTTTCCAGCTTCATCCATGTCCCTGCAAAGGACATGAACTCATCCTTTTTTTGGCTGCATAGTATTCCATGGTGTATATGTGACACATTTTCTTAATCCAGTCTATCATTGATGGACATTTGGGTTGGTTCCAAGTCTTTGCTATTGTGAATAGTGCTGCAATAAACATACGTGTGCATGTGTCTTTATCGTAGAATAATTTATACTTCTTTGGGTATATAGCCAGTAATGGGATTGCTGGGTCAAATGGTATTTCTAGTTCTAGATCCTTGAGGAATCGCCACACTGTCTTCCACAATGGTTGAACTAATTTACACTCCCACCAACAGTGTAAAAGCATTCCTATTTTTCCACAACCTCTCTAGCATCTGTTGTTTCCTGACTTTTTAATGATTGCCATTCTAACTGGCGTGAGATGGTATCTCACTGTGGTTTTGATTTGCATTTCTCTAATGATCAGTGATGATGAGCATATTTTCATATGTCTGTTGGCTGCATAAATGTCTTATTGAGAAATGTTTGTTCATCTCCTTTGCCCATATCTTGATGGGGTTGTTTTTTCTTGTAAATTTGTTTAAGTTCTTTGTAGATTCTAGATATTAGCCCTTTGTCAGATGGATAGATTGCAAAATTTTTCTCCCATTATGTAGGTTGTCTGTTCACTCTGATGATAATTTTTTGGAAACGAAAGTCAAAATTGACAAATGGGATCTAATTAAACAAAAGAGCTTCTGCACAGCAAAAGAAATATCATTTTATAATGACATATTCTGGAGTGGGATTGTCAGCTTTCATATCAGATGACTTATTCCTACCCTATACTTTTCCAACACCAAGACAGCATTCAGTAGCTTAGGATTTTGACCAGGTATAGCCTCATTTGTGTTTGTCATGGAACTGTCCCCATGAAAGGCACAAACCCTTGCATTTTACATATCCTCTCAAAGTGGCTCTTATAATTAGCTTGACATTTGACAAGAGTTTATTAAGGAAGACTTAGAACTGCAATAACTGTTATGGAGACATTTTGATACATCAATAATAGATTGAAAAGAAACTCTAGGAGGAAAATAAAATATCAAACACATGGTAAATTTTCTCTAATTACATGATTAAGCATAAGAAAATAAAAACTCCGGGTTAGCCTCCCTCAAACTTTCTATTGAGAATGTTCACTACCTCTCAAGTCTTCTGAAACCCACACTCCTTGCATCTCTCTGTATCTGGCCTTGTCTTCACCACCCTCTCATACCGCTTCTGTTCCTTCTGTTCTACGTTTCCCTCATGGTTCTGCTTGTGTTTTTACTTTGAACAGGAATAATTCACATTGAAATTGAAATCCCTTTTATTTTTCTAGATCTATAGAAGATGAACTTAAACTCTATCTAGAGATAACTTGAGAGCTTTACCCTAAATTTTTAAAGTAGTTCCTCAGGTTTCACAAAGACAAACAGAAATCAGTGCCAGAATCCAGGATTTTGATAATTATTGTCATGGAAAATCAGCTTCGTACTATCAAGCTCCTTTCATTCTTAGGCCCTTATAAGGGGAAAATGGTTAAAGCACCATAATATGAAATGCCAGCAGAAGATTTAAATAATCTAGCTGTGCATAAACCAGAAAATCACTTTAAGAGTGCATTTTTAAAAGAAATGTATTATCTAAGGTCCTTAAGTTCAGACTGGGAAAATATACAAATATATAAACAAAATGAAGATGAATCAAAATAAAAATTAACATATTTAAAAATAGACTTCAGAAATACTTCAAACAGTGTTCTGGGGTACATCAAGAGCTAAAGTCAAGACAGACTTGTTCCTTTATAAAGTGGTATAAAACTATTCACAATAGCAAAGACGTGGAATTAACTTAAATGCTCATCAATGACAGATTGGATAAAGAAAATTTGGTACATATACACCACGGAATACTATGCAGCCATAAAAAAGGATGAGATCATGTCTTTTGCTGGAACATGGATTGTACTCCAGGCTATTATCCTTAGGAAACTAATGCAAGAACAGAAAACCAGATACCACATGTTCTCACTTTCGAGTGGGAGCTAAATGATGAGAACTTATGAACACAAAGAAGAAAACAACAGACACTGAAGTCTACTTGAAAGTGGAAGGTGGAAGGAGGGTGATGAAATAATCTGTACAACAATGAGATAAGTTTACCTATGTAACAAACCTTCACATGTATCCCCAAACCTAAAAATAAATGTTGAAAAATAAAATGGGCTCAAATACAAAAAAAAAAGAACTTTTGAAACTCAACAACAAAATAACAAACAACCCAATGAAAAAATGAGTAAATGGTTTAATATTTCTCCAAAGAATATATACAAAAGGCCAATAAGCACATGAAAAAATGTTCATCATCTTTTCAAATGCAAATCAGAACTACAATTTGATACTACTTCATACCTACTAGAATAGCATTATCTCAAAGACAGAAGATAAAGACTTTTGGCCATGATGTGGAGAAATGGGTACATTTCTCCCTGTACATTACATCCCTGTGCGTTGCTGTTGGGAACGTGAAATGTGCAGCCTTTGTGGAAGACAGTGTGGCAGCTCTTCAAAATGCCAACCATAAAATTACTATATGATTCACCAATTCAACTTCTAGTTATATACCCCAAAGAATTGAAAGTAGAAATTTACGTAGATTATTGCACACCAAAGTTGATAACAGCACTTATTTACAATAGTCAATATCCTCTGACAGGTGAATAAATCAGCAAAATGCAGTGTGTATACGTGTGTGTATGTATACACACACACATATATATATTACATATGTATATGTGTATTATACATTCTACATAGATAATAATCAATTGATACAATATATAATGGAATATTAATTATTCTTAAAGAAATGAAATTCTGATACATGCTACAACATGGATGAACCTTACAAACACAATGCTATGTGAAATAAATTAACCAGGCATGAAAGTATTAAATTGTACTATTTTGTATACATGAGGTACCTACAACAGGCAAATTCGTTGAGGCTGAAAGCAGAATAGTGGTTACCAGGACACTGGAAGGAACGGGAGTCATTAATGAGCACAGAGTTTCAATTTGGAATTACGAAAAAATTCTGGAGATAGCTAGTGGTGATGGTTGCACAACGACGTGAATGTACTTAATAGCATTGAATTTAATATTCTAAAAGGGAAATGTTATGTCATGTATAGTTTAGCACAATTAAAAAAAAAGGAACAAAAGTCCTTGAAAGTAAGGAAGCAAACAACAAAAAAATGCATTGACATCTAGAGTAAGAAAACGATCTGTATCTCCAAACAACAAGACTAGCTTATGCTCTGTTCTTTAAGAATTAGCAGCCTATCCTGTAACCCTAGCACTTTGGGAGGCCGAGGTGGGTGGATCACGAGGTCAGGAGATCAAGACCCTCCTGACTAACATGGTGAAACCCTGTTTCTACTAAAAATACAAAAAATTAGCCGGGCTTAGTGGCACACGCCTGTAGTCCCAGCTGAGGCAGGAGAATTGCTTGAACCTGGGAGGCAGAGGTTGCGGTGAGCTGAGATGTTGTCACTGCACTCCAACCTGAGTGACAGAGTGAAACTCCATCTCAAAAAAAAAGAATTAGCAGCCTATAGATCAGTGCACTTGTATGTATTGAGAGCCAAGGGCTACTCGAAGGACCAGAGTCCCATATTGTCTAAGAAACAGAGGACAACTTTCCAAAATCTTTCTGAAGAAGCCACATCAAAAAAAATCAATGGCCTCAGCTTCCACATTTTCCCCCACCCCAAATCCCATGTTAAAACTGCATGTAAACTAAAGTGTAAAACCATGTGGCTTTCTTGTTGGTATAGGTACCTCTGAATCTACCATCAGTCTTAATCAATGAGGATTCTGAGTATCAATGATTTGTGCCCAGGTTTTAACTCACAAAGGTAACTGAGTAATGACACACAAAGGTCAATACCACTGAAAGAAATATTTAATGCTACTCACAGTTCTCCTGCAAAAGTGAAGCACTGTGTGCCATGTAGAACCACAAAGGGATGCCGGCGTCAAGAGGGCATTGGCCACAGCCTTTTTTGTTTCCATTTCTGTAGGAAAAGTGAAGGCAAGGCAGAGCAGGATTCAGGAACTGGTCAGTTGGAATAATTTGGGCATAGAGACTGTTCTTAGTTGCCTGGTTCCTGACCTTGCATTGATTTCAGGTGGGGGAAAGAGTGGCTGGGTATGTGAGAGTCAGAGAAAGGTGGTATTGCAGGTACAGCCCTGGATTGGTTGGTTTGTATATGAAATCACTGGTGAGTTGGTTACTGTCTTTAGAAACTAGCTCCAGGAATGGAAAGTATCTTCCCGGCCAGGAAGGTCCCCCAAAGATGTCAAAACATCATAAATACAGAAAATATTAAAATATGATTAAGGTAATCATATCCCTTTGAGTTCTAAAATCACTCAAGTGGTGGAAATTTCTAACAATCTTTTCTTCATGGCAGAAATTGTAATGTTATTTTGGGACCATTGCGAGAAGAACACAGAATTCTCTGAAGCACAACTTTTATAACATTTAATGAGTAGATATCTATTCTGCCAAGAGAACAATCAATAAAATGTACTGCATAGGAGCTAATTTTAGAAGTACCTGAAAATTATTCTATATCTGGTCAAATTATAACTAATCCATACATTAATAAAGCCATATTCTTTAGAATTCAAAACATAATCAAATAAGTTGTAATGTTCTGAGAAACCCTATAAGTATAGACTTCTTAGACATAGGCAGATGATTGGAGAAGAGTCCTTTGAACACTAGACTGATTTTTCCTAGGTTATTATAACTGTTCTTCTTGTATATCACATGAAAGGCTCTAGTTACCCAACTCAAATACAAGGAAAACTCTTGATAATGATTATGTTTCTGAAAAGTGAGATGTGTCTACTCCCATAACAGATGAGTTGAACATTTCAAGACAAAATTCTAACAGCATTGTTTGTTGACGGGTTTATCATAAAAATGAAAATGAGAACAAATGTAAAAGACAATATCAGACTTTGCTTGAAATACTCCAGATCCCCTTGTAGAATCACTTCTTTACCAGATGGCAACTAGTCTCAAATGGCTGAATTTAAGGCATTCTCTGGGGCATGTTAAATTGTTAAAATTTACAATAGAAATATAGGTGGTAAAAATATCCACCTATATTTGATACACTTCTGATAGAGTTTAAGACTTTAGAATGCCAGGAAACAAAGAGTGCTCTCAGATTCCTGAGATACCCCAATGAAAGCTGCCAAAAATTGAACAAGATTTTCTTATATCCCTGGAACACTCTCCTTTGCATACTCTTTTAGTCCTATTTTGGATGGGTCATATATCCTTTATTCATCATTTTTTATTGATATAAAATATCCATACATATTTATGAGGTGCATGTGATATTTTGCTGCATATATAGAATGTGTAATAATCAAGTCGCTTTATTTGGGGTGTCCACCGCTTTGACCAATTAACATTTTTACGTGTTGGAAATATTTCAAGTCCTCTCTTCCAGCTATTTTGAAATATGCAATATATTGTTATTAACTTTAGTCACGCTGCTCTGCTATCAAACATTAGAACTTACTTTTTGTATCTAACTCTATGTTTGTATCTATTAATGAACTTCTCTTATTCTCCCCCTCTCTATTCACAACCTGGTATTTTTCATTCTACTCTCAGCCTCTGGTATTTATCATTCTACTCTCTACCTCCATAAGATCTATTTTTTTGGCTCCCTCATATGAATGAAAACATACAATATTTGCCTTTCTATGCCTGACGTATTTCACTTAACATAATGACCTCCACTTCCACACATGTTGCTGCAAATGACATGATTTCATTCTTTTTCATGACCAAATAGTATTCCCTTGTATATGTGTACCCCATTTCCTTAATCCATTCATCTGTCAATAGACATTTAGGTCAATTCCATATTTTTTCTATTGTGAATGGTGCTGCAATAAACATAGGAGTTTAGGTATCCATTTGATATACTGATTTATTATCTTTTTGATAAATATCCAGTAGTAGGATTGCTGGGTTGCATAGTAATTCTATTTTGGGGTTTTTTGGAGTGTATTTTTATGTTTATTTTTTGCAAATCTGCAAATCTCCACGTTGCTTTCAATTGTGGCAATACTAATTTATATTTCCATCAACAGTGTGAGTACCCCTTTCTCCACCGGCATCTATTTTTTTGTCTTTTTAATAATACCCATTCTAAATGGGGTAATTTTATATCTTATGGTAGTTTTGATTTACACTTCTCTAATTATTGGGGATGTTGAGCACTCTCTTATATATCTGTGGGTCATTTGTATATCTTCTTTTCTTTTTCTTTCTTTTTTTCTTTTTCTTTTTCTTTTTTTAATAGAGAAGGGCCTCAGTATATTACCCATGCTGGTCTCAAGCCACCTCCCTACCTCAGCCTTCTATAATGCTGGATTACAGGTGTTGGTCACCATGTCCGGCATGTATATCTTCTTTTGAGAAACATCTATTCATGCCCTTTGCCCATTTTTTAATGAGACTATTTGTTTTTTTTTTACTGTTGAGTTTCCAACTTCCTTGTTTATTCTGGATATTAGTCCCTTGTTGGATAAATAGTTTGCAAATAACTTCAGTCCTTCAACAGGGTGTCTCTTCATTCTTTTATTTCTTTTGCTGTGCACAAAACTTTTTAGTTTAATACAGTTCCATTTTTCTATTTCTGTTATTGTTGCCTATGCTTTTGAGGTCTTAGCCATAAAATCTTTGCCTAGACCAATATCCTGAAGTGTTTCACCTATGTTTTCTTCTAGTAGTTTTATAGTTTGGGATCTTACTTTGAAGTTTTTACTCCATCTTGAGTGGATTTTTTTTTATATAGTGAGAGATAGGGGTCCAATTTCACCCTTCTGCATATAGACATCTAACTTTCCTACCACCACGTATTAAAGAGGTTGTCTTTTTCCCAGTGTATTTTCTTGGCACCACTGTTGACAATCAGTTGAGTGTAAATATGTGGATTTATTTCTGGGGTCTCTATTCTAGTCCAATTGTCTATGTGTCTGTTTTTATCCCAATAGCATGCTGTTTAGGTTACTATACATATACTTGTAATGTGTTTTGAAGTCAGGTAGTGTGATGCCTTCAGCTTTGTTTTTATGTTTTGTTTTGCTTTTTTGGTTTGTTGTCTTTCCTGTTTGTTTCTTTTTTCTGTTTCTGTGAGAACTGACATTGATACTTTGATAGGAATTGAATTGAATCTGTAGATTGCTATAGGCGGTATGATTATTTTAATGATATTACATCTTCTGATCCTTGAGCATGGAATGTCTTCATTTGTTTCTGTTCTCTTCAATTTCTTTCATTAATGTCTTACAGTTTGTCTTGTAGAAGTCTCTTAACTCCTTGGTTAAACTTATTTCTAGGTATTTTACTTGTAGCTACTGTAAATGGGGTTGCCTTCTTGATTTCTTTCTTAACTAGTTTATTATTGGTGTATATAAACTCTACTGATTTTTGTAAGTTAATTTTCTATCTTGCAGCTCCACTAATTTTCTATCCTGTAATTGCACTAATTTTGTTTATAAGTTTCAAGAGTCTTTTCAGTGGAGTCTTTAGGGATTTTCTAGACATAAGGTCATAACATCTGCAGAGAGATATAGTTTGACTTCCTCTTTTCCAATTTGGATAACTTCTATTTATTTCTCTTGCCTAATTGTCTGGCTAGGACTTCCAGTACTATGTTGAGTAGGACTGGTGGAAGCAGTCATCCTTGTCTTGTACCAGTTCTTACAGGAAAAACTTCCACTTTTAACAATTCAGTATGATGTTAGCTGTGGGTTTGTCATGTATGGTCTTTATTATGTTGAGGTATGTTCCTTCAATTCATAATTTGTTGAGAGTTTTTATCATGAAGGGATGTTAAATTTAATAAAATTTTATAAAATTTAATACCCCTTTATGATATAACATTTAAATATTATAACATTAACATTTTTGCATATATGGATATGATACATGGTTCTTAATCCTCATTCTGTTGATGTGATGCATCACATTTATTGATCTGCATGTGTTGAACTATCCTTGCATCCCTGGTATAAATCACACTTGATCATGGTATATTACATTTTTCATGTGCTGTTAGATTACTTTGTTAGTATGTTGTTGAGGAATTTCGCATCAATATTCTTCAGAAATATTGCCCTGTAGATTTTTTGTTGTCATTATTGCATTATTGTCCAGCTTTTGTAACATGGTAATAATGGCCTCAGAGAATGAGTTAGGAAGAATTCCTTCCTCTCCAATTTTTCGGAGCAATTTGAGGAGAATTGATATTAGAAAGCCTGGTAGAATTCAGCAGCAAAGCCATCAGGTCCTACAGTTTTCTATGTTGGGAAATTTTTTATTACAAATTCAATCTCATTACTTGTTATTGGCCTGTTCAGGTTCTGTATTTCTTCCTAAATCAATCTTGTCAGAGTGTATGTTTACAGGAATTTATCCATTTTTTCTAGTTTTTTTTTTTTTGGTTTGTTGGTATCTAGTTGATCATAATATTCTCTGATGATCTTTTGTATTTCTGTGGCATCAGTTATAAAATCTTATTTTTATTTCTGATTTTGTTTATTTGGGTCTTCTCTCTTTTTTTAGTTCCTTGAAGTGCACCACGAGATTGTTTATTTGGACTCTACTTTTTTGATGTACGCTTTTATTGCTATAACATTTCCTCTTAGCATTGCATTTGCTATATTACAATGGTTTTGGTACATCTTGTTTCAATTTATATTTGTTTTAATAAATTTTTTAGTTCCTCCTTAATTTTTCCTTGACCCAATGGTTATCAAGAAACTTTTTGTTTAATTTCCATGTATTTGTAGAGTTTCTCAAGTTCCTCTTGTTATTGATTTCTTATTTTACTCATTTGTGATCTGAGAAGAGACTTGATAAGATTTTAATTTTTTTGATTTGTTGAAACTTGTTTTGTGTGCTAACATATGATCAATTCTGAAGAATGTTCCATGGACTGATGAAAATAATACACATTCTGTAACTGGTGGATGAAATGGTCTATAAATGTCTGTTTGATCTATTTGACCTAATATGTAGTTTAAATCCAATATTTCATTGTTAATTTTCTATCTTGATGATCTGTATAGTGCTGAGATTGGGTTGTCAAAGTGTACAAATGCTATTGTATTGGAGTCTATCACTCTTTTTAGATTAATATTTGCTTTATATATCTGGTTGCTTTGGTGTTAGGTACATATATGTTTAGTATTATTATATTCCCTTGCTAAACTGATCCCTTTGTCTTTATTTAATGACCTTATTTGTCGTTTTTTGTTTGTTTGTTTAAGTCTATTTCATTTTATATAAGGATAGCTACTCCTGCTTTGTTTTATGTTTGTTGGAATATCTTTTCCTATAACTAAAATTTCATTCTATACGTGCCTTTATAGGTAACATGAGTTTCTTCTGGGCAGCATATAGTTGGGTCATTTTTTTTTATTCATTTAGCCAATCTGGGTATTTTAAGTGGAAATTTAATCCATTTATATTCAAAGTTATTATTAATATGTGAGGCTTTATTCCTGTCAGTTTATTAAGTGAATTCTGATTGTTTTGTGTATCCTTTGTTCCTTTCCTTCTATCTTATGATTTATCATAGTGATTTAGTGATTTTCCTATAGTGGTAACAATTAAGTCCTCTCTTTTCCTTATTTGTATATTTGCTCTATCAGTGGGTTTTACATTTCATGTATTTTCATGTTCATACTTTAATGTGTTTTCATGTTAATAGATATCATCTCTTTTGCTTCTGCATGTAAGACTCCCATAAGCATGTCTTATAGGACTGGTTTGGGGGTGACAAATTCCCTCTGCTTTTTCTGATCTGGAAAACCTTTATTTCTCCTTCATTTTTGAAGGATAACTTTGCCGAATATACTATTCCCGGATGTCAGGTTTTTTTCTTTCAGCATTTACAATATGTCATTTCATTATCTCCTGGCCTGTATGGTTTCTACTGAGAAATGTACTATTAGTTTGATGAAACCTTCATTAAAAGGGACTAGATGCTTTTTTTTTGATGTTTTATAATTATCTCTTTTTCTTTGGCTTTTGACAGTTTGACTATAATATGCCATGCAGAAGACCTTTTTGCATTGTATATGTTTGAAGATATCTGAGCTTCCTATATCTATATGTTTAAATCTCTTGCTGCCCTTGGAACACTTTCTGCTATTATTTAATTAAATGGGTTTTCTAAAACTTTCATTTTATCTTTGCTTTCTGGGAGAATGAAAAATTGAATATTTACTCACTTTATGGTATTCCATATGTCATGTAGGTTTTGTTCATTCTTTTTTATTCTTTCTTCATTACTTTTGTATGCCTGGGTAATTTCAAAAGATCTGTCTTCATGTTACATGATTATTTCTTCTCCTTGGACTAGTCTATTGTTGGATTTCAAGTGTATTTTGTATTTTATTCAAAGATTTCTTCAGTTTTATTTTTCTGTATTTTCTTGTATCTGACTGACCTACTTTGATATCATTATTTTTAATTATTTATCTGGGATTTTATAAGTTTCTTCTTGATTGGTATCTGTTGCTGGAGAATTATTATGTTCCTCTGGAGGTGCCATATTTCCTTGCTTTTTAGTGTTTCTTGTGTCCATATGTTACAACTATGCATCTGGTGTAACAGAAATCTCTTTTAATTTTTAGAATTTGCTTTCATAGGAGAGGACTTTTTTCTGAAGATGTAGCTATGGTGTTGGCTGGGCAGAGGACTGTGGTTTTGATTCTGGGTGCATGCAATAGTTTATTCTTTATTATTTATTTGGCTGTAAACTGCATCAGGGCAGTCTGTGATTTTCTCAGTTGTTGGTGGAGGTTGTAATGAAGTTTTGCTGGGTACAAGGACAACACGTGAGCTTATCCTCAGACCCCAGTGGTTGCAGTGGTGACCCAAGCGTGCTTATCCTTGGGCCTCTAGGTGGCTTGTTCAAGTGCCAGTAGTAGTGGTAACAGTGGTCCAGGCAGATGAGTGGCAGTGGGTGTGGTATGGGTGACAGTAGTAGCAGTGGTGGGACAAACCTCTGGGTCCAAGTGATCCAGGCTGGTGTTGGCCATGGCTGTGACAGGCTGGATGGACAGCCCTAAGCCCATGGATGCATGTGAGTAGGTTCCCACTGTGGTGGTAGCAGCAGGTTAGGTGGGTCCAACCTCAGCCCCTAGGCAGAGTGCTCATGTGCCAAGAGTAGTGGACTAAACTGGGAGAGCCCCAGGCTCCTGGAGAGCATGCCTGGGCACCGGAGGGTTGGGCAGAGCTAGACTTGGCATACTTGTCCTCGGGCTCCCTGGTGGTGGCATACAGGTGCTGGCTGTGGTAGGCAGAGGTGGGATAAGTACCCTAGGTCCACAGTGGAATGCTCTGGAGGGGCCTGGAGAGTCTCTGTAGAGGCTGATGTGCTGCAGCCTTGTTACTGGGGAGGGCAGAGTCACTTTCAGTGGCAGCAGCATTAAGTATATAGGTGACTAGGGAGCATGCTGTTTGCTGGCACTTCAGGCTTGGCCACAGCAACTCACAGTGACAGCTGCTGTGGTCAAGGAAGTCTGTCCTTGGAGGCTATGAAAATATTCAGCAGTTTCACTGCTAGGGGCATCAGGGTCTTTGACGATGGTTCACACTTCAGTGCTGGAGGCAGCAAATTGCTGTGGCAATGGCTGCAGGCAGGAAATGTTAGTGGGGTTTCAGAGATGTGGAGTCAGGGGCTGATGGGCTTCCAGGCAGGAGGCAGTCTGGTGGGGGCTGGGCTCTCAATATGGCAACTTGTTGTGGCTGCTTAGAGCTTGGAGGATGTGTGGGATCCAGCTTGAGCTCCTTTTCTGGATCAATGCCTCTGTGTGGTCTCTAGGTAGCTTGCTATGCTAGTCTCAAGGCCTGTGATGGCCTAGGGGCTTTCCCATGGATAACATGTGGGAGTTTATGGTGGAAAAGTTGAGCACTTGGGGCTATTCAATTACCTTTTTCCCACATTGAAGAGCCTCTCCAGACTCTCAGCTAATTGCAAGTTGCCTCGCCTCCCTCTCCTTTCTTGCTTTAGGTGTTTCCTTTCACTTCTCTGTTGAATTCCAGTGATCTCTCTTAGATGATATATCCAAAATGTGATTATCTTCTCACAATTTTGGTTCTTCTATATGGAGGAAGCAAGTACCAGATGCCTCTCTAGTAAGTCATCTGGAAGCTGCTACTGCTGTGTCTTTCATCCTTTGTAATCTATGAGTGAAGGTATAGTGTGAGAGTACAATAAAATCCTGAGCAGATTAAGCCATTTCACTCATTTCTAGATTTCCTTGGAGAGCATAAGCAAGTAAAACGTGTTCAGACTGAAATCACAGCTCTTATCCTCCAGGCTCCATTACTTTCCACAACATGCCTTTAGCCCTCTGGACCAAGAGAAGAACCTGTAATTCTTTCGTAACAGTTGATACTGTACGCTTCTCTCTTAACTCATCGTGTTTCCCTAAGTAACAATAACAACTTGCACTTGCATAGGTCTATGTTTTTCTGCAATCACCACCTGAATCTTAAGGAATGTTAAGCATATTATCTCTTGCCAAAAAAAAATGTCCAGAATAGCAATTAATGCTATTAAAATATATCTTTACCAAGGATATAGTCATTACTTATCCTTAACAAATGGTAGACTAATAAATATTTAGGACAGGGTGACTATAATTTTACTTATATAAAAACCATAATTCAACATGATCATGTAATTTGATCTGTTCCTAATAATACTTTCTCTGTTATGATTGCTCATAGTATTTCTTTTTAAATCATACTACAAATCAAATCTCCAAAGAGACTCAAACATTTGAAACCATATCTACTACTATAAAATGATAGCAGTTCTAAATATTCAGGCCTATAAAAATAGAGAAGGACGTGATGCTATGTTACACCCAATTATTCAAAAATGATTCAAAGGCAAACACAAGGTGAAATATTAACACTCACACTACAGATCAGATTTCTGTACATTAAACTTCAATACTGCAGATAATCAACACTTTTGACTGAAAGTTTGGATAAGAGTTCACCAAAAAATGAGAATACAGGTTTCCCCAGTCTCAGAAAAAGAAAAGATTGCCCTACAATCATGGCAGGTAACCACGAGGAATAATTTAATCAATGATAACTCAGCTCCATGACATCACTTTTTAAACCTATTCGACTAGTGATAGGACACAGTTTTGAATCCACTGATTGGCAGCAAAGACATGTCAGTAACAACTCTTGTGAATGCCAGCCAGATCATACCACCACACACACACCTATAATAATAATCACCCAGATAACAGTAACAAATACCTAAATACCTCTACCTCTTGAAGTCCACCAACGTCTTAACTACACATTTCTCAGAATCACATAGAAATCTTGCTCAGTTTGGAGAAGTCGTTTCTGCAAACTTAGTTCTCTGACTTAGGCATACAATGAGTTTAACTTTACTTAGTGGTGTCCTCCTCCTTTGACAGTCCAATAAAAAGATCCCAGTAATCAATTTCATATTTTATAGTGATGATGTTGCTTTCTGTCTTTTAAGTATGTAGAAAATAAATGCAGGGAATAGTAGGAAACATGCCTGCCTACTGGCAGATAGATTCAGCAAATATTCTAAATTTTATCAAGGGAAAACTTTTTGTCATTTAAGAAAAATAGATAGATTAAAAAGTTAATTTTATGACAGAAAATTCAGAAGCACTTTCCTTAGTTTCTCTTAAAAGAAACACAGCAGCAGATATTTCTCAGATAGTCCTACCTTCAGGTAAGCAGGCTAGAGTGCTGTCAGCTGTAAGTTATTTCTTAAATTTTGTCTTGCTCTGCTTTTTTGCATTTACATTCTTTGTGGACTTGGAATTTATCTAACTTCTTTTATAGCTTTGCCTGAGTTCATACGTGAGAGAAACAAATAGTAAACTTTATATGTATAATGCTAATTATGTATAATATGGTATCATATGTTTCAGACTTTTTTTGTAGAATAACCATCTCTTTTTGGATTTGATGAGAACACATAACACCAGACACCACTCTCCCTGCCACAAGCACAAATTACAAACATATAACTCATTAAAACTCTTGCAGAACAGAAAACCCAACATGACATTTAGCATTCCTTTAAAGGAAAGACAGCAAAGGGCCAAGGAACAATCATCTTTTAATTTAGTATTTTAAATCCTCTTTGACATTAATCCACTATTGTTTACAAACTCATACCTGCTTCTGTACAACGTGAAAGCAAAAGAAATCATTTCATATTAGAAGGGGCATAAAATTTGATTTCTCCTTTGGTGGTAGAAGAATTGGGGATCATTCAAATGATGCACAAACTATGATGTATTAATACACTCTTACAAGTGGTAATATGGCCATGAACATAAAATATTTCCTTACATGTTATTCAAAGTTAATTTCAATTTTAATAATGGCCATCTGACCTGATGTTTAAATGATTCATAACAACTGATTAAGTGACACGAGAATCATTGAGTCAACATTTCTATATTGCTATAATTTAAGAGTCTGTGCCTTAATAATTTGAAATGTTTCCGTAATATCCTACTTAACACTGTTCGCTAATGAGATGTTTTCAAATTGCATTATTCCTTCGAGCATATGCATAAATATAGTCTTTCCTTCAATTCTTTATAATAACAATTTGCTTTGCCAAAAAAAGAGGATTAGTTATTCCTAAAACCATAGAAAGAGTAGAAAATGCAGAGTCTAAATTTTTTGAAAAAGACACCACATAATTCCCAGTTTATTTCAGGTTTACCTTCTTTGAGTCCCCAGATCATGCTGGATGTTGAGTACAAAACTGAGCATGTTCTCCTAGCCTTTAGGATTGATGTAAATATAGGACACACCTTAATGAGGAAATCAACAAACTACCACTGTGTAAGTTACACATTTAAGAGACATTAGTTGCACTTGCTATATCCAGTCAGTACCTTAAGAGGAATTAGCACACTCAGATGGGATATTTATAATGCTGTGTGTAAGCTTAAAATAAAACCAAAAGGGATGTTTTAGCACCCAGAGTACAATAAGGACAATGATCTTTTCTCAACCATGGGCAGATGCTAAGAGGAGGGAGCTTCTTTCAAAACTCAAAGAGAGAGTAATTGCTATAGAAAAGGAACACCCAAAAGAAGCAGCATCCTTACAGGAAGGATCACAGCTCCTACAAACCCATGGTCTGGCTGGCAGGGAACCCCAGGAATAAATACCTAAACCTCATTCTCCCCCATTGCACAAGCTCAATGGGGAGTTTGGAGAGAGTGGAACCAAATGAAACGGTTCATAAAGGTCATCCTGAGAAGGAAAGCACAGTGAAAAAGGGAGGAAACAGATCTAGGGCAGCAAATTCAACTTGTCCAGCACATATGCCCTGTTGCTTTTCCTTTTTGCGGAAATCCTCTTCAAGGTTTGGATCTGTGTCCCCACGAAACCTCATGTCAAATTGTAATCCCCAGTGTTGGAGGTGGAGGCTGGTAGGAGGCGCTTGGTTCCTGGGGATGGTTTCTCACAAATGGTTTAGCATCGTCCCCTCGGTGCTGTTCTCGTGATAGTGAGTGAATTTCGTGAGATCTGGTTGTTTAAAAGTGTGTGGCAACTCCCCCACCTCTTTCTCCTCCTCCAGACATGTAAAGTGCTGGCTTCCCTTTCATCTTCTGTCATAATTGTAAGTTTCCTAAGACTCCCCCGGCCCCTACTCCAAGCCGAGCAGATGCCAGCATCATGCTTCCTGTACAGCCTGCAGAACCCGGAGCCAATTAAACCTCTTTTCTTTATAAATTACCCAGTCTCAGGTATTTCATTAGCAATGTGAGAATGGACTAATACAAACAGGAAGCAAGGACACCTCCTTTCTACTCAGGCTGTCCTCTTTGAGAGGTTAGCTGTGCTCCCAGCCCCTTATATGGCTGCATTGTGGTTGTTTCTCTCTTGGAGACTTGCTCAGTGTGAACTCATCATGAGCAGAGACACTATCTCATTAATCGATGTCTCTCTAGTACATGGCAGGATACCTGGCGTTGCAAGTGTATTCTAGCCATGCATCTGTACTCCTAGCTACTCAGGAGACTGAGGCTGAAGGATCCCTTAAGCCCAGGAGTTGGAGACCAGCCTCGGCAACATCGCAAGACCATGTCTCAAAAAAATAGTGTGTATCAGAAATTTTTATTGATTGAATAACTATTGGAATTACCAAAATTTCACTGCAAATTTATAATTTATAATTATATAAATATATGAGATAGAAGATGTTGTTATAATCTATGAATACAATGTGGAGTAATTAAATCAACCT
This sequence comes from Homo sapiens, assembly GCF_000001405.40. Lineage (NCBI taxonomy): Eukaryota > Metazoa > Chordata > Mammalia > Primates > Hominidae > Homo > Homo sapiens. The sequence goes on from NC_000005.10 coordinate 8,979,319, forward strand.
AGTTAACATATACATCACCTCCAGTACTTAACATTTTTTATGGTGAGAACATTTGAAATGTACTCTCTTAGCAATTTTGAAATGTACGATTATCCACTATTGACTATATTCATCTTGCTATGCAATAGAACATTTTAAATATTAAAGAATGTTATAAAAAATGACTGATTAAGTGGGGAATAATAAATACATTGGTATCCACTTCTTCCAGACATACTATTAGAACTGTATTTACTTCAGGCAACCATCTCAATTTTTTTCCTGAGAACAATTTCACAGAGCTTTCAGACTACAGCATTTTCCTGTTATTCATGACTATTATACATTCTCTGTAAGAGAAAATGTCCTAAAGAGAAATTGATGCATGACAGAGAACTCCAAGCCTCCCATTCTTTCCTAAGCTCTGCCCTCTGCCCCCTTTGTCCTTTGATTCTGCTCTGGTGATGTGCCCCTGACTAATCTCCAAACACAGAGGAAGCTCTTTCAGTGGTCCCCAAATTCACTCTTGACTCATCTTTCTAAATCAAATTAAAATTAAGGAAGGTTTTATGTTAACTCCTCCACACAATGAAGAATCCAAGTATATTTCTTTGTTTTCAACTCTAGTAGTTCTTCCAAATTAAACTATAACCTGTTAGACCCTGGTCTTGCTGGCTATTCTCCTCTCTTCCGGTGTTCCTTCCAGGGAATTCCAAATCCTGCACTTCTTTATGCATTCCGTTACCTGTGTATGTCTCAGGAGTTCCCTGCATTACTTGTAGTGGCTTTTTTAAAAATCAAAATATTTGTTCCATTCAAATACAGCATGAAGCTCAGCCTACTGCTATTGTTGAATGAATGTGAAATTGCAGAAGGAATAAGAATTAAATTATGTAAAATCAGCTTTCTTTTTAAATGAACTCATTTAATCCCTAGTCCCACCTGTATAAAATAGATACATTTTTAAACCCCATTTTATGAGATGAGATGCTGAATTTAATCAACCAGCTCCTCCTGTTGCACAACCCATATTGTTTTGGCCTGATTGTATCAATCACCAGCACGAAGATGACCACGTGTGCTTTGTCCTCATCTAGACTCACTCCAATTTCCTAGTCAGGAAAGTCACCCTGCACTGAATAGTAAAGGAGTGAGGTTAGTGTTGGGGAATAAACAAAAACATGATTTACAGGATCAGAGCTTAGGGACCAGGAACTTCTGACTGTGGTGCAGATCTTCCTGGGCATAGATCCTGACTCCCTTAGTTGTTTACCGTGTCACTTCAGGAATGTTAGTTAACTTTTTAAGCCTCAATTTTCTCATAGAAAAGTGTGAATAATAAGGGAATCTGACTCAGGCATGGCATGAGAATTAGATTAGCTCAGGTGAGTTAATATTAACAAATAACCCACAGCTTGGTACACTATAATTTTGAAACCATATTTTATTTACCAAATACTTACACAACATATATTGTCTCCATTTGTTAAATGCCAAAGTGGAGAGATAGCTTCAGGCTGGTAATAAAGTTCCCCCAACTGTCACATCTTAGGACTCAAAAACATTTATCAAAAGGAAAAGAAAATTTAAAATGAAGGTCTTTGGCAGCCTATTAAAAGACAGGTCGGGAACGTAGTATGTTCTTATGCTATAAAACAGCTTGTAGCTCTTTAGCAAATGCTCCCCCTACAAAGGATCTCATTTTATACTTTTATAAACTAGGAAAAAGGACACATTCTCATTTTAAACATGAGAAATGCAGTGAATTCCTACCATTTTATGTTGCCTCCGTGTCCATTTTGAGTCGAAGTGTAACATTCTGATGTCAGAAGCAGACCTAATCACCCTCAATACAGATTCCAGGGCTCCATCTCCTCCCAGTTCCTCAGTGTGGTGGATCCAGTATAGTGTTGCCTCACACTATGAGACAACTACATACATCTTTCTTGACTCACCCTACTGACCCGCACACCCACACAGACTGCACAGGTATGCTTCAGAGACACCCTCTTAGTTGCAGCATGAATCCACGGGACTCCTCCCTGTTTGCTCTAAACCCACCAATTACAACTTCCCATGTGAAACTTACTTGGGCGATAACTTGCACCCCAGTAAAGGCTTTGGCTCCCAGGTCTGTTGTTTCCTGTCTCCTGCTCCCACCTGCTGATGGAGCATACATGTCCTGATGGCTCTCCCCTTCCCCCTGGCCTTGTGAGGCACACTGTCCTCTTCTCCCTGGGATCTGTAAGTAATAATCTGCCTCTGTTATTTCATGTGTTTGTTGAGTTCTCTCATGTGTTTCTTACTCACCCAAAACACCTGATGCTAACCTCTTTCTCAGTCAGGGCCCTCCTAAACAGTGGCTATCTTGTTAGGAAAAAACCAGAAACAAGTGAGAAACAACCACCAGGGTGTCTGCCAATATAAACAAGCTTGGGGGAAAGGACTGATGCTGCACTCCAAAACAGAGACTCACCAAGTGGGAGGTACCAACTACATTCTTAATTCACACAAGTAAGGCACTACTCTACGATAAGGTCTGGTGATCTCTTCATTAATATGCTTTATGCCATTTATGCAGATGGACCTCATCATCTAATTAAGTATCTGTATCTTCTTAGCACTCTAAAATTCCAGAATGATTTTATCAAAGACTTTTTTAAAAAAGATAATTCTTCCAGCACTAGTGAAGAAACTTAGAAACAAGATAGAAATATAAATTGAGATAACCTTTCCAAAGGGCAATTTTGCAATCAAATCAAAAGCCTTAAATATGTCTATAACTTTGACCCAGTAACTTCATTTATGGAAAATATCCTAAGACATACTTACAAAAATATTCATCACAGCCTTATTTGTAATAACACTTGGAAACCACCTAACTTTCCCCAAACACAGATTGTAATCCCTGACATGGAAACTATGAAGCCATTTAACAGGATGAAGAAGAATACCTCTGAGCTTTTGCATGGAATGTGTTCACATATAACGTTAAATAAGGGAGAGCAAGTCAAATGACAATCAATCCTACATTATAAAAATATTTGTGTATCCCTGATCAAACAGACATCTAATGATAGCAGTCATCTCTGGATGGCCAGTTCACACAGCAAACTGCTTTTTATCTGCATATTAACCATTCTGCCCTTCTTCTTACCTGAAGCTTCACCTTGGAATTGCAAGATACCCAGTTACAGAACTAAGTGTCCACCCTCTCTTGCACCTAGGGCTTTAACCAAATGAGAAGGTGCAGAGGTCTGCCAGCAGTTTTCAGGACAGGCCTGCTGCTGTACTGCAGGGACATCCCTACTCATCAACCCCTTTCACCCTCCATCCCTCCTTCCCATTTTGTTTGCAATAATAGAAAAGAGAATCACTCGCAAGAAGAGAAGAGTAGAAAGATTGAAACAGTCTTTGCCCTGGAAGACCTTGGTAAGCCCTGGAATGCCAAATTTCAACTTTCTTATATAAGACACACAGCCTCTTGTGACTAAACCACACTTTCGTGGGTTTCTGTAATCCCCTAATATTCCTGATACAAGCATTTTGGTTAATTTTGAAACGTAGACAAGCAAAAAATTAATTTGAAAATGATTTTGTAGCCAGGCACAGTGGCTCACGCCTGTAATCCCAGCACTTTGGGAGGCCACGGCGGGTGGATCACGAGGTCAGGAGATTGAGACCATCCTGGCTAACATGGTGAAACCCCGTCTCTACCAAAAATACAAAAAATTAGCCGGGCGTGGTGGCAGGCGCCTGTAGTCCCAGCTACTTGGGAGGCTGAGGCAGGAGAATAGCTTGAACCCGGGAGGCAGAGCTTGCAGTGAGCCAAGATCGTGCCACTGCACTCCAGCCTGGGTGACAGAGGGAGGCTCTGTCTCAACAAAAAAGAAAGAAAGAAAGAAAGAAAATGCTTTTGTAAATATATTTCTGTAATAAAATATTTTAAATCATACAAGCAACAAAAGGACGTGTCTGGACCATCCCCACGATATTAATGATGGATTTGATGTGGGTCTGGTTTGGTCCAGCCTTACAAGCCAGTCTTTAGATTTATACTTTCTCCCCTTTCTCATATAATGAGTAATCCAGACTAAATATTCTCTCCTATTAGACCTCGCTTCAGTCTAGCTTCTTTGCTTCTTTCATTTGTCTGTGTTCTTTAATTAGTTCAATTTATTTTTCAAAACACAACCCATGATTCTTACAAAAGCACACATGGGTGCACCTCATTTTTTTCCTATCTCACTGGAATTGAGTTTCCTGCCATGAACCTGCCTATGTTTTCTCTTTTTCTGGTTCTCTGCACCTGCCTGCTTGTTCTATACACATACTAGAGACTGGGCCTCCCTTTCAGGTGAAGAGCTTTCTCTCCTTTACCCTTTCTATCGTATTTATAAACATGTCAGCCCCTTCCCAGATTCCACATTGTCATGTCTTCAATTTTTAAAGTATTTGCTCCAAACAGGGTCCAAATACAGATATAAGGGGGTCATAAATATATTCTAAAAATTAAACTTTGGAAGGTTAGTTTTTAAAATATTTTGTTTACATTAAAATCTCTGGTTAGGTTTATTTTAACTTTTCAGCACATCTTTTTTTGGCAGAATAGTAGGCTGGAAATAAAAAATACTCTTTTCTGTTAGCTTATTAATTATACTTGCTACTTCCAGCTGTGGTGTCTGTCAACTGTTTAGGAAGCAATATTCATACTCATATGCTCTGAACAATTTTACCGCTTTTCTTGGAAAATAGAGCTATTTGAAGAAATAATGCACAGTTAACCCTTTTAAAATCTGGAAAACATGTTTCCTCAGACTTAAAAACAATAAAAGTTACCTGTGCCCTTGCCTTATTGTCCTACCACACACAGGTCTGATTATGGAGCTCTTCAGCATCCATTCACATTGCCGAGATGGCCTTCCTTAAATCAGCTTGCTTCTTTTTTGATATTTGCAATTATAGTACATCTTCCATCAGCACAAACACCGTGGTCAGCTACCTTCAGAAGTTTGGGATGTATGGTTTCTCCCCAGCTCCACTTTACCCTAGGTGGCATCCTCCATCCTGTGCAGCTGCCAATCTCCTTCCCTTCGGATGGACCATGGTAGCCTCCATGCTGCTTAGGGGCTGGAGATGTTCTCTGAGACATTGGAGACCAAGATCTTGTGTTTGTGTTCACTTCATCTTCTGCTGAAGACTCTGACGGAATAAAACTGAACTACCTGGAACTTCAATTCTTTCACAGTTCACATCCCAAATGAGTAAGCGGTGGGCCCTTAGGAGTGTTCTGGGGTGACATCACTAGGAAGATCATCAGGTTAATGGTTCTTAAAATGTAATTCACTGGTGACACGCAGGGTGAAAAATATGCTTACAGGATCCTTCCTCAGCTCTACAAGACTCCTAAGAAATTGATAATCTGAAATATTTAAACAGGTATATCTGCCAAGAATTTTCACACAGAAGCTTAACTCAACAAAATAGGCTATAATATTAAGGTACAAATCAATCATTTCAGGAAGATTGACATTTCTGAAAATTTAGTTTATAATTTAGTAACATAGCTCCAGTTCACATTGATTTTATCTCCTCTTGCCGATTCCACCACATTTGACTTTTTCATTGCTCTTAGGTTTACATAAGTAAAATTAACATTTTTTTGATGTACTAAGACGTGTAGAGTCGTGGAACCACCACTTCAATCAAGGATACACAAAAGTTTTATCACTCCCAAAACTCCCTTGAGCTGCCCCTTTGTGGCTACATTCTTTCCCCAAACTTACCCTTGTCAGCCACTGATCTATTCTCTGTACCTTGGTCTTTTCCTTTTCTAGAATGTCATGTAAATGAAATTATGCAATATGTAAGTTTTGGAAACTGGCTTCATTCAGCAAAAACATTTTGAGATTCATGTTTTGTTGCATGTGTTCATAGTTTGTTCTTTCTTATTAAAAGTCATATTCCATTATGTGGATGTACCACAGTTGGATTCTCCATTCACACATTGATGGGCATTTGAATAGTTTTCAGCTTGAGAACATTTTGAATAGAGCTGCTATCAACATTTTTGTGTATAGTTATTTGTGAATATAATATTTCATTTATCAAGGAGTGTTGTCAGAGTCATATGGAAAAATATATATGTAATTTATAAGAAAAATTCTAAATTTTTCCCCAAAGTGATCATATCATTTTGCATTCCGAAACACAAGAGTTGGTCAAGGGATGTGGCTGGACCTGCCGATTTCTAGTCTGAAGATCTTTCTTCTATATTACTCTCTCCTAAATTTACTTTTTGACATTTTCATATTTACTTTAACCCAATATTTTAATATAACTCCACTGAAAAAGTTATGAAATTACTGTCTTGACAACGGTTATCATTTTAGTATACATCCATGTATAGGTGTTAGCATCTTCTTCCCTAAAATTGTGACATAGCACCACCTCTATCTTGTCTAAGTTAAAGAAATATACTGAGGCATATGAGTAGATGCAATGAAGGCTCCACAGCTCATAGTGAGTGGAAATAAGGAGAGATTTATTAGCCTCTGTAACGGTTGTTAATGAAATTTTCTAAAACCTCAAAAAAATGGCTTTAATCTTTCTAAGGTTTTTCTCTTGAAGTTATTTAAAATAGTTTATCTCTAATCTTAGAAAATGCTGAAAACATACTTTTTTCTCAACAATGCATGATTTCCATGAACACTGATTTTCACAGGGGCTTGACATTAAAGATGCTAGAATTCTTCATTTTTAATTAACAAATGCATGATCTCACATAGTCATTTTTGTGGTGAGAGCCCATAACTTCTACTGCCTTTACATTTCTCAAGAATACTATATATCATCATTATCTAGCCTTACCTTGCTACACAATAGATATAAATTTATTTCTCCTAACTATAATTATTAAGGCTTTGACCAACATCTCCTCATAATCTCTCCCCATAGCCATCCCAGGCCCTGGTAACCACCATTATACTCTCTACTTCTGTAATATGAACTTTTTAAAATTCCACACACGCGTGAGATCATGTGCTATTTGTCTTTCTGTGCCTGGCTTATCTTATTTCAGTTATCATAATGTCCTCCAGAATCATCCATGTTGTCAAAATGACAGGGTTTCATTCTTTTTATGGCTGAATAGTATTCCATTGTGTGTGTGTGTGTGTGTGTGTGTGTGTGTGTGTGTGTGTGTGTATTTTTACTACCTATTCATGTATTGATGAACACTCAGGTTGATTCCACATCTCGGCTAATGTAAAGAGTGGCACTAAGAACATGAAAGTTCAGATGTCTCTTCTACAAACTGATCTAATTTCCATCAGATATATACCCAGTACTGAGACTGCTGGATCATATGGTAGTTCTATTTTAAATTTTTTGATGAACCCCCATAGTCTGTTCTATAATGGCTGTACTAGTTTACATTCCTATGAACAGTGAATAAGGGCTTTCTGAACATCCTTGACAAACCATGTTATCTTTTTCCCTTTTGATAATAACCATTCTAACCGAGGTGAGTTGCTTTCTCATTGTGGTTTTGATTTGCATTTCCATGATAAATAGTGATGTTGAGCATTTCTTATATAATTATTGGCCGTTTGTATGTCTACTTTTAAAAAATGTCTATTTTGGTCTTTCACTCATCTTTTAATCTAGTTATCTGGTTTTTTGCTGTTGAGTTGTTTGACTTCCTTATATATTTTGTATATTAACTCCGTGTCAGGTTTACATTCTATAATTTGTCTCTTTACTATGTTGATTGGGTCCTTTGCTGTACAGAGACTTTTTTAGTTTGACGTAATCCCATTTGTCTATTTTTGCTTTTGTTGCTGGTGCTTTTGAGGTTTTATCCAAAAAAATCCTTACCCAGTACAATGTCATGAATTATTCCACCTATGTTTTCTTCTAGTAGTTTCATACTTTTGGATCTTGTATTTAAGCATTTAATTAAGTTTTAGTTCAATTTTGTAGATGGTGAAAGATAAAGGTTTGGTTTTATTTTTCTACATGTGAATATCCAGTTTTTACATCATTATTTATTGAAAAGACTATCCTTTCCCCAGTGTATTTTCTTGGTACCTTTGTTGAAAATCAGTTGGTTGTAAATGTATGCATTTATTTCTGGGGTTTCTATTCTGCCATCTCTATATATATATCTGTTTGTATGCCAGTACCATGCTGTTTGGGTTGCTATAGATTTGTAGTATATTTTGAAGTAAGGTAGTGTATTGCTCCCAGATTTGGGTTTTGTTTTGTTTTTTTCAAGATTGATTTGGCTAAGGTGTCTTCTGTGGTTCCATAAAACTTTAGGGTTATTTTTTTCCATTTTGGTCAAGAATGTCATTGGTATTTTGATAGGAATTTCATTGAATCTGTATATTGAGTATTAGGGATATTTTAACAATATTGAATCTTTCATTTTATTACATGGAGTATCTTTTCATTTATTTGTGTCTTCTTCAATTTCTTTCACCAATGCTTAGCAATTTTTATTGTAGAGATCTTTCCCCTACTTGATGAAGTTTATTCCTAGGTATTTTAATTTTTATTTGGCTACCGTAAATGGAATTGTTTTCTTGGTTCCTTTTTAAGATAGTTTAGTATTAGCAGATAGAAACACTACTGATTTATGTATGTTGATTTTGTATTCTGCAACTTTACTGAATTTATTTCTTCTAATAGTCATTTGGTGGAGTCTAAAATTTTCTGTAGATAAGATCATGTTGTTTGTAAATAAAACAATTTGACTTCCTTCTATCCAATTGTATGCCTTTTATTTTATTCTTCTCCTGACTATCTGCTTTGGTTAGGTCTTCCAGTACTATGTTGAATCAAAGTGGTAAAATAAGTACTCTAGTCTTGTTCCAGGTCTTAGAGAAAAATTTTTCAGCTTTTTCTCATTTAGTATGTTAGCTGTGGTTTTATCATATATGGCCTTTATTGTGTTGAGGTGCATTCCTTCTATATCCAGTTTGTTAAAAATTTTTATCATGAAGAGATATTAAATTTTGTCAGATAAATTTTCTGCATCTATTTATGATTATATGGGTTTTGTCCTTCATTCTGTTAATGTGATATATCATGCTTATTCATTTGCATACATTGAACCATCCTTGAATCCTTTCAATGAATCTCACTTGATAATACTGAATTATATTTTTAATGTATTACTGAACTTGGTTTGCTAGAATTTTGTTGAAGATTTTTGAATAGATGTTCATCAGGGATAATGGCCTGCAGTTTCCTTTTATCATTGTGCCCTTGTCTGGTTTTGATATCACAGTAATGCTGGCCTCATGGAATGTTTTATTTGGTATACATCTTGCTATCTTTGGTTTTCCATTTGAAATGACTATTTTTTCTATCCCTTCATTTTCAGTCTCTGTGTGCCTTACAAGTGGAGTGCTCTTTTGTAGGCAGCATGTAGTTTTGTCTTCTGTTTTATCCATTTAGTCACTCTGTGTCATTTAATTGGAAAGTTTAATCCACTTATATTCAATGTAATTATTGATAAGTGAAAACTTACAACTGTTTACAACTGCCATTTAGTTGCTAGTTTGTTTGCTTGTGTGTGTGTTTGTGTGTCTATGCGTGTGTGTATAGAGCTTTTCTTATTCTCTTCTGTCTTCCTTTGTAGTTAAGTGATTTTCTCTGGAAATATGTTTTGATTCTTTTTAAAAAATGTTTATCATTTATAAGTTTTTATTTTATGGTTACCATGAGACCTATTTTTAAAATCTTATATTTGAAACCATTTTTTAAAAATAAATAACAACTTATTTTGGTCACAAAAAAACCATCTACACTTTATCTGCATTCCCGCTCCACATTTTTAATTTTTAATGTAACAATTTACATATTTTTATATTGCCTATCCTTCAACAGACTATTATAGTTATTATTTTACTAGTTTTATTTTTTAACCTTAACACTGGTGTGTCATGTATACACCGAGATTACAGTATTATCATATTCTGAATTTGATTGTACACTTGGATTTACTAGTGAGTTTCATACCTTCAGATGTTTTTGCATTACTCATTAGCATTCTTTTTATTCAGTTTGAAGTATTCCCTTTAGCATTTCTTAAAAGACATATCCATTGGTGATAAATTCCATCAGCTTTTCATTGTCTAGGAAAGTCTTTACCCTATATTTCTGAAGGATAGCTTATTGATTGGCCGGGTTTTTTTTCCCCTTTACCACTTTGAATCTGTCATCTCACTCCCTTCTGGCATGTAATGTTTCTGCTGTGAAGTCTTCTGCTTCCAGGCATATTGGCACTCCCTTATGTATTATTTGCTTCTTTCTTTATGTGGCTTTCAGGATCTACTTTTTTTCTTTGACGTTCGATAGTTTGACTATACTATGTCTTGGGGTAGTATTATTTAAATTGTATCTGATTGGTGACCTTCAGTCTTCCTGTACCTGTGTATTTATATATTTATCCAGGTTTGGAAAGCTTTCTGCTCTTACTTATTTAAATAAGCTTTCTACATTTTTGTCTTACTCTAATCCCTCTTGAATGACAATGGGCCAAACATTACTTGTTTTCATAGTGTCCTATAGATCCTGTATGATTTCCTCATTTTTAGTTGTTTTGTTTTTCTTTTCTCCAATTATATATTATCTTTATTTTATTTTATTATTATTATACTTTAACTTTTAGGGTACATGTGCACAATGTGCAGGTTAGTTACATATGTATACATGTGCCATGCTGGTGTGCTGCACCCATTAACTCGTCATTTAGCATTAGGTATATCTCCTAAAGCTATCCCTCCCCCCTCCTCCCACCCCACAACAGTCCCCAGACTGTGATGTTCCCCTTTCTGTGTCCATGTGTTCTCATTGTTCAATTCCCACCAATGAGTGAGAGTATACAGTGTTTGGTTTTTTGTTCTTGCGATAGTTTACTGAGAATGATGATTTCCAATTTCATCCATGTCCCTACAAAGGACATGAACTCATCATTTTTTATGGCTGCATAGTATTTCATGGTGTATATGTGCCACATTTTCTTAATCCAGTCTATCATTGTTGGACATTTGGGTTGGTTCCAAGTCTTTGCTATTGTGAATAGTGCCGCAATAAACATACGTGTGCATGTGTCTTTACAGCAGCATGATTTATAGTCCTTTGGGTATATACCCAGTAATGGGATGGCTGGGTCAAATGGTATTTCTAGTTCTAGATCCCTGAGGAATCGCCACACTGACTTCCACAATGGTTGAACTTTGTGTTTACGGTGAACTAGTTTACGGTATCAAATATCCTGTCTTTCAGTTCACACATTTATTTTTCTGCTTGATCAATTCTGCCACCGATTCTATTAAGTTTTAAATTTTGTTCATTGTAGTATTTAGCTCCAGGATTTCTGTTTGATATTTTAAATTATTATTTTAACCTTTCTGATAAATTTCTGTTATGTTTCTGAATTATTTCCCTGTATTTTCTTTAAGTTTGCTGAAGAGCTTTCTTAAAACAGAAATTTTGAATTGTCTGAGATGTCATACATCTCCATCTCATTAGGGTTAGGCATGAGCACCTTGTTTTGTTCATTTTTTGAGGTCATGCTTCCCTAATTAATTTTGTACCTTATATTCATATGTCATTATCTGTGTGTTTAGTAAGTAGGTATTTATTGAAGCCTTTGCAGTCTGGCTTTGTATGTGTCCATCCTTCTACAGTAAGTCTGTTCAGAAATTCTGAGCAGACTGACTGTCGTGGTCCTTAGATCCACGAACTCTGCAGCCATTTCAGCACGACAGAGTTCCCCAAGCGCAGGTCATGAGTCTTGCAAGAGCTCTGAAGCTGGTTTCATTCCCAACCTTTAATTTTCTGGGGAAGACCCAAGGAGGATGCCTAAGCTATGTGGGAAAACTGACTAGAGGCTTGAGCCCAGGAGACCTGTGGGCTTTGCTTCCTGCAGCATGGTGATGCTGACAAGTCTTCTATGCTGTGGCATGTTTACTGGCAGAAAAGGAGAACAACCACAGAGTTCCACATGCTGATTATTGTAAGCTCTACCCCTATTCTTTATCTCTAGCTGACCTCAGGTAGTTCAGCCCTGCCAATGCTTGCAATTATTTTTGTGAGATAAAATAAAAGCAAACCTCCTGCATAGAGTCTCAGAATGGTGGGGAAACTGGATGTCCACCTCTAACTCACTTTTTTCACTGTAGGAACTATAAGCTCAGTAAAATACCCCACTTGTGGTGCTTGGAGGAAGGGCACTGCAATCAAAGAGAGTCATCTCCATTACCATCTGATTGTGTTTTTTTTTCAGCTTTGAGGTTCAAGAGAGTATCACAACCTTGCTCCTGATTTAAGAATATTCGGATTGGTAATCATACTTCTGGATAGTTGCTAGTTTGGATTCTGTGGATAGGAATGAAGCTGGAGAACTTCAGCTTCATCATATTTTTTTCATGTGACTTACTGGAATTCTTTATAGACTCTGTGACCTTGAAAAATGAAAAAAACCGTAACACAGAATCTATCTCTTCAAGAAAATAACATCTATTTTCTAGTAAAGTACTTCGATTCTTTGGAAAAACACATATTGTGAACATTCAAGGTCTTCATCATATGAACAGTACCCATTTCTAACATCATTGATCCTTGGTGATACAGCAGAAGGGACTTACTAAATAAACAATAGTCTTGAAAATTATTACAGTTAACTTTTTAAAAGATCAAAGTGATTACATTTCTAACATGGAAAGTATGTTGTTATAGAATTATCAAAGCATTTTAACTTCTGTTTTAGTAACAGTAAGCTAACTGATTTAGCAAAGAGACCCAAAATTGCATAATGGCATAAGCACCATAAAAGTCTGGTCATTGTGCCCACATACCCTTTCAGGTCAATGAGGGGTAAATGAATTACTGATGCAGCAACAGCACAAATGAATCTCAAAATAATTAGGTTGAATTTTGGGGGGTCTCCTCTTGGCAGTGTCAATGTCTTAGTCAACATGTGGTCTCCAAGACTCTCTGGACGTCTCCAACCAACACATGAGCAAAGGCTGAAAGGCTCACACCAGAAGTAACGTGCATTGTTTTCCAATGCTCACATTATATTGGCCAGAATTAGTTATCTGGCCCCACCTAAAGATGCTAGGATAAGAAAATAAATTTCCTGGGTAGCCATTTTCCAGAAACAATTCTAATTCACAAATGGGGAAACAGCAATCTTTGACGACAGTAAACTTTCTTTGACAAATAAGTGTTAAAAGAATTTGTATTTGTTTTATTTATTTTACCCAATACTCTGGAACATTGAAACGTATTCTGGATTTTTCCCCTAAATATTTTTCTCCTTTTTCAAGTCTCTAATCCTTTTCTTTAATCAATAGCATTAAGTATAGGCAAGAGAGTATAAGCTGGTATCCAACAGAGTGTTTAAATATTGCTTCTTAACATATTTATCTATTCTCAGTTTTAGCCCTAGGTGTTTATTATATAATTTCTCTTTGTCATGGCTCTTAATTCTTGTTTGATATAGGATATATGTGATGTATTTTGGCTTATTTCCTCATTTCTAACTTTGAATTACTATTTTCCTGTTAGCAATATGTAATTTACCATTTACCTATTTTGTGAGATATTTTTCAAGGATTATAGTTTTTTTCAGAATTTTTATGTTTTTTTCTAAATTTTCCTTTTCTTTGGGACTTATGTCATATTCTTGCCTTTTGGGTTCCGCCTTTTCTTCTCTTTTTAAACATCTCTAAAATATTTATTTTAAAAATTTTTTGCAAGCTTTGAAACAGTTCCAAAATAGATAAAACCCAAAAGTTAATCAACTGGTGGCAGTTTCTGGATGTCTCTCAAGAAGGTTAAGGAGGGATGTTCTCTTGTGTGCTTCTATTTGTTTCTTACCTGACTTGGGAGCTGTTTAAGGAAGGCACACTTTGCCCCTAGTGGTGAAGACTTTATAGTGAAAGAGTTTTACATTTGTCTCTGCCTGGTCCACAATATTTTATCACTTCTAGACTATTTTTGTTTCCTATCAGCATTACTGAAATGTCTAAGTAACACAACATACATGTTAAAGGTAAAATTGCATAAATTTGACAAATGTATACAATCATGTAACCACAACATTTATTTCCCTTACTCAAATTTCTGTCTAATGTCCTTGTAGAGGATTTGTTCATACTTCCATCCCCAGACCCAGGTAATGCCAAATCTTCTTCCTATTACTAAAATTGTGCCTTTTCCAGAATTTCATATAAATGCAGTCACAAACCATGTGTTTTTTGGGGGTATGCTGGACTTATTTTACTTATTTAATGCTCTTGAGATTCATTTCTGTTGGGTGTATCAGTAGTTTATTCCTTTTTATTGCTAGACTGTATTCCATTAGATGAATATACCACAACTTGTTTATTCATTCACTAGTTGATAGACTTTTGGGCTATTTTTATTCTTTTGCTATTATGAATCTGTGTGCTACACAAATTTTGCATACAAATCTTTGGACAGATGTTCTCATTTCTCTTTGAGTACATATCTAGGAAGGATTGCTAGGTTATATTAAAAAAAGTTTGTCTTTATAAGAAATTGCTGACAATTTTTCAATAAGGCTATTTCATTTTGTATTATCACTAGCTTTGTATAAGAGTTATCCTTGCTCCAAATTCTCTTCATTGTATAGTCCTCTCAGTGTTTATAATTTTGGCCATTATAGTGTGTATGTAGTGATACCTTAGTAAGGTTTAAATTTACACTTCACTAATAATAATGTCCTTCATTTATATGTACTTATTTACATCTGTAATTCTTCCTTGATACGGTGCATGTTCAAATATTGTGTCATATTCTGTGCTGCATTATTTAATTTTAAGTGTGTTTTATATATTCCAGATACAAATTATTTATTAGGTTTATTTTTCAAATATTTTCTCCCAGAATTTTGGTGACTTTTTCATTTTATTAACGGTATCTTTTTTATATGGTTTGACTAAGTCCCCACCCAAATCTCATCTTGACTTGTAGCTCCCATAATCCCCACATGTCATGGGATAGACCCGGTGGGAGGTAAGTGGATCATGGGGTTGGGTTTTCCCATGATGTTCTCATGATAGTGGATAAGTTTCATGAGATCTGATGGTTTTATAAAGGGCAGTTCCCCTGCACATGCTTTCTTGCTTGCTGCCATGTAAGACATCACTTTTCTCCTCCTTTGCCTTCCACCATGATTGTCAGGTCTCCCAAGCCATGTGGAAATGTGAGTCCATTAAGCCCCTTTTTCTTTATAAATTACTCAGTCTTGGATTTTTCTTCATAACAATATGAAAATTGATAAATATAGTAAATTGGTATCAGTAGAATGGAGTACTGCTATTAAGATACTAAAAAATGTGGAAGTGACTTTGGAACTGGTTACAGGCAGAGGTTGGAACAGTTTAGAGGGCTCAGAAGAAGACAGGAAAATGTGGGAAAGTCTGGAGTTTCCTAGAGACTTGTTGAATGGGTTTGAGCAAAAAGTCCAGGCTGAAGTATTCTCAGATAGAAATGAAGAACTTATTGGGAACTGGAGCAAAGGTGATTCTTGCTATGCTTTAGCAAAGAGACTGGCAGCATTTGGCCTCTGTCCTAGAGATTTGTGGAAGTTTGAACTTGAGAGAGATGATTTAGGGTATCTAATGGAAGAAATTTCTAAGCAGCAAAATGTTCAAGATGTCACTTAGGTGCTCTTAAAACACTCAGTTTAATTCATTTACAAAGATATGGTTTGGAATTAGAACATATGTTTAAAAAAGAAGCAGAGCATAAAAGTTTGGAAAATTTGCAGTCTGATGATGTGATAGAAAAGAAAAACCCATTTTCTGAGGAGAAATTCAAGCCAGGTACACAAATTTGGGCTGTGGACTTTTGACTTACTGCTGAAATGAGTTAAGACTTTGGGAGATTGTTGGGAAGGGCATTGATTGGTTTTGAAATGAGAGGACATGAGATTTGGGAGGAGCCAGGGTGAAATGATATGGTTTGGCATGTCCCCACCCAAATCTCATCTTGAATTTTAGCTCTCATAATTTCCACATGTCATAGGAGGGACTCACTGGGAGATCACTGAATCTTGGGGGAGGGTTTTCCCATGCTGTTCTCCTGATAATGAATAAGTTTCATGAAGTCTTATGGTTTTATAAAGGGCAGTTCCTCCACATGCTCTCTTGCCTGCTGCCATTTAAGACATGCCTTTGCTCCTACTTTGCCGTCCATCATGATTGTGAGGTGTCCCCAGCCAGGTAGAATTGTGAGCCAGTTAAACCTTTTTTTCTTTATAAATTACCCAGTCTCTCATATTTCTTTATAGCAGTATGAAAATAGGCTAATACACTTTATATAATAAAAAAGTTAATTTTGTTGTATTGCAATTTTTCATATTTTTATTTCATAGGTTGTACATTTTGTGTTTTAGAAATCTTTGCTTAACCCAAGGTCACAAAAAATTTTATCCTGGAAGTTTTATAATTTTGGCTTTTGCCTTTATGTATGATTCAAGTTAGCTTATTTATAAAGTATAATGTAATCACTGTGACTTTTTCACACAGATACATATTTCCTCTTCAAGAAGTTTGTCGATCTTCGTGGATATGTGAGTTTATGTTTCTCCTCAAATTTGTATAATTTTTGGCAAATATTTTTTCAAATATTTTTCTTGTCCTTTTTTCTTGTTTTCTTTTCTTTTTTTTTCTTTTTTCTTTTTTTTTTTTTTGTGAGACATGGTCTTACCCTGTCACCCGGCTGGAGTGCAGTGGCACAATCTTGGCTCACTGCAACCTCCGCCTTCCAGCTTCAAGCAATTCTCCTCCCTCATACTCCCAAGTAGCTGGGATTACAGGCACCCACCACTACGCCCAGCTAATTTTTGTACTTTTAGTAGAAATGGGGTTTCACCATGTTGGCCAGGCTGGTCTTAAACTCTTGACCTCAGGTTATCCACCCGCCTTGGCCTCCCAAAGTCCTGGGATTAAAAGCTTGAGCCACCACACCTGGCCCACTTGTTTTCTTTTGAGACTCCAATTACATGTATGTTAGGCTGTTTGATATTGGTGGATAGGCTTCTGATATTTTATTTATTGTTCTTATCCTTCCTCTCACTTTGCCTTATTTTAAATGCTTTCTATTGCTATGTCTTTAAGTTCACTAATCTTTTCTTAGGTGGATTTTTATTTTTGTTATTGTATCTTTTATCTCTAGAAGTTTTATATTTTATTTTATATCTTTGTTACTTTCCTCATCATCCTGATGCTTTTTTAATACTCTTGACATTAAAGGCAAGTTTATTGTTGCTGTTTTAATTTCCTTATCTGAAGATTTCATTATCCAACTTTAGTATTTCCAGGTCAGTTTTTATTAATTGTTTATTCTTACTATGAGTCATGCTTTCTTGTCTACTTGCATGCTTGATATTTTGGGAATGGATGATAGAAATTGCACATTCATTTTATTTAATAGGGACTTGTTCTGATGATAACTTATGTTACTTTACCTTTGAAGAGGCATTTTATGACTCCAGTTTTATCCTCCACTTCTCCACAAGCTTGTCTACTACCTGTGGAAGTTATCAATATCAAAATGAAGTCACTCATGTTATACCCTAATAAAATGGAGTTGGGAGACCATGAAGAAGGAGACTTTATGTACATTTGCCTGATAGCAAGAACTATCACAGGATACTCTGCCAAATCCACAATCTTGTACAAAGGTCACCACAACCTTGCACAAGGATAACTCCTGCAATGACACCTGCCCAGCAACTGCCTGTTTTACTAATGGACTGATTCCAGCCTTGTTATTAATTCTTATAGCTACAGATAATTATTCAATAACCATTAATGTATATGCCCTCATATTGCCTTTAAAAAGCTTTGCCTTCCTTTTCCTCCTTGGATGTGCCAGTGTTTCACCATAGCATCCATATACTGGATTGCAAATTCCTACTATTCCTGAAAAAATTATTGGTTCTGGAGAGCTGGTCTCTCTGCTGTTTATTTTTTACTGACCCACCTCAATTCTAACTTGAACAACACTGTGTTTTAATAAAATAATGAGTTTAAGGGACATTGGGCATTTTTTTGGTAGAGATTTCTGGACGACAAAGTCTTAGGTATTTCAACTATGTATGTAATTTTATTTCTTTAAAACCACTCTTTCAGTGTGAGCACAGTGGACTGCAGGGAAATGGGGGACTTACTTCTAGTATACATTGACCCCAGCACTTTACAGGTGATATGACAGCAATGTGAACCAGGTTCCCAAAAAAATTAGTTTCCTTCTTCAAAACATATCTAATCACTAAAGGGATAATCCTATGTAATGTGGCAGATATAACAATCATCTTCCCTAGAAGAATAAAATTGGCAACGTTCTCTCTAATGAATCCATTTGTAAGTTACATGTTTTAACTTGCTTTTTGCTTTAGGCTGTCACAGCATTGTAATTAACCATACCCAGGTCTGGCAGTATGGATGTAGGATTGAGACATTCCCTGAATTTTCTCCCTAAATCCTTCTCTCCATTTTTTCCCAAGCATCTAATCCTTCCTTTTTTCTTTACATTTTGCCACATTAACCTTGGCAAGGCAGGTGAGCCATCACCCCTCAGGGTACTAGGAACAAATTCAAAAGGCATTTTCACTGAGCTTGGGTAAAATCCCATTGTCTGACAAAGAATAACTTTCACAAGCATAAAATACTTATTATACAGTTGAACAATAGGGTTTATTGTTACCTGGGTCCAATTTTAATGTTATTATAATGTTGAAACTTCTTTCTCTGAAAAGCTTCCAGAAAATAACCTGACTAAACTGTAAAGTTAACGGTGTTGGATTTTAAGATAAACAAGAGAGTTAGCTATTTTCTAAGCACTGAGCACTCATTCTGATATCCTGAGCTCTGGCTTAGAATTTGACATTTGCTGACTTTCTATAACAGAGGGCCCATCCTTAAACAAAGTTCGAATCCTCTGATCAAGTGACCTTTCATTCTCTCAGCATACCTAATCATTTTTCTTTCCATCACTCTGTACTCTATAATTACTTTAACTCGTGTCCATGTGAAGAGACCACGAAACAGCCTTTGTGTGAGCAATAAAGCTGTTTATTTCACCTGGGTGCACGCAGGCTGAGTCCAAAAAGAGAGTCAGTGAAGGGAGATAGGGGTGGGGCCGTTTTATAGGATTTGGGTAGGTAAAGGAAAAAGGGGGGTTGTTCTCTGGTGGGCAGGAGTGGGGGTCACAAGGTGCTCAGTAGGGGAGCTTTTCAGCCAGGATGAGCCAGGAGAATGAATTTCACAAGACAATGTCATCAGTTAAGGCAGGAACAGGCCATTTTCACTTCTTTTGTGGTGGAATCTCATCAGTTAAGGCAGGAACCGGCCATCTGGATGTGTACGTGCAGGTCACAGGGGATATAATGGCTTAGCTTGGGCTCAGAGGCCTGATATTCCTGTCTTCTTATATTAATAAGAAAAATAAAACAAAATAGTGGTAAAGTGTTGGGATGGTGAAAATTTTTTGGGGGTGGTATGGAGAGATAATGGGCAATGTTTCTCAGGGCTGCTTCTAGCGGGATTAGGGGTGGCGTGGGAACTTAGAGTGGGAGAGATTAAGCTGAAGGAAGATTTGTGGTAAGAAGTGATATTGTGGGGTTGTTAGAAGAAACATTTGTCACTTAGAATTATTGGTGATGGCCTGGATACAGTTTTGTATGAATTGAAAAACTAAACAGAATAAGAGCAGGAGAAAAACAGGTATTAAAGGACTAAGAATTGGGAGGACCTAGGACATCTAATTAGAAAGTGCCTAAGGAGGTTCAACATAGCTTTGCCAGCAAAGATTATTTATTTACTTTAAGAGTTAAGAGTGGTGGTTTGGGGATAGCACCAAGAAATATCAGCTATGATGGCTTGGAGAAACAGTGTAAACTGGCAGTGTAAACAAGAGCAGGGCATGTATGAGTAGTTGAGAATGGTGAATAGGAGTATGACTAGACAGAAGATAGTAGGGATGACAAGTTTTTTGGGGCACAGTCCAAGTTGGTCTGGTGTCTGGAATGAGACTGGGGCCTAATAAAAAGAGCGTCTATACAGGAGCTCAAATGGGCTGTACCTTGTAGCATTCTGAGGACAGGCCTGAATTCTGAGAAAGGAAAGTGGTAAAAGTATTGTCCAGTCCTTTTTAAGTTGGTGGCTGAGCTTGGTGAGGTGTGTTTTTAAAAGACCATTAGTCTGTTCTACCTTTCCTGAAGACTGAGGACTGTAAGGGATATAAAGTTTTCACTGAATACTAAGAGCCTGAAAAAATGCTTGGCTGATTTGACTAATAAAGGCCAGTCTGCTATCGGACTGTATAGAGGTGGGAAGGCCAAACCGATGAATTATGTCTGACAGAAGGGAAGAAATGACCTTGGTGGCCTTCTTAGACCCTGTGGGAAAGGCCTCTACCTATCCAGTGAAAGTGTCTGCCTAGACCAAGAGGTATTTTAGTTTCCTGACTCGGGGCATTTTGAGTAAAGTTAATTTGCCAGTCCTGGGCGGGGGCAAATCCCTGAGCTTGATGTGTAGGGAAGGCAGGGGGCCTGAATAATCCCTGAGGAGTAGCAGAATAGCAGAAGGAACACTGAGAAGTTATTTCCTTGAGGATAGATTTCCATGATGGAAAGGAAATGAGAGGTTCTAAGAGGCAGGCTAGTGGCTTGTACTATAGCATAGCCTGCCTTTGCTGGTGTGTGGTGATTAGGCCTGGTGGAACTGTCATCAATAAACCAAGTGTGATCAGGTTGAGAAACAGGGAAGGAGGAAATGTAGGGAAATGGGGTGAACGTCAGGTGGATCAGAGAGATGCAGTCATGAGGGTCAGGTGTGGTATCAGGAATAATGTGGGAGGCTGGATTGAAGTCCGGGCCAGGAACAATGGTAATTGTGGGACACTCAACAAAGAGTGAGTACAGCTGAAGGAGCCAGGGAGCAGAAAGTATATGCATCAGGTGTGAGGAAGAAAACAGATTTTAGAAATTATGAGAGCTGTAGAGAGTGAGTTGAGCATAGTTTGTGATTTTAAGGGCCTCTAAAAGTATTAGGATGGCAGTAGCCACTGCATGGAGACATGATGGCCAGCCTAAAACAGTAAGGTCAAGTTGTTTGGACAAAAAGGCTACAGGACGTGATCCCAGTCCTTGTGTAAGTATTCTGACTGCACAGCCCTGCACTTTGGTTGTGTGTAATGAAAAGGGTTGGGATGAGTCAGGGAGAGCTGGGGTGGGGGCAGTCTCTAAAGCTGTCTTCAAGGAACAGAAAGAGGAGTGGGGAAGGATTTAGGATCTATGGGGTCAGCTAGGTTTCCTTTTGTGAGTTTATATAATGGTTTTGTTAGGATGGCAAAACCAGGTATCCAAAGGCAAAAGTATCCAACCATGCCCAGGAAGGAAAGAAGTTGTTGTTTTGTAGAAGGGGTTGGGGTTTGAGAGATTAGTCAGACATGATCAGCAGGGAGAGCACGTGTGTTTTTATGAGAATTATGCTGAGATAGGTAACAGATAACGAAGAAATTTGGGCTTGACTGAAGTAATGGGGTCTGTCTGTTAAGCTTTGCAGCAGTACAACCCAGGTAATTTGCTGAGCCTGATGGTTGTCAGGGTCAGTCCAAGTGAAAGTGAAGAGAGGCTGGGATGAAGGGTGCAAAGGAATAGCAAAGAAAGCATGTTTGAGATCAAGAACAGAATAATGGATTGTGGAGGGAGGTATTGAGGATAGGAGAGTATATGGGTTTGGCACCATGGGGTGGATAGGCAAAACAATTTGGTTGATAAGGCATAGATCCTGAACTAACTTATAAGGCTTGTCTGGTTTTAGCACAGGTGAAATGGGGGAATTGTAAGGAGAGATTATAGGCTTTAAAAGGCCATGCTGTAGCAGGCCAGTGATAAGAGGCTTTAATCCTTTCAAAGCATGCTGTGGGATGGGATTTTGGCATTGAGCGGGGTAAGGGTGATTAGGTTTTAATGAGATGGTAAGGGGTGCATGATCGGTCACCAAGGAGGGAGTAGAGGTGTCTTATACTTGTGGGTTAAGGTGGGGGGATACAAGAGGAGGACACAAAGGAGGCTTTGGATTGGGAAGAAGGGTGGCAATGAGATGCAGCTGTAGTCCAGGAATAGTCAGGGAAGCAGATAATTTAGTTAACGTGTCTCGGCCTAATAAGGGAACTGGGCAGGTGGGGATAACTAAAAAGGAGTGCTTAAAAGAGTATTGTCTAAGTTGGCACAGAGTTGGGGAGTTTTAAGAGGTTTAGAAGCCTGGCTGTCAATACCCACAGCAGTTATGGAGGCAAGGGAAACAGGCCCTTGAAAAGAAGGTAATGTGGACTGGGTAGCCTCCATATTGATTAAGAAGAGGACGGACTTACCCTCCACTGTGAGAGTTATCTAAAGCTCGGCGTCCGTGTTGGTCTACAGGGCTTCCGAGGCGATCAGGCAGCATCAGTCTTCAGCCACTAAACCGAGAAGATCTGAGAAAGAGTCAGTCAGAGAGCCTTGGGCCAGAGTTCCAGGGGCTCTGGGAGTGGCTTCCAGGTGAGTTGAACAGTCCGATTTCCAGTGGGGTCCTGCACAGATGGGACACGGCTTAGGAGGAATCCCGGGCTGCGGGCATTCCTTGGCTTGGTGGCCAGATTTCTGGCACTTGCAGCAAGCTCCTGGGGGAGGCGGTTCTGGAGGAATGCCTGGCCACTGTGATTTAGCCATTTGGAAGTTCTTGTGTGCTGGATATGTGGCTGGGGTTTGTCTCACAGTGGAGGCAAGGAATTGCAACTCAGAAATACGTTGCAACTTGGCTGCCTCTACTCTATAATTGTACACCTTGAAGGCGAGGTTAATTAAGTCCTGTTGTGGGGTTTGAGGGCCGGAATTTAATTTTTGGAGTTTGATTTAATGTCAGGAGCAGATTGGGTAATAAAATATGTATTGAGAATAAGATGGCCTTTTGACCTTTTAGGGTCTAGGGCTGTAAAGCGTCTCAGGATTGCTGCCAAATGAGCCATGAACTGGGCTGGATTTTTATATTTGATGAAAAAGACCTAAACGCTATCTGATTGGGGATAAAGAAAAAGGAACATTAACCTTGACTATGCCTTTAGCTCCAGCCACATTTTTATTATTATTATTATTATACTTTAAGTTTTAGTGTACATGCGCACAACGTGCAGGTTTGTTACATATGTATACATGTGCCATGTTGGTGTGCTGCACCCATTAACTCGTCATTTAGCATTAGGTATATCTCCTAATGCTATCCCTCCCCCCTCCCCCAACCCCACAACAGTCCCCGGTGTGTGATGTTCCCCCTCCTGTGTCCATGTGTTCTCATTGTTCAATTCCTACCTATGAGTGAGAACATGTGGTGTTTGGTTTTTGTCCTTGTGATAGTTTGCTGAGAATGATGGTTTCCACCTTCATCCATGTCCCTACAAAGGACATGAACTCATCATTTTTTATGGCTGCATAGTATCCATGGTGTATATGTGTGATATTTTCTTAATCCAGTCTATCATTGATGGACATTTGGGTTGGTTCCAAGTCTTTGCTATTGTGAATAGTGCCGCAGTAAACATACGTGTGCATGTGTCTTTATAGCATCATGATTTATAACCCTTTGGCTATATACCCAGTAATGGGATGGCTGGGTCAAATGGTATTTCCAGTTCTAGATCCCTGAGGAATCGCCACACTGACTTCCACAATGGTTGAACTAGTTTACAATCCAACCAACAGTGTAAAAGTGTTCCTATTTCTCCACATCCTCTCCAGCACCTGTGGTTTCCTGACTTTTTAATGATTGCCATTCTAACTGGTGTGAGATGGTATCTCACTGTGGTTTTGATTTGCAATGCTCTGATGGCCAGTGATGATGAGCATTTTTTCATGTGTTTTTTGGCTGCATAAATGTCTTCTTTTGAGAAGTGTCTGTTCATATCCTTTGCCCACTTTTTGATGGGGTTGTTTGTTTTTTTCCTGTAAATTTATTTGTGTTCTTTGTAGATTCTGGATATTAGCCCTTTGTCAGATGAGTAAGTTGCAAAAATTTTCTCCCATGTTGTAGGTTGCCTGTTCACTCTGATGGTAGTTTCTTTTACTGTGCAGAAGCTCTTTAGTTTAATTAGATCCCATTTGTCAATTTTGGCTTTTGTTGCCATTGCTTTTGGTGTTTTAGACATGAAGTCCTTGCCCATGCCTATGTCCTGAATGATAATGCCTAGGTTTTCTTCTAGGGTTTTTATGGTTTTAGGTCTAACATTTAAGTCTTTAATCCATCTTGAATTAAGTTTTGCATAAGGTTTAAGGAAGGGATCCAGTTTCAGCTTTCTACATATGGCTAGCCAGTTTTCCCAGTACCATTTATTAATTAGGGAATCCTTTCCCCATTGCTTGTTTTTGTCAGGTTTGTCAAAGATCAGATAGTTGTAGATACGAGGCATTATTTCTGAGGGCTCTGTTCTGTTCCGTTGGTCTATATCTGTGTTTTGGTACAAGTACCATGTTGTGTTGGTCACTGTAGCCTTGTAGTATAGTTTGAAGTCAGGTAGCGTGATGCCTCCAGCTTTGTTCTTTTGGCTTAGGATTGACTTGGCAATGCAGGCTCTTTTTTGGTTCCATATGAACTTTAAAGTAGTTTTTTCCAATTCTGTGAAGAAAGTCATTGGTAGCTTGATGGGGATGGCATTGAATCTATAAATTACCTTGGGCAGTATGGCCATTTTCACGATATTGATTCTTTCTACCCATGAGCATGGAATGTTCTTCCATTTGTTTGTATCCTCTTTTATTTCATTGAGCAGTGGTTTATAGTTCTCCTTGAAGAGGTCCTTCACATCCCTTGCAAGTTGGATTCCTAGGTATTTGATTCTCTTTGAAGCAATTGTGAATGCGAGTTCACTCATGATTTGGCTCTCTGTTTGTCTGTTATTGGTGTATAAGAATGCTTGTGATTTTTGCACATTGATTTTGTATCCTGAGACTTTGCTGAAGTTGCTTATCAGCTTCAGGAGATTTTGGGCTGAGATGATGGGGTTGTCTAGATATACAATCATGTCATCTGCAAACAGGGACAATTTGACTTCCTCTTTTCCTAATCGAATGCCTTTTGTTTCCTTCTCCTGCCTGATTGTCCTGGCCAGTACTTCCAACACTGTGTTGAATAGGAGTGGTGAGAGAGGGCATCCCTGTCTTGTGCCAGTTTTCAAAGGGAATGCTTCCAGTTTTTGTCCATTCAACATGATATTGGCTGTGGGTTTGTCATAGATAGCTCTTATTATTTTGAGATACGTCCAATCAATACCTAATTTATTGAGAGTTTTTAGCATGAAGGGTTGTTGAATTTTGTCAAAGGCCTTTTCTGCATCTATTGAGATAATCATGTGGTTTTTGTCTTTGATTCTGTTTATATGCTGGATTATGTTTATGGATTTTCATATGTTGAACCAGCCTTGCATCCCAGGGATGAAGCCCACTTGATCATGGTGGATAAGCTTTTTGATGTGCTGCTGGATTCAGTTTGCCAGTATTTTATTGAGGATTTTTGCATCAATGTTCATCAAGGATATTGGTCTAAAATTCTCTTTTTTGGTTGTGTCTCTGCCCGGCTTTGGTATCAGGATGATACTGGCCTCATAAAATGAGTTAGGGAGGATTCCCTCTTTTTCTATTGATTGGAATAGTTTCAGAAGGAATGGTACCAACTCCTCCTTGTACCTCTGGTAGAATTCAGCTGTGAATCCATCTGGTCCTGGACTTTTTTTGGTTGGTAAACTATTAATTATTGCCTCAATTTCAGAGCCTGTTATTGGTCTATTCAGAGATTCAACTTCTTCCTGGTTTCGTCGTGGGAGGGTGTATGTGTCAAGGAATTTATCCATTTCTTCTATATTTTCTAGTTGATTTGCGTAGAGGTGTTTATAGTATTCTCTGATGGTAGATTGTATTTCTGTGGGATCGGTGGTGATATCCCCTTTATCATTTTTTATTGCGTCTATTTGATTCTTCTCTCTTTTCTTCTTTATTAGTCTTGCTAGCGGTCTATCAATTTTGTTGATCTTTTCAAAAAACCAGCTCCTGGATTCATTGATTTTTTGAAGTTTTTTATGTGTCTCTATTTCCTTCAGTTCTGCTCTGATCTCAGTTATTTCTTGCCTTCTGCTAGCTTTTGAATGTGTTTGCTCTTGCTTCTCTAGGGTGTCATTAGATCCCTAATGATGTGATGTTAGGGTGTCAATTTTAGATCTTTCCTGCTTTCTCTTGTGGGCATTTAGTGCTATAAATTTCCCTCTACACACTGCTTTGAATGTGTCCCAGAGGTTCTGGTATGTTGTGTCTTTGTTCTGGTTGGTTTCAAAGAACATGTTTATTTCTGCCTTCATTTCGTTATGTACCCAGTAGTCATTCAGGAGCAGGTTGTTCAGTTTCCATGTAGTTGAGAGGTTTTGAGTGAGTTTCTTAATCCTGAGTTCTAGTTTGGTTGCACTGTGGTCTGAGAGACAGTTTGTTATAATTTCTGTTCTTTTACATTTGCTGAGGAGAGCTTTACTTCCAACTATGTGGTCAATTTTGGAATAGCTGTGGTGTGGTGCTGAAAAGAATGTATATTCTGTTGATTTGGGGTGGAGAGTTCTATAGATGTCTATTAGGTCTGCTTGGTGAAGAGCTGAGTTCAATTCCTGGATATCCTTGTTAACTTTGTCTCGTTGATCTGTCTAATGTTGACAGTGGGGTGTTAAAGTCTCCCATTATTATTGTGTGGGAGTCTAAGTCACTTTGTAGGTCACTCAGGACTTGCTTTATGAATCTGGGTGCTCCTGTATTGGGTGCATATATATTTAGGATAATTAGCTCTTCTTGTTGAATTGATCCCTTTACCATTACGTAATGGCCTTCTTGGTCTCTTTTGATCTTTGTTGGTTTAAAGTCTGTTTTATCAGACACTAGGATTGCAACCCCTGCCTTTTTTTGTTTTCCATTTGCTTGATAGATCTTCCTCCATCCCTTTATTTTGAACCTATGTGTGTCTCTGCATGTGAAATGGGTTTCCTGAATACAGCACACTGATGGGTCTTGACTCTTTATCCAATTTGCCAGTCTGTGTCTTTTAAGTGGAGCATTTTGCCCATTTACATTTAAGGTTAATATTGTTATGTGTGAATTTGATCCTGTCATTATGATATTAGCTGGTTATTTTGCTCGTTAGTTGATGCAGTTTCTTCCTAGGCTTGATGGTCTTCACAATTTGGCATGTTTTTGCAGTGGCTGGTACTGGTTGTTCCTTTCCATGTTTAGTACTTCCTTCAGGAGCTCTTTTAGGGCAGGCCTGGTGGTGACAAAATCTCTCAGCATTTGCTTGTCTGTAAAGTATTTCATTTCTCCTTCACTTATGAAGCTTAGTTTGGCTGGATATGAAATTCTGGGTTGAAGATTCTTTTCTTTAAGAATGTTGAATATTGGCCCCCACTCTCTTCTGGCTTGTAGAGTTTCTGCAGAGAGATCAGCCGTTAGTCTGATGGGTATCCTTTTGTGGGTAACCCTACCTTTCTCTCTGGCTGCTCTTAACATTTTTTCCTTCATTTCAACTTTGTGAATCTGACAATTATGTGTCTTGGAGGTGCTCTTCTCGAGGAGTATCTTTGTGGTATTCTCTGTATTTCCTGAATTTGAATGTTGGACAGCCTTGCTAGATTGGGGAAGTTCTCCTGGATAATATCCTGCAGAGTGTTTTCCAACTTGGTTCCATTCTCCCCGTCACTTTCAGGTACACCAATCAGATGTAGATTTGGTCTTTTCACATAGTCCCATATTTCTTGGAGGCTTTGTTCATTTCTTTTTATTCTTTTTTCTCTAAACTTGTCTTCTCGCTTCATTTCATTCATTTCGTCTTCCATCGCTGATACCCTTTCTTCCAGTTGATTTCATTGGCCGCTGAGGCTTGTGCATTCATCACGTAGTTCTCGTGCCATGGTTTTCAGGTCCATCAGGTCCTTTAAGGACTTCTCTGCATTGGTTATTCTAGTTAGCCATTTGTCTAATTTTTTTTTCAAGGTTTTTAACTTCTTTGCCATTGGTTCGAACTTCCTCCTTTAGCTCAAAGTAGTTTGATCTTCTGAAGCCTTTGTCTCTCAACTCATCAAAGTCATTCTCCGTCCAGCTTTGTTCCATTGCTGGTGAGGAGCTGTGTTCCTTTGGAGGAGGGGAGGCGCTCTGATTTTTAGAGTTTCTGGTTTTTCTGCTGTGTTTTTTCCCCCATCTTTGTGGTTTTATCTACCTTTGGTCTTTGATGATGGTGACGTACAGATGGGTTTTTGGTGTGGATGTCCTTTCTGTTGGTTAGTTTTCCTTCTAACAGTCAGGACCCTCAGCTGCAGGTCTGTTGGAGTTTGCTGGAGGTCTCCTCCAGACCCCGTTTGCCTGGGTATCAGCAGCAGTGTCCAGCCACCTTTTTAAGAGTAAATTGCTGGGCAGGTGGGGGAGGGCTAGTCACGGAACGAAACTGTAAGCCAGACTGGGTGTGAGGAGGGGAGGTGGTAGAAGGATTATAGGGTGAAGGAGCGGAGGCTGAGGAAGAATTGGAACTTAGCTTGGCCTGGCAACGAGCAGCCTGAGGAGGAGGAGAAAGATCAGATGGGTCTGTAGAAAAGGAAGACTGGAAAGACTCAGCGACACTTGGGGTTGGGACTGAGGGGACAGGCAGGAGGGAAAGAAGGATTTGGGAGGAATCACATTGGGAACAGAGACTAGGGAAGGAAAGAAGTGTGAAAAATGCCTGGACGTAAGGCACCTCAGACCATTTGCCCATTTTTCAACAAAAATTATTTAGGTCTCATAGGATGGAGAAATTGAAAGTGCCATTTTCTGGCCACTTAGAGCCATTGTCAGTTTGTATTGGGGCCAAGTGGTGTTGCAGAAGAAAATAAGGCATTTAGGTTTTAGGTCAGGTGTGAGTTGAAGAGGTTTTAAGTTCTTGAAAACACAGGCTAATGGAGAAGAAGGAGGAATGAAGGGTGGAAGGTTGCCCATAGTGAAGGAAGCAAGCCCAGAGAAAAGAGAGAGTAGAGACACGGAGGGAAGGGGTTTGGGGGTTCTTACCCTCCAGAAAAGTGGGAAAGGGGTCAGGGTGTAGAAATAAGGGTTTGGGGCACACAGATAAGATGTTGGGGCACGGAAATAAGGGATGGGGCAAAGAGATAAGAGGTCGGGGCACAGAAATAAGGGATCAGGGCTCAGAGATAAGAGGTTGGGGTGTGGAAATAATGGATTGGGGTACAGAGATAAGAGGTCGGGATATGGAAATAAGGGATTGGGGGTTCTTGCCCCCTAGAAAAGTGGGACTTGCTGCTAAGGGTGAAGGAGGAGGGGCTGAGGGGTTCTTGCCCCTCCCCCAGAAAAGCAGAGAAGGGGTAGAGACATGGAGAGAAGGGGTTGGGGTACTTGCCCCTCCCCCAGAAAAGTGGGACTTGCCACTAAGGGTGAAAGACCAAGGCAGGCTTCCCTGCATGGTCTGACACCTCTGAAACGTGGGTGAATAATCAGAGAGGCGTCCTTGCAATTTTTAAACACCAAGAGAATGCTGCCTTCCCAGTCCGTGACTGGCACCGGAGTTTTGGGTCCACGGATAAAACGTGTCTCCTTTGTCTCTACCAGAAAATGAAAGGAATTGAAATTAAGAGAAGGGAAAGATTGAAGTGTGGTGCCAAGATTGAAAGGAGAAAGAGGTTGAGGGATAGTGAGGGAGGTTGGAGAAGAGAGTAAAAAGAGGCCACTTACTGGATTTGAAATTGGTGAGATGTTTCTTGGGCTGGTCAGTCTGAGGACCTGAGGTCATAGGTGGATCTTTCTCACAGAGCAAAAAGCAGGAGTACAGGGGATTGATCTCCCAAGGGAGGTCCCCTGATCCAAGTCATGGCACCAAATTTCACTCATGTTCGTGTGAAGCAGGGCATGGAAATAAGGAATTGGGGTGCAGAGATAAGAGGTTGGGGTGCAGAAATAAGGGATTTGGGGTTCTTGCCCCCTAGAAAAGCGGGACTTGCCACTAAGGATGAAGGAGAAGGGGTTGAGAGGTTCTTGCCCCTCCCCCAGAAAAGCAGAGAAGGGGTAGAGACATGGAGAGAAGGGGTTGGGGTACTTGCCCCTCCCCCAGAAAAGCGGGACTTGCCACTAAGGGTGAAGGAGAAGGGGTTGAGTGGTTCTTGCCTTTTCACGCAGTTGTGCTGTAGTTATTGCATCGGGTCTATGAATGGACTATGGCTTCCCGGTGATGGCTTCCAGGGTGCCAATTCTTCCAGAGGCAACAATGTGATTTACAGATTTAGATTGCTAGGGAATCTAAATCCCTGGGCCATGGATAATAGCAAAGAAAGTCACACCTGTCTCACACCAAAGCCATACCAGCTCCACCTTTAACCTTTAACTGTTCTACATATTTGTGGTTCACTTTTTGGTTTTGTTTTGTTTTGTTTTCAAGAGAAAGAAGTGCTACTGAACAAAATCACTGTTCAGGAATAAAAGTTGTTTTTGTTTTTTTCTTTTTGTTTTGTTGGAAAGATAGCTAAAGCTTTTCATTGTAGGGCTCCTCCTGATCTTGCTAACTTCCTTCTTTTCTTCTCTTCTCTCCCCATAAACAAGCTCCATTCCTATCAGACTCACCTCTTTACTACCAGCCACTGCAACATGCCACAAGCATTTACATACCTTTTCATTGGCTAATACTCTTTCCTTTGCATAAAATGTACAACCCCGATTTTCAACATCTGCCCTTCAGTAAGTACTTGCTCCATTCCTGCGTTTTCAGGCAAGTGGCCAATTATTCTTCATTTCCCTCGTGATGGGCATAGCCACTTCACAATAAAGCCTTGAGAATACTTTTCCTTGATCATTTCCCCAAAGTTGCACAGAGTAGACTTCGATCTTCCACACCACATGAATCCTCAAGTAGTCCTGCACACCTGAAAACACTCAGCAAAGAGTGGGGCTGCTCACTGGTAATTAATAAACTCATTTAAGTTTGGTGACCTTGCTAGTGCCCTCAGCTGCATGAGCACATCTGTTCCACCCCAACCAACTCCTGCCACTCCCTCAGGGTGAACTGGGTCGGAGAATGTTGGCATGTCTGCTGGATATGACATGTGAATGTGCATGAGTAAACTCTGAATTTATGGAAGAATGGCATCACGTAGCCATGTCTTTGAACACAGTAATACAATCACTGCATGTGTAGGGAGCGGTTCTGAAAACCTTTTTATAAAAGCAGAGATGACATGGGAAAATGGCTGGATTAATGAGGGCCAGCATGATAGACATTTTAAACGTTTTATTAGGCTTTAAAAATGCCTGTGCCAAGGTGTGTTCAGCATTTATTAAGAAATACCCAAATAAATGCTTCTCTTTTCTTATTTCTCTTCTCATTCAGTCATATCTTCTTGTCTTCATATAATGGAGGTCACTTGTCAAATCAAGATAATTGGAAGAAGAAACACAAACTAAATTATTTCAAAAATGTTCCAGTTGTTTCACTTTCAAAACAATCAGCGAGGCTCTTTCTAGGCCCAGGATCATGGGTCTTACCTACATCCCTAGACTGATCTTCCACAATTCAGTGTGGTGGCTATCCTCACCCTCATTCTCAAAAAAATTCTCATCTCATGGCTTTTGGTCATCTGACTAAGGCCCCACCACTGGACAGCCAAGGCTGGATTGGCAATCAGCTCTGCTGCCTGGAAACTGGTGCCACCCCTGGTCACCAAGGTGGCAGTGGACATGGCTCTACCCTATGGGAAAAATGGAATCCATGCAAGAACATTCCAAATACTTCAGTATTGGCTGGTCATGAGTTTCTAGACTTTTGATTCTGTTATTGGTAGCTCTCCCTTTGGGCTGAAACACAATATGTAAAAACACATTTACATTTACTTTGTTTTCTAAAAAAATTATTTTTCCATTACCTTCAAACACCAGATTCAGCAAAAGATGCTCTGTATTTATGTTTTTGTGTGCAATTAAAATATACCAAATCATGAGGCCGGGCGTGGTGGCTCATGCCTGTAATCCCCACACTTTGGGAGGCCGAGGCGGGTGGATAACGAGGTCAGGAGATCGAGACCATCCTGGCTAACATGGTGAAACCCCGTCTCTACTAAAACTACAAAAAATTAGCCGGGCATGGTGGCGGGTGCCTGTAGTCCAGCTACTCAGGAGGCTGAGGCAGGAGAATGGCGTGAACCCAAGAGGCGGAACTTGCAGTGAGCTGAGATCGCGCCACTGCACTCCAGCCTGGGCGATAGGGGGAGACTCCTCTCAAAAAATAAAATAAAATAATAAAATATTACCAAATCATTTTAGGATCTTACTGCAAATAAAACTTGTGCCCTTCAGTTCCAGCTGACTTAACTCTTTCATATATTTCACACTAGTAGCCTCTCTACCCAGTAAAATGCTTTGGGAACTCCTACCATCCCCACCATCTGAAGTTTGGTATATTTGAAAAACTCTCCCATTTATAATTTCTGTAAAACTTTTGAAAAAATATTAATCAGTGAAAAATCAAACTCAATGATCAAATGGGAAAAAGCATATCCTGGTATGAAATACGTTTTTGCTGGCAGATTTTTCTTCTCATTCTTGAGTAGCTTGTGTGGTCTGTTAACGACCTTACCCTCCATTTTCTGAAGGAAAGTTCAGAGGTTGTATTTCTGTTCTTTTTACCTTTTATGGTTTCCCAACATTATCTCATTTGGTAAAAGAAAAATATACCAGAAAAAAACTATTACCATAACAAGCAAAAAGCTACCTGCCAAACTCTTTCCTTCTCTGATCACAAAAGCAGAGAGCCCAAGATAAACAACAACCATGACTACTGACCAAGGAAAATACATTTTTTTCATAATTTTTGAAAAAATTGAAGTACCTCACTGTCTTTTTTTCAACAATACAATCTAGTAATGAGAATGTTACCTTAAATGTACAGAAAGCCATTCTTCATAAGAGCTAAAAGAGTATTTTGTGTTTGAACAATTCCTTCCATCTTCCAGGGAAGCCAGGAAACGACTTTGCTCTAAGGAGTTGCCATGTACTCCTGTACTCCACAGAACAGAGCAACCAAGGATCTAAATGGAGAATCAGTCTTCACAATGGCACTTCTGTTATGGATAATCATAACTTGCTTGTGTTTTACGGAACCCTTAATCAATCCCCAAAATAGACTTCTGACCAACCTGACTCTCCATTTCCCTGCTATGGAAACATATCTGTTCTGGTATTTACTCAGTTTGAAATCACATTTCCTTTATTCAAATGCTATGGGATTTAAAAGAATGTTCAACATCCCAATTGCCACAAGGAGTTTTAATAAAGTATCATATATTTAAAGGTTATTTACATCATTTTTCAGATTTTATAAAAGCAATAATAACAATGACTTATATTTGTTGAGCACTTGCTAGGCAGTCAAGCATTTTTCTTAGTGTCATATGGATTAACTCAATAATCATCAAGATAAACCTGTAATCTAAGATGTTCTTATTATCCCCATTTTACACATGAGAAACTGAGTCATAGTAAATGCAAACAGCCCCCAGATCACCCAAACAGTAATGGACAGAGACACTAGCAAAACTCAGCCCACACCTCCTCTCTGCCATAGGATGTCCAGGTCCTTTGAAAGGGAATCATCCACAGCTGCCTTAGTCAACACTGGCATCCAATTATCCAGCCTGAACCTTGCACCTAGGAGTACAGAGATGGAGTATCCTCAGATTAAAGTCTCAGGAGCATCAGGAGTTCTCATTCCCACATGGTCATGTGGTTTTCTAAAATGTGATCAATTAAATGATTTTAGCTGCAGTTAAAACTTTCTCCAACTTTCTTTATATCACATATTCCCTGGAGGTAGGTGATGTTGGAATGGCTATGGGCATCTCTGGGAGGTTCTAAGGGGAAACTGAGATTGGGATAGATTTAGTTTAGGTTTAGAGAAATGCATGCATGTGGCTTGCAGACACTGCCACGTGCAGTAAAGTTTCTGTGGGCCATCTTGCAGTAGCACGGGAGTCCTCAACGTCCATGTGTCATGTCATTAATGTGCTGATGTGAAGAGGCAAGATCAGAGGCGCTGTCCTCCAGAGCATGGCCCCTGAAGTACGTGAACGGTAAAGCTAGTCTGTGGAGTTAATTATCCTAATCTCTTAGCTCATACATGAATGAAAGTTGATAGGAGTGTTCCAAAATTTGACAAAAATACCAAATATTTACATGTGATTATACATAACAAGCTGTAATTGATACAAATAAAAAACACACATTTACATCTGATTATACATAACAAGCTGTAATTGATATAAATAAATCAACCTTAATTAACAATTATTTTCTATTCAGGCAATAAAAAAAGGCTATCATATGATAGAAAAGTCAAAGTATACACAAATAAGAAACATAATAAAGACATGTCTGGCAGTTAACACAAATATTGTTATTCCTTGAAATTATTAGATATATAGTTTCTATCAGATTTTTTAAAGTGAAGTTTGTTGTGATTTCTTTTCCAAAACTAAAATCCACATTTCTACTGGACTTTTTTAGTGTTCATTTTATATTTCTTTTCTTTCAAAAGGCTGTCTGAATTAAGCTTCAGATACTTTAAAAATGACCTATCCCTATGAGTATGGGCTAAAAAATGTATGTGTCAGAAGTTG
This sequence comes from Homo sapiens, assembly GCF_000001405.40. Lineage (NCBI taxonomy): Eukaryota > Metazoa > Chordata > Mammalia > Primates > Hominidae > Homo > Homo sapiens. Next base: position 9,014,050 of record NC_000005.10, read on the forward strand.
AGTCAAAATGACTAGAAGTTCATGAAAAATGTTGCTCTAAATTCAGAATCAGGCCTGCCTTAGTCAGTCCAGACTGCTATAACAAAATACCATAGACTTCTTTGGGAGGCTGAGGCTGGCAGATCACAAGGTCATGAGTTAGAGACCATCCTGGCCAACATGGTGAAACCCTGTCTCTACTAAAAATACAAAAATTAGCTGGGCGTAGTGGCATGTGCATGTAATCCCAGCTACGTGGGAGGCTGAGGCAGGAGAATCACCTGGATCAGGGAGTCAGAGGTTGCAGTGAGCTGAGATCGTGCCATTGCATTCCAGCCTGGTGACAGAGCGAGACTGCATCTCAAAAAAAAAACACAAAGAATAAAAACAACAACAACAAAAACATAGATTTAACAAAATACCATGACTTAAACAGCACTTAATTCTCACAGTTCTGGAGAGTGGGAAGTCCAAAATGAAGCGCCTGGCAGATGGTGTCTGGTGAGAGCTCATTTCCTGCCTTGTGGAGGGCCATCCTCTCACCGTGTCCTCCCATGATGGAGAGCAGAGAGAGCTCCTGGAGCATCTTCTATAAGGGCTGCACCATCCTGACCTAATCACCTTCCAGGTCTCACCTCTTAATACTATAACCTTGGGGGTAAAATTCAACACGTGAATTTGTGGGAGACATAAGCACCCAGTCCATAACTGAGCCTCTCCAGCTGGCACACTTACTTGTGAGTGTGTATTCCCCGGGCCCACTGGGCAAATGTGAGCAGCTCATAGATTCAGAATGGAGCCCCTCAAGCTGCTGTCCTTACCTGTGCAAGTGTGCACACCTGGTGAGCCCTTCTCTCTGTCCCTTGCCCACTGAGCAAATATCTCCCGAGCACCTTCTAGGTATAGGGCTCTCAGCAGGCCCAAGGAAGGGCAATCAAAGAAAGACAGAGGCTGTCCTTGCCTCCTCAGGCTTAGGGTATAAAGGACAGGACTTTCATCACAGGATCACACAGAGAAATACTGATAGCCTCAAGGATTGCTGGGAAGGAAAGGTGCCCAGGGCGCTGTAGCGGAGCCCCTTTCTTTTTGGCAACTTTCTCTTCTCTTGAGGAACTTTCTCTTCTCTTGAGGAAGTTACTTAATTACCAGAGCGCAGACTGATTCTCCACCTATCTGTCTTTCAGGCTCTCTCTACCGCTGTGTCTCTACCTGTGTCTCTCTCTCTGTTTTATTCTCTCCATTCCCCTCTCCTTCCCTTTTTCTCTCCCTCAGGCTGACATTTTAAAGGACTTCAGATGACTTTAAACACTTTAGGGAACAGGTGTTCAGACTGTGATAGGAAAGTTTTGATTTAGCCTTAAGCAGCCTTGACTTTGCTGTGTGACTTTACAGATGTCACCAAGTGATCTTCATTCTTACAGAGGACAGTCACGCCTTACTTCGCAACCCACATGGGCTATTACAAGGATTCCATTCCTTAAGAGATAACGTGTGCTTTAAAAGATTTAAATCTATCTATCTATCAATCAATCATTATATATTATAGTTAGTACTATCAAGGGCATGTGGAAATTTTAAAAATTTTTCTCTTCAAAAAATTTAAAAAGAAAATAATAAGCTAAATGTTTTAGAGAAAATGAATACATACCACAAGAGTGTGGGAGAAAACATTTCAGAATATGTGATCTTAATTATCTTAAACCATTAAAATGTGAAACATTCCAAAGACCTAACCCCATCTCAAAGAGCAAACTGTTCAGGAAATTACTGTCAGCTCCAGCGTGACCCCATCACTCTGCCCCGGGCTTCCTGTGGTGGCATAACTCTAACCACATTCTGTTATGTTTAATTCTTAGGGTCTCATTTTTTCTAATTATATTGAGAATTTTCTGAGAGCAGGGAATTGAATCCTTTTCCTATTTGCATTATCACTGTAACTCATGAATTTTAAAATGTTTATGGATTTGAACTGACTGTCTGCCACTCCTTGGTACACCCCTAGTTAGAAGCAGTGAGCTTTCCAGCATCTTTTTCCCATATAGCCATTATATTCGTCCTCTGGGGCTGCTGTAACAAAATACCACAGACTGGATGGTTTAACAATAGACATGTTTTCACAATTCTGGATGTTGGAAGTCCACAATCTAGATGCCAGCAAGTTAAGTTTCTTGCGAGGGGACTCTTACTGGCCTGAAAAATGCCACCTTCTCTCTCTGTCCTCTTGTCATCTTTCCTCAGCACAGGGAGAGACAGGGAGGGGCATGAATGAGTGAAAAAGCACAAACAAGCTCTCTTGTGTCTCTTCTTATAAGGAAATTAATCCTATTGGTTCAGGGTTCTACCCTGATGTTCTAATTTGACCTCAGTTTATTCCTCTGAGGTCCCATCTCTGAATACAGCCACACTAGGGATTAGGGCTTTCACATATATATGTGGAGGGTGGGAGCACAAATTTCCAGCCCATAACAGCTAAGCTGGCCAAACCAGATGTAAGATTATATTTTCAGTTCACATCGAGACTTGCCTGTGTGCCTCCATTTGTACTGCTCCAGGCACTTGGATGACACAAGTTGGTTTACAAATTTTCCCAGATTTATTCAGGTCAAAATGCCACCACTCAGAGGCAGAGCCAGACAAAAACCTTATAATTGCTGAGGGCTGGTCTTGCACCAAGCATTTGGCCTTTTTTTTTTTTTTCTGTATTATTCTTTCCTTAAGACAACTTCAGTTCCTCTCCCTGTCTGTAACCACAGATTCACATTTCCCAGGTGTTGCCCTATGCTGTCCCCAGTGAGGTCCAGAGCTTCTCCTGGGAGGTTGAACAGATGGATAATGCCCGGCCTGGCCCCAGCTTAGAGGATGCCTCTCAAGAGCATCAATGCATGCATCATTATTTTGCAGTCATTCATCTGTTCCCCAGATTAGAGCTGGGTTTCAGGGAACCTTTTAGTTATTTCCCTTGGTCTTCTCTGGCATAAACACCACTGTGCTCTCAGCAGATTTGGCCACCCTAAAATCTGTCACTTCTGCCTGGTCATTAGAGAAGGAATTGATACAATCAGTCTTCCTTAACCAGTAGCTCTAACTGCTAACCTTTATACTCTAGGAGCTGGTTGTTGACTAGAACAATGCTTCCCTCTCGTAGACCTTTGTAAAATAAATAGCTGTTCTTGCCTACCACTCTATCTATGGGTCGCATCTTTTGTCTCTTGTGAGGGAGTTAACAAAAACCTTTCAAATCTAGAAAATATTGCATGTCTAAATAAATCATGTCTCCTGAGCTTTCTTTAGTGACTACTGTGTCAATTTCAAAAGTTCAGTGATATATTAATATTATAAAAGTCAGCACTTACAATTTTTCTATTTGTATTAAATCTCTATTGGCTAAAGATTTACTTGATATTCTTTCTTTCTTAGTTTCTTCTTGTTTCTCCTGACTTGTTGTTGTTGTTGTTGTTGTTGTTGTTGTTGAGAGGGAGTCTCACTGTCTCCCAGGCTGGAGTGCAGTGTCTTGATCTTGGCTCACTGCAAGCTCCTCCTCCTGGGTTCACGCCATTCTCCTGCCGAAGCCTCCTGAATAGCTGGGACTACAGGCGCCCGCCACCATGCCCAGCTAATTTTTTGTATTTTTAGTAGAGACGGGGTTTCACCAGGATGGTCTCCATCTCCTGACCTTGTGATCCGCCTGCCTCAGCCTCCCAAAGTGCTGGAATTACAGGCATAAGCCACAGCGCCTGGCCTCCTCCTGACGTTTTTGAGATCAAGAGAAACCATATCCACTGGATTCACACTCTTTGGACTGTACTTTTTTTTTTTTGAGATGAAATCTTGCTCTTGTCTCCTAGGCTGGAGTGCGATGGTGCAATCAGCTCACAGCAACATGTGCCTCCCGGGTTCAAGCAATTCTCTTGCCTCAGCCTCCCGAGTAGCTGAGATTACAGGCACCTGCCACCACGCCTGGCTAATTTTTGTATTTTTTTTAGTAGAGACGGTGTTTCACCCTGTTGGCCAGGCTGGTCTTGAACTCCTGACTTCAGGTGATCCGCCTGCCTTGGCCTCCTTAAGTGCTGGGATTACAGGTGTGAGCCACTGCACCCAGCCTGTCTTTTTTATTAAGCATTGCATTTCTCACTGATTTTGCAGTTCTTGAACAAAAATCAGTGAGTGACATCTTTGGATGCCCTTCAACAGGATCTGTAGAACAATTACCAGGAATTCCATGTTTGGCCTTAGTGTTTATTAATAAAATAATGTCTGTACTCTAAATGGACATCTGGTCACCCTAGCACATTGATCTGGACATTTTGCAGACCTGCTCTTGAGCCTGATTTTGTCTACAATGATGAGAAACTGTCCTGGGGCCAAATTAAAGAAATCCCATTGATTTTCTTACCCAAGGACATGAAGTTCACAATTCATTAAAATACTAAGTACTGTGAGCTACAAAATTAGAAAATATTCATCAGATTTTAGCTGAGCTCAAATTACCTCTCTCTGGCCTATGTGTCATGTAAACTCGTCTAGAAGACAGTGACTTTGGCATGTAGCTGCCCTTAGGACAGATATAGAATGAGGATTATGGAATACCATCTCTTCCTGCAGTCTCTGTCTCTGATAGAGATAGCATGGCTGATTCCACATTATGCTGTCACAGCTGGAAAAGATGTAGAAATAGACACACACATGCTGAGCCTCTCTAGAAGGGGTTGCTGTCCATGATTGAAGCCTCCAGAGGAGGCAGCTCAGGTTTGTTTGCTAATCAGAGTGAACAGTAATTGTCCCATGGCTTCCCATATGTCCTGACTTGGCAGCACTTGAGCACAGGTCTCACAAGTCATGAATGGCACAAGTGAACCCTTGGTCAAGCATGATCCTCCCAGGAGTAGTTAATATTCTTGAGATAGTATTTCTTCCAAAATTGATTTACAGATTCAATGCAACCTTTTTCAAAATCTCAGTAATATCCTTGCAAAAATTGACAAGCTGATCAAAAAAGTCACATAGAAATGCAAAGACCTAGAATAGACAAAACAATTTTGAAAAATAAAAACAAAATGGAAGGACTGTCTTAGTTTGTTTTGTGTTGCTATGACAGAATACCTGAGGCTGGGTAACCTATTTTTAAATATGTTTATTTAGCTCAAGATTCTGCAGGCTGAAATGTACAAGAAGTATGGTGCCAGTATCTGCTCAGCTTCTGGTGGGGGCCACGTGGTAGATCAAAACTTCTCAAAGAAAGTCAAAGGGGAAGTGGACACATGCAAAGAAATAAAACTAAAGGAATGTCCTGCCATTGTAACAACCCATGCTCCTGAGAACTAATTCATTTCCATGAGAATTAACAGTCTCATTGGAACGAAAACTCACTCACTACTAAGAGAACACCATCAAATTATTCATAAAAGATCTGCTCCTATGATCCAAACACCTCCCACTAGGCTCCACCTCCTGACATGGGTACATTGGAGGTCAAAATTCAACATGAGTTTTGATGAGGAAAAATAAAGCATATCCAAACCATAGGAAGGACTCACATTTTCTGATTTCAAAACTTGCCATGAAGCTATGGTAATCACAACAGCATGCCACTGAGATAAAGATAAACATATAGATCAATATAATAGAATTGAGACTCCAAAGATAATCCCTCACACTTACAGTCAATTGATGTTTGACAAGGATGTCAAAACAATTCAATGGAGAAAGAGCAATCTTTTTTCTTTCAAATAGTGCTGGGGAAACTAGATATTCTGTATAGTATACAAAAGAACAAAGCTGAACCTTCATCTCACACCATATGAAAAATCAACTCACATGTTATAAAGACTTAAATGTAAGAGCTAAAGCTATAAAACTCTTGGACAAAAGCACGGGTGTAAATCTTTATGATTTGGATTAGACAATGGTTTCTGAGACATGACATTTAAAGCTCAAGTAACCAAAAAGTTAAATATATTAGACTTTTTCAAAATTAAAAAACTTTTGTGTTTCAAAGTATAATATCAGTAAAGTGAAAAAAATTCCACATAAGAGAAGAAAGTATTTGCAAATCATGTATCTGACAAAGACCTGGTATCTAGGATAGATAAAGAAGTCTTATCATTAAAAAATAAAGGAAAATAACACAATTTAAAAATGGGTAAATGATTTGAATATATATTCCTTTTTTTATTCTTGCTATTTTTAAAAAATAATTTCAACTTTTATGTTAAATTTAGAGGCTAAATATGTAGGCTTTTTTGTTGTTGTTGTTTGTTTTGTTTTTTGTTTTTGAGACAGGGTTTTGCTCTTGTTGCCTGGGCTGGAGTGCAATGGCACGATCAGCATGATCTCGGCTCACCGCAACCTCCGCCGTCTGAGATCAAGTGATTCTCCTGCCTCAGTCTTCTGAGTAGCTGGGATTACAGGCATGCGCCACCACGCCCATCTAATTTTATATTTTTAGTAGAGATGGAGTTTCTCCATGTTGGTCAGGCTGGTCTCAAACTCCCAACCTCAGGTGATCCGCCCGCCTCAGCCTCCCAAAGTGCTGGGATTACAGGCTTGAGCCACCGTGCTGGGCCAATATGCAGGCTTTTTACAAGGGTATACTGTTTGGGTTACAGTTGTTCCCATTGGGTTACAATTGATCCCATCATCCAGGTACTGAACATAGAACTCAATGGTTAGTTTTTCAACCTTTGCCCCTTCCCTTTCTCCTCTCTCTAGTAATCCCCAGTGTCTATAGTTGCCATCTTTATGTCCATGTAATACCTAATGTTTAACTCCACTTATAAATGAGAACATGTAGTATTTTGTTTTCTGTTCCTTTGTTAATTTGCTTAGGATATTGGCCTCCACGATGGCTATGTTGCTGCAAAGTAAATTATTTTGTTCTTTTTTATGACTGTGTAGTATTCCATGGTGTATATGTACTATATTTTCTTTATCTAGTCCACCATTGATAGGTATCTAGGTTGATTCCATGTCTTGTTTTTTGAATAGTGCTGCAATGAACATACAAGGACTTATGTCTTTTTGAAAGAACAACATATTTTCTTATTGATATACACCCAGGAATGTGTTGAATGGTAGTTCTGTTTTGAAGTTCTTTGAGAAATCCACAAACTGCTTTCCACAGTGGCAGAATTAATTTACATTCCCACCAACATTGTATAAGCATTCCTTTTTGTCTGGAGCCTCACCAGCATATTTTGCATTTTGACTTTTTAATGACAGCCATTCTGACTTGTATCACATTGTTGTTTTGATTTGCATCTCTCTGATGATTAGTGATGTTGAGCATTTTTTTATGTTTGTTAGCCGTGTGTATGTTTTCTTTTTAGAAGTGTCTGTTCATGTCTTATGCCTGTTAGTGGGGTTGTTTTTGCTTTTTCAGCTGTTTAAGTTCCTTATAGATTTGGAATATTAAACTTTTGTCAGATGCATGGTTTGAGAATAGTTTTTTTCCACTCTGCATGTTGTCTGTTTACTCTATTGACCGTTTCTTTTGCTGTGTAGAAGCTCTTTAGTTTAATTAGGTCCCACTTGTTAATTTTTGTTTTTGTTGCAATTGCTTTTGAGGACTTAGTCATAAATTCTTTCCCAAGGCTAATCTCCAGAATTGTGTTTCCTAGATTCTCTTATAGTATTCTTATAGTTTGAGGTATTACATTTAAATCTTTAATTCATCTTAAGTTAATTTTTGTATATGGTGAAATGCAAGGGTCCAGTTTCTTTATTCTGCATATGGCTAGCCAGTTATCCCAGCCCCATTTATTGAATAAGGAGTCCTTTTCTGATTGCTTATTCTTGTCAAAGACGAGATGGCTAAAGTTGTGCAGCTTTATTTCTGGGTTCTCTGTTCGATTGCATGGTTCTCTGTGTTTGTTTGTGTACCAGTACCATGCTCTTTTGGTTACTGTAGTCTTATAGTATAGTTTGAAATCAAGTCATGTGATGCCTCTGGCTTTGTGCTTTTTGCTTAAGATTGCTTTGGCTACTTGGGTTCTTTTTTGGTTGCACATGAATTTTACAAGAGGTTTCTCTTTTCAGTTCTGTGAAAAATGTCATTGGTAGTTTGATAGGAACAGTTTTTAAACTTTTTAATGTATACATTTAGCACTATAAACTTTACTTCTAACACTGCTTTTGCCACATCCCAGGGATGTTGGTATGTTTTCTTTCTGTTTTTATTTATTTCAAATAATGTTTTTTATTTCTGCCTTGATGTCATTGTTTAACTGAAAGTCATTCAGGAGCAAGTTGTTTAACCTCCATGTACTTGTGTGATTTTGAGAGCTCTTTGTATTCCTTTTTATTTTTATTCCACTGTGGTCTGAAAGTACAGTTACATGATTTTGATTTTTTTAAATTTATTGAGGCTTGCTCTATCACCAACCATGTTGTCAAACTTGTAGTATGTTCATTGTCCAGATGAGAAGAATATTTGATCAGTGGAGTATTTTGTAGATGTCTATTAGGTCCAATTGGCCAAGTTCTTATTAAAGTCCAGGATTTTTTTTGTTAGTTTTCTGTCTTGATCATCTATGTAATGCTGTCAGTGTGGTGTTGAAGTGCCTTATTATTATTGTGTGGATGTCTAAATTCTTTCTTATGTCTATGATATTTGTTTTATGAATCTGGGCGCTATATACATGTAGAATATTTAAGCCTTCTTGTTGAATTGAACCCTTTATCATTATGTACTGGCTCTTTCTGTCCTTTTTTACCATTATTGGTTAAAAGTCTGTTTTATCTGATATAATAATAGTGACCCCTGCTCTTTTTTGCATTCTATTTGCATGATAGATCTTTATCTAGCCCTTTACTTTGAGTCTACGGATCTCATTACAGGTGAGATGGGTCTCTTGAAGACAGCAGAAGGATAGGTCTTGCTTGTCTGTGTGTTTTTTTTTTAATCCAACTTTGCCTTTGAAGTGGGGCATTTAGACTATTTTTCTTCAAGGTTAACACTGATATGTGAGGTTTTGAGCCTATCATGAAATTTTTAGGTGGTTGCTTTGTATTTTCTACTGTTTGATTGCTTTATGAGGCTTGTGGGCTATGTAATTATGTGTGTTTTTGTGGTACCAGGTATCATTCTTTCATTTCCATATTTAGATCTCCTTTTGCAACTCTTGTAAGATTGTCTAGGGATAACAAATTCCCTTAGAGCTTGCTTGTCCAGAAAAGAGTTTACTCACCTTAAATTATGAAGCTCAGATTAGTGGGATTTGAAATTCTTGGTTGGAATTTATTTTCTTTAAGAATACAGAGAAGGAACAAGCACAAGAATTCTGACACCATGAAAAGCCTGAACGTAGTGACACCACAAAAGAATCACACTAACTCTCCAGCAATATTCCCTAACCAAAATGGAAGCTCAGAAATGACATATAGAATTCAAAACATAGATAGCGAGAAAAGTCAATTAGATCCAAGATGAGAAAACCAACACAAAGAAATTGTGGAATTTGAACTTTTTGTTGGAATTTCTTTTCTTTAAGAAAGCTGAAAACATGGTCATAATCTCTCCTGACTTGTAAGGTTTTTGTTTAAAAGTCCATTGTTACCTTGATGGGGTTCCCTTTGTATATTGTCTGACATTTTTCTCTAGCTGCCTTTAAAATATTTTCTTTAGTGTTGATGTTGGACAGTCTGGTGACTATATAATTTGATGATGTTAATTTTGAATAGTATCTTGCAGGTGTTCTCTGATTTTTTTCTATCTAGATGTGTACATCTCTAGAATGATCAGAAAAAAATTTTTTGAATTATTCCCTTAAACATGTTTTCCAGGTTTTCTTCCTCTCCATCTCTCATAGATTTGGTCACTTTGCATAATCTCATTTCTTGAAGATTTGTTAATTTATTAAAATTCTTTTTTTCTTTATTTTTGTCTGCTTGGTTTAGTTATAAAAAGCCATCTTCAAGCTCTGAAATTCTTTCTTCTACTTGGTCCAGTATATAGATAAAGCTTTCAACTGTATTTTGAAACTCCTTTAGAGAGTTTTTAAATTCTAGAATCTCCGATTGATTTTTCTTTTTTTTTTTTCTTTTTCAAATAATTTTATTAAGTTCAGGGGTATATGTGTGGTTTGTTACATATGTAAATGTGTGTCATGGAAGTATTTTGTACAGGTTATTTCATCATCCAGGTATTAAGCCTAGTAGCAGCAGTTATTTTCCCCACCCTCTGACAGTGTGTGTTGTTCTCCTCTATGTGTCCATGTGTTCTCATCATTTAGTTTCCACTTAGAACATGCAGTGATTGATTTTCTGTTCCAACCCTAGATTGCTAAGGATGATGGCCTCTAGCTTCATCCATGTCCCTGCAAATGACATAACACTCTTTCTCCCTTCTTTTCTTTTCTTTCTTTTTCTTTCTTTCTTTTTCTTTCTTTCTTTGTCTCTTTCCTCTCTTCTTTCTTTTTTCTTTATTTCTCTCTCTCTCTCCCCCTCCCTCCCTCACTCCCCCACTCTCTCTCTCCCTTTCTTCCTTCCTTCTTTCCTTCCTTCCTTCCAAAAGATGTTTATATCTTCCTTCATTTCCCAAATTGCTTTAGAACTTTCTTTGTGTTTATATTCAACCTTATCTTGGATCACATTGACTTTCCTTGCAATGCATGCTTTGAATTATTTCTGTCATTCTGAGTTTCCATTTTGATTAGAGAACATTGCTGGAAATCTAGTGCCATCCTTTGGTAGTTCCACTACATTTTTCATGGTGCTAAAATTCCTGCGCTAGTTCCTTCTCATCTGCAGATGCTGGCACTTCTAATTTTTGTAATTATTTTTATACAGGTAGAATTTTTCTTTTTGTTTTGCTATAATGTTATTTTTTTTCTTCTTTCCCTTTCTCTTTCTTCCCCTCCCTTTAGGGAGTGACTGTAGAAAACGCTGGGTATGGTCTTTTGGCTTTGCTTCTATAGCTACACGCACTTTTTTAGCCAATTTTCTATTATGCAGTTTGACCTACAAGCCAGTAGATGATGCATATGGGTAAGAGCCAGCCACGGCCAGTTCAACTGGGTATATTCCTGTCCTTGTTTACTGGGAGAAGCTATCTGTTGCCTCAGGCAATGAACTGATCCCTGGGATACACAGTGGTCTGAGCTGCCTGCTCCGTCCCAGGCAGCTGGAAAAAAAGATGGAAAGGACTGAATGAGGCACATTTACCTACAGGTTCCCTGATGGCAGACATAGGTACCAGCAGTGAGGGATAATCCAGTGGGTGGCCACCAAGCAGTCAGAGGTATGCCTATTCATGGAACTGGGAAATTTCTTTGGCTTACATTCTCTGCATGGGTATTAGAGTGGCCTAAACTCCTAATGCAGGGGAGTGGGTCCTCCAGATGGCTGGAGAGATCTGCCTGGGTATGGGGTGAAGAGGGTCCACCTGCAGTAAGATCGCTACACAGGAATGAAAGTGAGCCAGGATGCTAATCCAGGGAAGGGGGTGCTTCTAACATCTGGAGGTCTCCATACATGTGGAGCCATGAGGGCCCCACTGTACTACAATATATGTCCAGGAAGGGTGGGGAGGCTCAGGCTGCTGGTCCAGACAAGCGGGTGCTCCAAATATGTGGAAGTCTGCCTTGGCAAGGAGCAAGGAGGACCCTCCTGCACCACAGTCTCAGGGGAGCAGATCAGAACACCCAGCAATTACACACATAGACCGGTCCCAGGTTGCCAAGCTGGTCCCGGCTGTAATCTTGTCATCTAAGAGAGCAGCAGCTAAGCAGTTCTTCTCTCACCTCAGGCCTACAACAAGGCAAACAACACTCCCAGCACCTACTGCTGAGACACTTTCCACATTTCTGGCTGTGGAGGCCCCTACTCCACTCCAGTCAAATTCTCCAATCTTTGGGCCAAGACTACAGTGCCTGTGTAACCATACAGCCAGGTTACCACGGAATGGCTAAATATGTATTTTCCCAGATTAAAAATGGCACCCTGCTGTCAGTCCTGAGTCTGGGAAAATGTCTGGAACTTTTCCTAGTTTCTTTCCCTCACTGTATCTCCAAGCAGGAAAGTGTCTTTCTCTCACTTGCATCTCCCCAAGTTAGCTCCAGGGCTTGGGAGAAACAAAATGCTCTTCCTCAGCCTGGGTTGCTCAGTTCCTCAGAGGAAAGGTGAGTCACAGAGGGAGGCTCACTGCTTCTCTTGCATACTGGGACTTCACTCACTTTTATCAGCCAGATGCCATCACAGGGGCTGTTTGCCTTCATTCTCCCTGAGATCTGAGATGTCATTCATGATTAGGGTGGTAATATAGTTTGGCTGTGTCCCCACCCAAATCTCATCTTGAATTGTAGTTCTCATAATCCCCACATCATTGGAGGGACCAGGTGGTGATAACTGAATTATGGAGACAGTTTCCCCCATTCTGTTCTAGTGATAGTAAGTTCTCACAAGATCTGATGGTTTTATAATGGGCTTCCCTCTTCACTTGGCTCTCATTCTTCTCTCTCCTCCTGCTTTGTGAAGAAGGACATGTTTGCTTCCCTTTCTGCCGTGATCATAAATTTTCTGAGGCCTCCCCAGCCCTGTGAACTGTGAGCCAATTAAACCTCTTTCCTTTATCAATTACCCAGTCTTGGGCATGTTCTTATGGCAGTGTGAGAACCAACTAATACAGTAAGTTGGTACTACAGAGAGTGACATTCTGCTGTAAAGATATCAAAAAATGTAGAAGTGACTTTGGAATTGAGTAAAAGGCAGAGGTTGGAAGGCTCAGAAGAGTTTGGAGAGGTCAGAAGAAGACAAGAAGATGTGGGAAAGTTTGGACTTCCTGGAGACTTGCTGAAGGGCTTTGACCAAATTGCTGATAGTGATATGGACAATGAAGTCCAGACTGAGGTGGTCTCAGATGGAGGTGGGGAACTTTTTGGGAACTGGAGTAAGGTCACTCATGCTATGCAAAGAGACTGGTGGCATTTTGCCTCTGCCTCAGAATTCTGTGAAACTTTGAACTTGAGAGGTGATCTAGGATATCTGGCTGAAGAAATTTCTAAGCAGCAAAGCATTCAAGAGGAAGCAGAGACAAAAAGTTTGAAAAATTTGCAGGCTGACAATGTGATAGAAAAGAAAAACCTATTTTCTGGGGAGACATGCAAGCCCATTGCAGACATTTGCATACATAATGAGAAGCCAAATGTAAATCACCAAGACAATGGGGAAAATATCTCCAGGGCATGTCAGAGACCTTCATGGCAGCCCCTTCCCATCACAGGCTTAGAAGCCTAGGATGAAAAAATGGTTTCCCAGGCCAGGCCCAGGGCCCCCCTGCTCTATGAAGCCTCAGGACATGGTACCCCACATCCCAGCTGCTTCAGCTCCAGCCGTGGCTAAAAGGGACCAACATATAGCTCAGGCCATTGATTCAGAAGGTGCAAGCCCCAAGCCTTAGCAGCTTCCCTGTGGTATTGGTCCTGCAAGTGTGCAGAAGCCAAGAATTGAGGTTTGGGAACCTCTGCCTAGAATTCAGAGGATGTGTGAAAATACCTGGATGTCCAGGCAGAAGTTTGCTGCAGGTGCACAGCCCTAATGGAGAACCTCTGCTAGTGCAATGTAGAAGGGAAATGTGGGATCAGAACCCCCATACAGAGTTCCCCCTGGGTCACTGCCTAGTGGCGCTGTGAGAAGAGTGCCACCATTCTCCAGACCATAGAATGGTAGATCCACTGACAGCTTGCCCCATGTGCCTTAAAATCCACAGATACTCAATGCCAGCCAGTGAAAGCAGCTGCAGGGGCTGTACCCTGCAGAGCCACAGGGGTGGAGCTACCCAAGTCTGTGGGAGCCCACCTCTTTCATCAGCATGACCTGGATGTGAGACAAGAATTCAAAGGAGATTATTTCAGAGCTTTAAGATTTAATTACTGCCTCAATGGACTCCAGACTTGAATGTGGCCTGTAGCCCCTTTGTTTTGGCCAATTTCTCCCATTTGGAGCTAGTGTATTGCCCAATACCTGTACTCTCATTACATCTAGAAGGTAACTAACTTGCTTTTGATTTTTCAGGCTCGTAGGTAGAAGGGACTTGCTTTGTCTCAGATGAGATGTTGGGCTTGGACTTTCTGGTTAATGCTGGAATGAATTAAGTCTTTAGGGTACTGTTGGAAAGGCATGATTGTGTTTTGAAATAAGAGCACATAAGATTTGGGAGGGGCCAGGGTGCAATAATATAGTTTGGCTGTATTGCCATCCAAATCTCATCTTGAATTGTAGTTCCCATAATCCCCACGTGTTGTGTGAGGGACCAGGTGGAGATAATTGAATAATGGGGGTGGTTTCCTCCATCTGGTTTTCATGATAGTAATTTAGCACGAGATCTGATTGTTTTATAAGGGGCTTCCCTCTTTAATTGGCTCTCATTCTTCTCTCTCCTGCCACCTTTTAAAGAAGGGTGTGTTTGCTTCCCCTGCTGCCATGATTGTATGTTTCCTGAGACCTCCCCTGCAACACTGTGAGTCAATTAAACTCCTTTCCTTTATAAATTACCTAGTCTCAGGTATGTCCTTATAGAAGCATGAGAATGGACCAATACAGGTGAATTCCCATTTTCCTCCTTGAATTAAAGCTCAAAGTTGATATTTATGCACTATCTTGCTATTTCCAAGGGTTGAGGCACGCTAAAAGCCTCTAATTTGCCATCTTGAAAAACAAACAAACAAAAAAACTAAATAGTTCTCCAAAGACCATATACAAATGGTAAATATACATATAAAAAGATGTTCAATATCATTAGTCATTAGGAAGATGCAAGTCAAAACCATCATAGATACCACTTCAAACCCACTAGGACGACAATTAATCAATGAAAAACAAGTTTTGGTAAGCATATGAAGAAACTGACACTCTTATATACTGCAGGTAGCAGATCGAAAAGAGGCAGCCACTTTGGAAAACAGTTTGGCAGTTCTTTAAAATGCTAAATACAGGGTTTTCATATAGCTCAAAAACTCTACTCTTAGATACACACCAAAGATACTTAATATATATTTCCAGTCAATAATTCGTATACACATTTATAGCACTGTTATTTACAATAATCAAAAGGTGGAACAACCCAAATGTTTATCAAATGATGTATACATAAAAGAAATGTGTTATGTCAATAAAATGGAATATTATTCACCCATATAAAACAATTACTCATGATTCAAAATACCACATGAGTAAACCTTGAAAACATACTAAGTAAAAAAAAAAGTCACAAAAGTCCACATATAGTATGCTTCCATTTTTATAAAATGTCCAGAATAGGCAAATCCACAAAGATCAATACAAGATTAGTAGTTGTCAGCAACTAGGGGGAGGGGGAAAGGAGAGTAACTGCAAATGGGTATGAATTTTCTTTTTGCTTTGATGAATATTTTCTGCAATTACATAGTAGAGATGGTTGCACAATCTTGTGGAGATACTGAATATAATTATGTACTCAAAATAGGGAATTTTAAAAATTGCATTTGTAAAAGAAAAAAAGAGGTTTAGTCTAGGATCAGCAATGTGTGTCAGGACTGCCATGAGCAATAGAAAGCCACACAAGCCACACACTGCTATGAGGTGGTAGCAGGTAGAAGAGGCCATACTTCTTGGGGGTGGCCTTTTATGCTCCTTGGAATAATGGCTATGGCTTAGGGGACCCAACCTCCATCAAATATGTTCCATTTCCTAGGTAGATTTGCTGATATTCAATGGACCATGCAGCCTTTTCTCTTGTATGTCGGTGGTGTCTAGTGAGCAATGCCAAAGTGTCTCCACTTCCCAATGGCCATTTTTTTTTTTATATACCATGGAAACTTTGTATCATCTTAGGGATAGGGATTGGGGAGAAAATTCCAAGAATAACTAAAGTTTTATCTTTTTATCATCTAAGGCGTTATTTTAACTGATTCAAAGAGATAGGGATTAAAAATAAGTTTTTTCTTGTATATCTGAGTTTGTTAACTGAGAGTCGTACTTTATACCTTTTATTGGAAACTTAAGTTGCTTCCTTAGATTATTATAAAAGATACATAAAAAGTTTGTAAAAACAAAGATCTTCTTTTGCAATTATAGCTATTAGTACTATGGAAAACAAAAACAAAAACAAAATCTTTTGATCAGGAGAATTCATTCTTGCCTCTGTTATTTATTCAACTAAATTTCCAGTTCAATCAACTGGTTGTCAATCAATTCAATTTAAATCAAATTCTATTTAATAACTTGTGTTCTACCTGTCTCTTCATGTCTCCTCTTTCCCTGATGCATCCTTTGAAAACTTTGCCTTTCCCTCCCTGCTGCCCTCTTGCTGTGTTTACTCCCAATCCATCTCTGTGTTAAGTCTCAATCCAGGAGTCGCCTCACCAGGGCTGTTTCCTTTTCACTTGCATGGGTTTGGTGCTTATGTTATAATAATCAGAGAGAAAGAGCTCATGTCTGCCCACAGAGAACTCATTAAAATAATAGAACTTATTTTGTCTAATGCTTGTCTTTCCAGTGTGTGTATTCTTTAGGCCTTGGCCATCCTGTCCCATATAGAGACTGCCATCATATTCAGAAACAGAAAATCAGCTTCTGCATCTTTTGTCCCTTCCCAGATGATCTTCAACATGTTGTGCAAAGCCAATAACAGTCCTCTTGATCATCAAGCCTCACATTTCAAACCTTTTGAATGTTTAAAAGGTTGTGCTTAAATGTGTGATATTTGCTGTTGTTAGTCAACTGCATTTTTGACCTTTTGTTGCATTGTTTCCATCTTATCAATGATCATTGTTTCAATATTAGGAATTGATACCCAAATTCTTATCTCAATAGTATGTGACAGAGGAAAAATTAAACATTCAGAAAGATTCCTCATGAAGAAACAAATTAGCTTTTCATATACAATATTGAAGCCCTAGGTTTTTGACAGGTTACTGGATTCCCCTTCTCAGACTTGTGTTTCCCAAAACAACACAAAACTATTTCCCTCACCTGAGCAAGTTGCTTCAGAAAGAAAGCAAAACCAGAGCTCTGCAGGCAAGAAGTAAGCAGGAGTGTAATCCACTTTCTTATAAAGGAACATCCTCTTCTGTCTTCAGAAATGAGGCATGTTTTACACATTTATGCATTATTATTGGTTAATTTCTCAAGTTATAGATAGATAAAATATTAAATTATACAAGTAGAAGGTTCCAATCTTGGTTAGTGGTAGCTACTTCCAGAGAATATTGCTTGCCTCCCTGATTGTTAACTGTAGTCATGAATTTACTCCTGGGCCTCCCGTGAACCTTCTCCTCATTTGTATGGGGCATATATTCCATTCAGGCTCAAAGGCTTCTGCAGTCACTCTTATTAATTTATAAAACTGGTTCACCTACAACTTTGAGTCTAAAGAGGGAAAATGGCTTGCACTGCTCCCAGAGAGAGAAGATGAATACAAGTAAAGTGAGTCCCTGAGTCATAATAATGACAACTACACCATCGTTTATTGGGAACTTACTGTATATGAAGCATTGATGGTGTATCTTTCAATTTTATTATCATTCATGTTCTTTCTATATGTTACTGCTTGATGTAATGATGAGGAGTTTGAGCTTCAGGGAGGGGGGATAAGGAAGTCAGGTGGTTGAGCCATTTATCATTTCTGGATCTTCAGGCTTGCTTAAGCCTGTCTTTCGGAGTTTGAAGTCAAGCCCCTGCCCCAACTTCCTTCTCCATCCTCCCATGTCCATTCGAAGATGTGGAGTAGAGCAAGGGAAATTTCTCTTCATAAGGCAGAATCTTTATTTCACGTGACCTTCCTGAATATATCTAATGCTCAAACAAAACATAGCAAAGTCTTTGTAACTTATCCAAATTTTTGTGAAATGCCTGATTTAAAGAACTTTTCCAAAGAATTATGGTTTCAAGTACAAGCAATAATACTGCTTACATAAGGAAGAGAATGACAAGCCCAAATTGTATGCCCTATTATAAAAATCTCATTAGTAACTGACAGTGTTCATTTGTAATGAGCTTATCCCATGTGTGCATACTAACTGTTGCTGAAAATGGTCTGTTTGACTTTTCTTTAAGGAAGATGAACATTTTCCCTGTTTATGGGATACACTTACTGAAAACATCATGTACTAATTTCAATTATTCAAATTTAGACTAGACGGAACCTGTGTCAATGAATTATGCTGTTGAATTATAACAGCCAATATTTGTGAAAGAACAACATCCCATGCAGACACCCTCTTTTCTTTTGAGAAAGGCCCACCAAGCCTGGATTCCATAAAGTATTCTGGTCTCAGGAAAGAGAATAGTATGAAATAGATTGTATTTTTTTTTCCTTTTGGGGGAGGGTTAAGATGAGATGTAAGAAGGTGGGTGGGGAGAAACTCCAAGGTAGGAAGCCACACATGGCATTTCTCCTGCTCAATTTTCTAAGTTGATATCAAATATGGGGCCAACAAATGACCTTTGACCCAACTTCATTTATAATCTCTTGGGAACTGTGCATTTGCTGTGTCCTCCCAATCTCATGCATTTACTTCCTTAAACTTCTGTCTCTGTAAAGGACTCAATGCAGCGTAGAGAATAGCTATTTAAAGGGCATGGACCATGCCACCCCTCATTTTATCCCCGCCTGTTAGCACAATGGATGCTGGAGCTTTTCCAACTATCTGTGAAGATGTGAATGTCTTGTTCTGTGTTATTTACTCTTAGATTGTCTCCAGATTTTAGAATAGGGGTGGAAAGAACTCTAAATGCAGAGTCAGGACACGTCTTTGAGCACAGAGAGTTGGAAAGTGTATTTTAGTGAAACACTTTCTAAAGAGCTCACAGAGATTAAACAGGTCACCAAGATTTTGGACAGGAGTTTGAAATTTACTTAATTATTTCTGAGAACAGGGCTGGAGGGAAAAGAGTCTTGGTGGGGATTTGCCACACTGGGTTTGAACCTGGCTGTACTTGTTTGGGTCCTCAAGGCATCTTTCTCCTCTCTGTAAAATCTGGGAATTTAACTACTATCATTTCACCTCAAGATAAATTCAGGGACCAAGAAAATTCCATTGTTTCACAAAACACATTTTCTTGGAACTTCCAGCTAGAAAGGAAGTAGAGAAAGGAGGGCAAATATATTAGTCCAAAGGGAGGGTGATGTGTTTTGTGGCACTGGGTGGAAGAGGCCCTGTGAGCTGTGCTGTTGCCTGGAATTCACTCTCTAAATGGCTGCTCCACTGTCATCTCCCATGTATGTTCCTGATGGGGATTTCCAGACATGTTGCTGCCACCAGCATCCTTCTCTCAGGGAAGGGTAGGTTCTTGTCACCAGGAGGCACAGAACCTCAAGAGAAGCACCATGAAACCAGGTAACTTGCAACTACTATAGGAAACAGGAGACGACTTAGAGCAATTCCTAGGCGGGAGAGAGGAAGCAAAGTGAGTGGACAGGAGATAGAATGTAGATGTCTTCACTACCTATGCATTACTTTCAAAGGAAACATGGCCCGTGAATCCATCCTTGTGAGGAACAGCCAACCCTCTGGCATTTAGGCAAGGCCACTTAGATTAAGAATTAAAAATCATATTTCAGCAGTTTTCTGTTTCCTATGATAAGGCTCATTTTCAAAATATTACATTTTATTAAACATAATTATATTTGAGCTTCATTTCCTCCATCATGCTTTTAGTAGCTCTAGTCTTAAGATCTCTGCAACACCCAGATCTATGTTAACCAAACGTGAACTTGTGGTTTCAGTCCTGGGTCTCAGTCTGACTGCAGGGTAAGAGCTGCAAATGCTTCCAAGAAAAATGTACAGCAAGCAGAATAATGTGACAAAAGCAATCTCTGACACCACTTTGACTTTATAAAGAAAATCATATCTACTTTATAAAGAATAAACCAAGAATAATTTCAGAAAAGTAATAGTTTCATATTACTTTAAGGGAAATTTCCTTTTAGACTAAATATCCATAATTGTGCAGTCAGTACATTCAATCCTTTATGCTGTTTTTCCCAAATGGGGCTTGAGGAGATATTTTAAATGAAAAATTACATCATATATTTCAAGTAGGTCCAGAAAGATATTTGAAATCATATTTCAACCTGTTTCTTAAAGCAAGTGAATGAAATGTGGAGGACCTGGATACACAAGCATTTTGTGAGACCATCTAAATATCAGAATATATATTACCAAGATTACAAGTGTTCAGGAACAAAAAGGCAAGAAACAAAATTATGGTATGACACTGTAAATTCCATTCACTTTCTAAACTAATAGCCAAATATAGGTTATTCATGTAATGCTTTAAAATTTTAATTTTTCATTGCTTAATGAAAAAATAAGTAATTTGGGGGTTAAAACAGTTTAATCTTTATAACATGCTTCACTAGTTCATATATTTATATAGTTGTATTATGTTAATTTTTGGCCCCATATTAAGTGGGCTTTTTCAGCTTTTTGGTCAACTGAAAAATATATATAAAATAATTATACACATATACTTTTATGTATACATATATGTGTATATATGACATATATAAATACATACATATGCATGTATATTTTTTCCTTTAATGGGATCATGAACATTGAAATATGGCTTTCACTAAATAGGGTGGTCTTCCTGGGTCAAGCTTCTTATCTTTGTGTTCATGCTGACTGACAGCAGTTCATTCAAGAAAAACCTTGTTTTATGCAAAGAAGAATGGAATAGGGTGTGTTGGAGAGAGGGTAAGTATAATACAACTCAATGCATCATTCATCAGCTCAACCTGATACCAACTCTTTGTAAACAGAAAGCCTAATTGGCCTTCCTTATCACATATTTCCTGTTGCCCATGGAAATATTTCTAAAAGTGCTTTAATACATCCTTATGTCATGTCCTGGCCACCATTCAAAAGGCCTGAAGATAAACAGGAGTGTTATGAGTTTTCCTCAGCAGGAAGTGGTCTGCACTTCACTCTGATGAAATTCATTCCTTTGAGCAGTGGCCATTGCTTAGCACCTCTGGGGAGACCGCACACTCAGAGGCAATACAAAGAAAAATGCCACTAAATTGTCCCCTAAATGGTAGGATTTATTTCAATGCTCACATACAATTGAATGAGACAAACTATTTACATAAAACATAAGTACAAAAAATATAATACAATTTATACTGTACACAATCAGGATTCCCTTGTTTTGTTCCCCCCACAAATGGCAGCTAGAGATGGTAAGAAGGGGGTTGGTAGGAAAGTGTGACTGCACACTCAGCAGTGCTGAGGATAGATCTTCAGAATGCTTTTTCATAAAGATGAATAGGGTTGAGATACAGAAACTGTCAATGCACCAAGAGCAGTAAGAGAGCACAACATATTCACTTCTGTAATAATAGCTATATATTTTTTCTTATAAACGTGTTTGTTTCTCAAAGCTGAGGCTTGGAGCAGGTGTGAGTTGCCTTCCATTGATTGGTTAGGTGACCTCCGCCCACCCCTGCTCCAACTTCCATAGTTGATCCAATGCAGCAGGTAATGAGTTTCCAGTTGCCACAATTGGTGTCTTAAGCTGATTTCAGAAAACAATGCATCTGTCAGATGTCATTAAGCAACAATCTGGGATACAGACCTAGACAGCTCTCAGGAAGCATTTACAACCAGTGAATTGATGGACAGGAAAGATAAAAGTCATGAACATTAGAAATTTCTATTGCGCACATGTAACAAGAAGGTTTTGAAGAATATCAATGCTTCAAATGTAAGGATTGAAAGAAAGTGTGGTGTGTCCATGGCCCCCTTACAAAGGACCCAGCAATCTACAAGTGTTCTAGCATAGCAACCCAAGATCCATTTTCTCATTCAAACAAAGGGGAAATGTAAAGCTATCTCATTGTTTTAAAAAGCTAAATTATAATTAAGATACATTGTCTTTTAAAATTAAATTTAAGATCAGTAACTGTCTGCAAGCTTACCAAGGGCTGAAATTGGCTTTGGAGGAGTTTCACAAAAAAAAAAAAAAAAAAAAATCTCAAGTTTATTTTGTGTTCACAAAACAGCCAACAGCAAATTAACGCAGAATGAGGCATTTAACATTTGATAACATCTTTAAAAGTTACATCAAGCGGCATAGCACAAAAGTTTTGCTATGCACTTTTGAAGAATCCAACATTGGACCAAAAGTTTGTGCATTTTCTTGCAGATGATGTAGAATCTCAGTGGTGAAACTAAGTGCTTGGGTTAAAGATTCATACTGTGCTTTGTTTCAAAGTGCAGAGGTTCAGCTTGCTTTTGGCCAACAGTCATGGTAAAAGAGAAAAACAATCAACTTCAGCAGAGATAATACTATTACTTTTCTTAACCCAAATTAAGAGTGACAACTTTTGTGAACTTGTGAAGCAGTTTTGATATAAACTTAAAAATAATCAGGCAATGTTGTAGGTGGTTCTCATTCCATGCTCACTGTATCTATACCAGTTGTCACCAGCCTGTGTCTGATTTTCCTCTATCTATGGACTTGCCTGAAGAGAAACAGAAACAAAAACCTCTAACTTCTATAGGCATCACGTTAACATTCTTATTACAGAACAATCACTATGATTTTTTTTGGAACATGTAAAAATTAAAGTGATGTTAGTTTCTAGAAGGCTAATACTGAAGTCACCTCTCTTCTGAGCATATGTTGTACCTATTCTGGTTCTACATCCCCAGTGAGGGCAAAAATCACATCTGAAGATGATGTGCTTCTTGGTCATTTTCTATTCCTGAGTTCAAAGAGACATAGGAGAATAATTTTCTTTAAAGTAAATCCAATCAATCTTCTCCTTCTAATTAGACCAATAATATCCACATGAAATGATAAATGATCATCTTAAACAAGGCACTAGCAACTTTTTCTAGGAAATTAAACTACCGCACTTACAGAGAGGGAAGAAAATGATGCTCTCATTTTAGCAACATGATAAAATAGTTCCGATTTTTCAGAGTCCAGATTTTGCTCTCAGCTTGTATTTATCAAACATTTGAATCATTTTATTACTGCCATTCATCTAACATTTGGAATATTTGGCATTAAATTGCCAAAAGGCTGAGAAAGAACAAGATCACATTTCAACTACTGGCCCCAGATTTTAGAGCAAATATGAAGGGGTGGAATAAATTTTCTTGCTTGATTGACAGTTTAAGAAACACAAAAGAGTGATTTTCTACCTCCTCTTTCCTCTTTCCAGATCTGAAAGTGCCCTTGACTAGTTCCTGCCATTGCGCCAACACTGTAAAACATGTTTGCTTGAGCAAGAATTGATATTGACTCCGATTGCAGGGAGTAAGCTTGATTGCCTTTCTATGGCAGATATGAGCTAATATGATCCATCAAAAAGGCTGTGTTTTGAGACAGCTTTCACTAGGAAGTATACATTTTGTGCCAGGCTCTGAATTGGTTTTGATAATGCCCTATGTCGCTTGCAATGTGAACTCTATTTTCAAAAGTGGATAGGATTCCCTTCCTCATGCTTCTGTAACATGTATCAAATTTCTGATAATGCAACAGATGACCACTGAGTATATCTTTGATCTATCTGCTAAAACAATGTGTACAATGCATCTTTAATATAAGTCCATAGGAAAGGAGTATTTAAAGAGTCGTTTTAGAAATCATCACCAGCAGTTCAACATTACATCTTATTTACCTTTTCTATTACCAAAAGAGAAAAGAAGCAAGGATTAAAGCAACATATTTTCCTTTGCTTTATTAGGTTAACAAGCAAGGATTAAAGCAACTTATTTTCCTTTGCTTTATTAGGTTAACATAGCAGATAACCTGAATTCCTTGGCTTAGTGTTTGTAGAGTTTAAAAAAAAATCTTTAAATCCATTATAATTAATGACCTCAATAGGGCAGAATAGCAGAAATAAATTTCACGATGATCCCCTGTCCCCAAACATTTTATCTTACATTGTGCATGGCATTCCCTTTTATGCGTTTCTTAGGTCAAAGTGAACATTTCTCTATGTTCTCCCATTTCACCCACTGCCCAAAGAAGTAAGGGGCTCAAATGGCATCTAGGGTCTGATAAGATAAGCGTAGGTAATTGCAGATAACCATAGGTAATCAAATATTGGTAACGTTGTGTCAACATGCTTCCCCAAGTGCATCAGGAAGTGATGAAGAAGTTAGGATGAACAAATGGGCTAGGCAAGGCCAAGGCCATCTGTAAACTCCAGTTTGTACCATATCATAAGTGGTGAAGAATTTGCATATAGTTAAGGTTATTAGTACCGTCATAGAAATTGATTATTGGAGGTGTGGGGCTTAAGCACAGCCCTGCCATGTGGAAAATGGTTATGCAGTCGCTGTTAATTTTATCAACCATTAGTACCTGTTGCCTCTGGTTCTGTGTTCCAGAGCCATCTCTTGAGATAGAAATGCTGAGGTCAATGGAGTTACCCCCAATGACACACACAAGAAAACCCCATTGAAGTGTAAAGGATACCCGGACCCTAAAGAAAGCTGATGGTTCAGGGACAAAGTTGAAGAAGTATCTTGACAGTATTGGGGAAATATTTATGATTTATTCTAAAAGCAAAAGGAACACTGCAAATAAGCAAATGAATATTTGTAAATTCAAATGCTAACAAGGCTGTGTTTAGACAAAACGATTAGCTGAGTATAGACTTGATATATGTTTAAGGTAAAATTCCCTTTGATATTCAATTATACGCTAATGGATCCCCTTAGAGAGCCACTTGGGGACATAGAGACCCCCCGCTAAGACTTTGTTCTTTTTTTTTTTTTTTGAGACAGGGTCTCTCTCTGTCACCCAGGATGGAGTGCAGTGATGTGATCTCAGCTCACTGCAACCTCAACCTCCTGGCTCAAATGATACTCCCGCCTCAGCCTCCCAAGAAACTGGGACCACAGGCACGCACCACGATGGCTGGCTAATATTTTGTATATTTTGTAGAGATGGAGTTTCCCCATGTTGCCCAGGCTGGTCTCAAACTCCTGAGCTCAGGTGATCCGCCCACCTTGGCCTCCCAAAGTGCTGGGATTATAGGCATGAGCCACTGCACCCAGCCTTTGTCCATGATTTTGACAGCATGACCTGCTAATTCTACCAGAGACTCCAGTGGGAACACTCAGCAAAATAGGCTTTGACTCCCACAGTTTCCATCCTTTTGCAGATAAATAAGGAAGTAAGTACACCTTTGGCTAAAACTCTGGCACTCTGGGCAGTTGATCCTGGCAGAGTCCAAGGGTCAGACCCATGGACCTGTGAAGTGGGCAACCGTTTCCGGGAACTGTCCATAGCACTTGCTGGGGTGACCAGGTCCTGCCTTTCACGTCACCTACTTATCCGACTATTTCCTCCATTTGCTTCTTTTCTATTTGCCATCACCTGTGACCCGATGGGGCCAGACCCCTGGTTCATCCCAAACCACATGACATGAACGGACTCTTCCTAGGGACAGAGGTTTCTCCCCAGCAGGGATGCCCTCACCCTCATTCAATGTTTATCGTCTCTTTTCAATTCCTTTAGAACCTCAGCCCCACACATACATTTATTAAATGTTCTTTTCTTCTCAAATATGAATGGTAACTCTAGTGAGAGCCTACTTGAACAGGCTTAGGGAACCATCCCTACAAACATGAAGAAGCTGAGATGCCTCATGTAAGTCACAAGAAGCAGCAGCATAGAAATATGCTCAGAGGGGAATGGGGAGTTCTGGAGGGAACGCCATGAGTCTGGAGACTGTGGCTCTTCTGTGCGGTGGAGCCTGACCACGTGCCCCCTGAGTTCCTTAGAATTCACTAAGTCCATATCATTCAGAGGTTACAAAACCCCAGTTTCACCAAAGCTACATGTCCCTGGAGCTACAGGAAGCCCACATGTTGTGTAGTGTGCAGAAATTCTGTTCTTCTCCTTCCTGTAAACTGTCAGTGCACTGTAAAATCAATAGTAGATGGTGATGAGTCTGGCCTCAAGAAAGGACCCTGAATAGCACTGGGAGCCACTTTCAAAGAATTTAAATGTAAGACTAAAGCCAAGCCAGCTTCCTCATGAAAACCAGCCTATCTCCAACTGTATTCAGAAATAATTTTAGAAGTTAAATAGTGATTAATGTCATTTTACATCAGGTGCAGAAAGGTGTAGCTTAAAACTATGTGTTGGTTTTTGTTCCACTTGTACCAAGAAAATAGGAAGAAAGGAAGAATTAAAGAAAGAAGAAAGGAAAGAAGAAAAGAAGGCAGGAAGGAAGAACAAAAGGAGGGAATGAAGGACAAAAACAAAGATAAAGAAAGAGAGAATGAAAAGGTCATTCAGGAATTTAAAATGTGAACCGCAAAGTTTCACCAGGACTTCCAAACAGCCCAGGCCTAAGGAAGAGCGGCTTTATGAAGGAGTTTCCAAGACAGGTGAGAGATCACACTGTGAAAGTCCAACATGTGAGGGTTCACGCGATAAGCGTGGAGTACAGAGCCAGAACATGTGAACGGTAGCTACACAGTGATGGACAAACACAACTTATTCCACAGCTGGTAAAATACTTAGAATATATCTGAAATTATCTAAACACTTGCTATTCTGTCAAATAAGAGAGAGAGAGAAAGGAAGAGAGATAAACAATTTTCCTTTGAACAGTGTGGTACGAAACAAAAATGGGATTCTTTTGCAATGCTAATTTCAAAGGTTTGTTTATATTATTAACAACATGAAGATCCTGTAGTGAGGGAGGGTGTTTTTCCCAAGTCATTGCAAAAGACTCATTAAAGACCAGCTTCGATGCCATTTAGAAACCATTTCCCATCAATTCCAGTGAAACATTCTTGAAATATTAGAATCCTCTTTACCAGGGAAAATAAAATGTCCCTTTAAGCTTACAAACTATTAGGGAAGAAGACTCAAAAATAACTAAAATGTGCTACAAAGTGAAAATGTTTTTTTCTTACAAGAAACTGATGAGATGAGTTGAAATATCTGATGATGAAAATCCAGCCGAGGAACAATTGGAGAACCATCCGGCTAGATTTCCCCTACTGAGTATGGACTTTGAGCATGTGCATATAGACAGAAGACTCTGACATATGAGGAATGAGTGAGAGGCAACATGAAGTCCCCACTGCAAAGACCCTGAATGTCATTAATCCAAAATAAC
Organism: Homo sapiens; assembly: GCF_000001405.40. Classification (NCBI taxonomy): domain Eukaryota; kingdom Metazoa; phylum Chordata; class Mammalia; order Primates; family Hominidae; genus Homo; species Homo sapiens. The sequence goes on from NC_000005.10 coordinate 9,041,108, forward strand.
TTACAGAGCCCACCTGCCATTTCAATACTGTGTCATCTCTGTAAATCTGGGTATATGAGAATATTTTGAACTCAACAATATTCATTATTAAACATAGAATTCTTCTAACACTTTCTGAAATTGTTTCTTTAAATTAGAAACAAAGATAAGGGTAAAATCACATATGCTAATAAAATTCTATGTTCCTTAGTCCCCCTACTATATTTTCTTTCATAGATCCGAAGGTTCATTTGTAAGAACACGTTTCCGTGTCTACCCAGGACTTTATCACATGCTCAGAGGCATCAGATGAACTTTTTCAGTCGTGTTCTTTTTTTCAATAATTATTCAACCAACTGCCATAGGTTATGTATTGGTTGTTTGTGAGAAAATTATATATTTTTTTCCAGGGACCTCTGTGAATGGTGTTAGCACACTCTTAAATGCTTATCGATGATCAGTGAAGAGACCACAGGGATCCCAAAAACCCTTACTTCCAGCTATCCTGACTTCCCAAGGTACATCTTGAAATGCTGTTGCCTCCATGCAGGGAGAGGTGAGGGTGAATGGACTGGGTGGGTGGGAAGGCAGCACTGAAATAAAAGAAAAGGCACCAGAGCTGAGCATCTCCTGCTCCCCTGGCCTGGAGGCAGCAAGTAACAGCAGAAACTGGGGGTAGCACTTCGTGTGGACCTGGCAGACTCCAGAAAGCCAGCTTTACATGGTATTAATGCTCGTGGTAGGGGCTGATTGCCACACATTGGGTATATCAGAGAGATGAAAAATAAAATGATTATCATTAATATCAGTTCTTTCAATATTTTCAATAACATAAAAAGTTGCTTTTAGTTATAATTTAGTATTTTCAATACTTTCACTAATTGACATCATAAATGTTCAAGATTTTTCTTTGCAGGGAGAGAGAAGGCATGGAGTCTATCCAAACGCTAAGTAAGTGGTTGGTTATTTTACAGACTGGCTCTTCAGGACGTCACTATGGACCAGACAGGTGGACTTCCAGGCCAACAGCATGGCAAGGAGCTTCCTGGAATGCCATGAAATCCAAAAGTCAGAATAAGGTGAGTTTTGCAGCAACCTGCAGAACACATCCACGCTTCATTGTGCCTGAGCCTCTGCTCCGCTGCCTCCACCAGCACCAGCAATGGCACAGAAACTGCATCAGGAGCAAGGTGGGGTGCCTCACAGTCTACTGTAACTTCTGCCGGTGTGGACCAGGTGGAATTCCTGGGCTTCCCAGGCAAGATGAAAACACTCAAGCTGCTTCCAAGAATCCCACAGCTTTATCCAGATTTGGAAAGTTGGGCAATCCATGGTGAATAATTGTTTGGCCACATTCTTTTTCTTCATTTTATGAAATATTATGGACCTATGCACTTCTTGTGGAAGGAGCAGGTCTTTCAGAGAAAGTGCCTATTTTCTTGAATTACAACATCATGAAGATTTACACTCCAAAGTTCTAAAGAAAGACTCCTTCCAATGTGGGTGGCACATTTATAAAATAATGCTCAAAAAACAAACCAATGGACTTGTCAGAAAAATAGGATGAACACAATTAAAAACTTCACACCCTGGCTCATTCAACAATGGTCAAGATTTTCACGATGTCTTATTTCAATTTTTGTTGCTTTTAAAGACGTGTATTTTTGGCAGCAATGGGACACTCTGGTGGCTTGAAATGCACTTGAAATGTATCCAAACTTCGACTCTGAAGCCTCAGAAACATGGGCAGTCATGGGGCACAGGCCTTGAGGAACTGGGGATTTACAAGAAGCCAAAAACATGAAAGCTGTTAGTACTCATCATAATTATTGAGATCTGTAAAGTAGGCATTAGAATAGGTCTTCCCAGTGAGATGTGGGTTGAAGTATTTGTTTCTTTCCTCTAGGATCAAGTTGTTTTTGTTAAATGCCTGGAAAATATATTAAAAAAAAACAGGTTTAAGAATGCTGAGTAGCATTTCAGAAATAATATAACAAGGATGACTATTATGTTGAATTTGAGCTCTCTGCTAAGACTCCATATTTTAAAATATGTTTTCTTATTTATTTGCTTCCCCAGATTATTTGCCCCATGGAGGACTTGCCTAATTACCAGAATAAGGTTGGCAGTTTGTGATATCTTCTGGTTAAGTTTTCAACTTTAGTTATGAAGTTACCACGAGAAGCAGGAGGTAAGAAAATCTAAATCTAAATCTCTAGAAAACCTAAAACTATAATGATTTCAAATTAACAGACACTTTGACTGTAACTGAATATATATAACTAAATTCGTATTCATATAACTGAATAGATATATAAGCAGCTTTCAGATGACCATGGGTGAGGACATTTATCGGAGACCTTGATGGAACTTATTTAAGTAAGGGCCTCAGGTTTCAAATGCCTTAATTGCTTTTCATCCTGAACTTATTAGAAGGTGATCACTGTAGCCATTTTCTATTAATAGTCATTAAAGTCACCTGCAGTTTCAAAGAGCTTCAACTGAGCCAGGTAGAACATATATATTGAGAGGATTAAAATGAAGATGAAGGAGGGTGCCCAATGGCCATCTGTCCAGGGTTAGTCTGGGCAAAGTATCAGACAAATGTTCTAGAAGGATTCGTTAAAGACTGGACAGCTGTCCGTACCTTCAACGTCCTTTATCTTCATGAGAGAAACATTTCTGATTATCTTAAAAGTGGCTGCTGAATCTTCAGTGGGAACACAGGACTGGGTAAATTACCTTCTGATGCCCATAGTAACAGTGATCAGAGACAAGCTGATGTGTTGGAATCATGCTCAGAGGAGCCCCTTTCTTGAGATCCAAATGTTTGTTTTGAAAGCTGTTGTTCATGGAAGGAGCTCGTGTTCCTCTTTGGGCTTCCTCCCTACTCTAGGAGCTAGTTTCTGAGAGGCCAGGAGGGGCGTGTTATTAATTCCTGGTGCTTCATTCCCCAGATCTACCATCTGAGTGAGGGGAGATGCTCATGGCTTGTGGATCTTGGTTTAAGCAGGGTCCAAGGGGAAAAGTCAATTGGTGTGTCTCCATACAGGTGGTGGAGAATAGAGGCCACATGGCTAAGAGACAAGTATGGACATTGTGGCTCCTGGGACATAAGTTCTCCCAGCCACCTGAAGTCGTAAGGACTAAAGATGTTTCTTATTCTCACATAGGGAGAAAATTCAGTTTCAAAGGAAACCACCACAGCAGAGAAAGGGCATCAAAATACTCCCTACAAGTGTTAAGGAAAACCAGGCACTTAGCAGAAATATTAAAATTCACTTACCTTGATGGCCTCCACCGAGTCGTACTTGTCCAGTTTGTTGATGTGGTTGGTTATGCTGGTATTAAGGGGGGCAGGTGAGACGGGGTGGATGACAGTCGCATCGTGGGATTGCTGCTGGTACCGCTGGCAGTAAGTATAGACGAGCAGGGTGAGGAGGCAGCCGAGGATGGAGCTGCTCAGCCCCACGGCGATCATGTGGAACATGTTGAACTCTAGGGAGACATGAGCAAAGTGATGCCACACTTGAAAAGAACATCCTGCCTAGCTACTCAAAGCACTAGGATGAAAAGAGAAAGTCAAAATGAAAAGCTTCATCCCCATTCCAAAATTAAGGAAATTATCATTCTTAAGAGTCTTTCATTGGAAATGTCATGGCCATCAAGAAACTTCTACACAGGGAGCACAGGATTATTATTATTATTATTATTTGAAATGGAGTTTTACTCTTGTTGCCCAGGCTGGAGTGCAATGGCATGATCTCAGCTCAACACAACCTCTACCTCCTGGGTTCAAGCGATTCTCCTGCCTCAGCCTCCCGAGTAGCTTGGATTACAGACATGTGCCACCATGCCTGGCTAATTTTGTATTTTTTAGTAGAGATGGGGTTTCTCCATGTTGGTCAGGCTAGTCTCAAACTCCCAACCTCAGATGATCTGCCAGCCTCAGCCTCTCAAAGTGCTGGGATTACAGGTGTGAGCCACTGTGCCTGGCAGAGCACAGGATATTTTAAGTTCATTCTCTTATGAATGATAGTCTTTTGGAGTGACCTTAAACTTTAATACTCTACCAGAAGCATGTTTTTATTATTATTTAAAGGTTTGCACAACAGTGTTCTGCTTCAAGTGCAGCCTAATCCATGGTGTACAGGGTTTCTGCAGAAAAGTTTATTCATGCACCTCAATGGGTTGAGCCTCCCTGTGCAGCAGGGCTGTGTCCTGAAAACAAGGGAGAAGCAGCTACTTTTCTAATCTACTGCTCGCCTGCAAGCCAGACTGCTTTTAGCTCTCTCTCCATTTCATCCTATTTAAAATGTTTTCTATTCACATAAACACATACACTTTTCATTATATTTTTTGAGTATGAATATGCACACATTAGAAAGTACAAAAGGGTCTACAGGAAAAATAAATCCTTTCCTAGAGGTAACTATTATACCTAGAGGTAACTATTATAAGCACTTTCTCCCGTGCCCTTCCGGAGATACTCAGCACACATGTGTGCTGGTGTGGTGTAAATACTATCCTGCGTACCACTTTTCTCACTTATGTTGTATTTTGAAGGTCTTGTCAAGAAAATGGTTTACTAAAAAGAAATAAGGGATTTGTGTTAAATGAACAAAATATGATATTTTAAATGGTCATGAAATGACCTTCTTTTCCCCTAATGTTTTCCTATTTAATGGCATCTCTTCTGTCTCATTATTTTCCTGCAGTTATGAATACAAAGCATTCAGAAAATTTGCCAGCATGGACTTATATCTCTAAAATAGGATTGGCTCAAGTGATTTCAAGGCACCATACCAAGACCTGTGTTATGTCGGAGCAAACAAAAGACAACAGATATTCCTTGTGTATGTTGGTGAAATACTACTATTAAAGTTTCAAGCTTTTCCACAAATGAAGGCAGCATCTCGTCAGTGCCACATCACTGGGCTTCAGGAGAATTGGGTAAAGTAAAACAGGGCCTTATCTTCCTCTGTGTTGTTATCTTCCTCTGTGTTGTTAGAACCAAGTGGCTGCTGCCCATGGGGTACTGGCCTCATGTGCCACCTGCTCAGAGCACATCCTGAGGACACCAGCTTTCCCCAGAGTGTCTCCTCCACACACCACCAGGGTGAGGGGCAGTGTCACTAATACCTTTCCCTGACCTGTCAACCCTGCACCCAGTGAGACGATTGGAGGTATGTGCTGAGCATCACTGTGATGCTGGCAAGTCTACCTGGCTGCAGAGCAAGGCCTTTCAGGCTCTGGAGATAATGAGAAGAGCCTGGGTGCATCGTAACCACCCCAGTCTGTCTCCTCCCCAGGGATTTTCTGAGCTGTCTTCCCTGTGCTCATGATCCTCCCTACCTGGAAGGGATTCCACCCTGCCAATGCGGACCCACGGGGCTCTAATACTTGGTGTCAAAGGGAGGGTCACTGTTCAGTGAGTGCCCACCTGGCCTAGGTCTACGGGGCTCTGTTTGAGTCCTTCCTGAACCTCATGCAACCCTCCAGTGGCTGATAGGCCCCAGGGAAGCTGAACCTACAGTCAGGAGATGCCATCAAGGCCTCACCTGTGATACATGGCAGAGGTCGGATATCTCTCTTTGTCCCTAAACCCTGAACTTTTCCCTCTAAGCTGTGCTCCTTGGCTGCTCCAGACAATGTGTTCCAGGAACCCAGGACTTTGGAGCTGGATCTGCCCCTTCGGGTGCATGGACACTGTGAAGGGAGGCTGCTTTCTCTCTGACTCACTGTCAGGCAAAACTCACAACACATTCCTGACCACTGAAGTGCCAGTGGATAATGCAGTTCCCAGCACAGTCCTGATCACTCACTCACTCACTCACAACCACCTCAACTTTTCACTTCCAGCTTAGTTGGTCAATGGTTTCAGCATCTTTGGCCTTTCTTGACTCTGTCTTGAAGCCTCTAGGGCTGGAGAACTGCCAACCTGGGACAGACAGATAAAGTATCCAGGGGACATTTCACCAGCAGCCACTGGGACTTTAACTGTAACAATGACGCTATACTTAGATAAGCAAGAGCTGATTTCACACAAGTTCTTACTTCTTCTCTCTCTGACAGAGCTGTTAGCACTCTCAGGGTCAATGCCTTCTTCTGAAGGAAATACTTCCTGCTGCACCGGTAACTCATGTTTCATTATAACATAGGGAAGATGCATGATAGTCTCCATATGCAGATACTGTGTCATTAGTCAAATGAATCATTCCAGCAGGTGCCTGGGAAAGGCTGGGGCCAGCTGACATCTTTATGATGATTATATAGTCTTTGTGTCTCATGCAACTAAAAATAGCTCTCTAAGACAAAAAATTTGAATTGAAGCACATTTTTCTGCATGGGGAAAGTAGTGCCCATTAAATTTCTTCTGATTTTCTGCATGGGGAAAGCAGTGCCCATTAAATTTGTTCTGAATGTGCTTACTATAGTTCTTTCCTTTGAATATGATTTTCTGCTGTTGATTTTGATCAGTAAAGATGGAATACAGACCAACTACCCTGTTGGTTCAATTGGCTAATAATTTCCTGTACAATGATTGATTTTCAACAAAATGAAAAAATAAACAAGTGAAGATGCCTATGTTGTCAAAAACATCCTTGCTAGGTAACTGTTTTCAACCATTAGCCCTACAATAAGATTCATCTAAACTGCCTATGCCATTGTGCCAGTGCCAGCAGCCTGAAGATCTAAAAAAAAAATTCCATTCTGAATATCTCAGAATAGTTCAACTTCCTCTGATTTAACCAATAGCATCTCAGCTGGTTCAGACACACAGGAGTAGTATTTTAGGGTGGTGATGGGCTTTGCACCAGGTTCTCCTGGGTTCTCAAGGCCCTTGAAGGTCTTCCACAGGGTAACTGTGAGGCTCAGCAGGAGGAAAGTGAACTGCACACGTCTGGCAGCAGGCACAAATACCTAGCCAGCTCTGCTGAGGCATCAGCTGTTTGAGCCTCAGGCTCTGCATGGCCTCCCTGAGAATGGGAACACTTATAAACTCTGCTCCACTCTTGACCTACACTGTCCTGGACCCAGGCAGCAGACAGTCCTGGACCCTGGGTGTTGTCCAAGTGTGTTACCTAACCAGGGCTACTGTGGCTCGAGCCTCCCGAACACAATGCTTTTGGATAATTTTATTGTCAGGGCTCGTTTCCTACGGTGCTTTGGGTTCAAAACTCACACTGGATCCCACTGGCTGAATTCCATGTGTGCACTTGGGCCAGTGACATCATCCCTCTAAGTCTCATGGTCTCCATTTATAAAATGCAGATTAAATACATAAGCACTGTTCCTTTTCTATAATTCCCAAGTGCAAAATCTCTGAAAAGTAATGCTTCATCAGTCATCTGGCATTAAAATGTCACTGACCTGAACCATTTTCTGTAGACCTGACCAGAACTTCTAGGAAGACCCTTAGCATCTTCACTTTTTTCAACATCTCACAGCAGCACTGTTAAGGAGATTGGTTGTAGAACAACCCCAGGCCCTGTGCAGGTGTCACGTAATATAGAGTAAAGGCCCCACATACCCTTCTAACAAACATCTAAAAGCTGCTGAGTTCCAAAACCCTTCTCTATTTCCAGAGGTGTTACATGAAGAACTGTAGACCCTTGGTGCCTACATCAATGCTCCTTGTGAGGACCAAATGGGCTTTGCACCATATTCTTGTCTATAACATGTAAAACAGTGTATAGCACACAATTAGTGATCTAAAAACATTAGAGGGTACTAATTGGTATGATCATTTTTATGTGAACTGTTTGCATATTCATCTTGTAGTTGGATCCCATGTTAGCAACTGTTAGTTAGTGAACTCACTCCACTGACTTAGCTCAGACACCTAACATTGCCCTTCTGAGGCACTGGGGTCTCTGATGATATGATTGCTTGTCAGAGGGGCTGGGACTGCGTGGGTGCCCATCCTAAGCTCAATGGCCTTCACAAAACTGACACAGAGCAGGTGTTCAGCAAGGATTACTGAATGAATGACTGAATGAATGAATGAACTAACAGACTGCTGACTGAGCAGACAGAATGTCACAGATAGTGAGCTCTTCTATTATTTATTTATTTATTTATTTATTTTTGATGCAGAGTCTCATTCTGTCGCCCAGGCTGGAATGCAGTGGCACGATCTCAGCTCACTGCAACCTCCACCTCCCAGGTTCAAGAGAGTCTCCTGCCTCAGCCTCTCCACTAGCTGGGACTACAGGTGTGTGCCATCATGCCAGCTAATTTTTACATTTTTTGGTACAGATGGCATTTCGTCATGTTGGAAAGGCTCATCTCGAACTCCTCCTGACCTCACGTGATCTGCCTGCCTCGGCCTCCCAAAGTGCTGGGATTACAGGCGTGAGCCACTATGCCCAGCCAGTAAGCTCCTAATCAAGGTAGTTAATAATGGTAGTTAGGAATGATAAGTACATTCCTGAAACATGCCTATGAAGCTTCAGGTTCCATGTGAACATGTCAGAGGCAATGCCTGTTGGGCTGGGCTCTCTGAGACACCCTGTGGAACGGATTAGGGGAGCAAATGGGAATCTATCATCATCAGTCACACATGTGGAAGTTAAGGTCTCAATGTAGACATTGGCTCGGATTCTGAAAGGCGGACATGGGCTGTTCCTTGGTGGCTGGACAGCCAACCTCTCCATCCAGGCATGTTCACAACACAGACAAGTACTTTATGGGTATATGTAAGGCACAGACTGTAAAGTCCAAATTTATCATGTACTTGAACCAGATAATGTTGTCTTTGACATTCAGGGTGGCAGGAGGTTTGAAAAATTCCTCTAGCACTATAGGTATAACCTTATGCCTCATTACAATTTAGTCATTTCAGTGGGTTGGAGATTGGAAGCTAGCTGCCATGGATTTGTATTATAAATATAAACAAATTGTTTGAATTCTACTTTACTCATGAAATTAACTATAGTGAATACCGAGACCACTGGTTCATAAAGCTTAGAACCCATAAGAATCACCTGCAAGGCTAATTGAACCACCAACTGCTGGGACCTTCCCATGAGGTCCTGATTCTGTGGATCAAGGTGGGGCCTGAGGATCTGCATTCCCATCAAGTTCCCAGGCCATGCCCTGGACGTGGGTCTACGCACCCCATTTTGAGAACCACCGATCGGTACATCAAATATTGACTATTAAGCCTTTATGCCAAGGTAGAATGCCTGGGATCCATGACTTTCTCCGGTTTTTCATTCTTGGCCAAGAGGCAGAAAAATTATAGAAAACATGCAGGAAGGGAAATGATTAGAATATATCAGTACATCCATTACAACTACTTAAAAGGAATAACGTACCTCCACACCTTTTCTCTTCTACGCTACTGGATCTTGCCACAGATACTTCTGGAAAAAGAAAAGTCGAATCACAATGTGTAAAAGGTGTTCAGAAGACAGTCCACATTCATGCTTCATGTATGTTTGTCTAATGATTCTGAATGTTATGTGACACAAAGTTTCAAAAGCTTGATTAATTATCAGAAAAATTCTACTTGTTTCTTTGCTTGTTTTAACCAACCTGATATGGATTTGGCCAAATCACCTTGACTGGGGAGAGATAAGATTCATTTATCACAGAAAGATAATGCTATGGTCTCTCAGGCTGAAAGCAGGGAATGTGCTCATTTTCCATTACAAGGTGTCTTGCCGGGGGGATCCCCCCACTCTGCCCAACACACAGAGTACTCCTGTGGTATTCCTGCTTCTGAGACTTGTTCCATCAAAGCCAGTGTTGTCACCTTCCCGGCAGAGGGAGGGCCCATTCACCAGAGCTCAAGGACATCTCCAGAACAAGTGAAGTCCCTCTTCAGGAGGCCACTGATGCTCTTGGCATGCCACACATGAAACCCACAGTAGGATGCAGAGAGAGGCCACATCTCATACATGTTTTAACTCCTGAGGATAAAATATCACTCGGTAGTCTAGAAACACCATTCTTTCCTGTACTGATTTTTTGTTAGACAACAAGAATTAAAAATATGTCTATCGTTAAAAAGGAAAACAATAACAACCACTCTTATAGTTCTGTGCCGTACATGACTGAGGTATGGTATGCTAATTTTCTCTAAAATAGTATCTTTTGCACAGACGAAAGAAAACAAAGAAAACTGGCTTATAGAATTCAACTCTACTATTTATTTGTAAGAGGCTGGTCCACCTAACAGTCCTAAGGCACACAGTGGACATATGCGCAATGATCTATGCATTCATATAGCACCTTCTCACAGTGAGCATGCAACAAGTGATCAGCTATCACCAACAACTACACACTGACTTTACCATGAGAAGCTGGTTGAATGAGGGCCAACCTCTTCTCCAACAGGAGAATAATGATGCATTTCTACCTTCTCAAGTATATTAAAGATAGCATAAAGAGAATGGTGCTTTTTCTCTGTGTGCCAGTGCATACACAGCGAGCACTGCCTAAACATTTAACCTAATATTAAAATAACCAAATAACCAAAACATATTTAATAATAACCAAATATTTTCATTTTTTTGAGCAAAGTCTTCTGATTGCATTATAGTTGATAAACTGCAAAAGACACTTTTCCTAAGAAATCTTAAATTCATGAACTGAATTCATGTTTAAATCTGCAGTTATCTATAGACCTACGTTTTAAACACCTTGAAACCATGGGGCTTGATGGAATCATCTCTATTTCACCAAATAAGCCAAATAAAACTCTGACCTATGAATCATTTTCTCTCTCCATGTTGGAAATGATTTTATTCTTACTGATAAATACCTCTGCTCTTACCTGGGATGAAATTAGAGTCAAACACACACGGCCGGCTCTCCGTGGTGTTCCCGGAGCACTGGCTGCCCATGGGGAACAGGAGGATGCACTGGCGGGCGCGGACTTGGACGCCAGAGGCTTCACACTCAGACCAGTCCGACCACTCCGACCAGCTCTCTGCAGAGACCAGAAAAGGGGAGATGGGGCGGAATGGCCAGTAAGCTCAATCATCCTAGACTCACTGGCAAGTTACATATGTGATTTCTGGATTCCAGGATTCCATAGCATATTTTTAATGGTTCTGTGCATCAGTAAGATGTAGTTGTATCATCTAACAGATCCAGTACATACAGTACACACGAGGATGAATAAAAGTGCCTGCGCTGTTATATATTTGATCAGATATCATGAGCTTAAAATAAACATTATTTTAACGTTATAAAGTAATTGTATTTAGACACTCAATAAGTGAATCCATGAGACCCAGCTGTGTGCAGACCATCAGCAGCAGCGGTACATAAGTCATCAATGCAGATGCCATTTTGCTATGGGTAATGCTCCCCTCAAAGAAACTCAAATGCTTTCCTGAAACATTCCTGAAAATTCTCCACCTTCCTCTGTGCTCAGGCGAGAGAAATAATTGTGTGCTCATGAGAGTCCTGGGTTGCTGAAAGGGAGTCTGAAGCTACACAATTACTTTCTTTTCTGTTATAAAAACAATTCCGCAGAGTCAACATGCCAAAGTCAGGTGACCCTTGATGTAGAATTCATCTTATCTCGTGTTTGCTGTCTCTGAAGAGATAAGGTCAATGCACAAGTCTTGGGTCAAGGCCAAAAGAGGGGCATTGAAAGGATACTTCATCCCGAAGTGGAAGATTTACTAGGATGTGTGAAATTCACCCAGGCATACAGATGTGTGAAAAGAAAGGAGTAAGACTCCTATATAAGTAAGAAGGTTAAAAAAAAAAAACTCTGGATATTGTTTATGGAATTTTAATCAGGATAAAAAGGTATTTTTCTATGCAGTTTGCTTTTTTCCCCTTTTTAAATAGAAGCATCCACTTTGTAGTGGCAGGGAAAATTTGAAAATCAAACTTGTGCTTTGCTCCAGTTAAAGGGTAAAATGTTTCCTTAGAAATGCAGAAAGTGCCAGTTTTTGGAATGACAGTGAGAATCTGGCTTTAAGGCCCTTTTCAATATACATAGAACCTTCTAGAAAGATGTGCAGGAGCAAGCTAAAAAAAATTGTGTGTTTCAATGTCAAAGTTAGACCAAGAAAAGAATAGCTCATTTTCATTCCAGGTCATTCCTTCATGTCAGTAAACCAAGCTATTTCTGGGATGGTGGTGGTGGTGGAGGCCCCAAGCGCCTGCATCAGCCACAGGGAGCTTGAAGCGAGGAGCTCCCACACCCACGGGCCCAAGGCTGGCTCCTATGAGGTGCACTTCACAGCGGTGCTCCCTGCTCTCCACCCTGATTTTCAACAACAAAACCTCAGACTCTGTTATTAGGCTACTGGCTTTAAGAATGCTTTGCTATCACCAGTTTCTGTTGTTTGCTGTGCTCCTCCACTTACTGATTTGATGTCATGCTTTTTCTTTCCTTTAATTGCACTACCTCTAAATTACAGCCCATCGACCATGGATGAAGCATCCTGCAAGAGTGCTTAGTGTCCCCTTGTCACATTTTAGAAGTCATTCCTGGAACACAGGTCTGGAGATCTTTGGAAGACATGTGGCTGCACCCAGGCTGGTTTTGAGACAAAAAGGCTGCAGGCGATTTCCCCACTCAGACCTCCAGACTCCATGGGGGGCACTAAAAATGTTCGTTCTTTCCCACCTTTCCTTGGACTTTCTCCCTCAACACAGCAAGGTGTCACCTGTGGGTCACTAGTGTTAATTAGCAAAGTCAAGAATAAATTGGGATGTTTCCTAATTAGGGAGATTGGGTGTTGTAACATGCCATAGATTCAGAACTCGTGCTTGAAGCCTTTAGCACTCTCCCATTGCTGGGCTAAAGGCTTTGAACACGAGTTCTGAATCTATAGCTCAGTGAGAACTATTTTATTATAGATGCTATGTTTTAAAGTCACTTCAAGGGTAATAGCATGTTGCTAACTTGCCCACCCCCCTTTCAGTACTTACCATGATGCAGTATCATCAATTACACCATTTATCCATTAAGGAAAGAGGCCAATTTGTCTGAAAGCTGTGCAGTAGGTGAGGTGCCGCTTACCTGGGCAGGGCTGCGTGTTGCAGAGTGCCTCTTCTGTGTGCAGCCCCAGGCAGATGTCCCCTCCATAGGCCGGGGCTGGATTGGAGCAAGAGCGGGTCCTCATATAGTGTCCACCGCCGCATGTTGCTGAACATTTTGTCCAGGGGGACCAGCAAGACCACACGCCATCCACTGTGAAGAAACACAATGTCACAGCTCTTCTATAATCCAATCCCAACCAAGTGAAAGGAGTTACTAAATGGAAGCTAAGTGGATTCTGTTTAGTAAGGGAAACAAAATGGAATCTGCACTCCAGAAAGGCTTCAGTGCATAGGCACACGTAGCAACAAGGCTTCTGACCCCTCGCAGGGCTGCATTTGGAGTCTTCCTCTTGGTGACAGATCCAGTTTTACAGATTCCTCCCTACACTTTTTCAGTTCCCTTTATTCACTGTTTCAGAAAACATTTCTAAATCAATCGTATCTAAGTACAAACATGACAGCAGAGTGCACGAGCTGTCATAGTAATTCCAGCCCCTGAGAACAACCATGAACCACCTTGTACGGTTATTGATGTAAAGCCCCAGCCAGCTCTCACCTTTGCCATCTAACTAGCCAGACAAGACTTAAAGCCAAGGTAAGTAGTTCAAGTCACGAGCTCCTTTACTAATTGGATTATGGTTTACTCCCTGACAGTGGGATAGAGAAAAGCTAACACGTCCCATGAGGAAGGTAACTGAAGAATGCTCGGTAAATTCAGGCACAGAATGACCAAATTAAGTACAGCCACACAGACTTGACACTATGTTTAAATGACTATAGAGAGGAATCTGAAAATCTGCAGCCATATGTCAGATTAGATATTAAGGGTGCAGTTTTACAATGTGAAAGTTAGGCCGAACTGGTTCCTTGACTAACCATTTCCATGACAGCTCACAACCCAGCACATGTCTCTGCCTGCTCAAGTTAGCCTCCTGAATTCTTTAGGCTGGGCTCTTGGTACCTGTAGACCCGCCTGCTGAATGCTGGGGTCAGGTGGCCCACCTGAATCTGGGAGACTTTAAGAGTCAGTCCTTTATTAGCTGATCTTGCTAAAACCAAGACCTCATGTTGGCTTGGGCTTGTGACAATGTCAAATATGATTTTCAGTTTAGCTAACTCCTGACTGTGCCTCTCTCTTACTAGCCAGATCTTCCTTGTTATTGCTGAGTCCCAGGACAAAGCTACAGGACGTTGTCAAACAAGGTATTAGATCCTAATCTGGGGTTAAGCACAAATTGTAACCACAGCTAACTCAATTAAAAAGCTGAGGAGAGACTCACTATTGCTGTATGTAGACAGTATCATATTTTAACATTCTTTGTAGCCTACACAAAGAAACAGGAGCAAGAGGATGCCAAAATCATTCAGGGCATAAGATTGTTTTAGCTAGAATAACTTAGATTGTTTTTTAATATGCCTGTCATGATGTATTACATCATTATGGTGTAATGTTTCTTTTTAGATATTGGCAAAGGTAAAAAGAAAGCATTTTTGAGAAACCAGAGCAAAAATATCATCTTTATGACAATATTATAATTTGCAGAAAGTAAAAAGAAAACAAAAATATTTGAACCCAATTTAGAAATAAGTTTGCAATCTAACTGGAAATTTTGTGATTCAATAGTTTACACAAACTTGCAGAATTCAACAGTATTTTCCCTAAAAGTTATACGGTATATCAGACAGTTAGAGGAATTGATCAAGTATTTGATACTGGCTGTAATATCAGCAATAAAAAAGCCAGGCATGTGTTTTCCTAGAACTTTAAAAATTAAAAAAAAAAAAAAGCTCTCTCCCATATCTATTCTCACTGAAGGAAGCACTTGCTGACAGTTTTTTTCTGTTTGTAACCTAAATTGGAGCTTGGCATCAGTGAGTACCCTTGCATGCCCCATACACCAGGGCAAAAATAAGTCATTGTGACTTATAGTAATGGCAAGTGTCTTAGATCTTGGCTTTCTAAATGCGCACAAGGCAGCTCAGGGCTCAGAAGGGTCTAATGTGTGCCCTAGATTGTGTCAGGGCCTGATGTATAACCAACCATGTGTTCTGTAGATCCCTGGCCTCTGTATGGAATGATAAACCTGCAGATGAATGGCCGACAAGTGTGTGAAAAGATGCTCAGCATCATGAATCAACAGGGAAATGCAAATCAAAACCACAGTGATGTATCACCTCACACCTGCCAAAATGGCTATTATCCAAAAAACAAAAGATCAGTGTTGGTGAGGATGTGAAGAAATTGGAGCCCTTATACACTGTTGGTGGGAATGTACAATGGTGCAGCTGCCTCGGAAAACAATGTGGAGGGTCCTCAAAAAATTAAAAACAGAGGCCGGGCATGGTGGCTCACACCTGTAATCCCAACATTTTGGGAAGCCAAGACAGGCGGATCACCTGAGGCCAGGAGTTCGAGACCAGCCTGGCCAACATGGTGAAACCCTGTCTCTACTAAAAACACAAAAATTAGCTGTGCATGTTGGTGCAAATCTGTCACCCTCACTACTCAGGAGGCTGAGGCAGCAGAATCGCAGGAACCTGTGAGGCGGAGGTTGCGGTGAGCTGAGATGGTGCCAATGCATCCAGCATGGCTGACACAGCGAGACTCCATCACAAAATAAAAAAATGAAAATAGAATTACTGTAAGATCTAGCAATCCCAATCCTGGGTATATATCAAAAAAACTGAAATTAGGATCTCTGAGATACATTTGCATTCTCATGTTCACTGCAGCATTTCTCACAATAACCAAAATTTCAGAACAACCTAAATGTCCATCAAGAGATGAATGGATAAAGCAAATGCGGTAGGTACATACAATGAAATACTATTCAACCTTAAAAAATGAGATCCTGCCACATGCAACAACATGGATGAACCTAGGGGAGGACATTATGCTATGTGAAACAAGCCAGACACTGAAAGACAAATAATACATTATTCCACTTAGATCAGGTATCTAAAATAGTCAAACTCATAGAAGCAGAGAGTAAAACGGTGGTTGCCAGGGACTGGGGGAGAGGGAAGTGGGGAATTGCTGTATAGCTGGTATAAACTTCCAGTTATTCAAAATGAGTAAGATCTAGATATCTACTATACATCGTTGTATACCTATACTTAACAATACCGTATTGTGCACTCAAAAATCTGTTAAGTAGGTAGATTTTATGTTGAGTATTCTTACCACAGCGAAAACAAAAATAAAAACAGAGACTAAATGTGCTCATTTCAACGGTTCCATAATCATGCAACATCTAATGATCTCATACCAGGAAGCTGATGTACATAATATATCCTGTGATATTCCAAACAATATTTATTCCTGTCCACATTTCTACCAACATGTAAGCCAATGTGTATGTGATCTAGTCTAATAAATCCTCTCTCACACATACACCAACTGTCCATCTGGTATCATGGTAAATTCTCCTGGCACAGGATCATTTATTGTTAAACAGAGAGAATGGAGCTGTTGTTTGAATAACCGTTTAAGAGAGCATTTGGAACAGAATCCAGTTGCTGAAACATTCCCACTTGGGAGTTCAAATCACAAGATCACACTCTACCTCTACCAATTTCAGCAGTCAAAGAACTGGGGAAATGGATGTTTCTAGTACAGAGGGAACTCAAAGGAGACCTGGAACCACTTCCTTACTCTGTCCGGAAGTTGCTTAGTCTGCAATTGCCCTATGTCCCCAGACCAATTCTAATGCGGTGCTTGCTTTCTGTCCTCTTGACCCTGTCTTTATGTTACAGGTTTCAACCCACATCATGGAGCCATAATGTAGGATATTGATTATTGTACTAACAATTCATATTAGAAAGGCCAAAGCATTTCTAAAATAGACATTTCAGAACACAGATCTTAATGAAATAGCCTTCATCACAAGGGAGCCTGTACAACCTGGTGGGGAAGTAGAAAGTTGCAGGGCCAAGAAAACAAAACAAATGTAAGCCACTGTGGAAGGCACAGCATGTCAGGGGCCTGAGTGAGGCTGAGCCACTAAAATAGATTTTTTTCCCCTGCTATGTGAACTATATTGGACTAAAAAAATAACATTAGTAATAGTAATAATTAAAATAATAAACTCATTCAATATTCCATCTCCATCCTCACAACTGCCCTGGGGGTTGTTCCAGAAATGAAAGACTTGAGGCATAGAGAGGTTAGGTCCTGGGCAAGTGAGTGGGAAGCTGGGGCTGGAACAGTGGCAGGCTGAGCACAGAACCTGACACACAAGCACAGGTTAGGGCTTCCCATAACTCCTCCCATGTTGCTAAAAATCACATAGGAATCTCCTCATGGCTTGAATCATCACCCAAGTTAGCTCAAGAAATACTGGTTCATGGGAAGATCAGACAAACACAAACTCAGATCCATGTTTCTTTCAAGGAATCAAAGCAATTAATTATAGGAAATTATTTTTGATAAAATGAAATTTATACATGAAATAACTTGACAGAAGAGGATAACATTCTTGTTGTAGAGATTCTAGCTAAATATTCCACCCACTACAGTAAGATTAAAAACAATGGCAGTAACCAATGTACAATTGCCAGAGACCTAAATAGCAAAGTAAAAACTAAATAACTAAGATTTGCTCAACAGGCTTCCTGTGTGTGATCAGAGATGTGAAGCCCTTCACTCACAGTCTCTCGGGACATGGGCAAATGTGGTATTGATTCTCCAGCATACTGAGGTCTGGACTACATAGGTTTGCACTGCAGGACAGCTGTGCTCTCTGCTCCTAAGGATCTCTAAGCAGAAATTTCCTACACCAACTGCCCCCTGCCTGGCTCCACTTCAAAGTATGGACTCAAGGACTCCAAGAATGCAAAGGAAGAGAGGGTTCTGAGCACACCAGAGATGCCTAAGAGATTTATCTATAGGACACACAACTGCCAGAATTATTCTTTTGACTCAGAGTCTGTCCCTCCATTAGATTTAGTGTTCCTTCCCCCATAGAATTATTGTTTGCAAAATACAAAACAGAACCATCTCAGTTAAGTCTGATGAAAAGAGTTTGTGTTTACTTCATTAGGTTTTTACCTTCATTTTCTTTTCTTTTTTTTTTTTATACTTTAAGTTTTAGGGTACATGTGCCAAACTCTGAGGTTGCTTTCCTCTTAGCTGAACATTACTTAGCAACAAAAAAACATCTGTTGTCTGTACCTTTGTAGGTCAAAGTCTGGAGTCTTTAAGGCTAAATCAAATATGCATTGAGGAAAAGGAGTGAAGAAGAAATAATTAGCTATTTCTCAATGCTGGCGTAAATTATGTAGGTGAAGGTACTAGTTAGATGGACCCACAGAAGGTGAAAAAAATGATTATTTCAGCATGGGCTTGACTTAGAAACCTTATTATAGTTTATTTATACACATCAGTCTTAGAGGTAAAATTTTTTCATTGATTAATTTAAAATGTGTTTTTATATTCTCTGGTTTATTTTATTTTTATTTTGAGACAGAATCTCACTGTGTCACCCAGACTGCAGTGCAGTGGCATGATCTCAGCTCACTGCAAACTCCACCTCCTGGGCTCAAGCAATTCTTCTGCCTCAACCTCCTAAGTAGCTGGGATTACAGGTACATGCCACCATGCCAGGCTAATTTTTGTCTTTTTAGTAGGAATAAGTTTTTACCATGTTGGCCAGGCTGGTCTCAAACTCCTGACCACAAGTGATCTATCCAACTCTACCTCCTAAAGTGCTGGGATTACAAGTGTGAGCCTCCATGCCCGGCTGATTTATTTTCATATTTAATTTTAATGAGGAAACATATTTTTAAATAAAATACAGTGTCCATTTGTAATTGTCCACTATGAACCCAACAGGGTTAAAGAAGAGTAAATTCACAGGGGAGAGTATCCTGAGTGAGACAGGAATCGGCCTCTAACTGGCTTCCTGGTGACTGTGCAGCTCAGCATTCACACCCCTAGCACTTCCAACCCTCCCTGCTGGGTCATGCCCGATCATATGTTTAGGAATTTCCCAGGCAGGGGAAGCACCACTCAGCCCTGACTCACCCACTGCCTAGTGCAAGGTGACATGGGCCACTCTGAATAACTCCACAACACTCTGCAGAATCTTGGCTTTTAAAACGAAAATGAGGACAGGGTTATTTCAACATATTAAAGTTATGTATACATGGTATTGGCTTGACCACCAAATCAACTAAAATGAGAGCAACCAACAGATCATGTTAATAGAGTGTCTCTGAGATGAGTGGTGACCCTTTGTACTTGTGCACTAGGACAACATCCAAGTGTCTGCAGGAATCTGCACATCCTACCCATGGCAACAAGGATAGGGTCTGGAGCCCAGGGAGACAAGGGTGGGTGGAGGGACCCTGACATTCCCATGACGTCTGCCCCTGTTCCAGTTTATAGCATGGACCCGAATCTAGTGAGCTTGCCCACAGGATTCCTCTCAGCCCCCAGAGGAGGACTCCTTTTACTGGGGCTGTGGGAAAGAACAGTTCAGTGACCTTTCCCAGCCTCTCAGCATCAGCTTGGCTGGGAAAGCTGGGTGGGCAGAGGAGGAGTCTCCTGAGGCTGGAGAAATTCAAGCAGAGACACCCTAGGAGGAGCCAGGCAGCTGATAAGAGCAGAAACATTATTGGGAGCCTCAGCTACAAATCTGGAAACTATATATTTTCAGTTTTATATACATGTTTATTCATCTATGCATTCATCCATCCATTATCCACCCTTCCAAGCACCCAATCCAATGAATTTTCATTGAGTATCTGCTACAAGCCAGTTTCTTGATGTAAGAACTCAGAAAGTTGTATCTACTAGAAATATGTTAATATTCTATGCCTTTAAAAATGTTGTATCCAACTCCAGAATGAGCCTTCCTCCCAATTTCCCATCTCTGCTTGTCAATTTCACCAACTCGTTTCTGTCCCTCGAGACCCAGCTTAAGGGCAGCCTGCTTGCTGTGGCTGCCATGATTTCTCCTTGGTGAAATCCACCAAGGGGCTGGCTCCTTGGTGGATATAGCCACTGCACCTGGTTGTCATAAACTCAGTAGCCAGTGGCCATACTGGGTTGACGCTGCTCCCAGGATGCACTCTCCCTAAACTCTTAAGTTTCTTTCTGACCTGGATCATAACACTGCATCTGTGTATACCCTGTAAACAGTGCACAGTCGGTTACTCAAAAATGTTTCCTGAGAAATGACATGAATGAAGAAAGATCAATTAACCAACTCTTTGTTTCCTCATTATTAAAAAACAATCCCTGATGGGTATTTCTAGTATGTGCCAGGCCCCTGCTGGGAGCTAAGGTTGCTGCCATGAGTGAGACCAGGCCAGGAGTCCCTGTCCTCATGGAGCTTCAGACAAAAGTCAAGGCAGCCTCCCCAGTCACAGATCAGCCCTCAGGATGGCCATGACGTGTGGGCTGAAGACTTTCCGTGGGTTCTGGACAGGAGAGCAGGAAGTGGGAAGTTCTGGTGGAAGTGTTTTAGGTGCTAGGGACCCTGAGCTGCGGCAGGAGAAAGGCAGAAACAGGGGCTTGAATATTAAAGGGAAAGATGGAGGAGTGTTTCAGGCATTGTCAGAGCAAAAGCCCTGGGCGGGGGCTCTTTCGGCTCATTTTCATGACTCTGTGCTTGCTTGGGAATTCAGTGGAATGAAAAGCCAGGCCCCAGGAAGAAGACCCAGAAAAACAGCTCTGCTAGGCCCACAGGAGAGAAGAGTTTGCGTCTTTGGAGGACTTAATTAATGAGGTAGACCTTTTGTGACAGAAGACATGAGGACCAAGAACTGGCTTGGCAGGCCCAGGGTCCAGGGGTTGCATGTTTGATACCCGTGACCCTGGATGACCACCTGATGGTACATGGAGGCCATGTGGGGGAGGGCTGGGTCCATCAGTGGCCCAGGAAGGGATCAGCCTCCAGAAGGAGCTGATGGTCACTCCAAAGGCCCCAGATATTTCAGACCACATTAGAAAGGCCGGCTTTTCCATCAGGCACAACAACTAGAGTCCATATCCTTCGAGTAGCTCATAGGAAAGTTTTAGTTCCTTTTACAATCAGAAGAAAAAAACATGAACACAATCTAGCCTAGATGATGTCTTTCCCCAATGCATTAGGGAGTGGGGGGCCCCTGCAGACAAATGTGCCCAGGGCCCAGGGAGGTCCCACTGTGGCCCGGCCTATCAGATCTTTTTATACAGACAACTAAAGTTGCATGCTTGTCTGAAAGGAGGGCTGAGAGAATGGTCTTAATATTGCTTGGAATGATTTAGGATTTGGTTTCAGGTCTGCTGGGAGAAGGGGTTTCTTTTTCTTTCCTTTTTCCACTCTGGGCTAATCCAACAGGTGATGACATCACACAAGACATTTATTTATTTGTTTGTTTATTTACTTTTGAGACAAGGTCTCGCTCTGTTACCCAGGGTGGAGTGCAGTGGCCTGATGATGGCTCACTGTAGTCTTGATCTCCTGGACTACAGAAATCCTCCCAACTCAGCCTCCAGAATGACTGGGACTACAGGCGTGCACTAACATACTTGGCTAATTTTTGTATTTTTCGTAGGGATGAGGTCTGGCTATATTGCCCAGCCTTGAGTTCTTAGGCTCAAGTGATTCCCCCTCTCTGGCCTCACAAAGTGCTGGGATTACCAGCATGAGCAACCACGCATAGCCAAGACATTTATTAAGAACACAGATCTCAAACACGAAGCCAGGGAGCTGCGTGAGGCCTGGTAAATTAGAAGACTCTCCAAGGCCCTTGAGTTTTCAGATGTTTTGTAGACTACACAATCCACTTACCTGGGCAGGGCAAAATGTTGCATTCCTGGTATTCCAGAGATGGGCCAAGGCAAGGCATTCCCCCATACTTGGGTTCGGGGTTGTTGCAAACACGCTTCCGGTTCCGAATGCCCCTGCTGCAGTCACGGCTGCACTGTGACCACGACGTCCAGGCTGACCAAGCCCCGTTGACCGTGTGGGCAGAGTATCTCCCAGCACGCAGGAAATCCCCAGAAAGCCCTGCCAAGGAAACAGGTGAAGTGTGATTCTGTTACAAGTTTCAGAGGAACTACAGTCCATGCTGACTTTCATTCTGTATCTGCTGTCTGCCTTATTTCTAGAACTACCCTCTCACATTCCGTTGAGCTCTTTTTACACTTCAGTAGCCAAAAATCAGTGGTGTGATAGCCTCTTATCTCTCAAGCTTGTTTCCTGCAATTACTATGAAATAAGGTTGAAATTAAGAACTCCATGTGAATGTGGTGAACCTTTACACAGTAAATAATAGATTCTATATAGGTAGTTCGTTTACTTTTTGAAGACACTTCTTACAAAGAAAACACAACTTTCTCACTTTCCTTGGGAATTCTACAACAAACTGCCCTCAGACACAATGGGTAGAGCCTGCCCTCAAGGACCTCCATCTGGAGGAAGGGAAACATAATTCAGACATTTTCTAAACCTATTCTTTCAGCTGTTAACCTTTCAAAGGTGAATTAATGCTGGTAAAAGGGGCCAAGTCAACTGCTTCTGGATCACAGGCCTGAGAAACTCCTGTCTGCTCTGTGGAACTCATGCCCTAGAACTGAACACAGCACTGAGTGACATTGGCAAACGTTTCTATGAAGTTTAGAGCACACTACCTAACAAAATGTGTTTCCCAAGGAGCCAAGAGAGGCAGCAGCAGCAGCAGGTGGGCTGTGGGGTGAGTGGGGAGTTGCTGTGGCAGGAATCACAGCCAACAGGCTTTGAGGACATATTGTGGGTGATGTGTACAGTGAGCACTTTCACTTGTTAAGTCACGTAATTAGCCATAGTCAAAATTTTATGAAAATGTCTTCCCACTCACAATACTAAAAAGTATTCAATAATTTTCTCAAATGTAGGCAATGTGACACAAGCTTTAACAAATAACTCTAAAAGTATGCAGTAAAGTTCCGGGGAAGTGTGCTCAGAAGACAAGTGTGCCAACAGCTCTCAGTGTTGTTAAGCAACTCTGTTGTTTACTTAGAAAATCTGTTTCTGAAAGGATGGCAGCATACTCTTCAGAGAAATTGAATTAGAATTGTCTGTCTGTGATAAATTAGTATTCTGTGGTGAATCAATAAAGAAAAACTATGCACAAATCAAGCCTCATTTTATGTGGTCAGAGGAAAATGAGTCCCATTTTGTGTTTTCAAGATATCAATACCAAAATGTGAAATGGTCATGAGAACTCAAAGCCATTGAGATACAGAAGAATAAAACTCTATGCGCACGTATGTTTATGGAGGCACTATTCACGATGGCAAAGACTTGAAACCTGGCCAAATGCCCATTGATGATAGACTGGATAAAGAAAATGTGGCACATATACACCATGGAATACTATGCAGTCATAAAAAAGGATGAGTTCATGTCCTTTGCAAGGACATGGATGAATCTGGAAACTATCATCCTCAGCAAACTAACACAAGAACAAAAAACCCAAACACTGCATGTTCTCACTCATAAGTGGGAATTGAACAATGAGAACACATGGACACCAGGAGGGGAACACCACAGACCGGGGCCTGTCGGGGGTAGGGAGCTAGGGGAGGGAGGTTGAGCCATGATTACACCACTGTACTCCAGCCTGGGCAACAGAGCGAGACCCTGTCTCAACAAACAAACAAGCAAAAACCAAAAAATTTCATGGGGCTTAGTCATTTAAAAAGTTATGTGGGATATACTTTTCCTGAAAAGGATTCATGGGATATACTTGTACTAGAAAAAAACTTCTAAAAGATAACTGAAACTTGCATTTAAATTTTGTGCTTCATCTCACCACCCTAGGTGGAGGTCACAAGATCATCCTTTATAAAATGTGCATATTTAAGTCCTCAGTTATCTTTCTCTTGGTATTTCATCATATACCTTCTCTTCTAAATACAGCAAGAGTTTACAAAATTAAAAAGAGTGACTATTATTTTGTTACCCATTTTTCCAGGTGAGTGGTATTTGTTTAAGTTGTACATAAAATACTGTATGAAAGCAGACTTTTTTATTTGCTTCAAGGAACAATGAGCTTGGGTAATCACTGAACTACAGTGAGCAGTGGTGTGAGGAGAGGAGAGAGTTAATGTCAGTGAGAGCAATAGGATGAGGAAGCAGGCTTGTAAAGCAAGTGGCTCCTGCTGCACCTGCTGGGCCTCCAGGCATCCAGGCTGTTCACCAGCTCCCAGGAGAAGTCATGGTGATCTGTGACACGAGAGCAGCTGGTGGCCGTCACACAGAGCCACACTGTCTCAGAGCCTTCCCTGTGGCAACACCAAGGAGATCTACCAAACCTCCATGAATTTATCCCACAATAAATTCTGTCCAACGTGGCAACACACCAGCTCGGTGGCACTTGTCCAGGCTATCCACTCTGGGTAAAAGACCCCTTCTCTGTAAATGGTGGCTGTCCTTTCGTGTTGGGAGAATAAGGTAGAATCACCTGTGCAAAGATGCTAAGGCAGATCTAAGAATGGCCACAAGATATAACAATCACTGTTCTCATCAAACTGTGTACCAAGGACCCATCTATGAGTATCTATTTCCTTTTCTGTTGGTATCTTTTCCTTTGGAAGAGATTTTGCCCAATTAGAGGAGGCTGAAAAACAGAAATGAAGAACAAAGCAAAGCATCAAGCTCTTAAGGACCACCAGGCTCAATTCCTTTTTCTGCAGTTGAGACAGCAGAGCTCTAGGAAGAGAAAGTGAATTGCCCCAGGTAAAAGGACCACTTGGTGTTAGGGCCAGGCAGAGGCCAGATCTGGTTTCTGCCTCAGGGCTTTCTCCATGCTATTACTATGGCATTCAAGGGATTTACTCAATTATAAGGAGCAAAGTTATTTCAAAGACTATTCTAGTATCCTTACACAATGTGCTTTTTAAAAACAGAAACATCCTTTTATAGGTACAAAGAGAAATGCACTTCCATTGCCTTTGTGAAGTTTTGGGATAAATAAAGAAAAACCTTTTTTCAGCTTACATTTTAGTGCCAGAAGATGTATGAAAGATCAGTGATGCTTCCCCAGTACATTTTCTGATACTGAATAAATCTCACACAAATGATTCTGGGTCTATAATAAATATAGTGTTATCTGGGGGCCTGATTTCATAGTATCACTTCAATATCTAACTTCTTACAGTAAGGCTCCTTTCTTTCAATTTGTCCTACAGTCAGTTGTGCTCTACAGGGATCATTGTTTTCAAGGCTGCTAAGCCATAAATAACCAAAAAGGAAAATGCCCCCTTGCTGTTTATGACCTTAGAGAAAAGATCAAAGGCCCTTCCATGGAAGTGGGTCAGTCCCCACGGAATCACTACTCACCATCTGTGGAGCAGCCACTGGTGCCGTCGCTAGAACAGTACCGCATTTCGATTCTCTGTCTTCCCACTTCCAGCAAATTCGGATCAGCCAGGCGGGCTTTGCATGTGTATCGGAATCGTTGCTCATAGTGGCCGCCGTTGTCAGAGATGTTGACAGGTGTCCAGGGTGTCCAGGGCGTGGTCTTCTTCAGCTCAGGACACGGGTTGGTGTTGCAAGACTGGTACTCCTGGGGAGAATGCGCAGACGAGTGTTACTATACGGGGTAAACAGAGCAACCTCACGAAGGGCTCCTTTCCTTTAGGGAAAGATAAGGGTCTCTAAAACACCAGCTCCTAAGACACTCACAGCTACTCTACCAAACTAAAAACACATTTATGTTAAATTAGGTATTCAACAGAATGCTCAGTGTTCAAGACATCTCCAAAAGGAATCCCCACAGTCTCTCCTGTGTAAACAATGGGAATGAGACAACAAACTTAATTGCTTGTGGGAAAAAAACCCACCGATCCCATAAAAATCGTCTTCCTTTCACTTAATGAGTAGCTAAAAGTACCCATTATTCCGATGTTAAGTTTAGCTATTTTCTTTAAAAGATTGATTTGTAAACCTCACAATATTCAGTTTGAGATTAATGGATGTTTTAAGACCTGGGATCACAGATGTGAGGTGTTAGAGTGGTAGGGGAGCCACAAGATAAAATGATGCAAGAGACTTTTTTTACGTATAAGGTTTCCCATCATCTCACAGCTAACACCTTCAAGGCCCTTCTGAGCTTCTCCTGAGAGTACACTAAAATGTAAGTTCTGTTCCCTCCCTCCCAGGTACCTCCCTTGTAACCACAGGTAGGAGGATCCTGGGTAGCTGAACATGCAGTGGCTTTGGAGGTCTGGCACGTGGAGATGATGAAAATCTGCCTGGAGCACCTACTGATTTATTTGACAAGCATTCTACATACAATTGCTGCAGACACAGAGCCCAACAGGAGGGATACAGGAGTTGACCTTGGATACAGTGTGACATAATTTCTCCATTTTACACCAACGGGTTTCACTGGAGGGAAACCCATACACATAATACACCTAGTGATGGCCACAGGATTAAAGATTTTTAACAATGTTTTATTAATAAAATAAGAATTAAATCACTCTTTAAGCTTTATCATAAAATAAAATAAAATAAAATAAATTGCTCTATCATTCCTCCACCTCTTTCAGTTGCAGATTTTGATACTTATCTCCATAGAGCTAAACTTGAGTTTGGGTCCTTTTGGTAAAACCTTTGAATCTACAAATTCCTTTGGTTTTAGAAATATTCTTGATTACTTCATTTCATGCTCTCCCTCCCTTTTCTTGCTGCATCTCTTATCTTTTGGATGTAAACTCATTTATCCATTTTCACGTTTCTCATCTTTTATCTCATAGTTTCCATATCTTCATCTTTTGCTTTAGTTTCTGGAAGATTTCCTCAACCTTATCTTTCAAAATGATGATTGAAATATTCATCTTCTCTACTACATTTTAAATTTCCAAAAGCCCTTTTGTGTCTTTTTTTTTGGTTCTTGATTATTCCCTGTTATTGTATGCTATTCTTATTTTTTTGGTCACACTACTTTCTCCAATTTGAGCACATTGATGATTTGAATACTCTGAGTACTTTGATGAATTATTTCAAGGTTGTAGTCTTTCTCTATAGCTTCTGTATCTTCTAATTGCTGAATTCCCTTTGCTTTTTTGGATCTCTATCTTTCTTGTTAGATTGTTTCTTCTGTGATCTGAACAGTCTTTGTTTTCTGCTCTGATTTAGAGTGGAGGGCTAAAAAGTTTAACTGGAAGGTCTGTAGCACAGAGAAGTCTGTAGACCTGGTCAGATCTGGTTGAGATCTTTAAACAGAATTTAAGAATCTTTGTCAGAATCTTAAACCTTTCCTGCTGGACTCTTCAGAGACCCCTGAGAAGACTGCTCCAGTGTCTTGCCTGTCTGGATGCTGGAGGCTGAGCCATGGAGGATCTGGGAGCTGAGTGGAGGAAGAGGGCAGAACTCTCAGTGTCCAGTAGACACCCACTTATCTCACTCTGCCGTTCTCAGTTCTGAAGCACCCAGTTAACTGAGCCCAGTGCTCAGAGGTCCAGAGACGCTCTGTTTTCCTCTCCAGAAAATAAGCTTCCTATCATCTGCTGGACAGAGCAGGTCTAGTCCCCTTGGTGGAGTGGGAGAGAGGTATGGAGGTCTGATAACTTCTTAAACAGAAGTCACCCAATGTTGTTTTGCCACTAACAAAAAAAATGGGGCTGTGGATTCCTAAGCTCTCTGAGGGGTCTCTGGTGTGCATTGAGATGATTATTTTCATGTATGTGCTGGGGGTCCCCAAGATCCCTCCAGTTTCTATGATTAGATAGCAGGATCCATAGGACTCTGTGTGCAGCAGTGTTCTCAGCTAAAATGTATTACGGTAAAAGACTACAAAGCAAAATCAGCAAAGAGAAAATGCACATGGGGTAGAAGTGCAGACAAAGCCAGGCAGCACAACCAAGAGTCCTCTCTCAGCAGAGTCATGAAGGATGTGCTCAGGTCGCCCAGCAGCTAGTTGTGATGACGTACAGGGAAGGTGGTCTACCAGGGAAGCTCACTGGAGACTTGGTGCTCAGGGTTTTCACCGGGGTCTGGTTGCAGAAGCATCCTTGTTTTGCATGTACCAAAAGTTCAGATTCCCCCAAGGAAGCTTTCAGTATACACCACATTGTTTGTACAGACAATTTAAGCACAGAGAGCCATTCTTGCCATCTGGGAATGGTAGAAACCTTCCTGAAATCCAGATTCCCAGATGCCAGCCAACAGCTAGCCTTGCGAGCAGGCCTTTCTAAGAATCACAGGACTGGGAAGCATTGTCTTCCACATAGTTCTCCTCTGTTAGACTTGAATTCATGCTTCTTCGATGTATTTCCAGATTCTACTTTTTAAAAACAACATGGTTCTTTCTCTTTTTTTCTGACTTTGCGCATTCATGCCTTGAAAAATCAACCCCTCTAACACTGTATTAGTATGTTTCCAGTGGGATAGAAAGCAACTTGTGTGTCCATGCCACCAACTTTACCTGGGAACCTAATACAATCTTTATTTTGTACTGTTTTAAATACTCTAACTAGCTTTCTTTACTCACAATGCATTTATTTTTTATTTTTTTTACAGCGGATAACACTCAGGATTTTTGTGACATCATAGGCTTTTAACAGAAAATATGTAAGGCGATCATCGCTGTTTCTTTGATTTAATACTCTCTAGGCATTCCTCCCGGCCTGCATGATCTCTACATCAACAAATACTAGAAAGATAGATGACTTCATTTTCTTGTGTTTATAGCATCTTTTATTATGGCATCTTTTGAATGCTGCCTCTTAAATGAAAAAGCCCCAATGAATGCCATAAACCCAGTCATGTGAAAAGCCAGGCACAACGCGTGTGTGATCTCTTTCACTTGGAATGAAAACCACATGACAGGAAAGCCATAAACCCTTGTCTTGGACCCTCTGTGCCTCTAGTGTGGGGATGCTCTCACCTCTGGATTGAGAATGTCATATGCCACTGCCCTTCCCTCCCTCACTCCGAGCCAGCCTGGCCAGATAAGAATCCTGGAGTTCCTTGCTGAAATGGGCTCAAAACACATGCAGCTCGGCCATGCGTGGTGGCTCACATCTGTAATCCCAGCACTTTGGGAAGCCAAGGTGGGCGGATCACCTGAGGTCAGGAGTTCGAGACCAGCCTGGCCAACATGGTGAAACCCTGTCTCTACTAAAAATACAAAAATTAGCGGGGCATGGTGGCAGGTGCCTGTAGTCCCAGCTACTCGGGAGGCTGAGGCATGAGAATTGCTTGAATCTGGGAGGCGGAGGTTGCAGTGAGCCGACATTGTGCCACTGCACTCCAGCCTGGGCAGCAGAGTGAGACTCCATCTCAAAAAAACAAACAAACAAAAATCATGTGCAGTTTATGGGCCTCTGTTTGAAAAGTGCTGGTCTTTAGGTCTTAACAAATGCAGCATTACCTATAAATTAGTAAAATCCTACATCTTCATAAACAGATTTATAGGATACCACCAATAATTCTTAGGTTTCCCACACTGCAAACTTCATTCTTTCTATGGAGATGAAGTTTAATTTTTGAAATGTATGAGGGGCAAATGTGTTTGAAAGCTGGCTCAAGTGTCTGCATTGGCATCTGTGTGTTGGTCCCAGAGGTGGGCACAGCTCACGGCTAAGAAAGATCAGTTTAGTCTCTTCAGATCTAAGCCTCCAACAACAGTCTGTTCTTATGTTCTTATTTTCTCATGGTTCAAAATTTAACATGAGACTCAGAATTTCTCCTTTCAAGTGCTTTTTGAGGTTTAATTATGATACATTCACTTGAAGTATCAAATTATGAAATGGTGAGAAATGGTATGGCCAATTTGTTTTATCTTAATGAGCAAAATCATGAAGTGATTTAATTCTATTGTGATCACTTATATGGCTTAACTGAATATGTATGTTACAATTTACTAGAGAACTGCTGCTGTAACTATCCAAATGTAAATGGAACTTTAACAAAACTGCACTTAATACTAAAGAGATAAATGATTTTAAAAAGGATTTCAGGAAGCTAACTATTATGATTTGGCACCTAAGGTTCTTAATATTCTGGTGCAAAATATGAGATAAGAATGCTTACTAAAGCAATTATAAATAATTCCTCCAAATATGTTCCCCACGTATTATGTATTCCAGTCAACAGTGATAAAAGCACTCATTTAAATGTTTAATCCTGCAACCCGGGAGACACTCTGCCAGTTCTCCCTTACTTCTATGCCAAGTACTACAGTCATGGCTTCCTGTGTTCCTTCTGTCCTCTCCATCTTAATTGCCTCTTCTAATTCAGGCCCCCATCACCATAGGCCTGATTTAGAGAATCAAAGCATGTAGTTCCTTAAAGCTTAAGTGCCTATTTATAATTCTGCATCCACTAATAGACTGCAAATTTGTCAAAAGCAAGAACTTTGTCACGTTTATTTTATATTACCAATCTTGGGCATAGTAACACTATTTGGTAAATGGATAAATCATATTGATTAAGTAACAGATAAGTCTACTGAGATGAAATTTGCATACATTTGGGGAACAGATTTAGATAGTTAAGTGGGACCTCCTGTTTTGCTGTTTATTTTTCCCTTGAGAAAATTAAAATATCTCATATTTCATACATTGCAAGTAAAGTAGAGAGACAGAGACAACCCAAGCAGAATTTTGATACCACATGCTCAGAGTGAAGCCCAAAAATTACCCTTCAAGTCATCTCATCCACAACTGAATATGTAAATCAAATTTATTCTCATATGGAATACTTATGGTTTCCATATGCATTTATCAAGTTCTCTTTCAGTAACTAAGCTTGGCCTGCTGAGACTGAAAGCAATTCACATTAGAGAAATAACAAAGTAATTGAATTGTGCTTGCAAAGAGCCAAAACACTCAAGTATCTACATGGAAGTAGAACCATGCTCCCAGGAGCTTGTGGCAAACAGAACAAAGATTGACTGGAAGTTCTGGAAATTAGTTTAGTTGTACCCAGTAAGGAAGGTATATAAAGGAATGTGGTGCATTCAAAATTATATGGTCACAGAGTGTCTTCTGTTTCCCACCAATATGGAGTAAGAGAAACTGGATTAACCCTTTTATCCAAATAACAAAAAGTTATATTAAATAATGGTTCTTAAAGTACTGGACTTCAGGCAATGAAGGTCAGTGATCACTGAGTAATGGGAGACAACTTATGGGAGACCCATGAGTGCCACAACCTACAGCCTTGAGAAGGTTCCCAGGCCACAGCATGGGGAGCAGAAACCCAGGCACAGGCTAGAGACTGAGAAGACAGGTTTGGGAGCTGGAGAATGCCAAAGTGGCTGAAATTATTGGAAAGGAGAAAGTTGCACAAAATGAACACACCAGTGATGTGCAAAAATCACCCATCACGATTTCAATTGAGTACAAATCAGGTAACAGAGGTTTTGACTTAAAAAATCAGCAAGTTCATGTGAGAAACTACACAGGAATAGGGAAAGATCTGCCTGAAATGATCAGAGGGAACACTGTGTGTTACCCACACAGGACCAGGAACAGTGCTTGCTTCAAAGAGCAAAACCAAAAGACCTCATAATTCAAGGGTCATTGGTTGGATACCAAAAGGGGCCTTGCTTCCACAGTGGGGAAAAATTACTGCAGACTAAATGTGGCTTTGATCCCAAGTAACTAAGACTAAAAGCAAGCACCAAAACCATCAAACTGTTTTTACATAACTTAATTATGTCCTCAAAGAGAACCTTAGCATATTTTTAGGACAAAAAAATTGTCTACCAGTTTAAATTCACAATGTCTTGCATCCAATCTAAAATTACCGGATATGGAAAGAGGCCAAAAACATGACCCGTAATGAAGAGAAAAATCAGTCAATTGAAACTGATGCAGATATGACACAGATGACAGAATCTGTAGTCAACAGCATCAAAACAGTAATTATAACTGCATCCCATATGTTCAAGGAAGACCTCGAAGAGATAAGGAAGAAACAACTTGCAACATGCCAGCTGTAACATACAAAATATTTGCAGATAATTGCAAACGAGACAGTATCTCCCAAGTCATTCTATGAGGCCAACTTTGATATCAAAACCAGACAAAGACAGAAAGAAAGAAAACTACATGAATGTAGTTTTCTATTCCTCATGAATGAGTATTCCTCATGAATGTAGATGTTAACATTCTTAAAAAGAATTTAAGAAATCAAACCCAAAATATATCAAAAGGTTAACACCTCATGATCAAGTGGCTTTCATGTCATCAATGAAAGACTGGGTTATCATTTGAAATTCAATTAACGTAATTCATCATATGAACTGTATAGAAGTAAACTCATGTAATAATCTCAATAGATGCAAAAATTATTGGATAAAAATCAAAATTAATTCCTTATAAGAACTCTCAATCAACTTGGAATTCAAATAAATTTCCTAAATCTCATGAAGGATATCTATTAAAAACCTACAGACTGAATCACACTTAATGGTTAAAGCCTGTGTGCTTTCCTCCTAAGATGAGAAACAAGGCAAGGATGTCTGTCCTTATCACTTTTATTCAAGATTATCCTGGAAGTTCTAGCCAGTGCAATCAGGAAAGAAAAAGAAACGAAAGTCATCCATATTAAAAGTAAGAAATAATTATATTTTTACTCTCATACAATATGATTGTCTATGTAGAAACTGTTATGGAGTCTACCAAAAAAAAGCTACTAGAAGTAATAAATTAATTTATTAAGGCTGCAGAACACAAGATCAATGTAAATATAAAATATTATTTCATTCCCATGCACCAGCAACAAGCTACCAGAAATTAAAATTTTAAAAGAACACTACTTATAGTAGCATCAAAACATAAAATACTTAAGATTAAATCTCAAAAAAATATGTGCATGACTTTTACAATGAAAGGAAATGGAATCACTACAATCCTAATTATAATTCCAGGAGGCATTTTTGGTAGAAATTAACAAGCTAATTCTAAATTTCATATGGAATACAAAGTTATCTAGAATAGTCAAAATATTTTGGCAAGGAAGAACAAAGTAGGAAGACATACTTTCTAACTTCAGGATTCATTATAAAGGTACAATAATCAAGATTCTGTGGTATAAGCATCAAGATAGAAAGACTGAGCAAAAGAACAGAATGGAAAGTCTAGGAATTGACCCACCTGTTTATGGCTTATTGGTTTGTTTTGTAAATGTGCAAAGGCAATTCAATGGAGAAAGCATAGTCTCTTCTGAAAATGATGTTGGAATAATTGAATATCCACATGTGAAAACATGAATTTTGATCAATAACTTGTTCCATCTATGATAATTGATGTAAATGGATCATAGCCCAATATCTAAAACCAAAGAACTCCTAGAAGCAAACACATGAGAACACCTGTGGGGTCTTAGGTTAAGCAAAAATTTTCTAAATAAAATACCAAA
Source organism: Homo sapiens (assembly GCF_000001405.40). Taxonomy (NCBI): domain Eukaryota; kingdom Metazoa; phylum Chordata; class Mammalia; order Primates; family Hominidae; genus Homo; species Homo sapiens. Next base: position 9,074,458 of record NC_000005.10, read on the forward strand.
AGCACCATCCATAAAATAAAAAAAACAATTAAAATGAATTAATCAAAATAAGAAGTTTCTGCCTTTTAAGGATCACTGTTAAGAAAATTAATGATGAGCTATATAGTCTGAGAGAAAGTATTTGCAAATCATGTATCTGATAAAAAGACTTGCACCCATTATGTATTTTAAAAGTTAAAACTAGAGTATAAAAACTAACTAATAGAAAAACTGCTGAAAGATATGTATAGGCATTTCAACAAAGATATGTGATGGCAAAACAAGCGTATGTAAACTTAGAAAAAGGTAAATTGAAACCACAAGTAAACCACTACACATGTATTAGAATGACTAAAATTCAAACAACAGAAAAAACAAAAGCCCCCAAACCCAAAATCGTGTCACAGTATCAGATGCTGAGGAGGACACAATGCTTTAGATTTACTCAGCCACCCCAAATAAACACCTGGTGCATGTATTTGGATCTGGTCCATAGAACGGAAAAAGACTCAATTTTCAGAATGCTACAAGACAAACTCAGTATATGCCAGTTACTCTGAAGACAGGTTGATGATTTAGAGATTTTTAGATATTCCTGGTTTCTTTCCACTACTCTTACTAGTCATAAAAACACAATAAAATACAATAGAAATGTTTTGAAAAAAATGTGAAAACAATATTATAACCAAAAAGTTGAGTATTTCTAAGTAGAAATTAATCCACAATCCCACTGTTTTCTATGCAGTAACTCCATTTCTGCAGGTTTGCTCTATCTCATACACTGCTGATAGCATTGTAAATGGCACAAGCCATTTGAAAACTGTTTGATACTTTCCTAAGAAGTCAAACGTATACATATCACATAGCCTACTCATTCCATTCCTCTATATTTACCCAAGAGAAAATGAAACACATGCCCATACAAACACTTGTACCTGAATGTTCACAAAAGCTTTAATTGTAATAGACAAGAAACTGGAGACAACTCATATGGCCATCAGCAGATGGATAGCTAAACGAATAATCTTATGGAATATTAATCAGCAATTAAAAGAAATGAACTCTTAATATACAAAACAACAAAGCATCTGAAAATAATTATGCACATAAAAAAGCCAGCAAAAAAAAAAAGGTGTGACACTGTAGAATTCTATTCATATAACATTAGGGAATATGAAAACTAATGCATAGAGACAGAAAGCAATCAGTGCTTATCTGAGATGAGGGAGTACTGGGACGGGTATCAGGGAGGTGTTGCAAAAGGAAATGAGGAAATGGGTTGATGGACATGTTCACTACCTTTATTGTGTCAATGGTTTTATGAATGTATAAATACCTTAAAACTGACCAAAATTTTATCATTTTAAACATGTAGTGCATTGTATGCCAACCATACCTCAATAGAGGTACAAAACTGTATGGTCTCAGAAAAACAAGCCTCTTTCTAATACATGGTGGCTTCTTTGCTATTTAGAAATTATATCTTCAGGCCAGGCATGGTGGCTCACGCCTGTAATCCCAGCACTTTGGGAGGCTGAGGCGGTTGCATCATGAGGTCAAGAGATCAAGACAATCCTGGTCAACATGGTGAAACCCCGTCTCTACTAAAAATACAAAAATTAGCTGGGCATGGTGGCACGTGCCTGTAGTCCCAGCTACTCAGGAGGCTGAGGCAGGAGAATTGCTTGAACCCGGGAAGCGGAGATTGCAGTAAGCCGAGATCGCACCACTGCACTCCAACCTGGTGAGAGAGTGAGACTCCATCTCAAAAAAAAAAAAAAAAAAAAGAAATTATCTTGAAATCATGTCATTTGCAGCAACACAAATGGAGCTGAAGGTCACTATCTTTAGTGAAATAATTCAGGCCCCAAAACACAAATATCACATGTTTTCACTTATATGCCAGAGCCAAAAAAAGTTGATCACATGGAGGTAGAGAAATATAGTAAATAGAGTTTGAGAAAGGTAAGTGGAAGAAAGAGAGGAGGATGAAGAGAAATGGATTAAAAGGTAAAAACATGCAGCTGGATAGAAGGAGTAAATTCAGTATTTGATAGCAGAGTAGGGTAACTATAATTAAGCAGAAATGCATTGTACTTGGGTGGTGGACACCCTAAATACCCTGACTTGATCACACACATTATATACATGTAACAATATTTCATGTGTACACTACAAATTTGTACAAATAAAAAATGGTATCCAAAACAACTATGAGTTTATACATTCCTGTATATAGTAAAATCATCGTAATTTTTTTCATGGCATTTATGTTTGCTTATTTAGGACTGAATATGACCAGTATTTGTAGATAAATGCTTCATAAAGCATGCACCATCCATTCATTTTCACTTTCCACCATATATGTCCACAAAATGACACTGTTATCTACCACATAGCCAGCCAGTGCATTGACTATGCATTACGATCTTTGTGTGTGTGTGTGTGTGTGTGTGTGTGTGTGTGTGTGTGTAGCCTGTGCATGTTCCTCATTCTTTTAAAATCACTTATGTCTCTTCTAATCAGTTTCTTTGGTCACAGTGCTTTTTCATGCTGGCACAGGCCTTTGAACATGAGGAAGTTATCATACAATCACCTTCCATGGGATTTGGAGAAGTGTGGGAGTCACAGGGTAACTTAGGAGAACTTGGCTTCCAGGACTGTTTCTTACTTACTCACCATCCAATCCTCTGCAAAACATCTTTAAATGCTTGTAATACCTCCCAACAAAGGCCATATAAGAGGATAGAGAAGCTGATCTCCTAACACCAAAATGCCTTTGCAATCCACAACCTTGCTTTAGATTTACTTAGCCATCCCAAATAAACACCCAGTGCATGTATTTGGATCTGGCTCATAGAAGGGGAAAAGAATCGATATTCAAAATGCCGAAAGACAAACTCAGTATACGCTAGTTACTCTGGGGAGAGGTTAATGATTTAGATATTTTAGATATTCCTGGTTTCTTTCCACTACTCTTACTAGTCATAGAATCACAATAAAATGCAATAGAAACGTTTTGAAAAAATGTGAAAACAATATTGTAACCAAAAAGTGAGCATTTCTAAGTAGAAAATCATCCACAATCCCACTATTCTATGCAGTAACTGAATTTCTGCAGGTTTGCTCTAAGTAGCTACAGTACTCTCTACATACCTTATCATGCATCATGAACCTTTATTATGCCACTTGTTTGCAAGGCGGTCTCCCAAGCATGTGAGCTTCCCCAGGGCAAAGCCTGGGATGGATGCGACTTCAGGTCTCACCTGGGTAACTGACACCCTCACTGGCTCGAAGTGGGGAGTAACTGAGCCAAAATCTCTGGGGCTTTTGAATGGCCGCATTCACTTTCAACCTGTAGCCAACCTGGGTTCTTCTAAGTGCAGAAAAGCAAACACATACTCCTCTGCTTTCTTGCTCAAAAGTGATGTATGTATGTGCACAACATATATATGTGCGTGTACGTACAAAAATGGAACTACCTTTCCTCCTTACCCATTATTTTAGGCATTCCTTTTTATAACAGCCTAAAGCTCAGGAGAATAAGAAAATCAGTGCTGTCACTGGAAATCTTTATTACAGAGGCTGTGATTTGTGGGCATTTTGCTTCCATAAACTTACATCTCAAATGAGAAGATCCATCTATTTATTTTATTGTCTCACTGTAATGCCTTTAAATTCTCACTCTCTGAGAGCAAAAGCCAGGAATTCAGATATCTTTTTCCTAGCAAATATCTTGCAATGAGAGGAGTAACTACTTTTAGATAGAAGCAAATGCCTGTCCTTTGGGAAACGTTTCCTTCTCAAGCTAACAATTGAAATCGGTGACCTTGAGCAGAGGCATCTGCCTTTTATTTCTAATCTTCCATTTTTAAGGGGAAAATGTTTAAACATACTATAAGTGCTTGAGAACATGATGATAATTTGTACAGATTTTAAGAGTTCTTATGAGGAACTTTGGAAGCATTGAATACATAACAAAAGTCTAAGCGAGACTGTGTTATTTAAGATTAAGGTTTCAGCAGGACTGTCATGAATTTGCCTTTACAATAATGCATGGGGACATTTACCCCAGATTCTTTGAAGGACAAAAAAAAAAAGTGGCAAATATTGGTCTGCCTTCTGACCAGAAAATTTCAGCTGGGTATGTACACACACACACACACACACACACAGTCATACATATGCAACAATAAGAAAAACAAAATTTAGAAAAAAAAATTCTGCCTATAATAATAGGATTTGTATGGGATGGTTACAGACACATAAACATACTTGTATAGGACCAAACTGGCTCCATTTTTTGGCAAGAAAATATAAAATAAAATTAGAATAATAGAGTACTTATGGCAGACATAGGGTAAAGCCATACTCATGTCCTTGGGAAACCATCTCATTGATAAAAATTTATATTGCATTAAAAACTCTTCATTCAGCAGCATAGGCCACTAATAGTAAATAGTTTGCAAAGACCTGATGATTAGTCTATGATAAGTTAATATTTTCTGTTTAAATTGATATCTAACATTTTTAAGTTTTGAGCTTTTGAGAAATATAAAAAATATAAATACAGAAACTATAAATATAAATAAAAATAAATGTGAATCGCATGGCTTAAATATATACCAACTTGCTTTTTACCTGAAAATTAATGGCAAATAATTTAAATACCATTTTCCTCTCCTAGATCATTTGGATGCCATTTAAAATTTTTTGCTTTTTAAAACTAACACTCCTTAGCAAATGCAAAAGAACGGAAATCATAATAAACAGTCTCTCGGACCACAGTGCAATCAAATTAAAACTCAGGATTATGAAACTCACTCAAAACCACACAACTACATGGAAACTGAACAACCTGCTCTTGAATGACTACTGGATAAATAACAAAATTAAGGCAGACATAAATAAGTTCTTTGAAACCAATGAGAACAAAGACACAATGTACCAGAATCTCTGGGACACAGCTAAAGCAGTGTTTAGAGGGAAATTTATAGCACTAAATGCCCACAAGAGAAAGTAGGAAGGATCTAAAATTGACATTCTAACATCACAATTAAAAGAGCTAGAGAAGCAACAGCAAACACATTCAAAAGCAAGCAGATGACAAGAAATAACAAAGAAAGAGCTTCTGCACAGCAAAAGAAACTATCATCAGAGTGGACAGGCAATCTACAGATGGGATAAAATTTTTGCAGTCTATCCATCTGACAAAGGGCTAATATCCAGAATCTACAAAGAACTTACTTAAACAAATGTACAAGAAAAAAACAAACAACCCCATCAAAAAGTGGGTGAAGGATATGAACAGATACTTCTCAAAAGAAGACATTTATGCAGGCAACAAACATATGAAAAAAAGCTCAACATCACTGGTCACTAGAGAAATGCAAACCAAAAACACAATGAGACACCATCTCACGCCAGTTAGAATGGTGATCATTAAAAAGTCAGGAAACAACAGATGCTAGAGAGGATGTGGAGAAATGGGAATGATTTTACACTGTTGGTGGGAATGTAAATTAATTCAACCATTGTGGAAGACAGTGTAGCGACTCCTCAAGGATCTAGAACCAGAAATACCTTTTGACCCAGAAATCCCATTACTGGGTATATATCCAAAGGATTATAAGTCATTCTACTATAAAGACACATGCACATGTATGTTTATTGCAGCACTGTTCACAATAGCAAAGACCTGGAAACAACCCAAAATACCTATCAATGACAGACTGGATTTAAAAAATGTGGCACATATACACCGCGGAATACTATGCAGCCATAAAAAAGGATGAGTTCATGTCCTTCGCAGAGACTTGGATAAAGCTGGAAACCATCATTCTCAGCAAACTAACACAAGAACAGAAAACCTAACACCACATGTTCTCACTCATAAGTAGGAGTTGAACAATGAGAACACATGGACACAGGGAGGAGAACATCACACAGGGGAGCCGGTTGGGGGTGGCTAGGGGAGGTATAGCATTAGGAGAAATACCTAATGTAGATGACAGGTTGATGGGTGCAGCAAACCATCATGGCACATGTATACCTATGTAACAAAACTGCACGTTCTGCACATGTATCCCAGAACTCTTAAATTAAAAAAAAAAAAAACTGAATGAACTTAGGATGAAACAATTGTAGCATCTTCTATTGTTTTACTCAATTGGTAAAACTACTAAAGACCTCCACAAAGACTCAGGGGTAACGATGTAGTTTGCACTACTCAGTCTTCTTGTATTTCATGAGGCATGTGGTGTTGTGTGTCCTCAGGGTCCACAGGTGAACAGTCCTGCTTAGAGCCTTCAGAGCAGCTGGTCCATCTTCTTCCATCACCTGCACCCTGACTCCTTCATTGTAACGCAGCTCTGATCTGAGGGGCCCTCTGATAGGAAGCACCCACTCACACACCTATGGTGGGGAGAATTCTAAGAAACCCCGAGATTCCCACCACCTGGGTGTCATGCTCTGCATAATCTTCTCTCTTGGAGTGTTGGTGGGTCCTGTGAAGATGATGGGATAGTCACCCTCTTAATCAGGTTACAATAATCCACAACCTCCTCGTACCTTACTAGAAAGAGATTTTCTTTTGCTGGCTTTGAAGAAGGAAGTTGCCTTGTGGTGAGTGGCCCATATGGCTAGGACTAAGGGCAGCCTAGGAGCAGAGAACGCCACCCTCTAGCCTATAGCCAGCAGGAAATACAAGATCTCAGTCCTAAAACTACAGGCAACTAAATCCTACAAATACCCAGTGAGCTTGAAACACTCAGTGAGAACCCTGAGCCACAGAAAAGACTGTAGCTCTGGCCAACACCTCAATTTCAGCCTGTGAGACATTGAGCTGAGGGCACAGTTTGAATTTTCCCAGACTTTGACTCACTGAATGATCAGATAATAAATACATGTAGTATTAAACAACTGAATTTGTGCTAATTTATTACCTAGCAATAAAACCCTAATATACATTTATGTATGTATGTGTATATACATACATATGTGTGTATATATCTATATATAGACATAGATAGAGATATATACATCCAGTTTCCCACTGGCAAGGAATTTTCCAAATGGAAGACTCATTATCCTCTCGCTATGATATTTCTCCAATGCTTTCTCATGAAAAAGTTTCAGTTAAAAAAGATGACCATTACTTATTATTAATGGTACATAGGCAATTTGAGGTGTTGATGAAAGTCCTGCAAGTTATCTAGGAAGGTGAGGCCAGTGGTTACAATTCATGTTATTTTAAGGTGCCTGATACTGTTCAGAACTCATATTTTTGAATTTAACTCTCCAGAATAGTGATGAACTATGCATGTGTTGACAATTTGTACTTCAACTTTAACAATTCCATTAAAACTCTGAAGTTCAGTCCACTATTTTTGAGGGAAATGTGTTGAGTAAGTATCTTCTGCTTTAAGAGAATTCACAGAACTTAAAGCGGTGTTCTATTCCTTCCAGGGAAGAGTTTTTCCTAAAAGGCGACTCCACAGGGTACTAATGAGTGCTACAGGAAAAGCATCTGTTGTCAGGAAAAACTGAGAAGTCTTGGGTTAAAGAAAGTTAAATGGGTTTCTCCAAATGAGTGATCAGAGCTGCTCTTGGAGCCCTTTTTCTCAAGAGCTTCTTGCAAATGCTGCCAGGGAGAATGCTATCTGGAATCAAACAAGTTCTCAAAAGATGTGAGAATTTCATTGTTGTATGACAGATTCTACAATCGATTTACTGATTTAAAAACTGAAAATAGGGGTGCATCCCTACTGTTTTGAAATTGTATAGAAGTTACCCTTCTTCTGCCCAATGTAAACAGAATTCAAAAGATTGAGGATGGAGTCTTATGTTCATAAAATCCTTAGCCCATTGATTCTGTATTTTAATGGGGAAAATTGTCTAAAATATCCACCTCCTTTAACACTGTTGGTAGGTAACTGAGTTTCCAGTGACTACCTAAGACAGAAAGAGTTGATTCTTCATTAGGGTTGATGTCTTGAAAACAATTTTCTTCTCTGAGTTCACTCAGAAGCGGGCTAATCAGTCTAAACTGTGATGCTCTCTGCTCACTCCCAAGTTCATTGTTCTGTGTTATAAGCAGGAGAGCCCACCAAGGTCTGCCCAGGGGTTCTACTCCCTTCAATCCTTAACCTAGTTCCTCCACTTTCTCATCTATAAAATGGGATAGAAAGAAAGTCATCCACAATGCTAATTTTGAAGTGTTAAGTGAGATAATGTGTTTATAGTGATTAGCATAGAGCCTGTTCTATATGGCATCTTTACACGGAGCCCTGGAAGCAAATATCAGATGCAGACCACAAAAGCATCAGGGATTCTCCAAAATGACCACTGGAGAAATCATCCTTTCTTCCTAGAAAATGCAGATGGTCACAATACCCCATAATTATCCTACTAGGAATATCCACAGCAGGGTGCATTTATCTAACTGGTAAAATAAGTTTCAATTTAACTTGCATCCAAGTTTCTAGGGGTATCATTTTACTCCATTTGTGCTCATCCAAAGGAAAATTATCTTCTAAATATGATTTTATCAGAGTTTACATGAAGCTGTCTTTTTATCAGCTCATATTCTGTAAATAAGTAGTTAAGATTTACTGCTCTAAAAGATAGTAGTAGAAACATTTATTTAATCTAAAGTTCTCACATCATGAATGATGTATTTGGAACATGCACAGCTATGGTCAACGTCCCTGTGACATTTCATTTCATTGTATGCAAATATTTGGAACTCTTGGGTGTTTTCTTGGCTCTCTGTGCTGGGATTTCATCATTTAATGGATCTGGGCTTTGGAAAATATGAATGTGTTATCAGCATCACTTTCCTACAATTTAAATCCCAAGGAACTGCATTTTTTGTTCTTTTATTGGCCAATTTACTATGGGAAATTAATTATGTTCCTCTTAAATTCAGATTTTAAATGACTTTAAAAAATAACTCAGGTTATTTAATTAGATTCTTATTACTGCATGAATATTTCCTGCCAGAACTTATGGATAATGACCTAAGTACCATAATTTAAACACGTACATGTTTGAAACTAAAAGTCAATGTAGTGTTGCCTAAGTGATACTTTCTATTTACAACACAGTTATGATAATCAAAATATCAGGTTTTCCATTCATTCATCCATTCATCCATCCATCCATCCATCCATCCATCCATCCATCCATCCATCCATCTTTCAGTTATCACTGTTGGAACATCTATACCATGTGCAAGAAGCTGAGATTCCTCCTGAGAATTCTCAGACACCAATGGTGAAAATAAACCCATGAAGTTTAAGGAAGACATGTGGAAGTGCCATCAGCCTCACACCAACTACTTATGAAAGGAGTTAAGATGCAAGAGGGACTTAGTGTTACATAACACTAGCACACAGTAATTGTCACTCTGGCCAACCCCATTAACCACCTGATTCAGGACTCTCTGTCTGACAGACTGACTTGTTTCATATACAGGTGCCATTGTCTTCCTTGATCATGGCACTAGAATTGCAACACATACAGCATTTTAGTTACCTTGAGCAATCAATTCTGCCTAAATTATCCATGCCCTAAAAGTGGAATATCATTGCTAACAAAAGGAAAACCTTAGAGAAATCTTAGCCCCTTTAATAAAAGTTGAAAATCTTGATCAAAGAAAATAAAAGACCTACTAGTCAAAAATAGTAAGTTATCAAAATAGTTGGATGCAAATGTTATTTTTTAATAAAGCTTAAAATTTTTGAGCCCTGGTTTTGTAAATACTCAAGATGTGTGCCTCCTGTTCCAGCAGTCATCCAAATTAAAAGACTAGAGTATGATGGTGGCCTTCCCAGAACATGCAGCCCCAACTGAGAGACAAGGTTAATTTGAAAGCCCACAGCATGAGTGGGGCTCCTTGTTCTCCAGTGATGTTTCTGTTGGCTTCCCTCCTGATATGGTTTGGCTGTGTCCCCACCCAAATCTCATCTTGTAGCTCCCATAATTCCCATGTATTGTGGGAGGAACCTGTTGGGAGATAATTGAATCATGAGGGCAGGTTTTTCCCTTGCTGTTCTCATGATAGTGAATAAGTCTCATGAGATAAAATGGTTTTAAAAACAGGAGTTTCCCTGCATGAGCCCTCTTCTCTTGTCTCCTGCCATGTGAGATATGCCTTTCACATTCCACCATAATTGTGAGGCCTCCCCAGCCACGTGGAATTGTAAGTCCAATAAACCTCTTTCTTTTGTAAATTCCCTTGTCTTGGGTATGTCTTTATCAGCAGTGTGAAAACAAACTAATAAAGCAAATTGATACTGTGAGTGGGATACTGCTGAAAAGATACCCCAAAATGTAGAAGTGACTTTGGAACTGGGTAATAGGTAGAGGTTGGAACAGTTTGGAGGGCTCAGAAGACAAAAAAATGTGGGAAAGTTTGGAACTTCCTACAGACTTGTTGAATGGTTTTGCCCAAAATGCTGATAGCGATATGGACAATAAGGTCCAGGCTGAGGTGGTCTCAAATGGAAATGAAGAACTTGTTGGGAACTGGAGCAAAGGTGACTCTCATTATATTTTAGCAAAGAGACTGGTGGCATTTTCCCCCTGCTCTGGAGATCTGTGGGATTTTGAAGTTGAGGGAGATGATTTAGAGTATCTGGCAGGAGAAATTTCTAAGTGGCAAAGCATTCAAGTGGTGACTTGGGTGCTGTTAAAAGCATTCCGTTTTATAAGGGAGGCAGAACATAAAAGTTTGGAAAATTTGCAGCTTGACAATGGGATAGAAAAGAAAATCCCATTTTCTGAGGAGAAATTTAAGCCAACTGCAAAAATTTGCATAAGTAACAAGGAGCCAAATGTTAATCCCCAAGACAATGGGGGAAGTGTCTCCAGGGCAGGTCAGAGGTCTTCACGGCAGCCCCTCTCATTACAGGCCCAGAGGCCTAGGAGGAAAAAGTGGTTACCTGGGCTGGGCCCGGGGTCCCTGTGCTGTGTGCAGCCTAAGGACTCGGTGTCCTGCATCCCAGCCACTCTAGCCATGGCTGAAAGGGGCCAACATAGAGCTCAGTCTGTGGCTGCAGAGGGTGCAAGCCCCAAGCCTTGGAAGCTTCCACAGGGTGTTGAGACTGTGATTGCACAGAAGTCAAGAACTGGGGTTTGGGAACCTCCACCTAGATTTTAGAGGATGTATGGAAACACATGAATGTCCAGGCAGAAGTTTGCTGCAGGGGTGGGGCTCTCATGGAGAACCTCTGTTAGGGCAGTTCAGAAGGGAAATGTGGGGTCAGAGCCCCCTCACAGTGTCCCTACTGGGGCACAACCTAGTGGAACTGTGAGAAGAGGGCCACCATCCTCAGACCCAAGAATGGTAGATCCACTGACAGCTTGCACCATGCACCCGGAAAAGCCGCAGACACTCAATGCCAGCCTATGAAGGCAGCCAGGAGGGAGGCTGTACCCTGCAAAGCCACAGAGTTGGAGCTGCCCAAGACCATGGAAACCCACCTCTTGCATCAGTGTGACCTGGATGTGAGACATGGACTCAAAGGAGATCATTTTGGAGCTTTAAGATTTGACTGCCTTGCTGGATTTTGGATTTGCATAGGGCCTGTTGCCCCTTTGTTTTGGCCAATTTCTCCCATTTGGAATGGCTGTATTTATCAAATGTATCTAGGAAGCAACTAATTTCCTTTCAATTTTACACCCTCATAGGCAGAAGGGACTTGCCTTGTCTCAGATGAGACTTTGGACTGTGGACTTTTGAGTTAATGCTGAAGTGTGTTAAGATTTTGGGGGACTGTTGGGAAGGTATGATTGGTTTTGAAATGTGAGGACATGACATTTGGGAGGGACCAGGGGCAGAGTGATATGGTTTGGCTCTGTGTCCCTACCCAAATCTCATCTTGTAGCTCCCATTATTCCCACGTGTTGTGGGAGGGACCTGGTGTGGGTCTGGGTGGACCCACATGGAGGTGGGTTTTTTTCCTGTGCTGTTCTCATGATAGTGATAAGTCTCACAAGATCTGATGGTTTTAAAAATGGGAGTTTCCCTGCACGAGCTCTCTTCTCTTGTCTGCCGCCATTTGAGATGTGCCTTTCACCTTCCACCATGATTGTGATGCCTCCCTAGCCACATGGAATTGTAAGTCCAATAAACCTCTTTCTTTTGTAAATTGACCAATGTACAAAATTGGGTATGTATTTATCAACAGTGTGAAAACGGACTAATATACCTACCAAAGCCTGGAGCAACATTAGCCAGGAGCTTCCCAATCTGCAAGCAGAATAAATGTGTTTTCTCACAAAAGCAAATATTCTTTCTAAATGAAGTGATGACATCATGACCCAATAATCCGTTTATGAATGCTGTTGATAGATTTATTTCTGAGATTTATGACCATTTCTTTCTGAACTTAATTTATTTCTTGGGGTTATAATTAAATTTATTATTGAGAATACTATTAATGCATTTGATTTTATTTTCTTTTTTGCTACAGCCTAAACACATTTCTTAGGTCTTCTTTGATTGTTTTTTTAACTTAAGTTTTAGACTGTCAGGCAGCAACTCTGCTGCTTTCTCTGTGCCCACTTCTGTGGACTTCTCTCTACTTCCATCTGTGTGACAATCTGAAAGATAGACGACTAAGCTGATAGAGAAAGTATCAAGGGAACAGCCAGATACAGCACGATGTGAGGACATCATCTAAATCCTTGCTACCAGGTATGGGTCAGCAATATCCCTGTTGCTCACCTGCTCCCTAAATCGGACCCCAATCCTGGCTGCCATTACCGACATGGCTGTTTTCACATAACTGAGCACTACATTGCAATTAAAATAGTCAGGATGTTTAAATCAAATGTATAAGTTGAACTTAAACATTTCTAGACTTTAAAATACTTAACATATGGCAATGATATAAAACAGTTCATTTATCTTGAAGTTTCCTATAAAATAAATAATTATCCAAATCAGTGTTTAAAGACTGGGTCTTCATCTGCTTAAATATGATTTGAAAATCATTCTGCTGTGTGTTTCTAAAATATAAAATGGTGATTAAATAATTAAATGGGCAAACTTCTTTTAAATTTGTATTTTTAGCCACAGATGTTTATTTTTATTATATTTATTTATTTTATATTTATATTTATTTTTCCTAATGCATGCTGTACATACATTCTTTAGTTTCTGGCTGTAAAAATCATTCTCCTTATCACTATAAACACACACACACACTTTCATATATTATAATATCATAACTTATAATGGAGGTCACTTATATGCCAGTTCATATATAAGGTTATCTAAACCAACAAATGCAGTTACAAATCTGTTCTAGAAGTTGCCTAATAAGGTGGGATGTTTCTTATTCAAAGCCCTCTTTCAGGCCTATAGAAAATGCTCCAGTTGTTATACACAGAATTCTGTACCATGGATAAATGTTTTTATTTATTTTTCTCTCCTAGGAAACATTGCAAAATTTAAGCAAGTGTATTGACTGCTTTTTGCTTCAATTTCTATTCACTTAGACAAATAATTCAATAAGGTGTTTCATAAAAACACCTGCTCTTTCAAAATATGAAGACAGTGGCCGGGCGTGGTGGCTCACGCCTATAATCCCAGCAAAAGTGCAAAAGTGGCCTCTCAAAGGGGAGGCCAAGGCAGGCAGATCACGAGGTCAAAAGATCAAGACCATTCTGCCCAACATGGTGAAACCCCGTCTGCACTAAAAATGCAAAAATTAGCTGGGCATGGTGGCATGTGCCTGTAGTCCCAGCTTGGGAGGCTGAGGCAGGAGAATCCCTTGAACCCAGGAGGCAGAGGTTGCAGTGAGCTGAGATCATACCACTGCACTCCAGCCTGGCAACAGAGTGAGACTCCATCTCAAAAAAAAAAAAAAAAGAAAAGAAAAGAAAGAAAGTATTTTTTTAATTTCTTAATTTTCCTATAAATATAAGTATATAGAATAAGGGTAAGTGTTATGTTGGGGTGAATATAGAAATCTAAGTTTTCTCTTATACTGTGACAGAAAAAAAAGTTAGTTTTCTTTTAGAATGTTCCTCAATATTAGAGGTTACTCAGCTTTATTACACCCTGAAGTTTTCTAATCATATTCAGATAGTACATTACAAAATGTCGGGAATGAGATGCATGGTTGTTCAAACAAGAATTTACACAGGCAGACAAAAATGACAGCAGCAGCAGGAAGCCTACATTTATAATATATATATATATATATATATACACACACACACTCATGGAATTCCACAAAATTATAATCCAAATAGGAGTGTGGACACTCTCATATAAGAGATTTTGAACAGGTCATGGTGCCAGTTTCAAAGGCACTGGGCTAATTAGTATTAATTGTATTTCTGCAGTTTCTTGTTACCAGCAGAATAAAAGTCAAAGTGCTTAGCTTCTCTGATATTTGGAAAAGTCTCATCCATTGCACTGTGTTAACCCCTCCCACTCCCGTGGCCTGTATACTAGCCACATGGCACAGTCTGATAGCTCACAAATGCTGTGGGTTCAGGCCTCCATGCTTTTGCCAGAGCTGCTGTCATTCACGTAAGATTCTGTTCTCCTAAATTTACCTGAAAACACTACTCCTTCTTTGTGCTACCATTGGATGCAATATCCAGTGACCTGTCTGTGCAGGGGTCTCCCTAACAGACTGTGAGACTTGAGAAGACTGTACTTATCTATTTCTCATTCCTTTATTTTTGGCCAAGCACTGGACACTTGCTATTTATCACACAGCAGGCACTTGGCAAGGATCAAACCTCACAGCACTTCTTCTGTAAGACATGGCGCTAATGCGATCCATGCACCAGAAAACAAGCGGCCATCCCTTGGATAATGTTTCATAACTTTTGTTCAATGGTGTTCAAAATCTTTAAAAATACTGAATAACTCTTTACTCAATAAACAACTTTTAAAAGATAAAAAGAGGTAAAGATCAATCTGCTAGAGTTCAAATGGGTCAGAGGCCAGGAGTGCATCCAGTTGTGAGCCCCCCACCAACTCCCCCCATAAAGGCTCAGCATGGCACCTTTCACCAAAGACTGCAATGGGTGAATATCGCAGTACATTTGATGACCAGTCATTAACCAATAACCTCTGACCTTTGAGATGCAGGCAAGAGGGCTGGAAGGAATCTTTGGGATAAATTATCCCCACTCTTGACCTTACCACCCTTATTTCTTTACCTTGTTGCATTGAATTGGCTGTGATCTCCAGTACAATATGGTATTGAACGCTAGCAGCCCTGGCAGGAATCCTAGGCTTTTTCTTGACTTTAACAGAAAGGCTTCTAACCTTTCATCACTAAGTATGATAATGTTTGTGGTAAGATTTTAATAGGTATCCTTCATAAGGTGAAAGAAGCTCCCATTCACTCTATGAATTATTCACTCACAATTCATATTAGGATGAGTGTTAAACTTATCAAATGTTTATTCTACATCTATTGAAATGATTGTAACATTCTTTCTCTCTTAATCTTGTTAACATAAAATGTATTATTTACAAGATTCTCCACTTGGTCATTATAAATATCATATTGTGAATATGACTATATAAATATAAGTGAAATGTAAATATGTGTGTATACATGTGTAATTTATATTTAAATCCTGATGAATTTACTCTGTACAAGATTGTACAGTCTGTACACTGCACAAAAGGAGCTGTGTGAGAGCGTGGAAATTCAGACAGAATCACCTCTTAAACCCTGAGTCTTGAAATAGGGCTCTCTGTGCCCAGGTGAAGGGACCTTCAGCAGGGTAAACCTGTTCTACTTCACACAAAGGCACTTTCAGGATAGCAATGCCTCTGGATGCCATTTATTTCTAATTCTCAGGCCCAACTCCATTTACCCAGTAACCAAGCACTGGACATATTAGCTTGGGTGAACCTGCTACAAAAGTCCTCGCTTTAAAACGAACTTCCATTTCCATCTGCTGATAGCTCTTTAACTTCTAATGCCTTTGCCTACTCCTAAAGGTGGCCCTGAAAAATGCCGTGAAAGTTTAAGTAAAGAAGAGAAAGATAATACAACTTAAAATGTTGAAAGAACTCTTCTCTGCATGTCTCCTTACAAATATGATGACGGTTGGGGGACTTCTGGTGCAACTGTTTGATCTGTGCAGCTGGCCTCAAACCTGAAACAGACAGTTCTCCACTAATCTGAATGCTGCCAATGTGTTTCACACAATGCCTAAGAAACTACTCATGGAGCAGCTACTTTATGCCAGGCACTGAGAATGTCCTGAGGATGCAATGATGAACCAAAGAGACAGGGCACCTGCAACCGGGGAGTTTGGAATCTCAAGCGATTTTCCAAGAGTCTCCATTCGTCCCTCATACAGAAGGGCACAGGAAAGCCCCGGCATCACCAACTTCCTCTCACTTTGTGTTCACCAGTGACTTTACCCTAAGATAGTTACGAGAGCATGATTTATAATGTAAAGCTGTGCCAAGCAAATATCTGTCCTCCACTGAGATATAAATGAAATGTCTGCAAAGTGCCAGGCTTGTAAAACCTCCTTTGGTAATAGGAGGCCTGTTGTAAGTAGTTATGTAGAAAGCTTATCATTTTTACCTTCAGTGCTTAGGCTGGGAGTTAATTCAGATTCCTCTCAAACCAAGGAAGCACAAGCTGAGAAGCTCACAGTAAACTCACAGTCACCCCTACTCAGAGGCCTCTGCTACACAAACAGCAGTGCTAAAGCAACAAATGGAAGTTTCAAATTCTGTTGTGGGAAAAGGAACCAAGTCTACTTAGAAAAACTTACAATGTCCATTGATTACTTTTCTTTCCCCACAAAACATGAAGTAAAAGATAGAAGCCAACTGTCAGAATTTTAAAAATCAACGATTTGTATCAGAATGAAATGGTGTTTCCCTTGTCCAGATTTATCTTGTTATACTGTAGATGTACCCATGGGGTACATCTGAGAAAAACAGGGCTCTGTAGAGCTGAGGATGACAATCCAGACAAGGATAGAGCAGTGTAGGTCCTGAGAAGTTTGTGTAAGATATGTGCACCCGAGGAGAAGCCTGCCAAATCTCTTCAGGAAGGCACACACATGGAAGTACATCTCCTTACAAGCACTAGATTTGTGGTTTACAAAATTCAGCATAAATCACAATGGGTCGGAATTATTTCTATTTCAAGTTTAAGACACAGGCTAAAAGACCCATTTGTTTTCATGAGATTTGCAGTTCAAAACACAACAACCCTACTGAAGACCCACAGGCCAACCTGTATTCTGTCACATAAACCATGAGGGCTCCTCAGTGGACATAATGCGGCACCCTCAGGACCATAAGCAAGCCACTACCACAATTCTAGGAAAACAACAGAGCCTCAGCCAATTCCAATGACAACCCCTCTTATTGAAACAAACATCTTGGCATCACCATTTGTATGACAGTCCTGTTGAGCACTGACCTCCTGAAGTCTCAGTAACCACCCAAGAAAACCCAAATGATGGCATGAGACTTTTTCAGAGAAGCCTGGCTCATGTACAAGGAGCTTAAAGTTATGAGCTTGAATCCTTCCATTCTTTGAACACCTGTGGCTTGCTTTCAACTATGATACTTTCTATCAGGCATCTGTATTATTCGGTCTTGGGATCTTTCTGATTCCAGAGTGAGAGCTCCTTAAGGTCAAGCTCAGCAAGTCAACCAGATTCATATTCCACCCAGCTGCATCCTGAGCGATGCCTCATACTCATGGTTGTTCCAGGCTTATTGTGAGACAACTAAGCTGCACTAGATGACTAGACTGGGGTTGATGTGCATGAGGTGCAGCATGGGAAATAAGACTGTATTTGTCGAATGCACAGGGTGATGGCCCCAAAAGGGCTCAAGGCCATTATGTTTACAATTTTATTTACAGGAGGAAGCTCAAATATTGGAATTCGCACCATTTTAAAGTATGAGATTCAGATTTCTTTTCTAATGAGGCTCTCTATAATAGTTGCATGTGCTCAATCAATTCTTGCCTGTGGGGACCTGATAAGGTCCTGGAAGATCCCTGCCAAGTATTACCTAATATCAAAACCAATTTTAATGACTGTACACTATTACTGCAGGAACACGGAGTTTCAGTGCTAACATTTTACCATTTGGAGCAGCCCTGCAAAGCTAATTAGAAAGAATTTGAAATAATTTAAGAATATGAACAGGAAATGAGATGTTCATAAGCAAATATCATGGAAAGAAAAGTTAAATGTGGACTAAGAGTAGCTCCATTTTAGTGTGAAGAATCTCTTTGAATGAGAACACAAAATGTGTTGCATTGTAAGAGATAGTAAGAATGAACCCAAGAGTAGATAAGAACAATATAATACACAAGAATAATCACTTCATTTGGAAAGGTGGTGACACTCTTTTCCCAAATTGCCATTACCTTTTTAAAAAATCACACATACATTAAATAACTAGGTTCATTTATTCACTACCCTACACTCTGCAAGGTGTTGAGAAAACAATAGTGAAAAAAATATTGTCCCTGATTGTAAAATCATAAAATGTCATTTTTTAGTATTAGTAAGCTTTGAAACAAATTAGTTCATCTAATAGTGTAGTGGAAATTTCTTCTCTGAAATTGAACTAAATCCAAGTTTATATAACTTATTTTGAAGAAACATTAAACTTAAAATTGAGTTTTTTAAGATTAGGAGTACTTACTAAGGTAAATAAATTGTGATAAGGAAGGAAGTTGTAACTAAAGTTGAAGAATGATTGTGGGAAAGGAGAATATGGCTACATACATATATCTGAAACCATAACATTATGTATGTATATACAATCAGATAGCTTCCCTCTTTTAGATAGTAAGATCAACATGCTTTCTTCCCTGTAAGAAAAAATAATTTAAAACATGATGTAACATATTTTTTGAATTATTAACAGAGTTCTACTGTGTAAATTTTAACCCAAGAAAGTTGGTACAGGTCTAATTATGCAACTGTGACAGCAAGCTAAAAGAACTGAATGGCCGGGCGTGGTAGCTCATGCCTATAATCCCAGCACTTTGGGAGGCTGAGGCAGGTGGCTCACGAGGTCAGGAGTTCAAGACCAGCCTGACGAATATGGTGAAACCCCGTCTCTACTAAAAATATAAAAGTTAGCTGGGCCTGGTGGCGCACGCCTGTAGTCCCATCTACTCGGGAGGCTGAGGCAGGAGAATCGGTTGAGCTCGTGAGGCGGAGCTTGCAGTGAACTGAGATTCAGCCTGGGTGACAGAGTGAGACTCTGTCTCAAAAAAAAACAAAAAAACAAAACAAAAAAAAACCGAATGACTGTGCACCCCCATGCCTGGTACTCAAGCCCTTTCAGGAATGATGACTACTCACTTTCCAGATCTGTCCCTTGCCGCATCCCTGTACACATCCTGTAGCCCACAAGTGACTGTGCTTCCAGTGTTAGGTGTGAATCCCATGTCCTTGGGTTCACAGCCTGCACACAGAGACTTTCAGGGAAGCTCCTCCTCTTAACTTGGCCGAGTCCTGCCCACACCTGTTGGTGCCCTTGACCCTCCACACCTGTTGGTGCCCTTGACCCTCACTTCCTCCTCCTCATGTTCCACTCAGTGTTCTCTCATAATTGCTCTGATGGCATTTATTACTTCGTTATTATTTAGCAATTTGAATTATGTTTTTTTCTCCTAAGCCAGAAAGGAGGCTCCTTGAGAAAGTTTACTGTATCCATCTACATGGGTTCCCTTGCACCAATTCTTTACACACAGTATGTAGTCAACATGTTTTCATTGACTAAATACATAGATGAAAGATCTGAAAATTCTGCAAAGTATAGTACCACAGACATGAATCAGTCATTGAAGTCATTGAGAATTTTCTTTTCTTCCACATGCAAAATTATTTCAAATGAACAGTATCATGTGAGATCACACCAAGCATTAGAGAAATTAATGATCAAAGATGATGCATGTAACAGGCAGAGTTTCTTTCTTCCTCTTCAGTTTCAGACGTCAAGGCCTTATTACTGAAAGCTATTAGCAGTTGCAAGAAGATAAGAGAAATAAACCAATTAAATGAGCTTCATAATGAAAACTGCCCAGCAAATGTCAGAGGCTCCTCTAAATGTCTGGATTCCATCTGTCTGCCTCTGCCATTTTGTATCTCTCTCTTTTGAGTTTGAGAGGCTTATTGTTCCAGAGCTTCTGACTTTATGTGCGGAGCCCGAATAATTTTATAAGACAGATTTCACAGTCCTTCTTTCAGTCACTGTCATTTTTCTCACACAATGACATTAGAGGTCCTTCGAGGATTGCTTTCTAATAATCTCAAATAGGGCAATTTCGTGGGATTAGGATAGACTGAAACAGATGTGGAAAACACTTTACATCATGATAGAAGCAAGATGCCAAATAATAGTGTGTGGGATGTTACTTTCTCATGCAGCACGGCTTATAAAATACTGTAGGAATGTGACATGGAATGTGAAGAGTGTTCTTTGCAACTCTTCCTTCCACAGTAGAACCTCACGAGATTCTGCAAGTCAAATAGATCTTGAAAAAAAAATATGCCATGGAGGGAAATGAAGGGACAAGTGTTCAGAAATGACAGTTACTGTGGCACACTATCAGGCCACAGAGAAAACCAGCTATTTATTTACTTATATTGACATATTTTGAAGGCTTCTAAATATAACCTTGTATTCCTCTTTAGAAATATTAACAAACTAACACAAAAACAGAAAACCAAACACTACATGTTCTCACTCATAAGTGAGAGTTGAACAGTGAGAACACATGGACATGGGGAGGGGAACATCACACACTGAGGCCTGTCGGTGGGGGTCTGGGGCTGGGAAGGGATAGCATTAGGAGGAACACCTAATGTAGATGATGGGTTGATGGGTGCAGCAAACCACCATGGCACGTGTATACCTATGTAACAAACCTGCACATTCAGCACATGTACCCCAGAACTTAAAGTATCATAAAAAAATTAAAAATAAAAATATAGTAGCCGCTGTTGTGCCCTTTCTCACATTCACGTAGAAGAGATCTGAACTAGGCTCCAGTTCTTAAAAACTTTTAGGATTACTAAAGGGATAGTGTTTGGGAAGAAAGAAACAATGGAATCTATAAAAAATAGTCAATGTTTTGAAATAATTTTTCACACTCCAACACCTGTTGTTTCTTCTTTAATTACAAGTTGCCTCAAAAATTATTATGTGTGCAAGTTGTTTTAACAACTGAAATGACACATGCTCAGTAATACCATTGGAGGCACTCCGATGAAATAATTTAAAAATGGAAACTGCAAATCTTAAGCAAAACACAAATTAAAACATATTGTTGATATAATTAAGCATTTCTGTCACTTCTACCAAAGGAAGCATGGTTTGCCATGAGGCAAACCAAACGAGTATAATGCAATCAAAACATATTTTGAAAGTCTCTGGCTGCATTTGTATAAACATGTGAACTGTTCCTATAGCATGCCTCATTCTTGTTCATTGAACATTGGTATTAAGATTATATTGCGTATTGCAAATAATGCTACAGTGAACATGGGAAAGCAGGTGCTTTACGAGGTAGTGATTTAATTTCCTTTGGGTATATGCCCAGAAGACGGCTAGTAGGGTCCTATGGTAATTCTATTTTTAATTTTCTAAGGAATCTCCACACTGTTTTCCATACTGGCTGTACCGGCCTACATCTCCACCAACAGAGTACAATCTACATTCTTTACACCCTCACCAGCACTTGTTATCTCCTGTCTTTTTTATAGTACCTGTCCTAACAGGTGTACTCATGTAGCAAATTTCTGAATACAACACACCATCATTAACTATAGTCCTAATGTTATACGTTAGGTCTTTCAAGGTGTTCATTCTACATATTTGCTACTTTGTGTTATTTGACCTATATCTCCTCATTCCCCCTGCACTCTCCTGCCAACCTAACAACCACTGTTTTATTTTCTCTCTCCATATATGAGACCTTTTGTTTTTTATATTTCACATCTAAGTGAGATAATGCACTATTTCTCTTTCTTTGTTTGGTTTATTTTATTTAGCATAATGTGTGCCACATCCATCCATGCTGTGACAAATCACAGGATCTCATTTTTAAGGCTGTATAATATTCCACTGTGTGTGTGTGTGTGTGTGTGTGTGTGTGTGTGTGTGTGTCCCACAGCTTCTTTATCCATTCATCTATTGATGGACACTTAAGCTGTTTCCAAATGAAATGGCAACCTACATGTTGGGAAAAATATTTGCAAAGTATACATCAGATAAGGGATTAATATCCAAGGTATATAAAGAACTCATACAACATGATAAAAAAAATATATATGACCCAATTAAGAAATGTCAAGGGACTTGAAAAGAAATTTCTCCAAAGACATAAAAATAGCCAAAAGGTACATGAAAAGCTGCTCAACATCACTGGTCATCAGGAAAACACAAATCAAAACCACTATGAGATGTCACCTTACGCCTGTTAGGACAGGTACTCTCTATGATGAAAAAACAGTAGACTTTTCATCATAGAGAGGAAAAACGAGTAACTATGAGAGAAGGTGGATATATTAATTTGTTCCACTATAGTAATCATATGACTATATGTACCTTTTACCATCATGCTGTATATCTTAAATATACACGATAAAATTTACTTTAAAAAGAGGGGGGAAAAAGCATACTGTGAACAGTAGCATCAACACACCAAAACAATGTAAATAAAAGACAGGTACCCAGAGCATTTTGATTTAAGCCTCACAAGTAGTAATACTGCCCCAGGTTTAAGTAGAGACCACACTTCCCTTATTTACACTGGTATCCCCAGAGTCCATCACAGGGTAGAAGCTTATTCTTTATTAAATAAATGGTGGAATAAAAATGGGTAAAAAACCAAAATGCTCAGATTCTAGGTACAGAGTGTGAGCTCAGGTAAACCTCTCTTAATACTATGATGTATGCAGGGATTTGAACCTGAACAAACCAAATGAAGACCACGCCATAAGCAGCATAGTCAATTAAGGAGATGACAATATCTTTTGAGCAGATGTATGTCTCTGAAGCTTTTTGTTCAATTCTCTACTTACTTCATTTTAGAAAGGTATTGGAAATGAGTCTGCTGAGAGGCAATATGCTGGCCTCTGCAATATGGAACCTACAATGGGTAATGTCTCAGGTGATCTCCACCTTTTCTGTACATTGAATGAGCAGAGCTAATATCAATTAGACCCACAGGTTTCAGATTGGGATCCTGGGGTGGGGAGAGTGTTACTCTCACTCAGTCATGGCCCAAGTGCCATATGGCATGGAATGTCTCCTGGAACCATGGCCCAGCCTGTACAACAAGGTGATGGACTGAAATAGGACTTTAAAAGGTAGAATGAGCTATACAAAGATGCAAATGAATACAAGAGCCCAGCCTTGATGCTACAAGTTGCACAACACAAAAAGGGAGTACTTGGCTGTTGGTAAGAGGGACAACATCAGTACATCACTTAAGTTGGCTGGATAGCCAAATCTCTTTTTAAAAAATAAGGGCTGAGTGTGGTGGCTCATGGCTATAATCCCAGCACTTTGGGAGGCTGAAACAGGTGGGTCACTTGAGGTCGGGAGTTTAAGACCAGCCTGGCCAACATGGTGAAACCCCGTCTCTACTAAAAACATAAAAATTAGCTGACTGTGGTATCAAGTGCCTGTAATCCAGTTACTCGGGAGGCTGAGGCAGAAGAATC
This sequence comes from Homo sapiens, assembly GCF_000001405.40. Classification (NCBI taxonomy): domain Eukaryota; kingdom Metazoa; phylum Chordata; class Mammalia; order Primates; family Hominidae; genus Homo; species Homo sapiens. Next base: position 9,098,158 of record NC_000005.10, read on the forward strand.
ACTTGAACATGGGAGGCAGAGGTTGCAGTGAACTGAGATCATGCCACTGCACTCCAGGCAACAGAGTGAGACTCTGTCTCAATAAATAAATAAATAAATAAATAAATAAATAAATAAATAAAATGAACAAGCAACACTACTCCAGGAGACTACTGTCTTTTAATTTCAGTAGCAAGTGCTCGGTAGAATCAGAAGTAGACAAGGTGAGCTACAGAAATTGACCAAAAACATGTGTCCAATTTGAAGGGAACATTTAATTGACTAAAAAGCCCAGTGAGTGTTCTTTATGGATAATCAATTGATTAGCTCAAATCCGTCAGCAGCACTACAATCAATGACGGAAGATGCATTTGGAAAAGAATATTGTCTGATTGTTTTTAAATAAACTTCTATTAAGACTTTAAATCTAGAGAGTCACTCTTAATTACTCATTTTTAACAGTTAAAAAATCTGACATTTAAAAAACCAGAGACATGGGTTCCATCTGACTGAGCATTTGCTATGCCTTTAACAGAATCTGTTTGTTCTGCATGTACTGCCTACTCGTGTAGGCCTATAAAATATTTTTTAAATTGTGGCCATTTAGTAGAAATTATTACAATTGAAATACTATTATTGTGTCTCCACATATAAGTTCTAGGTATTTTAATATCAAGTATTGAATAATCTTTATCATGGAATTTATTGGAAAGTTATAAAGGAAAAATGTGTGTGTGTGTACAATTTAAGTCACTTTTACAGTAGGAAATCTCTTCATGAAAACTTCTTTCAATTAACTTTGCAATCACTGTATTTGAATTATTGTAGGCATAAAAAATTTTTAAAAACTATAGAAATGTACAACAGAGTCTTCCAACATTATAAATAAAACATTTTTGTGAAATATTCCAGATCTCCATACCAATTGCAATTTCCAGAGATTGTAGATGATTATTTATATGTCCTAGAGGCAGACTCTTGATGGATTAATTCCTATAATCCATCATTTTTCTTTTCTCTCCATCTGTGCCATACATCATTCTTAAGCTTGATTGCGAAACTTTCAGTGCCAAATTTTAGAAAACTTATACTTTTGTGGCCATCTGCTGTACCACTCAATTTTGTGTACTGATATTAACTTTCTCAAAAAGCTTAAGCATCCTTTAACAACATGTGGCATTTTCACTTTGACAATCTTTCATATTTGCAAGCTCTTCACTGAGATATTTTATTAAAAAAAAGAAAACAAACTTTGCATTCCAGTGTTTGTGAAGATATAATATCCAGTTTCAGCAAGGGAGATCAATTATTCCCTTTACGGAAGAATATTGGGAAATATAAGTGAATGGATTTTACAACCACAATGCAATGGAAGAGTTCAGGTTGCAACCTTCTTCATAAAGGTCAAGGTCATGTCTTTAGCTTTCATGGAAATGGGTCACTTGAAAATCCTAGATCATCTCCATCAGATACAGCAATTATTAAGGAGGGACATGTCTTTCCCCATCAGCTACTGAACGGTATTTGAAGGGTAGCTTCCACAAAGGGGAGGGGAAATACAAAGCAGTTAGAATGATTTTGACTCAGACTAGCTGAAGCCACCAGAGCTTTTGATTTCACACATCAGGCTGTGCCCAACAAGGTGGATTTTGGGGAGATGAGCCCCTTGGTGTCCTTAGCTCTGTCTCCCTGCTTTGCTCCTGTCCTCCTCCTCCCTGACCTAGCTACTCTCAAGGCTGCCAGCTAGTGGGCAGCAGCTCCAGCTTCACTCTCGACACTCTGTGTGCAGAGAAAGAAAGGGCCTTCCTGTCCTGTATCTCTCTCTATGGAGAAGAGAGAACCTTTCCAGAAAAATGACTTTTCTTTCATGTGTCCCAGGCAAGAATTGGTCCACACAATGGAGAAGCCGTGTGCTAAATAAATATGCCTGGCAGAAAGTGGAGTGCCATCTGGCCTAATAATGGGTATCCATGGCTATGCGATGACTGGGAAGTTCTCACCAGTCCATGGGACCTGTAAGGCAGGAGGGCTCCAGATTGTGTTTAACCCCAATTATTGGACTGCAGCCTCAGAAATCCTGTTCTTATTGGTCCATTCTACTATGGTCAGGATTTGTTTTCACAAAGCCAGGTGTAGATGTGCTTTTGGGGCCGCACAGCCCCTCAGCCTCCTGTGGTCCCAGCTGCGGGCAAAATGGTGGTCAGTTCTTTGCCAGACACATCCACCTGGGGCACACACTTCCCTTCCTGTGGCTTTCCATGTTGGGAGTCTTCTCTGAAGCCCCAGGAGACTGCTGGGTTAGTGAAAGTGCAGCCTGGGTGCATCCTCAACCAATGGTAGCTGGGAAGGTGACACACTCCCGAGAGGCATTTACAGGCTTCTCAGAAAATCAGTTCTGCTGCCCTTAGCAGTGACCTTGGTGACAAACCCTAATAGGAGCTTTTCCCTCTTTCCTGCCTCACCCTGTCATCCTCTCCACCTGCTGCTGTCGACATATAAAAAACCACCTGCCCTAAACCCCTGTCTTGTCTCAAAATCTACTTTAAACAGGGGCCAAGCTATGATGCCAGAATTTTCACTCTCAGCTCCTATTCCCATGATGAAGAAAATAGTCCAAAATAATGGTTGGGATCCTACATGTCTCGGAGGCTTTGAAGAACACACTGAGTTTTTATGCACTCAGTTCAGGGCTAGGGTGGCAGCCAGGATGTGCTGCCCTTTTTCAGAAGTGCTACTCACATCTCCATAATGTTTAATACTCCCTTTGGAATTCTGCAGTGCACAACCTGCACAACTGTATGCATTGCCTTTGGAGGAGAAAGTGAAAAAAAAGGAGAAAGATGGGCATCACTTCTCAGATGCATCTAGATATCTGGGGCTTTCCCAAGGTTTCTTGCATTCTTCTGGACCCTCAGTTACATGCACAGTCTGAAGCCACCAGGGATTATCTCAATAAGTGCTTAACTGTTTTCGGTTTTTAGTTAGAACCATTCACTTTATCGAATCTCATATAGGTCATATTTAGCTAGATACAACAAACTTCTATAAGCTCATTGGTGTTTAAGTTAATCTTATGAAAACTACAGTCCTTAACCTTTTCAATTACTTATCAAATATTAGATGAGGCCACACAGTGTAGTGGGGGAAACAAGCAGGCCACCATTATAAATGTCTGGCTTTGAGGCTGGCAACCTTCCTACAACCTGGACCATCTCGCTTCTTTGCTCCAATTTCTACATCTATAAGTTGGTTACACTAACAACAATACTACTTCATTGGATTATTGGGAGGAATTCCTCACTCATTCCCTAAGAAGCACTTTAAACAATACCTGGCATGTAGCAATTATAATGACAGATGATGATGATGGTGATGAAGAATATTATTTTTATCTATAAAAATTCTGTATGTTTTCAGTGGAGTTAGAGTCAACTATTTTATGTATTTCTTAAACTTTATTTTAGAAAATTTCCTTTCTAGGATTATAAAATGGTATTTTCATGAGCAATGGATAAACTTAGTTGTATCTAATCCAGGTCCACCGGCTTGTTAAAGTAAGAACAGCTTCCAGACACATCAATAAGTAAGCCATACAAATAGCCTACTATTCATATAGGGTCTGCATTAGTACCCTATTCAATAGTAGCCTATATGAATAGCTTACTATTCATATAGGGTCTGCATCTGTGAGGTTTCAAGGGTATTATTAAGGGCAGCAAATAAACTTGGAAATGGGTCTACGTCCAATGTAAAATAACAACCCTTTAACAAACACAAATAATTCAGTGTGAGCTGCCAATGTTCAAGTATCCACAGCTTAGCATATATTGGGGTGACATTGCCCAAACATAACCAAATAAACAAAAATAAGTGAATAAGAAGAAAACTTTTCATATATCTCTTCATAACAACCCACCTGCCATCTAAGGCAGGACTATGAATCTCTAGAAAGCCACGGTTCAAAAATGAGGAAACACCAAATATGAATACAAAGGGAACTAACGATTACAAACAAGCAAGCAGCCAATTTTAAAACAGACTGTTCAATTGTAAAACTGTCAATCTCTCTCAGGCTACCTCTCCTCTATATTTTATGATGAAAGGAAGTGCCAGCTGTCCCATTTGAATAAAAGTACACACCATTGCAAGGAGGTTGCTATGCTCTTGAAAATATTTTAGTACTAAAAATTAAATGGGGAACTAGAGATACTTTTTTGAAGTCTAGGAAGACAGGAAATGAGTATTTCTAAAACCCACAGGAATACATTGTCCATGGAACACGAAGATGCTGCTCACCTGATACCAGCCAAATAGGAAACTTACAGATAAAATTGTCCCAGAAATCAAAATTCTATTAGAGTCTTATAAGGATATAGAGTCTTACAAGAGCATTCACAAGGATGCTCAGAAAATGTTTTATGAAATGTATCCTGAAAAATATAGTATTTATATCATTAAATTATTTATACTTACTAAAACAGCATTGTCAGAAGTTGAAATTAAAACATTTCTTGAAATAAAACTACAAAAATCATCTACAGTATGCTTTAAATATCACCAAATTAAGAACAATACAATTATTAAAATTTATACGAAAATATTTACAATAAGCAGTGGTTTGTAGAAAAATCCTGAACATGGATTCAGAACTCTAATTCTGAATCAGAGCAGTAATATTAGGCAGATGAGGCTATATGCAGCTCCTACTTTTTAAAACTTGAGTAAAATGTGAGCCTCAAATAGTTTTTGTTGTATTAGTGAGGTTGTTTAAAATTGGGCTTACACATACATCACTGGCCAGAGGCAAACACAGCTGAGACTGTTGAGAAATACGACTGGAGCTAAACAAATACAAAATATACCTGTTTGGGGCTTTTGAATGGTCTACTTTCATGGGTATGAGATATTAGATCTTTCCCATTAATCTCACTGTTCTTGTTCGTATACTTGCTGAGGGAGACACAGCACCCTGGATTGTCTCAGGACCTCTGAGTGGAAAGACCTGGACCGGGGGTCTTGCTGTCTCCAGTTGCAGGGTTTTTGGGTACCTAACTGGTTTTCTACAGGTCTCGATTTTCTCATTTGGAAAATCAGGAAAACACGAGACGACCTTCCCCAAAGCATTCTGCAGACCCTAATGTGCTACACAAAAATGTGATATTTTGTAATGCCTGTCATTATTTTCATGTGTCACAACCTATTTAAACTTCCAATGGCCACGTTTCATTTGCTCTGAAGATTATCCATTGTGCCATTATTTGACACAAACAAATGTTAGTGTGTTATATCAACTCTGACTGACCCTCGCAGAATCCCTTTTGACAGCATGTATTGATTATAATGTCTTTCTTCTTGACCTTTCCAGGCTTTCTGTGGTCTGGTTCTTTTGTATCTAGGAAATAAATATCTCCCCTGTGCTCCCTGTTGCTCTCTTAAATCATAGCTTGTGGTCAATTGTTTCACGCTTTACATGATATTTCAGTAAGAAATATAGTGCTGCCAAATACTAAGTCTGCTGTTCTTTGTAAATTATTTTTGCTGTATCTGACGCTGTCTTTGGCTCTGATACAGCAAAAAATAAGGTAAATCTGCTAAACCTTTGAGGAAATTTTGAGTTGCATTAATTTAAGAAGTAATTCTATGTATACAACATAACATTTTATATCTTTCTTCCTTTCATGTGTTGTAATTTTCAGCCAAAATGTAGAGTTAAGATTTGTGTTACGAGTTTATCTTCGATTAATTCCTATGCTCATGATGATCTCCTAATAGTACTCTTATGGTTGGCTGAAATGATCACAATATTATAAAAATCAAGAGTGTAAATCAAGAGAAGAGCTATAGAAAGACAAAAAGCTCCTCCTTCTTTTAAGCTACACTTCAACCTAAATAGGAGTAAAGTAAGGCTTATCATTTATCACTTAACATTGGGCAAATAAATTATACAAATGGAGTTGTGTCATTAAATTCTATTTGTGCCCAGAGGACCAGTTCTCAAATGCTGGTCCAGTCCCCCACTGGCAACTTGCTACTGGGCAAGTTCATTAATCTTTCTCAGGCTGATTTTTTTTCCATCTCCAAGCAGAGGTAATAATGAAAACTGCCTTGCAGGGATACAGAGAGAATAAACATAATAAATTTTAATTACTCTTAGTGCAGTGCATGGCATGTAGTAGGCACTCAACAAAAGTTATTTTATGATGTAATACAGGATTTCAGGCAATCATTAAATATTAACTCCAGTATGTGTAGTTATAACTTAATTTCAATATTTAATTTGACATCACCTAGTAAGTTGGGATTTGCAAGTCTTCATCCAACAACAATTGTTACAGTTACTATTGTCAAAATAGGGTTAAAAGGAAACACACATATGACAGTGACAATCATTTCTATTTTATAAATGTCTATGTTAGACTTGGCACTGGGCTAGGATATATAGAAATATTAGGTACTATATGTAATCCTCTAAACAGCTCTGTCATTCAAGTGTTCATGCTTCATATTTCATTTGAAAACAACCATGTGGAGAAGTAGAACAGCAGGTCAAATCTCACAGTGACTCAGAGGCAGAGCCCCTCTGACCCACCACCCTGCTCCTTCCACCCGCTCTGTGAAGCCACAGGCATGCAGGGCTGACATGCAGACCTGGAGAGCAGCACCAAGGACCAGAGGACCCCAGATGCTCCTGTGGGTTTAGCCTACTTGGAAGTGGGGAGTAAACATCTGTGTTTTAAGTGTCTCATTCTGAGCTCACTGGAGCTATGAGCCACCAGGGAGGGACATTTGCTAGAAGTGGTCCCTCAATCAGCTGGACACATGTGCCCCAGGGTCCAGAGAAGGAATGCCAGGGTCACAGAATCATCAATTTCAGGGTCTGGCCCTGCACTTTGCAGAGCAAGACAGAAGCCCAGAGGGCAGTGAATGCATCTCAAGTTCACAGAGTTAAGTGACAGCACAAGATCCAGGTCCTCCCTCTGTGTCTGTCAATCAGCTCCCCGAACTAATCCAAGGCTCTGGGTTTCCCAAGCTTTTGACATTGAGCAATTTACGAGTAGGGATTCATGGAGAGAACTAATAGCTCTTGGCAAGGGTCCTTCACTGCCTCTTTATTGAGATTCAAATAAAGGCTTGGTGACTTAGTCTAAGACAAGGATGTAGAAATTTCACAAGTGAAGCTGGGAAAATCCTTTCATGAAATTTCAGCTTTAAAGTGTTGGCAGAAGCAGAGATTCTTGAGTCTTTTCTAACCGATGCATACTTGAACTTGAAATAATCAATTCTTTCTTTTTCATAAACTGCTATAATAATCAGGAAATTGAGGTTTTTATACTTTCCACAAACATATTCTGTATTATATAAATGACATTTCATTAGCTGACTCCCATTTTTAATAAGCTGGAACTCAGAGAAGCAGCTGAAGCCCATGGATAACAATTAAAGAAATGAGACTAGGAAGGAGCACTCAAACGTGAGACCTGCCAGACCTTACGGATGGCACCCTCCTTGATACAGGAGCTCTCAGTAGGAAAAACCATCACCGCCTTCTCCAAGGATGACACTGAGACTCAGAAATGTCACCTCTTGTTATCCAGCCACACACACTGGTCACTTCATGTCTCAAAAATCAATACTTTTTTTATACTTACAGCTACTATCTTGATAATAGAACTCAATAAAAACCGAACCCTTTGTGGACAAAGATTTACGAACTGCAGCTAGAATATGAAGACCAAAAATGTTGCTTTAGCTAGGTAACTATCATTTTTAAATCAACTTCTTAGGAATTCAACTGATAGTATAGATCTTCCAAACAATCCAAAGAAACCGAGCCCTTCCTTTCTACTGTTTGCATTCCTCAATTAGTGTGAGCTGGCATTCCTGCCTTAGGACAGACAGAAACCAAAATGCATGGGAGAAGACACGTCAGAAGAAAAATATACTCCTACCACTGAGAAGTGGATTGCTCCTCATTGCCGCAATAACACCTTCCTAGAAGTAGACTACCAAAAGGCTAAGTTTGGTGGTACAAACAAAAAGAAAAACAAACCTTTAAATTTCCCAAAAAGTGACAATAGTCTCTTTGGAGACATATGTGTTATTCTGGATTTGAAAGCAGTGGTTACATTTGTTTCATAAACTGTAATTCTATAATAAATAAAGCAATAAATACATTGATATTTTAGAAAGACCTTCAATTTTTACATTTATCATCAGATGGATGTCACACATACACACATAGGAACTACATAAAAATGCTACATTATTGCTTAATATAATTTTTTTATTCATTAAGCTATATTTGAAGGTAATTATAAAAGTCAATGAACAATGAGAAAATTAATGATGTGGACTGTTCTCTGAATTTTTCACACTGCAATGTATTTAGAAACTAGGGTGTGAGATCAACCCAGATCATCCATTCCTGTGGTTTCCCAGCAAATGAGACAAACCTTGACATGGCAATGCAGACCTCAGGGGGCACACATCATGCCACCAGGAACAAAACATGACATTCTTCAGCAAAATACAAAGTTATCCCATTTGAATGGTTTTCCTAGAACATGTGAGTGTTCATAAATTTGTCATTTTAAAATTATTTAAAATAAATAGTTTTAAATGTCAGCATCTGAAATATCAATAAATATACATCGTAATGAAGATTTTTCATGGTCTACAGTTAGTTCAGGCTGATCTGGAAAGAAGTGTCTTTATAATCAGTACTAGACTATATGAGAGCTACGACAGTATCTTTTCCATTGTGAAGGGGAAGAAATCTAATTGTAATTTCCAATAACAGAAATCTCCTTGGGTCTGGTGTAATATCTGACAAAGAACCTCATATCCCTCTTCCTTTCTGAGAATTTCCCAAGGATATCTCGGCTGTGTGGTTTTTGCATGTCACAAAAGCAGGCTTTACAGCAGCACAAAAGCATTGCTCAGCCTCACAAACCAAAGGATAAAGATGCTGCAAAGGCCAACTGGAAAGATCAGTGAGGAAGCAATTTAGCCAGACCTTCTCGTGCTGAGCTTCTCCATCAAACCTTTGCCACTGTCTGTGTCCACTCTGTGCAGCCAGCACCAGAGGCAGGTGAGTAAGGGGAAATGCTGTTACTCTTACAGAAGAAGCAGGAACAGCAAAAGCAAGTCTTTTGAAAAGAGCTTGTCCAAGAGGAATTTTATTTGACAGTTTAAAGTGTTAAAAGAAATATAACCTGTAAAGGCAGGAGAAAAAAAAAAACATGCATTCTCTTTTATCCTCTCTGCATTGGCACCAGCTTACTCTAACAATGGCTCCATATAGTTTCTCAGTCCCCAGGGTGTGTCCGGTTCATCCCACAATGTTCTATACCTTGGTGTAGGCCTGATATGGGGATATTATTCCGTGTCCCAAACCGAATAGAGTAGCCATATATAAGCAGGCTGAAGGCTTTGTGACTCAGAAATCAGAACAGAAAAACTCCTGGGACAGTTTATCCCATATGTGAATACTTAATTCACGAAGCCTCCAGGATACTCTGAATTTCAAGTATTTTCTCCAGATATTCTAATTAAATTGAAAAACTTGCATGATTTGCAGCATCTAGTGTGTGTAGAGAATCGAGTACTTGACCATGTTGTGTTTACAGAGCACTCAGTGGTTGCAGAACATCTAGTGTCTGCCAAGAATCTCATGTTTGCAGAAGATCCAGTGTGTGAGAGGACCTGGTACCTCCAGAGCATCTATTGTATGGGGAACATCCAGTGTCTGGACATGTCATATTTATAGAGCATTTAGTATCTGGAGAGCATAAGGTGTTTGCAGAGCTTCTAGAATGTACAGAGCACCTAGTGTGTGAGACCATTTAGTGTTTGCAGTGTACCAAATTTGTGCAGAGCCTCTAGTGTGTGCAGAACATTTATTGTTTGCAGAACATCTAGTGTGTGCAGAGAATTTTGTGTGTATTGAGTCTGTATTCCTGGTTCTGGATTGTGGGCTGGGTGTGAGAAGAAGGCTACTCACCACATTGCAGCCTGCACAGTCAGGCCCATTCTCACAGATCCTGCGGCGAGCTTGAATGCCACCCCCGCATTGGGCTGTGCACCGTTCCCAAGGACCCCAGCCTGTCCAGAACATGTGTGGGGGACATAGCAAATGTTCATTGCAGTATCTGTAATGAGGAAACCAAAATGACAAGGAAACTAATTAGTGCCACTTGAAACCACTGACGTTTCCATCTCCATCCCTGCACCAGATGTTGAACACATGGGCATGCTCTGCGTGGAGGAGCTTTTTGTATTTTGAGCAGTTGCACCATACAGAAGGCAGATGTGGTGCTGGCCATGCTGTGTGTGCACAGACAATGGGATGCATGGCAGACAATGAAGAAAATGCTAAACTCACAATGCAGGATGGATCTTCCTGTGCAGCCAATTAAAGGAAAAACAAACAAAACCCTTCAAACAGACACCCAAAAATAAGAGTATACAGAAAATATCTAGGTAGGGCATTTATCTTGTGAACATAAACATTGAAAGATAAAGCAGATTACAGATACAAAGTCAGCATAGCTTTACTTGGAATTCCTTTCTCATTCTTGAATCAAATAAGCCCATAGTTATATTAGGATAAGTTAAAGAAAAGTTAGAGCATGGGATTAGCATGAAGGCCCAAGTTATATACTGCTTAAGCTATTCTACTTTTAAATTTATTTGTAGGCTCTCAGAAGAATGCCAAACAATTTAAAAGACCACTCGTTATTCAAAAAGAATTGATTATACAATTTTACAAATATTAGTTCTATTTTTCAGTGTTTGAATATACTTCTATACTTCTACATATTTTTCCAAATGTCAGCCAAATATCCAAAGCCTCCTTTATCCTTATCATGAGTCATATTATTTCTCTTCAATTTTTTTTTTTTTTTTTTTTTTTTTTTTTTGAGACGGAGTCTCGCTCTGTCGCCCAGGCTGGAGTGCAGTGGCGTGATCTCGGCTCACTGCAAGCTCCGCCTCCCGGGTTCACGCCATTCTCCTGCCTCAGCCTCCCAAGTAGCTGGGACTACAGGCGCCCGCCACTACGCCCGGCTAATTTTTTGTATTTTTAGTAGAGACGGGGTTTCACCGTTTTAGCCGGGATGGTCTCAATCTCCTGACCTCGTGATCCGCCCGCCTCGGCCTCCCAAAGTGCTGGGATTACAGGCGTGAGCCACCGCGCCCAGCCTTCTCTTCAATTTTTAACACTGCAAGTGAAATGAAGTGAAGTGAGGAAAGTAAACAAACAAAAAACAAAAAGGAAACAGCCTGGCATTCTACAGGTTACAGCTCATAGAAAGGAAGAGGTTAGTCTGAACAGCACCAAATGTAGTGAGACACACTCGGTGATTCATAGTCCATCTAAGAAGCCCAAATTCCCAAATTTACCTTCTAGAGAATACTAGAATGCACAACTTTTTCTCATGCCCTCCTCTCTTGCTAGGCTATCTGCCTTAAGAAACAAGAGGCAAAGGTTCCCATCTGCTGGTGTAAGTCAGTCACCTTTATTGTCATCAATATTAATAAAGGCTTAATCCTGCAGGGCCTATGCAACAGGAATTGCAGAAGGCTTCCTGATCACAGGTATTCACAGTCGAAAATAAACACAGGGACATGGACACAGCTCAGGATGTGCAAAACTATCTTAATACACAGTGGCATTACTGTAATTATTTATGCAGAAGTAAATGCTTTTCTGGAACTGAAAATAGGGGCAAATGGTAGCCAGCCACCAGGAAAAGAAACTTGGAGAGTGTAGTTTCCTGACAGTGAATGCTGGTAAGATGGAACTGTTTTCCTGTCAAACCAGAAAAATTTCATGGGGAATGTGTGGGCTTCAGGAACAGGGACAATGTGAAAAGTAGAAAGCAAGGCCAAGCTGAGGGGTGCTGACGGGATGAGGCACACTGAACCCCTGTCAGCATTTTGGAAAATAATGGAAGGTAGAAATGGAAAGAGTAAAGCACGAAAGATCATTGAGAAGAACAAAACATAAAAAGGCAACAGGGAGTGGGATGATCTATCTTTACCAAATACAGTGGAAAACTGGAACTTTATGAGAAATCAGGAAACTTCCACAGAGCTCCAGAGACAAAATAACTCCATGAGAGTTAGATGGCAGACTCATCTCCAGGAGTTGGTGCTTCATCTTGACTATTCTCTGGAGCCCCTGAGATTCGAGGAGCTCCTCATATTTCAGTATGGGGTCTGCATCTCCCCAGACAGGGCAGTTTAGCAGCAGGAAGAGCCCATAGAACAAACAGCAACTAGAGGACGCTGGATTGCAACAATTCAAATGAGAGATACTCCAACCTAGAAAACGGCGATGGTGTTGGAAAGAAGGAGAAGAAGTGGTGGAGATGGAGCTTGGTATAGTGAAAGTACAATATGGCAACTGTGTGACTGTATAGAAAACAAAACAAAAACAGTGGAGTCCAAAGTCAGCCTCTTAACTGAAAGTGGAAGGCAGAAGACACTCTTACTTCCAGGGAGAGATAGTTGATGTGTAGGGGGTGAAGGAGCCTCCGGAGAGTCAAGAACCAACTGGGCAAGCAGTTTAGTTTGTCTAAACTTACACATTTGAGCGTAGCCAATGGAACTGAACAGTTATCACTCTTCCTCATCTTTTCCACATTTAAGATAACACAGAAACGTAAGGTTTTCCTCTTTAGGTGGTAACTATAGTCTCCCAGGGTCCTATTCTCAGAGCTCAGGGCCACTGGACATTCCTACACGTAGTAGGGGAAGGGAAAGGACCTTCTAATTAAGAGATCATGGCCTCTAGATAGGAGAGACAAGACAAATTTGAGAATACAACAGATGAAAAGAATTTGATCTTAGGAAGTACGTGCAAATGTGTCGAGTTCCAATAAGTAAAATTAATATGTGTGTTGGTTCATGGAGTATTCCAGGAGAAAATTGACACTTGTTTTGAGAACATATTTTGAGGAAGTCAAGAAAACTCAGAATATCAGAACTCTCAGCATTTAGTTAAAATATCTATGTGTAGCTCACTGTGGGTAGAAGGAGAAGTAGGCTATCTCCATTTCTAAGCTGATTCACCAGCATTTAAAAGGCATGGACTTGTTAGAAAACTTGATCCTAATTTCAGCTTTCAACAACCCCTCTCCTAAAAACAACAACAAAAAAATGGGTATGGAAGGCAGAGGGAAACCTTACCAAAAATGTTTATAAAACCCCTGACTTTTAATAAAAAGCACAGCAACTGAGCTACCATTTCCCCAAAGCAAAATAAACCATAGCACACAAATCCTTTCTGTTATTTGCTGACAGCAGGCCACTCCTGAAAATGCTCAGCATGTTATTATTGTAAAAATCTACCGCAGGGTAACCCGTGCATGGAACTTTCAGCCAGTGTTAATAAATTGTCTACTGAGCTGCATTTTAAGGTTGTCAATAACCTGCCTTGTTTTTTTCTCTTTCTCCTATAGTAGTCCATGAAACAAGCCACACCAGGATCTGCTGGCGTGTCACCCTCTGAAATTGCAGCCTCCCCATTGAGAGAGGTCAGAGGGAAATAGAAATTACTAGGCTAACTCTGTCTCTTTGTGTCTGGGTTTTCACTTAGGAATTCACCCTGGAAGAGACTGTTCAGAGACAAAGTGCTTGGAAGCCTGTAAGTATGGATCCTACACAATTGTGAGAAAGTGTTTTCCTCTGACCCTCTCCCTGCCCCCAGCCCAACTAACTCATGCCCCTGAGAGAAGCCCCTCTTATGAAGCTATACAAAAAACAATGAGGTTGGAAGTCAGTTACTTTGGTATCTGCTGGTTAAGGGTTTTAAAATTAATTGTGGATAAAATATCTACACAATGGGCCAGCAGTTGGTCCCCTTTCTCTAGTCCCCAACACACTGCAGACTTTTAGCAAAGAATGAGCTACAATGTTTTTCAAATGCTATTGGCTCTTGAGTGTCTCTACTGTGTTAAAGCATTGCAAGTCACAGATGTACCTCATGATGTGTTAATAATTAAGATTTTAATTTTGCCCATGACTGCTTATTCTCATTTTGTATTTAAAAGTCAATTAATGACCTAGCACTGTTTCTCTATAAATTATCCACTTTTTTTCACAAATCTAGTCTCTTATGAAAATAAAGACCTTTTATAATTCCATATGGACTAGATTCTCAGCACTATATCATGCAATAAAGTGTTCTTTCTATTATAAATTATAAAATGCATAAATTATGTTCCATTCTGGTTAGATCCATGCTAGTTGCTCACTGCAATCTCTGTTAACCTGAACCAATCAGGGCCTCTTCTGAACTATTTTCTTCTTGCTTCACTCTAAATGATCAGCCCTCTACTGGGCCATACTGCTATAAATTTTTATGGCAACAGGGAAACTGCACGTACATTAAGTCTACCATAATATTTAATTCAAGCCATTTAGGAAGAAAAATAACTTGTGAAGAACATCAGTTTGGCTCACCACAGGATTCAGCAAACATACTGATGAAGACAAATAATCACTTAATAAAAACCATTGAGCCCTGGGACTCTTAACTTTGAGAATGCATTGGACAGGCTCTAACATGTTCCCCGTGATCCCCAGCTCCTAGAATTCACACCTTGCGTAATCTCCTCCTATTGAATATGAATGGGACCTGTCACTGGCTTCTAACCAACAGAATATGTGAAAGATTTTGGAATGTCACTTCTGTCATTATGTTACATAGATTGTAATACCCTAATTTCAAGAGAACTTTCTCCCTTGTTGGCTTTGAGGAAGCAAGCAAAAAGGTGAGAAGGACCCAGTTGTCAAGGAATTGAGGGCAGCCTCTGGCTAACAGCCAGCAAGAAACTGAGGCCCTCAGTCTGACATCCCACAAGGAAATGAAGGCTGCCAACAACCACATGATCTTGGAGGCAGGTCTTTCTCTAGCTGAGCCCTGATGACATCACAGCTAGGGCCTCTATGTTGATTTCAGCCTTGTGAGAACCTGAAGCTGTGCCCAGATTAAAAAACTCATAGACACCATGAGCAAATAAACACCTGGTGCTTTAAATGCCTAAATCTGTGGTAATGTTATTATATAACAACTATTAACAGACCGTGGTACATGGGAGTGCAGTGCTACTGTAAGAGGTTGGAATGTGAAAGTGGCTTTGAGACCACGGAATGGCAGGAAGCAGAATAATTTTGAGGAGCACATTAAAGAAAATCTAAATCACCTTGAACCATCCATTAGTAGAAATCTGGACTTAAAGGACATGGCCAGTAAGGGTTTAGAGGAAAATGGGATAAAGAACTAAAACTGAACATCAAAACAGATGGTCTTCCCACCACACACACAAAAAAGAAAAATTTGTGACGTGATGCATGTGCCAATTGGTTCAATTTAGCCATCCACAATGTATGCATATTTTAAACAACATTTTGTACATGATAAATATTTACAAATTTCATCAAAAATAAATTAGTTATTGAAAAAGACAAAAACACAATTAGAAAAACAGGCAAAATATTTGAATAGACATTTCTATAAATAAGATACACTAATGTCCACTAAGCACATGAGAAGATGCTCAACAATATTAGTCACTAAGGAAATTCAAATCAAAACCACAATGAGATACCAGTTCATACCTACTAGGATGGATAAAATTAAGGAAAAACAAAAGTAAATAAGAAGAATGCAGAGAAATTGGAACTCTCATGCGTTGCTGTTGGGAAAGAACATTGGTGAAGTCTCTTTAGAAAGCAGCATGGTGTTTCCTCAAAAAGATAAACATAGAATTAACATCCAATGCAGCAATTTCACTCCTAGATATACAGTATACACAAAAAAGTTAAAACAGGGACTTAAATGGATACTCATATGCCAATATTCAGTACAGCATTGACAATAGTCAAAATATTGAAAATATACCAAGTGTCCACTGATGAAAATAATGGATAAACAAAATGTGGTATAGCCATACAACTGAATCTTATTCAGCCTTACAAAAGGAATGAAGTTCTGACACATGCTACAACATGGAAGAACCTTGAACATTATGCTAAGTGAAACAAGCCAGACACAAAATGGCAACTACTGTAGGATTCCACTTATGTGACATATCTATAATAGGCAAATTAGTAGAGACAGAACATAAATTAGAGGTTATCAGGGGTTGGGAGGAGGGTGGAATAAGGAATAGTTATTATTGCTTAACAATTACAGAGTTTATGTTTGGGGCAATGAAAAGTTTTGGAAATAGTAGTTACGGTTATACAATAATGTGAATGTCAATAATGTCACTGAATTACACACTTATAAATGATTAAGTGGCAAATTTATGTTTTTTTTGTGTGTGTGTGTGTAAAAGCACAGTAAAAACTTAAAAAGTAAACAGGAATATATTATCAGGAACTGGAAAAAGGGAGAACTGCATTACACAATGGGTGAAAACTGCCAAAACTGCTACCTTTGTTAATATGAAAGGCAAAACACATAAGTTGAATTACATAGCTAAGGAAATTTCCAAACAAAGTGTTGAAGGTGCTGCTTGGTCTCTTCATGCTGCTTACAGTGAAATGTAGGTGAAGAAAGACTGAGGAATGGATTATTAAACTAAAAGAACAGGAACTGGATGATTTTGGAAATCAGTCACTTTTAATGGCAAAAGATGCAAAAAATATGAAATAGCTTTCACAGTCCTTTCAAGTACTGTTAGGGAAGGTTGGAATACAGTAAAAGCTGATGTAGTGACTGTAAAACCTTTTATTGTAACCTCAGAAAGATGAAAGAATTGGAGTAGTATTTAGTTACACAAAGAGTCCTTTCTAGAGCAAGTGTGTGCCTCACAGATCCTCTCAACTGCATCAGATCACCTCTAGTGAGCTGGAGGGTGTTGTCTCTCAGCCATCTCAGCAGCACCCCAAGGTAGAGAAGAGCTAACTCAAAAAGGTCTGTGAATGTAGCTTTTGTTTAGTGGAGTAACCTTGTAGAAATCCATTGAAGGCCCATAATGTTTTTAAGAAACTTATTTCCACAATGATACCAGCAGCTTGGATGGAAAGGGACAGAGAAAATACACATGAAAGGCTGCTGGAAACCCTGCACATTCTACTGACAGGAAGGAAGCTGATAAAACTACCTAGCTACAAGCACGTGCTCTCTTCAAGAAAAAGAAAGCCTGACTCAGGAAGCATAACTAAGAGTCCAGAAGGCAGAGCCAAGAACCATAAAACATTATGCCCACTCCCTGAACTTAATTAAGCAACTCCAAACACTTGCTCAGCTAGATTTCAGAATTTATATGGAACAGTGATTCCTTCATAATTTCCATCACTCCACCCACCTACTGCCTTTTTGAACAGAAATGTCTAAAGCTGTTATCCTTTGCCTGACTCTCCAAGTTTGTTAGTGGCAGATAACTTCTCCCTTTGGCTTTAGAGATTAACAGACTGATGGGAACTACACCCAGACAGCCTCTTCCACATGTGGGCCTGATGTAAATAATAAGGTTCTGGACTTTGGGGAGATGGCTTAATGGGATAAGACTGAGGGACCTTGAAAGTGGGTGAAATGCATTCAGCATGTGAGGGGTAGGGATGTGAATGACTGGGGAACAGAGAATCAACTCTGGCAGATAGACTCTATGGTGGCCCTAGTGAGCTCTGCCTCCTGATATTCATACCCTGTGTCATCACCTCCTCTAGGTTGTGGAGGCCTGTGTCTTACTTCCAAACAACAGAATATGGCAAAGGGGTGAGATGTCACTTTTGTGATTATGTTACATAAGTTTGTAATGCCCATCTTGCAAGGAGACTGTCTTTCCTGCTGGATTTTAAAAGGCAAGTGACAACACCAGGAAGGATCGCTTGGCAAGAAACTGAGAGTGGTCTCTAAATAACAACTATGTAAGGAATTGAGGTCTGCAGTTTGACAGCCCACAAAGAACTGAATACAAACAACTACCACATGATCTTGGAAGTGCATCCTTCCCCAGTGGAGCCTCAGATGAGACCACAGTTCTGGCCCATGTTTTGATTGAAGCCTGCTGAGGCCCCAAGCAGAGGATCTAGCTAAGCCATATAGGAATTCCTGACCCACTGGGACTATGAAATTTCAAAAAGAAACGTGTGTTGTTTTGAGCCACAAAGTTTATGGAACTACCACTACACAGCAGGAGGAAACTAGCACAGATAATAACATTTGCATCTTGATAATATTTGCAGACGTCCATTTCTTCCTTTTGTTAGTAGCCTCTCTGGGAGTTGGTGCTTCTACTCAGTTCCTGCTACTCCAGAAAATCTTTTCAAGGAAATGTCAGAAGAGAAAAAGAAACTGTCTATACATTTTAAAGTACATGTAAAAATTAAGCTAGAGTTATTTTTCAGAAAAAAAAATTATGTAAATACTTCTGAGATTTTTGTTGCAACAAAGCTCCCATTGAATAATTCCACACACTGGAGATGTCCCAGATGAAAAATCACTAACTATAAACCTACCATTAACTTAGGGAATCTTTTGGGAAGATCAATTCATTATCTTGTGGCTACCCAGGATTTCTTGAGGGTTGATGGTGTTTAAATAAATATGATATACATGTATCAATTATTTTGTATGCCTAGTTCTTAGTCTTTTGTATTCTCCCATGGAGATCATAGTCTCCTTCAATCTTGAGCTTAGTCCTCAAACATCTGCATTGTTGGAATCAGAATGCTTTTATATTTCTTAGGTGAAGAGACCTTTCATATAACATGGCAGAGACATCTAAGAACCTATTGCTTATGAAGACCACAGAGGAAACTTTAGGTACTTGGTTTTTCTGGTTTTCATTAATCTCCCAGTAGCCCCCTAGAAAGACTATTCAATAGAAAAGCTTAAATTCTATAAAAATTTTACATAGTCCCTGTTCTTACTATCCATCTATTATTTAATTTCACGTTTTCCTCCATTGAGCAAATGCTAATCTACAAATGAACATTTCTTCTTTACAAAAGGAATATTTTACATATAAGTCCCTCAAACACACTTGTCATCTTTATTGAAGACACCGCTGTATCTTTTCCTGAAGACACCGCTGTATGAAAAATCCTATGTGGATGCAAACGTACGCATATGTTAGCCACAGTGTTAATCAGCCTCTTCCTTCCTGTGTGATCAGCCTGGGAATGGTGATAACACATGCTAAGTTTGTGGTGGTGCCTTGACTCTAGGGAAGCCTTTGTACAGATGGAAGTGACTTTGCCTGGATGGGCTATACAGGTTGAGCATCCCTTAGCTGAAATGTTCAGGACCATTAGTGTTTTGGATTTCACATTGTTTCAGATTTTGGAATATTGGTGTATATATAATGAGATATCTTGGGGATAGGACCCAAGTCTAAATACAAAATTCATTCATTCACACATCAAATATACCATATACACAAAGGCTGGATGTAGTTTTATATATTTTAAATAATTTTTTGCATAAAACAAAGTTTTGACTGCATTTTGACGGCAAAAGTCAAAAAACCGTGTGGAAATTTCCACTTGTGGCATCATGTCACTGCTAGAAAAGTTTTGGATTTTGAAGCATATTGGGTTTCAGATTTTCAGATTAGGAATGTTCAACCTGTCCTAGGTGACAATTCATAGCATTTAAAAACTTCCAACCAATTTAAAATTGTACAAGGCTTGGAAATAATAGGGAGACAATTCTTCCATAATAGGCTTTCCCACTTATCAACTGGTGTTAGAAAATGACAGGGCTTGCACAAGACTGTCTCAGGGACTGCTTAAAAAATGACACACCCTGCTTGGTAAAAATCATCTTCATTTCCTGTTAGTCAAAAGGAGTGAAATCTTAATTGGCAAGTGAGGAACACACTTGAAGAAAAAAAGGAATGATTCTCCTTAGTTGATTTTAGGTTGTAGTAAATACCTAATAGAGAGCTATCTAAACAGTAAGTCTGTTGGTTCTGTTCGTATAAATACTAAATGCATAGCAAATAACTATATACAGTATTTTTATTCGAGGTTCCAGTGAGCTCATGTCATCAAATATAAACCTGCTACATTTTAATTAAAATGCACTGAAAGTCATTCAATAAGTTTATATTAGTATAGCTGAATAAGAATCCTGAAAGCATTATGAAATTTACCTACTTGAATTCTTTCCCAATAGTGACAAATTAGAATAAACATTAATAGTATATTTAATGCATATTAAGACAGATTCAATGATCTTGCAAAACAGATTCAATGATTACGATTGCAGAGGTTGAGCCTGAAACCAAATGTCTAATTCTACACCAAGAAACAAATTGTTAAATCCAAGACTAAATCAAAATGTTGCCATGATGTGCTGAAAGCTCAAAATACACGTGGAAAAGAGCCCCCAATTTGGGTTGTGCTGCAGCTTCATTGAGGGTATTTCTGAATATGCCCTCCCATGCCTTCCAGAGGATTAACTGAGTTCTGAGGAAAACCCTACCGCACCTGCCCAGTAGTGTCTGCATCCGGGACCTTCTTAGGTCCTCCTTGGAACTGGAGCTTTGAGATCTGTCTGGTTAAATTCTCACAAGAGTAAGTCTCCTGCAGACGTACTTCCAGAGTCTCCAGGAGCCTAGCACAGCACAGAGGTTCCTGGGTACTCTAATCCCTTGGCAATTGCTCAGCGGAGCCAGCCCAGCTGTGTAGGCACCAGAGCAGCCCAGTGATGCTGTCGACGAGGCTTTGATCAAAATTAAAGGATGCCAGGAAAAGAAGAGGACGACTGGCTCAGCGGAAAGGGATGCCACACATAAGCTTAGGCAGATCCAAAACTAAAACCGCGGGGAACTCGACCTGGCCGGAATGAGAGTAAGCGTGAGGCTGGCGGTGCTGGCAGCAGGGTGGGCACGTACCTTTCCTCGCGGTTCTGTCCCACGCACACCCGGCCCCCGTGCCTGGGAGTGGGGTTGCTGCAGGAGCGCTGCCGCACCTGGAAGCCGATCCCACAGGTAGTGCTGCAGGGAGACCACGAGGTCCAGGGAGTCCAGCCTCCGTTCCTGAGGGAAGGGAAGCAATGCAATCATTAGGTCCCGCAGGCTCAGAGTCCAAGCCCTGTCTGCACCCACGGCCAAATGCCTGTGTTCCTCAGGAGGATCACGCTTGGGGCTGCTCAGGAGAGAAAACACCAGCCAGGGGACTGAATGGACTGCACCCTGTGAATCTCAATTCCTGTGTCTGCAGCCCCCAGGCATCTGGTTTATAGCCAAGATAGGAAATTTGAGAATAAAGTTTTAAGTGCACCATAAATAATGGACTATATTAGAAACTATCAAAAAACTTGAGTCATGAAAATATTAAACTAATAAAGAATAAGGTTATTTCACTGAAAAGCATTTAGAAATGAATCCCTACACCTCTACAGTTTAGGATTTTTTGGACTTGTATTATATCATTTATAATCTATGAGAAGTGCACCTTTGGACAAAATGCTCATCTAAAACTGCCGAAAATGCTATCTTTTAAAATCTATTAATATCAATGAAAATCAGTAACTTTCCTGATAGCATCAAATTGATAAAGAGTGTTGTACTGTTAGAATAACTATCAAAGCTTTAAAACGAAAATGTTGTATTGTTAGAATAATATTCAAAGCTTTAAAACAAACTTTATTAAAAATTTAAAAAGGATGTTTAAATTCAGATTATTGGCTATCTTTTCACAGATTGACAGAGACATAAAGAGTGCAAATAAGAAGTGCAAATTGCATATAACTAACCATGTGTATTTATGTTATTACACATACAGAGTAATGTAGATATATAAAAATATAAAATAAAAATAGGATGAACCAATTTAAAAAATTTTTTTAATTCTATTGACAGCTCTAGAAATGTTTTAGTATTGTATTTTTTCCTTAAAATGCTTGTATTCAGACTGGTTATAATTTAAGTGTCCCCCTTAACACGTTGCTCCTGCTATTAAAAAATACATAGGTTTTTTTTTAAAATTTTATGTGTTAAAATATATATTAAATCCAGATTCCAAACTTCCACATAGACGGTCTACTTCATGCAGAATTTTTTTACTTCTGCAATCACATATGCATTTCTTTGGATATTTGTCACCTTCATCCATAAGATTTACATTTCCTATGAAAAAATATTAGCTCACATTAATTCTCATTTTTACTTCGTGTATTTCCTTTTAAAACATGGAGGTCAACAACTATGCCACTGAAGGTCCTGCTATAAATAATATGTTGAATATATCATATTAAAAATAATTTCAAATAAAAATTTTTCTGAGAAAATTCTTAGAATATTTCATGTTTTCCTACTTTACTGAAACCTAATGATTTAATAAAATATGTAGTAATAGCTTTATGTATGATATTATAATAAACCTGCTCTATAATAATATAACCAAAATTATCACACAATAAGACAAATCTTCCCACATTTCTTATAAAGATAATCAGCTAGTATCTTATACCCTGCTACCTAAAATCTTAAAAATTATCCATGTTATTCACTGAATTATATTTAAAAATTTAAATAGCAGTTTTAATATAAATAAATTACATTTAATTTGCAAAGTTTCATTACATGTGCAAAAAGTTGTTAGATCATGAAGCAAATGGTGCTTTCAAATTTGTTTGGAAACTCTTCATTTTTTAAATCTTTTAGCAAATGTGGATTGATTTTTTTTTTTTTGAGACAGAGTCTCGCTCTGTCGCCAGGCTGGAGTGTAGTGGCTCTAACTCGGCTCACTGTAACCTCCGCCTGCTGGGTTCAAGAGATTCTCCTGCCTCAGCCTCCCGAGTAGCTGGGATTACAGGCATGTGCCACCATGCCCAGCGAATTTTGTATTTTTAGTAGAGACGGGTTTTCTCCATGTTGGTCAGGCTGGTTTTGAACTCCCGACCTCAGGTGATCTGCCCACCTCAGCCTCCCAAAGAGTTGAGATTACAGGCGTGAGCGACCATGCCAGGCCACAAATGTGGAATTTTATGACATATTCCATTTACAATATATGGAACATGTTTGTATATAGGGTAGTAACTAAATAAAAGTGTATATAAGTAATAGGAAAAGAATATCTGAGGAAAGAAGTGAATGCAGCTTTACACGTATATGTCTATTACCCAGACCTGAGTTTCCATACTTCTAAATGCTGCTTAGAGGCAGACACAGTGACCAAACAAGTCACATAAAGTAAACAGAGATCAGGAGGGGGTCACTTTCACGATTATTAGTACAAAGCAATCCACTTACGTTTTTAAAGCCTCATTAAAACTAGTTCACTTTCTAGATTTTTAATCTTAAAATAACTACTAGTTGCATTGCAGCTCTGCTTAGAAAATGACTTTCCAACTAGAGCAAGAACTGAAGACAGATCGATAAATAAGTTATAGCAATTCATTTGATAATCTTCTTTTTCCATGAAACAATATGAGCAAAGAGTATTAGCTACTTGTTGTAATCTTCAAACAACAGCAGTTTGATAGTTTTTGTAAGTTTTACCCAGGCATCTGTGGAAATCATTTCATTTAATAGAAAGCATACAGTACATAATGCAATGTTGATATGCCTGTGTCCCCTGTAATACAAAACAAAACAAAAAAAAACCCTAATCTCTGTGGCCCTGATTTGCTCCTTTCACCTTGGTGGTGAGAAAAATGTGAGCAGAGGGCAAAGTCGGCCTTTTGCTCCTGCACTTTACTTTCCTGGCCCACTTCCTCTTAGGTGCATGTGCCTGCATGACCTGGGCTCTCCTACAATTTGATCACCCAATCTGATTTCCACTGTTAGTGACTTCATAAACAATTGTCCCAGAGACTTTTTTTTTCATTCTAAGTGGGCTCATGGAAAGCAGATAATATGTTTAAAAAATACTGCAAATTAATGAACAAGTGACAAAGAAGCATAAAGACTGATCTCAGAAGTGTTCCTGATACTTGCTTTAAAATTTCTCTGTGATCATGGTGTTATAGGTGCAGGGGATGGAGAGCAAACAGAATATAGTTGTAAAAAAAATAAATAAATAAAACAAACACCACCACAGTAAGCGGAAGCAACAGGAAAGCTATTCAATAGGTTATCTTATTTAAACTGCTCTCTTGATTACCCAGTGCCTAACGTTAGCTCAGGTGAGGTGCTCTGAGCTCCAATATCCTATGGAGTAGAGCAAGTCGATCAAGGACTTGGCTTCTTCTACCTCCTAACCTAGTGTTATTATATCCTACCCCTAATGGACTATTTGTAGATATATTCCATGAAAAGACTATTAAATAACATGGATGTTTTCCTTAAACAAAGCCAATCATATTGTCCAAATTGTAAATACTTTTCCTAATCTAATGAAGAGTATGTGAATAAGCGTAGATCTGTAATCCAATTTATAGTTTAAAATCTCCTTGCAAAAATCATGTAAGTTTTAAATGGTGAATGTCCCTGGTGTTTCACCACAGTTCTCTCCAAAAGGGAGTTATATTATAAATGATGTCCCAAACTCCTCGAGAATCTGAGTTTAATACACAGCAGCACAACTGGCGTGTTCTGAGCGGCACACCTGGAACAGTTGGCGATCTCCATGCCAGGGCCCTCGCACTGCCAGCCACCACACTGCGGGGCCGGGCTGTCGCAGGAGCGGGTTCGACAGAGGCAGGATCCCACGGCGCTGCCATCTGTGTGCGTGCAAGGCGTCCACGGAGACCACACACCAAAGTGCCCATCCACGGTGAGATTCCTGGTCTAGGAAGCAAAACCAAGCAGAGGTGTCAGAAAAGGTTAAAGCTGAACACATAATGGAGTAAAAATTAAAAATCCCTCATAAGACAATCAAAACTCCTCTAGAATTTGTTGTTGTTGTTGCTGCAGTTAGAAAAAGGGCCAGGCGCGGTGGTTCACGCCTGCATCCCAGCACTTCAGGAGGCCGAGACGGGCAGATCACGAGGTCAGAAGATCGAGACCATCCTGGCTAACACGGTGAAACCCCGTCTCCACTAAAAATACAAAAAATTAGCCTGGCATGGTGGCGGGTGCCTGTAGTCCCAGCTACTCAGGAGGCTGAGGCAGGAGAATGGTGTGGTGTGAACCCGGGAGGTGGAGCTTGCAGTGAGCCGAGATCGCACCACTGCACTCCAGCCTGAGGGAAGGAGCGAGACTCCGCCTCAAAAAAAAAAAAAAAAAAAAAAAAAAAAAAAAAAAAGATTGCATAAGGGAGTATTTCAACGTAAAGCAGCAGAGGTGATTGCTGGAGATGGTGAGGAAGAAGCAGGGAGGGAGACAGGGGGAAAGGGGAGACAGAAAATAAGAAGAGGAAGATGAAGAAGAAGAAGGAAAAGGAGGAGGGGGAGGAGGAGGAAAGGAAGGAGAAGAAAAAGGAGAAGGAGAAGAATGATGGGAGGAGGGCTGAGAAGAGAGGAGGAGGAAGAGTGAAGGATACTAGTGACTTGGCATCAAGTTATGGACAAATTGTCCACTAATTTGGAAAATCCAAAACTAAGAGGAACTGGAGTGAAAAATCACAGCTGCACAACCCCATTGCATGTTTATGTGCCTTTAAAAAATGAAAGCTTAGTAACATTTATCATTAAAGACTTGGTTTGGCTCTCAAACTGAAAGCATTCAATTCAGAACATATTTAAAGAGTATCTATTAAGCAGCTGCAGCGCTTCTCTTTGTTAAGAATATCCCAGTCAAACCTGTTTTCTGATCAACTTCTAAGAGCTTACGGGCCAGTGAGAAACAGCTAGACACATAACTATTACTCCATGTAGAATCCGACGATGGATTCACGAACAGGGGCTATCGGAGCAGAGGAGAGAACACCCAACATGCTCACAAGGTCTGGGAAGAGCAACGAGGAGCCTGTGTTGAGTCTTAAAAAGTGAAGAAAGAGCCAAGTAGAGGGGCTAGCAAGGGCTGGCAAGGATGAAGGCAGAGGAATGAGGCTGCCAAATGCAAAGGGCACATGGGCATTCCCCATCAGTGTGGGGTGAGCTGGTGGTTCAGGGGAGCAACACCAAGGACTGAGGAGGAACCCAGGGCAGGGACCTTATGGGGAGGGGTCAGGGAGCCCCCTGAGCTTGCTGGTGTGGCACCTCTGAAGGCACTCAAGGGGAGGGCATGGCATCGCTGGGACATGCATGACCAGCTCTGGTGTGGCGGAGGCACCAGCATGTACCTGGCTCATTGAAGAAGGGACGGCTTCTTGCCAAATCTGATAAGCAAATCTGCTCAGGAGGTGGCAGTGCTGCTGGAAGGAGAGACTCATGGGGCACAGCCTTACATCACATGCCCAGAAACCAGCAAACAGAGCTCTCCTCAGAAAGGCAATGGGAAGAAGGCCTAAGTCTAAGCCTCCTGTTTTGGTTGTTGTTGTTTTTGAGATGGAGTCTCGCTCTGTTGCCCAGGCTGGAGTGCAGTGGTG
Organism: Homo sapiens; assembly: GCF_000001405.40. NCBI lineage: Eukaryota > Metazoa > Chordata > Mammalia > Primates > Hominidae > Homo > Homo sapiens. Next base: position 9,124,519 of record NC_000005.10, read on the forward strand.
TGATCTTGGCTCACTGCAACCTCCACCTCCCAGGTTCAAACGATTCTCATGCCTCAGCCTCCTGAGTAGCTGGGACTACAGGCACCTGTGACCACACCAGCTAATTTTTATATTTTTAGTAGAGACAGGGTTTCACCATGTTGGCCAGGCTGGTCTCGAACTACTGACCTCAAATGATCAGCTCTCCTTGGCCTCTCAAAGTGCTGGGATTACAGGCATGAGCCACCATGCACGGCCTCCAAACCTCCTAATATTAATATGGAAACTTCAGCATCCTTGAGAAAATCTGAGCAAGGAAGACCTTTGGTGATGAGTGAACCGCATGCTTTCACCTTGCCCTCTGCAGCTGGCTGCACCCCTCCTCCTCTGCCAGAGTTCTCTTCCAGAACCATCCACTACCATCGGAAAGACTCATCATCCTCACATGAAACAACTCACAGGAAACAACTCTATGTACCATACAGTTCATTCTCTTCGGGTTACAAACTATACCCATACTTCGCCATTTCAGAATAATGCTGACACCATATTTTGTGGGTAAAAATATAGGCAAACTTTACTTTTGATACATCATTGACCCAAATACAATAGGAACTAACATGAAAAGTGTTCGTTGTTTTTGACATGACCGGTTGGCCAAATCCAATTGCTATAATTATGACTATCCCTCCTTTCTAACCAACCCTCTAACATTTTCTATCCAGTAAGGTGGATGGGATTGGGAATTTCCTTCCATACCTGGCTATCTATGTAAGAAACTGTGGCAAAACGGACGGAATGGAGCTGCACCATCTGTTAGAGCAATTCTTTTCTTTTTGTAAATTTTACTTTAAGTTCTGGGACATATGTGCAAAATAATCAAGTTTGTTACATAGGTATACATGTGCCATGGTGGTTTGCTGCATCTATCAACCCATTACCTAGGTTTTAAACTCCACATGCATTAGGTATTTGTCCTAATGCTCTCCCTCCCCCTCACAACCCACCCTCCAACAGGTCCCAATGTGTGATGTTGCCCTCCCTGTGCCCATGTGTTCTCATTGTTCAACTCCCATTTATGAGTGAGAACATGCAGCACTTGGTTTTCTGTTAGAGCAATTCTAAGTGATACACTGGATCCTACCCAAGAGGAAAATATCCCCATTTCCAAGGTCTCGGTGGCCTCCCTATTGGCTAAGATGAAAAGACAGTGCCTACTCTGATCATGAGGTTCTCTGAAGACCGTAGAGCTTTCTTGGAGAACCAAGCCTTGCATGACAACGTGACTCAAGCCACTAATACAGAAGATTCTGTGTTAAAGAGGCAAAGACCCTACCATTTGGGATTTTCAACATTCTCCTTTCACCTGTTTATCAGCCCTCCCTCTTGTCTCCAGCCAAAAGACTCCTGTGTCAGTGGATAAGAGGTCACTTTCACTGTGAGCAAACGTAGTTCCTATGCTTACACATCCTCGCCTGCTTTCACATCCAGACTCCTGCTTGCTGTGCAAACCTTGCTAGTATTGTTTTGACTGTCAAAAGCATGTCTCTTGTTCATGGAGCCAGCCTCAAGCAATAACGGTGGTCAGACAGAATATTTGCATCATAGTTACACAATATATAGGTCTGTACTATTTTGACTCTTTGCAGTGTGGGCCCAGTTAAGAAACCTTCTAGGGCTGCTGAAGGCCCCAGCAGACACCACCATGGGAGCTGTGACCATCCTAAGCCTGCAGGTGGGAGGGAGGACAGGGTGGCTGGAGCAATCCTTAGTTGAAGGGGGTAAGGGAGTGATACCCGTCTTATTCCTCCTGCCCATGCCTCTCATTACCTGAGCCCAAGGTCACAAGACAGCAAGGGAAAGAGGATCGGACATTGGATGTGAGGAAGGTCAGACCCTTGAGGCAGAGAGTTAGTGGGGAGGGAGACTGTTTGAGAGGCTCTCTGGGACATCTGTTCATCCTTAGCCTCACTTCTCTATGAAGGTGTAACAGCTCCAAGAGTTCATCTTGCCCTCCACTCAGAAAGCCAAATGCACTGGGAACAACAGGAATGACAGCAAAAAAAAAAAAAGAGCTGAATTATTACAGGGCCAGGCAAGTGAGGAGAACAGAAAGAAATTCCTCAAGCCTGACTCCCTGAGAATTCAGAGGCTAGGGGTTTTTGAGGGTACTTTGGCAGGCCGGGGTGGGGAACTGAAACAGTTGATGAAATCACAGCAGTGTTCAAACTGCCTTCAGGCAGCTGAGTCAGTTCCTGAGAGGGGGTCTCGGACTACAGGACAGCTTTTGGTCAGCTGAAGTGCTAAATCTGAAAAATATCTCAAAGACCACTTCTTTAGGTTTCACAATTGCAATGTTATCTATAGGGGTGAGTTAGAGAAGTTATAAATCTTGTGACCCCTGGTTACCTGAATCTGTGGTAACCAGCTTAAAGAAAAGCAGGTTAAATGTCAGCAGGTCATTGCTCATGCCTATTCTTCAGCAAAGGTCAAGCCCTTACCATTGTGAATACAGTTTCAATCTCTGAATACGAGGACAGGGAGGTAAGTTTTCCTTGCCTCAAAATTTAACCATAAACTAAATTCCTCTCACAGTTATCTTGGCATTGGTCTCTGTGTTATTATATGTAAAACAAAATTACATAAAACAGGTTAGCCTGCGACGTTAAAAGCAAGGTGGAATCAGTCATGCTGGAATTCTCTCATCACTTCTAATTCTGCAAAGGCTGTTCCAGAGGTGTGAGGGGTCATTCAGGTTGGGATGCTATGGAGGTCAAAGCAGTTCTATCCTGGATGCTAATCCACCATGCTGACTTCTGATTAACCCAAGTTCTGGGAATGCCTCTAAGATTTCCAGTTTACCTATTGTTCCTTGTGTAAGAGCATGTACTTAGCGCAAACAGTGCCCTTCAGCAAATTCCTAGGCATTCCCTCTGAAGCACATATACACTTTCCCTATGGCTCATAAGCCCTGGGAATAATGGCATGGAGATCTACCTGTCCTGCAGCTGCCCAAGAGCATATTTCTCTCTGTAAGTTCCCAATAAACTCACCCTGTACCGACAAACTGACTTTGTCTGCCTCACTCTTTGGTTTCTTGGGTCCTTCTGTGTTTGGGGGTTTATTTGCACATATGTCCCTTTCATGAAGCAGATGCATTTGTGATTTTTTTGAAGGTTTATAAATCCCCCTAATATTAATCAGAAACATTTGACATGGCAGAATTGGGACAAATTAGAGAATTTGAGGCAAAGAAGAGCTTTCCAAGCCCCTTTGGTCTCCATTTTCTCATCTAAAATACAAAGGAAATGACCAGGGAGGTTCCTAGGATCTCCTTAGCTCTAAGAGGTCATAAGGAAATCCTAAACTCATAATGATATAGATGATAGAAATATCTAAGACTGTGAGGCCAGAAGGAAGTACAATATGATGGTGACAACCGAATGAAGACGGAAACAGAAATCACTCAGAGTTCCAGTCCACGTGATTCCTTAAAATAATCTCCTGTCCTGGAGGGAACCTGAGAATTTCCACTTTTCCAAAGAGGCTAAGGTAGGGACACCAGCCAAGGTAAATGGATTTTTATGAAGAAAGTACTTTGAAAAAAAGAGGATTTGCATTCATTATGGGAATTATTCCTCACCATTGTGAGGTGGAGCAGAGGGAGGAGGAATCTGTGGTGAGTTGGGCTGGCACCACCGGCCATGCTTCTGAACCTCAAACAGGACATATCTGAGGCCAGGGTTGAATCCTGACTAGGCTATAAGCCAATCATGGCAACCCCTTCAGTTGGGCCAGTGCTGGGTCTAGAAACCGACATGTGACCCAGTTCTGGCCAATGAGACTCAAGAGGACACTGCAAGAGGTTTCTAGAAACTATTTTCATTCAAATGAAGAGGAGGAAGCTTTCTCTGCTCCTTCTCTTCCTTCCTGCTTTGGACATGGTTATGTGTGAATATGATACTTGGCAATCCTACTGCCATCTTGTGAGCAAGAGGAGAAGGCCTAGGGAATCAAAGACTTGCTCATCTGCTGTCCTGCCTGAATTCGGCAGCAGAATCAGCCCTGAAACTGCTGCCTCACGATATACCACAGGATGAAAATAGTCCTTAATTAGGCCCTATTCACAGGAAATTTAATTACCATTAGGCATATACAGTCTATATGATTTAATTTCTTTATGCTATTTTTATAGAAAAATTAAACTAAGATTCATATGAATTTGATAATATCCCAAAGAATCCCTAGCTACTTATTTGGAAGATGTAATCTGAAGCACTGGTCTTCCTTTTCTCCACTGCCCCAGAGTTTCTCCACATCGGCACTATTGACATTTGGGCTGGATAATTTGCTGTAGGGGCTGCCATGTGCATAACAGGATGTTTAGTGACACCCCTGGCCTCCACCCACTGGATGCCAGTGCCCTAACACCCCCAGATGTGACAACCCAAAATGTCTCCAGACATTGCTAAATGACCTTGGGGGCAACTTTTTTCCTGATTGAGAACCACTGCACCAGACATTCTTTGTTCATTTTCTTTTGGCCTAGCATGAATTAGTAGGGTCTTAAGCAAAGAGATGCTATAAATGTTCTCTTTCCAAATATATGAATCGGCAAAAGAGGAGCTCATAAGAAAGGCACAGGGAAATAGAGGAAGAACTTGAAATAAGTGATGGCTAATGAAAGAATGAAGAGGAAAGAGGCAAATAAAATAGTGCAGAAACAGTTACCAAACCCTGGAAAGAAAAGGAACTGCATTGGGCAAATCACAGTGAGAACACACAGCAATTGCACTCTGGCAGGGTAAGAATGTGAGATTCAGTTTCTGGCCATGGCCGGAGTAGTTGAAGACTTTAAGGGCAGCGTTTTCAATCCAGGATCACTGTAGTTGGTTCTACTACATTTCAGAATGAGGACTTGCAATCCTTAGAAAAGTACATGGGTCTTTGGGTGCAGGTTCTCTGTGTTGCATTTAAGCACTTGCTCATTTTGACCCTGAGTATATTCGTGTAAGAATCTGCCTAGAAAGCAGATCCATGAATAACAATCTAAGTTCTGTGGCTTTACTTTTTCATATGAATAGGTATTTTTATATTTTCTTAGGCTTCCTTAAACAGACATCAGACACATATCTAGAATAAATTATCTGTAGTTGTGCTATCTTCCAGATTTCTGCAATGAAAGTTTCTATTAGGGGTATGTGTATTATACTATTTAATATTAAACATTAGACCTTAGTGAGACATATACCATGTAGTGGTAGTTTCGTGTATGCCAGGCACTGTGCTTTACATGTATTAACTCCTTGAATCTTCAACACATCTGTAGCACCTACAGCCCATTCTACAGATATGAAATGGGCTGAGATATGATAAGTAAGTTGCTCAAAGTCACTCTGGTTGTAAAAGACCCAAGAATCAAACAAGCTAGTCCAGAGCCTATGATCTCAACCACTTCATTCTGTAAAGTAATTTGTAGATCCTTCTTTGGTGAGACTCTCAAAGAAATTAGCTTCAAGTAATTTTACCCCCAACTCTGTAATAGCAAATTTCCCTTCATCTAGGAAATAGCAGGTTTCCAAGTGCTAGCTAAGGAAGATTCAATTTTGTTACCAAGCACCATCTACAATCCTATATTTGATTTGTTCATGTCCATTTCATTAATTTCAACTGACCAAGGATGTAGATGCATTTGGTGAGTGCAGAGGTCCCTGGAGTTCATCTTTAGATTCTTACTATATTCCAACCACTATTGTTTCATGACTTAATTGAAGTCTTATTTTTCTATTCTGATATTTTTTCAAAAATTAAAAAAAAATCTTCCTTTTTAAAATTTTCATGTACGTTTTGCCATAGAATGTAACAAAACAGAATGTTAGATATGCTCCTCGGGAAAGCTTGTCTCATGCTATGATATCAACTAAGCATCATCCCTAAGCCTATCTCTGCAAATGAGTTACACAGGAAATGCAGTGCCTCCAAAAAGAACTAAGCTGAAGCACTGTGCAGCCTCTGATAGGATGGGTGAACTGGGGCAATAGTTATCTAATACCTCTGAGCCCCACCTCTTCCATTTATAAAATGGAAGCAAAAATATCCATCCCTGGGGATCACAGTGAACGTTAAATGAGATAATCCATTGAAAGTTGCCTCACATGGCACTGAGCACACGTTCCAGACATACAAGTAAACCTTAGTTCTCTTTTCTTTCTCTTATATTAAGATTCTATCACAAAATTCAGAAATAATCTCTCACCTACTCTCTAAGCATCATCTGTTGGTGATGACCGTGTCACCCCTGCTTTGGAAAGACGTTGAGAGCTTAGAAGGGCATTATCCTGAAGATTAGGTATAATGTCAAAAATGTTGAATTTAAATCCTGGTTTCTTTCCCAGTGCAGTTTTGGAACATTTGATAAACCCCTTAGACTATAGTCTATGGTACTGCCATCTAAAAGAGGGCTCTGGGCTTGATCACTGCTAAAGTCCCCTTTTATTCTAAAGACCCTAACTACATAATGGCATTGAGGAGAATCCTGTTATTAGGAGACCCCCTAGGTGTTTATTTGCTCCTTGTATTTTGTTACTTATTACATGATGTATAGCTCATTTTGCATTTCTGTAAAGGAATACCTGAGGCTGGGTAATTTACCAAGAAAAGAGGTTTATTTTGGTCACAGTTTTGCAGACTGGCCAAGAAGCATAGTGCTGGCATCTGCCTCTGGTCCTACAAAGCTTACAATTATGGCAGAAGGTGAAAGGGGAGCAGATGTGTCACATGGTGAGAGAGAGAGTGAGAGATGCTAGGGTCTTTAAAACAACCAACTCTCAGCTGGGCGCAGTGGCTCACGCCTGTAATCCCAGCACTTTGGGAGGCCGAGGCGGGTGGATCAAAAGGTCAGGAGATCGAGACCATCCAGGCTAACACGGTGAAACCCCGTCTCTACTAAAAACACAAAAAATTACCCGGGTGTGGTGGTGGGCACCTGTAGTCCCAGATACTCAGGAGGCTGAGGCAGGAGAATGGCATGAACCCAGGAGGTGGAAGCTGCAATGAGCTGAGATCTCGCAACTGCACTCCAGCCTGGGCGACAGAGCGAGACTCCATCTCAAAAAAAAAAAAAAAAAAAAAAAAAAAAAAAAAAAAAAAAAAAAAAAAAAACCTGTCATGTGAGCAATAGAGCAAGAATGCAGTCATTACTGAAGAGAGGGAATCCAGCCATTCATGAGAGATTCGCCCCCATGACCTAAACACCTCCCACCAGGTCCCAACTCCAACACTGGGGATCACATTTCAACATCATATTTGTGGGGAGTGAACATGCAGACTATAATACATGATGCATTTTGGAATAGGGACTCATTACATCATATGGTACCCTGGTCATCATGTATCCACAAAGGGTGTGGATGGTATTCATGCATAAATAAAACTCAAGTAGATTCCTAAGACTATGCTACCCTTGTTAAACAACATTATGATTTATGCAGGACATATATATTATTCTAATCAGTCTAGATATGCCAATTTAGATTTTACTGATGCACTTCAAATCTCTTAAACTGAGAGTAATGTTTTCAATTACAATTTTATAAGCAAACAGAACATTAATCAATATGTGAGTAAACTATTGCCCTGTCATCTGTACTATAGAAACCCATAAACATTTTTAAATAGGGATCCCTCTGTAGAAAATAAGTCTTCTTTAAGTCCCTAATTCCCTAGAAATATTTATTGGGGGTCCCTTATCCAATTCAAACTCTCTGGATAGCAGAGGATTTAAGCCACTGCCATGGCCTGAATGTGCTCCTTCCAAATTCAGGTGTTTCCAGTGTGATACTATTAAGAAGTGGAATCCTGAAGAGGTGATTAGGTCAGGAGGGCTCCTACCTCAGGAATGGATTTGGTACCCTTATAAAGAGTTGTGACAAAGAAAGTTGGCTGTCTCTTGCCCTCCCAACTTCTTCTAGGCGGGACACAGCAAGAAGCCCCTCACCAGACTAAGTAGTGGTACCTTGATCTTAGACTTACCAGCCTTCAAGACGATGTGAAATAAATTTCTGTCCAATTTAAATCACTCAGCCTTATGTATTCTGTTGTAGCAACATAAATGGTCTAAGACAGCCATAAGTCACAGCCACTGCATGAAGTTTGACTAGAACACTAACTTTGGGAAACTCAGTTGTGCTATGTCATTGATCCAAGGTTTGTGAAAGTTTACTTGGGAGGGTCACACACAAGAGGGTCTGAGGTTGACTCACCATCATCAATATTCCTGTAACTCTTATTGCACTCAATGTAACAGGATCTCCTGTCTTTCATTATGCAGCTTGCACTTTTACATGAGGTATAAAATATTTGGTCTCATTCAAAAATCCCTCAGCTTATAAAGCTTAATTTCCTTTGGAAAGAGATACATACCTCTATGATCTATATACGTAGAAGTAGGTAACAGTGTTTACTGATTGCAAACTTCCCTCTGCTTTTTTTTGTATTTTACCATCTCTAAAATAAACTGGCATCTTGCAATCCATGAGAGTGTTTTTTGTTGTTGTTGTTTCTTAGCAACATATAAAGCAGTGGTACACATCACAACCAGTGGCATATCAGAAATGATTATATATGATAGATTTGCCCAATAAAATTAAGCCCTTGTTCCATTTCAGTTAAAAAATAACACGGAAGAAAATTACATTTCAATAGTTTTTTTAAATACCTAAGTTAATACTGATGTATATTAATGCAAATCATTTACATCTAGGTCATCTCCTTCTAAGAGACAGATTTTTAGAAAGAGATGTATAGTTAGATAATATGAATTTCTCATTTTCAAAATGGTAGCCTATATAACCCAGAAATATATATGGTTTCCTTTCCTGTGTTTTGTGCAAAATGACATAATTTATTGTCTTTTGTTGCCTTCTTTGTATATGCTTAACTTATCTAAAGTGTATCTTGATATGTGATAAAATACATTGGGTGGGATGACAGACATAGTTTTGTGTAATGAAATACCCTGTCATCAGAAGAAGCAGACCTTGTAATGAGTGTTTTGCTGACTGAGAGCCAGATATCACATCTCAGCTTTATTTTTGAAAGCAGAGATGGTAGAGGAGGCAGCCTTGACACCATGGCAGATCCTTGTTACCTTCTGATCTTACTTGTTAAAAACTCAAGTAAGGTCAGAAGGCAACAAGGACCTCAGGTCCTCTCAGTAGTAGGAAACAACTTTAGTGACCATCCTCTCTTCACTTCTGAAATATTAAATCTTTCCTTTTCTTTCTTTCTTTTTTTTTTTTTTGAGACAGGTCTTGTTCTGTTGCCCAGGCTGGAGTGCAGTAGTGATATGCTTTGGCTCTGTGTCCCCACCTAAATCTCATCTCAAACTGTAACCCCCACATGTCAAGGGAGGAACCTAGTGGGAGGTAATTGAATCATGGGGGTGGTTTCTCCCATTCTGTTTTCCTGATAGTGAGGGAGTTCTCACAAGATCTGATGGTTTAAAAGTGAGTTTCTCCTGAACTCTCTCTCCTGCTGACTTGTGAAGAAGGTGCATGCTTGCTTCTTCTTCACTTTCTGCCATGATTGTAAGTTTTCTGAGGCCTCTTCAGCCATGCAGAACTGTAAGTCAATTAAATCTCTATACCTTATAAATGACCGGTCTAGGTATTTCTTCATAGCAGTGTGAAAGCAGACTAATACAAGTGGCATGATCTCGGTTCACCACAGCCTCAAACTCTTAGGCTCAAGCAATCCTCCCACATCAGCCACCAGAGTAGCTGGAACTACACGTATGCACCATCATGCCTAATTAAATTATTTTACTTTTCTGTAGAGTCAGGGCCTTGCTATGTTGCCCAGGCTGGTCTCAAACTCTTGGCCTCAAGCAATCCTCCTGTCTCAGCCTCCTAAAGTGCTGGGTTTACAGGCATGAGCCACTGTGCCCAGCCAACTCTCCATTTAATGACTAAAGACATATACAATACATACATTCATTATAAACCAAGTGCGTGGGTGTGTATTTCTGGCCCATGAACTCCAGCCCACAAACACTAGAGCACAGAGGGAAAGCCCTTCTAGGTTGAGGGTCCCACGGGGACAAGCTGCCTGCTGGGAAGCTCCCATTACAGATAGTAATAATTACATAATTAGTATCTCTCAGATATATACTAAAACAACTCTGGGTCCTAGACAATGGCCTTATTACTTAAGAAACACAGCTATTATCTTGTGCCTTTTTTATGATTAAAAATGCAAGATCAAAGATCTGCAAGAAGATTTGCTGATTCTTCCAAAGTGTATGTCTGTACTTTGGAACCACATTTCAGGTATTAAACATTATGTTTTATCAAGCTGCAAAGAATGAAAGGTGAGCACCCTTGTGTTCTTAGTATTTTTCAGAAATAGGAAGGGCCTTAGAACAAACAATGACATTTTTCTAACCATTTTAAAGGGATTTTGCAGAAAAATTGGCTACTAAAATAATAGATCTGAAGTTAAATAATCATGAGGACCCACAGCTAATCCTACTAGGAAGCTGTCCAGAGCCTAGATGTGGTGATGCACACACTGTTACAGTGAAGGCCCCTTGATTCGGTGCCAACATTTGGGAAATGACACTGGTTTGAATAGCCCCAGACTTCCTTGCTTCATCCTGTCTGGTTTCTGGTTTTCCGACTTTCTTTTTTTTTTTTTTTTTTTGAGATGGAGTTTCGCTCTGTCGCCCAGGCTGGAGTGCAGTGGCACGATCTCGGCTCACTGCAAGCTCTGCCTCCCGAGTTCACGCCATTCTCCTGCCTCAGCCTCCCAAGTAGCTGGGACTACAGGCGCCCGCCACCACGCCTGGCTAATTTTTTGTATTTTTTAGCAGAGATGGGGTTTCACTGTGTTAGCCAGGATGGTCTCGATCTCCTGACCTTGTGATCCACCTGCCTCGGCCTCCCAAAGTGCTGGGATTACAGGCATGAGCCACCGTGCCCGGCCTGGTTTTCCGACTTTCAAGCTGAAGGACAGGCTTTATGAATATGTGGTTGAGATAACAGAAAGGGTAAGTTCTTTGGTGGGAAACAGGCTGACTGTTGCAACGCCTTCGCAGTTCTAAAGCATGGAAGAAACAGCAAGGAGTTCACACACTGAATGTGCCACACCTCTGTCTTGCAGAGATACAGCAGAACTGATGGGCAGAGATCAGCAGTTTTGTAAAGGCAACATGACTTATGACTTTTCCATTATATGGAAGTTAATAACTGTTGTTCATATTCTATGAGAACACATAAGAGAATTTAAGATGATTCAATGAAATGTTCTAAAGGCCAAAAACCCTCCAAAAACAAACAAACAAAAAAAAAGCAAAAAATATTCTAAGTACTGGTTCCTATAAATGTGGACCCAAACACATATATCAGCAAAGGAAACCATGAAATGTGCTTTTCTTGGATTCAGTCTGGCTCTCAATACAGGTGAGTTTCTCCTCATTCCATAGAGTCCTCTATGGGAACGCACACTAGGCGGTCTCTTCCAGACCTTCCTGTGACCTTGAACAGGATCTACGGGTTGGCCCCACATGAAGGTGAAAGTAATATCCTTTAGTTTATTCTTTTCTCATCTTTCCTTATGTCAGCCTCTGGAATTATATCTCCCAAAAGAAATTTGTGGGTGTGGAAGTTTCTCTTTTATTAGCGCTGTAAGGGGCAAAATAGTCCACACCAAACTCTGGAGGGGGAAAAAAAAATCCAAGAATAAAACAAACCATAAACTCCATTATCAAATCAACACAGTTTTCTGTGAAGACATTTCTCTTCAAACAGACAAAAAAACCTATAACAGCATTCCACGTGGCCCTGTGCAAGCCAAGAGCTGAGTGATCTGAGAGAGCACAGACTGGGTTTGCAAAAATGGTTCTCATATGAAAAGGTGCAGACAGCGTGACAGTGTGACTGAGGATCGCCAGGGGAGCATGGCTCCCATGGGCAGCATTTTCAGAGGATGGAGAAGGTGGGCACTCACCGGACACGCAGAGATGCTCTGTTCCCACTGCGTCATGCTCAGGCTCTCCTCCAGGCTTGTGCATTTCTTCATTACCACATCCCAGCCACAGTAAGGGTCCTGGGCCCCAATGCAGGTGCTGGAAACACACACCAAATGGTCAACAGAAAGGTCGCTTTACCCATGATAAGATACACAAGACAAGGCGAACCTGTCCCTTGGCAGAGAGGTATGGGATTTCTTACATATGAAGCCCAATGGGTATTTAGGCTGCACACTGGAGAGCACAGCTATCTGCACACTCCAGTAAGTACCTAATATTAAATCATTTACACAGACATTTTGAAAAATCTATGTTTTAATCTAACATACATGACAGATGACTAAAGATGAGCCAACACGAGCATTTTGCTGTCATAAATAGTGCTAAAATCAAGATTCTACAATGTTCAAAAACAATATAGCTGTGCTCACCACTACCGTCACCATGATCATCCGCCTCCTCTTTACAACATGTATTATTTGTTTAACACCTACTATCATATTAACTATAATACAAACTATCATAGCATGCAGACGCTTAAACGATTTGATAGGCAGGTTTTATTTACTGTTACCATCACCATAATCATCATCGTTATTACCACCACTTTATTGATGAGAAAACTGAGGCACAGAAAATCTGAGAAATTAGCCCAACAACATGCAGATACATCCAAAACTCTTCAACATGAATAGTTCAAACTCAAAAAATAGGAGCATCTTTCATTTGTTTACTGTAGCTTAAACGTATTAAAATTTTCAATTTAATAGTAATTTCATATAGTTGTGTCTATAATATCCTACATATGATATCAGAAGTATTTTAGATGGCGGATATTTTCTTTTTAACTTTGTCTAAATGAAAGAGTTCATACACTACATGGGCATTATTAGATGAGGGCTGTGGCCTTTACATTATAAAGACAAGCAAAGGTAAATGAGGGAGGAAGAAGACGGAGATGATAGCGATGGAGCCAGAAATATACAGAAGATAATGTCATGGGCACGCAGGACATTGAACCTGGGAATTCTGTGAATGCACCAAGAAGTTGGAGGGGCAGGAAGCAGATGTGAGGAAAGAGAGACAATGCCAGCATGGAGGTGCCAATGACCCCTCTTAGAGGCAGGATAGTACTTACAGTGAGGGAGGTCCTGTTACAAACTAGTCAAGGACTAGAAATCTGGTAGGACCAGAAGTCATGGCTTAACCATCAACCCTGTCAGCAGGGAGGTAGCGTAAGTAAGTAATGATGAGTTGTTCATATTTATAATACAAAATAATCATTGTTAAAACACCAAATGTATTAATCATATATAAAGCAGTTTTCTAAGAATGTGACTTATATTTGGTCATTTAAACCCCATGACAACCTTATTAATACAGTACCTCAATTAGGCACTACATTGACTGTCGCTTTGAAATGAAAAAACTGAAGGAGGGAAAGATCGATTTGAAGGCTGTACAGCTAGGGAAGATATGTTTACAGTTGATAAATCTACTGATAGGTAGTAAGTTATTATACAATTGTCATTTATTAATTACCTAAAGAAGTGCAAATGATTTAAAAAGCTGTTTCTCAGAAGTAGGGCTAGGTTGGGGTACAAAAATGTATGAAACAACTACCTGTTCCTATAACCTCATTAAAACTCCTTGATATGCGACCATATGCAGACATGACTTCCATTCAAAAATACAAACAAGGCAGTTATAAAGGACAAGGGGAAAGCCTATTTCCCTAGTAGTAGTTTATACTGTTTATACTAACTCACATATTCTGCAGATATTTTATCCATACATATAAGCATGCTTGTGTACACATATCTATATATACATATATATATTTTGTTATTGTTTATAGGCAAATATATGTTTTATATAATAATGATATGCAATACACACAAATGTGATTGTGCACGCGGTTTCGCATTTTGCTTTCTACAACCAATAATCTATTATTGCACTATTCTTGTCAATAAATATAGCTCTACCTTACTCCCTTTAACAGCTGTATAGTGCTCCATTTCTTTGATGAACCAACATTTATTTAAATTTCCCTTTCATTTTATTTTATTTATTTTCAATTTTTTATTTCCATAGGTTATTGGGGAACAGGTGGTGTTTGGTTACATGAGTACTTTTGTGGTGATTTATGAGATTTTGGTGCACCCATCACCCAAGCAGTATACAATATCCACTGCATCCAATTTGTGGTATTTTATCCCTCACCCCCTTCCTACACTTTGCCCCTGAGTCCCCAAAGTCCATTGTGTCATTCTTATGCCTTTGCATCCTCATAGCTTAGCTCCCACTTATGAGTGAGAACATGCGACGTTTGCTTTTCTATTCCTGAGTTACTTCACTTAGAATAATAGTCTCCAATCTCATCCAGGTTACTGTTAATTTATTCCTTTTTATGGCTGAGTAGTATTCCACCATATATATGTATCACAGTTTCTTCAACCTCTCCTTGATGGATGGGCATTTGGGTTGGTCCCACATTTTTGTAATTGTGAATTGTGCTGCTATAAACATGCATGTGCAAGTGCCTTTTTTCATATAATGACTTCTTCTCCACCAGATAGATACCCAGTAGTGGGATTGCTGGATCAAATGGTGGTTCTACTTTTAGTTCTTTAAGGAATCGCCACACTGTTTTCCATAGTAATTGTACTAGTTTACATTCCCACCAGCAGTGTAAATTTCCCCTTTAAAATTATTAACTTTACCCTTTAAAAGCAAGGCTGCAGTGCTCATTTTTGTATGGGTTTTCTATATGATAAAATTTTATTCATGTAGTTATAGGCATTATTAAATTTGGACCAACCAACAATATGGGAGTGCCTCTGCTGCCTCACCCTGTTACACACTGGATGTTACCATATTTTTTAACTCACCCAAAGGGTGAGTCTTTCAGAAAGCTGGTATATGAAAAAAATAGAATTTCCCAATTGTCTGTTTTCATTTCTTTCAGTTGTGTCTTAGGTTAAGGCTTAGCATAGATGAATATACTTTTTAAACATTTGCATTTTCCATGTGTAAACTTCCTATCCATATCCAATTCCTGATTTGATCTCTTTCATGAGTCATTCATTTTATTACATGGTCACTGGAAGGGGTGATTTTTGCATTAAAATGCAGCCCTCTCTGAGTAATATTTTCCCTGTTTGACATTTTTTTCTTGAGATATACATGTTATAAGATTTTATGCAGTAAAACTTATGAACACTTTTCTTTATAGCATCTAATGTGTGTTCCATGTTAAGATCTTTCTCACTTAAATCTTCCCAACTTAAAGATTAAGCATCAAACATTATAGAAAGATTAAAGATTATAGAAACATCACTCCCCCGATTCCTTCTGATTCTTCTAAGGTATCATTTTTTGGCTCCCTATCCTTTATCCACTTGAAATGTATTTTTCTCCTCCTCATAAACAAACAAACAAATCAAAAATCACAAATACATATTAAAAAATCTAAACATCTCAAACCCCACACAAAACAAACAAATTCAGGTGTTAGAGGAAGAGTAATAGATGTGAGTATGGTTTCTTTTCCCGTTATTCAAATGACATCCTTTTCAATTACTACAAGTTTATAACAGAGAGTGTGAGCATAAGCATTTTAAAATCTCTAGCTTTGGGAATATGATTCCCAATAATGTACTATTTTAAATAAAAAATTATTCCAATGATCAGTCTCATTGAATAAAACTTGAACCTGTATTTTTATTGTAGAAAACACATAAAAATTTTCTCAATTCTCAAGACACGCAATTGATTTAATAACACTTTTTTGTGCAGGGAATAGAGAAGATGAGAATAAACTATCACAACCAATGACTAAGACCATGAAAAGTGTGCATTTATTATCCAGGTGTCAGCAATTTCTTCCTGAGTAACTTTGCATGTGCAGTGTTGTTCTGTAGAAAAATGCCCAGAGGAAGTTGCTGGAAATCTGGAGACCCTTCAAGTGCAACTCATGAGACAGACCCGGGTGGGGTGAGCGCTAAGAGTCCTTCTGCTCCCTGCTGTGACTCCACCTGGCTGTGCCAATGAGATCGAATCTGAGAGTGTCTTCATCTTACTAAACTAGCCAAAAGTGACATATTTATATTTGCGGCTCCTATGGCAAACCTGAGAGTAATTCTTTTATTGACAAAATAACATAGTGTATATCACATATGGGAATTCTCTGTGTATGATTCTTTACACAGAGCAAAAGCATAGCGAGGCTACACTTAGAGATCATTCAAAAGGCCTGCATTCCTTTTCGTGTTTCTTATTAAAGCAACATGACCAGTAGTTAAAATTAAACCTCCAAAAAGGGAAAAATTCCACGGGCTCCTCACGTTTACCCCAGACTTCCCATGCAAAGCTGCTTGGAGACTTAAAACAATGCCACAGTGTTAGAGGGAAGTATTTCAAGCTGTTTTAAGTGGAAAGCTGCATGTAATAACATCTCTTTCTTCTGATGATTCCAATGGTTCTGCACGTTCTTAACATTACACTTATCCTTTAAAATGTTAAAATGTCTTTACAAACACAAATGCCCATTCAATAAAATATCATGTATATTTAAATATAATTTCCTCATGCAAAATATTTTACACCATGGGCAAAATTCTGATGAGATCTACCTTTATTCTAAATTATGTCTTAAGAAAATCTATTACACAATTTTATTTTTGGAAGCTGGATCTCTTTAAGAAACTGTGGAAAATCATGGGTTTCCAATTAATGCAGCCATTGTGAAAGTGGCTTTTCTGTATTCCACTTTGAAAATGTTTTTCCTTGTGTGGTAAATATTTTTAATAAAAGTTTTAGCTTGATTTAATTATTCTAAATTGTAAACATATGTCATAGCATCATTTTGTACCCCATAAATATATTCTGTTCAAATATAATTATCAACATTCAATTTTAAAATTTCCATAATGTGTTAATGACCTTACACTATTCTCATTTTACATATTACCCTGGTATTTGAAAGTATCTGAATTTAGATAAAAATGTTAGTCAGAATCCGAAGGTTTAATTTTTTTCAAAAACACACTTATTGAGGGTATTTTTTAGAGCTAAACATATATTTGGAGACAGGCCTTAATTCTAAAAAGCAGGATAAATGTCTACTTTCCTTTCCACATGACAATAACATCAACATATATCTAAAGTATTTCTTTACATTTTAAAAATTTGCAATTACGTTTTTTGTTAGTTGGAGTAACAGAAAAATAAGTTTATTCATTAAAATATTTTCACTGTATTTCTGAAAAGTTGAGATTTATTAATAAGTACAATTCCTCGTGCCTATTAGATTATCTAAGTATCAGTGATGACTTTATCTGGCTTGTCACTGTCACACTAATTATCATTAGGTCAGTTTATTTTTGATATTAAGAATTTTTGCCATTTTGTTAATATAAAATGTATTCTTACACATGGGATTTTAAAAGTGTTTCAATCATGTATCAATTCAGCACATACTTACGAGCACTTGCTATGAAGTCAACTTTGAAAGTGCTGGGTGTACCATGGCAAACAGACACTGTCACTGAGCTCCAAGAACTTCCCATTTGGTTAAGAAAGTAAATATTAAATAGTTACATGATAAATATCAACAACCAGTTGCAAAGGAAGAATTCAAAGGGCCATAAGAGTCTGGTGAATCCCCACTTCGATGGGTGGGTGAGCCTTGGATGAGAGGATATGTAGGGACTGGAACAAATGGGATGAACAGAAGTGACCCATTTGATAGGCGCCAGCAAGAACAGAACCTTTTTGCAGAGAGATCAGCTTGGGAAAAGCACTCAGTGGGGAGAGAACTTGGAGAGTTTGAAGAACTGGTAAAATGGAGGCTGGACTTGGGCTGAAGCTTGAGGAGAGAAATGGGCAGAGTCCTTGGGCTCCACTAAAGATTGAGGGTTTCCTTGCAAGTGTTGCATACTTTAAAGTGCTTCCCAAATACTGTGCAAGAGCCACACTTCAAACATCAATATTAACTTCTATTATCATTACAATGATTGTGGTAGTGATCAAACTGCCTATGAATTATCCCTTCCCTAATTCCTATGAAAATCTGTCCCATTCCTAAGTACCATGTTACCATATACTTCATAAGCTATTCTTGTACTTTAAGAGCTGCAATTAAAAACATTATCTGGCCAGGCACGGTGGCTCATGCCTGTAATCCCAACACTTTGGGAGCTAAAGGTGGCTAGATCATTTGAGGTCAGGAGTTCAAGACCAGCTTGGTCAACATAGTCTTGAACCATGTTCAAAAATAGAAAAATTAACCGGGCATGATGGCACATGCCATGTTGGGAGGCCGAGGCAGGAGAATCACTTGAACCTCAGAGGCAGAGGCTGCAGTGAGCTGAGATCGTGCCATTGCACTCCAGCCTGGGTGACAGAGTGAGAATCCATCTCAGACAAACAAACAAACAAACAAATTATCTTACAAAAAATAAGACTGAAGAAAATTCCAAGTAGACAATAGCCTTCCTGAGACATCCACAGATCCTTCAATTGGTAAATCCAACTAGAACATACATTTTCATTGTTTTCCTCTTCTGCAAAACTAGAACAAAAATACCTATTCACAGGGCTGTTTGGAGAGTTATATCGTGCTAGACAGTATATAAAAAAGGTTTTTTTGAGATGGAGATGCATACAGTTGTTATAATTAGTCCCTAAGCACAATTTCAAGTTATTATACACTATGGATTTCTGAGGTAGTTGAAAACATTCTATATTGAAAATACTAAGTCCAGCAATAATTCACATTACATGCTATGATTTGTAGGTGAAATTAATGTACTTGATTTCAATTAGTGATTAACTTTTAATACTTTTCATGTATTAAAACTACTCGGCTTAACATTAAATAACACTGATCAAATACAATGGCTGTTTTTTACATTTCATTTTGCACTTAATATTAAATTTAAATAATTGACTTATACTGGCACTAATATTAAGCATACTAAGCATATGTTCTTTTAGTTAAAACCCATAGGCAAATATAACATTTCAATTTTCCTGAAAAATCTGTTTTAAAATTGAACAAGATTGATACACATTTTACAGTAAAGCATTTCAGGAAAATTGATAATTTAAAAAACAGTGATGGGATTAGATAGAGCACATGTGAAATAAGCAAGTCAAAAGTTCTTCCTGGATCTAGGACTTGTGATTAACTTGGTTTGCCAGCTTTGGTTTCTGACCTGATGCAGAGACCCCGTTCCACTCCCTCTTTAAGCACTGAATCCTGAGCTGTTTATCTTGACCTCCTTGTGGGCTTCAATCATTGTAAATTTTCTCTAGAACAAATATAAAGTCTTTCTAGAAAGGCCAAGACTGCCTCCAGGACAAAGCCAAGAAAGGCAGCCTCTTCCATGGCTAGGATTGTACCAGGGGACCAAAACCAGGACAAAGGAGGCACAGGGTGTTTCAATGGCCCAACATAAACCTTCCATGGTTCCACGATGTGGAAGTAACTCACCAGGAATGGCAACCAGAAACAGCTGTGTCTATGTGCTCAGGAAGAAAAGAAAATAATTACTGGTCACTTCATTCAGGGAGAAACCCACACCATTGGTATTCCACATTCTCTATTCCATAAGTAGGCATAATTATAGGTACCTCCAAAGTTCACCCTCCCCCAGTGTCCTCTCCTCTTGGCTAATTAAGATTTAAAATGAAGACACAATTACTTATTTGCTATATAACATGTTTTTCTTTTTCAAGAGAAACACTTCTGTGAAATAGGGTTTAAGGGTCAACAATTATGCCTGAAGAATGCAGAAGGTGTCAAGTAATACATTTTAATTTTTACTCAAAACCTTAAAAGGGCATAAGTCCAGAGGGGAAAATATGTATTATTCTGTTTTCTTATAATTCACCTAACTTAACAGTTTGACTGCAATTGAGTGGAAGAGGTTCAATGCCAAGGAACCCTTCTGTGTAGTACAGCCCACCCCTCAGAAAGAACATTTGTCCCTCTCAGCGGGTAGTTACAGCAAGTGTGAGGTCTGCCTTGAATGTGGATTCTCTGGTGCCCTCATGACTGCTGGGCAGCCGGTGACAGTGGTGAAGGCAAGCACCTGGCTCTCTTCACACTTGGCCTTGTGTAGCCTTCATCAGTGCCTGAATCCCAGTTGCTCTTGTGTGGATAGAGACATGTTCACTTGAGACAGGGAATTATTGCAAATCCATGGACAGATGCTCCCGCTGCTTGGATGAGGCCATGCTGACATCACTCACCCAAGCACATCATGTGGTCATGCTAGAGTCTCATGAACTGTTGATTTGCCCCGGCAGAGTCAGGTAACAATTGAATGAAAGGAGAAGAATCCTCCTCTCAGACAACATGAAGTTGTTTGAAGGCAGAGCAGCAAATGATTGGCTGGTCAGTTTACCTTCAGTTTAGTCCGGAGACCATGAGAAGTATATGTGGGCAAAGAAGGCAAACCACACATAAAAGAGCAGTCTGTCATTTTTACTTTTTTTTTTTCCTTCTCTTTCTTGTTTGTTCATTCACTTTTTATTTTGACTTACATCTAGGACAGAGGGAGACTTTGAATCCCAGCCTTCAACATAGTGTGCAGAAAGTGTAAAAGACCACTCACAGGCAATGCCAGCTCAGAAGGACCTGCATGAACTGAGTATAGTATTAAAACAGGAAAGGAACTATCTTGTGTCAAATTCTTATTAAGTACCAGCCCCCTAACATAGCCTCTCTCTCTTTATCTCCAATAACACACTCCTATGGAAACAGGGTTGAGAAATAAGATACAAAGACTTTGAGTAACTGGCTTATGGTCACACACACAAAAGCCCCATCCAGAACCATCTGAATGCAAAGCTCATGCTCTTTCCATAGGCAAGCTGTTTTGCAAACATATGAGAACAGTTATCTCCTTAAGAATTCACTGGACTATGCAGCAAATAAAAATCTTAGGAGAAGTCCAGGTGCTCGTATTTAGAATAACTCAGGTGCAGGGGTCTGGAGCCAAGAAGTGGTGGCAGCTCAAGCTTTCCTATGGAATTCTTACATAACTTTAAATTTGAGAGCTCAAAAGCAGGAGGCCTGTGGAGTAGATATTAAAGAAGAAAACTTTTTTTTTTTTTTTTTTTTAGATGGAGTCTCTGTCACCCAGACTGGAGTGTAGTGGTGCAGTCTTGGCTCACTGCAAACTCCACCTCCCTGGTTCAAGCAATTCCCCTGCCTCAGCCTCCCGAGTAGCTGAGATTACAGGCGCCTGCCACCACATCCAGCTTTTTTTTTTTTTTGTATTTTTAGCAGAGATGGGGTTTCATCATGTTGACCAGACTAGTCTTGAACTCTTGACCTCAAGCAATCCACCCTCCTTGGCCTCCCAAAGTGCTGGGATTACAGGTGTGAGCCACTGCACCTGGCCAAGAAGGAAACTTTTTCTTTCTGATATCCTTTAGTTGTGTTTCTCAACTGAAGTACAAACAGTTGGTAATAGATTTTCAAACTTTACCCAGCTGACTGTTGAAAACACACATTGCCATTTAGAGACCAAGGACACATTCTCTTTGTAAAGCAGTTTCACGTGTTGATGGGTTCTTACCCACCCTGCCCAGGGTCTGGGGGTGTTACCTTACGACAACACTGGAATACACTGTGCTCCAGCCCAAGCCTACCTTGGAACCCCTCTTATCATGTCTTCCTCACTGTCCTAATTAGCACTTACCACTTTTGTTAGTGCCAGCACCAACAAAAACTCGGTGCATTTACTTTCTGCCATTTCTCTATTTTTAAAAACAGATTTAATGGTGGCATCCATATAATGTTGCTGTGCTTTATTACATTTTTGTTGTGTCATACAGATGTCTTCATAGGTGTCGCTTAATGGCTTCAGAATAACTCAATCAGAGAACAATCGTTGAAAGGATGTATCATAAGTGGTGATTAATTCCCTTACTACTGGAAATTGAAAATTAGAACACTGGTTATGATACAGATATAGCTTTAAAAAATAATTGGAGAGGAACATTAGGTGAGGAGATTAGGTCCTAGTGTATTCCGGGATCAGACTTTAAAGATAAATCGATTTTGGAATAAATTCTAAGGCAACTCCAAGGTCCTTCGGTTCAGTTCCATGACAGCAGGTGATTTTACTTACACCAGAATTTCTTATTACACTCTGAGTCCTCTGAAGGCAGGGTCAGGGATGCCTCATTCATCATCCTCTATGCAGGGCCCCACTTGGTGTTTGGCATGTATTGAGTTCAATAAATATAATATAAAGGAATTAATTACAAAAAATCCACATTCTCTAGAGGTTAAACCAAAGCCAGCACAAACAAAAACTCAAGACTTTGAGATTTGGCAAATATTAAATTCATTCTGAGGGGATAATATTTACTTTGTAAAATGGGTACATGTCAAAATGTCCTCCTGAATGTTTATTTGATTAATGACCAAATGAGTAAGGTTGTCTGGCTGGGAGACCACGTGGAGACCCTGCAATTTCTCTGTACACATTGTATGCTTTTTCCATTGGCAGATGCTGTCTTTAGGGAATATTTAATTAAGAAAGGTGTCAACCTATTAACTCCGGCTTTTAAAACTTTGACCTTTAGAGCAATAAACATCCTGTAGTAATCTAATTTTCCATACTAATTTTTTGATGAGGTGTTAATTTCTTTAACTAAATGATACTATTAAAGGCTAACTGCATTAAGAACGCCCAAATACCAGTTCACTCAATAGAACCAATGTCTTTTTCCTTTTCTTTTTCTTTTTCTTTTTTTCTTAGACAGAATCTTGCTCTGTCACCCAGGCTGGAGTGTACTGCAACCTCCGCCTCCTGGGTTTAAGCGATTCTCCTGCCTCAGCCTCAGAGTAGCTGGTTTTACAGGCTTGTGCCACCAAGCCCAGCTAATGTTTGTATTTTTAGTAGAGACAGGGTTTCACCACGTTGGCCAGGCTAGTCTCGAACTCCTGACCTCTTGATCCACCCGGGTCAGCCTCCCAAAGTGCGGGGATTATAGGAATGAGCCACCACGTCCTGCCCAATGTCTTTTTCTTAATGGTCCATCTTTCCCTCTAGTCTTATAAGGCACAATTTAAAAGGTGTGACTCTTTTATATGTAAGCTATAATACTTCCAGTTCCCAGATTTTCTCTCCTTTCCCCCAATTAGTTCATTAAGCAAAAATAAAACAAACCAAAAAAAAAAAAAAAAAACCCACCTAAGGCCCAAAGGCTTTCAATCCTTTTGCTACTGTATGATATTGCCACATTTTTCTGCAAAGGAATTTTATTTTGTCACAAGAATTTTGCTTCCTTTCAAGGTATGAAGTAAATTAGCAGATAAGGGAGAGGCAGAATGTCCATTTGCTAATTTAACAAATATTATATTTACTGACCCTTTTTTGAGCTGGATACCAGGCTGGGGGCTTCATTGAACTCAGAAGCACAGAGGAAGCCCAGGCTTTGGGAGCTTATGTTCCCACAGCTTGAATGAAGCCTGTGCTGGCATGCAGGAATTTACAGTCTACTTTCTGTTCTATGATAAAAGATTAAGTGCACACTCTTTCAATGAATGTTAAATAAAAAATTAAGATTGTATGAGTAAGTATCCAAAGGGTAGAAAATTCCATGGTGTTCAGAAAATATTAGGGTACAGATTAACCTATGTAATTTAATAACTCATTTGATAAATGAAATACCTAATTTTCTAAATTAGTGTTATTAAGGAACATTCATTTATTCAAAAGGTAGATGATAATCTAACTTAGGGGTCAGCAAACCACACAGCCTGTGGCCAAATTCATACGGCCACCTAAACTTTTCCTGAAACACAGAACTGGGGAATGTTCCTCTCTGGTGACTGTTCATGAGTGCACAGAGGCCACAGGGCAAGGCTTACTCACAAGTGACCTAAGCTTTGGCCCCAGGATCCTCCCTGGTCCTGGAACGCGGGAGGATTATGAGGAACTGCTGCAAAACCATTCCTCCCTCATCCCTATGTCCCAGGAAGGCTGTCAGGAGCTTCTCATTGCTTTCCAGGTTCTGATGAGGTGTAAGGCTTTCTGCCCCTTCATATACCCGCACTAGGATACAGCTTTAGGCTCTAAAACTGCCAGGCTACAGCATGGAACGGGCTCCTGAGAGTACAGTGCCTTAGTCCTCCTGCTGCACTGTCACCTGGCCATTTTGTTTTGTTTTGTTTTGGTTTTGAGACAGAGTCTCACTCTGTCGTCCAGGCTGGAGTGCAGTGGTGTGATCTCGGCTCACTGCAACCTCTGCCTCCCGGGTTCAAGCGATTCTCTTGCCTCAGCCTTCTAAGTAGCTGTGATTTCAGGCATGCGCTACCATGTCCAGCTAATTTTTGTATTTTTAGTGGAGACGGGGTTTTGCCATGTTGGCCAGGCTGGTCTTGAACTCCTGACCTCAAGTGATCTGCCCTCCTCAGCCTCCCAAAGTGCTGCAATTACAAGTGTGAGCCACCATGCCCGGCTGCCCCTTTTGTTTTGATGTCATCCTGTGGGACAAGGGATGTGGTGAGTAGACTCATTTTCTGCTCTTTTTTTGGCTAAGTAATAAACTGTCTGGATCTAAAAGCGGATCACACTTTTTTCAACAGACAAATCCATCAGCCTTGCTTGACCCACACATCTACCCATTCATTATGGTCTATGGCTGCTTTCACACTGCAAGGGAAGAGCTGAGGAGTTTCAACAGAGACTGGACATCTGTGCAGCCTACAAGTGTTTCTCTCTGGCCCTTTGCAAAGAAAGTTTGCCAACATGCTGATCCACTCCACACAGAGGCCTTAAAATGACTTTAAAAGTCCACATCAGGGCCAGGTGCGGTGGCCTATGCCTGTAATCTCAGCAATTTGGGAGGCTGAGGTGGGTGGATCACCTGAGATCAGGAGTTAAAGACCATCCTGGCCAACATGGTGAAACCCCGTCTCTACTAAAAATACAAAACTTAGCCAGACCTGGTGGCGCATGCCTGTAGTCCCAGCTACTTGGGAGGCTGAGGCAGGAGAATAACTTGAACTCGGAAGATGGAGGTTGCAGTGAGCT
The DNA here is from genome assembly GCF_000001405.40 of Homo sapiens. Lineage (NCBI taxonomy): Eukaryota > Metazoa > Chordata > Mammalia > Primates > Hominidae > Homo > Homo sapiens. The sequence continues at coordinate 9,149,593 of NC_000005.10, forward strand.
GAGATCACACCACTGCACTCTAGCCTGGGTAACAGAGTGAGACTCGTCTCAAAAACAAAACAAAACAGAATAAAAAGAGTCCAAATCAGCGGCCCTCCCATCACCACACCTCTAAGCTGTTCTTTTCTTAGCCTTGAAGAGGTACAATCAGTCACACTACTTGGAAGGCTATAACATTTTCTTGTGGGAGAAAATAACAACCTGATTTCTAGACAAGATTATTAGAGCACAGGTCCTGTGGCTGCTCTTTTCCTCCTGAATTACAGAGGTGGGAAGCCTATGAGTTCTTGGCCAGAGCTCATAGGGTAGCAGGTTCTGACTTCGCATTGGTGTTTACACAAGGCAGGAAGTCAGTGAGTGGCTGCTCTTGGCTGCTCCATCCTGTGCCTCCTCATGGAGACTTTTTCCACTAAATTAATTTATTCATTGTAGAGACAGGTCTCATCATGTTCCCCAAGCTAGTCTTGAATTCCTGGCCTCAAGCAATCCTCCTGCCTCAGCCTCAAGAAGTGCAGGGATTACAGGTGTGAGTCACCACTTCCAGCCTTTTCCCACTTTAAAGACCACATGATGCTACTCGACCATGAGCCAGGTGCATGGCCTGGCCCACAGGATGAGGTCAGCTTTCCTGTCTTCCCCTGTTACTCATGGTACTCATAGCTGGGCCTTCCCAGATCCCCAAATTCCTCAGAAATTAGTGAATGTGAACTCACTTTTGCAACTTATACACAGATGTGGTCAATAAGGCCTAAAATGAAAAAGGATATGCATGAATAGTGCAGTTTCTCTGGTACTCTACATCCCCAGAGATCACCACCAATTCCAATGAGTTAGCTTTGTCTTTTGAATGATTTTCTCACTCTATCTATTAAATGGCTGTGCTAAAAAAAAATGCTAACATCAAAACACAATTTTTTTACTCGTCTTTGAGGTCAAACTTGACGGAAATATAATTTTGAAATATTGATCTTTTAAAATAACTTTCTAAGGCAACAGTGCTATGTTCTGATCAGTCACAACACACGTGTGGTCAGTACAGGCAGGTGTTCTCTCACCACTCCCAACCCCCGCCGCCTGAGGTCCCAGGATCTCCTTAAGAATAACCAGGGAATGGAGACTCAGCTTAGAAAGCTTTGGAAAAACAGAGTATAAAACCTCCTTCATGTTTGCTTGATCCAGTCTGATGGCAAGCAGAATGAGGAAGAGGCTAACGGGAAGGGGGTTGAGCCTCTCTCAGAAGACCTGGCTTCTGCCTGTCTGGGTACTGACCAGCTCTGCCTCTCAGTTTCACACATGAAGAGTGCAATCCAGCAGCTCCTTCAGCTGAAATCTGACCACTGAATGGGTGGTCCTCGTTGTACCGGGGCAGCAGAAACAACCAGTAATACAACATGGGCCTGGGGCAGTCTCGGCTCTGACCCAGGTCTCATGTTGCAGTAGCTATGTGACTTTGAGCAGGACACCAAAAATATGAGCTGCCATTTCCTCATCTGAACAATGGATATGGTATGCTACTTTACTTTCAGGATTGACATAATAATCCCGCCAAATTCTCACAAAATCTAGCATATTGTCAGATATGTGAAAGAAATTTGTGAAATTGTATCAGTTATCATTTATACACATTTTAATAAATGTCATTGTGCATTGTCTTTGGAAAAAAGACTCAAGAAAATTAAACATGTAAACATGATTTAGAAGGAGATGGGTAATTTAGATAAGCAGTTTCCCTTTTTAAATACTTCAAGATTCATTTATAAGACTGGTTTTCCAATAATAAATGGCATTACTGAGATTCTATGATGGAAAGTATATTGGCAAAGAAATTAGTATCCAATCGTTACCCAATTGTTTTCCTATTCCTATTTAGTGTACTTCTTTAAGCATCTTTCTGAAAGATTAAAATTGCTTTTGTCAAAAAACCCCACAATTTTTCCTTATAATTTATAAAAAATGTTTGTGCAGTTATTTTTTTTTAAAGATTCTTTTCTCCATGGAATGTTAACTAGGGAGGGTTTCCTATCTTTCTACAGGAGTAGGATAATAGAGAAACACATTGGAAATATTCAGAGAAATGCTTGGGTTGAAATCTTTAGTTTTCTTTTCTCGAATGAAATACTAAAGGACCAGGCAAAAACTAACCCCCTCTGAGGAAGGGCACACAGAAGACTATAGTCTATCAGTTGAAAATGAAGTTACGATTTCTTACTGCTTCTCTCAGAGTAAACAGCAGGATGATTAAGCTCCAGCTATAAATGTCAAGCTCCTTCCCTCTCAGGAGCCCAGTGAAGACACACCAGTGTCATCATTCTCCTTGAAAGGAAAGAGGGAACAGTGAACTCCTCCCCAGGCCTCTGTGCCTGGAGCACCAGCTCCTGTGGATCCACAAGTGGGCTGGCAGTTCAGGTGCATGAGAGATGCCAGGGACACTGTGCCTCTCATCACTGATCTGATGCAGAACTTAGTTCCTAAGTTGCGTGTACAAGAGGCTGAGCGATTATGACCCAGACTCAAGGAAGGAGAGCAACCTGTAAAAGATGAATTGCCTCATGCTCTGTAAGCCATGCACTCCCATTCTGGCACCAGAATCACCCTGCAGACAGCACAGGCCTGCGGCTTCCTGTGGGTTATCCCGTGTCACCCTCCAAAAAGGTCATCCTTCACTGAGCTGGAGTTGAAAGACTGGTGTCCTTCTAGATATATTCCAGCTATGACATCCTGTTGGCCAGACCCCAATCCTGTTACCCACTGAACCAACAGCAACTGGAGGAAGAATAATTCCTTCCCTAGGCTAGTTCTGCAGGGAACACAAACCAGAACACATTTCAAGCAGCCAGTGGTTAAATTTAGGAAGTAAGCATATATAAGAATGGCAGTTAATAAATACCACTAGCTGTTATTAATGTTCACAATATCATTATGATTAGCTGGGAGGTTCCTGGCATTATTCCTCAACTCTCTCTCTCATTTCAAAGGAGACATTAAAGACTTCATTTTCTAGAATCATCTTGACAGGCTTATTGCTGTGATTACACATCAAAACCTTCCTTCCACCTAAGAATACTCACTTTGCAGAGTGCTTAAATTTTATACTCTATATATTATCCTATTTGAGTCTACAGCAATTCACATGTGTTGAGTGACAAAGTGAATTCTGAAATACTTTTGCGACCTGGGTCAAGAAACAGCAACAACAGGGCTGGGCGCAGTGGCACACGCCTGTAATCCCAGCACTTTGGGAGACAGAGGCAGGTGGATCACTCAAGGTCAGGAATTCGGGACCAGCCTGGCCAACATGGTGAAACCCTGTCTCTACTAAAAATACAAAAATTAGCTGGGCATGCTGGCACATGTAATTTCAGCTACTCAGGAGGCTGAGGAAAGAGAATCGCTTGAACCCAGGAGGTGGAGATTGCAGTGAGCCGAGATCACACCACTGCACTCCAGCCTGGGTTACAGAGCAAGACTCCATTTCAGAAAAAAAAAAAAAAGGCAACAACAGGTCTGTTCCATGAACCCTAGCTTCTGAGTTCCAAAGCCAGTGTAACTTGGCACCTTGTTTAGAGAGAGAGTGGCCTGTGTAGGGTAGATGTCTGTGAGTGATATATCAAAAAGGACTATTTCTACTCCAAATCTGCAATTACACCCTGCTTTAGGAGTGGAATTAAACAAGATGCCTAAGAACATTTAAGATTCTGATTTCCCCAAGGGCGATCTTTTGTCAGGGATCAGAGTGTATATACAATCTCCCGGAGTAAAGTGCTGGTCAGGTGTGTGATGTATACAGTACTTTTTCATTTCCTAAGTACCTGGGCCAACATGTTTCCAAATTAAACTTTAAACACAACTGTGGTTGATCGTGGATGTCCCACGGAAGATAAGACTGGCCTGAGGGTGAAGGAAGATGCAATGACTCTTGGGTTTCCCTGTGGCTGGAGACCTCCCTCCCTACCCTCTCTGCAGGCTCAGGAGAGAAGCAGCACTCCAGGGGAGCTGGTGCCAAGGACAGTGGCGGGGGAGGGGGGGGTGTCCCGGAAAGTGGGTGCCACTGCAGCAACATCAACCACTCCTTCTTCTCAAGGGGTTATCAGCATATGAGCTGTGGTCGAGAAGGACGTATACCTTATAATATTTTTTGTTATTTCTATATTCAAATAAAATACAAGCTTGAGGCCAGGTGCAGTAGCTCAAGCCTGTAATCCCAGGACTTTGGGAGGCAGAGGTGGACAGATCACTTGAGGTCAGGAGTTCAAGACCAGCCTGGCCAACATGGTGAAACCCTGTCTCTACTAAAAATACCAAAATTAGCCAGGCATGATGGCACACATCTGTATTCCCAGCTACTTGGGAGGCTGAGGCACGAGAATCACTTGAACCTGGCAGCCAGAGGTTGCAGTGAGCTGAGGTCTCACCATTGTACTCTAGCCTGGGTGACAGAGTGAGACTGTGTCTCAAAAAAAAAAAAAAAAAATATATATATATATATATATATATATATATATGTGTGTGTGTGTATGTGTGTGTATGTATGTATGTGTGTGTGTGTATATATATATACATATATATAAGCTTGTGCCAGATTAACATATTAATACAGTCATCAAATATCAGTATTACCACTGAGTGTTCTAAGGCACTGAATAATTTATTTTAACCCTGACAACTTCTTACAGGTATTATAACGTGGCTCCTCCTCTGAGGAGAACTGGTGGGTTATTCTCATCACAGTGAATCTATTTTAATGAAAGCTCTGCATCCTAGAGCACAGGACTCTCAGAGGCATGAAGGGTGGCTCTGAGGCCATTCAACTTCAGGGCATCTGAAGCCTCCCTGGCTCTCTCTGGGTGGGCCCTTCACACACACACCAGTGCATCCTGACCCCGGAGATGCCCTACCTGCGTGTGCGGTAGAACTGGCACCTCTTCAGGGGGATCTTGACCACGTGCTCCCGCAGGCCCACGAACAGGACACTCTGGCTGTGCAGGATCTGCAGGCTCCTGATGGGCTCCCTCCGCCTCTCAGGGAAGAGCTCAATCTCTTCCAGCAAACAGCTGCTTGAGGTCTGATTCAGGGGTACCCGCACTTTCTTAATGGTTCCGTAATCTATGAAGGTCACAGGATGAAAAGGAAACAAGGTCAGAGGGTCTCACAAACCAATCCCTGGTTAAACAGAGTGTGCTGTGTATGCAGCCATGGATCTTCAGCCAGGAAAGCCATCTGAGCATCCTTCAAAAACAGTACACCTGGACACCACTGCAGACCAGTTAGGTCAGCTGCACTGGATGTGGGGCCCAGGCAGCAGTATCTTTTAAAATGATGCTCTCATGTAGCAAGGGATGAGGACTAATCATGTCCGATTGGACCCTTCCAGTTCCAAGTCTCGGGATGGAGAGCTCAAAGTAGCAAGCTTTGTGCCATCCCATGGAAAACATCAGGAAAGAAAGACCCTCAAGGGACGATCTTGGATTCTTAGTGACAGAGATGCTGATTTTGGTGCCCAGCAGGGCAAGGAAAATGCAATGTGATTGGCAGCTTCAAATATCCAGTACGACTGTGATGCCCCCTCCTCCTTCCTGCCACGAGAAGTACACCCTCCTCCATCTCCCTCTCTCCTCTGTCTACATTAGCTCCTTCTTTCCTCCTAGTGCTTGCTCTTTGGGATGATTTTCTTGGGCTCAACTCCTCCAAACTTTCTTTCTTGTGCTTCTGAGTATTAATTTCTGGCCTGATCCAAGCCCTCCCCGCTCCAGGCTTCTTGCTCCCTGGGTGTTTCTGTGCACTTATTTATCTGCTTGACTGCTAGCACTGCTGGAGGGTGAGCGGCCCCTGAGCCATGCAGCCTTCCCAGCTTAGGGGGACACACAGTTGAAACGAACATTGCTCTCCCAGGTACCCTGTGCTGCACCCCGCAACTCCTTGCTGACACCCTGCAAATCCCAGGCATGAAATCCAGCCTTCTGGAAGCCGCTTAGAGATCCACTCAAGTACCTGGAATCATCCTGAAGGCCCTGACTGAATAAAACCTTCCATGATCCCGAGTTTCAAAACATCATGGTTCTTATTTTGCAAACACAGAAAATGAGTTTAAGGAGTTATTCTAAAACCAGAAGTAGTCAAGAATATTTGACTTCAAGGCCTCCTATCAAGCAATTCATTGCAAAAGACCTTGGATAAAATACTTTACATTTTTCTCTCTCTATGAAAGCCATAGAGATGGAGGCTATTTGTGTTTAAAAAAATACATAAGCAGACATGTTTTAGCCTGAATTTACTTTAAAAAGCATATCTGAAACATCTCCAGTGAGCATTTTCTGATTATACACTGACTGAAAAATCATGTAGACAGTATTGGCAAACAATTGCTTGCTTTCATTTTAAGCTAACTGGTTAAATATGCTACTTTTTAAAAAGGTCAATCATACACTGAAGTATGCTATATGCGGGGAAGATTTTAAAATGATCTTGAGGAAAGAGCATGTATTTGTGTTCATGTAAAAGGGTGAGGACAAAAGAGAGAACGAGAGAGGGAAGAGAAAGGGGCAGCTGTGGCGTAGAGAGGCAGACATTTTAGCAAATTCACAGTTCACAGATGTAAGCATGTAAGAAAAAATTTATGTCTTAATTCTATAATTCAAATTAATTTTGACTTGGACATCACAGTTCATAAGCTTGTTGGAAAATTCAGCCTCAATGATTCTTAGGTCTCTCTGCCTGGGGTACAGCGAAGAGTCAATAAACTTACACAGCACCAAGGAACTAACAGGGACAAGATGGGGGCTTCAGGGAAGGTGACATCAGCTCACATGTGTCAGCCACAGGCCCTGCAAGGAGGTCCCCATGAGGCACCAGCAGAGGGAGGTGTCAGCCTTCCTGTGGAGCAGTGATGGGCATAGAGCCTGTGGCTGCCTTTGCGACATCATTACACAAGAGGACATCATCTGAGACACATGTTAGGAGGGAGGCAGGGGAAGCAAGGCTCATGGGAGAACTTATGTGAGAGACCCCTGGGTGAAACAGGAGCTTTCATAGAAGTTCAGGGGTGGGTGGCCTGCCTAGAGTCAGGATCCAGCTGGAGGATCACTGTGCTGTGACCAGCGTCACACTAGTTGTTCACCAGCCTAGAGTGGCATGGGAAACAGAGTTTACAGAACTATAGCCTATCTGAGAATTTAACAAAGACTCATTGCTGTTTATTATTTATTTTGTTGAAGGATTATGATTCTGAGAAACCTGCCCAAATTAACAACAGTCCAAATGTCAATATGCTCATATGTATTTCAAATTCTTAAGTAATTGTGGAAAGAATCAAATTTTTAAAGATCTGTGATAGTTTGACTTAAAAGAGTGAGCCATCTTTGATCATAAACTTTTACTGCATATTTCTGCATACCTTGTATCTGATTTTCCAACTAGTGGGAACTAACAAAACTACAGGGCTTAGCATTTCAGAGCAAAGTGCTCAGCGTGGGCTTGCATGCTGGTCCACAATGGATGACCGTGCATCCTTCACTCCCTGGAGTGTCTAGTCATGTGACGAGTCCCCTCCACAGTTCCCCCTTCCCTCTGCATCAGGTTTAGCACACAAAGACCCTTCCTGTCTCCTTGAAGCTCTTCCTTCCCCTGCCTGTGCCCTGCCCTTGTTCTGAACTCCTGCATGCTCACATGTTTGGTCACAGCCTTCTCATCCCCTGTCCTCATGATTACCCTAGGGTCTGTCTTCAAAGCCGGGATCTGTCTTCAAAGCTGAATGTTGGCTCTGTATCTGCAACTCAACCGTTAGGGACTGGAGACACCAGAAACTTGACAGGCCTCCCTGACTCTCCATGTGGCCTACCAGCATGTCCCACCTCCTGTGACCTTGTCTAAGGGACAGCAGCACCATAATCCCAGGGCCGATGATGGGACCTCTCCTTCCCTGTCACCCACAGCTCACCTAGTTCTCGTCCACCCGCCCCTGTCATCCCTGCCACTCCTGCAGCTTCCTCTACACCTCTGTCACCCACATCTCACTGCATCTAGAGGCAGGCTCCAGGCATGCACATGGTGGCCCCATGCTCCTTCATGCCTCCATCCTTGCCTGTGCCTCTCTGTGCTCTGGCAACGGCCACCAGGAAGCACTTGCAGCCCAAGAGCCTGTGATTGTGGCATACCCTGGACATGCAGCTCCTTTGCCTGAGGTGACAAATGACAATGTTATTTTCTTTCAGTGGCAGAAAGACAGAGATGGCCCTATAGAAGAGACACCCCGAAAAACCCCATAGATTTCTATTTGACATAGGAGGACAATAGCAGGACCCTGGTGGATCTTGCAAAGCTATTTGTATTTGGTTGCTGTTTTTACTTTACAACATTTACCATGGTTTTAGTTACTAACTTACTTGTTTTGTGGTTTTTACACTTGATCTTAGGCTCCATAGGGAAAAGAACTATGTCAGTTGTGTCATATGATGTATGTGTAGTGGCTGCTATTAGGGCCAGTAGAGATTAGATGTTTCATGAATATATTCTGCTGAAAGACTGAACAAATGAGTGAGGGAAAGAAGTGTAGCCAGCCTGGAATGAGAATGTCATTATTACTCCCACATTTGCTAAAGAGCGCTGATTAATATTTTTCCCATTATAATCTCTAGCAGGAGTTATGATATTAGTCAGTGTGAAGGTGAAACAACAAACATGAATTTCACCAATATGGAAAGATTTCAACCCAAGATGTCATAAACTAAATATGAATGAAGAATTGGTTTCATCCAAGAAAATATTAACTCCGAAAATTTGCCACAAGAAATAAAGCCATACAAAACTTCTATACTTCTGAAATTTAATACTCTAACCAAAGTTATTTGCATGAAAAAAAGTGCCAGAAATATGTAAAATCTTCTTAATCATTCTTTAACATTCAGAGATCAACAAGTAAAAAAAAAAAAAAAATAGGCATTTCCTGTCCATTTCAGTTCCCCTTCCCAAGGAGAGACGACAATGTGAGGTGGAGCTGCAGAATCAGTGCTGACCAGAGGATGCTCAGAATGGACACTGCTTCAGTGCAAACTCTCATAGTATTTGCCATTTGTGAAAATGTCCCCTACTCATTATGCTATGGACACAAATCTGAGTGTCATCTATTTATAGTTTCTCTCTCAAATAGAAAACTATAGATACTCATCATGAAAGGGACAGAGCTACTTCAAGACTTTAAATATCCATTAGTGTTGATATGGTTATTATTCAAAAGACACAAATACTTGTAATTACATGAAAACATCATTAAATATTATACTTCACTACATATTTGTCTCATCTTAGCAGAAGAGAAGGGATGTTATATTCTAGGGTTACCAGATTAAATACAGGCTGCCAATTTGAATTTCAGATAAACATGAATAATATTTTAGTATTAGTATGCACTATTCAATATTATTCATGATTTATCTGAAATTCAAATTTAAGTGTGCAGCCTGTATTTATATTTGCTATATATGGCAGCCCTATTACATCACATCTCCTTTGATCATCTTGGCAAGCTAGTGAAGATATGTTGGATATATGTAGCAACATATTCCTACTTTATAGGTGACGATATTGAGTTTTAGAGAACAGAACTGATACATATTTTCTATGAACTGGTTAGACATGAAATGCCTTTTCACTTCAATGTTGATGAATGAAATAAAGGATTATAACAATGGACTCCACAGTGAACATTAATTATAAGGCTATTACTGAGGATACAGACTGAAACAGGGGAAGAGGTAGTTGTGCTTTGATTGCATTGTCCTTTTTTTCTATCCGCTCTTCTAGAAGTCATAGAACTTAGCCAACTGGAGGGCAATGAAAAGAAAGTCAGTATTCTAATGAATGCTGAAAAAAGCTCAATATCATTGATCATCAGAGAAGTGCAAATCGAAACCAAAATGAGATACCATCTCATGCCAGTCAGAATGATTATTAAAAAGTCCAGAAACAACAGATGCTGGTGAAGCTGTGAAGAAATAGGAATGCTTTTACACTGCTGGTGAAAATGTAAACAGTTCAACCATTGTGGAAGACAGTATGATGATTCTTCAAGGATCTAGAACCAGAAATACCATTTGACCCAGCAATCCCATTAATGGGTATATACTCAAAGGAAAATAAATCATTCTACTATAAAGCCACACGCACACATATGTTTATTGCAGCACTATTTATAATAGCAAAGACATGGAACCAACCCAAATGCCCATTAATGATAGACTGGATAAAGAAAATGTGGTACATATACACCATGGAATACTACGCAGCCATAAAAAGCAATAAGATCACGTCCTTTTCAGGGACATAGATGAAGCTGGAAGACATCATCCTCAGCAAGCTAACACAGGAACAGAAAACCAAACACCGCATGTTCTCACTCTTAAGTGGGAGTTGAACATTGAGAACACATGGACACAGAGAGGGGGACAACACACACCAGGGCCTGTTGGGGGAAGGGGAGTAAGGGGAAAGAACTTAGAAGACAGGTCAATAGGTGCAACAAACCACCATGGCACACATATACCTATGTAACAAATCTGCACATTCTGCATATGTATCCTGTTTTGCTATTGTTGTTGTTAAGAAGAAATAAAGAAAGAAAAGTCAGCATTCTCCTCCATTGGAAGACTTTGTCTGTCATCCATCTCAAGGACAAGCAGAGGCACATCTGTGTCAGAAGGCAATATGTTCTTCTGGCCTCAATGACCCCCTCCCTCTGTACATACAAGGTGGACTCGAGCATCCTTGGGCAAACAGTGAAGGACCTTCCTGCTCCCTTAAACCAACTGTTTAAAGAGAGTAACATGCAAAGAAAAGTTCACATAACTATAGATGAGTAGAAGTTATGTGTATAATTAAATGTTGGTGTTTCTGAGAATAAGATAAAAGGATGATTTCCTAAAGAAACAAGGACCACATAACATGCTGTCACCAGACCAACTCTCGAACAAGCAAAGGGCTTCAGTGGCATGCCTGCCAATGAGAAGAAGAGAACCCTCCTCGGCACAGATCACTACATTGTAGGTCTAAACAATTCTTAATATATATATATTTTTTGCTGGTGACCAATGCAGTCAAAGAAGACCAGGAGTAAACCTGATGTCAGGTATAAAATGCAGAGGTAAAACTGGATTACCATAATGACAGAGATGGTCCCTTCAACCTCTACAATCTGAGTCATTAGGAAAATGACCAAAAGAAAAAGCAAAGGTCATAAATGAAAATAGTTTACAAAGGTAAAGTTTGCACACTGTCACACAAAACAGTAGTAGATTCCATTGGAAACATGACTACTGGAGAAGAAATGTTTACACAATGCTTATCAAAAGACAGGAGTGTAACTTGAAAAGGACAAAAAGAAATTACCCCCAAAGAATTCCAGCCACAAGAAATGACCCATGAAACACTGAATCTTATATTCCCAGTCCCCATCCCACAGGAAAACGTGTTCATGTCCTGGAACAAATAAGTTACTAAGTACACTGTGGGAAGAATAACTGGAAAGAGAAATGTGTTTTTTAGTGGGGAATTTTTTTTTTTTAATGGGAGTTTGAATGAAATACTGTTCTTAGAGCAGAATGTGGCAGTAAGTAAAGCTACCAGGATAAATTCCTAATGCATTTCATGGGAACGCAGTGACCTGAACGCGGGAACTGGGGAAGCAGCAATAGCAATTAGGATCCCCACAAAAACCCTCAAGCACTGAGGTTTAGGAGGTAGGAACCGAAAGGGTTTATCTAGACTAGCACTGTCCAATGGTGACACATCAGACTCCACAAAAGTAATTTAAATTTTTCTAGATGCCACATTTAAAATGGAAAAAAGGAAACAGGTGAATAAATTTTAATTATATATTTTACTTAACCCAAGGTTTCCAAAAAAATTATGTGATATATCATATGTAATCAATATAAAATATTTGGATCTTTTATATGAAGTGAAATCCAAGTGTATTTTATACTTATAGTCCATTTCAGTTCATACTAACCACATTTCAGCTGGCCAGAGACACATTTCAGCAGGCTGTGGCTAATGTACGGGACTGCCTGAGGATGTACAGGGGTGTCCTGGTGCTGCTCTGGAGAGCCAGGTACTCCTGGCTACACGCAAACAAGAGACAAGTCCAAACCCACAACATCATGAGCTTCAGTTTTCTGCATTTCACATATTGAACCTTGCCCTATTTTTCAAATATAGAGGTCCTTCTCTATAAGTGTTTAAAAATCCCTGCACCAGGTCAATTGCCTCCTCTTTCAAGTAAGATGATGGAGGTTCACCAAGGTGAAGTGACAGCTCACAGCTACACGGCCAGTAAATGTGGCCATGAGAATGGAACCTGGTCTCTAAATCCTTACCTGGACACCTGCTATCACTTGCTGGCACACAGCTCACAGGCAGTGGCAGATGCCCTGTGGGAGTGAATGCCATGTAGGTAGTTCATTTCAGAAACTTATTGATGGACAGAAAGCAATCACGACCATTAGAAAAGGTTATTTCTGTTTTTCATCTGTTTGCTTTGTAGAGTTTTCTATCTACCAAGAAGTCAAGTTAGTTCCTACTTTTCTTTGGAGTATAGCTTCTGTGTCTCTTTTATGAATAACCCTGACTGACCTCCCAAACAGAAACACTGCGGCCAACATGATTTTCCATCATCCAGAGCCTGAATAATCCACATATTAAAGCAAGTGCAAATCACAGGGGAAATCAGATGTATTTATTCCTAAATTAAGCTAACAAGGAAAAGCAAGCAAAGGTATATAGCATGATGTTCAAACAAACATGTGTGTGTGTGTGTGTGTGTGTATATATATGTGTGTGTATATATATGTATATATATGTGTATGTGTATATATATGTGTGTGTATATATATGTGTGTGTGTATATATGTATATGTGTATATATAGGAATATATGTGTATATGTGTATATATATGTATGTGTGTATATATGTGTGTGTGTGTGTATATATATATATATATATATACACACACACACACAAACCATCTTTTCTTCCTTAATGTAAGAAATGCAGTCGATTTCCTTAATCCAGCAAGATACATTCTTGGGGAGACTATGAGTGATCCTACTGATTTTGGTCATCTCTAAATTTGAACCTTCTTTCATCATTATATTTTCCAAGTTAACCTTTCAAACAGTCAAAGATATGATGGATGTTAAGGTTGGAAGGGACGTAAAACAATATTTTAAATTGTGCAGTTGAGAAAAGCAAGGTCCAGAAATGTTAACTGATTTCCAAAGGTCAGACTACTGGGCCAGAGTTTAGGTCCTGTTCATACGGATCAAGAGCTGGTTTCTGAATTTTTGAAGGTATTTTTGTTTCAAAAGTATAAAAAGAGACATATGCAATCCCTATAATGGTGCCTCAGTAATAGTATAGATTGTGAGTTCCTAAAAATCAGGTGAACTGATACAACAGCATATTAAATAGCAGTTGTTATTCCAGGAAAAGATGCAGCTGTGATGTATAGACATGTGCTTATCTTATCATACCACTGACTACACAGAAAACTAGTGTCTAAAGGATGCCAAGCCCAGGGCAGATCAGACTTCTCTATCAGGCTTCAAGCTCCCATTTCTATGGGCTCATGAAGCAAACAGGGAAACAGACGATGAAAAAAAACCTTCTATTGCTGTTTCATTTAAAAAAAAAAAGAATTTAGATGACAAAGGATTTGTTTAAACATTAAAATTGACAATAAAAATAAGCCCCTTAAATCACTATTTGCTATATATAATGTAGACTCTCATGTGCATAATTCAATTATCAGTGGTGAAAAATTAACCATGTTTTTTGCTCTGGGGGAAAATAGCTGCTATTTTTTAACTTTCAATGTTTAAGTAGCTAACATGAATTTTATGGTTTGAACAAGATTCCGTTTTGCATCTTCAGAGTACTGGCCAATTTAAATGAACACAAATGTAACAATATCTCATTTGTAAGGTAAATATGCCTTATACTAAGATAGAGTCTGTTATGAGCTGAACTGTGTCCACCCAAAAGTCATATGTTTAAGTCCTGGCCTTCAGGACCTCAGCATGTGACTGTATTTAAAGACAGGCTCTCTAAAGTGATTTAAGGTAAAATGCAATCGTTAGTGTAGGCCCTCATCTGATATGAGTGTTGTCCTTATAAAAAGAGAAGGTTAGGATACAGGCACAAAAGAAAGACCATGGAAGGACAAAGAGAGAAGGCAGCCATCTGTAAGCCAGGAGGAGAGGCCTCAGGAGAAACCAAACCTGCCGACAGCTTGATCTTGCACTTCCAGCCTCCAGGGCTGAGAAATAAATTTCTGTTGTTTAAGCTGCTCAGTCTATGGTACTTTGTTATGGCAGTCCCAGCAATATTGTATTATATAACAATTATATATTATGTATATAATATAATATATATTTATAATATAAATATTTATATAATATAATATATATTTATAATATAAATATTTATATAATTTATATAATTATAAATATATCATATAAATATTTATATAATTATAAATATATCATATAAATATTTATATAATTATAAATATATCATATAAATATTTATATAATTATAAATACATAGTATATATAATTATATAATTTATATAATTATAAATATAGCATATAAATATTTATATAATTTATACAATTATAAATATATGATATAAATATTTATATAATTTATATAATTATAAATATATATAATATAAATATGTCAAGAGTAGGATATAGAAATAATAGATTCTGGCATCCAGATAAACTGTTAAGCGCAATTTAAAAACTAGATTATAAATATTTTTTTGCTTTCCTCTAAAATATTGTGATTCAAATTCTAATACGGAAGCATTATAAATTATATATTAGATTCAATCTTTTTAACCTTGTACTATAACCTTGTACTCATATTATGAATAGCCTATTATTTGTAAATGTTTTCATTTATTTCACATAACCACCTTTATATGTAGTTCTGATCTAGAAAAGTCGCAGGGAATGTCATAGGACGTATAACATTTTGCAAAATTAATGCATTTTGATCAACAATATGTAATAATTCATATGGTTGGTGCTACTGCTTAAAACCTTTATGCTACTGCCTCTGGTGATTTTGGGGGAAATTCAGAGAGAACTAAATGAGCACTTAAGAATGAACTTTCAAGTACCTAAAGAAAAGGTCTCTGATTATAATGAATTTCTTTTTGAAGGATTTCTAGAATTTTAGCTCCATCAACATTTGAAAATTTTACGGAAATAAATCTTTAGAAGGAAGAAGGTAAAGTGGGAAACGAGGGGTGGAGACAGGAGGGAAAGGAAACACAGTGAATCCAATATAATATTTACCATCACAACGAGTAAAAACAGTGCACAATTGTCCATACTTGTGTATGATTAGATAGCCTTCTATCATCATGAGTGCATGAACAATGAAAAAATTTAATGCTTAAACAGTATTTACGTGAAAGTCCCTGTGTCTCACGTGTATAATGGCTTAAATGCTGAGACACCTGGGAACACTGAGCAATCAAAAAATACTCAAAGAAGTTATTTTGTCTCAACAACAGCAGCCCAAAACACTTCCAAAACAGAAGATAAACATATATTTTCTCTAAGGTGCAATAAAAAACTTAAAGGGTAGAAATGTAATATATCTGATATATATAAAAATTCTTATTTTGTATGAAAAGAAAAAAGTCCTACCCACAAAGAAAAGGAAACGAATTGAGGAAAATGTGATATAAAAATAGATTATTGCAAAGCATTGGATGGTGAAATCTATTATCTGGATTCCATTCTCTTTTTATTAATTCTGTAACTTTTGTTATAGTTTAAGGTATTTTTAAAATTATTCAGCCTTCAGTGTGCTGAATCCAATAGAGAAATTAAACGTGTGAGGAAGACAAGTGGCACCCCTGACAATGGTCACTTGTGACAAGGCTGGAGATTCATGTGGACAAGGAGGCCACTAACCTGGGAAGCTAAATTAGTTTATTTCCAGTTGTGCATTTGGATTCTATTTGATTCTCTGCCGCTATGTCCAAGAGGCATTTCTAGTGTTTGGCTCATCGACCCAGAGTCACTGCAGAGTAAAAGAAAAGCTTTTGTATTTGTATGTGTTACCATACCAAGCATTATCAGCGAGGTAATGATGAAATACCCGCTTCCACTCACTGGGCAGCTCGTCACCATGGCAACAGATCATTATATAAAGTTCATCAATTCAGCTGGTCATTATCCCAAAGCAGCAGACAGCTAATATGTTAAGGAAAGTTCTTTCTCTTAACTTGTAAACGAGCAAATGAATTAAATTGGTCTTGGCACTGGGAGCTCAATATTACATTTATATAGAAAAGGAGAATTCAGAGAAGAAAAAAAGGTCTTCTTGGCTAGTGTATGCTTGAAAAGGAGAATTTAATTCACTCAGTTACCAGATTCAACTAATGGCTTATTTTTTCCCTGAAAAGGATAGTCAGTCGGTTTAAACTTTCCTGGTCATAAATTAAAAGCAAAATTTTAAAATCACAAAGTATTAATATTTTAAACCATATTCTCATAGCCTGACCCTCTGCATGTAAGTTCTGGAGACCCGGCACTAGGGGATGCAGCCTGCCTTGTTCACTGTGACCCTGTTGGTTTCCAGAACAAAGCCTGGCACATAGTAGGTGCTCAAGCAGAGACATGTTCATTGTGTGGCCTCTGGGGCACAACAGCCCAGGTTAAACTCCAGGCTCCCACAATCACAGGCCGTGTGACCGAGCGCAGATCCCTCATATCTCTGTTGCCTTCTCCCCAGTGCCCAGCTCACAGGGTCGGCGGCCACTAAGTGAGTTTAACTGTATGTTTGTTTGGATGGTACCTGGTACACAGGACACGTTGTATAAGAGTTTGCTGCTATTCTTTTCTTATTAATGTTTAGCTTGTAAATGATAAGTCCTATTCAAGTTTTGTCTAAAATCAGCAAGATCCCTGCTCCACCACTACTCACTGTACATATGCCAGGAGGAGAAATGACAACTCTTTTACAGCTGCTTTGGCTGCCTTGCTGAACAAAACCTCAAAAGCTCCTTGCAGTACCCTAAATCATAAGCCAGCGCTTATAGGAAATTTACCACTGCATTTCCTGTGAATAAAAACCATATTACTTTTAAAACAAGAGTGCAATTAATAGAGCCCTCTGGGTATCCTTTCTAAACTCTCATCTAACCCACAGCTTAAATATAACTCCAATCATTCTGTTAAGGAAGCAATTCAAGTTTCTGAAAGGAAATTACTTGCCTTAGATTTATTGTATCTAAATTACAAAACAACCACCCAGTTGGTAAGGTTGGCAGCCCTTCTCTGACAGTCACCAGGCAGGCATCCAGAGTCTAAATTACCCTCTAGCCCCCAGTGGTGAAATTTATACTGTGTCTGGTCCCATTAGTTGTCAATTGAGATGGTTGAGAAAAATCTATGCTAAGCACTTTTGCACTTTTGAAACATTAATTCTAAAGGAAAAAAAGAGAGCTCTCTTACTCAGTGGAATAAGAAAATTATTTTGTCATTTTTCTCAGTGGCTACATTACACCAATTACGACTAGTGCCTGATGTTCCAAGCTGTTTGTTAGCTCGTTATGAGCTTTCTTTAGGCACTGTCTTATCCATTTCTATGATTTCAAAGAAAACCTGAGGCTGCCATTACTGACCTAAACCTTCCTCTCTGGCTTCAAAGAAGGATTTCCAACCAACTCTCAGGCGTACCGCATGCAACTAGAACTCAGTATACCCAAAACTGGAAACTCAATGTCTCCCCTTTGTATCAAATCTGTCCATGCACCTGAAATCCTGAATCCACTGGCTAGGATGGAATAGTCAATATGACTATCCTACTGTTCAGCTTCATCTCCTATCTCTTCACCCACAATTGCAGCTCATTTCAATGTCTCCCCCTTTCCAGAACACCCCAGGACTTTCTAGATCTGCATGCTTTGCATATTCTGTGCCCTCTCCACCAGGCAGCCATCTCCCCATCCCCCAAGAGCCAGCTCTCAGGCCTCTGGTCCGGGTGGAGTGGGAACCTTTTCTCACCTCCCAGGCCAGCTCAGTTTTTCCAAAGTCTGTGTGCTTATGGAAGGTATTCTTCCTTCAACTAAGATAGTGCATTAAGTCAAACCAAAGAATAAATGTCCATCTTTTATGGGACATAAGCTTTCCTTGGTGTGATATGCTGAGCCTTATCCTTATTCATGACCACCGTCATGCTCTCGGGATACAGTAGGCCGTCAGTTGAGTCTTAGTGAATGAACATATGAGGATTTCACAATTCTAGAATCATGCCTCAGAAGTCAATCTTTAAGCTCAAGGTGGAAATATGTCTTTCAATTTTCCTGGTTATTGCCAAGAAATAGCAGAATAACCATGTTAAAAATTCTATAGGTGTCCAGAGCACACAGGTCACTCCTAACTTCCTATGCACCCCTCTCACTGCCCACTCCACTGAAAGTTGCCCAAGAGGTGAGAAGCTGAAGTGAGATGGAGTGGGGTGGGGATCTGAAAAGGAAGGTGTGACAGGAGGAGAGCCGTAAGTACAGCAGAGTGGTTCCCAAGCTTTATGACTAGAGAAGCTACTCAGGGAGAAGCCTGAGATGGACCTTCCAGGTGCATCCCTGAGACCGTGATTTGGGAGGTCTGCAGTGGGCCTGAGGACCATCGTCAATCATTAACAAACATTCTAGGTGACTCTAACTCAAAGGATCTAGGATTTGACCAACAATAAGGGGCTGTTTTTAGTCCATATCACCAGATGCCAACAGTGAGGTCAGTGATGAAGGAGCTTTGAGTCTTGACTATTCTTTAACTGCCAGGAGCCCTTATGTAAAGGGCTTAGCATGGTGCCAAGGTCAAGGGAAGCACTTTATGTGTCTTCATCATTGTTACCATGTGGGTGAGGGGGAGGAGGATGCCACGGCCAAGGGCCTCCCTCCATCTCAGAAGCTCTTCTTTCCATATATTAAAACTGCTACAGGAAAAAACCAATGGGCAGGGATACTACCTTCAACCTGTGAGTGACAGGGGCTGGATGTACACTGCTTCCAATTTAATGCATGATAAATAGTGTGATTCTTGCTTGACAGATGCAAAATCTGAGGCTCGCAGAGGCTTCCTCATTTTCTGACAGCACCCAGCTTACAAGAGGTGGAGGGAATATTTGACTCAAATGCCCCTGGAACAAAGGCTTAAATGCTCCTCCAGGCCATGTTGCTGTGGCTTGATCCCTTTCTAAGTACTTTATTCATATATTAATCTCATTCTTGTTCTAAAATCATAGTGCATTAACCATTACCCAAAGAGTTACATTTAACACACATTTGAGTCATTCCTTAATGACATCACAAGACTCAGACCCCTCTGCCAAAACTGGAACCTCCTTAAAGTTAAGGATGAAGTATTTGAGTTAGAAAAGATGAAAAAATCCTGGGGGTCTAATGTACAGCACGGAGACTATAGCTAACAATGCTGTACTTTACAGTTGAAATTTGCCAAGAGAGTAGATTTTAAGTGTCCTTACCACAAGAAAAAAGCAAGCAAGCAGGAAAAGAAAGAACAAAGAAAAGGGTAACTGTGTGACCTCCTGGGTATGTTAATTAACTTGATTGTGGTGATGATTTCACAATGTGTTCGCATATTGAATCAAGTTGCAGACCTCAAATATATACACTTTGTATTTTTTAAAAACCCATAATAACCACCTCTTAAGTTTCTCCTATATCTTGAATCTCACACAGTAAGTAATGTGTCCTCTCTCCATGCTTGCTTATTAGTCATGGAGTAATACATATATAATGAGTTTGGCTTTGTTCAGATAGTTGGATGATAGCCACGGCATGTAAACGTGTCACACCCTTGTTTAGTACTTACTAACTGGACTTTCCTTCTAGGAGCAGAACTGTGTAATGTTCACGTGATGCAAAGGACACATTTGGCCAAGATGGGCTTGCTCACCTGACATTCTTCTATCATTTTCCATCTGCTCTTGAACAAATAAAACCCTGGCATAGTCAGACGCTCTCCCACTCTCCTCTCCCTTCAACACATAGAGCAACTTTGGTGTGGCCTCTAGTCAGGACTGACTATTCCTTCAGCTGCTTCATGACAAGGAAGGGCCTCCAGGCTGCTCAGGTCTGTGATGGGCCACTCAAATGACACTGCCCTCATGATAATTACCCACTCAGAACTACCAACTATTTGCCCTAGGACACAAATACTCATTAGTTCATTTGCTCATTAGGTGAATATTTATTAAGAACTTATTTGGGTCATATTCTGGCTTAGCTGCTCTTGCTACAAAAATATCAACTTCCAAAGGTTTTCTGATGTTTGGATACTGGGCTCAATGTCCACTGATTTCCTTCACCCGAGGGAAAGTGTTACTTGCAGGGAATTATTTTCACTGTCAGTATTCCATCTGGGAGGTGTGAGCCACAGTTAATGGTGCATATGAATTAACAAGTCAGGAGTGACAATGCCCCCCTTTTCTAGCCTAAGTATGAACAGGGTCTGTGCATTCTGAGGGCTTTCAAATGCTTCAGTGTCCTACCTTCCATGTCCAGCCTGGTAGGGTGGAGGAACCTCAGCTGTGTGCATGAACATGGGTGACTCATTTGCAAGAAATGTGGAATGAAAAATACATGTGAAACTTTGATACCCAATACAATTCTTGACTTTTGTGAACTTATTTTGAAGTAGATACCCATGCATGTCACTAGTACTTTGTGCCATACTCCACTACCCAACATGTACATGTTATAGGAACCTACTCTTAGATGCAAATATATTAAGTCTACATTAAAAAATGAGAGACAGGACATGCATATTGAAATAGGCTGAATATTTGTGCCCCCCTACCCCCAGATTTAGAGGTTGAAATCCTAAGTCCCAACGTGGTCATATTTGGAGGTGGGGGGCTTTGGGAAGTGATTAGGTCATGAGGGTGGAGCCCTCATGAATGGGATTCATGCCCTTATAAAATAGGTCTCAGAGCCCTGCCTTGTCTCTTTCCCCTGTGAGGGCACAGGGAGAAGGTAGCTAATTATAAGCCAGAAAAGGGTCCTCATGAGAACCCAAGCATGCTGGCATCCTGATTTCATGGCTTTTCATCCCCCAGCACTATGAGAAATACATTTCTGTTGTTTCTAAATCACCCAGTCGACAGTAGTTTTTTATAGCAGCCAGGACCAAGACAAGTATATGATAAAGGAGACCCTTTCATTCACCAACAGTCCTACTGGGGAGTTTCCAGCCATCCTTTGGGTGGTGCCCTGTACAGAGTTTGACATGAAGCCTACACTCTCCTCCTTCCTCGCCCCCAGACCTACATATTGGTTGGGTCAAAAGAGCTGAGAGAAGAAGGGGCTCCATATGGGAGAGGGGTTGGAATTCCTCTGCTATCCTCCTGAAAGAAACAGAAAAAGTGAAAGAAAAGGGGTGAGAGTGAAAAACTAGAATGATGGCAAAAAGATGCCTACACCTCCATCAATCCTTCCTTGTGAACACAGGTCCTCCCATAATCTATTCAACTCACACAATTCTGTCCTTTTTTTTCTTTTAAAACACGCTCTGGGGAAGGGGTTGAGTTGGTGTTTGACAGTGAGAGAAATTCATTCACCCTGAATATCAACAGGATCTGGTGAGCATAAGCCCAAGGATTGGTAACAGAAATGATGGGGAGGGCTGTGGACTTCCTAGGCAGGAAATTGAGAGTCTGAAATATGAAAGCAAACAGCAAACATCTGGAGGGCAGGAAAGGCCCAGTTGGCATCTGAGGGGCAGGAGTGACAAGTTTTCTTAAACATCAGTTTGGAGAAAAATTGTTTTAAATTGGGACTCATGGTCGAGACGACAAGCTGAAAGATTCAGTCACTAAACATGCTCCACGCTAATGATGCAGAGTCCAGGGCCCCCAGCTCTCCAGCTTCCATTGACTTTCCAGTGAGACTCCCCAAATCTTTTCATGGGTGCAGATTTATTTATGATCTATGAGGAATCTCAGGCCAGTTCTTATTGGGCAGCAGGAAAATCATGAGTCTTAACCAATTCATTGCTTTCCCTAACTGGGATGTAGATGGCTGAGAGGGAGCCGGGTTCCAACACTAGATATATGTCCTCCAGCTAAACACACAGGCTGCGGCAAGGGTTCCAGTCAGACAGCAAGAGTCAGAAGACCTGGAGGATGAGAGGTCAGTGCCTGGAGATGGGACGAGAGGGAGCGGGCACCAACTTACAGGGCACAGAAACGGCTCTAATTCTGAGATGGGGATATGTCCTAGGACACAGGACAAAGCTCAGACACCAGAGCAAAGAACTGATCACTTGAGAAGATGTCAAAGGCCAGGTCACTCAAACTGGGTGAAAGGTCAGAGCTGAGCCAGGACAAAGATGAGGTAGCATTGAGCCTGGGCCCCCGAGCTCCTGGCATGCCCTGACTCCAAGGCTGGAAAACTCCAGAATCTAGGGAACTAGAAGTGCAGGTTAAGTGTTAGAGGGTCCCACAGACAAGCTGCCAGGTGAGTCACTGCAGGTCAGCAACTCCATAAAGCCCCAGACAACTGGCTATTATCCAATCCGTGCACAGAGAAATGAATGCTGCCTAGAGATATTAAAAATGCCAACACCGTGTAATCAATATGATTTCTAATTGAAGGAAGATTATAGTTTAACTCAAAGAGCAGCAGTTCCTTGTGACGATTGCCATTTAAAGACAGTTTACCAAGGACAAATCAAGGCATTTGTGGTTGAAACTATTTTTTTCACTATGAATCAGTGTTCTTCCGCTAAGGACAAGGTCAGATTTTTAAAATTAATCAAATGATCACATCATTGAAGGCCTAAATGAAGTTTCTACTCTGACAATTAATCTTGGTGATCACTTCAATACTAAAAATCATAACTTTTTTAACTAAAATCCCTTAACTGTACTTGGGCATTCAAAAAATTAATTACTAAATTTTTATCATTGTCACAAACACATGAAAATTGAAGCCTACAGAAACCTCTAAACTGTTCTGGGTGTGTAGAAATCAAATTCTACCTGGCATAACTGAAGATCACTTTAAAGGATTTTTTACTAATTTCAGACAATAATGCTCAATATTTTAGTTACACATGAGAACAATTCTTAATACATATTTTCTGGTTATAAGAAAGAAATCTTCAGTTTCTTGAGCAAATTTTCCTTTCCTTTCTCTCAATTTTAATTCCTCAAAGAAACATACTATGTATTTAACAAGATTCACTATACTCAGTTGAAACACAGTGGTTATAGGTAGCAAGAAATGCCCTTCTAAACAATGCTTTAATCTCAAAATGGTTTAAAACTTTCAAACATAGCTGAGCTTTCACAGCCTTCAAAATCCAGAATCTGGTGATAAGTGTTCTCTTGGTCAGAAACTTATTAAACGTGTGTTGATTGCTCTTAAATGGGAAAAAAATTCAAAAGCTCTTTACTGCTGTTTCCATATTGTTTCTGTTTTGGGATTAGTCAAAATAATGAAATGGCACTGTTGAAGATCTGAAGAAAGGAGGAATGCACACAGGGACAGATGGCTTGCTGCTTTCCAATAACTCATTCATTCAGCATTTATTTTGCACTTACTACAGTCAGAAAATTCCAGACAGGGAAAGTTGTTTTCTTCACCCGGTTTTTTTTTTTTTTTTTTTTTGGTCTAGAAGAATAACTGGCTACATAATTATAATTTCAGATATTCTCAACTTTAGGAGCATCTTTAGTCCATTCAGGGTGCTATGACAAAATACCATAGACTGGGGGGGTTATCAACAACAGAGATTTATATCTCATAGTTCTAAAGCCTGGGAAGTCCAAGATCAGGGTGCCTGCAGATTTGATGTCTGGTCACAGCCACTTCCTCACAGATGACACCTTCCTTCTGTGTCTCACATAGTGGAAGAGGTGAGGGATCTCTTTGGGATCTCTTCTATTGGGCACTAATCCCATTCATGAGGAATCCATCCTCATGACCTAATCACCTCCTAAAGGCTCCACCTCCAGATACCCTCACATTGGGAATAAGGTTTCAACTTATTTTCAATCTGGAGGGACACAGGCATTGGTATCATTGCAAGAGGGCTGGTTAATGACAGGCTCCTTTGATTCTTCAAACAAGGTCTCGTTAACACATTGCATGTCCTCAGCTTCTCCAAGGAAATGTTGATCTGATGAGTAAGACAGGATCGTGTAGGAACAGCATTGCCCCTAGGGACATAGCTCAAAACATCATTCCTTTCTTAACATTATGAAAACATAACATTATGAAACTCCACAGCATCCTTTGGTAACAATTCTGTTTAAACCCCAGAAAATACCATACTTAAGAAACGTAGTGTTGGACTTCTCTAGGTTTCAAAAAGGAAAGAGAGATGAAAATATTATAAACCAATAAATAATGGAGCAGATTTTTAGGCTGTGTTTTGAAACAACCAAAATAAAAGTAATTCTGATGTTACATCTCTGCAAGTGACAAATACTGTTTTTCCCATGCCTGGGACAAGTATGCAGTTAGACTTGGCCATTGTCAATAATTGCACCGCTGTAAATTACAGCTTACTGCAGACATTCTGGTGAAAGGAAATGTTCTAAGTGTTAATTTGCTGGGAGATTTGAGGCGAGTTTTTTTCCACTAATGACTTCCAGGTGGGAACTGCAATATTGACAGTTGCACCTTACTTCCTACTCCCAACCCTCTCTTAATCCCAGATATGTGAAATATCTTCCTTCTGTTCCTTAAGGTATCTTGGTATCCTCATCTTCTCTGCAAAGGCTTTTTTGAAAAGATGTGGTGAGGTACCTTTTCTTCCAGTCACTCTGCTTTGTAACAACTCCTGGAGGAAAGTTCGTCTGTAACACCATTGTTACTGCTATTTTATCACGCACTGGAGGATGCACCCATTCCTTCCATGTCCTTCAGAATGCACTGCTGTCTGTTTTAGAATTTAATTACAGAGGTCAAGGCCTAAATGTGCTTAGTAATGCCTGGTCATCATTGCCAGGCAGGGGCCATCTATACAAGTTAACAAGGATGACAGGATGTGCTTAGATCCAAAATAAAAACATCAGATACTCAAAGCCAAGGCAGAAAAAAAAGTCCTACAAGGAATTTGACTTCTATGATTAGCTGTGCTTCCACTTTGCACCAGTAAATACAGCCCAAGCAACCTCACTCCTTCAGAAAGTCTCTGCTACCGTGCCCTTCATGTTAGACTACATCATAATAGGAAGCTTTACTCTACAGACCTTTGAAGGCGTAAGAGACGACAGCTCTGTGGTGATCTGAGCTTGGAGTCAGAGAGGTCTCCCTGAGCAAAGATTCCATTTGTTAACACATCACAGCAGAATCAAATTATTCCACATTTTATGGTTCTAAGAAGTATTTTGTTTTCTGATTTCACAGCTTAGAGAATGACTGTGGTGGGCCAGGTGACAGGAATTTTATATATTATTCTAATATTCAGCAGCAAGTGGGGGTGTGGTAGAGTTCTAAAATTCTGCTCCCTGCATCCCCAAAGGAATTGCAAAGGTCATCCAGATCCCGTGTGTTCATGGAGGGTCAAGTTACTCCCAAGCAGTGGATACTCTTTTCTTGCAGGATTCCTTAAATTCTCTCAGTGGTCCTTGAATAACTGGGTATCAGAGACACAGCATGCCCTGGGACAGAGATGCAGTCACCTCACTGCCTGTATTTCTGCCTCCAGTTAGGCACATGTTTATGCCTCCAGTTAGGAAATGAACACCCATCCCATTGGCAGTACAAAGAAAGGAAAGAAAGAAAGTGCAGAGATGGCTAGAGGGGTGCAAGCAGAGATGGCGGTGGCCCTTACACGTTTAACACTGACAGGTAGGGGTTTGGTTTGTTCACTGACTTGATTTCAGTTAGTGGGAAATTACCCTTTGAATGCCATACAACATATGGCATCTTCCTTTTGTCCTTCTCTTCTACATTCCAGAATTTTTCTTTTTCATTATACACATTTGCTCATGGAGCACTTGCAAAAATGGAAAATAACTCCGTTTGGTGGAAGCACTTCAGCCAGGTCTGGATAACTAGATGTAGAGCAAATAACCAACGTAATTACTTGTGCAGCTCAAACCAGAACAATTTCTCCCTTTAAATAGGAACAGCCTCGTAATTGGAGTCCTAGCTGTTTGCTCCAAGGAAAACCATTTTACATTTAATTTTAAACTTTCAAAATTAAAACATATTTAGAGGGTTTTTGGGGGATGAGAATAAGAGGTGTCATCTGTAAGACAGAGGGCATCTAATAGACCTCCTACCATAGGCAGATTCCTAAAACAGTCCCTATCATTCCCAACCCCTGGTGTTCATGTTCTATGTAGTCCTCTCTGGTGAGTATTGGCCAGACCTATGAATATGACAGTGTGTCACTCCTGTGATTAGATCATGTGACATTGCCACAGTGAAGGAATTCTGCAGATAAAAGATTACAAATAAGTTAATTTCAAGTTAATCAAAAGCTGGATCATCTTGGATGAGCCTGACTTAATAAAGTGAAAAACCCTAAAGGGAAGACTGGGCCTCTCTGAGAAGAGAGGCTCTCCTTGCTGGTTGCATAGAGTAAGTGGCCACATTGAAGAAGGGTATGGGTGGAAAGCTGCAGGTGGTCTTAGGATGTGAAAGTAAACTCTGCCAACAGCCAGGACAAAACTAGGGCCCTCTGTCAACACCATGAGGAAATAAACTTTGTTAATGAACTGAATAAGCTTGGAAACTGACTCCTCACTAGTCAAGCCTTCAGATGAGACTGCAGCCCTAGCTGGCATCCTGATTGCAGCCTAGTGAAACCCTGAACGGAGGACCCAGCTAAGCAGTGCCTGGGGTCCAGGACCATGGAAATTGTGAGCTAATAAGTGTATGATGCTTGAAATTGCTAAGAATATGATAATATGTTGTACAACAATGCAAGAATAACACATCCTCTGAATACCCTATTTAACACCTTGTTGAACTGTGTGTGAAGCCCAGGGTCCCCTCTGAGGTTAGCTGTCCTGCTCTTGTTGAAAAAAGGGGCCCCAGTTCTGGCAGAGGTGACCCAGTTCCTATTCCCAAAGCTGATGGTGTCAGAGGTTGGCCCCTGACCCAAGGATGGCCACTCTGCCAGCTGACCAGCAGCCTCAGAAGTGGCCTAGCCTGTAGCATGTGGCACATTCAGGATAATGGTGATCTGGTATTCAGGTCAGACTCTCCCTCTCAGGAATGTGAGTTAAAGAATGCACAGATGGGTGACCACTGATGGGGCAGCAGAAATATGTATCCTTAAAATATACCCCATTGCTTAAAATAACCCAAGGATTTCCTCACTGCCAGAATAATCTAATTGAAATTAGGTAGAATTTAAATAGAATTATCAGATAGGGACAATAATAAAGCCCATGCTTACCCAGCATGTGGGTGCCACTGTAACTGGACTGCTCCAGCAACACAACAGAATTAATCCCATAAACAGACTCAGAGGAGCAGGAGCAGCAGTGATCACAGTTGATTCATTGGAGTGACAGTACTTAAATTCTTCCTATTTGGCCAGATGCATAGTTACTTAGAAACCAGAAAACTGGGGCAGTTATAGGCTGCTGAAGTCTCTTTGGAACCTGGTTACCCTAAAGAATTGACTTCAGGGTGCAGGTTACAGAAAATGAAGGTAGAGGACAAGATGAGTGCTTTAAATGATGGAGTCATTTCAGATGTTCTTCTAATTGCAGGTATAAAGACACAACTGTGGGAAACAGTGATGTTGACTCTATCCCAATATGCCTGAGGTTCTATGAGGGCAGGTTGTGTTCCTGACATAGCCTCATCTGAACATTTGGAGGGCTTCATTCTGGTGGAAATGTATGTGTATTTTCTGTTGATATGCATTTTCTGAAGTCAGTGCCTTGACTTGGCCTTCGTTGAAGATTGACTTGTTCATCTTTGTTCACAACCATGGGTGAGTTCCACGCAGGTCCTGAGAAGCCACCAAGGCTCATCTCCATTGTCTCTTCCCAAACTGGGGCATCCCAGGATACTCCTAGGAGATGCAGGCCTGGGCTGCTGCCAGGTGACCCTAAAAGACATCCTGCATCTCACAGGTTACTAGGGTTATGTGGATTTTGACTTTGAACCCAGCCTTAGCACCCTATTAGAACTCTAAAACTAAGCATGAGGATACTGGAAATGGACACACGGGGACACATGTCAAGAATCACCATCCAACAGATGAAATGGATTAGCTTTCGAAGACTTAATTTTTACATATTTGTCAGTATAATTTCAGTTCTATCTCTGATATCCATAAACACCTTGGCAGAACTTATAATAAATTGGAATTTACATGACAGTACATCAGATAAATTGAAACCTTCAGCCTGCCTCATTCAAAACCAACAAAATTGATGTCTCATGGTGACAGAACTTGGATTTATTCCTCAAAAAAAATTTAGTTGGTAAATGCTTCTTATGGAGAAAATAATTTTTAAAAAACTACCGAGAATCTCATTATCCAAGTTAAATCACCAGCAGAATCTGCTCTTAAATATTTGTTTAAAAATATTCTCATCAGAATATGTTGAACAAAGGAAACACTTTCAGTTATGTTCAATTTGCACACTTGGGTCTTACAAAAGTGAGCTCCTGAGTGAGGAAAAAAAATGTATAAGCTCTCTTTCTTTTTTTTTTCTCTCCTTTTTTTTTTTTTTTTGTTGAGATGGAGCCTAGCTTTGTAACCCAGGCTGGAGTGCAATGGTGCAGTCTTGGGTCACTGCAACTCCATCTCCCGGGTTCAAGTGATTCTCCTGCCTCAGCTTCCTGAGTATCTCGGATCACAGGCACATGCCCCCACACCCGGCTACTTTTTTTTATTTTTAGTAGAGACAGGTTTCACCCTGTTTGCCAGGCTGGTCTTCAACTCCTGACCTCATGATCCGCCTGCCTCGGCCTCCTAAGTGCTGGGATTACAGGCATGAGCCACCGCGCCCAGCCAGATAAGCTCTCTTTTAAGACATGCCAGTATTCTGTATAGATAATAGTTAAAAAGTGTTGGTAATGATTGTAAAATATGTTTTACCACAACAAATGATATGGATGAAGATGGAGGAGCCATTTAATTGAAAGCCCTTAGTACCTATAAAGACCTATGTTCTTATCATCAACTAGAAAAGTCCTTTGTAAAAACACTTGCAGATTCGTCATCAAATTAGCAGTCAAGTGGGTCTTCTCATAACTGAATTTTCCAGGATAAATATCTGTTAAAAATTCCTAAGCCTGTGTCTACATTATATACTCCAGTAACTCGTGTTCTACATTAGACATGTCTCATGAAGCTTTCACGTAGAAAATGGTTTGAATGTCCCTCTGTAGAAGTAGAGATTAGACTTAGCAAAAAATAAGAAAACCTGGGGCACTGAATCAAGATTATGAAAAATCCTCGTAGTTATAATACCATCATCTCAAAAAGAAACAATACTACCCTAACTGGGTTTTTGTATAAGCAAGAGGACAGCAGGTTTGGGAACAGGAATCCACTGGGCTTCATCTCCTAGCCACTACCATTAAACCTGAAGGAGTTATATCAAAAATTTGTATCAGGCAGGATCTGTATGAAAAAAGGTAAAGATAAGCAATTTTATTTACTTATGTATTTTTTGTCCACAGACCACAATTTTTACTACTGAGGGCAACTTCCAGTCAATACTAATCATGTGAAACCTGAGAGGAAAGTCACCTGTCTCAGGTGGGTCCAAAGCAAAGCAAGGTGGAGAGGAAGCAAGAGACCAAGAAGAAAACAGGAAATTTATCTGCTCCATGAAGATGAAGTTGGTTGCATCCTATTTAGAACATACTGGGAAATTTACTAATTCATAGGTTATAACTTCATATTATTTTGTGGTTGGGAGACCAGG
Organism: Homo sapiens; assembly: GCF_000001405.40. Classification (NCBI taxonomy): domain Eukaryota; kingdom Metazoa; phylum Chordata; class Mammalia; order Primates; family Hominidae; genus Homo; species Homo sapiens. The sequence goes on from NC_000005.10 coordinate 9,179,549, forward strand.
CATCAGCTACTAAAAATATTCAGAAAACATGTTTAAAAGCTAAACACATTAAAATACAAGAACTAATGCTCCCACATTTAATCAAACAAAACAATTAGTTGTTTTTATAGCATTTTAAGTGGTTTGGCATATACTAAATTATATTCAACACTATTTTTTCATTTTAATCGGGCCTAAAACAAACTCATACTAAAGAACTAATTGTGTTCATGGAGTTCAGGGAGTAGGAGAAGACCAGGCTACTCTTTAAATTTGACTGTAAGAGCAGATGCAGTGTGGCAAAGTCTACCCAGGTATATTAGTAACCTAGGGGTGCTGCAATAAAGTACCATGTTCTGGTGGGCTTAAAGCAGCGGAAATGTATTTGCTCACAGTTCTGGATGCTGGAAGTCTGAAATCAAGGTATCAGGAGAGCCATACTTTCTTAAGAATCTGGGTGGAATTCTTGTCTCGTGCTAGTTTCTGAGGGCAGCTGTCCATTCCAGGTGTTCCTGGGCTTGCATTTGTGCACTCCAATCTCTGCCCGTGTTATCACATGGCATTCTCCTGGTTTGCCTCTTTTCTCATCTTACAAGCACACCAGTCATATTGGATTAAGGGTCCACTGTACTCCAGTATGACTTCATCTGGACTTTACTAATTACATGCTCATGCTCAAAGGCCCTATTTCCAAAGAAGGTCAAATAGGGTACTGAAGGGTTAGGAATTTCAACATACCTTCTTTGGGAACACACTTTAACCCACACCACCAGGTAATTGAGTTGCTATTGGTTGCTGCAATTATTCCCTCAGTAAATGAAAAATTCATTAAATGTTATCAAAGAAGCACTCAAATTATGTAATGTACCCCCTTCAGTTGATGGGAGCCCCTTACATAAAGAAGCACACGTAATGCAAGTCCAGACTTGGTTTGGATTTATAATTTCTGGTGAGAAGGACAGAATTTGGAGTGAATGTAAAAAAAAAAATTCCAACATGATAGTTTTTCACAAGTTAATACTTGTTCCTGACACTTAGATAGTTGCAAATTGCTTAGAAACATTGAGTGAGATAATTCTCAGGAGTGATGGCAGCCGTAAATGTATTAACTTAATTTCTGGTACCCAGAAGGGTATCCTTGGGGTCTCTAAAGTCTTATGTATGTTGGACAAAGGGAATGTCAAGTTCTGTTCCTCACTCAGCCTTGCCCTACTTTTTTTAGATAGGAACCTGAAAACCTTGAAAATTAGGTGCTAGAAAAAAAAATTTGCAGGGAGAAAAGAAAATTAGAAACAGAATTTTAGCATTTGTTGAGCTAGTTGGCCACTATCACTCTTGCAGAAGAAACTTCTAGAGTACATAGAACATTGTTTGTCTTTTCTACAAGTTCATTTGGAAAGTCATATTGATCTCCTGACTTTAAAAAATGATTCGTAGCAAGCAACCATAAAAAGATACTCCTCTGTACTTAAAATGAGTTTGGAAGGGAAGAGTGAGAACAGGGGAGGTCCCTGGTTACATTTCCTCCCTGGTGCTCAGGGCAAAGCTAAGTGAAGGTGACAGGCATGAGTCTCAGGCCCCCAGGTACATCAGGGCATCTCCGCTTTTTTCCCTGAGGTTATTCTGACCTCTGCCCCCAACCCTTGTGCACCTCAGAACCTCCCCAACTTGGGGACCCCTCTTTCTTACTCCCTCATTCTTCCTCCTTGGTGAAATGATGCCCATTGGCAGTAGTAAATATTTAAAAGCCACATTCATAGGTTCACAGGATCTAACCTGTACTGAAAACAGTCAAAATTGCATGTGCCAAAACCCCAAAGTCCTTACAGGTGGAATTCCATCTTTACCTAGTATTAATACCCTTCAAAAGCACTAAACAGCATGGACTTCAGGTGCTGCCCTTAGAAACTATTCTGTTGTTGCCTTTCTCACTTCTCCAGTGGCTGGTTTTTCCTCAATTGGCAGCCCCCCTGGCACCCCACCAAACACACACAGTCACGCCTCCTTCCCCAGCTCACACCCTCTCTTGGTTCCCTTTGGTGCTTTATTTTGAGGCCTAACTCAGCCCCTCAGCCAAGTCCTCTCCTTCCCCTTGGCTTCTCAGCCCAGGTTCTAGGTCTGCATCTTGGAAGATTGGGGATGGGATTGATAGAAACACGTTCCTCTGAGGTCCGGAAGGGATGCGACAGTGAGTATGTGGAGATGGAGAGGGGGGACTAGAAACATTTACAGATGCATTTCCCCATGACAGGTGCAAAACTGTCTGCTGACACCCACAGGTAAAGTACCCTTGCCAACCCCGCATGGTACTCGATTCAATCTGCTGTCTCCCCCAACCCCCTGCCCCATCTCACTCCCAGCCGCAGAGTCCCTCATCTATTAAGAAGTTGTCTAGATGGGTATCTATTTCCTGACCTCTATCTCCTCCTCAACTCACCCCAATCTCTCTGCACCCCAATTTTCCATGAAAGACAGCACAACTTCCAACTTTAATGGACCTGTTTCTCTCCGCACATTGCACGTTTCTTCTTACCACTGAAAGCCCTGCCTCCCCCATCTCATCTTCCTGTTTCGTTTTTTCCTATTTAACATTTAATGCAACTGCTTGTTTTATTGCTTCTGCCCCCCACCCCAAAAAAAAATACGCTTCCTGAGGACAGGGTGTCTGTCTGTCTTGTCCATTGCTGAACCCTCTCCAGTGAATTTTGGCACAAAAACTCCAGTGTCTTCTTTTCAGCAAAGGCCACGAGAAGTATCAACTGTCCAAACCAAAAACATCAGGAGTCATTCTTAATTGCACCCATTCTCTCACTCCTCCAAAACACCTGCTGCATCTGTCAGCTTCTCTTCAAGAAATTAACCAAGAGCAGCATTTCTCAAACTGATAGGTGTTCCATTATCACTTCTACAAGAAGACTTCTCACATTTTTCCTGATTGTCCCCTCACCCATGAAATTTTACTACAGATATTCTGTACTGTATATTTGCTTGTATAGTCCATGTCTATTTGAATAAAAATAAGATTTTTTGTCCCCCTAAGAACCAATGTTTGCTTCATTGAGGGTGACATCTGCCTATCTTCTGGCTGAGCATGCCATGCTCACCTCCTCCTAGACCACCTTGATGACTTCAATAGCTTTGACCCCAGCCTACTCTTCCTTACTCAGTTACAATGCAATGACATCTAGAATGCCTGCTTATTTTTATACAATGGCGGATCCTGTAGCAATACAGTACTGTTGGTTTAGAAAGAAATTGTACCCCAAACTTTACCCTCCTTCTACCCTTTTTGTTATCCTCTGATTAATTCTCCAGGATGTATAGATAGTAATCTTTGAAAACATGCATCATATCATGTAACTTCTTTTCTTTACAGAACTTTCAGTAATTATTATTATGCTTAGATTAAAATCTGAATTTTTAAACATAGCTAGAAGGCACATATTAGCTATCCCTGCCTGCATCTGGAGCCTAGAAACTCTACAGGGTTGAATGAACTCCAGGCATTGTTGGATCTCTTACTGTGGTTGCCTAGAAAACAGAGGGAAGGATTCAAGTATTTGGTGCTAATGCATTACTGGGGGTGCAATCCCAGGGCTGTGTGGTGAGGGAAAGGAATAGGGAGCAGGAAAGAGCAGGAAGTGGTGCTATATGATTTGTTACCATGGGGCTCTTCCTTTATGATGAAACAGAAAGAGACATCTGCTTGGCTACATGAGAAGCCTGCCCTTGGACAGCCGCCTGGAGGTGAAAATGGAAGGGGAATTCACCAGTTGCGTTCTGCCCATACCCGACATCCCTCTGGGTGAGGCTTGCTTCATGGAGAGTTCATCCTCCTGCACTTCTGGGCTGCAGCTACCAGCTCTTCCAGCACCTGCTTGAGAAGCCATATCCCACTCCCAGAAGCGTGCGATCTCATCCAAGCCCAGGTGCAGCAACAGCGCCACAGACGCCTGACCACCAGCTGCTCAGCATCAACTGGAGGAACCTCCTGGTCCTGCCCAGGAATCTGTCAGCCACGGGGGCAGCTGAGGCAGAGCAAATGGCCAAGGGTTCAGGGTCAAGTAAGGCTGAGAGAACCTGCGGTTGAACTTACGACCTGACCAATGAGCGGTCCTTCTCTGTTGTCTGAGCTCATTATGCTCCATTGCACCCCAGAGCCTTGGCTCACGTGACACCTTATTGCTTCTTCCTCAGATAGTAAAATGGGTCCCCAACACCTCACTTGCCCTCTTTCCACAACGTCTTTCCTGAGGTTTTTGTTCTGATTTTCTTCTTTGGCTAGCAGCCAAGGTTGTCTGTTTTTGAAGTAGGAATCACAGATACATTATCCCTAAATTTTCCATGTACCTTTATTTTTGATGGAAAGATTAGCCTAGAATAACATTCTTGAGTCACATTTATTTTCCTCTAATGTGTGTATATATTGTTCTACTTGAAATCTGGTATTGAGTGTTCCCCTATTTTGGTTTTACTTTCTCAAACCTTCTCTCATCATTTGGCTGAATTTAGCCCCTAATTAGTCTTATTTCATGTTTGTAAAAGAGATTTTTGGTTTTCTATTCCTTGAGATTTTCATTTTTGTGAGTGTCTGTTTTTTTTTATTCTTGGATGAGTATAACATGCTCAATTCACATTTTCTTTTTCTCAGAATATTGCATAACCATGTTTCACAGATTTATACAGCTGCAGAGTATCCTGAGACCATGTGATTTTTTTTCATTTTTAGTTTTTTTTTTCCTCCTCAATACCTAAATAATTATTTCTGTATTCTTGGAATTTAAAAACTTACCTGGCTAGTGTTCCTTTATTCTGAATTAATATTGCACAAATACAGTATGCTTTGAAATTTGCAGACTCAATTCTTCCTTTATTGCAGGGTAATTTTCTCCAATAGTGTCTTTGGGCACAAGTTTTTAGCTCCACAGACAGGGTTCTTTGGTTCAAAGACACCAATCACTCTGTGTGGTCCATTGTCTTTGTGGGTCCTTCATATTTAAAACCTTATCTTTTATTTCTACATTTTCCACCTTAATCACTGCAAACATTTACTCTGTGTCTAAGCTTTAGCTGTGTTTTTGTTTCCATGAAGTTTCTAATTTAATTTTTACTCTTGTAGTAGAATAGCACGTCATTTTGATCTTCTATTTATTCGCTTATCTCTGTGAACTTCCTTTTCATCTCATTTTGTTTCTTTCATCATTTCAACTCTGGGTACTGACTTTATTTACATTTCTCTCCCTTTTTTTTCCAAGCAAAGTAACTTTGTGGCACATGTCCTGCTCCTGCTGGGATGCCTTCTATTCCATTTGCTTTTCTGTAGACTGAAGTGACAGGACAGGGATGCAGAGAAGGAAGCTCAGCCCAGGCTCCCTCTTTGTTGAAGGTCTTGAGCCTTCATATTTTTTTTTCCTTTTTGAGACAGCATCTTACTCTGCTTCCCAGGCTGGCGTACAATGGTGCAATCCTAGCTCATTGCAGCCTCAAATTCCTAGGCTCAAGCAATCCTCCCAACTCAGCCTCCAGAGTAGCTGGGACTGCAGGTGCTCACCACCATACCTGCCTAATTTTAAAAATGTTTGTAGATGTGCAGTTCCACTATGTTGTCCATGCTGGTCTCAAACTTCTAGCCTCGAGTGATTCTCCTGTTTTGTCCTCCCGAAGTTCTGGGATTACAGGTGTGAGCCACTGTGCCCAGCTCTATTTTTTGAGATTTCTATAAATATTTCATTCCACAATACAATTAACCTTGGGGCTAGGGGAAGAGAAGGAAACAGAGGTGATAAACATGGCACAATCTCACATGAGTTCAGCAGCTAGAAGCATATAAACCTCTATATGAATGTTTCCTGCTTTATATTCATCTATTAGCTGCCCCTGATTTTTCTATGTAAAATTTTGCAAGTTTGAAATGAAAAACAATGATTCAAAATGTGTGTGTGTATGTCTTCTTCCTTTACATTTCTTTAGTGCCTGATAGGTGTTTTTATATAAATGTTTATGAATTATCCTCTAACTAAAACAATTTATAAAATATAACACAAAAAGAGATCACATTCCTTTTAAAAAATATATTTATTGAGATATAATTTGCATGCCATAAAATTCACCCACTGATTTTTAGTATATTCTGAGTTGTGCAATTATTGCCACAATCTAAGCTTAGAACATTTTAAGATTATATACAATTTAAGGTTCAAATGCTTTTCTAAACACTAGAATTGAGTTAAAGTGAAAATAAAAATGATATATCTCATCCTAGAAGGGAGAATAGAAAGCCCAAGACTGAATGGCATTGTGGGGGAGGGAGCATAGAATTAGAACAACCATGGCCATGCTGTGGAAAAAGCCCAGAGCGGCAGCCACATGTCTGGACCAGGAGTGCATGTGGGACTGCGAGGGACTGTCACAGTGGTGGGGAAGAGCCAGTGGAGAAGTGTTTCCAAGTCAAGTAAGGGAGAAACTCCCAGAATACCTGATTGCTCAGCATGACCTTAATTTTGTCTTTGTAGAGAACTCAATAGCATATGAGACTCCGTCACTAACAGAACTCCAGTCATAAATATTCTACCATTTCCACTTGACTCTGGCTCTGAGAAAATCTTCAAAAACCAACTTACAAAATATTAGCACAGTCATGATTCAGATAACATGCCTGGCCCTGGGTGGATGGACACCAGGAGAGATACAGGGCAGTAGCATGAAAATGGACCCAGAATGTATCTGGGGAAGACTGCTGACTCAGCATAGTGGCAGCAGTGGGAAATGCCACCAAAGAGGCAAGACGCAGATGAACTACACCAGCAAGAGAAGTCTAGCTCACATGGATCTGTAGACAATATGGACAAATAAAATAAACTGACTTTTCAAACAGCCATTGGCTGGTTTCCTCCCATTTGCATGTGTTCATGTAAAATCAAAGTAAAAGAAAATACACCTACCACCAAACCTGGATTCCCAAGCCTGGAAGGATATCAAACTGATTCTGCAAGTAAGGTAGGAAGGACTCTAGCTTCACATTCATTAGTTATGAATGTCTTACCCATGCTCTATCAGTTGATAACTCGTTTAACTCCTGGATATGGTATAGCAAGTGCACCCAGACTGAAAGGACTCTAGCATGTGTGCTCAATATCAGATTCTTTTTTAGATTTACCTTTTTAATTGTTTTAATTGAAACATATTAGATATATATATTTTCAAGGTAGATGTGATAATTAGATACATTCATATAATCAAATCACAGTAATTGAGAAATCCATCACCTAAAATATTATGTTTTCTTTATTCTAGAAATATCTGAATTATTCTAGATTTTTTTCAAATATTCAATCAATTAATGTTAACTACAGTTGCCATACTGATCTATTGAACACCAGGTCTCACTTCTATCTATGTCTGTATCTGTACCCATTAATCAATCTCTCTTTATCCCTCCCGCTTCTATATCAGTTTTAAAATCAAATGAGATGAATTTCCCTGGTTTGCCTTGATGTAACTACTGGGGCTAGTTATAAATAAGAGACCGGAAAAACATCAGCTTTTTGAATTCAAAATGTCAAAATCTCTAGTCTTTAACATTTCTGCTTGTTGGGGGTTATTTGGCTCTTAGAGGGTTAAATTAAAATGTATATTATTATACCTTCCAGTATTCAATTCCTTGGACATAAAGACTGTATGTTAAAAAAAAATATCCCTTAAAACTGAATATCATTCTTAATTAAAATCTGAAAAAAAGACTATATCTCCTTCAAAATATATTAAACAGTGCTATAAGAGTAAATGAAAAGATCCACAAGTTAGTTGAGACATGAAATATGTAATTATAGAGGTTGTTCAGTTAAAATTGTCAAGCCAGTCTAAACAAGCTGAAATGCTTTCTGGGAATTCACTTTTCAGTAGAACTGCTTTTGTACCTGCCCTGGGTCACTGCATATGGTTTGGAGCAGGGTTTGTGTTGGGCCCCGGGTATCTATGGCTGTTTTCTGCTGGAAAGTACCTTCACCCACTACAAAGTTCTCCTCCTCTTGAGTTTAACTAACAATCCAACTAGTGAGAGATGGAAACTGTCAAAGAGTTCTACATATGGCATCTTTACCCATAATCCCAACTTGTGATTCAAATTAACAGTATCTTGATGTACATGTACAACACAATTGAATTTGTACACAGGCAGTAGATCAAAAGAAAAGCCAAAAATCAGGTTTGTGGAACAATAAAGCGAATCTCTGCGAAATGCATTTGCCAAATGGCACATAGTATATCAATATCGGAATCAGATCTGCACATCAGACAGGATCAGATGGTCTGGAATCCCTGCGGCAGCTGAGTCCTGAGCTACTCTCAACACGGTGTGGGGGTGAGGGTGTTGGGAGCAGCAGTCCAATCATGCTATCATTCAAAACAGACATGTGCAAGCAAGTTTCTAGAAACTTTTAAATAGTGGTTTTAAACAATGGTAAAAGAAGTTGCTTGTAGCTATGGACTGAATGTTTGTGTCCCCCCAGGATTCATATGTTGAAGCCCTAATCCCCCATGAAATGTAATTAGGAGACGGGGCTTTAGGGAGGTGATTAGGTCATTAGGATTGGAGCCCTTAGGAACGGTATGAGTGTCCTTATAAGAAGAGACATAGGAGAGAAGATCTCTCTTCATTCTGTGAGGACACAACTAGCAGGCAGCCATCTGCAAACCTGTAACAGGGCCGTCACCAGGAAATGAGTCATCAGCCACCATGATCTTAGACTTCTAACCTTCAGAACCATGAGAAATAAATTTCCGTTGTTTAAGCCACCCAGTCTATGGTAATTTGTTGTAGCAACTGACTAAGACACTCATCAAAGTAAAAATAGAGGAGTTTCATCAGAAATCCTCAGAAGTTCACTACAGTTCATTATAAACACAAGAGAAGCAAACATGACCTACTTGGACTTACGTGGGGAGTACGTCCAAAGGCTCAGGTTGAGACCTCAGGCTGCTCTTCACTGACCCATTCAGGTCTACTCAAGAATAGCCTCAACCCCCATCAAAATCCCTCCCACTCCCAAGGTACTAAGGAAGTCCTCAACTGCCTCCTAGAATTGGAAGAAGATGGCCCTATTCTCCGTGTCATCAGCCTGGACATTTATGGTGAAAAACTAGGAACTCTTATGGAAGGGTCCAGTTCATTCATCCCACAAACCTATTCCGTGCCGGGTACCCTGGGGAAAATTAAGGAAATACATGACAGAATAAAGAGAAACAATCCTTCCTTTCTCTTAACACAAACAAAAATCAACAAAATCCTTTCCTTGACCTCCCATCCCCTCCAGATAACTCATCAATCCTCCATTTCCCTTCCCTGAAAAGCTTCTAGAGGAGATGCCCTAAGCAGCTGGTTCCATCTGACTTCGGCCAGTGCTCTTCCTCCTCTCCAGTTCCTCCTCTTCCCACAGACTGGCCCTGAGGAGCAGCTGTGGCCTCCATCTGCCCACTCAGTGGTCACATCTGTCCTTACCTTACCTGACCACTCAGTGGCACTGCCTGCCACTGGCCAGTCCCACATCTGGCTCATTGGTTGTTTCCCTTATGGGTGCAGGGCTGGCCCTGCCTTCTCAGTCCCTGCTTAGCTTCATCATCACCTCCTGGCGGAGATCAATGCTAACTAGCAAATGCAGGAGCTTGCTGGGCTGTCTCTGCGCATCTGCTGTGTCTGCTCACCGTCACCTTCCTGGCATCTTACTGACTGCTCTGTTTATTATCTGCTGTCCCCACTAGAACGTAAGGTCCAGCAGGGCAGGTGATGCCTATGTGTTCACCAGTTTCCTTCCCAGTGTTTCAAATGAACTCCACAAATAGTAAAGATTCAGTAGATAGTAGCAACTTCATGAAAAAAAAAAAAAAAACTAACTGGTAAATATGTGGTAAATATGTAACTAGGAATTGAGAGGTTCTTAGAAGAAAAAAAATGTATATTATTATCAGCAACAAAAACAGTAATCGTGATCCATGAGAAATGACAATTATACAGAACACTGGACAAAGAATGGGGAGGGGCAGACTCCACCATGAGATGGCTCTGTATGGGAATCTGAAGGCAGGAAAGAGAAGGACAAGCCCACAGAGCTCAGCCAGGTCCCTACAGCTGGCCTCACACACCCAGAGCCGTCTGTGTAATGAACTGAGATGGAACATGCTTTCTACACTCTAGTTGCTTTGGAAACTGAAGAGACCTAATTGTCATTTGTAATTTGAAAGTATCACTGCCTACATTTGCTGTAAATGTTCCATTATTTATGCCCCAAAACATATTCTTTGAACACTGCCATGTACCACCATCCACGCAAATATTTTGCTGAAGGCACTGTTTTTGAACAAATGAGAAATAACCATGACAATCCCAAGATAATATTTCACCCAACAACATCTTCCAACAAAGCATACCTTTGTCTTAAATTATCCAAATTCAAATGGTCTTGCCAAGAAAAGACTTATTTTATGAATAGTTGAGGAATAATAGCAAAGAAACAAGCCATTGTCTTTCCAATTAAAGTTATGACCAATATAGTGAAAATAGATTGAGATTTCCAAAAAGAGGGACAGAGGCTGAGGAAGATAAGTGAGCATCGCGGGTTTTGCTGGTTGCAAAAAGAGACATCAGGCGTAAAGCTTGAAATTGAAATTGAATGTTTAGAATCTAAATCTAAAACACAAAATCAGAAGATGGTAGAAAACCCCTCAGAGGGGGCCAGAGCTCCTACCTGTGGCCAAATAGATGATGTGGACGAGCGCTTCTCTGCCCTGCACCACGTCGACTGCCACGTGGGAAAAGCGGCTATTGTCCTCCATGAAGGAGGGCACTGTGGTCACTGGCTGTACCACCTCATGCATCAGAATGAACTTCTGAGCATCCTGCAGATTTCTCTCGGTCAGGTTCACGTACAGGCCCTGGTCCACGGTGCCACACTGAAAGGGAAGACGGGCCAGGTTACCAGAGCCGGCAGCCTGGACACCCACAGCTGGCTGTGGCCACCCTAGCTGGAAAGTAACTTGGAAATCAAGTAAGCCACAATCCATCATTGAAGTATGCAAACATGTCTGCTTCTCCATCCTCCCTGCAGCCCCTATCCTTAGCATCCTTTTCATGTTAGATTTGAACTCATATCTTGGGAGTCTCCCAACATCATCATAAATGAACTGATCAGAAGTTAAAAAAAAATTAAAGTGGGAGTGATTGCTAACTTTAAACAGCAGATGCATAGAAACTCCTCCTTTCCCGTCGAGTTACTTGAAAGCTGTCTGGTTAAACACATACTATTATATCTGCCTGACAAATTAGGTAGCAAATTGAAAATGCAACAATCAAGGATCTCATATAGATGTATTAGTTTTTCTACTGCAGCAGGGGGTCTGTAAGCAAGGCATGGATTTCAAGCTGATAGCATTAGGTCATTCTCATCTGTAAGATCGAACAGCATTCACATGGGCTACAAAAATACTGTGCTGGCCTTACTGTTTTCTACTTGTATTTCCAATTAGAAGAAATTATTAAAAAATGTTTAGAGTCCAGGAATATGGAAAAGAACATGGCAAATTTATAAGAAGAACAGGAGATGAGGAGGTAAGGGAAATGGGGAAGGAAAGGAGAGGAGTGGGGAGAAGAGAGTAGAAAGGAATAAAGAAGGAAGAAGGAAGGAAAGAGATTTCAGATAGAGCAAATATCATGGAGATGAACCTGGGATATGCAAGGGGAAATTCAGCCCTGTACAATGCTGGGAAATAAATTCAGAGCTGTGTTGTGGGGAGGCTGGCAGATGTTATATAAGACTGTTTCTGGCAAGGATGAGGTAAAAAGAGGGATAGAAAGGAAAGCACTGCTTTCTTAGAGCCAAGCTCAGAATCAGAAACTACTACCAATCCTTCTCATGTCTTTCATAAACTTTAATTCCTGGTACAAATGGTGACTGATCCCCAGTAGAACTTCACATAAGTAGGTTTGATGGAAAAGAATTTCCAGGCCCATACCACCTGAAACTACCCTTTATAACATGTCATGTCTAATATGTGGTTTTATAACAGGTGAGAGGTGCAAACGTATAAGATGGAAATTGCTTTTTGAAAAGTAGATGAGATATTTGTATAGCATTTGATAAAATGCTCCATAAGCCATAAAATGATGGGATGATTGTAGAAAAAGAGAATCTGAGAGTTAAACGGATTTCATGCATCCAGTCCAAGGCTTAATTTACTATCACACCCTTGCAGGGGCACCCCAAGTTCCACAGGCAAGGACTGTGTGAGTTTAGGTGAAGGGCTCAGCCCTGCCATGACCCAAGTGTGAGTTTAGGTGAAGGGCTCAGCCCTGCCATGACCCAAGTGTGAGTTTAGGTGAAGGGCTCAGCCCTGCCATGACCCATGTGTGAGTTTAGGTGAAGGGCTCAGCCCTGCCATGACCCATGTGTGAGTTTAGGTGAAGGGCTCAGCCCTGCCATGACCCATGTGTGAGTTTAGGTGAAGGGCTCAGCCCTGCCATGACCCATGTGTGAGTTTAGGTGAAGGGCTCAGCCCTGCCATGACCCATGTGTGAGTTTAGGTGAAGGGCTCAGCCCTGCCATGACCCATGTGTGAGTTTAGGTGAAGGGCTCAGCCCTGCCATGACCCAAGTGCTACTCTGGCTCCGTGGCTCTCAAGCCACATGGAATCAGGTGAGTGGCAGCTGTCCTGCCACATGGTCTGAGGTGAGGTCTCGCCTCTCAGTCTCTGTCTCTTTACCTGTCCGGTGGCTAGGAAAATAGTTACCCTGCTCATTTCTCAGGGCTACTGTGAGACCAGCTGAGATAATCCGTGGAAAGCATTTGTAAATTAACTGGAAGTCCTTATAAATGCCAAAGAACAAGACAATGTGCCTGGCACTAAAGAGAAGCCATTCAACTAATGGTGAATGGTAAATGCATTGGTCTTGGAGCAGGACAGCAATTCTATGGTCTGTTGAGCTTCAGTGGCCAGAGGGAAATGAGTGAATAAACAAAGAAGGGAAGGAAACAATGAGTGAATACACAAGTAGTTGTAATTGGGGGGGGGAGGGGATGTGCTAGGAAAGTTTATATAATTACAGTATTAAATAGTAACATTTGGAGGTCAGAGACAAGTCCTTACCTGTCAACACATGTTTTAAAAAATGAAAAAGAGCTCTACTAGGCTTGATCTAATGTCTACGCAGAAAGGTTCTAGTTCTGAGCATGATGTTACGTGTGGTGGTTTACATTCCTGAAATCAGTGGTGATACCCAAGTCACGGCGGCAGTTAGCTGCCTACCTGCTGGGTGAAGTTTGCACACAGGTCTTGTTTTGTAAGCATAGTGTTTAAAAAAAAATTGGTATCTTGAAAACCGGATGGCATAATATACAAATAAGAATCTCTTGCTGTTCTTAAGGAACCCAGAAAAATTGGACACCTAACAGGGAGTTCTCGGTGGCAGGGGTGAGGCAGGATCACTCGCTACGCCTTGTCATCTTTATTTATATATCGCCTGTATCAATCTTATTTATGACTGCCAGAATTGCCAAGAATTGGTTTTGAGGTATACTCTACTACTTCTTGGTTTATTTTGCTGGCTATAATATTCCACCCAGTGCTTCTATTTCAAATAGTTGGAAGAGTATTCAGAGTTATAGAATCTATGTATTGGATCATAAGCAACCCACTTAGCTCTCTAATACCTGAAAATTTTCTAGCTTTGCCTTTTATGCTGGACTCCCGCTGTGTCCGTGTGGGGCACTGTGTGACTCCCTGGGTTCACCATGCAAGAAGAAAACAATAAAAATAGTAAAAGCACAGCCATTGCTCTCATGTGCCCTACAATCCACAACAGTTTTCATGCCAACATCTCTTCAAGTAATTCAGTCAGTAATTCTACAATTTTTTTAAATGATAATAAATATTTGCACTTTTGTTTATTTACTTGTTTCTAGGACAACAAATCCATTCTTGTTCCAGCACACTAGTGCATGGTGGTCAAGCCCACAATCACCTAACCTCCTGCAGGAGTGCCCAATTTTAATGGTCCCTTTGTTCACTTACTCCCTTGCATCTTGCTGCAAACATGCTTGGCAGGCCGGGGGCGGTGGCTCACATCTGTAATCCTAGCACTTTGAGAGGCCGAGACAAGTGGATCACGAGGTCAGGAGTTCAACACCAGCCTGGTCAAGATGGTGAAACCTCGTCTGTACTAAAAATACAAAAAAATGCCTGGCGTGGTGGTGGGCACCTGTAATCCCAGATACTTGGGAGGCTGAGGCAGACAATTGCTTGAACCCAGGAGGTAGAGGTTCCAGTGAGCTGAGATCGTACCACTGTACACCAGCCTGGGCAACAGAGCAAGACTCTGTCTCAAAAACAAAACAAAACAAAACAAATCTGCTTTGCATATCAAAGGGTCCTGATGGACAGGATCAGATCTACGCACTTGCTCCTCCAACAACTGCCTCCTCATCCACTTAACTACATTTGAGGGTCTATTCGTCCATTTCAACTCCATCCTTTCAGAGTGACAGTAATCAAAGCTGCACAGAAAATTCTGGAGTCTGTCACAGCTCAGCTGTGCCACTGGGCCTCGGTGATGTTTTATATCAGTGATTGCCGCGTGTCTTACTGAGGGTCAGGGTCTGGATGACTTTGAGGACTGCAGCCTCTAACAGGGCAGGGCTCTGAAGCACCGCCTAGAGTGGTTTATATATTTTGTCCGAAAAAAATGATACTTTTTGTTGCTTTGTTACTGTTTTGAGATTTCTATATTAAATGTTGAAATATCATGCACCATCTCTCCTAACCCATTCTTCTTCCTGAATCCAATTCTGCTTTCTGCTTCTCTGATTAATTAGCTACTTCTAGTATGTAAGTACTGCACAAAATCCTAAATGTCAGTAGGAAAAACAAGAATTTAAAAAATCTAACCACTTTCCATTGTTGGTTATTGCAAACATAAGGCCTCTTATACATGTCTGGGGAGGGATCGTTAGTTCAAATTGAATTCCCACTCTATGCCAGTCTGGATGGTTTCATGAATGTCTGTGAGGATACTTTGCCAGTGTGGTTATCAAATAGAGTAAACATAAAGAAAACACTTGCTGTGTACTTGTACTAGGAGTTATACAAAGAATCACCATAATCTGTAACTTGAGCTCCATTGGAGTCTTAAATAATACTCAGAGAAGAACAGCTCAGGAATGCAAGCTTCCTGCCTGAAACGCATGCCAATTTCTGCATGCTTCATTCATTATGCTACATGGACTGGCTTCCATCCCATAATGAGAGTAAGCCATTCAGTGTGACACTGGCATTATAAAACCAGTCGCTCCTGGCCTTAGGAAATGAGATTTGCTGTGTGCTGCAAAGGTATCCTGATGAACGGGCTACAAGTTATCCACTGCCTGGAGGTGGTAAGGGGCTATGAAGTTTACTAAGCCACGCTGTTCACAGTAAGGCCTTCTGCAATAAAAACATCACTGTATGGAAAATACAGTAAGCATTATTAATTATTTAACCTTCAGGATTTTATTATACAAAGGACTTTCTTAAAAGGAGTATTTCCTGTATTCAAGAGGAGAAAATGAGACGAAATATGCATTTACACAACATTTGATATGTAGAAGGCACCAAATAAATGATTCTTTTTTGATTTTTAGAGACAGGGTCTTGCTCTGTCACCCAGACTGGAGTGCAGTGGATGGATTATAGCTCACTGATTGAACTCCTGGGCTCAAGCAGTCCTCCATCTCAGACTCCCAAATAGCTAGGACTATAGATGCATGACACCGTGCCTGGCTAATTTTTTTTATTATTATTTTTGTAGAGACAGGGTCTCACTCTGTTACCCAGGCTTGTCTCGAAATCCTGGCCTCAGGAGATCCTCCTGCCTTGGCCTCACAAAGCACTGTGATTATAGGCATGAGCCTCTGGGTCCAGCCCTTAAGAGTTATATTTATCAAATATTTTATACAGTAAACAATGCACATTATTCAGTGTTATCAAAATTTACTCCTAAACTATTTGCATGCATTTTTATCCCTTTCCCCCTTTGTTGATGGAAATATGCAATAAAGATGCATAATAGATAGATGTGTGATAAAAATGCACATAATTTGCTCAAGGAAAGCAGCACATGGAAAGATGACATGTAAGCCAGCCATCTTATTTTTAATCTCATGCTCCTTCAAAAGCTTAAAGACAACAACAAACACAAAACTCTTTCAAAACAATCATAATTGAATGGTCCTTGCAAAAATCAAAGTAAAGTATAAAATCACTGAACCTTTCCATACTCCCAGTTTTGGGAGTCCCAGATACAGGACCCACTTCTACCACTGATTAATAATAGTAACTAATGGCCATTTAGTTGGAATAGGCTAGGATTTTGCATCTGAGGACCGAGGTTGGAATCCTCACTTGGCTACTTATCAGCTGTGTGGCCCTGGCCAGGTGATCTGCCCCAGGCCCACTGTCTTTCCCTGCACATGGAGAAGGCATTACCCACCATAGCACTGCCACCAGTGTGCAAGCTGATCTATCTGAAGCATCTAGCACAGGGTCTGGGACTTGCTGGTGCTAAAAATGACAGCTGTGATAATGATGATGATGATCTTAAGAAAGCTGTCAGAAGGCCCTCCAGGGAAGCCTGCTGCTATGGACCCAATGTCTGTAAGCCACCCAAATTCCTACCCTCCAGTGTGGCTGTATATGGAGATGGGGTCTTAATGGTAGTAAATGAGGGTAAGTGAGGTCATAAGGGTGGGGCCCTGGTCCAGTGGAGCTGGTGCCCTTACAAAACAGGAAGAGATACCCCAAAGGTGTCTCTCCACCATGTGAAAATGCAGCAAGATGTCCACCTGCAAGCCAGGAAGAGAGAGCCCTCACCTGAAAATGGCCCTGCTCACGCTTTTGTCTTGAAGGTCTAGCTTCTAAAACTGTAAGAAAATAAATGCCTCTTTTTTAAGCTACCCAGTCGGTGGTGTTTTCTTACGGTAGTCCAAACTGACTAATACACCTGCCAACTCACCAAACATGAGTAAATTGCTTCATCTCTTTGGGTCCCAGCTTCTTCTGAACACTGGGAGATGGATGACTCACAAAGCCCTGGAAGCTTGAACCTCCTGCAGTTTTGTGATAACAGATGAAGGGCCTCCACCTCCTCTTCTTTCCTCAGCTGCCTGCATCACATTCTGTCCTTCCCAACAGGGAATCCCACCACATTTGCCAATTAGCGCTCTAATCCTGTTTGTGTGTCTCTGCTGCTCTGTGCCCTGGACCCCATTCATTAGAATGTCATTCATTAGGGATCAGAGATTCTGAGGACACAGAGCCCAGCATCATTAGTACTAATTGAAGCCTGGATTCCTAACCTGCTGCAGAATGCTGGCCTTTTTCCGCCCAGTCTCAGGCATCACAGCTGACAAAAGGCCCTTTCTGGGTCCAGGCGCCACAGTTCACAAAAGGCCTTGGTCTATTGACATTAGCCAGCAGAGTATGGGGCTGTCCATGAGGGGCCAGGGAGACAGCTGCATGGTGCATGCACCCGCGGTTTAAATTACCCTTGCCTGTCTACACAAGGCTTCTGCATTCTTCATGGGGGATGCCAACAGTGCCCCTTTGCCCCCCGAAAATTACCTGGAAGTGGGGGTTTGGGTTGGGATACGGTAGCCAGGCCGAGCGCGAGTTTTCTTGGTACTTGAAGGGCCCAGAGAAGGCCTGCGCGATGGCGCTCAGGTTGAAGACGCACACAGCTGAGGCCGCAATGCTGTTCCTGGGAGCGGAGGGAGAGAGAGAAGGCAGTCAGAGAGCTCGGCAGCACCTGCTGACCTCCCCCTATGGACTGGGCAGCAGCTGTGACCTACAGCTTCCAGAGGTCTCAAGACCACAGTCTCTTAAAGATCCCAAAAGGATGAAGTCAGAGCGTGAATGGGGCTCCCCTGTGGAGGAACAAACATCTTGGTACAGAAACCAGGCTAGTTAGCATTTAACACCTTGTAATCCTGTCAGCCAGGATTAATTCACTCAGTTGCAACAGGGGCAAGAGGGAATTTGAAGAGCTAGCTATCTGCTTCACCTTTCAAATTCTGGAATAAAAAGACTTCCTTCTCCAACGGATGGCGTCTCTCATCAGCCTCATGCAGTTCCCTTCCTGACCTGTTTATCTGGTCACTTTGCCCAGCAGCAGGGAAAGCTGTTTGTGTGTGTGTGTGTGTGTGTGTGTGTGTGTGTGTGTGTGTGTGTGTGTGTGTGTGTTTTAACCCAGATATTTGTTTTATTTGTCATCCTTTAAAAAAATCAACTCAAAGTATTTTATAAAAAGTGACTGTCTGACTCTTCATATTTTCTTTTAATGTAAAGTAGATTTTAAATTCAAAGGGTCAAAGAGAAAAATTTGACATAGCACTGACATATGAAATCCTGAAGCCATAATTTAGAATTCAGGCTCTGAGAGAAAGTCATAAATGGGAGCCCTCAGAAGGTCAGTGCCCTCTGACTAAGTATGGAAACAGCAACATTATTTGGTTAAGTAAATTTGCATTTTGAGCTCAGTCCGGGTTCTCAAAGGGGAAGTGGAGATAAAACAAGAAAGCTTACATATATTTTCTCTTGCTCTGAGACAATACCACAAGCATTTCTCATCAATTTTCTTTTCCTGCATCAAAGGAAAGGTCAAACTCCAAAACTGAAATACCTACCTTATATTTCTTTGATTTGATAAATACTGAATAGGAACTAGGCTCTATTCCAAGGACTTTACTAATTCCCATTCATTTAATCCTCATAAGGTGAAGGAAATTCACAGGTAAGGAAAACCAGGCACAACGAGGACAAGACCCTTCCCCAATGTCAGCCAGCTACTAAATGGGGAAGCTGGACTTGAACCTAAGGCTGGCTCCAAATGCCCGGATTTTCCCCAGTATGGCTCCAAATGCCAGGATTTCCAATCCTTTGCAATATCTGTGGGTGAAGTAGACAGGATTCTACTTCAGGAGAGCAGACAGTAAACACATCCTTATGGAAAAGTAGGGCCTTGAGGGTATTGTGGGCCTTCTGCATTTTCTCCAGAAGTCCAGCACCAAGGACAAGGCTCAGCATGATGCATACAGGGCCTGGCGCTGGAAAATAAAGGGGCGAACACCAGCTATGGGTTTGTTCACTTTGCTCTTTTGACTCTTCATTATCCTTAGAGAGAATGGGAGAAGTTAAAACACAAGTACAGGGAAGAAACTGGCCTTTGAACATGTGAGTGGACTTTAATAAGGACAAGAAAATAAGTGTGCTGGAGTAAGAATGGCTAGACACAGGATATCCCATCCAGGCATGCCTTGGGCCAGGTGCAGAGGCAGGCAAATGGGGGATATTACGAATAATAACAATATTTCCCTGAGCCCCCTGCTAAGCACTTGATACAGATCATCTAATTTCTCACTGAGAACCTACAGATCCTGAGAAGACCCTGACTTACAGGTAAGAAAACAGTAGCACAGAGAGTTTACGCAGCCCAAGTCACAGGCTGCAGAGAAATAAAGCAGGATTTGTACCTGCTTTGCATGGGGCCCCAGGTTTCCAGGCAGCTTCCAGGTAAAGGAAGAACCTAATCTTCTTCCTGCTGGCATAATGTTTCTCTGTTCACTACAACCACCAGGACTGAATGGGCTGACCTGGGCTCTGGTGTCACCCAGAGACTCCCCTGGATGTCCCAGTAGCTGCCAGTCTGAGCATCCTTTAATAGTGTTGTGGGAACACTTCTTCCTGTCCCCTGTGCCATCCCCTGGGGAGCACAATTGGTATAGTATAGCCCATGCCTGCCCCTCTACCCTTTCACTTGCTGTGCTCTGGGGGCAAAGGACGGGCCTGTGTGACTCCACTGTGCTCCTCCCTCTGCCCTCCCCGCTCTTCCTAGGATGGGATTGTCTACAGGAAGTACATATTCACTCGCTTCTTCAGGGTCTCCAGACCTGTGGGCAGGCGAGGGCAGCCCAGGTCTAGAACATGACCTTGAGAATGAGAAGGCTTAAAGCTGGAATCAGTATGAACAAGCTCACTTGGACAACAGACCTGCAGCCACCTGTTCCAATCTGGCTTCTATCAGCAATCAAGGTAATAACTTACAAGAGCAATAAAAAAATCCTACCCCCCACCGCAACTTTACTATCTTTATATCCATATCTATACATAGTAATACTTTACTACAATCTCTACAGTTTACTATCTACACTATAAACAACTACAATGGTAAGCCACCATTTTTAGATACCTAGAAATAAAGCCAAATCTTTAGAGACTCCATTGTAGTAGCACACCATTTTCTGCAGGCCAACCCATGCTCAAGTGACTGAGAAAACTACACAGTCGTGCTAGGAACAGAAGGAGTCGGAATGGTTATCTTTTCCCCATTCCCCTAGTGCTGAGAAACCTTGACGAATGTACAGAGGCAAAGCAACATTCTGAGCCCTGAAGCTCAGCCCAGTATCGGACAGCTTTCTGATTCATAAGACCTCTGATCCTCCTTTTCTTTCCGTTTGAAAAAAACCTTGTCTGAGACATGAAAAGGAGGTGGAAAATATTGTGAAATTTGAGTTGGGCATATTAGAAATGCATTCTCAAGACCCAACACAAATTAGTATTCCAGGGAGAAAGGGGAGATGTAGCACTTCTATCTCTAAAAGTATAGATTCCGTACATTGGGTGACTTCTGACATGATGGGAATTTGCAACACTAAACAAATAGTCTAGAGTAGTCTGAAACTTATTTTTGCAACTATCTAAATTGACCATACACCATCTTGCAATATTCCAGGCATGGTACTTTTATAACTTCTGAAATTGGTGTTTTGTTTTGTTTTGCCCAGAGCCAGGGGAATGAAGAGCTAAGTAAACCAGACTCTCCTTGTGCATAAAACTGATGTCAACTGAGCAAATGCACATTTATCTTGGGTGTGACTACACTAGTTTTTAAACAAGGTTTTGGAAAGAAAATCAACTTCAGAAACTGTAAATTGATTTTTTAAAGTAACTTATCAAAGAGAAGAAATAATCTCTGGGTTGAAGACCAGATTTATGAAAATAAAGATGGCCACGGTGGAGCAAGGATATGTGTGGAGCCATCCATACTAGCCTTATTTTTCTAACCTCATGTCAGAAAGAAGACTCTTCATGGGGGGTAAAAGTTGTTATTAAGCAAATACTAACACAAGTTAAGCAGTGGAGAGACCAGGAAGAGAAGGTTAATGAGGAAATAAGCTGCAGGTAAAGGGACTTTTTAGAAATACCACTCATGGGCAGGCATCTGATGCCCAAGAGATGAAAAAGTAAATTAAAATACTTAGGAAGCAGAAAGGACATCATAGGGTGACCAGTTGTCCTGGTTCACCCAGGAAAAAGAGGTTTCCTTAGTTACAGGGCTGTCATCAATGCTAAAACTGGGATAATCTCAGGCAATTCAGGACTGTTGGTCATCCTACCTCATTTATCAGCACTTCCAACCCATCCAGATTTTGATCCTTTACTTTGCATACAAATATTCAGCTTTTGCTTAAAGTCTTAAGTCACAAGACAAGAGATTTCAAAGGTGATCCAAATCAGAACCCATAGTGTAGGATCAGCAGCAGCACAGCCAGTGTGTAGGAAAGTGATGCTCAGAGTCTCAATGTGAGCCTTGATTCCTGGGTTTGGCACGTGCTCCTCCTGAGTCTTACACAGCATACCAGCTAAGGATAGGAAATAACTCTGGAGACATGTGATACTCCACTAGATTAAGAGTGAAAGAGATCAGAAAACTTCATAAGCTTAAGACAGCCGAAATATTGTTCATTCTAAAGTTAGGAGTATCTCCCTGTCCCACCCCCAGACAAAAAATACTATAATTTTTACAAAAATATTTCAAAAGTATAATTGACATTTACAAAATGTGTGCTCAAGTAAGCAATCTTCTAGAATAATAGTGTAAAATGCAGCTATGGAAAATGTGCATTTCAAATATGAGCAAGGTTTAAGCAAGAGCCATGTTATCTCAAAGATTTCAGATTCTCCAGGCAACACTATTTTCATTATACACAAATGCATGACTTGCATATAGAAAAAATATACATATAATATGTATCAGTATTTCAAAAAGTGCCCAGAACACAATGGCAAATCAGGAAGGAGCAATTTATAATAGAATAATTTAATGTCACTATATCCTAAAGATTGACAAAAACTTTCTTGATTTGGCGTATTTTTCCTAATACCAGTCTCACAAATCACATATCTTTATCTAACATGTAGTCTACTGAAAAGTCCTCTTTTTTTGTCTGTTAGCCCAGTAAATTAAGAAAGATTTTCTCTAAAGTAAATTTAAAACCTCAGAGGTCAAAGAACAGAAGACTTATTCAGAATGAGTAAGAGAGAGGGGAGAAAAATTATTTCAAGTTACATACACATTGGTGGTAAAGATGCCATAGATCAAATCCAGCTCAGGCAGGAAGAAAGTACTCTGCAATTCGTTGTAGTAAAAGGGGACTTCCCCAGGACGGGAGCAGTTCAGGCGAGCCTTCATGAATGTGGTCCAGGTGTCTTCCAGCAGGAAGCGCCCACCAATATCGTTCTTGCACACCCGGGCAGCTCTGGAGAACACTGTTTTCCCACAGTCATGCTCTACTGCATTTTCTCGGAAAAAGAAGTAGGTAAAATTTCCGATGTCATAAGATGACACAAAGTTTGGCTCTGGAAACAATAGAAAAGAGGGAAAAAATCTCAACATTCATGTCATTCCCTTTTGGTCTTGCCTGCTCAGTATTTCATCCAAAGAGACGTGGTTTTGTTTAGATAACACCTGGTTCCTATAGGACTATTGGGAGGCCCCGTGAGCAGCTTAATGATCTACACTGTTGGGAAACTCAGTGTCATACACAGATTCTAAATAATGGGAAGTCACTGGTATGATTACACACTCAAGTATCCCGAGCTAAATTAGGGCTCAAGTTAATGGGACGTTAATACCAACAAAAATTGGCAGCAAATATTTGCAGTACATTTTAGAGCAATATGTATTACTTTATTTGCAAATTCTTACATAACCTTCAGAGAGGGAGAAAATATGATTAAAAAGATGAAATGTGGTTCAGAATATAGCAGTCTACAATCCTATTTGTGTGCAAGACAACAAAATTATTTGACTTATATACATTCCTGTGACTTCGACATAATGTATGTGCTTTTACTAAGGACGTTAAAAATGTTTTCATTGTTGGGAATGAAAATAAAGACTAAAACTATAAGGTGTGTCTGGAATTAGCTGTAGCAATTTCTGTTGCTATGGTGACCATGGAATAGTGAAAAACAACTCTGATTTTCTTATTTCTGGTTTGCTGGGTAAACCATTTAGAGGAGGGAAGAGTATGGGGATGGAGACATTGCTTTGTAGTTTTCTGGTCTCATAATTAGTTTTAAAATGGGGAAACAAAGAAATGGCAAAATTATGGCAAAGCCTTTACTTAATCACCAAGATCTTCAGGAATTTAGGAAATATACATTATCAACTGAATTTTACATACAGCATTTGAAGTTTTAGCTTCCTAACTTCCGGTTTGAAACCAGTGATAATAGAGATAGTACATTTTGAGATACACATACTCCGTAATATTTGCTTTTAAAACTCTAATCACAAGGTTTTATTCTTCGCTATTTCTAAATGCTATTCATTCAATCAGCAAGTATCTTAATTTTCTGGTGCAAATTAGGATAATTATAGCAGTAACCTTTGGTGTCCAAAATTAATGGAAAGATACAGACAACAAGTATATTCACAAAGACACATTTTCAGGGACAATTAGTTTGTTGGGGCAATTCAATTGGCCTTGTACCTTTCCAGATACAATTGCACTGCAATAATAACATGTTACTGGCAGGACAACTAAAAATATGTGTGGCTGCAAGATAAGCCATTAATGTTAAGAGTAAGACACATAAATGGAATCACCTAAGGTCTGAAGTGCAGAAGTTGACTTCAGACATTGACAAAGGGTTGGGATTGACTACTCTGTTATTCTGTCCAGGAAGACTATTGCCAATTTTCAATCAATACCTATATTCGATATTTTCACAAAATGTTTTAATTTAATCCAACTTTACATTTTAAAAATGTAATAAATACTCTAAATGGTTTATGTATGATACTTTTCCCTTCAGTACAATACGTTGTTAAGTCATTGAAGTATATCAAGTAATATACTGAGGTGATTTTAATTTAT
This sequence comes from Homo sapiens, assembly GCF_000001405.40. Classification (NCBI taxonomy): domain Eukaryota; kingdom Metazoa; phylum Chordata; class Mammalia; order Primates; family Hominidae; genus Homo; species Homo sapiens. The sequence goes on from NC_000005.10 coordinate 9,203,767, forward strand.
AAACCGTCCAACATATTCTTAAGTCACTATTGCTTTCACCCTAAATGACTGTTTAAAAAAAAACTTGAATTGCATAACATTGTAAAAGATGGAGGTTAGATATCTTTACTGTGATAGTATGCTTTAATATCCTGGAGAGATGTTCACAAAAACAGCAGATTACATATCTGTAACTTGTGTTTTTGGAAAATAAAGAAAATACTGGGTGGTGGGTGGGGGGGTGTTAAGTCTGTGTTTACTGTAAGTCTCCAAAACAGAATTACCTGATGAAGCAGGCCCCAAAAGCAAAGATACGGAACAATTTCAAAACCATGTGTAAAGAAAATAATACTGGCATGTCTAATTCTAAATAAGAGTCTAAATTATTTTGGAATGGGTCCTGCACCCTGGCTAAACAAAACTAGAGTTTGGGAATTGTACTAAAAACAAACAACAACAACAAAAACAGCAACAAGCAACCCTTCCTAAAATGTGGAAAACAAAGAGAGAAGGCGTAAGGGTCCAAGTGTGTCTAGCCCGGGACTTAGGTTACCAGCACACATGCAGGAGGTCCACCAAAACTTATCAAATACACTCACTATTACCCACTTCTGCTATTAACTTGGGGACAAATGGCATGAAAACCACATAGTAAATAGCTCCAGTTTCTCAAAAGTCCTGAGCTGAAAAACGAGAAGATACAAAGGAAGAAAGATCTTTTATGGTTTCCAGCTGAAGGATGAGTTTATAATAAAAACAGCTAATATCTGTAGAATGCTAAGTCTTGTGCCAAGATCTGTGCTTGGTGCTTTATATCCCCATTGAACTCACAAGAATCACAGAGCTAGGTGCTGTGCTATTCTTCCCATTTCACAGATGAGGACACTAAAGCCCAGAGATTTAATAACTTGTCCAAATTCACATAACTAGCAGTGGGGGATGGGGATGGAAAGTCCTGAATCCATTAGACCGGGGGTCACCAACCCCCAGGACATGGACCAGTACCAGTCCATGGCCTGTTAGGAGTCAGGCCACACAGCAGGAGGTGAGCAGCAGGCAAATGAATGTTACCTCCTGAGCTCCGCCTCCCGTCAGATCAGTGGCAGCATTAAATTCTCATAGGAGCAGGAACCCTACTGTGAACTGTGCATGTGAGGGATCTAAGTTGTACACATCTTATGAGAATCTAATGCCTGATGATCTGAGGCAGAACAGTTTCATCCCTAAACCATCCCCTCTATCCTCCCTGCCACCCCCAGTTTATGGAAGACTTATCTTCCATGAAACTGGTTCTTAGTCCCAAAAAGTTTAGGGACCACTGCATTACACTATACTGAAAAAAATAAATAGTGCTTGCAAAAAGAAAACAATCAAAAGCTAGCAATATTCAACAGGATTTGATTTTCTGCTTTAGAAAAACAATGGTAAGCTCTTGGCTGGACAGTCATCTTTCCATGGAGACTGGTAAGCAGGTTTACTGAGGAACAGTCTAAGGGGGGTTTCAGAACCAACCAGAGAGACAATAAATGATGAGATGAAACTTTAAACCACAGTTATCATGGAAGTCAGGAATGACACAGAAAGAAGAAAAAGTGGAAGAAGAAACAACTTTAAGGACTTATTAAACAAGAACATTGTTGGAAAGTGTTTGACCCAACTCCAGAGGGTGTTTCAAGGAGGGCCAACCATAGCCTCAGAGAGCCAATAAATGACTTTCACGAGGTCATTCTGTACCCTGTGTCTGTTCCAGCAAACCACATCCACTTTTGCAGACAAGGAGAAGACTGAGCAATGGCAGGTAGACTGACCCACAGTTTCCTCTTTCCACAGAGAGCCTCTACCATATCTCCAAACCACCCTGAACCAATGTTATAAGATCACAACGTCCATTTTAGATAGAAATGCTCAAATACATGTTTTCCTTTTGGTTTGCAAAAACAACAAAATAATTTGTATTCAGTGTGTAGTGAGTGCTGTTCTCTAATTCACCACACAGTGCAGGTCATGTTGGTCAGGGAGTGAGACTGCATTTGGAAACACATCATGCGGCCCTACACTGATCCTTCAGGATGAGGGTGGACCCCTGACTGTGTGACCTGCCATTAACTCGGGAAACACAGTTTCTTGAAAAGTAGAGCCTCTTGAAATTCGGCTAGCATCCTGTTCCTTTTTCAAAGACAATGAAAAAGTGGGAATAATTGTAAGACAGACAGTCAAATAGCTCTTATATTTATTGATATAAATTTGGAAGTAGGGGATGTTAGAGTCTTGCCAGGCAGGATGATAAGATGAATTTTGTTTTCCTTCCATTATTTAAGTTCTGTCTTTTCTCAAAATGCAATCCACCACAAACTAGTATCTGTCACTCCTGAGTGAATTGAACAAGTCAGAAGGAAAATCAGGTATTTTCTTCTTGTCTACAATGGATAGGAGTGCATGAAAGAGAGATCTGAGGTATGTTGCTAACTAAATCACAGTAAAAACAGGCACGTCAGCTGCTGTGTAAACATATGCATGGAGAAACTGTTTTTTCTAATGTTTGTAAAACATACTGAGTTATGTATTACCGTGTTGTACAAAATATATCATGTTAATAAGAATTCTTCTTCATGATATAAGAACTTTTATTTTGCATATTTACTTACATAATAGTGACCATACAGATAGGACTACCGAGAAGTGACTCACCATATATGTAATTACAAGTGATGCGAAGAAAAACATCAAAAATTTTGAGATTTCGACCACGCAAAACCAAATACTGAGAATCCAAAAGAAGCCTCCCATTCTATATTCTTTCTATTCCAATGCCTAAAGCATCAATATGGGGGTACACCATATTCAAATGGCTCGATCTGATCATTGAGCAGATCTTTAATAGGTTCTTGATATAAAAATATTTGTACACAATGGGAATGAATATTAAAGGCACAAAGGAATCCCAACTCTACAAAAATCTTACTAGAATCAAAGTCAATTATAAATTATTTTGCAGTCAAAAGTCGCCTTGTGAGACACTTGCCAAAGTCAGGCTGGAAAATGCCTGTACACGATGCCTGTGACTCTGCCCTGGTTGGACCATTGACATCTGATATTTTCTGTTGTTGCATCTGACAATCAGACCTAGTTTGCAAAGCTGTGAAAATTAAATGGGCTGATACATAGCAGGATGCCAATAAATGGTGGCTATTATTATTTTGGCATCGTGTACAGGCATTTTCCAGCCTGACTTTGGCAAGTGTCGCACAAGGTGGCTTTTGACTGCAAAATAGTAGCCACCATTTATTTACTCTCAATGTCCCTTGGAATAATTTCTGTTGAACAGAACTTCACATAATGATAATGAATGATCAAGTGTATATATATATATATATATATATATATATATAAAGCTTAAAGGTCATTAGAATTTTAGGAGCATAAATAAGTCATACTGAGTTTTGTTTGTTTGTGTTTTGAGACAGAGTTTCTCTCTTGTTGCCCAGGCTGGAGTGCAATGGTGCGATCTCAGCTCACTGCAACCTCCGCCTCCCAGGTTCAAGAGATTCTCCTGCCTCAGCCTTCCAAGTAGCTGGGATTCCAGGTGTGCACCACCACACCCGGCTAATTTTGTATTTTTAATAGAGATGGGGTTTCTCCATGTTGGTTAGACTGGTCTTGAACTCCCAACCTCAGGTGATCCGCCCACTTCAGCCTCCCAAAGTGCTGGGATTATAGGCATGAGCCACTGCCCCTGGTCTACCATGCTGAGTTTTTAAATAGCAAGCTATTTCACAAAAATAAGATGAGTTAACGGAAACAATATTCAGATGTGACACACAGCCAGCAGTTTTCTGTTCCTAAATTGTTGGTATCAGTCAGTACAAAATGCCTTCCATAAGCATTCCCTGATTTTAGACCCTCTCTGTATTGGGTACATTGTTTCCATTGTCACAGTTTATGTAGATAAAACTGCTGTAGAAGCTTCCAGGGCAAATCTATTTTTATCTAGATATTCATTAAAATTAAAAGCGGATAACTTAAAATTAAATTAAATTAAACATAGGTTAAAAGCTACTGGTAGGCTAAAGTTCTTTTCCTGAGGTTTCTACTAAAAGACAGATGATGATAGATAGATAGATAGATAGATAGATAGATAGATAGATAGATAGATACATAGATAGATAGATAATAGATAGATTTTAATAGATGGATGCGCACATTTGTGTCTGTGTATATGTGTGTATCACATACATGAGTATAGAGATATATGTATACATGGCTCAATACTTCCACCTACTGGCTGTGTGAATTTACTCACATTATTTACCAGTATATTTTCTCTGTTTCCTGTTTTTGAATAACAACAACATCCAACATACAGTATCATTGTGAGAATCAAACGCACTTTGCTGGTAATCATCAAAATACAGACCTCTATTTATTAAAAATAACTCCAAAAATTAATATAAACACAGATGTGAGTAAATAGTATCAGTAATTAATAAGATAACTCATTGAGTATGCATTCCGTATATCAAATTAAGATCTACACTTATTCCATCAAGCCTGAAACCAAACACAGTGGCAGGGACCATGCTACAGACGAGCCTGGAGCCGGCCAGAGTACTGCTCTAGGCATTTCCTCACTGCCTCAAGGGGCTGTCCTGGGCACTGGGTGCTCCTTAGTAAACTGATAGACACAGCCCGTGCCCTCAAGAGCAGTGTGAGGAGACAAACAAGACAGATCAACAAGTGCTTACAGTGAGGACAAGGGTATGGAGGGCCAGGGCAGCTGGGAGAAACAGAGGATCAGAAAGGAGAGAATAGGGAAAGGGCAGAGGTGAGGCTGAGAAGGGGCCACCCAGACAAGGATGGGGGAAGAGAACATCCCTGCCAGAAGGAGCAGCCTGGGAGAAGACCATAAGGCTGGCAAGGAATGGAATGAAGCCACAGTCAGGATCAAAGAGATCAACAGGACGGGAGGTGGAAAGCCAGGCAAAGCCAGGAGCCCATAACAAGGAGTATGGATTTCAACTGCCATTGGAGAGACACCAAAGAGTTTTAAAGAAAAACTTATCACTCCGTTTCCTGGGTGTGTGGTGTGGGATGGGGTAGGAAGTTGGAGCCAAGTGCATCCTTGGTAACTATTTTCACAGCAATCAGGGCCTTGCATCCTCAGGTGTGTCACTCATTGAGCCCCTTGACAGAAAAAAGTTATTGCTAAGACCCTTGCAGTAGGAGTGGAAAGACAGTTCTAGCACATTTGATTCCTTCCTTCTTCCTGGGGAATATGACCCATTGAAAATACACTACTTTCATGAATTTGCTGATTCAAGTAGGAACCACTTTTACCAAGGGGAAATGGGCTGGCTTCCCCTAAATGAGAAGCACCACTTCTTCACACCGCCCTACAAGTCCAAAACTCACACCTACAATTCTCCATATCTTTAGGTCAATAGGAGTTTTATTAACTGGATATGTGTCTAAATGTTCTAGTTCAAAGTGACAGACTTTAGTGTCTACTCTGCTCTTATTCCATTCCAAGCACATAGCCCTCTCTTATAAAATTCTGCCAAATCACACACTCCTATTAGTTATATATCATTTCATGAATATTTCTGAAAATTGTCAAAACACAAAATTTCTATTCGCCATGTTCATTTTTCTCTGATGATATTTTAAATTTACAGGTTCACTTCTTTGAAGAATTAATCATTTAATCTGCCAGATCAAATTAATACAAGGTTTTTATTGGAATGTTAATTTAAATTTTAAAATCTGGTAAATATTTTAACTCCTAAAAAATATGTTAAAAGACTGAAAGAAAACCATGTAAGATTTTACTGAAAGAAGACATTGAGCTCCAACATTATTCAGTTGTTATCATACTTCTTCCCAATAAGCTACTGTAGAATAAGGAAACGTGCATGATGGCTCTGGCTTTGTCTCCTGAGTTGATCTGAGCTGGGGCAAAAAGAAGACCAAGACACAGGGAGCCGACTTCCCAATATGTGGCAGTGAGTGAACAAATGTCAGAGGCCCTTGACTGGGATAAATAAAAAGTTCAATAGAATAATATAGAGACAAATTTATAGAAACACATAAATCTGGGCATTTTAGAAACAAGATGACAACATGATTTATGCTCTAAACTGGGATGCTTTTAAGAAGGAAAGGAGGTAACATTAGTCATCAGGCAAGGACATCAAGAGGGATTCAAGACTGTCACTAGGAAACTGCTAGAATCTCTAGACAATGAACATTGAGCCATTTCCCAATTGTTTTAGCAGTTCTAGTACACGTCTGCATGATATCTTCACTACAGTGAGGCATCCCTTCTTGTAGTGGATTTATTCTTTATGAGGTTTCCTTGACTCATGTATATACAGTTCATGCAAGTATCCCCATAATGTGGTAGCAGGAGAAAGAAAGATTTACTCATCCCTTTTCTTTTGGAATGCACAAATTAAAATCTAAAGGTAGTAAAAGACCTTTGGCAAGTATATTGGCAAGTGTAGAAGCTTCCTCACATGACTGGAGAGGACCTGTGGCTCCCCAGCTTTTAAGCCCTCTGTGCTCGATGTACAGGATGGAGCAATACAGTGTTTTCAGAGCACCGTAAGAACTGACTCATGTCACTTAACCACACTTTTGTACCCATAAAGGTCTGCATTAAATTACCACACAGGCTTTTCTACTTTGGGTTTAACAGCCCCAGTTTATTGCACCATGTATGCAAGGCTACAACAGTCAAGAAAATGCTCTCAACCTTTTCCAGAGTCCACATACCCCTCTTCATGGCAGCTCATGCATGAAAATGTGGGCATCGGGAGAGAGAGATGGAGGCCATTTGTAACGCTGGTATTTCCTAAAGTGCCAACTAAACAAAGGGAAGGTCAGCAGCTTGTAAAGGAGGAAGGGTGCAAGCTCTGGAGTGGATCTGTTTTCAAGCGCTAGCTCAGGTATGCATCAGGTATGGCCTGTGTCAGGGGGCAAGTCCCTCTGAGCCCCATAGTGCTCATCTGTAGAAGAAGGATAATGCAATCTCCCTTAAGAGGTTGTAAGAAGGATGGCAGATGACATGGATTTGGAGTCTTCCATCTACCTAGCATATTGTAAATAGCTACTGCGACTCTTCCTTGCGGGTGGTGTAATAACTACAAGTAACAGATACTCCAATAAGTACATGGACAGGCAGGCGATATGCATGGAGGCCATTGATTTAAAATGATTCCTGACCCTCAAAGATAATAAGATTAGATTTACAGCACGATATCTGAACTGCAGCCATCCCACAAGGCATAGGCAACTGGCAATGGCTGCTGACAGGCTTGATCAGGCCTGAATATTAGAAAAGGGCATCTCATTGTGCTGTGTCACATGTCACACAACTTTGCTCAACACACTTTCCATCCATGTCATCTCATCTTCACCCTAGCAAGTTTAAACTTGAATAAGATATCAGCCTTGGACTTGTAATGCTGAAAAGAACTTATTGTTCACAAGGTCATTCTTTTTAAGCATCTCCCCAGGTGCTTATTTGGAAAAAAAAAATAGGCTGCTGACTATGCAGTCTTGATTCTATTCTGGCTTTACAGAGCTTCTTTTTCTTGACAAATACTTGCATTTTGGTACCCACATATACTTCATTCCCAATCCTCATTTGTCTTTGTTTTGCTTGTTCTCTGACCTCTGCTTCCATTTCTGAATTTCCAGCTGTAGCGAATCTTGTCAGTCGAGAGAGCACCTCTTGCAGACCAGTCACACCTCCAGGTACTGTGCTGTGCATACCCTTCCAAACAGGCTCTCACTGTCCCCAGGTTGGAGCCCAACAAAGTCACGCCACCCTAGCTGTGCTCAGGCTGTTCAGAGTCAGCACCTGGTCCCAAGGAGAAGCACTGAGCTCCCCAAAGCACCTCTCTTCAGGACAAGCAGAAAGAATTTCTCCTTGACTTAAGCACGGAGGAGATTTTCATCCTCCAAGTAAATTATCATTAATCATTAGAAGGTTCATAGTTGCATTTTAAAGACCTCAAGGGTCTACTTAATGCTTGAGTAACATCATCAATGTATTTCAAACAAACAGAATTTAACATTGTTACCAGAAGAGTTTTCTCAACTAGAATTATAATAGCTCATAAAAAATGATACAGTTGAAAAGACAATGCTTGTGGATTTCAAGTGAGTTCACCTCCATATGAAATCCTGGCCAAAATCTCAGAGACTGCAGGACACTGTGGAGTTCCCTGGGAGAACTCAGTGGGATAAGTACACATTTCCACCAGAGAAGGAAAGCCAGCTGGTCTCTGAGTGTTAATAAGGCTACGTGGATTAGATGTTCATGCTGAGTTATTAAGCCTCATTTAGGAGTTAGTTTTTCCAAGTTCCTACTCAAGTTTTTCCTCTGTGTGCAAGCACATAATTCCTTCAAAACTCACAAACTCAATTTGCACAATATTAATTTGGAAATGTATTTTCACCTTTTCATGGGTTTATTGTTCCCCAACTTGATTGCCAGTTTCTTGAAGGCAAGTTTTATTGCTTTTCTATTTTAAGCATCAACCATTAAACATTTATTATCCTGCCTTACAGTAATCATTTCAAAGTTATTAACGATTAATATTTTAATGCATTAAAGCTGTTAAGGTATTTCTCTAAACACATAAGTTTGTTTTAAGAGCGACTTTGGCACAGGAGAAAATATGACTTTGAAATATATTCATTACCAAACACATAACTTAATGTTCCAGATTCATCCAGAATGTCATCCAATTGATTGTACTGCCTTTGAGAAATGACAATAAATAATGGCTGGAAATGGGGGGCTAAGTGAGATGAGGGCTCAAAGGGAAGATGTTATAAATTTTTGGACCAGGTTCAATTTCAAATATGCATATCTGTGTTTTTGTTGCTGTTTAATTCTGATATATAATTAATAGAACATTCTCCCATGTTTAACATTATTCACATTTCTGCTATTTGTGAAGTGTGCTAATGTCTTACTCATTCAACAAATATGGATTAATCCTCATCTATGTTTCAGACACTGAGTAAGATGCTGAGCACATAAAGCAGGCTTCCACAGAGCCCCTGCCCTTAAGGAATTCATAAAATAGTGGGGAAAACAAAGAAGTCAACTATCTACCCATTGTCTTCATCTATTCCAGCTGCTGTAACAAAAAATACCATAAACTCGGCAGCTTATAAACAACCAACATTTCTTTCTCACAGTCTGGAGGCTGGGAAGTCTATGATCCAGGCACCAGTAGATGTGGTGTCTGGCAAGGGTTTGCTTTCTGGTTCCTAGCCGGCACCTTCTCACTGTGTCCTCACAAGGTGGGAGGAATGAGGGAGCTCTCCGGGGTCTTGTTTACTCGGGCACGAATCCCATTCATGAGGGACTCCACCTTTATGACCTAATCAGCTCTCAAATGCCTCACCTCGTAATACCATTACATTGAAGGTTCAATTTTAACCTACGACTTTTGGGAGGACATAAATGTTCAGACCATAGCACCATTTAACTCATTAATTAGAAAAAATGTCCGTTGAGTGCTTACTTTAATGCCAGCACTGCTGTAAGCATGTGGGACCCAGGAGTGAGAAAAAGACGTTAAGTCCTGGTCATTGGGAACTTTCATTGTAGTGGTGGGAGGAAATAACATTAATAGCTGAGGCTAAAACTGAACATGGTAAGAAGAGTCAAAAGGGCTAGATAGGAGGGAGCTGTGATCTGAAATAAGGTGGTGAGGCTTGGGTTCCATTAAGAAGATGGCATTTGAGCAAAGACTCAAAAAAGATGGGACAGTTGGCCAGATGGGTTGTCTGGGGGAAGAGCTTTCCAGGCAGAACAGCGCCCAGCAAACTCTAGCCCATGGGCCAAATCCTACCTGCTGCCCATTTTGTGAATAAAGTTTTATTAGCACCCAGTCACACTCATGCATCCATAGACTGTGGAGATTTTCATACTATGATGGAAAGATTGAAAAAATGCAACAGTGGCCATGTGGACTGCAAAGCCTAAAATATTTATTCACTGGCCCTTTATAGAAAAGTTTGCTGAGCTCTGAAAGGCAAGGAAGAACCAGAGGCACTGTGTGGCATTTCAGAGGCTAAAGCCAAGGGAGCACATAGATGAGGACAGGAAGGGAACAGGAGGGCCATGGCAGCACTCTGGCTTTCTCTGCAAGTAAAATGGGGGCTCTCGTAAGGTTGGGGCAAGAGACTGACCAAGAGCTCCAGTAGTATGGGGGAAAGTGCAACTTGAACAGTGTGAGAAAGGGATGGAACAGACCCACCAGAGACTGGGGAAAATGGAAATTTAAACTAAACTAACTAGGAGCCAGAATTAGCCAGGAGGCAAAATCAAGCAAAGTGAGGACAAAATAATCACAAACTGCAAAGCAACATGGTGAGGAAGGCAGAATGCGCCCCCGAAACTGCACATTGCTCCTTAAAGGACACCAAGCATGCATGCGGGAAAAATAGCAGGAGCCAGGGCTGTAAAAACAGGCAGAGCCAGATCATAGCGGCCAGGCAAGAAGAAACAGGCAGAACCCACAAAGGCTTCCAGAGCTCGGGCCAGGCCTGCTGGCCCTCTCCAATCCAGCTTGTGCTGACAGCTGACAGCACCTCCCACCATCTAGAGCCCCTGCAGAGGTGCAGAGGATCAGGGGGAAGGGAGTGTGTATTCATCAGTATATAACCAATAATGCTGTTGGTGTCATAAGAAATTGCACCTGGAACTGCAGTATAAAATCCAAGAGACTTAGCTTGCTAAAGGCAGGTTTTTAGAACCATACCAGATATTTATGATGGGTTTCTGCAAGATGTGGTGGGAAGGTTAGAATTCTGGTAGGTCCTTACTCAGGGATCTCTGTATCCCGGCCAGATGTCACCATGGAAAAGCCAGTATCATCATTTGCCTGAAGATTAGTTCTGAAACTCTGGGTCCTGGGGTTGCAAAAGGCCACAGCATGTCATGCTCTGCCCACACATTCTGATGATGCATGCTTTGTGCCTCTGTGCTCCTCTTAGGCTAGACTATGAGAGCACTCATTTCTGCCATCCTTCCCTGTAGTCTTTTGAGATAGTAATTCAGATATAGAATAAGCAACACAAGATCGAGCTCACTGCTAACTCAAGCATCAGCAATGCTCAAGAGTTTTAGCATTGTTCAACTCAATAATGAATCTTGACTTGCTGGATCTTGCATTCTTGAGACTTGCGGAGGAGAGAAGCGCCCCTTCCCCAGAGACATAGGGGCAGGGAGCGATGCACAGTGGACAAAGCAGCAGTTCAAGTGAATGCATTGTCCATAGCAGTACTGTAGAGAGAGGAAGGAAGAAACATGTAAAACAGCCCTCTGCCCTGGGCAAAGCAGACAGGAGATCACCATCCCTACCTCAGGACTCATGACTCTCACAGGAAACAAGAAGACAACGCCATCTGCTAACAATGGAGATGATATGGCTGATATAGGAAGCCTGAGAAGTAAACAGATTTACCAGCAGTAGAAGAAAGAGCATTAAGATTGTCAGCAGAAAGTAAGGCGTTGTGACTTCAGATCTCAACAGTTGAGTATTTCTTCCTTTGGACAGTGTTATAGTTTAACTGTACCCATCCCCCAACCAAAAAAATATGTTGAAGTCCCAACCCCCAATTTTCATGAATGTGACCTTATCTGGAAACAGGGTCTCTGCAGATATAATCAAGTTAAGATATTCCAACATGACTGGTATCCTTATAAGGAAAGGCTAATTTAGAGAGAGGCACAGGAAGATGGCCATGTGAAGATGGAGACAGACATAGGATTGAAGCTATCATAAGCCAAGGAGTGCCTGGGGCTACTAGAGCTAGAGGAGGTAACCATGGTTTCTCCCCTCAAGGACTTGGAGAGTGCATGGCCATGCCGGCACCTTGATTTTGGACCTTCAGCCTTCAGCATTTTAAGACAATACATTTCTGGTAGTTTCTGATGGTTATTTTTATTTCTGTGGGTTCAGCGGTAACATTTTCTTCTTCATTTCTAATTGTGTTTATTTGGATCTTCTTTCTTTTCTTCTTTATTAGTCTAGCTAGTGGCCTATCTTATTTTTTTTTTCAGAAAACCAACTCCAGGATTCACTAATCTTTTGAATGAGTTTTTATGTCTTGATTTCCTTCAGTTCAGCTCTGATTTTGATTGTTTGTTGTCTAGATGAGCACTGTGGGGCTCAGAGAGATTTGCCCTTTAAACACAGGCTATATATGATGCATACCTGAGCTAGGACTTTGGGGTTGATTAGGTCCTGTTTCTTCTAGCTTTGGGGTTGATTTGTTCCTGTTTCTCTAATTCTTTCCATTGTGATGGTAACCTATTAATTTGAGGTCTTCCTAACTTTTTGATGTGAACATTTAGTGCTATGCCTCTTCACACTCCCTTAGCTGTGTCCCAGAAATTCTGGTATGTTGTATCTTTGTTCTCATTAGTTTCAACGCACTTCTCGATTTCTGCCTTAATTTCATTGTTTACACAAAAGTCACCCAGGAGCATGTTGTTCGATTTCCATGTAGTTACATGGTTTTTTGAGTGATTTTCTTAGTCTTGACTTCTATGTCTATTGCACTGTGACATGAAAGTGTGCTTGGTATGGTTTTGGTTCTTTTGCAGCTTCTGAGGATTGTTTTATGTCTAATTATGTGGTCAATTTTAAAGTATGTACCATGTGACAATGAGAAGAATATATGTCCTGTAGTTTTTTGGTGGAGAGTTCTGTAAATGTATATCAGATTCATTTGGTTCAATGTTGAATTCAGGTCCTGAATATCTTTGTTAATTTTGTGCCTCAATGATCTGTCTAATACTGTCAGTAGAGTGTTAAAGTCTCACATTATTATTGTGTGTGAGTCCAAGACTAATTGAAGGTCTCTAAAAACTTATGAATCTGGGTGCTACTGTGTTGTGTGCATATATATTTAGGATAGTTATGTCATCTTGTTGAACTGAATCCTTTACCATTATGTAATGCCTGTCTTTGTCTTTTTGATCTTTGTTGGTTTGAAGTCAGTTTTGTCTGAAATTAAAATGGCAAACCCTGCCTTTTTCTCTTTTCCATTTGCTTGGTAGATTTTTTTCCATCCCTTTATTTTGAGCCTATGGGTGTCACTTCATGTGACACAGGTCTCTTGAAGATAGCACACTATTGAGTCTTGCCTCTTTCTCCACCTTGCCACTCTGTGCCCTTTAAGGGGAGCATTTAGCCTGTTTACATTCAAGATTAGTATTGATATGCATGGATTTGATCCTATCATTATGTTGTTAGCTGGTTATTATGTTGGCTTGCTTGTGTGGTTGCTTTATGGTGACACTGGCTGCGTGTTTAAGGGTGGTTTTGTATTAGCTGGTAGCAGTCTTTCCTTTCTATATTTAGTGCTCCTTTCAAGATCTCTTGTAAGGCAAGTTTGGTGGTTAACAAAGTCACTCAACATTTGCTTATCTGAAGAGAATCTTATTTCTCCTTCACTTAGGAAGCTAAGTTTAGCCGGATATGAAATTCTTGGTTGAAGACTTTTTCTTTATTTTTAATTTAAGAATGCTGAATATAGGCCCCCAATCTCTTCTGGCTTGTAGGATTTCAGCTGAGAGGTCCACTGTTAGCCTGATGGTGTTCCATTTGTAGGTGACCTGTCTTTTCTCTCTAGCTGCCATTAACATTCTTTCTTTCATTTCGACCATGGAAAATCTGATGACTGTGTGACTTGGGGATGATCTTCTTCTGTAGAATCTTGCAGGCATTCTCTGTATTTCCTAAATTTGACTTTTGGCCTCTCTAGCAAAGTTGGGGAAGTTTTCATGGATGATATTTGAAATATGTTTTCCAATTTGTTTGCTTTCTTCCCCTCCCTCTCAGGGATGCCGAGGATTCATAGATTTGGTGTCTTTACCTCTTTACATAATCCCACAATTCTCAAAGGTTTTGTTCATTCCTTTTATTCTTTTTTCTTTGACTGTCTTATTTCACAGAACCAGTCTTCAAGCTCTGAGATTCTTTCCTCAGCTTGGTTTATTCTGCTGTTAATACTTGTGATTGCATTGTAAAATCCTTGTATTGTGTTATTCAGCTCTGTCAGACCTGTGAAGTTCTTTTTTATATGGGCTATTCCTTCCTTCAGCTTCTGTATCACTTTATTATAATCCTTATTTTCCTTGGATTGCATTTTGCTGTCCTTCTAAATCTCTAACTTCATTCCTATCCATATTCTCACTTATAAATGAGAGGTAAATGAAGAGAACTTATGAACACAAAGAAGGAAACAAAGAACACTGGGGTCTACTTGAGGGTAGAGGCGGGGAGGAGGGAGAAGAGAAGAAAATATAACTATTGGGTACTGGACTTAACTCCTGGGTAATAAAATAATCTGTACAACAAAACCCCATGACATGGGTTTACCTTTGTAACAAACCTTCACATATCCTGCAGAACCGAAAAGTTAAAAATTAAATAAATATTTTTTAAAAAAAGAGAATAAATTTCTATTGTTTTGAGCTACCCTGTTTGTGGTACTTTGTTTTAGCAACCTAGGAAACAAGCACAGGCACTGTCCAAAATGTCACTGAAGGTATGGCTTGATGAAACAATTCATTGGTGGCTGTCTGCTGGCTGCCTGGAAGTTTGGGCAGAACAGTGCCCAGTATATGAGCACGCAGTAAAAGTTAGTGACTGCTCTACTGGGCGTTTCATCGGTTTGTCCAATAACTATTGGAAACATGCAGAGGGACTACCTAAATGCATAAGCAAATTGTCTCATACACAATTTAATCACAGTTAATCGGAATGCAAAAATTTTGCTGACTAAGGTTAGCAGCTGCTATACCCTCCCAACTTCTCCTGCTGAGACAATTTTCTTTCCTCAACACAAAAATGTTGCAAAAAACTGAAAAGCATGCAAAACAAAGAAGTGAGTTTTGTTCATCATTATATGTAAGCAGCTGCTAGCTGAGTGGTGGCCTTCTAGAGGATCCAAGTCCTGCTAATGTTCTGGAAGTCACAAGATTAGATGGTGATGGATGTAGCTTGAATGTGCCAGTAAAGATGAGGAAAGAGGATGTTGGAAGGTGTCAGTAATTCAAGAACCACAGGCCCAAATAATCACTCATTTATTCAGTCAACAAACATGTATTAACTCCCTACTACATCTCAGACATTGTATCGGACTTTGGGGAGTTCACAGTAGCTCCCCTTATTTGTGGAGTACTGACTATGTGCCAGACACTAATACTTATCATCTTCGTTGTCCCACTTTATTCTCACAATGTCCAGGTCAGGTAGTCAGTGATCTGCAGTATGCAGATGAGGAAGCCAAGAACCAGTAAGACAAATTTATGCCCCAAGGGCCAAGCCTCAGATCGTCTAACTCCAAAGCTTCTACTGTCTATCTCAAAGCTTCACACCACATATTACTGGCTATTCTGTGGAGAGTGGGTCAGAGAGGGGCTAGTGCAGCATTTCAGATGAGGAAGGCTTGAACAAGCACAGAAGTGGAGGAATAAGAAGAAAGACTCAGGTCTGGGAGCCACTCTAAAAGTGGTCTCTGCAGGACCTGGGGTTGAGTGGGTCTGGAAAGAGAGGGAAGGAGTTGGCTGAGATTTGCAGGTGTCTGGCTCAGATGAGAGGTGAAACATGGAGCCTGCTCTGGGCTGAGTTTTGTCTCCCAAAACTTATGTTAAGGTCCCAGCCCCCAGTACTCCAGAATGTAACTATACTCAAAAACAGGGTCTTCAAGTGGGTAATTAGGTTAAAATGAGGTCATTGGAGTGGGCTTTAATCCAATATGACTGCTGTCCTTATAAGAATAGGAAATTAGGCAACAGGCATGGACAGAGGGAAGACCATGTTTAGAAGATATAGGGAGAAGATGACATCTACAAGCCAAGGAGAGAGGCCTCAGGAGACACCAATCCTGCTGACAGCTTCCTTTTGGACTTTCAGCCTCCAGAAGTTTGGGCAAATAAATGTCTGCTGTTTAAGCACCCAGGCTGTGATACTTTGTCATGGCATCCCTAGAAAACTAATACAGAGCCCATACCCAAGATTGAAAAACAAAGAAATGAACATGAATGGGGTAGGCTGAGCTGAAAGTACTGCAAGGAGCATCCAGCTGGAAGTGAACATCGCATCTGTGGACTAAGTCGGAGCTGAGACCAGATCTGTGAATGGTCCTCAGTAGGCGGGCATGGTGTGAGTCAGGGGAGTTAAAATTTTGGAATAGAAAAAAAAATGTGATTACATATACACCATGGACTACTACTCAGCTATAAAAAGGAACAAAATAATGTATTTTGCATCAACTTGGAAGGAGCTGGAGATCATTATTCCAAGGGGAGTAATTCAAGAATGGAAAACCAAATATCGTGTGTTCTTACTTGTAAGTGGGAGCTAAGCTATGAGGATGCAAAGGCATAAGAATGATACAATGGTCTTTTGGGACTTGTGGGAAAGGTTGGCAGGGGAGTGGGGGATAAAAGACTATATACAGGGTACGGTGTACACTGTTCAGGTGAAGGGTGCACTACAATCTCAGAAATTACCACTAAATAACTTATCCATGTAACCAAAAACCACCTGTGCCCCAGAAATTATTGGAATAGAAAACTAAGAAAAAACAACAAAAAAACTTCAGGATAGATGGGAATCCAAGTAACCAAAAACCACCTGTGCCCCAGAAATTATTGAAATAGAAAACTAAGAAAAAACAACAAAAAAACTTCAGAATAGATGGGAATCCAAGTAACCAAAAACCACCTGTGCCCCAGAAATTATTGAAATAGAAAACTAAGAAAAAAACAACAAAAAAAATTTGGTATAGATGGGAATCCAAGAAAAGCGTGTGGAATGAGAAGAGTGGGCAGAAGGAAGGGATTGAGGACAGAATTCCCAGGGATAAGCAAAGCTTAAAGACCAGCGGAAGGAAAAGAGTCAAGGACAGGGCAGACGCTCAAGCCACAGCGTGCACTACCTAAGTATGGTACAGCATAAACTTTCTGTAAAAGAAACTTCGAGGCAACAATGTCATCCTTCCAGTAAGATAGTTAAGGTAATGGCTGGAAATCGGTCCTCAAATAATGTAACTAGACACTGTGGGACTGGGGAGAACCACAGCAGCGCCGCATGGTGGGATGCAAAGGGCAGAGAAGATGAGAATTGCCTGAAGATGGGAGTTTAAGACTGCCGTCCTCAACAAAGTCAGCCAATAATGGAGGGCAACTGATGGGACAGGGACTTACCCTCCACTCCTCCTGTTTCTGCTGAGAGAAAATTGCCACTGCATGGCCACCAAAGCAGGAAGACCTACGCCTTCACCACCCCATTGTAGCCTCCTTCCGCAACAAGTCCAACTCTCAAATTTTATTTTGCTCACTTGGTTGAAAACTCAAGAGAGAAGTCTGAGAGCATCATTTAATGGGTCCTTAAAATCACCATGTGAAAGGGGAGCATTCTTGGACACGGCAGAACTAAGGGTGTTTGTTTTTAGCTTGTTGCGGTTTCTTTGTTTTTGTCTTACTTAAGAGAAAAGGCATCCGAACATTTTCTTTTTTTTTTTTTTTTTTTTTGAGACGGAGTCTCGCTGTGTCACCCAGGCTGGAGTGCAGTGGCGCGATCTCGGCTTACTGCAAGCTCCGCCTCCCGGGTTCACACCATTCTCCTGCCTCAGCCTCCCGAGTAGCTGGGACTACAGGCGCCCACCACCACGCCCGGCTAATTTTTTCTATTTTTAGTAGAGACGGGGTTTCACAGTGTTAGCCAGGATGGTCTCGATCTCCTGACCTCGTGATCCGCCCGCCTCGGCCTCCCAAAGTGCTGGGATTACAGGCGTGAGCCACCGCGCCTGGCCCCCCGAACATTTTTCTGAAATCATGAGTCATCATTAGAAAGGAAGAAATTTGAGGTTATGGTGAAAAGAAAGATAATGGATAAGGCAGAAATATTGTCCAAAAAACGAAAATTACTCCAGAACACAGCAGAAAGAATCAGCTACAGACCCCGAGTGACAAGAAGAGGTAAGTTTGAGGGCTTACTGGGAAAAACCCTTTAGAACCTAACATTTCTCTGTAAAGTAGGAGGAAAGATAAACCCATTGAGAATCCCTGGGAGAGGCTGGGAGAGGACTGGAGTGGGGGTAGTTGCAAGGGGAGAGGACAGGAACTGGGGTGCTTAGACCATTACGGAGCTGACCTGAGGGCCTCACTGAAGACAGAGGCTCCACCTTTTCTGTTGCCCTTTCTACCACAGGACGATTCTCACTAGCACCCCAGTGTTTAAGAGACACAGAAGCCAAGGGGTGGCCCCCCCTGGGGCTGGATTTGGTGGGAGTCAGTGCAGGCGGGCAGGAGTGGAAGGAGAACTAAAGGAGGAAGACCTGAGACAAGGGCATCTGGCAAAGAACAGATGGGATGCAAAGCCTGTGTCCCAATTAGGCCAGGAAGGATAAATGTCCCTGTGTTCAGGCTCAGCAGGGGGTGGAAGCAGAACCTAGTGTGGTTAGAGACCAGAATCCATCCTGGATGGAGGATCAATCAGAGAAGCGAATCAGGGTCAACTAGGAGTGGAAATAGTATCTCAGGGCTCAGCAGTAGCAGAAAGTGCCCTAACAAAACACAGGAGAGGTATGAAGACAACACTTCATATGCAATAACTCAGGGTCCTCAGGCAGGGCTCTTGGTTTTCTATCCTAGGAGAGAGGGTCTTCCCAATGTAGGCCAGGGAAGGAGTGTGGGGGAGGGCGGTGGAAATGCTGCTTTCCTGAGAAATGCAGGCTATTCATTGTCATGCAAATTGTGCTGCCCTTGTGGCCTGAGTGGTAGAGCCACCGTATTGACCTCTGAATTACTTTCAGTGTCTGCAGTTATCAGATCTTAGAAATGAACAGCAGAATGTTTTAGGAATCGGAAACATTAATGCCTTTGTAAATCAAATAACAATGTTATGCCTGAGAAGACTGTGATAAACACTGTTTTAGCTCTTCCATTGCCTGGATGGCAACACATGACTCTCCAATGGAAAAGGAGAATTCACAGATGCTGACAACCAGGACGCTGACCGATACTGACCACCTGATCAGCTGGTGGTCACTCAGTCACATGTAAGAAGGCAGCTAGTGTTTGTAACTCATACTATGACCTGAATTGTTTTTCCAGGATATTCTTAAAGTGTCACTTTGGGAAAAGAGCTTTTTACTTTGCTTCTGGCAAATGCTAATTACAAAGCTTTTATTGGGATAGGGATTCTTGATTTTTAAGTGGAAACTTCCTTGGCCAGTCAGAATCAACAAACATATGGAAAGAACAACTTGAAGCTGCACAGATGAAAGTTTCAGGGCCAAAAGGGGACCATCCACATAGAATCAACTGATTCGGTTGAAGTCAGTTCAACAGAAATGATGTTAATGGGAGAATTCTAGTTAGTGCTTCAGTTTGGGAAAACAATTCATGTTTCCCTTTGGAAGCAATAGAGTCATTTAGTTTACTTGAGAAAGTTAATGACGAGGACATCCTTTTTTTCCTACAGGACAGTCTTTTAAAGGCAATCTCTGATGATTAGGTTGACTGTATTATTTGGCAAAATACTTGCATTGAATATATGTACACGTATCCATGGTTTTGCATATATGATGAGTCTAAAGCAGTGGTTCTCAACTAGAGTTAATTCCCCCCTCCCAGGGGGTACTGAAAAATTGCTGAAAACATTTTTTGTTGTTACAACTGGGCAGAGGAGGATGCTACTGGCATATAATGACTATAGGTTGAAAATGCTGCTAGACATCCTACTATGCCAAGGACAAGACCCACCCCCCAGTCCCACAACTAAGACAATTTGGCCCAAAACATCACTAGTGCTGAGGTTGAGAAACTCTGGTCTACATAATTAGCTGATATGTAGCAAAAGTCTACTAACTCTCAAGATTTCACTTTTGTACAAACTATCAAATAAATGCTTGGGGCAATGGATTACACATGGTACATATACATTGTCTTTGTAGGTGTATGTGTATGTGCGTGTGTGTGTGAGACCACACTCACACATGAATGCACAGATATACAGAGGGCTGCATTTCAGCTGACACACATCAGGGCTTTGTACACAGCGAACCTCAATTTGGATGGTTGTCACCATCTTCTGATTGCTCAGTAAGCAAGTGACCAAGTTCTGGCCCAGAACTGAAAGAAGCCTTCTAAGGGTTTCTGGTTTCTTTAAAAATAAATGCATGGATGAAAAGGGGAGAGGGATGTGGCTCTTCTTCGAGTGGATGTTGCCACATGTGGATGCAATACCTGAATTTGCAGCAACAATTTTGCAACCACAAGCAGAGGTGGCCTGAGGGCCCATCTGCCAGACTGTGGATGGCAGAGACTGCAGTGAATACTCGCCTCCTTATTAACTGAGCCACTGAATGAATAAACCCTGAAGATGCCTACTACTAACTTCTAAGTATGTGAGTTGATACATTTTTTACATTTTTAATTGTCATACTTTTTGGAGTTACCTATAGACAAACACATTCTTTTATACAGTTGCTGAAAATTACATGCCATGTTAGTAATTTCCATTTCTAGACACATAAAATGGAAGTTAAGAAGTAATGCACAGGAGTCTACACATGACAAGCTGTCAAATTTTCTAGACATTAAACAACAATATAAAAAAAAACAGCAAGTTTCTATAAGTGGTCATATCAACATTAGCCATATTATCATGGTTAGAGTGTTGCGAATATCACTTCTCTTCCAAATACTAAATAGCCATATGATATCCTGTTTATCATTAGTCCTGAACAAGCGACACTTTGATTTCTTTAGAAGATGAAGAATTCATTTTTATTTAGAGTGTTGTAGTTTGCTTTTGAGCACCAAATCACCAGGAATCAAAGACAAATGAGGTGAGAAAGAGGGAGTGACGGAAGGCTTACCATTGAGCCATTTGGAGTTGTACTGCGCCGTGCGGAGAGGAGGTAAAATGCCTAGGCTTCGGTAAATGGCAGGATCACGTCCTGGAAAATCCATGGCTGTAGCAGCATAGAGCTCCCCACCAGCTGTGAGGAGCGCTGTGGAATTGTGCTGGGGACTGTAGGGACAGCGGGCCATGCCACTGATCTGATCATGGATCTCAGTCAGGTTGCTCAACTGTGGGGGAGGATGAGAGGGAAAGCAGTTATCTCTGCACAAGCCCCTTTAGTGATGCTTATGGTCACACCCACCATCATCACAGTGACGCTTGTGCAACAGCCTCTCGGGGGCCCATGGGGCAAGATGACCAACTTTTACATTCCAACTGATGTAAAGAGCCTACTCTGCTCATGGTAAGACAGTCCATCAATCAGTTTCTTTCTCATCACTTTAGAGTTACTGAACCTTGTACCACTGAATACTCACAAAATAAGAAATAAGATCATTGTATATATGCCTTTGATTTATAATGCACAAGTATTGCATACTTTTCCACTTTAATATAAAAACCAGTGTCAATATTTACAGAAATAGGATCACAATAAAGAATTATGTATAATTGCCTGGGCACAGTGGCTCACGCCTATAATCCCAGCACTTTGGGAGGCTGAAGCGGGCAGATCACGAGGTCAGGAGATCAAGACCATCCTGGCTAACACGGTGAAACCCCATCTCTACTAAAAAAAAAAAAAAAAAAAAAAAAAAAAAATTAGCCACGCATGGTGGCATGCACCTGTAGTCCCAGCTACTCGGGAGGCTGAGGCAGGAGAATCGCTTGAACCCAGGAGGCGGATGTTGCAGCGAGCCAAAATCGTGCCGCTGCATTCCAGCCTGGGAGGCAGAGCGAGACTCTGTCTCAAAAAAAAAAAAAAAAAATTATGTATAATTCTATCAATATAAGTGAAGCAAAATATAATGAATAGCCCCAAAAAATGTGTTCACAAGTAAGGATGTGTGGATATTCAACACTATGTGGCCCACATTTCCAACACTTTCTTTCTTTTTTTTCAGTTTTCAGAGAGATAGCTAAGCGTCTTGGAGTCATTTCGTATGAATCCAGCTTCCCAAATGCTGGATTCCCAACCAGCCATTGAATGAGAAAAGCTCTTGGGTACTGGTGGAATCTTTGCTCAATTTGGTTCTTGGTTCTCGCCTGAGAGGTATTGGAGCAGAAGGGTCAGGCCCGGTAGGTACAGGCACACTGCTTGCTCTGCTATGAGATGTGTACCTGGGTAAGTTCCTTCAGCTCTTTATGTCTCAGGTTCTTCTTTCATAAAAGGGGGCCCCAAAGAGTAGCGATCTTGTGGGGCAGATGTTGAGGACTGAACCATGGCACTGGTGAAAGCGCCCAGGGCAGGGTGCAGCACCTAGAGAGCTCCCTGAGTTTCACACCCCTTATCATCCAACTCCTCCCTTTATTTCCAATAACTGAATGCTAACCTGAAATCATGAACAGTAAAAGCAGATGGTCAATTAAGGTCTTGAGGAAAGTTGTGCAACCAGGGAATGAACATATTTCTTCATGATATTCCCAGAGGAAGGTTGCATTTATACCCTGAATTAGGAAGATTCCACGTGTGTTCTACTGACCCTGCCATGCTACTGCTATGGTGTGTGCAGCTGAAAATTACTCTGTCAATGATTGCCAGGTTAAAGACAAGAAAGAGGATCAGTTATAACTGGACTTTGCCTAGGGTGCAATTTCTTAGTTTGCTTATTTTTTTTTACATACTTCTTATCCAATTTGTAGGCTAATTTTTTCTTCCCTTGGATTGTGATTTTAGACCATTTTAATAATTTTAAATAAATATAAATAACAGTAACAGTATCTCTACCATAAAGCAGAATAAGACAAAAAAGAATATGTTTAGGATTAATGTTTAAAGTCACTGGTGGAAAAAAATGCTGGTTGGAATAGTTTAGAAACATATTTAAGTTTAATTATACAAGTTATAATTATTTCCAGTTATTTATCTAATTGATGGTCCTGATTAGAAATATATCAATAAATCAAATATTTATTCAATTTGACAAAAAGTGCTTTAGAATTGAACAGCAACACCTTGGTGTATAGAAATTCATTTAAAACTAGTATTTTTACACAATGTTTTGCCTCTTCTGATATTAAATTCTTTTGAGGCACAAAAAGAAGCCATACCGAGCGGTTGGTGCAGACAGGCGTGAATGCATTGGTCCCACAGGTGAATAACCGGTCGCCACCCACCAGAAGCACCCGGATGTAGTTCTGACATTCCTCCTGAGGGAAAATAAATAAATTAATTAAAAATATATATATATATGTATAATGATAAACATGCTAACAAAGTCTGAGCACAAGAAGAATGGTGAGAAGGAATACATTTTATCTAATAAATATGTAAGCCATTAATAAAATGTAAACCATTAAAACAACAAATAAACCTTTCAGATATTGACCAAAAAATAACAACAGAGCTATTAAACAATTTGATTTTTATCAAATAAATTTAATTGCTGTATCTGCACCTTGTTTGATAAAAAATATGAAGATAAATACATGTTCAATTAAATTCTCAAAGCATGCATCTAATTTTGACAGAAATGATTTCATTTTGAATTGTATCTGATAGTAGCACAAATGCTAAATGGCCTTGGACGGGTATTAGGAAAATAAATAAAAGGAACCTATTAGATGTCGCTCGGGAAGCAGTGCCTTGGAAAACTTCCTCAGACTTTGAGAAAATGCTGCAAGCGCTTTTTGATCAGAAGGTCACATGAGAAACTCTGTACACAAACTGGAGCAAATTTTACTTTATGGGATCCAACTGCATATTTTAAATACAAAGCAAGTATCTATATGAATTTTTTTTTTTTTTTTTGAGACGGAGTCTCGCTCTGTCGCCCAGGCTGGAGTGCCGTGGTGCAAATTCGGCTCACTGCAAGCTCTGCCTCCCAGGTTCATGCCATTCTCCTGCCTCAGCCTCCCGAGTAGCTGGGACTACAGGTGCCCGCCACCACGCCCGGCCAATTTTTTGTATTTTTAGTAGAGACAGGGTTTCACCATGTTAGTCAGGATGGTCTTGATCTCTTGACCTCGTGATCTACCTGCCTCGGCCTCCCAAAGTGCTGGGATTACAGGCGTGAGCCGCCACGCCCGGCCTGTATAGGCATTTTTAATTCATTGATTGAAAAGTGAAAATATGCTTAATGAGGACAAGATGTTCGAAACATTTGGGACAAAACCCTAGGCTGAGGGATACTCCAAGAATGGAGTACTTTTTGTGGTTGCAAAGTGTTCTTAGAAAACCCTGGGTATGGTCATAGCAGTGATGGACATGTGAGCTGGAGAGCTCCTCACTTATTCAGCAAGCATTCACTGAGTAGCTCCTCTTTGGTAGCCACTGGGTTAGAAGTCTCAATCCAGGCTCCTGGCAGAAAAATACAGGATCATGACAATTACCACAGAGCTGTCCATGCACTGTAATGAGGACACACAGAGGAATAGCATATTACGTAGCTCCAAAGGAACAGGGAAGGGAAGAGGTGTAGAGAGGCTTCCTGAAGGAGCTGACAACTAAGTGTTAAATAAAGTGTAAGGTTTAGTGAGGCTTCCTGGAGGGGGTGCTTGTAGGACACCTGTTGGACTTTACTGAGCAAAGGAGGGAAAAGACACTCCACTCAAGAGGAGCAGACTGTGTCAAAGTGTCGTGGCTAGAGAAAGCATGGCGCTCTCATTGTGTACAGAGGAGCTCACATAGAAGCCGAGGAGCCTGAAACAGGCCAAGTGTGCCCAGGTAGTGAGTTCACATGTTACTCTGAATGTGAAAGGAGCCATTACATGTTTTGACTGCGTGAAGTATTGATGAGCTCTCATGTTTTATCACTGAAGAAGCACTCAGAAACCAATGTGCAGGATAAGCTGAAGAGAGAAGCCTGGAGTCAGGAAGCCAAGGAGGAAGTCACTTCCATAACTCAGGCTCTTGTCATTTCATGCCTAGACCAAGGTAGTAGGTGTGAAAGGACAAAGCCAGAATAGTGAGTCAATTGCACGCCATGGCGAATGAATGACGCACGAGGCATGAAAGATGCTGCATGATAACATGATGATTTGAATCACATCATGCTGGAAATCAGGGGAATCTGGATGTAATGGTATAGCTCATCTTCTCTTCAACCAAATGGACCCCCACTCTAGATGAAAGTGTTAATTTCCCATAACCCAGTCTACTGCATAGCATCGAGACAGCGGAAATGCATAGTGCTAATTTCTGTATTTTCTTTACTAGAGACAGGGTTCTGTCATGCTGCCCAGGCTGGTCTCGAACTCCTGGGCTCAAATGATCCTCCCACCTTGGCCTCTCAAAGTGCTGGGATTACAGGTGCGAGCACCACTCCTGGCTCAGATTGGCTTCTAAATGTAAAGTGAAATACCAAGGGTGGATTATCCTCCTAACATTATTCCTAACAGTAATAGTAACCACTTATCATTGGAAGCTGAACTGAGGAAGATGGAAAACAACCACAAAGACCTAAGTAGACTTCAGAAGAATTACCAAATGCTCGTAAACAGTAGACAGTGAATCTGGTAACTGAGAAAGGTACACCAGAGGTGGGAGGCTTGTCTTGTTTTGTTCTCTTTTGTTTTTATTCCTGGGGAAGGGTCAGGAGAGTTCTAAAGGGAAAGAACAAAACAAAAGACTTCAAAGAACCACACAGTACTTCCTTCCCAGGCTGAAGAGAACACAGGAGGGCCAGGGAAGAAACTAGAGGGGTACGGGAGCCTATAAAGGCAGGCAGAGTGAGGATAAAAGAAGGAAGCCGATGCCTGTCAGAGGAGACCCACAAAGACATCTTCCAGAACACAGGGCTGAGCAAGCTGATGGACTTAATGGATGACACAGACATATTAATGACACCATCATAAGGACTGGGATGGAAAATTACAAACAGAATAGAAGGGTGAGGTTTTGTTTGTTTTTTGATGCTGCTTTTAGAACTCTTTTAAAAGCAAGGCAAGATGTAATAAAACTTTTTCCTTTAAAAAAAAAAAAAAAGCAAGAGCTTGCCCCAAGGTAAACCACAAACAACATGGGCAAGGGTAATTTGTTCCAGGAGAATCATCTGGATTGAAAAGATGTGATTTCACAGCAGAGTTCTACAGCCCTGGTGAAGAGAAAGCAAGGGCCTCCAGTCAATTATGGAAAGGAGAATAACCAAGATATCAAATATGGTGTTTACGTTAATTTCCCAAAGGAAGAACAAAGTGCAAATAAGACTGTAGGTTGCTTTCTTTTGTTTTTGTTTTTGTTTTTTGAGACAAGGGTTCACTCTGTTGCCCAGGCTGGAGTGCAGTGGCACAATCGTGGTTCACTGCAGCCTCGACCACTTGGGCTCAAGTGATCCTCTCACCTCAGTCTCCCAAGTAGCTCGGATTACACGTGTATGCCACCACCCCTGGCTATTTTTTTCTTTTTTTTTTTTTTTTTTTTTTGTAGGGTCAAGGACTCATTATGTTGCCCAGGCTGGTCTCGAATTCCTGGGTTCAAGGGATCCTCCTGCCTTGTCCTCCCAAAGTGCTGGGATTGCAGGCATGAGCCACAGTGCCCTGCAACTATAGGTTAACATTCCTGAAGACCACTCTCAAGGTTGACGAAGAACCAGCATGTTGGTCAGAATGTGTGATAACCATGGTAACCATGGTGCAGCAGTGTGCCAGGGAGGGGCAGTGCAAACCCAGCTGGTAGTGTAAGAATATCAGAGAAAAAGTAAATGAGGAAAGGGACAGAATTATTTCAATTAGGGCAGAGAATGAAAGAGCACGTTCTGATCATTAAGACCACGTGAGAATACATGAAGACACTGGCTCTATTATTGGCGATGAGCCACATCCCCATGTGTCACTGGTGTTCTTCGCAGAACGGAGTGAGTGTGTGGAAAAAAAGGAGGAAGATGTCAGGGATCCAGATGATCAGGCAAGGAGGTCTGTGCAGAATTTTTATAAAATGATGGAGGGTGGCCCCAGCCCTATGGAACCCAGAGGAGCCTGTGGCAATCAGGAGCTAATGAAGGAGGGTAGTAGTGTAGTTGGCCCCAGCCTTAACTAGAGGTCTGAGTTATCACCAATAACAGTAGGTGTGCTCATTCACTGAGTCCTACAGGAGCAACGAGTGGAGGTGGGTGGTATTCGAGTTTCTTCTTAACTGTCAAGAGCATAACTCAGTCACCCAACTGGCTAAGGGCATCTCACGTACTTCCCGTTCTTACTCCCTTAAAGGCATCCTCATGTTTAATTCACAGATTGTGAATTCCAGATGTGAATTCCAAACAAATTCATTTAAAATAATAAATGTTTTGAAAAGAGAGATTGGGACAAGTTCAACTGAAACAGAATGTGAAAACACAGGGAAAAAAAAGAAAGTAGAAGTATTTAGCTTTTGAGCAGAAGATAAATTTGGGAATTGGACAGTCAATACTGTGAATAAAAGGAAATGAGTGGCTGGGCACGGTGGTTCCATGCCTGTAATCCCAGCACTTTGGAACGCCAAGGCAGGCAGATCACCTGAGGTCAGGAGTTCGAGACCAGCCTGGCCAACATGAAACCCCATGCCTACTAAAAATACAAAAGTTAGCCAAGTGTGGTAATGCATGCCTGTAACCCCAGCTACTACTCAAGAGACTGAAGTGGGAGAATTTCTTGAACTCAGGAGGCGGAGCTTACAGTGAGCCAAGATGGCGCCACTGCACTCCAGCCTGAGTACAGAGCAAGACTCCATCTCAAAAAAAAAAAAAAAAAAAAAAAAAAAATGGAAATGAGTAACCGTTCCAGGCTGTGTAATAATTAGTCTCCTCTTGATGGTGTTTTCAAAACTCAAATTCTCTTGCAGATCCACTGGCAACGCACTTTGCCAATCTCTGTTACAAACGTGGCCTTTCCATGGGTTACCTGAACTTGCTTGAAGTACTGCTTGGAGTCACAATGTAGAGGTAGAGTCACAATGTAGAAGTCCCTTTAGGAGATTCTTTTAAAGGTTTCTCTTATAAATCAGCATACTTAAATGTCTATGATTTTCCTTTTGTCATCTAAGAATTTTTTCTTCTAGCCCATTTCTGTAACTTGAAAATAGGTGAAGAGGATTTAATGAATTCTGATTTTCCAAGAAGTCACAGTGCACATCTCCAAGGCCTCTAGCAGCTTGCTGCCACAAGGCTTCTAGGGTTGATAATGAGAGTCATCTATCTACATTTTGATCACAGCACTTGAACATTAAAATGACCCATGTGGGCCTGTGATCCACAGACGTATCAACCTGTCCTTGACTTCAAGGCAATTGATAGCCGAGGAGCATGGTTGCTGACTCATAGAAAGGGCTTTTACATGGAGACTGGCCAATACCCACTTGGTCTCAAGGACACAAGGCCCCAGCCCCAGCAGAGAAAACATGTTTTAGGGCTGTTTTCTTAATGAATTAATTGGTTTTGTCATATAGCATTTCATGATTTTTTTTTAAACAGGTATGTTCTGTGGATCCCTCAGGTATCTCTTCAGCAATACCCAGCCCGTCGCCCAGCCCACTAATTTTAGGGAGGAAAGGTAAGGGTTAGAAGGCTACAGGCTTTATGTTAATCATAGTGCTCCCAGTGAAATCAATGTGTCCTCTTCATAATGTGTTATCTTTGTCAGCATCAAAGTGCTGAAGAAGAGCAATTTACAGGAATTGCATGAGCCTTTCAAAGTTGAACCCACATCAACCTAAATCATGATTACCTGGTGACTCTTGCAAAACCATACCTAACCAAATCAGATGTATGTGTGTATGTGTGTGTGTATAAAGGTTGTATCTATATAATTGTATACATGTATTACTTGTGAATATATGCACATGCAAATCACAGATGCAATATGTAGAGATAAACACTCATATACATATATTACGTGCTATGTAATGTACAGTGTATTGATATATAAAATATACTATACTGTATATATGTACATACTCTATTTTCAACTGAGCTGACTTCATGGGAAACCTTTTTGGATACCTCAATTAAAAAAAATAAAATTAGGTGTGCATAATCTAATTTTAACCTAATGTTAGTATTTAACCTAAAGTACCCTCAATTTTTAAAGCAATTACATAAAATAAAAGCAGGGCTACAATGTGTCCCATGTATTGATTAACTCACAGCTTTCAAAATATTGGCACTTAGGTACAAAATGTCAAGATCCAGCCCTACACCAGCAGGCACTTAGGTAGTATGGTGTCATGAGTTTCTTCTCCTGTTCACTAGGAGTTTACCTCTTTACCAGCATAATTTGACAACTTGGTAAACAGGACCACAGGATATGACAGGGAGAACAATATACATAGCTCTGGATTCTAATCAAAACCCTCCCACTAACTAGCAAAATAATTCTAGGAACTTGGTGTCAAAAATCCTGAAATGAGATCATGAACAAAAACTTTTGAAAATCACAAAGTGTAATAGAAGCATACAGCAGCTCTTTCATTCCCATAATAATCAGCTGTGTTTCCTTTGTAAAGTTCCTAAATGTCAGAGTGGGAGGAACGTCAGTTCAGACATTATAGCCCAACACACACAAGGAACTCTTGTTAGGTCGTGAGAGAATTGACTATTTGTGTTTAAAATAATATTTGTGTAAAAGATACTTAAGTAGTTATAGAATTCAGTTTCTATAATGCTATGTCCAGAAGAACTAAATACAACAGGTTTTATTATAAGTTTTTGAATCCATAAAAACAGATTCCCCACCCCCACTTTTTTTCCCCCATGGAATATTTAAGCCATTGCAGGCAAAGGCACTCCCTCTTTCCCAAGGGAGCTGAACATTTTCTAAATAAAATAGAATTCAAACTTTACAAGGGCTTGGCAGCTTCAGTACCTACCTTCTTTTCAAACCTGGCCCAAATAAAAAATCTGGATAACTTCTCTTGACCCTAATTCCCTAAATTGTACTTTTAATGGATTATATGTGAAATCATATCTGTGTCTGGATACAGACATCCCAGGGAAACAAGGGGAAATCCATCATCTCTACTCTCCTCCACTCTGCAGCAAGCTGAGGAATGCTCCCATCAGAACAGCAAGTGGGCACAGGCAGTGTCCTCCCTGCACACCCAGCCACCTCCTTCCATGCATGCATTCCAGCTCAGCTCAGCAGCTAAATGCATTATGTGCAGAAGCACAGACCACTTTTCTCAGAGTAGGAAAAAAAAAAAACAACTTCAGTTTAAATTGCTGGCATTCTTCTCATTTTTGAGATGTCACATTTTGCATTATTCTTTTTATTTCAGGGAGAAGGGAAACTTTGTAATTCTGTTCTCATAAGAACTTCAGCACAAGCAAAACTACAAAACAGCTGAATTAGCCTTCTAAGCTCATGACCACTAAGAAAAGTCTTCATTCCATTCACCCAAAGAGACGTTACCTATCAGTCAAATTGACTGTGAGAATGTTCTCTGAATTGGCTCCTAGGAACTGTCAAAATGGGGAAATGTGGGTTGTCTGAATTCTGAGTTCAGGGGGCAGTCCTTCGGAGGCTGCATTTGGTCCAGTTGCCCCTGTTCATAGGGGCTGCCTTGTTTCTTTCCCTTCTCTGTCCCAGGAGCTGGGCTTGGTCAGCCAGCTTGGTCACATCATGGTCATTGTTCAGTTACTATGTTAAGAAAGCAAGAGAGATGCCAAATAAGAAAGAGGAACTTATAAAGGTGGGTGAAGAGCCCTCTCCTCTCACCACCCATGAACCAGCCCAGTGCTGTCTAGACCAACATGTTTGTAAAGCTACTGCATCATTTTTGTACACAGGAATTTCCAATGCACACAGCTCTGCTACATAAACTGAGCTGTACTTCGAAGCAACAGAAGTTATTTAAACTGTCTGTGAATTTATCAATATACTTAAGGCAACCTAAAAGAACGTGTGATTTATCTTTCTCAGAGTACGTGGTGCTTGACACTCATCTTCATCTGTCTTACTATATTAGTGTTAAAAAATCCATTCACAAATGCGGTTTGAGTCAATTAATAATTACTAAGATTTCCCATTATTTTTAATCCATTAAAACCCAAAGCATGTGAAACATAAAGGTTTGATTTTACTTGAAAATATTTGTTTCCCTCATTTGCTTTCTGTGTATCAAGAAAATTCAATTAAGTGTAGTAACGATTGGTCTCCTCCGTGAATCGAGGGTATATTACCTATCGGTCCCAAAAGATGGCCTTTTCCTAATACTTCTCTGGGTTCAATTTACTTAAGTTCTAAGCACCAAACAACCAATGATCACGGCTTAAGGCAAAACGTGGGCTAGTTCTTCTTCAGCAGAAGCAATTTTTCACCCCAAGTAGAAATAATCTATTAGCAAAAGGCAACCACATAGATTCTTTGTAAATTATGGACTTCCAGACTATGAGGAGGAAAAACCCCTCGCTACATGATGGAATCTGATGCTTTGCTTTAGTAGGACAAGGAGTATAAGGAGACTGAAGCTCATAAAGGGGAAGGGAGTTAACTGTTAATTTTTAAACGTCTTTGTAACAAATATATACATGTAATCAAGATGAAATATGAGAGGACTCTAGGGAGCATAAAAATCAAAATAAACAATGCAAAAGTGACAAATAAATTTGCCATTTTGGAAATTAAAGCAGGGATTCCCGACCAGGTCAATGTCTGGCAATGTGTTTCCTGCCATGTATGGAATAGCTGCCATGTCAAAGCATAATCTGGCCCCAAATATCAATAATGATGAAGATGAGAAACCCTAAATTAAAGTTCACTACCCTGGTATGGGCTTCTCATGTTCATTCAGTCATTCAGTGGAACATCTTTAAACGCTCACCGTGGGCTGGGAGTGTTAAGATCGGACGAGGAAATAGCACTGGGACCTGGGAGAGGGAAGGAGGGTGGGGCCCCTCAGGTCTGGGCTATCAGCTAAACATTTTCAGAACAGACACTGTGACAAGTGTGCATCAACAATATCTGCTGCTAGGTTGCTCAAATCTGAATAGTGCTTATTGATGTGTCCATGAGACCCAGAAAGAAAGAAAAAGAGGAGAGGAAAGAGTCAAAGTACCAGAAGGAAGATAAAGACAAGAAGAAAGAGTTGAGAAAAAGCAAGAGGGAGAGCTAGGTCACTGTATTAGTCTGTTCTCACACTGCTAATACCTGAGACTGGGTAATTTTAAAGGAAAGAGGCTTAATGGACTCATAGTTCCACATGACTGGGGAGTCCACACAATCATAGCAGCAAATGAAGGGGAAGCAAGACACGTCTTACATGGCAGCAGGCAAGAGAGCTTGTGCAGGGGAACTCCCCTTTAAAAACCATCAGGTCTTGTGAGACTTATTCAGTATCATGAGAATAGCACAGGGAAGCCCCACCCCCACAATTCAATTACCTTCCCCCAGGTCTCTTCTAGCACACATGGGAATTATGGAAGCTATAATTCAAGATGGAGTTTGGTGGGGACACAGCCAAACCATATCAGGCATCACACAGAGCAACCCCTGGGAGGCATTGATATCCCCAGGCAAGGCCCACGGCAGGCCTTGAGAGCATGGAACAGTGGTGCTTGCATCAGTGAATCTTACTAGTTGAAATAAAGAAAGCCATCTTTCCACCCCTCACTTCATGTAAGTCTGACTCCAGGTCCCATCTCATTCCTTGGCACAGGTGGTCTTATTTAAAGGACTGTGCTCTGACCAGTGAAGTGGGGCCGAGGGCCGAGCCACACAACCCCCACATTGAGACTCAAACACCACAGGGAGGAAAAAGGAAACTATTTAGAAATCACCTCTTCAAAAGTCCTATACATCATTTCTACAAACTCAACAAGAAGGTTATAGGGGTCCCCGATGTGTGGGCTTTAGATTATTTATTTATTTTGGGGAGCATTTGAGGATATCACATTCGAATTCTTTGACAATTGGAGTACCTTTAAATCTCCTTATATCTCTGATGATTTAACTCAGAGGCCTTTTCTGCGGTTAAATATCTTCCAGAAAATACCCTTCATCAATTCCTGCTTTATTTCCCCCTTGTCTCCAAGTGTTTCCCTGGCTAAGACTGCATTTTCCTCCTTCTCTTCTTCCTACTCCTTTATTCAGGGTTGGGAAACCCCATAACTAAGCTGGCTGACACTTGCCTCAGTGTCTGACTCCCACAGCGATTCAGTTAAAGGGCAGGGAAGCAGACAATGAAATTGGGTAAAAAAAAGGTACATAACACTCTTTTATAAATACAGAAGGGGGAGGATCTTTTGCCAGTGCTCTCTGCATTTGCTATATTTTTTTCCCCAAACTATTGGTCCTAGGACCAACTTTGCATAGCAAGCCCTCTTTTCTACTCTGTGTATAACTGCTGTCTTCTGTAACCCAAAGCATAATTCACCATTGGAAGTCTGTGCTCCAATATAAAGTAAGAAGATCACTAACAGAATAATACACAGTGAGCCTGTTCACAAGCTGCAGAAGAATTTCCTCAAGTTGATCATGAATAATTTTCTCAAAGACACATAGTCTTCCTGGAAAGGCAAAGAATCACGCATCTTTTTGAGCCAGAGAAACATTTGAAAGAAGCCTGCAACATGTACAATTGCTCAAGAAACACATTTCCAACCTTAGCTATAAACTGCACATTCTATAGGAACATGGGATGTAGATTTTCGTATGAAAAGAGAGTTTATTATAAAGAATATGTTAAGATAAAGAATCTATCACAAATAATATTTTATGTAATAAATTTATTTGTCATATCATTACTTTCTAGATTTAGCTGTAAAGTAAGAAAGGAGGAATTTAAAATATCTTAAAAATTCAGGCCCATATTTTTTCCAGCGCTATCAATCAATTAATTTCTTATCTTAGTCTAATGACAGAAAGGGCAAATTAGCTCTGATCTTCTTATGTTCTGAATCCTTTTTGGAAATGATTGATTGCTGGGGTTAATTTTAATTTAGTATTAAAAACTTGAGAATATACCGTATACATATTTTGAATCTTGCTTTTTTCACTTTACATGGCACCGTAATCAGGAATACTCTTCATATCAACATGCTTTATATAGTGTAGAGTCCTTCAAGACAGGGTGATGGCTGCTCATAATTGCATTCTTCTTACCTTTGATTTGCCTTTGCTGTAACAGGCCTTTTTGGTAGCTTCATCACACTCCCATTCCACAGCCTGTAGAAAACACCAAAACAATAGCAGTCATGGTTTTGACTAAATAAAAGGGAAAATATAAACAAGGTAACAAGGCACTGGTAACCAGATTAGGAAATATGGCTGCATCCTGGCACCAACATTTTCATACTCATAGAATTTACACCAAATACATGAAATTTAGTCATGGGCTTAGATTTAGCTCTAATATTGAAGCATAAGGACCTTCCCCCTTACTATTTGCTTTTGGGTAGTAATGATGGGATGCTTAGATCTAGTCACTGTTAGAAAGGAACAATGAGTTGGTGACTATAGCACTGATGGTAGAAATGATCACTTCAGTGAAACTATGGAATAGACCCAGACGAGGCTTAAGGGAGAGGCCTTGAGACAAGATAATTTAAATATTAATTTTAACATTTTTATTTTATTCAAATAATATGTCATTTATCAATATTCATAGATAATGAAGGATGATTTTGCATATCCTTACTACCAAGATATACCTGTAAATGATAATCAATCAATAGATAGCTCATGCAAAGAACATAGCTAGGATTTTTCCCCAGTAGCAGTCATTTTCATACTATTATTAGCTCTGACTAAATGTTTAGAGCCACAGCTTTTAAATATTTTTTCTCAGAATTTCCAAATCTCACTTATGCTGATTAATTTGCTATGTGTGCTTCCACGTCTGATGCTAACTCACAAATGAAATGTGTGATTAGTGAAGAAAACAGACAGGGCTTGCTTTACAGAAAGGATGCCTACAGGCATCCATGGCCTAGCTCTCGTGAATAGTTTTTTGCGCAAATTGAGGCACCTGGGCTTTTTTTTTTTCTCTTTTCTATCATTGTATAGAGTGTGAACTTTTATAGGGTAAAAATATTTTTTTCATTCTCCATACCTGTTATCAGAATTATTATTTTCTATTTTACTATTAAAATTGGATTTCTGAAGGAACAGGGATGTGCGGTAATTCAATCATTAACAGAAAGACATTTTGAGATAGAGACT
This sequence comes from Homo sapiens, assembly GCF_000001405.40. NCBI lineage: Eukaryota > Metazoa > Chordata > Mammalia > Primates > Hominidae > Homo > Homo sapiens. The sequence goes on from NC_000005.10 coordinate 9,238,887, forward strand.
TTTTTCTGTTAATTTGGACTAATGTCAAATAATAAACTAAACCAAAAGCAACCTAGTGTCAAATCATATGAAGGAAAATAATGGCTTCACCCTTATTTTTTAGTAAGAAATGTTTTCTTTCTAATTATCCAAACTTGGGAGAATAACAAAGTCAGGCTAACACCATTCTCTAATATCTTCTGCCTTCCAAAGAATGTTACATAACAGAGATTAAATCATACAACACTGCATCTTGTATAATTTATGTTACTTGGCAAATATGAGTCCATAAGAAAAGTATTCTAGAAAGAACCACTTCAGTGTCTTTGAAACCAAAACAATGCTATAACTGTTTTCCCTTGTGCAGACTTGAAGATTTTTGTCAGTGTCAACATCTGATAAGAGAATTTGTTAATTCCTTCTGTGCTGTTTCCCTGTTCATAATGTTTGATGGTAACAATACAGTCATAGCTAATCAGCATCTGATGCAAACACATGATTTGAATTCCATACCAGGATGACAAATATTTTCATGAAAAGCAATGACACCTCCAGAGAAAACAGCCTCCCATACAGTTGCATAACTATATCCCCATGAAGTACAGATAAAATAAATGAAAATAAATGTGTTGTTGTTCATCTGATTTGACCTTTAGTATATTCCTTTCTTAGATCTCTTTACAAAATATTACTCAGTTTTTTTGTATTTAAGTAGATATCCACGTCTTGGCCTTTACTTAAACTTAAAACAGTATTGAGGATTGATTAAAACAGTATTGAGGACTGAAAGAATATGATATATTCTTTCAGCAGAGTAAAACTCATTATAACTTTGATTGTGTATTGCCAGAGGTTTCAGTATTACATATCACCAAGAGGAACTGGTGTTACACAATTACTAGGAAAACTATACAGTGAAATACTTTAGATAAAGAGTCATTCACGGTGGCTTTCATTGGTCTAGTGATTTTGTTAAAAGTTAAATAATAATGTTCTCTTCTATAAACATGAAAGCTATAAAGAGAAGGATTAGTCCCAGGGCTAAGGAAGAAGAATATTTACCAAATGCCATCAAAATTGTTCAGATCCTGCGGCTGAAATGGCAAACAAACAGCTTCACAAGTCTACCTAATGCCCAAATAGCCTTTGCATTTTCAAGATAAATATTGGCCAAAGATTGAAAGGGAAAATAAGAGAAGAAAGAATGTGAGAGTTTTAAAAAATATTTCATTATTTTTATCCAGCATACCAAAAAATAGCAACTGCTCTTACAAGTTTATTAGACCAATAATAAATATGACAAATCTTACAGATTTTCTGAAGATAGTGATTAGAAAGAAAAAAAATTAATTTCCTAAGGCATTTTATTACAGCCTCACTAGCTTGCCTATAATATTCAAATCCAGAATTAATTAAAGACCATGATTGTACAGCTTTTCTGTTCACTTTCTACCTGAATAGAGAACAGGATAAAGGGAAATTTTATATTAAGAATGGAACTTTACTTATTCCAGAAGACAGCAGGAATATATACATATTATTGGATAGCACAGAATTTGAAAAGGAATAGAATGGAGAAAAGTGGCTTTTCCAGATTATACTAGAATGGGATGCTCCAGATTCATCCCATAGTGTCCTCCTATTCACTAGGTCAGCTAGACTTTGCCTATTTCATCACTTGACAGACATGAAATTAAAAAAAAAAATCCATCAGAGACAAATAAGAGTATCAATGTACCTCCTCTCTGTGGGTTCTTATTTCTCACAGTGACGCATTTTTCTGTTTGAAATTAGGCTGTTTGTTTAACCTGGTCACAACTTCCTTATTCTTCTAGATCCATTCTAATGAACCAAATACCTCTTAATCAAGCCTTCTCTTTCATTTCTCAGTGAAAATTTTTATTATTTCATGTATCATGATTATAGAACAAGTCTCACTACTGATTTGAGAAGCCACGTGTCCACTTGTATTCAAAAGATGTTTTTCCACTAACCCAAACCTATCTTTACAATAGTCAAAACAAGTGCTAAAGCATTCTACATTTCAGATCTCAACCCAACATTCATAGTCTCATTTCCTGAGTCTCCCTTTTAAAAATATTTAATTTTTGTCATCTTTTGTCTTTTTCTATTTCAGGATAGCCCAGTAGAGAAAAGAAATATTTCTACTCTAGGCTATTCAATATTTTGTCTGCATTATATATTTCAGCAGCAGACATATAGCAGTAATATTGTGGTTACTTGAATATTCAAAGATTAGATACAGTAGGCAGTGAGTTTGAAACACCTACATTTTAAAAGACACAACGATTCCTGTTTGCAGTAAGTTTTTTTCTGTAAATACATACAAATAATACCTGTACTAAGGAACAACTCACAGAAGTTTTGCTTTATGCAAATACATTAATTATCTCCTTTATTTAACAAATATTCATTAAGTACCTACCAAACAGAAGACACTCTTCTATGTGACTGACAGAAGGAAAAACAGACATAGAGATACACATCAGATATTAATTTACAATACAGCATAAGTGTATTCCATCAGCCTAGACAGAATTATGTTAAATCTGAGGAGTCAACAGTGTTCATTTTCATTGTTATAGTAGCCATATGCACGTTAATCTCAGGTCCAGTGACACACTCTAACTTATAATATCATTAGCTTTCAGGATGTGACAAACATACAAAGAGAGCTACAAAAAAAAAAAAAAAAAAGAAGAGGCTTATGGAAAACCCATTTTATATCTGCATAAATCCTGGGTATGCAACAAAGCCCCCATTGTTTCAAGGTACAGCATCCATTGGACCGTGTTGCACACAGACATACTACGGTTAGGATAAATGGAGCTGTGATCTCAAGAGTAAATCAGATAGAGAAAAGAAAAAGAGATTGGCTCTTTTTATGTATGTGTTACATACATATAAATCCACAGTTCTCAGAAGTATATAAACAAAGCTGTGTATTATCACACTCCACCGCCAGATAAGTTAATTAGATAGGGACCAGCAAAGGCAGACACTTCATAAAAATGAAGAGAACAACATTCTAGGCAAATGGGCTACTACTCTTTCAGCAGATGGCTTTGCTAATTAGATACTGGCAAAAGATAACATTAAACAAAACTAGTTTAATTACACAACGCCAAAAATTAACAACCACCTGAGGGCTTTCTTTTTTCATATGTTTACATTCATATTCTTATGTCATGTATTCTGCGATGCGCTGGGAAATGTTACATTGCCATGGCAATTATAAACAAATCGTCAGGGTATGCAAGACTATATCTTTGTTCAAAACTGAAACAAATGCAAATGAGTTGGAACTAGAAACAACTGTGATTTGACTTGAATAAAATGTCAACCTATAACAGTAACTTTGAGAGAGGACATCTTTGCTAATTATAATACCTTCATGGTCACACGTGTCAGGGTCACACAAGTGTCACTTGAGCTAGAATGGCGTGCATTGAACGAAAAAAGGCAGTAAACATTTCAGTCAATTTGGAAGGATTTGTTCGATGTTCCTCTGCCTTTACTTCCTAGTGGATATTCAATGTGTTTGTTATTTTTTCACATTAATTTTCAGTATACTTTCATTTCCGTCCATGTCAAATACAAGCAAGTACAATTATAACCTCAAAATCAAAAGACTAGCCAAACATCTTATGTTCTCACTGGTATGTGGGAGCTAAGCTATGAGTATGCAAAGGCAAAAGAATGATACACTAGACTTTGAGGACTTATGGGGAAGAGTGGGAGCGGGGCAAGGCATAAAAGACAACCAACGTGGTGCAGTGTATACTGCTCGGGCGATGGGTGCACCAGGATCTCACAAATCTCCACTGAAGAACTTACTCATGTAACCACATACCTTCTCTACCCCAATAACATATGGGAAAATAAATTTTTTTTTAAATGATCAATTTCAAAATTTAGAAATTAACTTAAAAAAGACTGGAATCGCATTAGAGTCATATCATCCCACTATTTTTTGATTCTCATACACTGCCATCATCTAAAATTAGAAGAAATATCTTAACTTTAGAAATACCTATGAAAATGTGTTATAATAATTTTTAAAGCCCTTATGCTAATGCCCAAGATTTTCTTTCACATAATAACACCACATTAAACTTACATTGATAAGGAACTGCAGAGTGGTGCTCCCAGCCTGTTGAATGCTCACTGGGCGTTCTGTTCTCTAATTGGGAGTTGACAATGTATTCATTCCCTAGAGCTGTTGTGAGAAACTACCACAAACCAGGTGGCTTTAAGGACAGAAATTTATTCTTACAGTTCTGGAGGCTCGTTGGCAGGGTTGAATCCGACTGAAAACTTTGAGGGACAATCTGTCTGGGCCCCTCTCCCAGCCCCTGGGGTCTGCCGCTGACCTGTGGTACGACTTGGCTTACAGGGCATCACTGGAACCTCTGCCTCACTCATCGCATGGTGTTCTCCTTGTGTTTTTCTTTGTCCAAATGTTCCTCTTCTTATAAGGACACCGGCCACTGGATTAAGGCCCACTGTATTCCAGCAATGAGCTCATCTTAACTAATGACATCTAGAAAGACTCTTTTTTCAAATAAGGTCATATTCTGGGAATCTGCATGGACATGAGTTTTGGGGTGATACTCTACAACCCAGTACAAACAGCATGGCATAAGAGATTTGGAGAAACAATTCATAGTCACAAATTAGGGTCATTGCTTTGCCACAAATTAGTTGCCAATTCTCAAGCAAAATAATGGTAACAATTTATTAAATGTGTGATGTGCTAGCTACAGTGCTAAATGCTTTCTATACACTTACCTCGTTTAATGTGAGAGGTACTATTATAATAAGATTTTGGATGAGGACTTAGGGTAAATAACTTGCCAAAGGCCACAGAGTATTAAGTGGCAGCCCCAGGATTGGCACTTTATAACTTGGATCTGGAGCCTGTTATCTGAACTACTCTCCTGCTATTTAAATTGCCAAATTAAGTGCCCCTTCTTACCTGATTTTTACAGTTTCTTTGTTTTCCACCCCGTAATTTAGAAAAATACATATCTGAAGCAGAGAAATTTGTGCATGTCTAAGTTCAGAGCTGTTGGCATTCAGTAAATATTAATCAAAAAAGCCATTGATTCCCTTGTCATAGAATGTATTCATGTCTAAAGCCTCTGGGCCCATTCACAGCCCTAGAATCGATTTTAAAAGGACCATGATTTGCCTAATGAAACTCTAAAGTCAAGAAAGGTGCAGCCAGGGTATGATATAAGAATCTTGGGTTGGTTTTGTGAAATTAAACATCTTCTGTATAAGAACACAGTTTGTTCTTGACACAGCAGCAATGTCCTGCTTTCAAAATTCAGTCTGAAGACCCATCACTTCTATTAAGCCCTACCGGGGCTTCCCACACCTCCTGGATTAAGAGCCAAAGTCATCTAGAAAATTCTGCCATGTCCAGGTACTTATTTCCTAGTGCCCCCACCCCATTCTTTTACGGGTGGCATGGGTTTCTCAGCATGGTCTCTGAACAAAGCAGACACATTCCCTATGGCCTGTGGACTTACTGGCCCCACTACCTGGAATACTTTCCTCCAGATGCCCACCTAGATAATGGCTGTGCCTCCTACATACCTTTGTTCAAGTGTGAGCTCCTCGCTGGACCCTATGTAGCCATATATGTATATGTGAAACTGCCATTTGCTTCCTCCTTTCTCACTAGAAAGCAAACTGCACTTGGGCAGGCAGCTTGGCTGCTTGGTACACGTCTGTATCTGCAGCACCTAGGACAGTGCCACATACACAAGCACTCAATATCTAGCTGTTAAACAAATTAACGGATGTGTTAATAGAATGCCCTGCACCCATGCCCTTGGAAGTCGCTCAGGTGTCCTTCTAGAGACCCCTTGTAGAATGGGCACATGAGGCTTGGCAGCCCTTGAGCTGGTTGGGTGAGCCTACCACGTGTTGCACCTCTGTGGCAAAAACATCCCACAAGAATTTCTCTTCCACACTTCAATTTGCCCTGACACTGGGAAGAAGAATATGAATGCATCCGCTCTGGGAAGACAGAAAGGGAAGGATCAGAACAAAGATTTTACTACTTTTTCAGCAGTAGACAACGTTTTTTTAAGTAACATCTTCAGCCTAATCTCAAACAAAAGGAGATAAAAGTGGTATAGTATTCCCCTTCTCTGCAGTTTTACTTCTTGATACCGCAGTCAACTGAAGTTCAAAAATATGAAATGGAACATTCCAGAAACAAACAATTCCTAAGTTTTAAATTGTGGACAATTCTGAGTAGCATGGTGAAATCTCAAGCCACCCTGCTCCATCCTGCCTGCGGAAATAAAGGATCCCTTTGTCTGGAGTATTCACATGTCTATGTTCCCTGCCTATTAGTCACTTAGGAGCCCTCTCAGTTATCAGATCAAAAAAACATAGCACACACAGTGTTCAGTACTATCAGAAGGTTCAGGCATTCCCTGGGGGTCTTGGAACCTATCCCCCGTAGATAAGAGAGGGACTACCATATTATGTCAAAGTCATGCTTTAAGTGCAAAATTATACTAAGTCATTAGAAAAATGTGAGACCAAGTGACTGCTGAGTCATAACACCCTCGGTATCCAAGCATTTCTGTATTTTGTTTTGGTTGCCTGCTTTTGAAAAAAACACAAATTTATAAAAATTAATAGTTATAAATAAGACCACTTTGAATCTCAGTAAATTGGCAGTACAAATTGAAATGACAGCGGACACCTTATTCCGTACTCTATAATAAACCAGGGAGGCCAAGTAATGTCACAGTAAAAGTTAATTTACTGAGTGAAGGATTCTAAAGTCTTAAAATTCTGTACATGGTATACATTTTTGGTATAAGTGTTTCTTAAATAATGGGATTAAAGCAATATAATATCTCAAATCTCAGAAGCACCTCTAGAATCTGAGGGTTCTGAGTAACACAGTTGGCAAGTCACTATTTTAAGGAACCAAATTTATCTGATAAGAAATTTTGGGGCTGGACCTGGGGTCAGACAGAGAAAAACAAAGTGATGGAAGATGAGTTCCAATGACCCTACTCCTGAACACGAATGAACCCTGCTGGGATGATCTTTTGAAAGAAGAACATTAGAGAGAGAGAAGAAAAACAGTATCAAGGACATTATAATATCTGGTATAAAATTTAAAACCATGATTGTCAGACCTTGAAGCATCAAACGACTGGTGCACTTCAAAAATATTTCTAAGGTAAGGCTCATAAGAGCCTTACTTCTTGGTTGCAGGGTTTTACAGAAATTATTTTCATGAATGCAAGTAGGATTGGTTTAAAAAATGGTGCATCGTCAAATTTGCAAGACTAAATGTAGCGAAAAAAATCAAATCACTGGAGGGATGGCTATTTTTATACATGAATTTCCTAAAAGTATTAGTATAAGGAACCCAATTCAAAGTCAATCAAGCAGGGATAAAAGTATTGACATCGGAGTGGATTGAATTCCCAAGGACTGGCTTGCCTAGTTTAATATTTCCCAAATGCATTTGGTGGAAAATTGATTGCATCTAATGTTATATTTTCTCTCTTTTACAACATACAATTATATCTTACATCACATGGATGATGCCATCCAAGTACCACAATATCTGTATACTGTTCAACAGAAATGTTTGCTAGCAATTAGATATATCACAAGCAAATTAGAATTAGATGTTTTATCTGATGTAACATTTATTCTGCATATGTAGAGATATTCCAAAAGGAATAAGTTGATTATAGAAAGTTATGAAAAATGTCACACCAACCGAGCTTAGTAAGACTATCTGAAGATTGTATGGGACACCAATATGAATTCACAAGATAAAATTTTAAACAATATGAGAAGCAGCATGTTAGCATGGGATTCTCTGTAAAACCTTGACCAACACTAGGAAAACACAACTTGATATAATGAAGCCTGCCTTGAAAATACTTTTACAAGGCTAAGTTTGTGGTGTGGCTTTGACCAAATCTTTCTTTCACACGCCAGTTAACTACTGACAATAATATTCTAGCACTATTGGTAAAAGTGAAGATTAACCATCCTGTCCCTAAAACAAAAAGAAATTTCACAGTTATATGCCAAGGTTTCATCTGGGAATATAGTTAAAGGGTTCAAAAGGGACTGCATGTAGCAAGTAAGAAGAAGTACCAATCTTTTTATTTTGAGGCAACATGAAACAGATGTAGAAAACGACGCCAGCAACCACAGCATGAATGCAAATGAAGGTGCAGAAACCACGCAACTCTTTGTTGTTTGGCTTAGAATTTTATTTTACTGATGTGAATGAAATATTTTTATATTTTCAAGAGGAATATCCCATTTGTGATTTTGTGTGTTAGATTTCTCTTGCTTAAAATGTAAAGCCACCTATATTGGCATCATTGGTTTGAGTCCTATTATTGTGTATTCTGGCCAAATCTTAATGAAGACATTCTGTATGAACTGTCAGCCTAATAGCCAATATTGATGTAAATATATGGATGTTTGCTTTCAGTTTCTCCATAAATCTTTTCTATTTTTCTAGTCTTCTGAAACTGGCTTCATGAAAACAAACAACACTTCATACCTGATTACTTTCTCTAGAGTTCTGGGTTAATATCTATGCACTAGACTCACTGGAGCACTTACAAAACCCAGATTATGAATGTTTCCTGGGGAATTGTTTTATACTCATGGAACAACTCAGAATTTATTCATTATTCAAGTTAAAAATGCTTGCTTCCTGAGATATATCCTATCAAAGTCAACAAAGATTGACTTTACTTCCAGCTTGAGAACATATTGATCTATTTTCCAGATCTCAAGATATATGCAAAACCCTCCTTATGAACCTTATTCAGCATTATTTCCATAAGCTTTTGTTTTCAGCTACAAAAAAATGAACACGAAAATTTGTTTTCTAGTGTAAGTTTGGTAGTCATTGTTTACTCTCATTTTAAATAAAATGTGTAACAGGATAATATACTCTGTTCAAGAAACACATTATTTACTATATTATCACAATGGTAAATGAGCACTTAGTGAACATGACTGATACATTCATGTCCTAGTTAATATTGAACACTCTCATAACTTAATGAATATCTGCTTAAACGTATTAAATCAAATAAATAATTTAGCATTAAACAGCAATTGTGTGGTTTTGCCATTTATTTCTCCAAACATTTTTCTCTCTTCTATAATTTGTTCATTTACATGCCAGAGATGTCCTAAAATATTGTCATTACTATTATTAAGATGTTTGATAAGAGCTCCATCTAAGAAAAAAGTCCAAAAGCATTTCAAGTGTGAGAATAAGAGTTGGTGAATTTTTAATGTCTGTAACATCTGGGATATGTTGATGGAAAATTGATGCCTTTTGTTATAATTTTACAACAAAATGAAGAGAACATGAGGCACTCCTTCCCTTCCATCTATTTAAATCATTCCTTTTGTTATGTGATTAGCCAGGGTTGGCAACTAATTGCCAAATGTTACAACTTCACTCAATTTCCTACTAAAGGAATTTGATTTTGAAATAAATTAATTGCCTACACCAATTAGGGCCTTGAAACACAACTTTGTGTATATCTGAGGGTGGAGCATTGGAGTAGGATGAACACTGGTCCCTTAAAAGATATCCATCATCATCTCTGCAACCTGTGAAGTTAACTCATACGGCAAAAAAAAAAAAGAAAAAAGAAAAGGACTGAAGATAATTAAATTAAGGATCTTGAGATGGAGACATTAATCTATTATTCAGGGAGCATCTCAACATCACTGAAAACATTCTCATATGAAGCAGGCAGAGGAAGATGCGGAGCATACAGAGGAGAAGGAAATATGACCGTGGAGGCAGAGATAGTGATGAAGGAGCCTCAAGTCAAGGAGGCCGGCAGCCACCCGAAGCCAAAAGAGAAAAAGAACAAATTATTTCCCCCAAACTTCTGGAGAAAGTGTGGCCCGGGGGACCCCTTTATTTTAGTCGCATAAGAATTAATTTGGACTCCTAGCCTCCAGAACTGTGAGAGAAAAAATTTCTGTTGCTCTAACCCACCAAGTTCATGATAATTTGTCACAGCAGCCATACAAAACTAATACATACATACATACACATGAATTACACACATGAACACAGTCACACTCAAGCGAGTTTAGGAGCATGGGGTGGACATGTTAGTATCTGTGTGTCCATCTACCAAACATCTGGGCCAGGCCCATTGTACGAAATTGGAACATGTCATCCCAAAATATGCCTTTGTCATGGGATTATTTTGAGCTGATTATTTTGAGAAAGCCTAGACACAGGAGAAGCTCTGAAAACAGAGTAGAAATTGTGTTTGTGTAAGGTAAGCTTACATCTATAAAGGAAATCTCTATTTGTAAGGGTGTCTCCCCTACTGTACCAGGAAGAGAAATATGATCCTGGTCAGGAGATAAGTCAATGGAGAAGCCACTGACTTAAATGTGCACAACAAACCTTACTCCGGCTAACCATGCCATTTCTGGTCACGTTGCCATTACTTACCTCTCCCACACACTTCTTTCTTTAATCTAGCTGAAGATGGTATTTAAGCTTGAATTCTAAGATATCTCTTTGAGAGTGACTCATTTCCCTGGGTATCTCCCGTGTGTGTAAGACATAAACATATTTTTATAACTTGTTTTTCTATTGTTAATATGTCTTTTGTTACAAGGGCCCAGCTGAGAATTTAGAAGAGTAGAGGGAAAATTATTTCTTCCTGCCCTACAATATATATGAAAGATGTAGTTGTTGATATAAAAGACCTCTTAAGGAAAACATGCTGTGATCTTGGGCGTCTTGAAGGGGAACACTCAACCCAGATGTAGGGATCTGGAGATGGATGAAGGAACATTTCTTAGGGAGGTCAAGGCTTGAGCTGGATCTTGAAGCAATTGACCAGTGAGTGAATAAGTGGAAGAGTAGATGTTCAAGAAAAGCAAATGAATAAGCTGGTGCAAAGGCCTGAAATGGGAAGAAAGGACATCTAAGCTGGAGAACTGGACCCCAGGGTGGGGATTGGAGAGGTCTCTGGCTACACGCTGATATGCAGCTCAGGACAGGCCTCCTGAACCATGCTAAAAGAAGTTAGTTCAGATTTATTTTTCATGAGTTGAAGAAAAGCCATGAATAAAATTTTAAGCAAGATATTGGCATGGTGAGAGACAAGTAGTTGAGAAAGACTTCTCTGTGGGTATAAGACCTGGAAAGCAGTGTGGCTGTAGTGGTGAATACAAGGAGAGTGATGTAGAGGTCATTGCAGGCAACCAGCAGGTAGGCATTGGGAACCTGAAATTAGCAGGGACAATAGGGATAGAAGAAGGGATGGGTAACCAGCAATTTAGTAGTGGGAAGGGCACTGTCTTTTGATCATGTAGATGTGTGGGTGGACAGCAGTAGCACAAGTCTGCCTAATCTACAGTATGAAACTAATTCCCACCCATTCCTTAAGCTGGGTTTGGACTGAATGCCACACACAATTCTGAACTGCTTTCTTTCCACCCCCATAAGTAACTTTAACCTTAGACAAATAAAACTACCTATACGATCCTGTTTAAAGAAAACACAATAAGACAGTAAATCTTCCAAAATAGCAAAGTAGTTCAAGAAAAAAGACCGAATTCATACAATGTTTTGATCATCACACTTTTAAATCAAACACACTTTAGTTCATTGGTAATACATTCTGGATTTTTAAAACAAATGGAAAACCAACCAAAGAAAATCTTATGAATCACATGAAAGTTACCTTTAAAACTGTAGGAATTCAAAGTAATTCAGTACAAGAACTTCTTTTTCAAAGTAATACAATAATGATTTATTTGTTTGGAATTCTGTGTCCTAAGTCAAGCAAATAAGATATAAAAAATTACACAAACATAAATTTCAAAATGAGAGAAAACTTACAACTCTTGACTTCCAAGACATTTAGCAAAGCTAAAGAAGTTGGAATTTAAAAGTGGAAAAACATAAGAAAAATAGACTAACAAATTAAGATTTTCATATCTATTAGTATTACATTTTTCTTAGATTTTCACATGCTATGGTTTTAATGCTCCACCAAAATTTATGTTGAAATTTAATTGCTGTTGTAAGTATTAAGAGGTAAGACCTTTAGGGGACAACTAGGTCTTGAGAGCTCTGTCCTACTAAATGGGACTAATGCCATTGTCTCAGGAGTGGGTTAGTTATAACTGGAGTGGGTTTCTGAGAAAAGGATAAATTTGGGCTAGTGTTCTCCCTCTGTCTCATGAGCTTTCTTCATATGATGCCTTCCATACTAGGATGACTCTAGTCAGAAGCTGGCACCAAACTCTTGGACCTCACAGCCTCCAGAACCATGAGTCAAATAACCTAATATTTTATATAAATTACCCAGCCTATGGTAATCTAACAGCAGAAAAAGTGCTAGACATCACATCTGAGAAAAATTCTGAAAAGAGCCATGCTATTAAATGCTGATATTAATTGTCTCCAACCTAGAAGAGGGAGGGCATTTCTTCCTTAATCAGCCAACTTTAGAATTCACACTAAAGTTTCAGCTGTACTGTGTCTCAATTATAATTCACAATATCAACAGCAAAAATTCAATGCTATTTTCTAAAAATACTTTAGGTATGACTCTGATTTCTCAAGTTTTGACTATGACTATGAGTCATGACTACCAACATTTAGATCAGCACTATGAGATTAACCAGAACCAATATGTAAATGTATACGGCAGAAAGCCATCAATCAATCTGGAGTGGACACAATGTTTCCAAGTGTAACTATAATAGAGGAGCAAAGCAAAAACAGAATCCTGGAATCAGACAATGTGTGACAGTACAACAGCCTAAAAGAGCTGCCGGCAAGACATATTGGGAAAGTTAGTCCAAAGGAGCACATCCATGCTCAAGAGATAAGAATGAATCAACTCCTGATGGGGAAGATGGCTGGTACTCTTCTGCCCATCATAACTAACTCTACCCTCCCAACAATCTAGGGTATAGGTACCAGTATTACATTCATCTTACACAGTAGGTAGAAAGGAGCTTAACAACTTGCCAAAGATTACTGAGCTTTTAAATGGATGGCCTGGGATTATGAAGTCAGGCCACCCTGGCTGGCTCCAGGGTCCACAATCTTAACCCACGTGCGATGGACTCTTTCAGTGAATGAGTTGGCAGGATCTCCCAGATTCCTAATTCCTTCCTGTCTCACCAGAGTTCTATTGACAGATTGAGTTTGTTTGCTTTGAACTTGTCAGACAAAATAAAATGTGGTGCTTTTGAAAGGCCCTTGGTGGGAAAGCGGGGAATGAAATGGTTTGGCTGGAGAGAGAACACTACTCCACATCTTCACTACTGAGATTTCAACCCAGTTGTTATGATTTCAGTGCTGATTTCACAAAGTCATCGATTCGAAAGCTTCCCCCATTCCCACCCTGTAATCTGAACTCTGAAAGTACATGGAAAACACAAAAGTAAACTTAATTGTGAATAGTCTTATTATTCTGCAATTTTGTGTAATTATCCAAACCCACTTGAAATAATAACAGAGGTCAAGACAAAGAACATGCACGGATAAACATGGATATTGTTCCATAACCTGACACATTATATGTGGGTTAAGATCTTTACACTATACAAAGAAAATTCAAACTGGGTTATATTTCCTAAGCGAGTTTATACGTTGAATTAGGAGAATACAGCAAAAACTATCCCATGGAGACATTATGCAAACTGGTAAGCATGGAGGTCATCAAGCCTTATGTACTGGAGATGGTAGGACAGATCCATCCATTATTCAAGCACAGCCAAGAAAGTGCACTTGAAGTTCCAATCTAAGATTCTAAGATTCCATATTCTTCCTTTATGGTAAAAGATGGGTTCCAAGTTTCCCATATGGAATATAATGGCCAAGCCCTTTCTTATACAGCTCAGAGCAGGGACACCCTGGGGAGGTGTGAAGAACCGTGGAAGAGATGAAGATGAGGGCCTAGTGCACTCTTGGGCTCTCACCCTTTTGCATGGGCTAGCTCCCTGCTTTCTGACCTGCTCCCTACCAGAACACAGCTCTTCCTCATCCCCAGCCTCACTATCCCCCTACTCTCCTCTAATTGGAGTATCCACCTCATTAGAGTCTCCTTAAATGGTCTCAGGGCTGACAATAACACAACAATTTATGGAAGAGCTAAACATTCCTCCCTATGCTATCACACAGGCAATGGGTAAGTACTGCATTTTAAATTTAGTGCTTTCTAGGACAATCATACCCCAAAAGAGCTCTAATATGTCTGAAACAAGTAATGCTAACAGAGTTGTCTGCCTCATTTCCTAATGCTTCAAGCTCTTATTAGGCTGAATAATTAAGAAAACTATTTTTTCTTCTTTGTTTTTCCAAGTATGATAACTTTCTTCCATACATGTCTATATAAGCTTTTACTCAAGGACAGCTGATTTAATGGGTTGTGATGACGGATAATTAAGTCTCTTAATTATTCTCTTAGGATTATTGTAGCTGTGAAAATCAAGCCACATACACATACATTCAAACAGCAATTAAAAATATTGAATTGCTTTTTAATTTAGAAATTATTTCTGGTTTTGGAAGCTATCTCTGGCCCCAATATGCTCATCATTATATTTGCATATTCAAAGACTTTATCAGTCTTCATAACCATTTTGATTGGTCTACCTCCTATGGTGTTTTGACAAATATTATTATAATCTGTTAGATTTATGTTCCTACTAATACACTATCCAGGTGATTTAACAAACATATAGTGTTTCGTTATCCAATTTTAATAGAACCTATAAAAATACAAATGTAACTAGTCCAAATGTGGTACAAAATCTCATCCTTTCAAGAAACCTGAATCTGGTTATTACCAAAATAATTCCTTCCTGTGCCATCTACACCAGCCTCTACTTTCCCTTTAAATAATGATGAGCCTCAAGAGAAAGAAACTCAACATTAGGAAGGAGCTTCTATATTGCCTTTACATGAATAACAAACAAAACTATTATAGCATGATCATCCTAAGATAAAACAGTTAACTTTGCTCCTCCATGCCTAACATCATTAAGGACATTCCTTGAGGTTCAGTAATGTTTAATATCAATAGATTCACAACATACAAAATAGAAATAGAAACATTATCAACTATATAAAATCACTTGATTGGTTCTCTACCAAGAAAATGCCACAAAACAGGAAGTGTTAACTCTCCAGTAATATTCCTACATAGTCAGTGGAACTTGTAAATGTATTCAACTAATATTTACTGAGCACCTATTATGTAACAGAATTTGGGATATAATATGAGCTTTTCTAAAGCCTGCTGTATTTTAGAAATTCCCAGCCTAGTAAAGGCAAGAGAAAAAAAGTAATTGTAATACAAGTTGAGAAGTAAAGGTATATACTGTAAGAACACAGAGAGAAAAACACGTTTGTAGAGAAGATGGAGGATTACACAGCGATGCCCAGCCCAGCAGCCACCTGAGCAGGAATGAAGGGAAGATAGAAGTTCTTGAGAGATAAGAGAGACGTATGCTTGCTGAAAACAGGTACCAGGATGTGCAAAGTCTGTGAGAAGTGGAAAAACATCTCACATTCATGAAACTGCAAGAAATGTGTATGGCTGAATGCCACAAGGAATGTTGAGGAATAAGCAGATCTTGAAGCTGGAAAAACAGGAAAGGTCAGACCATGGTGTTTCATACAGGATATTGTTTGAAAATAGGATTTTTTTTTTAAATTTAAGAGTTTTAAGCAGTAAGGTAATGCCATAGTTTACATATATTAAGCCATGAACCACAGTAGGAGGCAGGAGGAATGGAGGACACAGAGCATTATAAACAACTGCCCAAGGCCAGAAAGCAAGTAAAGGAGCTAAGATTCAAATGTGATCAGATGCGCAGTTTAGAAGGATGACTTGAGGAAAAAGGGATAGAATGTATGTGAGGATAGAATACAATTAATAAAAGATTAGCTAGTTTAAGCCCGTGGTGATAAGGCAACGAGGCTGAATTCAATAAGCTTGAATAAGGCTGAATGCACTGTAAGCTGTAGACTAGACAGAACAGTATAAGTACACATTTAGGGACCATCAATGAGAACGGGGAACCAGCAAAGGCATCCATTGCTCTGGACAAAAGGTTATGAATCTGATCTCTGAGGTCAGTTTAAAGAGCTCCATCCAAATGATGATAGTATGAAAAACTATTCTACTGTTCAGGAAAGAAGTTAGTTTGGAGGTAAAGACAAAACATTCCTTATCTTGATTTTTGTATGTCTTTGCTTGGGAACAAAGGAGATACAGTGATGTAAGTGTGGCTCAGATGTTTTGTTTATTTTGACTTTGCTTCTTTTGAGGGGAAAGGAATGGAACAAGAAGTCACCTACAATTGCTCACACAATCATCCATCTGCATTTGTCATAGCTGGTCAACATGCAGGGTCCACACCAAGGTGCTGACCACATTATGGGTATGATTAAGGATGAGGACCCTCATGTGAAATAGCTTTGTTGAGCGTGAGAAACAATGTGCCCTAACACAAAGACATACGGCTTGATCACCATGAAGTGGGGATCACAACAATTCACTACAGCTCTTTTTCCTAAAGAACAGAACAAAGTATCCATTATAGCATTTGACAATCTAAGCATTCCTTCTGGGACCACCTTCTGCCCATGGCTCATCCTGTCCAGGTTTTCTTCCTCATCACTAGCTGCTCCTTCTCAGTCTCCTTTAGCAGACTAAGCTGTGTTTCCTCCAATGGTGGCATGGCCCTGGCATCTGCTTCGGATCCTTCACTTTCCACTCTTCCTTCCTCCTTGGGTAATATTACCTTGTTTTATGACAGCAAACACCATCAGTACAACACACCTGCATTCCTGTCCATTACTGGAAAGTATTAATTCTTCCACCTCTCTCCTGGGTATATTCCTTGGCATATCCAAAAGCATCTCAAACGTAATACATGTAAATCACCAGCCATGATTTCCCTCTCTGCCTCCCAACTTGCTTCTCCCCTAGTGTTGCCCATACACTACCCACTTAGTTGCTCTGGTCAAAGGTATACAAGTCATCCTTGAGTCTTCTTGTTTCCTCACTGCCAACATCCAATCCACCAACAAATCATGTTGACTGGAACTAACAAACAAAACTTTCCAAATGCGTCCATTTCTCTACCAGTAACTCTTGCCTAAATTCTAATGCAATTTCCTAATGGATGTCCTTCCTATAACTTTGTCCCATTATAACCCTTTCCTCTATGACTCACCCAAAAGTATCTTTTTAATAAGAAAAATAGATGATGTTTAATACCTTCGAGTGGCTTGCCATTTAGGTACCTAAAACACAATTCAAAGTCTTGGGCCTGGTTCACAAAGCTTGAGGTGTTTCTGCCTCCAATTCTCTGACCCCGTGTGTCACCATTCCTCTACTCCTTGAGCCCTGTGATCCAGCAACTCTAAACCTCTGTAGGTTCCTTTAGCCTTATCCACTGTTCCCTCTTCCAAACCTTTGTATTCACTGAGCTCTCTTTCCCAAAGGTGCTTTCCCTCACCTGTGCCTGACTCCTCAATATTCAGATATTGACTCAACTGCCACTCTATAAGAGTAGACCATTCTTTGCCACCCTATCTACAAGAACTTCATAAATACTTTCTATCACATCACTGCATTTGAATTCTTGGCAGCACACTTACCAGTTTCTAACACTTTTCCTAACTATTAATTGATTAAATATCTCCTCCAACTATAATAACACTGTAAGAGAAGTCCTTCCCTTGGTTCAACACTTTATTTCCTGTACTTGGAAGTCTGACTGCCCCATAAGAGACCCTGATTAAATATGTGCTGAAGGAAGGAATAATCTAGGAGTTTGAAATGAGTTTACTTTTGCAAACTTCTGTCTGAAGGTAGGAATTTCAAGGCGAGAGCCTCATCACATTTGTCATCAGGTGAACCTGGTTTTAAGAGTATAAGTTCAAGATTAGCATGAAGAGTGAAAAAATCAGTTTGCATTTAGTTTTCAAATTCATCTTGCATATCTATGTGATGTGAATAATAATCTCTGACCTTCTTGGTTCATAAAATTGTTGTGAGATTTAATGAGATAGTTACAGAGGCACTGTATAAACTCTCAGGCAAAGTAATTTAGTAGAAATAGTTGGGTCTGTAGTCTTCTGTCTGCATCACCAACTGGAGAGCTTATTCATGGCATGGAGGAATTTGCTGGTACATTGAGTGAGTGTGGCTTAACTGGGGCGGTGGGAGTTGCCACCTGGCCCTTGAAGAGTTTTGCATCTGGCAATAATCCAGAGAATGACTCCACTGAGAGGTAATAAACACAGAGAAAACTCTTTACCTATCATCTCTATGACCTTCTCACAGCGTCTTGTATTGGAGACATTTCAATTGTTCCTTGGATGGAAAGTAGCTCACCTTTTACTGTCAGCAGGACACATGGTACATGTGCCATTACGTTGGGAAATGGCTGCACAACTATTCTAAGTGGAAAAGTAAAGCTCTACACATCTGTATACTACCCACATAGATCTTTTTTTTTTCCATTCTACATTAAATGTCACTGAAAGTAGATCAAATGAAGTGCAAGCTCCCATGTCATCCTGGAAAATGTCCATGAAAACAGTCAGCATTAACACAAAATGTGTGGTTTATACTAGGGACTGAGATTCTATTTTGCTCTAAAAAAAAAAGACTATAATTTCTCCTGACAGATGAGGTCAGTGAATAATGTTTAAAATAGATGACGTCCCCTTACTTCTTACCCTTCCCCTTGGTCATAAGGCACCACTAGTGGTTCAGAACCCCCAGCATTACAACCACCATTACATGCATCAAGGTGGTGGTCAGGGCTTGCAGATGTTTTATTACAACTCTACCAAGGGGCATCCATGGGAGGGTTCAGCAAAGCCCAGGAACAGGGTACACAGGGGTGTGCAGGGCAAGTCAGCCCCTAGACAGCTCTGTACCCAGTAACTGAGGCCTCAGAAGGCAGAGAGAAGCCAAGTAAAGGGCAAGGAGGGTGTTAGGGTGTTTTGTTTCCTTCCTTCGAGGCTATAGATGATACCACTACACCCTACAACTAGCTGCCAGCACCTAGTGCAAACATGCTGAGATTTTGACCTGCTGAATACACATTTGGACTGAATACTGAAAAGTCGCTGAGAAGAAACACAAGGGGGAAGAACTGTCAAATGGCATGGCATATTACTAACATAAAAAAAGAAGCATTCCTGTTGATTTGAAAAGAATATCAAGAGAAGCTAGAAGCCTTACCATCGCCCCTTCAAATAGGTTATCAAATGCTAGCTTCAGTCCTAACTCTATATTTTCATGTAAGTTCTTAAATTAAGAGGCTCAGGGAACCAAAATTTTACTATGCAATGAACATCTTGGCCATTGGGTTACAAATGAATTGATCAAACTTACTTTGTCTTGGGATTGGATTTAGGTTACCTATTGAAGACTGGTAGCCAACCAGGCGTGCTGTCTTTCAGTGAGGTGGCAAGAGACCACAGGCCTATCTCATTCTGTCTTCTCCACTCGCAGGCTCAAATGCCAAGGCCTCAATGCACTGGCTCTCTCTCTCTCCTTAAGTGTACAAGACAATGGAAGAAGTCTTGCCCTAATCACCCTTAGGTTATCCAGGGGAACAAAGAGCTGGGCTGAATCCTGGTGATGAGATTTACTCAAGTCTTTTTATTTCCCTATCCCTCATTTTTCCTCATTGCTTGCTGGATATAATAAAAATAGCAACCTCAAAGGGTCTTGGTGAGTATTAAGGAGTGCTTACAAATAGCATTTAATCCAGTGTCTGCACATAGTAAGCCTGTGATATTGTTAACTACATAATTACTTCCACTATTATTTGTCTTTTCTTCTTTCTTTCTTTTTTTTTTTTTTTTTTTTTTTTTCCCTGAGATGGAGTTTTGCTCTATAGCCCAGGCTGGAGTGCAATGTCATGATCTCTGCTCACTGGAACCTCTGCCTCCTGGGTTCAAGCGTTCAAGCAATTCTCGTGCCTCAGCCTCCCAAGTACCTGCAACCACAGGGGCCTGCCACCATACCTGGCTAATTTTGTATTTTTGGTAGAGGTGGGGTTTCACCATGTTGGCGAGGTTAGTCTGGAACTCCTGACCTCGGGTGATCTGCCTGCCTTGGCCTCCCAAAGTGCTGGGATTACAGGCATGAGCCACCAGGCCCGGCCCCATTATTTTTTACAAAAAGCCTTTTTAATCCCATTCTAATTCTTTTGCTATCTGCCTTTCACTTGGAAATACAGCTACAATGGAAGAGAGAAATGCAAACTGCTTCTGGGCAAAATTTGCTTTTAATATTCTCAAAAGGTTTGTAGTACCAAATTTTTCCCCACATGTTCACTTGAAATTATTCTTCACTTTGGGGGAGATTTAAAAATAAAATTTTAGTTTCCATGTAGTTGAGTGGCTTTGAGTGAGATTCTTAATCCTGAGTTCTAGTTTGATTGCACTGTGGTCTGAGAGATAGTTTGTTATAATTTCTGTTCTTTTACATTTGCTGAGGAGAGCTTTACTTCCAACTATGTGGTCAATCTTGGAATAGGTGTGGTGTGGTGCTGAAAAAAATGTATATTCTGTTGATTTGGGGTGGAGAGTTCTGTAGATGTCTATTAGGTCTGCTTGGTGCAGAGCTGAGTTCAATTCCTGGGTATCCTTGTTGACTTTCTGTCTCCCTGCTCCTGAATGACTACTGGGTACATAACGAAATGAAGGCAGAAATAAAGATGTTCTTTGAAACCAATGAGAACAAAGACACCACATACCAGAATCTCTGGGACGCATTCAAAGCAGTGTGTAGAGGGAAATTTATAGCACTAAATGCCTACAAGAGAAAGCAGGAAAGATCCAAAATTGACACCCTAACATCACAATTAAAAGAACTAGAAAAGCAAGAGCAAACACATTCAAAAGCTAGCAGAAGGCAAGAAATAACTAAAATCAGAGCAGAACTGAAGGAAATAGAGACACAAAAAACCCTTCAAAAAATCAATGAATCCAGGAGCTGGTTTTTTGAAAGGATCAACAAAATTGATAGACCGCTAGCAAGACTAATAAAGAAAAAAAGAGAGAAGAATCAAATAGACACAATAAAAAATGATAAAGGGGATATCACCACTGATCCCACAGAAATACAAACTACCATCAGAGAATACTACAAACACCTCTACGCAAATAAACTAGAAAATCTAGAAGAAATGGATACATTCCTCGACATATACACTCTCCCAAGACTAAACCAGGAAGAAGTTGAATCTCTGAATAGACCAATAACAGGCTCTGAAATTGTGGCAATAATCAATAGTTTACCAACCAAAAAGAGTCCAGGACCAGATGGATTCACAGCCGAATTCTACCAGAGGTACAAGGAGGAACTGGTACCATTCCTTCTGAAACTATTCCAATCAATAGAAAAAGAGGGAATCCTCCCTAACTCATTTTATGAGGCCAGCGTCATTCTGATACCAAAGCCGGGCAGAGACACAACCAAAAAAGAGAATTTTAGACCAATATCCTTGATGAACATTGATGCAAAAATCCTCAATAAAATACTGGCAAACCGAATCCAGCAGCACATCAAAAAGCTTATCCACCATGATCAAGTGGGCTTCATCCCTGGGATGCAAGGCTGGTTCAATATACGCAAATCAATAAATGTAATCCAGCATATAAACAGAGCCAAAGACAAAAACCACATGATTATCTCAATAGATGCAGAAAAAGCCTTTGACAAAATTCAACAACCCTTCATGCTAAAAACTCTCAATAAATTAGGTATTGGTGGGACGTATTTCAAAATAATAAGAGCTATCTATGACAAACCCACAGCCAATATCATACTGAATGGGCAAAAACTGGAAGCATTCCCTTTGAAAACTGGCACAAGACAGGGATGCCCTCTCTCACCACTCCTATTCAACATAGTGTTGGAAGTTCTGGCCAGGGCAATCAGGCAGGAGAAGGAAATAAAGGGCATTCAATTAGGAAAAGAGGAAGTCAAATTGTCCCTGTTTGCAGACGACATGATTGTTTATCTAGAAAACCCCATCGTCTCAGCCCAAAATCTCCTTAAGCTGATAAGCAACTTCAGCAAAGTCTCAGGATACAAAATCAATGTACAAAAATCACAAGCATTCTTATACACCAACAACAGACAAACAGAGAGCCAAATCATGAGTGAACTCCCATTCACAATTGCTTCAAAGAGAATAAAATACCTAGGAATCCAACTTACAAGGGATGTGAAGGAACTCTTCAAGGAGAACTACAAACCACTGCTCAAGGAAATAAAAGAGGACACAAACAAATGGAAGAACATTCCATGCTCATGGGTAGGAAGAATCAATATCGTGAAAATGGCCATACTGCCCAAGGTAATTTACAGATTCAATGCCATCCCCATCAAGCTACCAATGACTTTCTTCACAGAATTGGAAAAAACTACTTTAAAGTTCATATGGAACCAAAAAAGAGCCCGCATCGCCAAGTCAATCCTAAGCCAAAAGAACAAAGCTGGAGGCATCACACTACCTGACTTCAAACTATACTACAAGGCTACAGTAACCAAAACAGCATGGTACTGGTACCAAAACAGAGATATAGATCAATGGAACAGAACAGAGCCCTCAGAAATAATGCCGCATATCTGCAACTATCTGATCTTTGACAAACCTGAGAAAAACAAGCAATGGGGAAAGGATTCCCTATTTAATAAATGGTGCTGGGAAAACTGGCTAGCCATATGTAGAAAGCTGAAACTGGATCCCTTCCTTACACCTTATACAAAAATCAATTCAAGATGGATTAAAGATTTAAACGTTAGACCTAAAACCATAAAAACCCTAGAAGAAAACCTAGGCATTACCATTCAGGACATAGGCGTGGGCAAGGACTTCATGTCCAAAACACCAAAAGCAATGGCAACAAAAGCCAAAATTGACAAATGGGATCTAATTAAACTCAAGAGCTTCTGCACAGCAAAAGAAACTACCATCAGAGTGAACAGGCAACCTACAACATGGGAGAAAATTTTCGCAACCTACTCATCTGACAAAGGGCTAATATCCAGAATCTACAATGAACTCAAACAAATTTACAAGAAAAAAACAAACAACCCCATCAAAAAGTGGGCGAAGGACATGAACAGACATTTCTCAAAAGAAGACATTTATGCAGCCAAAAAACACATGAAGAAATGCTCATCATCACTGGCCATCAGAGAAATGCAAATCAAAACCACTATGAGATATCATCTCACACCAGTTAGAATGGCAATCATTAAAAAGTCAGGAAACAACAGGTGCTGGAGAGGATGTGGAGAAATAGGAACTCTTTTACACTGTTGGTGGGACTGTAAACTAGTTCAACCATTGTGGAAGTCAGTGTGGCGATTCCTCAGGGATCTAGAACTAGAAATACCATTTGACCCAGCCATCCCATTACTGGGTATATACCCAAAGGACTATAAATCATGCTGCTATAAAGACACATGCACACGTATGTTTATTGCGGCACTATTCACAATAGCAAAGACTTGGAACCAAGCCAAATGTCCAACAATGATAGACTGGATTAAGAAAATGTGGCACATATACACCATGGAATACTATGCAGCCATAAAAAATGATGAGTTCATGTCCTTTGTAGGGACATGGATGAAACTGGAAACCATCATTCTCAGTAAACTATCGCAAGAACAAAAAACCAAACACCGCATATTCTCACTCATAGGTGGGAATTGAACAATGAGATCACATGGACACAGGAAGGGGAATATCACACTCTGGGGACTGTGGTGGGGTCGGGGGAGGGGGGAGGGATAGCATTGGGAGATATACCTAATGCTAGATGACACGTTAGTGGGTGCAGCGCACCAGCATGGCACATGTATACATATGTAACTAACCTGCACAATGTGCACATGTACCCTAAAACTTAGATTATAATAAAAAAAAAAAATTAAAAAAAAAAAGAAAATATATTTCTTATAAAATAAAATATTTTCGAAAAAATAAAAATAAAAATAAAATTTTAAATAAATGCCTAAGGAATTCCAAATGATTTGGCAAGCTAAATCCATTCTGTCAATAGAAAAAAAAAAAAAGATACAGATGTCTCTGCCAACAAAAAATCGGTTCAGAATATTAGGTTGTTTATTGCAATATTTGTATTTGAAGAAACCCACAATGGTTCTGTGCATTAAGAATTTTTGAGAATTTGTTATCATTGAAAGAAAGAAAAATTCCCATTCCCCATTCTTTTTTACTCCGTCCTCCAGGTCATCTAAGTCAGGGGTCCCCAACACCCAAGCCACGGACTGGTCCTGGTCCATGGCCTGTTAGGAACCAGGCCGCACAGCATGAGGTGAGCAGCAGACAAGTGAGCGTTACTGCCTGAGTTCCTCTGCCTGTCAGATCAGCAGTGGCATTAGATTCTCTTAGGAGCATGAGCCCTATTGTGAACTGCGCACTGCAGTGAGGGATCTAGGTTATCTACTCTTTATGGGACTCTAGTGCCTGATAATCTGAGGTGGAACAGTTTCATCCCAAAATCAACACCCACCCTTTCCCCACTGCCCCAATGCTCGTGGAAAAATTGTCTTCCACGAAACTGGTCTCTGGTGTCAAGAAGACTGGGGACCACTGATCTAAGTCGTTAGAACTCTTGTATTCTACCATTCAACCTTTACCTATGACATGAATTTAGGTTCTTGCAAAAGAAAGAGAACATAGGTTTTCATGCCTGTGATTAAATGCCTATGATCTGTACTTTGCCATGTGATTCCATGGTGGGAGGCAAGTTATCCTCATCGATCACATTTAGAGTTTAACCACATGAGCTACTCTAAAGAAGATGTTCTCATGGCTGAGTTTTCCCTGTGTCTCTTGGGTATTTCTCAATGTGCACTGCATTTAGAAATAAATCTCAAAGTGCTCTGATGACGTATCTTTTCTCAAACACACATTCCCCTCATCTCTCCCCATCTCCCCTGCAGAAATTGATAAGAAGTGAATTTCTCTAGAAAATCTAGTTTTGTTGTTGCCATTAAACTAATTTTAGGATTGGAAACTCACATATATGGTCACTATGTGCCTACCTTCTTTTTAGGAAACATGAGTCTGTGATGAAAGATATAAGTGAATCCAAATTCAAGTTTAATTTTGGAAACCATATGGTAAGATAAGAAGAGAATAAAACATAGCCTTCAAATAGATCACATTAGTTTTCATTTAGACCTATTATTTACTATTTAAGAACATTTTACATTTGCCAAATACATTTCTATAAGCCAAGAAGAACCAAATTTTTAGAGCTAGAA
This sequence comes from Homo sapiens, assembly GCF_000001405.40. NCBI lineage: Eukaryota > Metazoa > Chordata > Mammalia > Primates > Hominidae > Homo > Homo sapiens. Next base: position 9,264,269 of record NC_000005.10, read on the forward strand.
TAAAGACAGAAAAAAGCAGGAGCCCAGAAGGAGGAAAAGAAAGGAAAAAGAAGGCCAGGAAGGTGAGGGAAAGTGGGAATAGTCAAAGGAAAGAGGATGGCAAGGACAAAGAGGAAGTGAAAAAAACATTAAACCATCTAGGCTCCAAGTAAATAACGCATTTTATTTCAATATGTCAAAGCAAATCCTAGAATAACGTACCAGGCACTTGAAATTAAAATACAGCCATATGCTCCGGGAATGATTTTACAAAGAAATGAAGGCAGAACTGATGTCAGCTGAACCACTTGAGAAGAAAATGCCCTACAGTTCTCAGCTTCGGGGTTCCAGGTTGCTGGGGGTGTGGCATTCTCATAGTGACACCTCCCACCCTGAGGTCATAGTGACACCTCCCACCCTGAGGTCACCAGCGGGTTAATGTTCAGTTTGCCCTTGGTAGATCCTGGCAACCAGGAATGGCAACATAAAAAAGGAAGCACATCTCTGTTTTATAATTTTATGTATCATATTTGAGGACAAAAATATATCTTTCCAAGTAAAATGAATCTAGTTCTTAAGTAACAACAACATTCATCACTCTCAAAAGTGTGAGGGGCTGGCTGACTTCGGGGTGGGAAGAAACATGGGGCGAGGGTGCAGTGGGGAAGAATCAAGTTTCTTTACCTACTAAGTACATTATCCCTTGTTTCAAACCCCAAAGACGTGAACAGAGATTGACTTTGATCTGAAATTCCTTCTAATCTTACTTTGGGAGCCTTCATTATAATGCACATGCATTTAGGAATAAAAGTTAGGGAAAATTCTTACTATGTGGATTGAATGACTGAAACTGTGAGTGAATGGTCTGTTGTGGATGAAATAAGGACATTCCCCATAGCCCCAAACCACCGCGAGACATTTTGGTGTGAGAGTAAAATTCAGCTCCACGGTCGTGTGCTAGCTCAGCATCTGGGAGGAACCAGGAGGGTCTCCAACGGCCTAATTACATATTCCCCTCCTGAGGCTCCTCTTGTGGATGAGGTGCTCTAGACAAATAACCTCCTTATTAGAAGGACAGGCCCAGTTCCTGCCTATCCATGAGGTGTGGGCTTCAGCTCCCTACCAGACCATATAATTTATCTAACAAGTCAATCCCATCCTTCTATGGAAACCACAGGCATCCTACCTTCCTTCCACTGTAAGGCCTGCCTCCCACAGCCCTGTGATGTTCAACTCTTCTGCCGCGGGACTCCCATGTGGCTTTGTGTGGTGTGTGCGGTCCTCCTGCTCCAGGCTGTGAGTATATGTGACTCATAAACTGCTGCTGATCTCATCTGTCCAGTGCCTGGCGTCCCATGTTCAGCTATCCCCATAACTCTAGGGCAAGGGATCCCTCCCTCACGAATAAGACAAACAAAAGGAAATTAAAACAAGCAACTTCTGAGGTCTGCTAAACCAAGTTCAAGTGAGCTGTCCACTTAGCGTCTGTTTAGGCCACTGCAAGGCTGCTTTCTCCCTACCCTGCAAGTCTGGGTTCCAGACACAGGATTCAGCAAGCCCTGGCTGGCTCTCCAGCAGGCGCTCTTGAGAATGTTAAGGGCTCAGCAGGCACACCGTGTTTTCATGTTCAGGGCCTGGCATCTGAAAAATGCTAGGCGGAGAAGGGCAGTGTTTTGCGGAGGAAGACCAAAGAGTAATTGCTACATTTCAACATTCCTTGCCCCACGGCTGCCCTGCTTCCAAATCTCTCCCACATTTTCTCCCACTTACCGCGAAAAAATCCATTTATCTCACATTTCCCAATCTGTTTGTGAACAAAAGGCATCCGTCCTCAATGCCGCACTGTATGAGCTCCAAATACTGCTGGTGCTACGTCTGCCTTGAGGGCATTTTAGGAGAGCAGGGAATGGTTCGAGTCTCTGAATACAGGTTGATGTTTCCAAAGGAGAGAACAGTCTATCCATGGTTCTGTGTTTTAGTTTGATATATCAGATAACACAAGATGCCAGAGTTATCCAGGGCACATTTTAAAGCACAAGTGAGCTTCTGTGCTAAGTATCTTATAAATAGAGTCTTCTGGCAAACTTCTGCTTTTAAATACTATTATTAATGAGAATGAATGGAAATAAATGATCTGGAGGGTTTCCTGTTATTCGTGACAATCTTTAGAGGGCCATGGCTCCTTAAATGACGAGATACTACACATTTTAAAAGTCTCTATCAATCTAATGATAAAATGCTAAGTTGAATACACCATTATTATTTAATGTAATTTCAGGCTAAATTAGAAACTTTTATCTGGTCCCGTAAGATAGTGTTAGAAAACAATATTTTATCTTCTAAGCAACTTCTTCTCACCCTCATGAGAAAGAATGTAGGAAGATTATAGCAATGAAATAATTATAACTATTCTCTTTTGATGGGACAAAGTAAGCATGATTAACTTATTTATCCTACAGTAATAAAGGTAACTTGTCCAGCTCAGAAAGCCCATGAAACTCTAGCCAACTTGTGGCCAGACCCTGTGTAACTCACTACTGAACCCCAAGTTCAGACTGCTGAATAAATCAATACAAACTCAACTTTACCAAAGCAGTATCAATATGGAAAGTTCAGCAAGCTCTGGATATTGGAAGAGTAAATATGAACACCTAATACAAAATACCTAACTAGGTACAAAATGAAGGAGAGAGATTTTAAGTATGCACCTAATTTAATTCTCAGAAGACTCCCTTAAAATCCCATTGTACAGATTAGAAGCCTGAGATTCAGTGAAGACGTGATATACCTTACAGAGCTCTGCCCAGCTAGAAAGTAGCAGAATCAAGGTGGATTTCTAGGTTGCTGGCTCAAAACCTTCGAACAGCTCTCTGAGTCCACATTGCAAACAGCAGGATGAGGCTCTTACCTGATGTTCACATTCAGAAAAGATTAGATTCTTATTTAATATATGAGCCAGGAAGAATTTCAGCTGAGAAGCCCGCCACACTTTGCAGGCTTCTGGGTTTGGAAAAACTCACAACATAAAATCTCATCTGAATCTCCTGTACTTTGCCTCTATATCGCGCTATCAAGCTGTTGCCCGATCCACTTGAAAACTCTGCTGAGCTGAAACCATCAATTCCTTGTGACAGTTCATTGAATCTTTGGTCCACTTTACTTTAGGAAGTTCTTCCTTAAACTGAGTGACATCAATCACCCCATACCTTGTACTCTTTAGTTCTGGGTCTATGCCTTAATGACACAGAGATAAATTCTTAACTGGTTTCCACATTATTGTGCTTTTCTTATTTACAGACCCTGAAATCTTCCTCCTGGGTCTTCTAGACCAGTGTTTCTGAAAGAGAGTATTCCTTCTCTCATTTCTCAGATAAAAGGCATCTGATTCCTCTGACTGCCCTGGTCTCTTTCTTCACTCTTCTTTCTGATTAGCTAGACCTCAAAAGTATAGAATTCAACTAAAATAGTTAAAGATAAAAAGACACATCTGAGATCGACTTCAGAATCATCTCTGGCCGGGGTGGGCATGGGCGAAGTGGATAAGGAAAGAGATGAGAAAAGATTTACAGAACACGTGGATAACTTTTTAAATTGGCAGCTGGGTACAAAGGGTTTTATTATACTATTCTCTTTACCTTTGTCTATGATTGAAATTTTTCATGATAAAAAGCTTTTTTCAAAAGTGTAGCATGCAAAAACATGCATATGACAGGATCTGTTAGAGGAAGCTAAGTTATCACATCCTGTATCATAATAATATAAATTGAGTAATAAAAATATGATTAAAAATTTGAGCCATGTAAATATGCTAATTTGTGCCTTCTGAAACACCTATAGTATTGGTTATACCTATAGTAGTTGGTTCTTGTTGTTCTTGTAGGTAGTGCATTTAGCACAATTGTAGGGCTTCTTATTTGCCCTTGAAAATTTTTTATTGGTAGATTTCATCTGTTAAGAATCTATGGACCCTAAAGCTGTCAATCAGCTGATTCACTTGGGATGATCCTCAAATATTTTTAACACATCGATAAAAATACAGAGACAGGCTGAGTTTAGAAACCTAGAGAATCAACTTCCAAGACATTTTCTGTGTGTGGAAGATGTGCACAGCTAGCAGTTCAGTCTGGAAGGATGACTGAACAAACAGTGATAAGACCACCCATTCACTGAGGAAAACACAGAAAACGGCGTCATGAGACTCCCAGGGAAGGAAATGTAAAGCTTACTTTTTATCCTTTTTTGGCAACACAGTTCAGAATTTTTCAGTAAATAGTAATGTGATAGCACTGATCTGGAATTTGAATAAAGCTAAATTATGATGGAACTAAAAATGCCATCTTAATAAATACTACTGCCCCCAGGCCATAAGAGTTGATACAGAGGTAGGAAATATTGAATCCATAAGTGAGCAAAAGATAATTAGATGTTAATAAAGAATTTATTTTCCCCGCACTGTGGCAAATTTCATTTACATCACACTTCATAAATAATCACCTTCAACACTTCAACAGATTGCTGTAATTTATCATAAATTTTTAAAATGCTACCTTGTATATATATAATTAATCAGCACCAACTGCTTGAATTTGTAATTGCTTAATAATTTGGGGATAAATTATTATCTGTGTTTTAAACATACTAATTTATTTTTAAAGTAAGTATATTTCTATTTGTTTTAGAAATGATGACAATTTCCAGATCAAGAGCTAGGAAGGCATACAACATTTACATCGTACAATTACCTTCTGGATGCTAAGGACAAAACACATTTTTGTTTCTCCAGGTTGCAAGATCTATAGGCTGATAGAAATGCATCCCTCTGCAACAACACACAGCACATGTGGTGGGGGAATGAACTGAGAGAAAATCCGCGGGATGGAGACTGGGAGCCTCATGCCTCTAATTTGTCATCACGCTGAATCATCCAACATCCTCACCTACAACAAATTACTGAGACTAGCACCCTGCTTACTCCCTTCCCCAGCTCTGTGAGAGACACCTTGGCGCCAGATGGCAGGCAGGAGATGGCCAGGCAGATAATACAGGATCTCCTGTAGGCATGGAAGCAGTAGAAATAGATATTAATAATAATCACCTATTGTGTTGGAGCTGTGACTTGTATCTGACTCAGTAGAAAGACAATGGAGATGGCTATGGAATTCCTAAAAAGTACAAGAACAGTATTTGTGTTCTGGCTTGGTTTTGATTAGCTATGCAACCTTGAGCAAATGGCCTCACCTGTCTAAGTTAGCGTACTCACTTGAAAATATGGGGAGAAAATAATAAATGCCCTAATTACCAAAAAATGGTGAGGTAGAGCTTGAAGGAGATAATGTTCATGAAAATATTCTTGTTAACACTAAAATAGAATAGAAACATTGTAATTACAACTGCTGTTGTAAGAGTAGCAAAAGAGACATAAAATATAAAATGTAAGATTATACATGGTGGTGACCTTAAGGCTTCTATAAATTTTTATAAAATATCTATTTATATTCTCTATGTCTATATACATAGTATGAAATGTAATAAATCTGCATATGCAAAACATAAGAATTAGTTCTAACACTCACTTCTGAGTTAGGAAGCCAGTGTTATTAAATTCCGTATGACAATGAACTCCATCCAGTCCCCTTTTTACAGCTGCACAGAGAAGACTTAGTAGAGTAGGCCTGAGACTGTCATCCTAGAAGGGCCTGCTTGCAAAATTGGCCCCTTAGCTGGTTTCTGGGAGCTCAGATATCAGGAGGGTTTCCACAATTCCCTGTTAAAAACGGCTCACTGTGCCTCAATTATTAATACATGCAAGGTGGTTTACGCAAGCATCTGCTTTCCTTCCAGGAGTCTGCAATTTTAATACATTCCAGGCAGAGAGGTCCTGTGTGATCTGCCCGCAGGAGAAACCCAGGGCATTGAGCCTCTCTGGTAGACAACACTCTCCTCGTGTTGTCACAATTTGCTGATGGAAGGATTAAGTGCATCCAGTGTGATTCCACTGGAAGAAGACTCTTGGAAGATCACACCTTGTTTTCTTCATGATCTATCCATGCACCTCTTGTCTTTGCTAATTTTTTTTTCCTTCACTGTAATAAATCACAGCCATGCATGACTACATATTGAGTCCTTGAGTCCCGGAGAATTATTGAACCTGGGGTGATCTACGAGAACCTCAATTCAATAGCATTACAAATCTATATGGAAATGACAATTTTCAGAGATAGATGACCCAAAACTTGAGCAAGTCCCATAGGAAACAATAACAACTCTTTCTAGATTCTGGCCAGAAAAGGAAGTATGAAAGGTACTGAGAGCGGGGGAAAGTCGAGTCTGGTTGGAAACACAGCATTCACTTTGGGAGCACATTCTCAGGTTGCCTGAGAACTGACTAGAGATGCTTCCAATATACCTAGAAAGCAGCAGCCCAGATTTGGCATACTCTGATGTTGGGGCAGCGGGTGGGGGCAGGGGGAGGAGGGTTTCCCCAGGACAAGGTTAAGGAGCTTTGCTTTACCTGGAACTTCTGGTCAAAAAAGAAAAAAAAATAGATTAAATATAAGCCATAATGTTATTGAGATCTAAGAGGCAGACTTCTCCAATGTACATCAGAGTAGCAAACTACAGCCTGTGGGTCAAATCCAGCCCATTGCCTATTTTCTGATCACTTGCTTGCTAAAAATAGGTTTTATATTTTCACATATTGAAGAAAGAATTTGTGAATGTTTGCTTTCTCCTTTTTAACATAAGGAACTTGATACGGTTTTGTTCTCTGTCCCCACCCAAATCTCACGTTAAATTGTAACCTCCACATATCGGGGAGGGGCCTGGTGGGAGGTCTTTGGATCATAGTGACAGATTTCCCCCATGCTGTTCTCCTGATAGTGACTGAATTCTCATGAGATCTGATGGTTTAAAAGCATGTGGCACTCCCCCGTTTACTTGCTCTCTCTTCTGCTCCTCCATGGTAAAACGTGCTTGCTTACCCTTTGCCTTCCACCATAATTGTAAGTTTCCTGAGGCCTCCAGGCCATGCTTCCTGTTAAGCCTGTGAAACTGTGAGTCCATTAAATCTCTTTTCTTCATAAATTACCCATTCTCAGGTAGTTCTTTATAGCACTATGAGAATGAACTAATAAAGAAAATTGGTAACAGGAGTGAGGTACGGCTATAAACATAACTGAAAATGTGAAAGCGACTTTGGAACTGAGTAACAGTTAGGGGCTAGAACAGTTTGGAGGGCACAGAAGAAGATAGGAAAATGTGGAAAAATTTAGAACTTGCTAGAGACTTACTGAATGGTTTTTGACCAAAAGGCTGATAGTAATAAAAACAAAGAAGGGGACTGCTGGCAAGATGGCAGAATAGGAACTGCAGCTCCCAGCAAGATCAATGCAGAAGGTGGGTGATTTCTGCTTTCCCAACTGAGGTACCTAGTGCATCTCATTGGGACTTGTTGGACAGTGGGTGCAACCCAAGGAGGGCAAGCCAAAGCAGGGTGGGGCATCACTTCACCCGGGAAGCACAATGGGTCAGGGAACTCCCTCTAGCCAAGGGAAGCCATTAGGGATTGTACCATGCACTCCGGCCCAGATACTGCACTTTTCTCACGCTCTTCACAACCCACAGACCAGGAGATTCCCTCCAGTGCCCACACTACCAGGACCCTGGGGTTCCAGCACAAAACTGGGCGGCTGTTTGAGCAGATACCAAGCTAGCCACAGGAGTTGTTTTTTCATACCCCAGTGGCACCTGGAGCACCAGCGAGACAGAATCATTCACTCCCCTGGAAAGGGGGCTGAAGCCTGGGAGCCAAGTGGTCTGGCTTGGCAGGTTTCAACCCCACAGAGCTCAGCAACCTAAGATCTACTGGCTGGAAATTTTCACTGCTAGCACAGCTGTCTGAGCTAGATGTGGGACGCTGGAGCTTGGTGGGGGTGTAGGGGAGTGTCTGCCATTGCTTAGGCTTGAGTAGGTGGTTTTACCCTCACAGTGTAAACAAAGCCACTGGGAAGTTCGAACTGAGTGGAGCCCACCACCGCAGCTCAGCAAGGCCACTGAAGCCAGACCATCTCTCCTCTCTGGGCAGGGCATCTCTGAAAAACATGCAGCAGCCCCAGTCAGGGACTTATAGATAAAACCCCCACCTCCCTGGGACAGAGCACCTGGGGGAAGGGGAGGTTTTTGGCAGAGCTTCAGCAGGCTGAAACATCCCTGCCTGATGGCTCTGAAGAGAACAGAGATCTCCCAGCACAGCATTTGAGCTCTGATAAGGGACAGACTGCCTCCTTAAGTGGGTCCCTGATCCCGGTGTATCGTGAATGTGAGACACCTCCCAGTAGGGGCCGACAGACACCTCATACAGGAGAGCTCTGGCTGGCATCTGGTGGGTGCCCCTGTGGGACAAAGCTTCCAGAGGAAGGAACAGGCAGCAATCTTTGCTATTCTGCAGCCTTCGCTGGTGATACCCAGGCAAACAGGGTCTGGAGTGGACCTCCAGCAAACTCCAACACGCCTGCAGAAGAGGGGCCTGAATGTTAGAAGGAACACTAACAAACAAAGGAATGGTATCAACATCAACCAAAAGGATGCCCACTCAGAGACACCAGCCAAAGGTCACTGACTTCAAAGACCAAAGGTAGATAAATCCACGAAGATGGGGGAAACCAGTGCAAAAATACTAAAAATTCCAAAAACCAGAATGCCTCTTCTCCAAAGGTTCACAACTCCTCACCAGCAAGGGAACAAAACTGGACGGAGAATGAGTTTGATGAATTGACAGAAGTAGGCTTCAGAAGGTGGGTAATAACAAACTCCTCTAAGGTAAAGGAGCATGTTCTAACCCAATGCAAGGAAGCTAAGAACCTTGAAAAAAGTTCTTGAAAGTTAGAGAAGAACATAAATGATCTGATGGAGCTGAAAAACACAGCAAGAGAAATTCGTGAAGCATACACAAGTATCAATAGCTGAATCAATTAAGCAGAAGAAAGGATATCAGAGATTGAAGATCAACTCAATGAAATAAAGGTGAAGACAAGATTAGAGAAAAAAGAAGTGAAAAGAAATGAACAAAGCCCCCAAGAAATATGGGACTATGTGAAAAGACTAAATCTATGTTTGATTGGGCTACCTTAAAGTGACAAGGAGAATGAAATCAAGTTGGAAAACACTCTGCAGGATATTATCTAGGAGAACTTCCCCAACCTAGCAAGGCAGGCCAACATTCAAATTCAGGAAATACAGAGAACACCACAAAGATACTCCTCGAAAAGAGCAACCCCAAGACACATAAATGTCAGATTCACCAAGGTCAAAATGAAGGAAAAAATATTAAAGGCAGCCAAGAGAGAAAGGTCAGGTTACCCACAAAGGGAATCCCATCAGACTAACAGCAGATCTCGCAGCAGAAACTCTACAAGCCAGAAGGAGTGGGGGCCAATATTCAACATTCATAAAGAAAAGAATTTTCAACCCAGAATTTCATATCCAGCCAAACTAAGCTTCATAAGTGAATGAGAAATAAAATCCTTTACAGACAAGCAAATGCTGAGAGATTTTGTCACCACCAGGCCTGCCCTACAAGAGCTCCTGAAGGAAGCACTAAACATGGAAAGGAACAACCAGTACCAGCCACTGCAAAAACATACCAAATTGTAAAGACCATTGATGCTATGAAGAAACGGCCTCAACTAACGGGCAAAATAACCAGCTAGCATCATAATGACAGGATCAAATTCACACATAACAATATTAACCTTAAATGTAAATGGGTTAAATGCCCCAATTAAAAGACAAAGACTGGCAAATTGGATAAAGAGTCAAGACCCATCGGTGTGCTGTATTCAGGAGACCCATCTCATGTGCAAAGACACACATAGGCTCAAAATAAAGGGATGGAGGAAAATTTACCAAGCAAATGGACAGCAAAAATAAAGCAGGGGTTGCAATGCTAGTCTCTGATAAAAACAGACTTTAAACCAATAAAGATCAAAAGAGACAAGGACATTACATAATAGTAAAGGGATCAATGCAACAAGAAAAGCTAATTATCCTAAATATATATACATGCAATACAGGAGCACCCAGATTCATAAAGCAAGTTCTTAGAGACCTACAAAGAGACTTAGACTCCTACACGATAGTGGGATATTTTAACACCCCACAGTCAATATTAGATCAATGAGACAGAAAATTACCAAGGATATCCAGGACTTGAACTCAGCTCTGGACCAAGTGGACCTAATAGACATCTACAGAACTCTCCACACCAAATCAACAGAATATACATTATTTTCAGCACCATATCACACTTATTCTAAAATTGACCACGTAAGTGGATGTAAAACACTCCTCAGCAAATGCAAAAGAATGGAAATCATAAAAAACTGTCTCTCAGACCACAGTGCAATCAAATTAGAACTCAGGATTAAGAAACGCACTCAAAACCACACAACTACATGGAAAGTGAACAACCTGCTCCTGAATGACCACTGGGTAAATAACGAAATGATGGCAGAAATAAAGATGTTCTTTGAAACCAATGAGAACAAAGACACAATGTACCAGAATCTCTGGGACACATTTAAAGCAGTGGGTAGAGGGAAATTTATGGCACTAAATGCCCAAAAGAGAAAGCAGGAAAGATCTAAAATCAACACACTTACATCAAAATTAATAGAACTAGAGAAGCAAGAGCAAACACATTCAAAAGCCAGCAGAAGGCAAGAAATAACTAAGATCAGAGCAGAGCTGAAGGAGACAGACACATGAAAACCCCTCAAAAAAATCAATGAATCCAGGAGCTGGTTTATTGAAAAGATCAACAAAATAGATAGACTTCTAGCCAGACTAATAAAGAAAAAAAGAGAGAAGAATCAAGTAGATGCAATAAAAAATGATAAAGGGTATATCACTACCGATCCCACAGAAATGCAAACTACCATCAGAAAATATTATAATCACCTCTACTCAAATAAACTAGAAAATCTAGAAGAAATGGAAAAGTTCCTGGACACATACACCCTCCCAAGACTAAACCAGGAAGAAGTCGAATCCTTGAGTAGACCAATAACAAGTTCTAAAATTGAGGCAGCAATTAATAACCTACCAACCAAAAAAAGTCCGGGACCAGATGGACTCCCAGCCTAATTATACCAAAGGTACAAAGAGAAGCTGGTACCATTCCTTCTAAAACTATTCAAAACAATAGAAAAAGAGGGAATCCTCCCTAACTCATTTCATGAGGCCAGCATCATCCTAATACCAAAACCTGCAGAGACACAATAAAAAAAAAGGAAAATTTCAGGCCAATATCCCTGATGATCATCGATGTGAAAATCCTCAATAAAATACTGGCAAACCAAATCCAGCAGCACATCAAAAAGCTTGTCCACCACAATCAAGTCAGCTTCATCCCAGGGATGCAGTCTGGTTCAACATACACAAATCAGTCAAGGTAATCCATCACATAAACAAAACCAATGAGAAAAAACACATGATTATCTCAATAGATACAGAAAAGGCCTTCAACAAAATTCAACAATGTTCATGCTAAAAACTTTCAATAAACTAGGTATTGATGGAACATATCTCAAATAATAAGAGCTATTTATGACAAACCCACAGCCAACATCATACTGAATGGGCGAAAAACTGGCACAAGACAGGGATGCCCTCTCTCACCACTCCAACTCAACATAATATTGGAAGTTCTGGCCAGGGCAATCAGGCAAGAGAAAGAAATAAAGGTTATTCAATTAGGAAAACAGGAAGTCAAATTGTCTCTGTTTGCAGATGATATGATTGCATATTTAGAAAATCCCATCATCTCAGCCCAAAATCTCCTTAAGCTGATAAGCAACTTCAGCAAAGTCTCAGGATACAAAATCAATGTGCAAAAATCACAAGCATTCCTATACACCAATAACAGACAAACAGAGAGCCACATCATGAGTGAACTCCCATTCACAATTGCTACAAAGAATAAAATACCTAGGAATACAACTTACAATGGATGTGAAGGGCCTCTTCAAGGGGAACAACAAACCACTGCTCAAGGAAATAAGAGAGGACACAAACAAATGGAAAAACATTCCATGCTCATGGATAGGAAGAATCAATATTGTGAAAATGGCCATACTGCCCAAAGTAATTTATAGATTTAAAGCTATTCCCATCAAGCTACCATTGACTTTCCTCACAGAATTGGAAAAATCTACTTTAAATTTCATATGGAACCAAAAAAGAGCCCACATAACCAAGACAATCCTAAGCAAAAAGAACAAAGCTGGAGGCAACACTGGAGTTACCTGAATTCAAACTATAATACAAGGCTACAGTAAAACAGTATGGTACTGGTACCAAAACACATATATATATACCAATGGAACAGAACAAAGGCCTCAGAAATATCACCACACATTTACAACCATCTGATCTTTGACAAACCTGCCAACAACAAACAATGGGGAAAGGATTCCCTCTTTAATAAATGGTGTTGGGAAAACTGGCTAGCCATGTGCAGAAAACTGAAACTGGATCCCTTCCTTACACCTTATACAAAAATTAACCCAACATATATTAAACACTTAAACATAAGACCTAAAACCATAAAAACCCTAGAAGAAAACCTAGGCAATACCATGCAGGACATAGGCATGGGCAAAGACTTCATGACTAAAACACCAAAAGCAATGGCAACAAAAGCCAAAAGAGACAAATGGGATCTAATTAAACTAAAGAGCTTCTGCACAGCAAAAGAAACTATCATCAGAGTGAACAGGCAACCCAAAGAAAGGGAGAAAATTTTTGCAATCTATCCATCTGACAAAGGGCTAATTTCCAGAATCTACAAAGAACTCAAACAAATTTACACGGAAAAAAACAAACAACCCCATCAAAAAGTGGGCAAAGGATATGAACAGACACTTCTCAAAAGAAGACATTTATGCCACCAACAAACATATGAAAAAAATGCTCATCATCACTGGCCATTAGAGTAATGCAAATCAAAACCACAATGAGATAACATGTCATGCCAGTTAGAATGGTGATCATTAAAAAGTCAGGAAACAACAGATGCTGGAGAGGATGTTGAGAAATAGGAATGCTTTTACACTGTTGGTGAGAGTGTAAATTAGTTCAACAATGGTGGAGGACAGTGTGGCAATTCCTGAAGGATCTAGAACTAGAAATACCATTTGACCCAGCAATCTCATCACTGGGTATATAGCCAAAGGATTATAAATCATTCTACTATAAAGACACATGCACACATATATTTATTGTGGCACTGTTCACAATAGCAAAGACTTGGAACCTACTCAAATGCCCATCAATGATAGACTGGATAAAGAAAATGTGGCACATATACACCATGGAATACTATGAAGCCATATAAAAGGATGAGTTCCTGTCCTGTACAGGGACATGGATGATGCTGGAAACCATCATTCTCAGTAAACTAACACAAGAACAGAAAACCAAACACCACATGTTCTCACTCATAAGTGGGAGTTGAACAATGAGAACACATGGACACAGGGAGGGGAATATCACGCACTGTCAGGGGGGTGCGGGGCTAGGGGAGGGATAGCATTAGGAGAAATTCCTAATGTAGATGATAGGTTGATGGGTGCAGCAAACCACCGTGGCACGTGTATATGTATGTAACAGACTTGCATGTTCCGCACATGTACCCCAGAACTTAAAGTATAATAATAAAAAAGAACACATCTAGTAGAGACAGTATTGACTTATCAATAGACCCAGAAAAAATGTTTAAATTAAATTTTGGAGATGTGTTTATTTTACTTTATCAGTAGTTTTAAAATCAGCCGTATTTACTAAATGTTATTAAAGTCATGTAAACTTAAAAAAAAAAAAAAAGAAGTCCCAGCTGATGAGGTCTCAGCTGGTAATGAGGAACATACTGGGAAGTGGAGTGATGGCAACCCTTGCTATGCTTAAGCAAAGAGACTGGTGACATTTTGTTCCTGCCCTAGAGATCTGTGGAACTTTGAACTTGAGAGAGATTACTTAGGGTATCTGGTGGAAGACATTTCTAAGCAGCAAAGCATTCAAGAGGTGATCTGATTGTTTCTAAAAGTGTATGTTCATATGCATGAACAAAGAGATTATCTGAAATTGGAACTTAAAAGGAAAGCAAAGCATAAAAGTTTGGAAAATTTGCAGTATGGCCATGTCGTAGAAAAGAAAAACCCATTTTCTGGGGAGAAAAATCAAGCCTGCTGCAGAAATGTGCATAAGTAAAGAACAGCTAAATGTTAATCACCAAGGCAATGGGGAATATATCTCCAGAGCATTTCAGAGACCTTCAGGGAAGCCCTCTCATCACAGGCCTGCAGGTCTAGGAGGGAAAAATGGTTTTGTGGGCGAGGCCCAGGGCCCTGCTGCTCTGTGCAGCCTCAGAACACAGTGCCCTGTATCACACATGCCCCAGCTCCAGCTATGGCTAAAGGGGCCAAGGTACAGCTCAGGCTGAGGCTTCAGAGGGTGCAAGCCCCAAGCCTCAGTAGCATCTACGTGGTGCTGGGCCTGCAGGTGCACAGAAGGTGAGAGTTGAGGTTTGGGAACCTCCACCTAGATTTCAGAAGATGTATGTAAACACCTTGATGTCCAGGCAGAAGTCTGCTGCAGGGGTGGACCCCTCATGGGGAACCTACAGTAGGGCAGTGCAGAGTGGGAATGTGGGGTTGGAGCCCCAGTATGGACTCCCCATTGGAACACTGCCTAGTGGAGCTGGCAGAAGAGGGCCACCATCCTCCAGACCGTAGAATTATAGATCCACCAACAACTTGCACTGTGTGTCTGGAAAACCCACAGGAACTCAACGCCAGCCCATGAAAGCAGCCAAGGGGCGTGTACCCTGCAAAGCCACAGGGGCAGAGCTGCCAAAGGCCTTGGGAGTCCAGCCCTTGTGTTAGTGTGGCCTGGATGCAAGACATAGAGTCAAAGGAGATTATTTTGGAGCTTTAAGATTGAATGATGGCCCTGCTGGGTTTTGGACTTGCATGGGACCTCTAGACCCTTTGTTTTGGCCAATTTCTCCCATTTGGGATGTGAATATTTGCCCAATGCCTGTACCCCTACTGTTTCTTGGAAGTAACTAACTTGGTGTTGATTTTACAGGATCATAGGTGGAAGGGACTTGGCTTGTGTCAGATGTGACTTTGGACCTGGATTTTTGAGTTAATGCTAGAATGAGATAAGAGTATGGGGGATTGTTGGGAAGCCCTGATTGTTTTGGAAATGTGAAAAGGACATAAGATTTGGGAGGGGCTGGGGCAGAATGATATGGCTTAGCTCTGTGTCCCACCCAAACTTCATGTTGAATTATAATCCCTGCATGTCAGTGGAGGGGCCTAGTGGAAGGTGATTGGATCACAGGGGCAGATTTCCCCCTTGCTGTTCTCATGATAGTGAGTGAGTTCTCATGAGATCTGATGGTTTAACAACATGTGGCACTTCCCCCTTGACTCTCCCTCTCTCTCTCTCTCCTGCCCACCATGGAAAGACATGCTTGCTTTCCCTTTGCCTTTTGCCATGATTGTAAGTTTCCTGAGGCCTCCAAGCCATGCTTCCTGTTAAGCCCATGGAACTATGAGTCAATTAAACCTCTTTTCTTCATAAATTACCCAGCCTCAGTCTCAGGTAGTTCTTGACAGCAGTGTAATAACTGACTAATATCAACTTGCATATGACCATTTTGTCACTGGCTAAAATATTAACTATCCAGCCCTTTCCAAGAAAGAGGTGACTGAACCCTGATGCAGAATGATGAGTGTCTGAGGGACAGGATTTTAGAGCAATTTCTTTTAACATGTATTTTTTCTTGGAGGAATTCCATCCTAGGAGTAGGAAAAAAATACCGATGTCAAAAGCAAATCTAATACCAGGGCTTTGTACACTGACAGATCCAGGATCCCTAATTACAGATTCTGATTTTTACTTTACATTTACTGCAGCAGATATCTCTGTATTCAACAGATTCCATTTGTTAATAAATGGACCAATCACTACAAAAAGCACATGATCCCTATTGATCTTGTCAATGAATAATAGAAAAGTAAAGAAAAGAAAGGCAAAGATGAAAGTGGGAAAGGTCCTTCAAGACCACCTGAGCAGCATCATTCTTCACAGGTGAGAAAGTGAAGCACATCTGGACACAGGACTTGGCCCAGGTCACACAGCCCTTGCAGAACCAGGACTCCCTCAGCCTGACCCCGTGTTAGTGCCTATGTCCCTCAACAGGACCAGGGTTACTATTCATAGGAGAAGCTCTCACTTGGCCAGCCTCAAATTATATCAAGGATGACAATCTAAAAATGACATTTGAAGTCCAGTTTCCTACATTAAAAATATGCAGTGTTCAATACTTCAGTTATTTTGGTACATAGGCAAATTGGATACCTCTGAAATTAACAGAAACAAGAATTTGAAAAACCAACCAAAATTTTTACATGGAGGACTCTCAAGTTAACCAGGCTTGCTAAGATGAGAACATCACTGACAACAGCAATACTCACCCAATTGTCTTCCTCAGACCTGGAAGGAAATTGTTCCAATTATGAATAAAATGTAACGTTTTAGCAAATAACAATAAATAATTGTATGTGTATGTGTATCTGTGTGTATACAATTTAAATAATTCCTCCGTTAATTTAACCCAATTCTTCATTAATAATATTAGCATGAATTAAGAACTTCTAGGCTTGAGAAAAACCACTTTAAAAGTCTCATTTAAGCTTCATAATAACCCTATGAGTTACAAACCATTATCATTCTTACTTTATAGATGAGAAACCAAATATATTTATATTACTGAATTAAGATGAGTTATCAGAATTTCATTTCTAATATTTAATGATCCTGGTAGGATGGAAAATACACAAAAATGATACATCAGTTACTGTACTTTGATAATGTATCTTTACTTCTATAGGAATAAAATTTCCATTTTCCCTCTAGCACAGAATTTTTCTCTTCTATAATGTAAATACCTTCACTTCATGCAAATACCTAATTCAATCCAGCCAAGAACTCCCATCCAAAATGTTTTCCCTATAATTTTTGTATATATTTATAACAGTGGTCCCCAAATAGGGATAGTTTTGCCCCCCCAGGGGACATTCAGCAGTGTCTGGAGACAGCTGGGAAGGGTTTGCTACTGGCGTCTAGTGGATAGAGTCCAGGATGCTGCTAAATGTCCTATGCTGCCCAGGGCAGCCTACACAACAGTGAATTATCTAGCGTAAAAAGTCAACTGTGCCAAGACGGAGAAACCCTAGTTTATATGAAAAGCAAATCCCATATCCATATTATTTTATTGATTATCTCTTGACTTATGGACTAACAGGGTTCTTCAGGGACAATGAGAATTATCTGGATTCTTATAGACCCCCAGATCACCAAATAGGGTAAGGCAAATCGGGTAAGGCAAATCATACAAACTGATTAACAGGAACCAAGAGATACTGCTGTCCAAGACCGGGGAGAAGACGGCATGCTGTGACTAATGGACATCAGTCAATAATTTCATAACCTCTTTGGGATACAGGCACTTTTTTTTTTTTTTTTTTTGAGACAGAGCCTTGCTCTGTCACCCAGGCTGGAGTGCAGTGGTGCAATCTTGGCTCACTGCAACCTCTGCTGCCTGGGTTCTGCCTCAGCCTGTCACGTAGCTGGGATTACAGGCACTTGCCACCACGCCCAGCTAATTTTTGTATTTTTAGTAGAGACAGGGTTTTACCATCTTGGCCAGGCTGGTCTTGAACTCCTGACCTCGTGATCCACCCATCAGAGCCTCCTAAAGTGCTGGGATTACAGACGTGAGCCACCGTGCCCAGCCCAGGCACCTTTTAAGTAAAGCGAGAGACAGTTCAGTCCTCGTTTCCTTCCACCTTTAACACAAGAGCATCATGGCAGATTAGTTCAAATCTTGGAGCAAAAATATGAAGGCCAAACACTTAAAAAATGAATAAAAATAAAATTACAAAAACACACCAAATAGAAGAAAGCAAAATTTAAAACAAATGAAGCAAAGAGGAAGTTGATTGGAAAGACATGAGGCCAAAACTGATTCAAGCGGTGAGTCCTGTGAACATGGGTATGGGCCACATATTTGTCTCTGCGGTTTTCAGTAATGAAAGAGAAGAGGATGTGGGATTTCTAAAGGCAGAATCCTGGAAAAGCAATAACTTGCCCATTCCTAAAACTTTCAACCAATGTAATGCACATGTACAAAATGACACACTCCTCTCTGAAAAATGAATATTAAGGAAAATGAGCATTATATGACGTATATTTATACCTAAATCCTAAATACTTTTTCTAGAAAATAAGAAAAAAACAGTATAATCTCAGAGGTTCACGGAGGCATCATGCACTTTCTGGCAGTTGTAGCTGACCAGACGGATAAAGGGACCCCCAAACAGCCGCCTCCCGTGTCATCAGATTGCTCTAAAATACGTAATTCCATCTTCTCACATGTGCACCTCCCCATCCCACAGCATCAATCCTAAATTCCTAGTGGTAGGCAAAGTAGAGTCCCACTTTCTAATCCTTAAAACCTGTGACCATGTTATGCTTCATGGCAAGGGGGAAAGTTTAGATTGCTGGCAGAATGAAGGCTGTTAATCGATTGAGCCATGACAATCAGGTAGCTTGTAGAAGCTGGAAAAGGCAAGGAACCTGACTCTCCATAGAAGAGCCTCCAAGAGGGAACCAGACCTGCCAACACCCTGGCCTAAGCACAGTAAGACCAATTTTGAACTTCTGGCATCCAAAACGGTAAGATAATCAATGTGCATTGTTTTAAGCCACTGAGTATAGGATAATTTGTTGCAGCAGTATCACAAAACTGATACAACTCGTTTTAGTTTCCTTTTGCTGTCTAATAAATTGCCATAAACCTAGAGCCCTGAAGCAATACCTATGAATTATCTCTCAGTTCTCATGAGTCAGGAGTCCATTCGTGGTTTAACCAGATCCTCTGTTTAGAAGCTCATTGTCCTGACACTGAGATGTCTTTTTAGGCTTGTGAGAGTCTTCTAAACTCATTGGTTGCTGGAAAAATTCAGTTCTTTGTGACTGTAGGACTGAGACCTCTTGATACTAGGGAATGCCCACCCCTGTCTGCCCTGTGGTTCTCTCCACAACATGGAATTTTGCTTCTTCAAAGACAACAGAAGGGCACCTGCTGTGGCCCTTTTAAAGACTTGCCTGTTAGGTCAAATCCACTCAGGATGATCTCCCTTTTGACTAACCTATACTCAACTGATTAGGGTTCTTAATTCCATCTGTAAAATCCCCTTACTCTTACCATATAAGGTAAATTAATTATGGTCCTGCTCACATTCAAGGGGAGGGGATGATATAGGGTAGGTCCACCAGGGGGCAGAATCCTGGGGCCATCTTAGAATTCCACCTACCACACTCCTTGGCTGGGCAAAGTAGCTACTGTACCAGTTTGCCTCTGCCCGTTAATTTTTAACCAAATGCCCCAACACAGGCAAGTTAGTAAGGTTTGTCCACTGTCCTGGACATGTTCAGTATTAGATACATAGAACATATGCAAATGCTAGCATGTTCCTCTCTCTCCAGTGACTGTTCCCAAACTTCACCTTATTTTCATGATTGCAGGACATAACACAGAACCCGAGGTACATGGACTTAATCACTGTACATCTCCACGCATGTGATACATGGTCTTACTAAAAAATAGATAGATAGATAGATAGATAACAGATAATAGGCAGATGATAGATAACAGATGATAAATAAATATCAAATGATAGATAACAGATGATAGATGATAGATAACAGGTAATAGATAGATAGATATTAGAGAGAGAGAGAGAGAGAGAGAGAGATAAGAGATAGATGCTGTCTGTGCCAAATTTTTTTCTTGATTGAATACTCTAATTCCAAATTAGGAGATTGCTTGATCAATTTCCCTGCCAATCATTCCTCCACAGGTAGGCAATCAAGGGTTCCAAATGAAAGCATATCATAATGAATATCTAACACAGTAGCAATTTGCAGTAGACTATAAAACAGTAGCTAATACAGAATTCTGAGAGAAACTAATAGTGACAAGGAGAAAGCAAAAGACCTTCAGTTTCATAATGTAAACTCAAACTCAGATTTGCTTGCCTGAAAAGTATCAATGTAGGCACATCCTGAATGAATTATGTAGAGAAGGCAACCGTTTGGGAGTTAACAATGAGCCAGCATATAAGGAAAGATGGCAACATAATTACTTCCATTCCTTTTCTATAATGGATTGGGCTGATTCAAATTCAACATATTTCATCAATTTTTTTTTTAACAATCACAAGTGATGGTATTTTTCCCTTTATTTGCTAACTCAGTAATTCTTTTGGGGGGTAAAATTTTGAGGAAATCACAAATGAAACAAAATCCCTGATCATGGGCTAATGCAGACCTAAGATGTTTTTGTATAAAATTAAGAACAGCCTTCGTATTTCTTCTTGCAGTTTTTAGCTGGAAGAAGCCTACCAGCACAAAAAGGATAAGCTTTAATAAATAGCTCTCCTTGTGATAATGTAGCACACATTGCTTCAATTATAGTTCTATTCTAGTACTGGGGGAGGGAAGGATCCGTCCTGGCAGCCAGAACCCTGCCCAAGAAAATGTGATGATAACACAGGAAGGGGGCACCCCCTTAGCCAGCCAGATAAACTCTACCAGTCTGAGGCAGACTTCCCAGCAAGAAAATTCTCACATCCTCCTATTCTAATAATAGAACCAAACTAGAGGAAGGGAGGAAGAAACATCTGTAGTTGTGTGCTAAATTCCTCAAGCCTCCTACACTTTTTGAGTCCCCTCCCTTTAATTAGAAGCATTTATGCGTCATTCCACAGTCTCTTTTTCCTTCCAACTATCGTCTAGTATGTCTTCTACTCTACAAATGATTTCTAACATTTCTTGTTACAAAATGTTCCTGTGTGGAAAATGCTAATATTTCATGATGCAACTGACCCAACTCCACAGTGCAGTGTAGGATTCTGCAAACACCATCTTGTTATTCTCCGTAAATATCCCCCTTTCCTTCTTCTGGAGAAAATCTCAAGCTTCAATCACTGGGCCGTGAACCCGCCAAGACAGTGGCCTTTGAGTCAGTTTGAAAGAACAAAAATGCCTAGAGCCCTTCCTCCCCAAAGAAACATGGGATTGACAAGAAACTCTTTAGTCTCTCAACATACTAACATACAAATTAAACACATTGTTTAACACAAACTATACTTGCCCCATTAAAACTATCAGTCAAAAGACTCAGAACTAGCCAGGCTTGGTTCTTCTCCAAGCCAGACTTAAACACCAGCTCACAAGTTCCCACAACATCTGTTTCTAGATGCTTGATCTATCTCCCTGCCAATCATTCCTCCACAGGCAGGCAAAGGTGCCTTTTGAAGCTTCAAGGACTGATCTCAGGAGCATAGGATGGAGAACACACTCTCAAGGAGATGAAAAGCCCTTTTCA
Source organism: Homo sapiens (assembly GCF_000001405.40). NCBI lineage: Eukaryota > Metazoa > Chordata > Mammalia > Primates > Hominidae > Homo > Homo sapiens. The sequence goes on from NC_000005.10 coordinate 9,285,768, forward strand.
AGCCATGAGGGTGACCTCCTATAATGACCTTGACCCAAATGTTCTGGTGATGGCTGCTTCATGGGGAGCAAAAGGAATACTGTCTTAATAATAATTTATTGTCTATTTCAAAATACGCAGAAAAATAGATTTATAATGTTTCTGACACAAAGTAATGATAAATGGTTGAGGTGATGCATACCCCAATTAGCCAGATTTGATCATTATATATTGTATATGCTTGTATCAAAATACTGCATGTGTTCCATACATAGGTACAACTATAATATATCCATAAAACTTTTTTTTAAAAGGATGCTTCCTGAAAAACTGAGGCAAACTGCACTAAGTGATATTTATATCTTTGTATAACGCTGCAGAATGCTAGGAGTTCGTTCCACCATATTGACTAAATATACTTGCTAAGATAAGGTGTAACGATTCCATCTTTAACATTATAATAAAAAGAAACACCCGGGAGACTTCTTATGAGCCTCTATTTGATAATATGCCATGTGTATTATATATAGTTGGGTTACTTTTAACTGATTTTAACAACATAAAGGCAAATTTTCAAGTAATTGCAATGTTTTAATAAGCTAATTTTTAAAATTTATATTATATGAACTTTTTTCCTACCATTGATTTTTTCCCCCAGACTCTGACACCCCTCCGTACTCTTTTTTCTATCTCCCGGACCATATTAATAAGGTTCAGCAATCATTGTTTGCTGATTGAGTTTGACTTCCCATGTAATGCTTTGGGCAACGGATATTTGCATGCAGAGAAATGTGGTCCTCTCCTTGGCTCACCACCTCACTGCCAGGAAACTACCCCTTCAAGAGCTGACTGACCAGGGCTGGACAGTTAACTCACTCCTCCAGTCCAAATAATATGTTCCTTATTCATATGTTTTTATTCAATCATTCATTCATATTTTCATAATCTCTCTCTCCCTTACACACACTTATACACACATACACACACACACACACACGTGAATTTTTATAATTAAGTATATAAAGACTGAAAAATGGCAAATTCATCTTGGCAAATACCCAAAGTAAAGCCCATCAGCAGAGAATAAGAAACACTGAGTGATAAGATAGCTGAGAGTCCCCTGAGATCTTGGCCTTGGGCCGGGCTCCTTCTGCACCTTGGACCAGAACTGGCTTTGGACTCTTCAATCTTTGAACACATTTCCTTTTTTAGTTGCAGGCAAAACAATCATAAGCAAATGCTGTCCGTCACTGTTTTCCTACATGTACCCAATGCATTGAGGGAGATAACATACACTCCTGGGGTGGCCAGGAATGCAGAGGACCAGAAGCGAATGGGTCAATTAGCCACTAACCCTCCCCCGTCCACCTGCACTTCCTCCAGAGACATAGGCAAGTGTGCACTTGAGCACAAGTACATGCACACATGTGTACGATGGATACAGACATTCATCTTTATATTAACCCAGGCAGCAGCATGATCCGAAAAATGCCATCTATATTAACATCATCAGCTAGGGTTAATTGAATATCTGTTAAGTAACTTTGGTGTCAGCAAAAGTATCAAATTCTATTTTTAGACATCACATAATACAATAGATATTATTCAGTTTAAGCAGAATAGACACTACATCCTTTCATATATACATAATTCCTAAAGCTGAGTATTTCTTTGTACATTGCAATTATTTTTAGAGGAACGTAACTAAAACTTTTCCCTAAATATGATTTAAATAATAATTTAAATGTCAAAAATATTTTAATCTTATCCATTGCAAGAATTTATAATTTATAAACCTTTAAAAATTATATTCTTCTGAAATAAATTATATCAATTTTCTAATGTTATGTTACCCTAGTACAGGACTTGGCAAACTATAGTCAGCAGGCCAAATCAGGCCTACCACCTATTATTATAAATAAAGTTTTATTAAAACTCAGCCATCCATATTCATATACTTATTGTCTATAGCCGGCTTTGTACCATCATGGCAGAGTTGATGAGCCATACCAGAGATCACGTGGCCTGCAAAGTCTCTGCATTTACTATCTGGCCCTGTACAGAAAATGTTTGCAAAGTCTTGCTCTAGCCAATTATGGCAAAGTAACTTAAAAATTATTTCCCTCAAGCCCTAATTTTTAAAAAATAAAATGTCATCATGTTCAACCAAACTCAATAGATTCTGAATATCCTTCCAGATATTCTGAATATTCTGAATACCAGAATAGTAGATTCTGAATATTGCTGTCTTCAAAAACACTTATGGATTAAGAGGATAAGCAAGCAAATGTATAAGATAAATGTAAAAGAGACACATGACATATCTAAAATAGAATTAAAAGCACTTCACAAAACTGGGAAAATATTAAAATATGTTTTAGGATACTTTATGAATCAAGGGTTCTATAGGAATTACGTGACACCATCACATAAGATAATTTGAAGAAGGCTTGACAAGACAACTATCAACAAAGACACAGGTGTGGAAGAGGCAAACACAAGAGTTCCCAGTGGCTACTAAGGGGCCCAAAGGAATGCTGGGGGATAAAGGGTCATAAAGGGAGAGCCAGGTGGGTGTGGCTGCTGCGGTGTGAGGCCAGGGCCACAGCCAGTCCCAGGTAACCCAGTGGCAGCCAGTGGTGGGAATCGCAGCTCGGACTTCCCTCCCCTTTCTCCCACAGGCCTTCCAAGGACCTTTTCCATGGCCCTATCCAGCTGGCCGCGAGAGGGCACAGGGGCATGACAGCAGTCATAGAAGCTTCCCAGTACAGAGGCAGAAACAGACGCTGGGAGGGGCAAGAGAAAATAGCCAGCAGGAGTTCACTTTCTTTCGAAGATGATAAAACAGGAGAAAATAAATGTGAAACTGTTCTCTACAGTGTTTATATTTCTAGCCAAGAACACTCTCATGAATGAAATTCATTTTCTAAAATTAGGGCAATGCTAAGAATAAGTCTTTTCTCCAACATTAAAATAAAAATAAATTTACCAAAAAATGGTTGCATAATGAAGTGGCTGGAACCAAAATGTAGTCTTGGTAAGATTAAGCCCACAGTAGCTAATGTACAAGTTGTAAACTATATCTCATTCATATCATGTTGATATTTGAAAGAAGTAGAAATGAGGACACACAAAAAAAAGGAAAGCATTTTTACCTCATCCTTCAAACAAAAACAAAAGTATTTTTTCTCCCAAAATGATTTTTAAATTAAATGCTTCTTTTGTCAGAAAGTGAATCCTAGCGTAGTGACATTGCCATTGATGGTTTAAGCCTATTAGAGACCTGTGTTGCTCACGAAACATGTTGAATAGGACTCTAACAGTATTTTCACAAATGTTTTTCTCCCACATCCTCATCAATGAGATCTGGCATTTACTTCCAATCAGTGTATATGTCTTCATTTATATATTATAAACACATACAGCTGTGCATGTATATAAGTATATTTTAAATACAGTATACACATCTGAAAATAATGACATCAAGATAAAATGATTGATATTATAAAGTAAATATTATGTTATAGTCTGATTTAACAAAACTTTTTAAACTTAGTGCAATAATTTATGATAGAATGAATTAAAATTCTGTTTTCTACATTCAATTTATATTAATTTTTAGTTTAAAAACTTCTATAACTGAAGTGGACAACTCAAACAGATATATAAATCCAATTTCTTGGGAGGCTGAGGCAGATCGCGAGGTCAGGAGATTGAGAACATCCTGGCTGACACGGTGAAACCCCGTCTCTACAAAAAATACAAAAAATTAGCCAGGCGTGGTGGCACGTGCCGGTAGTCCCAGCAATTCAGGAGGCTGAGGCAGGAGAATCACTTGAACCCAGGAGGTGGAGGTTACAGTGAGACGAGATTGCGCCACTGCATTCCAGCCTGGGTGACAGAGCAAGACTGTCTCAAAAATAAAAAAAAAAAAATCCAATTACATCATTGGCTGTTTTTAATAAATTTTGATATACTACTTTTTCAACTTCATCTGCCAATTAGACAATGTTTTTTGTTGAAATTTGCCAAGCACATTTTCATCTTCACTGATGTCAATATCTTGTGCTCAAAAATTTATCAGAAAGATTAAAAAATGAGCTTAAAGTCCACTGAAACTTCCCTTTTGGGAGTTTTAAAAAAGGGTTAAAAGTACACATAAGACATTTCAAAAGTGAATTTTCTAAATTTATATATTTAAAAATCAGGTAAGATTGTTATTATAGTGATTGTTGAGCATCATCATTAACAACCAATTCACATAAGGACAGAAATCTTCTGAGGTATCTGATTTAAAAATTACTTTTAATTTTTTTATTTCAATAGGTTTTTTGGAAACAGGTGGTGTTTGGTTATATGAATAAGTTTTTTCGTGGTGATTTCTGAGATTTTGGGGGCACCTATCACCCAAGCAGGCTACACTGTACCCAATGTGTAGTCTTTTATCCCTCACCCCCTCCCACCCTTTCCTCTTAGTCCTCAAAGTCCATTGTATCGTTCTTATGCCTTTGAATAATTATAGTTAAGCACTCCCATTATGAGTGAGAACATATGATGTTTGGTTTTCCATTCCTGAGTTACTTCACTTAGAATAATGGTTTCCAGGTCCATGCAGCTTGCTGTAAATGCCATTATTTCATTCATTTTTATGATATACATATATATACACTACATTTTCTTTATCTACTTGTTGACTGATGGGCATTTGGATTGGTTCAATATTTTTGCAGTTGAGTATTGTGCTGCTATATTGCATGAGTTTCTTTTGGAAAGCAATTACGGTCTCATTAATTGTGAAACAAGACAATTTCTTTTCTACAGGTACCTACTATTCATCATACTATTAAAAATAACAGGAAGTTCAGCAAATTTAGATCCCTTATATCTTAAAAAAGGAGAAATAGGTACATAGAGATGATAGCGCTAGATATACAGAAACATTGATATATGTGTATATACATACACATCCATTGACGTTAAGCTTCACAATTTTTCAATATCTTAAATTAATGACAGCTCTTTAAATATGTTGCCACTAGGTATCCAGAGACCCTCCCTATAAAACAGAAAATAATGGTTCTTTCCCACCTCATTTCAAAACATTATAAATACTCTCCCATGTTAAATAACATAACACAAAAATGCACTTTACTGGAACTTGTAAGTCAAAACCCTTCCAATATTTCCCTGATTCCCTCAGGATGCCTTAGAAACTCACTTTGGCATGTGTCAGAGCTTGACATATTGAGCAAGTGAGGCACCAGCATCAACTTACATTTTAATATTAGTACATTTTACATTGCTGTGGTATAAACATTCTAGAAACAGAATTTCCCATTTTCTTTCCATCCGTCTCTTGAGATCACTGCTATTGACTCTAGACTACCTGCTTCAGAATCACATTTAGATGTTTGCTAAAAATGGTCGTTCTTGGCCACTGGAGTCAGAATCAATGAGAAGTGGAGTCACAAAACCCAGAGTTTAAACAAGTTCTGGATGCGGCAGATTTTGCACTTCGCGGATGGTCCCAGCAGCATGTCCCCCACAGGCTCTCCTGCATGCAACCTGCTGGTCATCCATCCACAACTGGAGTCTATTTCTCTACCACCTTGGATTCTGGAAAGCCTAACTCCTTTGACCAATAAAATATGACCGAAGAGCTCCTTTGCCAGTTCCAGGCATGGCCTTAACTGGCCTGGAAGCTTCATTTCCAGTCTCTTGAAGGCAGGTGCCATGTAAGAAGTTCAGCCATCCAGAGACCACCATGTTAGGAGAGAATAAAGAGATGACATGGTGGGCAAAATGACAAATGGAGAAGAAAGGAGGATGTAGAAGCAGGAAAGAGAGAGAGAGAGAGAAAGAGAGAGAGAGAGAGAAAGGAGACAGAGACAGATACCAAGGAGCAATGGCATGCAGTCCCTGTGAGTGGATCAACCACCTTGAATATGGAACCTCCAGTCCAAGCAGCCTCATCTGATGCCAACACAATCATAAACAAACTTCTCAGCCAAGTTCTTTTTTTTTTTTTTTTTGACTTTTGGAATTTTGGAATTTTGGAATTCCTGATCAACAAAATTGTGAGCAAAATAAAACGGTTGTTTTAAATCACTATGTTTTGTGGTGCTGATTAGGTAGCAATTAATAACTGAAACAAGAAGTCATTATTTTGCTACAAGTAAGGATGTCTAGTCAAGATTCTCTCCCTGCCCATCCCAAGTCTCCATACAGGAAGCCCCATTCCCCTACCTGGGATTTGCGGTGAGGCTGCAGCCCTAGAAAGATGGCTGGCTGTCACCCCTGCCTCAGGAGTCCTCGAGGCTACTTTTGGTCAACACTATAACTGAAGCAGAAGCAACAGTGGCGTTTAGAAGATGTCAAACATGGAAATAATGACTTCTTGGACTTATACAAGTATTTAACCCTCCTTTCCCTTTGTTGAATGCCTGACATCCCACGTTTGTAAATCAATTCTGTGAATCCTCCAGCCCATTTATGGTCCATAACTTAAATTGCATCAAATAATTTCAAACACGGTAGTTACCAGTATATACTTGATTTATAAAATTCACAGTTATAACAATATGTTAACTCGTTTACTCAATCTAAAACCTTAAGGAAAACATTACTATTATTCCTGAGAGGGAACTGAAATACAGTGAGATTAAGTAACTTGCCCGAGGACACACACCCAGTAAGTTGAGGCAGTGGCTACTCAGATCATATATCCCCAAACCCTCTTCATTACTGTCTTCAGTTATTAATACAGAAATTGTAGTTAGGATGTCAGGTAAATAAATGGTGAATTTCCATAAACCAAAGGGAATTTACAGAAATATTAACTATTCTAAAATTCTTTCCAAGTTTAAACAATCAATTTTCATGGTGATTTATTCAATAAAAGCTGCAAAAAAAACCATGTTTGTTTGAAAATACACACTCAAGTCCATACAAAGAAAAAAATCAACTGTTTAGATTATATGAGTAATTCAAAAGGTGAAGCAGTTTCTATTGTGTAGACCAGGGTTTCTCAACCAGGTGCGATTTTGCACCCCAGGGAACACGTGGAAGTGTCTAGAGACAGCTTTGGTTGTCATTACTAGTATGTGTGGGGTGTGCTACTGGCATCTAGGGGTACAGGCCAAGGATGCTGTTAAACATCCTACACTGCACAGGACAGAACCCCCATGACCAAGAATTATCTGGCCCAAAACATCAATAGTGTGCAGGTGCAGAAACCCTGATGCGAAACGTGATCGAGGCGTTTCTTCTGCCCTGATCATCCTTTCTTGTGGTCATCTCCTCTCCCTGCTCTGAGCCTTGGTAGCACTGTTTCATATCCCACACTGAATACCTTGTGATGGCACTGCCACTACCACTGTTCATTTTTCAGGTCCATAAATCTTATCTTGTCAACTGGAACGTGAGCTGCTAGAGAGCTCTCAGGTCTCTCTCTCTCTCTCTCCTGGAAGAATGTAGTGCAAGGAGGTGGCATCTGATATCTTTTTGTCAACACGGTTTATAATTTCTAATTTCTTGAATACTTGAAATGAAATACTCAAAGCCATCCAGGTAACTGCCTCCTTCTGAGAAAATGTCTTCCTTGAGTGTCTTTTACTTCTTAAGGGTTTAAGAAGCCATCTCCTCACCCAGGGCCATATGAAAAATAAACTTCCCTTTGTTTTAATTTCCAAGAGGAAGTTATCACCAAGGGACACAAACTTGAACTTTTGAACATGGAATGGTCAACATTCCAGCTTTTATACTCACTGTATGGACAATCAGTAATTGCTGCTTTTTAACAGTAGGAATAAATCTAATACATGTTATTAAATTCTGCATATTTTGTCACAGTTTGTGTTTGTGTAATTTTCCTTTCATGCCTGTTGCACTTGTGTTATTTGATCATCTAATTTCTCTTTTACTTTTCTTTCTCCTCCTCCAAAATGGAGGCTTATTTACATCAATTATTGATCTGCCATATGTCTAATTTAGCCCTATGTCCAGTACTTGAACTAGAGAAACTGTTAAACCAAATTAGTAATAATGTTTAGGCTAGAGGTGGAGGGGATATTGGGTAGGTACTTTTTGCAAAAGTGAATACATAATTAAATAAAAAATAGTAATACTGTTGGTGGCCACATTAGCTGTAAACTAACATAGAGAAAAGAAATAATGAGCAATTGGTTCCTTTCTTTGTAAGATCCCAATTGCAGTCCATACAGTTATTCTCCATGACTTATCACAGGGTAGTCCCTCTGCCAATAGTGGTATAAGTGAATTGAAAACACATTACATTTTAATTAATCATTTAATTAAAGGAAAAAGAGAGACATGAAAATGAAACAGGGAACAAAAGCTCAGGTCACATACAGCAATGGGTGATCTCCAAATCTTGTCTCCCTGTCTTTGAAATAAGACCAGACAGCATTTGGCCTTCCGGTACATCGTCACCTCCCCTCTCAGCTCGGCTGCAGCCACTCAAGGTTTGGGACTTCAAAGTGCCATGACTCCTCATAGGCATTAAGCCTACAGTATAAGCCCCAGCACCCCCAACCTGCCTCACTCTGTGGACTTGCACACAACCATGGGCCACTTTCCATCCACATCATCAAAGCTGTCCAAAAATGGGGCAGGGGACCCTGGCCTTCGTTTCAAAAATTACAGTTCTGCCAGATGCCACGAGATGGATGCTAAAACCCTGTTCCTTCCTGGATTCCCCTGCCTGCTCCTCACACAAATATGGATGTCATGCCTCTTTCATGTCAACACCTATTGTGCTGAACTCTACACTTGGAATGTCTCAATACCTAGTGCTGTCCTTATACCTTGACGAAAACTCTCCCTAGATTTACTGAGCACTCTACTTGCTTAACCACTCAGAATCCAAACACAACATATGTCATCTGCTTTGTCCAGGGAATTGGACTTCTAAACACTTCCCCCATGGAGAAGATAATCCACTCTTCCTTTACACTGAGAGGTCTCAATGAAGAAATGGCTTCCAAACCAGCCAATAATCCAGCCCCATTTTCACATCTACCTGATTCAACAATTCATTCATTCATTCATTATGTCTCTCACTCATTCACTTTCACTTGGTCTGTTTTCCTCCTTCATCCCTCCCCTCCTTCTCTTCCACCACCAGAATTCTCAATTAGCCTTTCAAATACCCACAAGAAAGTCCCACTGTAATCCTCACCATCACTCAAGGTCACTAGCGCCAAAGCACAACTTCCTGTCTTCCATCCCTATAACTGGCCTACACATCCAGACCCTCAAAACCCACTCTCCCTGCTACTCTCCAGTGCTTCTGGGATCGGATACACTATTTTCATAGCCCCTGTCAGGGTCCATTCCCACAAAGTATGACTCACAACAGGCTCCAGAGCTCTAGTTTCCCAGGGTTCATGTTCAAAGTAGGGATTCCCGCTACCCCAAATTCTTATTCAGTAAGCATAAAAAGGATTTGGGGATTTCCATTATTAAAAGTCCATTTGGGTGAATCTGATGATCAACAGATTCTAGAACTCCTGTGCTCAAAAGACAGTAAGCCTCTCATCCTAACTGCCTTTTGTAATGCTGATGCTATTGACAGAGGCAGTGCCTAGGATTAAACTCCCCTTTGTGAGTTGGAATTCTGGTTTGCAAACTCCATCTACTTTTCAAAATTAAGTGAACAAAGAGAAAGATGGGAAGCCAAATAATTCACACTGAATGTTTGAATCTTAGGCTGGGCAGAATTTGATAGTTGTCTAGGTGGTACATGGGAGTGACTGGGGAGAAGGACGAGTGATGGGGAAGGAGGAGGAGGAGGAGGATTTTCTACTCTTCAGAGCTTATGGCAGAAAGTTATCAGCATGTGAGCTGGAGCCAGGTGGTCTGAGAGCTAATCTGGAATGCACCAAGGCTGCAGATACTTGATGCTGACCTGATTTCCTCATGCAAAATCAGGATAAAGATGATACCTATCAAATATAAGCACTGATAAGATTAAATGGAATAATGCATGCTGAGCTCTTACCATAAAGCTGGATATAAAATAATAACTCAATATTAGCTATGATCATCATTATATGCATAAGATTTAGGAAAACTTAACCTCTTTATTTTGTTATATATCTTCAGAGAATTACATTGTACACATCCAGACGACCTGAGTGGAAATCATTGTTCTCATCCAAATATCACCCAATGCTTTCTTTAATTCTAGGTAGAATAATCAAAAAAGACACTTTGTCTCCATATGCCAAATAACAGCCCCAATCAGCCAGTGGAACAACCAGATAATTACTTATCAACTAAGGGGTATTTTAATGTGATGCATGATAACTAAGGACTTAAAATCACAAATACAATCATGCCAATTTTTAAAGGGATGTGTAATTGGGGCAAGAAAATAGAGAGTTGAACCCCACAGAAGGAAAGAAATAGAATCTAAAAATATCAGTTATTTTAAAAGTTCAATAAAGGCTATTAGTGTATAAAATGTATAATTAATTTACTATCTGTATATCCGTTTACAGGCTTATCATATCTTTGAGGTTGATCTATAAATCTTCAAATATATTAATTATATTTAACCAGCTGTGGTAAACTGCGATTTGTCAAAAACTGGTAAAACACTGTTTTCTTTTTAAAGCAGCTAAATGTAATATATTTATAATGAGCCCTTCTTGCATCAGCTATAAGTACATGATGTGACATAATTTATAACTATAAATATACATTTTATATGTAAATAGAAAAGTCTCTGTATTCTATTTGAAATACTGTACTTTTCACAAATGCATTGCTTAACAATTAATGTGGTCAAATCTTATAATGCCAAAATGTTTTTTAATTATGTATTTCATACCTTTATGCTCAAGCTTAATTTGGTTACCTGTTATTCTCTAATTACAAAAAGGAATCTTCATTTAAGAAAGTCTTGGACCAAATATAAAACATCATTCAGAAAGCAGGCCGGTCAAAAAGTAAAAGCTTATGGTTTCTAAATTTCAGGATTTCTTTATGAAAAAATGTCTTCTGTAGTATTTTACAATTTTTAAATTTCAGGATTTGTACAGGCAGTAGTAACAGGCAGGAAAGGAGGGTAAGGGGAAGGAGAAACAGCATATTTCCTACAGGTGAGACATTATGCTCCAAACTGTGATCTCAAAAAAAAAAAAAAAAAAAGATATAAAAACATTTCCTTAGGGAGCTTTAATGGATTACTGAGTTACTATGGGCGGAAACTTCTTGATCTCTTTCTGGGAGACAACCAAAAAGGTGCAGCTAAAGCTCAGAGAAGAAAATCAGCATGGCTGAGCTTCCATTATGAGAAAATACATGAAAACAGTATTGGATGGTGGTCACCCAAGAAAATGCAATAATAGCTGAATGTTGGAAAGTGACAAATTCAACCTAAAAAAATACATATATATATACATATACATATGTATATACACATACATATGTATATACACATACATACACACATACTTTTTCCTAAGTTTTTTTTCTATCGACTCAAATATTTCACAAAGGGGGAATTACGCCTGCAGGAGCACATAGCTGTGGTGTGAATGACTGTGTCCTCTGAGAAATTCATATGTTGAAATCCTAACCTCTCAAGGCCTGCAGGTGGTGATTAGGTCACGAGGGTGACACCTTCTGATTGAGATTAGTGCCCTGATAAAAAAGGAATCAGAGAACTCAGTCAGTCGCCACTTCCACTATGTGTGTGCCCTCAGCAGACACTGAACCTTCAGGTGCCTTGTTCCTGGACTTTCAGGCCTTCAGAACTGTGAGCAATAAATTTCTGTTTTTTTTGTTTACTTGTTTTTGAGAGAGTATCTCACTCCAATTGCCCAGGCTGGAGTGTAGTGGCATGATCTTGGCTCACTACAGCCTCAACCTCCCAGGCTCAAATGATCCTCCCACCTCAGTCTCCCGAGTAGCTGGGACTACAGGTACATGCCACCATGTCAAGCTATTTTTTTTTTTTTGTATTTTTAGTAAAGACAGGGTTTTTCCATGTTGCCCAGACTGGTCTTGAACTCCTGGGCTCAAGCCACCTGCCTACCTTGGCCACCCAAATCACTGGGGTTACAGGTGTGAATCACTGGGATTACAGGTGTGAACCACCATGCCTGGCCAATTTCTGTTGTTTACAAGTTACCCAGCCTAGGGTATTTGGGAAAACAGCCTATATAAACTAAAACACACACAAATACACATAGAGTTAAAGAATATATAGCTATAAAGTTAGGTGACCAAAATGTCCTCTAGTCATCAAAAATTATACTAATGTCATTATGACTTGAACTGTGTCCTCCCCAAAAGATACGGTGAAGTCCTAACCCCCAGTACCTAACAAATAATCTCATTTGGAAATTAGGTTTTTACAGAGGTAATCAAGTTAAAATGAGATCATTAGGGTGGGCCATAATCCATATGTGTCCTATGAAAAAGGGAAATTTGGATGCTGAGCCAGACAAGCATAGAGGAAAGAGGATGTGAAGACATGCAGGAGAAGATGGCCAAAAGGCTTGAGTGGTGATGTGTGTACAAGCTGAGAATGCCAAGGATTGCTGGCAACCACCTGCAGCTAACGAGGTGAGGAAGAAGACTCCCCTAGAGCCTTAGGGAAGAATATGGCCCTGCCAACACTTGATTTTAGATTTCAGGCCTCCAGAACTGTGAGGTCATCCATTTCTGTTGTGTTAAGCCACCTAGCTTTTGTTTCTCTGTTATAGCAGGTCTAAGAAACTAATACACATGCGTAGAACAGAAGTATCACAACCCAGTCCTTTTTTTATCTTCTAAGTTTTTTTAAAAGTTCTCTCCTAAATAAACAAAAATACATAAGTAATCTTTAAAACTTACATAGGTTAAGTTTCTAGTGCTGTACTGATTGGTTCAATTGTTAAGAATATTGACTATAAGGTCAGTTCTGTCTTTGACATAGAGTTTTGAATAAGGAGTTTGATGGAAAATATCTGTAGATTAAGGTTCTTTTTCAAGACTGTGATGGTAGCTGACATTTTTGCAGCTTTAAATATATACTGAGTCACATCCTTAGTAAAGAAGGAAGGTAATCGTCAAACATTTTAAAATACCCCATTGTTATAAGATTTTGAAATACCATTATCACAGCATTTCAGTAATGAACTCTCACAGCCTTCAGCTCTGCCCACTGTTGAAGAGAAGTAATCAGTCTAGATGCATACTTCCCTTATGGAGCTTTTAGGGGCATAATATCCATCCAGTTAGTCATTTGGACAGGCTTGATAAACTAAGCCCACAGTCAACCTGCCATTAAAAGCAGAGTGAGTTAGATTTGTGGCATCCTCAGTATTAATTAAACATTGATGGTGGGCATCACTGTTCAGAAGAAGGGGGCATCTTTACCTAATGTGCGCGCAAATCTCAACAGTCTTAGAGCTGAAAGGGCCCTTAGAGATCATCTATTCATCTGGTCTAATCCTGTTGGAATGGGGAATCTCATATTAGAACTGCGGGTAAGAGAGTAGGTGAAGAAGGAGCCTGGCATTAGAGGGGAGACTATTAAAATAATACCTGGCAGGAATTGATGTGGATGGAGAGTATAGACAGAAGATGTTCAGTGTCGAGCAAAAGAAATAGCAAGTGGAGATGGGCCTGGAAGGTTTGAATTCAGTTGGAGGAAATCAAGCAAACACCCAGGAGAAAGGCAAGTTGGGGATGATGAGTTCACACCTATCTCCTGCAGGGGACTTTCTCTGAGCTGACCTTGTATTTTTACCAGCTTCCAATCTTGGGTGGGGTGCTGACCAGTGGAGTGGGAGAGGAAGACTTGGCAGAAAATCTTCACTAGTGACCCAAGTCAACCTTGCCAGCGTTGGGCTCAGATGTCAACTTTAAGCATCCCTTGAGGCATAAACTTAGGCAGAATTTGATCATTTACAAACACCTGTCATTTGAACAGGTTTTGGGAAGGAGGCCATAAATGTTAACACCTTTCTCTGCTCTCCCAACTGAAACTCTAAAATGCCAAAGAATATTTTCAGGAAAACATAGTGTGCTTACTCCAAATGGCACAGACAAAAGCCATACTTCACGTCTCCTTCCCTGATGGGGCCAGGCCTCAGATATCCAAATGTAGCTGAGATGTAACAGAAGAGTTTTAAGGCCCCTCAGTGGCCCTGCTCTAATGAGAGCCAGAAGTTCCCAATGCTGCCACCTCAAGATATTATTACAGTACTGAAATGACATCCAAAACACGAACAAAAAGAAAACTGAAATTCTGCCCTCTTGTTTCTCCTCACTTTTTTGGGGGGCGGGGGGCAGGTCTTGCTCTGTTAGACTGGGGTGCACTGGCACTATCATGGCTCACTGCAGCATCGAGCTCCCCAGTCTCCAGTGATCCTCCTGCCTTGGCCTCCCATGTAGCTGGACCTACAGGCACACCCCACCACACCTGACTAATTTTTGTAATTTTTGTAGAGACAGGGTTTCGCCATGTTACCCAGGCTGGTCTCAAACTCCTGGGTTCAAGTGATCCACCCGTCTTAGCCTCCAAAAGTGTTGGGACTGCAGGCGTGAGCCACTGCGCCCGGCCATTTCTCCTCATTTCTAATGCCATGTCCTGGGTGCTGAACAGGATAGTCCCCTACAACACAGAATTATCTGACCTACATTTCCATAGTGCTGAGATGAAGAAACTCTGAGAAGGAGAAAAAGAGGATAGTAATTTGGAACAAATCTTACAGCCATAATACAGGAGTAGCCTTATGTCACCATGGGTAGGTAGAATCTCTTCCAAACAAAGAGGCATAAACCCAGGAATATTTTCTTCTGAAGATCTCCTGAATACTACCTGAATTGGGTTGAATGGTGGCCTCCCAAAACATATATCTATTTGGAACCTGTAATGGTAACCTTATTTGGAGAAAGGATCTTAGCAAATGTAATTAAGAATCCCAAGATGACATCATCCTGGATAATCCTGGTGAATCCTAAATCCAGTTGCAAGTATCCTTATAAAAGAAAGTTCAGGGCTATATTAGACACATAGACACACAAAGGAAGCCATGTGAAGATGGAGGCAGAGATTGGAGTTTGAAATCAAAGAACACCTGGAGCCACTAGAACTGGAAAAGGCGATGAAGCTTTCTCCCCTAGAGTCTTCAAAGGGAGTGGAGCCCTGCTGATATCTCAGTTTCTGACTTCCAGGCTCCAGCACTGTAAAAGGATAGATTTTAGTTGTTTTTAAGCCACCAAATTTGTGGTAATTTGTTATTGCATCCCTAGAAAGCTAATACACTACTAAACAGATAATATGTTCAGACAACTTATATTCTCTCTAATGGCCAGAACTGACTGGTTTAAATGTGACTTCAGAAAAACTTTGACAACTATATTAACAAGCTAAGTGTTTCTCATGAGTTACATGAGCTAAATGACTTCCTTCACCAAAGGTAATGTTTAGTATTTTAAACAGAAGAAAGTCACACTTGGTATTTGTATCACAGACAACTTTCTAAAGACAGCCTCTTATCTCAGAGTTGATAAATTTTAGGCAGCGAATTCATAAGCATCAGGTGTCTCAAAATGTGCAACGTCATTGAAATCTGTTTCGAGAAGTTTTAATGTGAGCAGCAGACAGGAGTAAAATCGTATTACGCAAGCCCTTCAGGCTCTCTGGCAAGTGATAAAAACTCAATGCCAACTAGGTTACGCCAAAAACAAAAGCACAGATTCAAGCATAAACTCAGGGAGTCAAAGTATGCTGTAAGAATTCCATGGTTCTTACTCCTAGTTACAATGGCCTCTGTTGGGCCTTCTTCTTGGAAAGACTCCATATGGTGACAAGATGGCTGCAAGTAGCCTGCACTTGACGTCACTCTTTGAGCTCATGATTGCAAAGAAGAAATTGGTCTTGCAGCTCTCAGGCACAGTGCAATGTCATTAAAGGCCACTGATTAAGGGCACTTGGGTCATTTACAGCACTCAGGACCCAGAGGATATTATTCTCTTGTTGGGCTTCCTGGGAGACCTGCCCACCTGCAATATATGAGAAAGAGGAGCCATGCATATTAGCTTCCTGTGGCTGCTGTAACAAATGGCCAGCAATTTGGTGGCTTAAATCAATATGACTTTATTCTCTCACAGTTCTGGAGAGAAGTCAGAAATCAGTATCAATGGGCCAAACTCAAGGTGGTAGCAGAGCTATGCTCCCCTAGGAGGGCCTAGGGGAGAATCCATCGCCCCTTGCAGCTCTGAGTGGCTGCCAGCTTTCCTTAGCTGTAGTTGCATCACTCTAATTTTCAAAGCCCATCTCTTCAAATCTCTCTCAAATCCATCTTCACATGGCTTGCTCCTCTGTGTGTGTGTAATCTTCTTCTGCATCTCTCTTCTAAAAACACATGTGATTGTATCTAAGAGGCACCCAGATAATCCAGAAAAATCTTCCCATTTCAAGATCCTTAATATAATCACATCTTTGCCATGTAAGGTCACATTTAGAAGTTTCAGGAATTAGATATCTTTTGGAGGGCCATTTTTCAGCCTACTGCATGATATCACTGACAATACTGCTCAAGTCACAGGGAGTAGAGTCCTGGCAATCCCAGAAAAATAAATAAGGCACTGACAGATGCACCTTACAGGCTAACGCATGGATCATCTCTCAGCTGTCTGCTAAATACAATGACGTCATTACAGAACTGAGCCATCACATAAGCCAAACTCAATCTCATACTTGCTTTACATTTATGGTGGGGCTAAACAACAGATAGTGGTAGAAACAGCACATTTCATTTCATGCTCTCATTCATGTGTTCATTATGCTCATGAACCTGGATAATTCACAGCTGTTTCTCAGTGCAAATATGCAATGTTCATCAAGGCATGATCTCAGAGCACAAGCACCTAAGATGCTATAATATCGATATTGAACACATCTAGACAAAGATAAACCTTTAGAAATTGACATAGAACCACCTACTGTCACATGCTAGCAGAGTAGGGAACTCTGCTGACGGTGAGAAAGAAGATACATATCCATTAGTTCAATGTGTTTTCCCTGACTCATCTTAGGCTCTAAACAGCAGGAAGAAAAAGAGGCCGCTTGACAAATACTAATTATAATGTAGATAGAAATTTCAAAGCCAGATTTTTTAATTTTGCCTGTTTTCTTTATGAATCAATCTAAATTTATTAGCCTTTGCTAGTGCTATAAGTCATGCATATATATGACAGACAATTTGGGAAATTATGGTAAAGTATAAAATGAAAAATCCAAACCACTCACCACATGGAAACAACCACTTGCTAATTTACTTATTTCAAATAGTAAATTTAACTTAAATACACACACACACACACATACACACACATATATATATATAATTTTTTTTTTTTTTTGAGACAGAGTCTCGCTCTGTTGCCCAGGCTAGAGTGCAGTGGCGCCATCTCGGCTTACTGCAATCTCCGCCTCCTAGGTTCATGCCATTCTCCTGCCTCAGCCTCCCCAGTAGCTGGGAATACAGGCGCCCACCACCATGCCCGGCTAATTTTTTGTATTTTCAGTAGAGGTGGGGTTTCACCGTGTTAGCCAGGATGGTCTCAATCTCCTAACCTCGTGATCCACCTGCCTCGGCCTCCCAAAGTGCTGGGAACTTGAATATATTTTAAAAAGAACTTGAGGATAGATTCAAAGAATGCCTGAACTTCATATTTCTTCACCATAAATATCAACTCCTAAAAACTTCCCAAAAGATACCATTAATTTTTTTTAAGTTTACACACATAGATACATGTTTCTTTGTAGCATACATTTATGTTTCTAGGAGGTATAATATATTATAAAATAGCTGGAAGAGAGACTTTCGAATGTTCTCACCATAAAGAAATGATAAATGAATGAGGTGATGAATAAGCTAAATACCCAAATTTGATGATTATGCCAAATATATATGTACAGAAGCATCAATTTTATCCCATCAATATGTACAAATACAATGTGCCAATAAATATTTTTAAAGGAATACATTAAAAATCACTTAATCAGAATCCAAAGAAACAAAAGACAATCCTTGAAAACTATAAGTTTAACAAATCCTATATAAAATATTTTAAAAATAACATATTTTGAAATTTGAGCTTGCTTTTAGCATTACCCTCAAAGACATACAGAAGGGAAACAATGAGCATTTCTCCAGCAAAATATTCCCTTTTGTAAAAGATAGATCACTTGTTGAAGAAAAACAAAATAGACATGGAAAATTGATTTTATCATGAACTATAATAAAGCCTGAGAAATTACACACAAGTAGACTGTGGTGTTTATGTTCCACCAAAATTTGTTGTTTTCATTTCTTAGACTCAACTACTCAAAATAACCCTATTTGTTTTATAATTGGAGCAGTTTTCTTGGATGCCTGTTTTCTCTTGTATACCTATTTATCTTTGTTGTCTATATAATTTCCAATAGTATTTCCATTTTTCTTAGTGATAAAAATAATCTTCATATAATTAACACTTTCTCTTTGTTAAACTTGTGATTTGTGTAAAAAAATCTACTTTTCTCATAAAGTCATTTTTATAGAATCTTCTAATTTGTTCCTTAATAATTTTCGATGAACTATGTCTATGAAAGAACATATCCTTATTTTTTGTGAATTCTTTATCGATCTGATTTGTCCTTTTCATGTCAGTCTTTTCATACTTTATGAATATAATATCATCTTTATATTATTTTTAAAGTTAAACATACACTCAATTCATAAAGAAATCTGCAAGATCTAAAATAATAAAGAAAGCCCTCTATGTCATACAGCCTATATAGTTTGCTTAAAGCAAAAACTTTCAACTCTTTAACTGGTTTATTTATGTATTTTTCTCCAAATTTGTAACTAATAATATTTTACTGCTGTTTCTTGATATTTTCAGTTAGAAATATTATTCACTGGCTCCTTTTTACTTTATCCCTCTTCCTCCATCAACATAGATGCATGCTCCCTCCCCCACTTTCTCAGTATTGATTTATGATGATTCTGTAGGAATATGCAGTACCTACATAACTATGCAAATACTCTTCACAGATGGGCCATGAAATAAGATTTTACTACATCTTGTTTCTCAAAACAATTATACGTTTCTTAGAGTTAATAATTGTCTCTTGTTTTTCTATGTAGTTATTATCTTTTTGTCCCCCACACCGAAATGTAAGTCTCCTTTTTGTCTAAATGCATTCAAACACCTCAGATATCCCATTATTGATATCCTCCTGGAAAGATGCCTTCGGTAACTGTATCATCTACTCCAACCTGGACTGGTGGCTCCCAAGGCCCGCCGCACAACAGTTCCACAATTATCTCCCTTTGCCCTCATCCCAGGAATATTTTTCTCCCTCTCGCCTGTATTGGAGCCTCTATTTCCTGGGCCTAGTGTGTTAACCATTCATATATTTCCCTTGATTTTTCATCTCTTAGTCTTTATTCAACTTTCTGGGAAATTTTTATCAAATTTATTTACTAATTTTCCATGGATATTTTTATTTCTATGATCATATATTTTCAAAATAATCTATGAAGCCTTTTGAAATACACTGAATATTTCTTTTCTCCTTGTTTCATGGTAGTAATATCTTCTCTAATTTCAGAAGACATTCATCATAATTTCTTGTCTCTCTGTCTTCCAAGTTTCTTATTTAATTTGGTTCACTCTGTGTTTTTCGTAACTGGGAACTGCAAGAACATTAGAGCTGGGCACCCACATTGCTTTGTAGACCAGCCATCATTGCTTAATCTGGGTGGGATTTTTTTGTATTAGAGTGACCACCGATGTCACTATCCTTAAGGTTCTAGTTGTAAGCTGATTAGATACCAACAAAAGTGTACGCCAAAACCCATATAAAATATATGCAAAGAGAAACACCAACACCGGGGAGAAGGGCTAGGATCTCAATATACAGTATATATACTGTGTGTGTGTGCGTATATATATATATATATATTTACACGCACACACACACACACACACACATATATACACATACATACATATACATATATACTGAATTCTCCCCTTCTTTTTTAAGGGAAGTTCTCAGGGGAAATCTTGGTCCCCTGGTCCAATATATCAGCAGCTTTGTCATCTTCCAGAATTGCACTACTGTCTTCTTCCAGCATGGCAGAGGAACAACTGTGTTGAGACACAAAGTGAGCGAGCAGGAAGATCTGGGTTCTAACTGCTTCTTCCATTGTCTCCTGAGTTTGTGGTTTCTCTTGAAAAACTGGCTATGGATCTTATTTTTACTCCTCTGAAGGTTATGTCTTTTTCTGTTACTTGATTATTTTTAAGATTTATCCCTTTTCCACGAGTTTTCAGAAGTCTGACTATAACGTGCTGGTGTGGTTATCTATTGTATTTGAGGTTTGCAGAGCTTCTTAGTCTGTGAGTTGATACCTTTCATCACTTTGGAAAAGTTTCAGTGATAATTACCAGGCACATAGCTTCTGCCTTGTCCTCTTCCTTCTCCTTTTGAGACTCAAGTTGTATGTGAGTTAGAGTTTTCAAGGTGTCATGTGTGTCTAATACTCTTTTATCTACCCTTTCCAATTCCTCTCTGTATTTCAGTTTGAATATTTTCCACAGACTGGTCTTCCAGTTCACTAATACAATATTTTTTTTCTGCTATGTCTAATCTGCTGTTAAAATAATTCATATAGTTCCATATGTCAGATATTATTTGTTTTTAAAAAATTATAGAAAATTTATTTGATTCTTTTTTATTCTAATGTTCTGGTAAAATTCTCCACTCTTTAATTAATCTGTCTAAATTATCCTCTACTTTCTTCCTTATATTAATCATAATTATTTAAAGTTACCTTCTGCTAACTTTACTAACTGTATCATCTGTCACTTTCATCAGCCAAGAGCAACTCTCCAGAGGAAGGGGCAGCTATGAACCAGTATCAAACAACCCTCACAATAGCCAGGGATAGGGTGCCCTGTTCTATAAGGAGAGCTGGGTAGGGTGTCTCTTGTGTTCATAGAGATTTTCCTTTGATGTACCTTTATTGTCACTTAAATGCTTTATTTTAAATCAATGAAAGAACAGTACATAGGTTCCCTTCATCTTGAATCAGAAACTAATGGCTATGGTTTAAAATTGCATTTGATTTTGATGCTCCTTTATTCAAATGGTGCTTGGCAATTCTTAGGCAATGAATTGCATGAGGTCTTCGGACTCCAGATATTACCAAAATTACATGTATAGTCATGCCTAATTTCGTATAAAGCAGCCTATTCTTAGTAGGGAATTTCTGCATGGGCAACTTGCCTCTGCGATCTAAGATGCATGTAAATAATAACTGAGTATTGCCAAAAATTGAAAGTAGAATTGAATTTCAAAAATTAAACTGAGCAACCAACCCATATAAAATCATTGAAGGGATCATGTAGTATCACTTGAAAAAGTGGCAATAGCCCCCACAACAGTAAGAATTGATACAAGCAGATTAAACATTGTGTTCTAATGAAGAAGTATTATATAAACTCTTAAAGGTTAGCTATGAGAGCACAGCAAAAGGATTGTTTGTCAAACATATGTTAAACAAGGGTGTTGTCCATTGCAGCCCTATCCACAATGACTCTACCCATCTCTGTGACAGTTATCAATAAATTCTGGATGACAAATGGCTTACATGTTAAAGAGTCAACAAATTAAGGGTTCCAATCCATCCACTCCAGAGAGTGGTCAGCCAATGTGACTTTTTTTTTTTTCATTTATGTTTCTCCTTTGCTTTTTATTTTCACTTTGTTCTTAGGTAATTGGGAGACAGCTTACAGAACACATTATCTCTTACTCAAACAAGAAATCATTACTAAAATTTGGAGCAATGAGTTTTCCTGGTATGTTGGCTTATTTATTTTTGTTAGCATTTTGGAAGGGACATACAGATAAGGGAAATGAACACAGGGCAGAGAATTCTGAGCATGCCCATCACTCAGCAGTCATGGCACTTATGGGGGCCATTTTTGACATAGAAGGAGAAATGCATTTTAGATAAATGAAATGAACTCCTCCATTTATCTAGCAGCTTGTGATTGTCAGACAGTGTTTGCTATTGGATTACATAAATTGCCTGACTTCGTTTCATGAAACTAAATGATATACATGACTAACAAATATATTCATGCATCTTCAATTTAGTTTTTGAGGCCACAAGCAAAGCAACAATTTAGAAATGGATAAAGAGAGTTATTAGAAATTAAGATATGCACAACACAAAAGAATGAATTCAATAATAAAGTATGTACTTTTTTGTCAAAGACATAAAAACACTTCATTTCAGTGGCAGAGACTAGTGTCTGTTCGGTCAGAGTCAGGAACATCAAGAAAACTCTAAGTAAGATACCTAAAAGTATTGAGTATTATCAATCATAGTGGGTGCTATCGGCACCCCATCCAGCTCTTATGAAACAGGACACTGTATCCCTGGCTGCTGTCACTGTTAGCTGATCCTGGTTCATAGCTTCCCAACTCTCTGGAGAATTGCTCCTGGTTAATGAGAGCCACCTCACCAGGAAGTTATGTCACCAAACACTCCAAATGTGGCAGCCGAAGAACAAGGGAGAGTTGGTTATAAATCGCCACAGCCCTTGCCTCAAATGGGATTAACAGCGGTTCTATATATGCTCTAGAGCTGCATCTGGGATCGGGTTGAGGCTATACTCCAGCTGACAGGAAATTTTTGCCTACTTCCTTTCTTTGCTATGTCACACACTCCCTACCTTTTGAGAGCATGCCTTAAGTAAATCACATGCTTGAGAACCCCTATCTCAGACTGTGTTTCCAGGGTACCAAACCTAAAACCCATATTTGAATTTCAATTAAAAATTAACGGTTATATTCACTGTAAGCCAGATGTCAACTATAGGTCGTATGCTGGCCAGTACAAATGAGTACAATAAAGCAGCAATTGTCCTCTGGAGCCCTACACACCCAGGTCCAAATCCTAGCTCTACCACCTATCAGATGGCTGATCTTGGCTAAATCACATAAACTTGTAGACCTCAACTCCTCTGCTGTTGAATATTGAAAATAATACCCCCACTTTAGTGCTGCTGGAGAACTCGATGAGATGATGCTTGCAAAGTGCCAAGAACAGAGTAAGGGCAGGATGAGTGATGCCTGCTATTATTTTTGTTGCTGTCATCATGATTTCATGACAAATTAGGTCATTAAAGTTACATCAAATAAGCATAATGCCAAGTTTCAAATTAGTAGGGAATGTTTTCCTTAAACAGGAGTTCAGGCATTACTTAAGCAAGACAGAAGAAAGAGTAAGTGGAAGGATGATGCATATTAAAAATTTAATCCTGGCAGAGAATTCAGGGATAAATCCAGTGTACTCTTCTTCCTGGCTGTCCTCTCCAAAATGTACTATAGAGAAAATTGAGGTAAAGAGAGGTTAAGTGGCTTGCTCAAAGTATTCCTGCTTGTTATTTACAGAAATGTTAGAATCATGAAGAAATCTGTTGGTACGTAGCAAAAAAATTAGAATGGTATGGCGGGGTGGGATGAGGGTAGAACAGGGAACAGTTAAGTGTATCCCCAGGGGCCGGTCTTGTTTTCCCTAGCACAGACTAGGAGAAAATGCTAATATCTGTCAATGTCTGAATGCATACAAACCACATATCCCAACCTGCCTTGTGATTTCTTGAAGTTATGTGACTGAGTTATGGCCAGTGGAATTTGGGCACAAGGGATGCACTTCCTGGCATGGCATGATCCTTTGCATGATCCTCCACTCGAATTTGTCTTTCTTCCCTACTGCCTCTGGAGGCATGGATTGAAGACGGGATACCATAAGAGAACACTGTGGGATCCTGAACGGCAGCATGGAACCAAGCCCCACAGACTGCACTGGACTCACTTGCGAGGGAGGAATAAGTCTTCTGCATGTGAATGTTCAGCTTCTAGGAGGGCGCAGTTGTTTTAATGGCAGTTAACTTGGTTCATATTCTCTGAAACTAGTAAAATCTTAGTCCTCATCTACATAAAATATACATAATCAACTATAAATCTTCCAGAACGTTATTTAAAAAGTAGAGTAAATATGTTTGAATAAATCGGTATATAAAACAGCATCTGACAGAAAATCTTCACCAAGGGAACAGATATAAGAGCCTAGAATCTGAGGAGGACCGTTGGTAACGCTGTCTCAGGTTACCAACTTCTGGGTCAAGATCAACTGGGGATCATGTAATTATTACACAGCGAGTCCAAATAAACACAGCAATCAAACATTGATAAACTAAAAAAAAATACTGAGTCATATTGTGTTCACTCATCAATTCAGGAAATATTCATTGAGAACTTGCCGAGTACTAGGTACCATAATAGGTGACAAACTTTTTCTTAAAGGAAGAGAGAGTCACATAGTTTATATTTTAGGCTTGGTAGGCCAGGCAGTCTCTGTGGCTACTGGTCAAGTTAGCTGAACAGCAGCCATAGATGTTATGTTAAAAAAAAATGAACAATATGTCTGGATTCCAAATAAAACTTCATTAACTATTATTATAGGCCAACGACATGCAAATGAATGGCTATGTTCCAATAATACCTTTACTATGATCAACATACCTTAGTTGTTAACTCCTGAAAGATTTTAATAAAAATAATCTTTAAAATCCACTTCTATGACAATAAGAACATATGACAAAGATAGGCAAAAAAATAAATGAGCTCAGAATCATGATTTTTGAGAGCTGTGGGGGAGACCAGTCTCTCCTTGCCCAATAAATATAAAACATAATTTAAAAAATTAATCATTGTGAATATCTCATTGGAATAGTTATTCTAAATTATTAATTAATATATCATGCTTTAAATTATACAGAAGAATTCCAACAGAGGGTAGTTATATTATAGTGTTATGACCCATTAGAGAGGGTATTATAAATTGCCTCAATTTATTTTTAAATTTAATTTCATATTAATAAAAGGAAGTAATTTAAACACAAGAATCCCAGCAGCTTCTTTAGAACTGGCAACTAAAGATTCATAGTTTGCATATATACATATATATATATATGAACACACATATGTATATGTGTATATATATACACACAATATATATATTGCATATATAATATATATATACATGAACACACATATGAATCTTTAGTGTTTAGATTTCTTCATATGTGGAGACATATATATTCAACATATATACATAGAAATCTAAACCGAAAAATTCCCTAAGCACATCAAAGATCTTATATGTTCAATCAAGTAATCTTAATATCACAGATTAGAAAATGGCTTCTTTAAAACATGTGGAAACTGAGGCAACAATCAAGGAACATAGGGTTTCTCAACGTTGGCACTGTTAGCATTCAGAGTCAGGTAAATTTCGCTCAACGGGGGGGTCCTGCTCTGTGCATTGTAGAAGGTTTGGTACCACCCCTGGTCTCTACACGCTAGATGCCAGTCAAAGCTTCCCCCACCAGTTGTGACAACTAATAATGTCCCCAGATATTGCCAAATATTCCCAGAAGGTGAAATTGTCGGAAGTTGAGAACTTCTAGTCTAAAAATTGACTCACGTTGAAACTCAATCCCCCCAACCCAGATATACAGGAAAGAAGTTAATAATGTGGCACATATACACCATGGAATACTATGCAGCCATAAAAATGATGAGTTTATGTCCTTTGTAGGGACATGGATGAAATTGGAAATCATCATTCCCAGTAAACTATCGCAAGGACAAAAAAACAAACACCACATGTTCTCACTCATAGGTGGGAATTGAACAAGGAGAACACATGGACACAGGAAGGGGAACATCACACTCCGGGGACTGTTGTGGGGTCGGGGGAGGGGGGAGGGATAACATTAGGAGATATACCTAAAGCTAAATGATGAGTTAATGGGTACAGCACACCAACAAGGCACATGTATACATATGTAACAAACCTGCACATTGTGCCCATGTACCCTAAAACTTAAAGTATAATGATAATAAAATAAAATAAAATAAAAAGAAGAAAGAAGTTAATATCCACTTTAACTTTGGAGAGAATTCTCTACCGATATTGATCATGTAGTCAGAGAGATTTAAGTTTTCAATTTAGAAACCATAGAGAGGCAGGTGGCAAATTGGAACACAGATTTCATTTTTTCTGCTTATCCCAGCATTTGTGAGTGAGAAACAAGCAGTGAATTTATTTCCGTTAGAAACAAAACAATATAAAAATGGATTTGGAGCTATTTCCCAAAAGAATTTTAGTAAGACAGTGAGGTTAAATGAGCTCCAGCCCCTTTGTGTTTTTTGAACTCTGTTCAGTGAGCATCTACCTCCAGCCATCTGCGGTAGGATCCCAGATGGGCAAATGCTGTGAATTAGTCTGAGGCCAGCTCCATTTTTATATTTTTCAAAAAGCTTTGTTCTTATAAAATAATCTCCATGATTAAGGCAAGAAGAAAACTTATACTGAAGATTTGAATCTGTTATTATGACATGAGGTAAAAGAAACAAATTATGGCCAACCATCACTATGCCTGAAAATGACTGGTTTTCAATAGGGGATGGCTAAACTTCAGCATGCAGTGAGTTGCAAAAAAAAAAAAAAAAAAAATTATCACAGTCTCTGAGCAAACAGGTGCCTTATAAGTGAAAATAAGTTAACATTTGATTCTCTAGTCATTGATGATAAACAGGTTTTATTTTCTTAAATTAAAAGCAACTCTTGGTCTTTAAATGTTAAGAGACATCTTCTCTTAATATGTTAAGGCATACCTGTCTGAAAATCATAAGAAATATTCCAAATATAGCCATTTTACTTCATAGTACATTTGTATGTGAATATTCATATGGTCATGCCAAGAGATTTACCTCATACAGATAACATTCACTCAGGGTAACAGAGTACTTGTATCCCAATTCCTGCTCAAATCTTCACGGCTTTAGCAATTCCACCAGTGATGTTTCTAGTTTGTCAAAAAGACAAGATTTTTTTTGGCAAAAGGGAAGAGACTTCCGATTTGAAGTACTGTTGACTCCATGTCCAAAATATTCCTTACACCAGATTTATCAGGCAACCTGTCTTGGAAGTGAGTTTTCTCCTTTGGGAGCCACCCCACAAAAGCCTATTTTTCTCATCACTCAATTTCAGTATGGTTCTACAGAGCTGAGCCGCCATGTGTGACAGTGCTTTGATAGATATCATAAGGTCACAGAATGGTGGGAGAGGAGTGGAGAGGGTGCACTAAGGTGGTGTCCCCGTGCTCCTACTGTAGCCAGGAAGTGTGCTGGCTGCTGGATGGAAAATACCACCCTGGATTTCAGGGCAATTGACAAGGGACAATGCAGTGGGGTCTCCAGAATTCTATGAATGTCACTAAGTAGGAAAAAAGAAGAATCATTATTCAACATCCGCTTTCTCATCATTGTTGCTAAACCAATGTCAAAGCAGGAGAAAAAATTTGGGAGAGAGGAAAATTGTAAAACAGTATTGAGAAGACAAGTGGTTAGTATGTAAGGAATGAATATATCAGTCAGGAGTTGCCTGTCTCATCCACGAATTGTCCCCTGGGGTGACAGTATGCACATGTGTGTTTTAGGATGTCTCTTCTGAAAGCATTTCTTATAACTCTAGCTTCTGGGTTAACGTTACTTTTCTTTTCTTGAATTTAGGGACAAAAATATGATGTTTACCTCCCACTCCATTAAAGTTATGTTTAAAAAGGTTAGGGAAGAGTAAGCATATTAAATACTAAGGGACAGAAACTTGTAAGCCATCTGTTTTGACTCTACCACCTTCCAGGTAACCTAATCTAATAATATCATCTAATTCTGAACATATAAAAAGAAAGAAAACACTTCTTACAACACAGAGAATGAATTTCAACATGAAACAATAAGTACTAGTCAGAAGTAAAGGCTATGAGGCTGTGAAATGCCTCAGAGGGTCACCAGCCAAGCAGGCACAGAATGGGTTACAAAGAGGTGTTGTCTCCAGTGAAACTCAAGGATGGGCAGTCTTTTTCTTCAGGAAGAAGATAAATAGGGTGAAGGTGATTGAGACAGGACAGCAAGAGCAAATGCTTCAAGTTGGAAAATAGCCTACAGTTTGGAAAACAATATGCAGCATGACATGACCAGACAAGGTAGAAACTGCCCTCAGGTGATCAGGAGAGTCACAGGTAATGCAAACTGCCACCTGGAGGTGAACCTCTGTCCTGCATAGGGGCAGGACCCAAGGATGCCTTGTCTAGTGTTAAATAAAGGTTACTGGTGAACTACATTCATTTCTCATTGTCTCCAGTTTTCTTGAAATTGGTTGTCCTCCTTGATCTGTTTCATCATTTTTCTACATTTAAACAATAATTTTTAACTTTGGAGAGAGAAAAGGAGAAAAATATTAACCTGAGATATACAAATCAACCCCCATGATTTGTGGTAGAAAACCATCTTTCTATGTAATAATTGAAAGCACACAAGTCAAACGTTCTGTCACTTATTATCTAAAACTGTGTTTTCCAATGGGGCGCACCAGCGATCCAGAACACTTCAACTCTAGCTGGTCCAAATCCAAATGTGATGGAAATATAAAACACACACTGGAGTTTGAAGACTGAGTTCCAGAAAAAAAAAAAAAAAGTGCAACAGATCATTAATTTCTTACAATGATTCTATGCTGAAATTAAAATATTTTGGATATATTGAGGTAGTAAAATATACTGTTAGTAGTCATTTCCCTTGCTTCTTTGTACTTTTTTCAGTGTGCCTAGCAGATCATCTTAAATTACCTATTTGGCTCACATGGTGCTTCTATCAGACGGCACTGTTATAAGACCCTTTGTCTACCAGTGTGCTTATTCCTTTCTGTTATACTTGGGAACTGTCATGTAAATTAAAATAAAATATTCATAGAAACCAACAAGGCCTCTTTGCTGGAGACACGTGATATAAAAAAAAAAAGTGTGTCATGAATTGCCAGCCTTCTCTCTCCAGACTAAGTAAACAGTAGGCTACAGAACTCCGTACACAGCCACATAATATGAAAAAGCAGAATTGCCCTGCTTTGCACCAATGGTACAGCAGTCTGACCTCTATCATTAGAGCCGCATTTTTAAAACCACAGTTCAAAAAGTCACGTCTTCTTGCTTGGTGCTATGTCAGTAGACTAAGCTCTCACCACGTGGTGGTACTGATGGGCATCCTATACTTCAGTAACAGCTCATCAATCCCATCAATAATTGCAACCTGATTTCCACCGAAGGCAGCCAAGACCAAGGAGGCAATGATGAGAAAAGTACAATCAGTTTCCTTGACCTCACAAAAATATATACACATGAGTTAATGGAAATACATCTCCTCACTTTTTTGCATCTATTTATTTGGACATCATGTCAGTAAAATTTGCAAAAATATCACAATAGACTCTCATAAGCCCTTCACCTAGATTCCCCTGTTAACACTGTATCATATTTGCTTTATTATATTTGCCTCTGCACATGTGTATAGCTTCTATGTATGTATGTGTATAACAATTTTAAAAGCTATTTTGATATAAGT
The DNA here is from genome assembly GCF_000001405.40 of Homo sapiens. Lineage (NCBI taxonomy): Eukaryota > Metazoa > Chordata > Mammalia > Primates > Hominidae > Homo > Homo sapiens. Next base: position 9,315,307 of record NC_000005.10, read on the forward strand.
TACAGAAATGATATCCATTATCCCTATATCTTTTAGCATGCTTTTCCAAAAAACAATGACATTCTCCTATATTACAGTTATCAAAATCAACAAATTAATATTAATACATTTCTACTATCTTATCCAGACATTTGAATTTCTCCAGTTGTCCAAATAATGTCCTTTATAGTAAGAAAAAATATATCTGCTGCAAGATTCAATTTGGGTCAAGTATTGCATTTGATCCCCATGTCTATTTGTTGAGCTTTATGATGGAAGAGCTCTTTATTATTTCTTCTTTTTTCATACCTTTCATGACTTCGTGATATCTGAAGGGTAGAGGCCAGTTTTTTGTAGGATGTCCCTCAGTGTATCTGATGGTTCCTCATGATAAAGTTATTAGTTATAATTTTGGTTATAATTTTTGGCTGAAATATCAAGGACATCTTGCTGCGTCCTCTGTGCATCAAATCACTGAACTCTGTCCCATTGCTGGTGAAGTTCCCCTTGACCTTTGACTATTTGGTCATGGGCTATTTGCCAGATTTCTTTACTATCAAGTTATAAGTTTTCCTGTTGTAATTAATAAGTATCATATAGGTAAGTACTTTAAGACTACCATGAATAAATATCCTGGCTGTCATCAAACTCTGACCCATAAATTAGCATCTATTGATCACTTTTGCCTAAATCGATTTTTAGTATAATGGTTGCCAAATCATAATCTCCTAATCAAATTATTCCTTCAATATTCATTAGTTGGCATTTGTTTACTCATTTATTTATGTTTTATGTTAGCATCTACTCATGGATTCTTATGTTATTCAATGTGTTATAATCTACCTCTGGCATTATCTATTTTGACAATCAAATTGCCCCAGATTTCTTCAGCGAGCCCACTTCAAGCTGGCTCCTAGTTTCTTATGACACACCCTCATCATTCTTTAAATATTTTCCTTAATTTCTGAAACAACAAGCTCTTCCAGTCTTATCTGAGTTCTCCTTGCCCAATTCTAGATTAAGTCACTTCTCAAAAAAATCCTTCGTTTGTTTTCATGGAGAATTAAGTTTAGAAACAAAGTAACATGTATCAAGTGTGTTCACTGCTACTAAGAATACTTCTAAACCCTCTCAGCTGACGGAGCTAGCAAATTTAAAAAGAAATGAATGCGTATATGTAAATATATGTTTGTGCACACACAGACCTACAAAACCTCACTTTTTAACACAAGTGATATGCCAGAGAGTATACCATGAGAATCAAAATGAGTATAATATGTAGTTTCTATCTACTAAACGATATATATTTTAGAAAAGGTTATCTAAAACAATCTTTAAAATGGCATTATGATTAAATTGTTGATCATTCTTTTTTTAATTAGCAAATAAAAATTATATATATTGATAGTGTACAACATGTCACTTTGATATACGTATACGTTGTGGAATGGCTAAATCAAGCTAATTAATATGCAGGTATCTCACATACTTTATTTATTTATTTATTTATTTTGGTGTTGAGAACACTTGAAATCTACTCTGTTAGCAATTTTCAAGCACATAGTACATTGTTAGTAGTTATAGTCACCATGTCATACAATGGATCTCTTTAACTTATTCCTTTGTCTAACTGGAATTTCTTGTTCTGTGGCCAACATCTCCCTAACACCTTCCCTGACCTTCTGGGCCCCTGGAAACCACCAGTCCACTCTCTGCTCCTAAGAGTTTGTCTTTTTAGATTTCACACATAAGTGAGATCTTGCAGTTTTGTCTTTCTGTGCCTGGATTATTTCACTGAAGGTAATGTCTTCAAATTGCTGATCATTCTGATTCCTTAATAATAAATTCATAATTTTACCACTCAATTAGCTCAATGAAAGACTCCAGTTATGTACTAAATTGCAGTGGAAAGACAATTTATTGTCAATTGTGATAAAACTATTATAATGGAGATTTATTATTTATTATCATCACTTTAAAAAATCAAGAATAATAGAAAATTCTTGATAAATTGCAATGTTTTATCTCTTTTGAACGTCTTACTTATTTTTCGCCATGCTAGTATGGAGTTGGCAGTGATTTGTGACCATTTCACAGATGAGGAACCAATAATTCCTAGAAGTCATGGAACTAGATCACAAATCAGGTTGATGTGTCTTCAAAGCCCTTGCTTTTTATCAATATTAGCTTTGATCAGGGGATTGGCTGATTTTAACACCTTGCTAAGTAAAAGATAGATTTAATATTAAAACCTAGCTCTGAAGTTCCCTAAATGTTCACAAGCAGCAGCATTAAAGAGAGAATAAAATAATATAAAATCCTCTCCAATCACCTCTTAGAGCTCTAGCACATGAGAGTGAGACGAAAATTGGTTGAAGAACTTTTTCCAAACTCTACACAGCCCGAAGATTCTGGCATAGTCTGTAGGGAGTTCCAGAATCTTGGTGAAGAAGATATTTGTGTCTTAACTCTCTTATTTTCTAGGAGACACTTTTTAAAGACTAGAGGGAAAAGTGGGCTTTTGTGACTCAGATCTGCTACTAAAATAAATACTTCATTTAAGTACAAGATCTCAGGTCCATTGTTCAAACCGCAACAACAGAAGTAGGTAAATTTCATTTTGATCTATTTCCCTTTATTCTTTGTTATAGATAGCTTTTAACCCAAGTATTCATATTTATGTTAATATAAATTATAAAGAGGAAACAAAGCTGTTTTACAAGAAATTGATGCCCGGATGCATCAAACTAAATAATCGATGATTGCTGTAACTGTGGGGGAAGGAATGTGTCCAGGCTTTGAAGCAATGTTCCTTGAATGGTCTGTCATCTAAGGAAGGACAAATCAGGATCACATCCACGGAACAAACAGGGCCACCTGACAGGAGGAAAAGGCTAATCAGGAATTAAGGGAGGTAATGACTCGTAACAAGTAGGGCCGCCTTAGTCCCGTGGCCTGACCTGCTGAGGAAACGAGCCCCTGCTCAGGCTGGATTAACACCTTTACATGCATCTGTCTTCATCCCCTCAAACAGTGAGTTAATTGGGATGGAAAATGAAAGCTTGAGAAAAATAAATTGCACCTACCTGGATAAGAGACAGATCCTCAAGCTGTAACCTGAAGAGGTAGTTTCTGCAAAATACAAAAACAGAGCAGTTTTATTTTTAATAGATCACAGAAAGTTAAGAGTTTATAAAAATTTCAAGAACAAAGAAAATAATAATTTTGACTTCAAAAGCATCTTCTTTCTAAGAATATGTTCAGCACTACTTTCCTTGGATCTTAGAGTACAAAGAGGAATTCAAGAGGTCAACAAATACACATTAGAGATTGGTGAGAAAGCTAACGAATAAGTGGGGTGTGTCTGTACATACTTACGGTAAGTGTAAGTCATTAACTGGATCTCTTGATCTATATGGAATAAATAAAAGGACATGGGCATTCCATTCTGAAACTCTTTTACTTAAGATGATGTACAACTATTCCTCATAGGTCTTCCTTTATAATTATCACCTAAATTCACCATGTTTTATAATTAAGATTTTGAATTCAAGCAATGCTCTGAGGTTCACAGTACTCTACCTTGTAAGATGGATTCAGTACGTAATAAACGTTTAGAAATATGAACTTGGGCCCGGCATGGTGGTTCACACCTGTAATCCCAGCACTTTGGGAGGCTGAGGCAGGAGGATATTTTGATCCTGAGAGGCAGAGGTTGCCAGGCTCCTGGGAACCATGGCAAAATCTGTCTCTACAAAAAATACAAAAGTTATCCAGGCATATTGGCTTATGCCTATAGTCCCAGCTACTCAGGAGGCTGAGGCAGGAGGATGCTTTGGTCCTGGGAGGTGGAGGTTGCAGTAAGCTGTGATCACACCACTGCAGTTCAGCCAGGGTGACAGGGCGAGACCCTGTCTCAAAAATAAATAAATAAATAATAAATACATAAATATAACTTGCATTATATAGGATTTGGTTTAAAAAGAAAAGAAAAGAAACATGAACTTGGTGGTCTGCCCAAAGGAAACTGATGACATCAAGGGCTTCAAAGAGTCAAGTTTCACTGCCCAAGTATAAAATAGGAAATTAGAGAAAAGTAAAATATCAATTTCAACAAAGAAGGGGAAGAATAGTGAAACATGCAGTGGAGATCAGTAGAGGACACAGAAAAAAGATAGATTAGTTACACTGGGCTTTGGACTCTAGTGTTGTAGGTTTTAGAAACAACTCATTAACCTACCTCAGTATTCTTTGCTTCAGCCTCTAACTGAAATCCTGGCATCATGTAAATGGGAAGATGGGGCGGGGATGTGCACCAGCAGCACCCCAAAGAGGAAGGGAGGAGAAAGCCAGCCTAAGTGCAAATAATAATGTCAAGAACATGCTGGCACATAATGGTAAGCAAACTCTAAGATGCAAATGAGCACGAGGTGGGATCTCCAAGAAGCCAAGGATGCTGTTATAATGGGCTGGTCCAAGGTCACTTCTTATTGGTTTTACAACACCTATAAGACATAAATGTTGACTATTTTCACTATCGTGGGCGGGGGGTGGGGGTAGGTATATAAACTGGACATATATCCCAGTAGAAGTGACAAGTGACAGCCAAAGAGGCCCAAGGGCATAGCCTTGAGATGACCAAGAAACATCCCTATGAGTTATGGACAGAGTTAGGGAGGACAAAGCCCCCATGGAAGCCGGCACTCAGAAGCACATGTACACACACAGCTGAAGGATGAAAGAGGACTAGGCTCACATTCAGGTAGTCTCATGAGTCCAGGCATTGCCTCCTGGGCATTCAGGTTTCACACAGTTTGCCTCCTCACATGGGGGTACCACCTCTCTAAACCGAGTGAAAACAGCCTCACCCAAACCACAGCAATAGTCTCCTTACCACACTCTTTCCACCTTTCAAATCTCACCTCTGATATACCCCAAGAGAAGCTCCCAGAAGCACTGCTTGGCACATGCCACCTCCATCACAAAGCCATTTCAGGAAACATTCCCCTGTCCTTTATTATAATGCTACAGCCCTCTATGTAGAACCAGGTTAAGGATACCTCTGAGGGGAGGGAATATTACAGGAAAGTCTTTTGATTTAGTCAGTGCCATGAGAAGACTAGGACTCCAACAGAAATGTCATCTGCAGGCCAGGCACATTGCCCCGTAATCCCAGCACTGTGGGAGGCCAAGGTGGGCCAATCACTTGAGTCCTGGAGTTCTAGACAGGCCTAGGCAACATAGGGAGACCCTATCTCTACAAAAAAAGAAAAAATACAAAAATTAGTCAGGTGGCATGGTGCATGCTTGGAGTCCCAGCTACTCAGGAGGCTGAAGTGGGAGGATCCATTGAGCCTGGGAGGTCAAGGCTCCAGTGAGCCACGATCCTGTCACTGCACTCCAGCCTGGGTGACAGAGAGAGATCCTGTCTCAACAACAACAAAAAGTCCTTTTCAGAGGAACAAATGTGAACTTGGTGCACATACAGAAGAGTATGTTGAAGCAGCCAAGGTAGGTGGCACTGGAGGGTGACTCGCATTTCAACATTAGCCAAGCTTTCACCCAGTGTGACCTTGAAACCAGCACACCTCCTCTAAGGGAAGCAAGAAATCTACACACACACACAGACAAGTCTTTCAGAAGCGGGGCTTACCAGTGTGATATAGTTTGGCTGTGTCCCCACCCAAATCTCATCTTGAATTTTAATCCCCATAATCCCCATGTGTCCAGGGAGGGGCCTAGTAGGAGGTGATTGGATCATGGGGGCGGGTTACTTCATGTTGTTCTCATGATACTGAGTGAGTCTCATGAGATCTGATGGTTTTATAAGCATCTGGCATTTCCCCTGCTTGCATTTCTCTCTCCTGCCACCATGTGAGAAGGCCCAAGCTTGCTTCCCCTTCACCTTCCACCATGATTACAAGTTTTCTGAGCCCTCCCAGCCATGTATAACTGTGAATCAATTAAACTTATTTCCTTTATAAATTACCCAGTCTCAGCTATTTCTTTATAGTAGTGTGAGAACAAACTAGTACATAGCGGCACCAGGGAAATTACTAGCCATTGTACACCCGTTGCCTCTATGAGCAGCTCAGCTCCCCACCCTCACATATTTCCCACTGTCTTTCTGGTTTCAGGAGGCTGCCCCTCTGCTATGGGAGTCAGCATTACCTAGCAATTAAGAATATTCATGCAAAAACCAGAGTTCTGCCTCTATACAATCTCAGGAAGAAAGCATTTCTTTCTATGCCTTAGTCTTTTCATCTGTAAAATGGAGCTAATAATCAAACCCATTCCCTAGGGTTGTTGTGAGGTTTAAATCTAAGAAAAACACTTGGAATGAAGTCTGACCCATTGTAAGCATCAATTAATGGTGCCAACTTCTATGTTAATTTTGTCATTGGTCCTGGAATCCAGTCACCCTACTCCTTTTCAACCCACTGGCAATTTTAAGAAGGACTTCTTCAGTAAATATTTCCAATAAAAGAAACTCATTCATTTAGTAAATGAATTACCTAAGAGCTTTGGTGATATCTCATGGTTCATTCTTTCTTGCTTACTCACACACATACACGTGCACATGTATGTTCACACTATGGTATCTGTCTCCAGAAACTTTCTTGAAAAGAAGCTTTCATACACAAAGGAAGAGCTGGAAGTGCATCAGGGCCTTGAGAAAAGACGATAGCACAGTCTGCAGTGCTCTGTAGAGCTCTGTGCAGATCAAGCAGAGAGCTCTCTGTCTACTTGGAGAGGGGAGTGGAGGAGACACAGAGATCGCCATCCACAACACCTGCTTCCGGTTTTCAGGTGTTTTCCATAGAAGAAGATAATGGCTTATAATAAAAAATACGCCACTTTCTCAGTCCACACCTCCATAAGCAAATATAACTCTTCTGATCATTATTTTTCTGCTTCTCAAGTTCCAATGGGCTGTAAAGGTACCCCTCCTCTCCAGAAACATTGCTAGTGGAGTTTAACCATCTACCTCTTCTCCTTCCAAATACCTGAGAGCTATGGTGCCCTTCCAATCATCTCATCAGTAATAACAAATCAATATGGCAGAGGTATTCAATAGGGGAAAGGAAGGGGCAAAGAGGAGGGAGGGGCATGCTTACTAGGAAAAATAGCACAGTTACTATGAAATACCATCACCAGCACCAGCACCATCACCATCACCACATCCAATACCCCAGGAAGGAAAGCACCAGAGGATTTGAACTTTTCTTTTTGTAGTATTTTCTGGGTTGCAAGATAAAAATTGGTGATTATTTTACCCCATTCCATATTTTTAATCTAATAATATAGAGTCTAAGAAATCAAGAACTAAGAGTCACTAAAGAGTATATACCCTTCAATTTATAGATGAGAAAACTTCTATAAATTAACAGCTGCAGTGAGATTTGTCCAATACTGTAAGGTTTCAGAGAAAGTCCTGGGATTAGAAACAAGCCCCCCGTGTCTTGGTGTCCTTTGTCCCATTATGCCTCAAGGCCCCACCTATTAGTTATTCAATGTCACCTTCCTAATTTCACCTGCACCAAACATGCACACACACAGAAACAAACACAGTAACAGCTCTTATGCTACTACCATTTCATAACTTCACTGGTCATTTACAGCAACATTTACAAATCATTTTAAGAAAATTCAAGTCTTAGTTCTGCTAATAACAAACTTTTGATCCTAGGCCATCAATTTTCACCTCTGGGACTGTGATCTGGCTGTGATGTATGTCTCCCCTTGAGGAGAACAGTTTGAGCCTACGGGTCTGGCTGTTTAAATGGCACCTCTTTTCTCTCTTTTTATTTTGCCTGAACAACTCCCTGCCCATACCTAATTCTAAGAATATCCCTATTTCTTAACTTATAAAATGAAAGAGATAAACTATACAATTATCTCAATGTATTTAAATAATACAAATTCCCAAAAGACTGTGACCATGTTTAGATATACACATTGCCTAACTAAGTTCTACGAATAAATGGCCATTCAACAAAAGTATTTTTATTATGGCAAATTTAAATCATTTCCTGAGAAGTGTTTTTCATGTGTTATTTTTCACAACTGAGTAACTTATTTCAAAATAATCTTAAAAGAAATCTCAACATATAAAATAGATACAATAATTCTTTAATAGTATAAATTGATGTAATAAGTACTTATGTATTTGTTAATAAAATCAGTTGATGAAGCTTTCTTAAAAAAATTAAAACTCCACTTATCAGAACTATTTATCATCTTACACAGATCAACATCTATTTAATGTGTATATTCATGCCAGTTGATTGGTTATATTTTTGTTGATTTTTTATTTGTTTGATTTTTAAGGCACAGAGTTGGTAGGTGCTTTTAAATGTTTCTTTTTTTCCTTTTTTTTTTTTTTTTTTTTCTGAGATGGAGTCTTGCTTCTTCGCCCAGGCTGGAGTGCAATGGCATGATCTCGACTCACTGCAACCTCCACTTCCTGGGTTCATGCAATTCTCCTGCCTCAGCCTCCCCAGTAGCCAGGATTACACTGACATGCCACCACGCCTGACTAATTTTTATATTTCTGGTAGAGACAGGGTTTCACCATGTTAGCCAGGCTGGTCTTGAACTCCTGACCTCAAGTGATCCTCCCAAAGTGCTGGGATTACAGGTGTGAGCCACCACGCCTGGCCTAAATATTAGTTTAATAAATGACTATGGTCCATGGAAAACCCAAGTAGTCAAATACCTCACTACACAAACAGTTTAGTATTCACCTTATTACAATTTTCAGCTATTTTAAACAATATTTTATTTTATTTTTTTTTTTTGAGATGGAGTCTCGCTCTTCCGCCCAGGCCAGAGCGCAGTGGTGCTATCTTGGCTCACTGCAAGCTCTGCCTCCTGGGTTCACGCCATTCTCCTGCCTCAGCCTCCCGAGTAGCTGGGACTACAGGCGCCCGCCACCACACCTGGCTAATTTTTTGTATTTTTAGTAGAGACGGGGTTTCACCGTGTTAGCCAGGATGGTCTCTATCTCCTGACCTCATGATCCACCCACATCAGCCTCCCAAAGTGCTGGGATTACAGGCGTGAGCCACCGTGCCTGGCCTAAACAATATTTTAAAAGGTGAACCATAAGTAAAACATTTGTGGAATTCCCTAATCACATCCCAAGAACCTAAGAATCTGATAAAACACAGTGTGGATTCTGCTATTCTCAAATCTCTTTCCTTGAACTATTTGGCCCCACATACAACTCCAAATGCATTTTTGCTGTAGGAAAAATTCCAAGCCAGCTGGCAACATGAGGGACTTGAAATCTCTCAAGACAGCTTGATCCATCACAGTTTAGGTCAATGACCTACAAAGTTAAAGGTTACAAAAAGAGAGAAAACCTTCTAAAGGGGATAAAAAATTGATATTCCCAGGTGTTGGGCCACTCACAAACTAAAGTAAGATCTACAGAACCCTGCAAGTGGCTGTCCTCCAAGGTATTACAGAAGAGGCAACCACTTTATCTTGCAATTGTGTGAGCACAGAGGAGGGAAAACAATATGCGTGAGGTTCATGAGAAAGGCCACCAGCCTTTCCAACATGAAGGAATAATGCTTCTGGCCCCTGGCCAACTGGAAATGCTAACCAAATGTTGCAAGTAGGGTCAGTCTCCCTAACAGGGCAATGCTTTGAGCAACCCAAAGCATTTAAGTGATCTCATTAATCTTCATAACACCCCTAGATGTAAATAGGTAGTAATAAGGAATATTGCCATTCTTCAGGGAAAAAGGCAGTGGTGCAAGAGGTTAAGAGATTAGATTCTTTGAATGCATTAGTTGTATAGCTTGGAGGAATGATTCTATACTTCTATTTTTCTCCTGTCATTACCAAAATGAAAAGCAAGAGTTTGCCAAAGTGTAACAGTTCAGTGTTATGGCTATAGCAAATAAAAACATGAGTTTTTTCTGCCTGTGGTATGGATCTACTTTTTTTTTTTTTTCTCAAATGCCATGGAATAAAATTTGACATTGCACATTCACGTGCAATAAACCAGATTCCTTTTAGGAGTAATAACATATGAGGAGTACACAGATCCAATGGGCTGAATAATTCAAATCACAAAGCTATTAAGTTTGGCAGATGCAAAATCACAATATTGAAGCCCATTCTTCGTTTCCCCACTAGACACCTGAGTGCGTTTTCTACGTCTTCACCAAAGTTTCTTGCTTACTGACTCTAGGATTGAATAACTCATTCCTGGGTCCCATCACTTCCCCCAGTGGCCTATTAGAAACAAATCACTAAGCATAACAATATATTCTCGGAGGGAGCAGTGGGGACCTTAATAGATGAAGTTCATTTGTATCTTCATGTAAAGTAGTAAAATGCAGCCGGCATTAAAGAAAAGGTTGAGCCATCATGAGCATATTAACTAAATGACTCATTTCATCTAGAGACACTATAAAACTTAACTTTGACCTCCATAAATTATGAAAGACACAGGTGTTTTAAAAGGACATTCTCTTAGAATAACTCAATTGGCCTCTGATGAATATGACTATAAAATCAAAGAAAAAATTACAAGTTCCTATTGAACGTATGAGTTAGAGGTTTGCTTACAACTGAGAAAAGAAGAATTAAGGAAGGTAGATTTGTATTTTGTACTAGAGCAAATGAAGGCAGAAGCCGATAAAATGTATAAAGACATTTTAACAATGTTGACAGAAACGTTTGTTGCTGATTAATAAAAGTTTAGACCAAGGCTGATCACGAAACAATCCAAAGACAAAACAGACACTGCCCATGAGCCAGTTGGGGAAGGCTGAGAGCTGACCAGTCTCTCCTGTCCCTGCACCAGCTTCCTGCACACAATACTTTCCTCACTGCAAGTTTCCTTCCATCCTCACTGCTGTCAACATCTAACTGGCACAGAACTTTTCAAGTATAGTGACATCCTACATGATACGCACATTTTCAATTGCACTGGTAGACTTTTGAAGATAACAAGTTATGTTTGAGATGGAGTCTCGCTCTGTTGCCCAGGCTGGATGTGCAGTGGCAGCATCTCGGCTCACTGCAACCTCCATCGCAGGCATTCAGCAATTCTTGTGCCTCAGCCTCCAGGGTAGCTGAGATTACAGGTGCGCGCCACCATGCCCAGCTAATTTTTTGTGTGTTTTTAGTAGAGATGGGGTTTCGCTGTGTTGGCCAGGCTGGTCTTGAACTCCTGACCTCAGGTGATCCCCCTGCCTGGGCCTCCCAAAGTGCTGGGATTACAGGCATGAGGGAGGCCGAAGCAGACAGATCACCTGAGGTCAGTAGTTCGAGACTAGCCTGGCCAACATGGCGGGAACCTACCCCTACTAAATATACAAAAAAATTAGCTGGGCGTAGTGGTGCACAACTGTAATCCTATCTACCTGGGAGGCTGAGGCACGAGAATCCCTGAATGTGCAAGGTGGAGGTTGCACTGAGCAGAGATCCTGCCACTGCACTCCAGCCTGGGCTACAGAGCGAGTCTCAATAAATAAATAAAATAAGGAAAAATAGTAACTATATCCTTTAAAACATAAAGTGTTGTAAAATTAGTTTGATTATCTAAGTGTAAATATTTAATATCGTGATCATATCAGTAAATTTAAATATAATGATTTAATTTAATCATGTAACCAACTCATATAATTCACCAATTCACCAGCATGTCTATAATTGTGATTTCCAAGACTTTTCATTATGCTGGTCGACTCTAAGTAAATTCTAGGAGACTTTTTATTTTGTGGTTATAACTATCCTAAAAAATGTCTGCTTCATGTATTTTTTTCATGGGTTTCTCAGAAGATAATTAAATTTCAAAATTACAAAGCCTTTCCAAATAGTATCACATTATATTTAAATAGTTAGATCACATTTAAATCACAGTTTTTAATTCTTTTGTGAGTTTTTTTCTAAAATATTTTAAAATATGGTGACAAATTTATAATATGGTCATGTGATTAGCTATCTCCTCAGTCAGAATTTTCTCTACCCTCCTCAAAAATAGTAAATATGTATTCTTCGGGCTATGCAAATTTCAAGATAACTGTAATTTAATTTTTGTTGCTGTTAATACTGTTACGTGTGTCTGGTACCCATTCTCCCAGAATCATATTAACTTCTTTCATTCCCTATCCCAGAAAGAGCATTTTGAGCTCCTTAAAAGTCTTGGTTATTAGAAATAAATTTCAAAGAACACACTAAAACTGAGATCAAACCATTTTAATAGCATTCTTATATATTTAAATACCAAGATTAAAAGGTGCAAAAATAGATGGATAGTCTCTTATTATTTAGCAAGTAGAATGAAATAACAAAGATACATTTTAATGGCATGCAGTAACTAAACAATGCCGCCAGCAAATCTTAGAGATATAAAATCAGGAAAATATTTTCCCACAAATATATTTAGGGTAAAAGTTATTAATCAATATTGTTAATAATTACACTAATAGTTTACATTTTATTATGCTTTAATTATTACTTGCAAATCTCTAAGTGCTGTGAGGATTACAGATGATGATTTATTGCTCTAAATTTAACTCGCGACTTTTGCCTTTGTGGGTCCTCTGGGTATCTGATTTGTTCCTTTCTGTTTTTCAGTTAACAGAGATAATTTTTCATTTGAAAAAAAATGCCAACTGAATATTTCTATGGTTCCTTTAACCTGTGATTTCCTAGGACTATTCATGCTTTAAATTATCTCCATATACAATTAATTTTCTAGGTTATCTTCAGTATTCATACAAATCTGAGATCTTTTTTCTCATGTATCTTCTAATAATCAAAGAATTACAGCTCATCCTCCCATATGCTCTATCCCAGTCACACTCCCAAAACTCACTGAATGGTTTGATGCTTCCCACCAGCCAACCCACTCTGTTGGCCATCAATTGCTGTCAAAATCAGAACTGAAACGTGTCTCAAATCTGGCTTCTCATCTCCATTGCCATCATCACTGCCTAAGTCTAAGCACCCTCTACTCTCACCTGATCCACAACCCGCAACTGCCATGCCTCGCTCCAAATTCTGCAAGTTCTAGTGCCTAGTGCATCCTGCACACAATATGGTGGACGTATCTTCCTAATGCAAATATGATTATGTGAACATATAAATGTAGAAATCTCCTGGGCTCCTCAATGCCTTTAGCAGAGGTTCTCAAATTTACCAAGCCAGCAGAGCAATGGGAGCTTGATTAAATCAAAGATTCTGGCCGGGCACAGTGGCTCATGCCTGTAATCCTAGCACTTTGAGAGGCCAAGGTGGGTGGATCACTTGAGGTCAGGAGTTCGAGACCAGCCTGGCCAACATAGTAAAACCCTGTCTCCACTAAAAATACAATTAGCCGGATATGGTGGTGGGTGCCTGCAATCTCAGCTACTCGGGAGGCTGAGGCAGGAGAATTGCTTGAACCAAGGAATCAGAGGTTGCAGTGAGCCGAGATCATACCATTGCACCACTGCACTCCAGCCTGGGCAACAAGAGTGATGCTCTCTCTCACAAAAAAGATTCTGGCATTACTTCCGGAAAGTGGAATTCAGAGGACTTGAGGACAGGCCTGGACATCTACACTCTTGAAAGGCCTGTCAGGTGAACCTAAGACTGGCCCAGTTGGAGTCACTGGTCTAGAGGACTAAGTCTAAACTTCTTTATAATCTGGCCCCAGCTAATGCTCAGAGCTTCACCTATAATTACTTCCCCCTCTCTGTCACCAACAGGTGCCACGGAGCCAAGCACTTTTCAGCCTCATCAGAATCTCTGACTTTTCCCATGTGACTCTCTGTCTTCCCTGCCAGATTCCTCAAGCATCTCTCAGGCCCCGTTGGAGGAACACCTTCTCTATGCAGCCTCTTCAGATCGATGCACCATCATATCCCTTTACTCTTGGTGTTTTCAGGACCCTTTACTCAGGCTTCCCTTGGAGAATCTAATTGCTTGTGCCCGTCTCACCCACTAGGCCAAGATCATCATACTTTTTGTTTTGGGGCCAGAGAGCAGATAGTTTGCTTTTGTGGTCTATGTGCCAACTACTCGTCTCTGCAGTTTTAGCTCAAAAGCAGCCACAGAAGATGTGTGAATGAGTGGGTGTGGCTGTGTGCCAATAAAAGCATATTTACAAAAACAGGAGGCAACTCTGGGGCCCCAGCTTGCCAACCCTTGCGCTGGACTAGAAAGTCCTCATCAGGTAGAGAAGATGCTTCATCTTTGTTTCTCTAATGCCTAAGAAGCTTCCTGGCATAAAGTAGGTTCAATAAATATTTGAGTAACACAGAGTCTTGAAAGAAGAACTACATGAACTAATACATTTGGATGAACCCCATGTGGACCTGGTAGGAGAAAAGCTCTCAATACTCAGTCTGTAGCACATGTACATGCAAATAAGTTATTCAATTATTATCACAGCCCTTTGTTGGTTTGCTCATGGGATCTGGGAAATAGGAAGCCTTTGTACATTTATTTATTTATTTACGGCTGTCCCTTGGTATCCCCAGAGCATTGGCTCCAAGACCACCTCGAGTGCCAAAATCCATGGATGCTCCAGTCCCTGATATCAAATGGATTGGTATTTGCCTATAACCTATGCACATCTTCCCATATACTTTAAATCATCTCTAGATTACTTATATCGAGCACATTATAAATGTAAATAGTCGTTATGCCATATTGTTTTTATTGGTATCATTTTTATTGTTGTATTGTTTGTTTTTAATTTTTCCAAATATTTTAGGCTTGTGGTTAAATCTGCAGATGCAGAACCCAGGGAGGACCAACTGTATGTACTTACTTGCTTATAACTAAATAGATAACTGTTGTACTAGGCTGATATTCTCCCAACTCAAGCAGGGAAAAAAAAAATACAGATGGGAGGCCGAGGTGGGCGGATCGCCAGGTCAGGAGATTGAGACCATCCTGGCTAACATGGTGAAACCCCGCCTCTACTAAAAATACAAAAAATTAGCCGGGCGTGGTAGCGGGCGCCTGTAGTCCCAGCTACTCGGGAGGCTGAGGCAGAAGAATGGCGTGAACCCGGGAGGCGGAGCTTGCAGTGAGCTGAGATCACACCACTGCACTCCAGCCTGGGCGACAGAGCGAGACTCTGTCTCAAAAAAAAAAAAAAAAGTACAGATTAGTTTTTTTTGTTTTTGTTTTTGTTTTTGTTTTGTTTTGTTTTTTTACAATAGCAGAAGGAACAGAATGGTTAGAAATCTTTCCCAGGCATGTCAGTTGGCCACCAGTTTGTTAAAAGCACACACCCTGAGCCAGCTAAATCAGCAGAGCTGGGAGGGGCATCTTAATTTTGAACAAATGTCCTAGCTAATACTTAAGAACATTAATGTTTGGCAAATGTTGGACAAAAGGTAACAAAGCCAGCAGACAACAAGGAGACTTTTTAACATATATTGGGTAAATTAATCAAATAAGCGAATTAGAAGAAAGGGGAGAACAAGTAGAAGAAAGAGAGAGATAAGCCCAGAGAATCATAAAGGACATACCTGTGCATAGGGGCCAGCCCTGAGAAGGAAAGGGACAGAGAAGGGGAAACCTTTAAACCCTAAAGTGGAGGTTCATAAAGATTTGATTGGAAGAGGACAAAAAAGACTGCAGTGAAAAGCACTGTTCCTTTTCCATCACCAGCTGCTTGTCTTAAGTCATAATTAATGTAAACACAACATGAAAATCAGCATTACCTGGGATCTCTTCCCACAATGGGGTTCTACTCCTTTTTGCATTCACTGCTAATCTCTGATTTCATACCGCTCAGCATGTATTCCCTTTAATTGTGTCAACTTGACTAAAATATACTCTTTGGAAAAGACGAATAAGTGTGGCTACTGGAAGCAGAATCGCTGATCTGATAAACATCTTCAGTTTTCCTGTTAATTATATATTGCCTCCAAAAGAGTAATTCCAAGGTAAAATTTTCAAGTAAAAATAAGAATTATAATCACCGAAAAATAATGATATTGGCCAGTTGTTTAAAATAAATTTTATGTGAATTTAAAATTAATCCCCCTTGTTTAGAACCAGTGTGATAAAGTCATTTTGTAAAGAAGAAACTCATTAAATAGAAGCCTACCGTTTATTTTATGCGTCTCATAAGAATATATGCTATGTTAAAATAATTGGGAGGCCATTAGATTGAGGAGGCTTCACTGTCTTGGGTTCCTATGTAAACAAACCAAAATTCAACTCAATGTAAATAGTAAAAGGAAACTTAAGCTTAACCAATCAGAAACAAAACCCTAACTAAAGTCTAACTTCAGACTTAACCAATTAGAAACCACCAACTAACCTCTAACTAGGGAGTTTCCACTTTAACCAACTAGAGGCATTTTCTTTGTCTTGTTTCTGGGAAGAATATTATAAAAGTTTCCTCCCTTGCCACCCCCACCCACAAGTGGAGAGCTGCTGGAAGTCTGGTGATGCTTGATTCCTAAATCTCTAAATGTTCAAATAAACTTGTTAAAATTTTAATGCACCTAAGTTTATCGTTTAAGGGTTTTGAATACTTACAGCAAATTCAGCCAGAGCATAAAAACAGCAAGTTAATCTTTCCTTTTTTATCTGTAGTTTTGTAAATTCAAACCATTAGCCAAACAAATGGTTCAAAATAATAAACGAAAAGGATCAGAAATCCATACTATTTGTTGCACATACATTTATACAGACATATCTTCTGATATCTAGAAATACTGTAATGGTAAGTCAAGGGGTTTAGTGCAAGGTATTCAGGCAGCTATGGGCTGATACTCACATTGGGTCAGGTGTGCAAGGCGTGCAGTTATGGGCTGGTACTCACATCGGGTCAGAAGTACAAGGTGTGTAGTTATAGACTGGTACTCACACTGGGTCAGGTGTGCAAAGTGTGCAGTATGGACTGGTGCTTACATCATGTCAGATGTGCAAGGCATGCAGCTCTGGGCTGGTACTCACATTGCGTCAGGTGTGTGAGGTATGCAGCTATGGGCTGGTACATTGGGTCAGGTGTGCAAGGTGTGCAACTATGGGCTGCTACTCACATTGGGTCAGGTGTGCAACGTGTGCAGTTGTGGGCTGGTACTCACATGGGGTCAGATGTGCAATGCATGCAGCTATGGGTTGGTACTCACATTAGGTCAGGTATGTGAGGCTTGCAGCTTTAGGCTAGTACTCACATTGGGTCAGGTGTGTGAGGCATGCAGCTATAGGCTGGTACTCACATTGGGCCAGGTGTACAAGGCATGCAGCTATGGGCTGGCACTCACATTGGGTCAGGTGTGCAAGGCATGCAGCTATGGGCTGCTACTCACATTGGGTCAGGTGTGCAACGTGTGAAGTTGTGGGCTGCTACTCACATTGGGTCAGGTGTGCAATGTGTGCAGCTATGGGCTGGTACTCACATTACATCAGGTATGTGAGGCATGCAGCTATGGGCTGCTACTCACATTGGGCCAGGTGTGCAAGAAGACTCATGCATCTCTAGTGCCTTTTGTTCCCTTGGTGACTTAATGTTCTCATTTTGTGATGTTATTTTGTATAGAATTAAAATCAAACATTTCCAAGGACATAAATCATTATATCTGCTATGAATTATGATCATTACCTGATCCAAGTATTGGGTCTGTGGGCCTCAATCCCACCACCTTACCCATGGCAGATGTTTAGGCCATGTGGACTCACAGGTATTTGTTTGAGAGCTTACAGACGAACTTTCTTACTAAAATACCACAGTTTGTAAGACTGTACCCTTTGATTTATGTTTATATTACACTCAAGCTTTTTGGGAAAAGTAAGAGAATCAGAATTGAGTAATTGGATGAAAATAACTTAAAGACCAAGAAACACATTTAAAAACCTGAAGAAAATTCACATTTTAGAAACTGAGATAGATGTTAAAAAATGTTTTCATTTAGAAAAATCACATTTTGAAGAAAAGCACCTAAATAGCCAGAAAGAGTGACTCCACATCTTCCCCACAGTTCAGTGGCAAAGACTCATGCTACAGATGCTTTGATAATAAACTCTTTTTCATTAGCACTGTAGGTCTTTATGCATTATAAAAATATGGCCAATTTGTAAATGTCCAACAGCATTCAAACACTGCCTTATGTGTCAACCAAGTTAGTTGGCATTTGGAATAATACTTGGATTCAGCACAGAATACATATCAGAGTAATTCGGGATGGAATCACTTGCCACCCTTAGAATGAACCTGAAACACTAAAGACGAACTAATTCATTTGGGAAATAAAAATGTAATCACCCTCCCTTGTATCTGTTGCAACAATTCAATCTGCAGTGAAACTTACACTTGTATCAAGTGTGTGGAGTGTTATCACTGCCATTCCTTTTATAATCTTCTATACAAAAACCAGTCATAATATATTCTTTCATTTTGAATTTTTTATACCAAGAAACTGATCTTAGTAGGATTTGTGACAAAGAAGTATGCAATCATTCAACAAATATTATCCCAAGAGTAGGAACAAATAGAAATCAAATAATGCAAGGAAATAACTGAAATGCTTCACTGTGATTATCTCTGAAATTGTTTTTTTCTTTATGCTTTACTGTATATTCTACATTTTGTAAATGAAGATACCTAAGTTTCATTACTGAAAACACAAATATTATTAACTTTTAAAGAGACTGGGGGAAAACAAGATATGACTGTTGATGCATTTAACATAATACGAAAGTTCATGTGCATCCTGGAAATGAAAATGTATGACTTCTTCCAGAAATTCCCTGAATTCAGATCCAAGTACCTTCCGATTCTCCATAACCACAAATGGCTGAAAGAGAGGCTTTTCTTTTGCAGCCTAACGAACTTCCTTTATCAAAGAGTACAAAGAATCTTTAACTGTTTCAATTTCAGGAACATACAGTATCACTAGTATAAAGTGAAACCATCCAATAAATGGTTCCACAATGCCTAGTGCTATGAGAAAAAAAAATCGACTATTATTCTATTTTTTCACAACTCATATTTTTAAACCATTACTGATTTCTGAAATATACACCTGTTATCTAAACTTACTCTTGCTAAATCAAGCTTTGCCAAACAGGAATCTGAGGGCTGGGTTATTTTTAAAGTTTTATATCTTACTCATATGCCCTCTCAAACTTTCTGAGCCTAATCCCATGAAATTTCCCAGGTGAAATTCCTATTCTCTTCTTTAGGTAGCGTCTGCCTGAAAGGCATATGCACACGTATGCGAAACCCATGAAGACCCTCAGAGCTTCCCTAGGGCTGCGCGCTCACCAGCCTGCCTGTTAATGTGACAGTAACTTCTCACGGGTTATTTTATTTCATCTTCGCAACAGCTGAAAGGGGTAGAAATTGTTGCATCATCTTTACAGGTGATAAAATCAGGCTCTGAAACTGGCTTAGAGTCACTTAGGTAGGGGCCAGCCTCTTTTTTTTTCTGTTATTATTTATCAAGTGTCTATAATGTACCACACACTGCTCTAGAATAAAAAACTACAGCCCATGCTCCCGGGGTCACCAAACCTTTGGAACATACTTATGATAAACATATAAAAGGTTGTTATTTGGAATTCAAATTTAACTGGGCATCATGGATTTTTATTTGCTAAGTCTGGCAATCCTATGTATTCATGTCCACCATGCCATACAGCATGCTAGGTTGACTCAGCGGCCCATCCGATCCTTCCCAGCAGACCATGTTGATATGCAATGGATGGAGACCTCCAGGAATGAGGTCTGGGATGAGGACTCCAGGGATATTGAATTGCAGATTCCAGGGGCCCTGGGATGGAAGCCACAAGACACATTGGGATGGAGACTCTAGGGACGCTGGGATGGACACTCTAGAGACATTGGGATGGAGACGACAGGGATGCTGGGGTGGAAGCTCCAGGGAAACTAGAAGACACAGAGATAGAGACTTCCAGGAATGCTGAGATGGAAACCATTGGAGATATTGGACAGAGACCTCTAGGGATACTGAGAGAGAGAGAGACACCCCACTGACACTGGAATAGAGAACTCCAGGGACTCTGGGATGAAGACCTCCTGGGACAGGTACCCCTTGAAAACAATTCCCAGCTGCCATCCACAGCCAGAACAGGAGCATAAGACATCTCTTCAAAATACCCTAATTTGCTCTGTGGCTTCTCACATCCCTTAGGAAAATCTTGAGTCACTGACCAAAAGCCAACCACTTGCAGAGAATGAAGCGCTGGTCTGTTCACACAGCACCCAGGACCTCCAGAGACAACAAGAGAATCTCATGAGTCAAAGTCATAGAAAAGCCTTTCCAAAGTTCTTTAGAGATGAATGAGGGATGCAAGACTCAAAACACTAATTGGGGTCACATTTGTACCTGCCCCACCCCGGTAAGGGGTCTGTTCCCTTGACTCAGAGTGAAAGCTCATTTTCCCTCAGGGTGAGCTTTGGTGTATACAGCCTGCCACTGGCTCATGCCCTTGCCAGATGTAGGTGTCTGAGATAAATTGTTATAATCCCAACCCCCTTTTCCCTAAGTGTTCACCTGGATGCAGAGGGGAACATAGACAAATTCAACTCTGGAAATAAATGTGTTGAATCAACAGGTATCTTTGAGCTTCTATAAGCAGGAAAAATCTGTGCTATATGCTGGAGAAATAAAGAAAAGACAGGCACTTCCCTTGCCTTCTGGTAAGTCACCATCTGATAAGGGTGACTTGTCAAGAAATAATGCAATATTGTACATTAAGTGCAGTTAAAAAAAAAAAGTAGATGTCCAGTATGTTACTAGGGCCACACAGGACAGAGAATGTGGTGGTTCAGGACTGCTGGTGGACCCTTGAGCCAGGTCCTTACTACAAGTGGGAGTTTACCAAGCAGATAATTTGGAGTGGGGGTTGGTGGCAGCCAGTATTCCAGAAAATGAGAAAGAGGTCAGAAGGGAAAAAGCCCAGAGGCAAGAAAGAGCATATTCCATAAGTGTAGGCAGAATAAATAATTCCACATGCCTGGACCATGTGAGAATGAAAACAGGCAAGTCTGGAAGGGAAGTGGGAATGCAGGGCAGAAGGGCTGGCGTACCACACCAGGGAGACAGCTTATATCCAATGGGAGCTACTGAAGGTGGGCATTTTTAAAAGATGATGTTGGCTGTGGTATGCAGAAGGAGGAGAACATCTGGAGGCCAGGAGACTGATTTAACACCACTGCAAAACACAGGCCGAACTCCAAGTGATGAAATTTGTTGGAAGTGAGCATCAGAAATCCCCCAGTATTGCTACTGGACTAAGGTAAGGAAGAGAACACCAAGTAGCCTTGTCCAATCCATACTCACCGCCTCCTCACAAACGTCAAAAGAGGTGAAGGTAACTTGCTAGGTGCAATAAACTATGCCAACTTCTTCCTACTCATGTAAAATTACAACCATTCATCACTTCAAGTGTTGAGTGGATGTACAAGGACACCTCAAGATCCAAGAGCAAAAGCAACGATCCTAGAAACTGTTCAATGTTTATCTAGAGTGCCCAGACTATAAGCTAGATTTAGCTGCACTCGTGTTTATAGAGAGACTGCAAAACCTCTGTAGCTATGGCAGGCATGCTTTATACTCTGGTACATTTGGACAAAAAATATAATGAACTCTCCACTGCCCAATGTGCCATCCTTAGATGCCAGAGGAACCCAATTCTACAAATGGACCCTTTCTTAAACTTTAATGTCAATTTTCCTAAAAGATGGATATATAATCCCAAAATAGGTAATTTAAATGCAAGGATTATGCAGGTTTTCTAAGGAAGTGATAGTGAAAACAGGGGAAAGAACTCAAATTTGTTTGGATTGTGTTCCAGTGGCCTCATTGTCAAACTGGGATGCAGATGTTGACCTAGATACGGGAACACTCACACCCTTAAGAGATAAAGATAAAAATAACTTCGTTGAATCTCAATTTACTGGTATATGGCCTAATCAAGGTAACAAAGAAAGGTGGTGGTGGGCCTTGGGGTACACATCAAGATCTCTGGATCTCTAGAATCCTACTGAAGAATATAGTGGGAAGTCAGGAACATGTTTTCAGGAGTCAAACTGACTGGGTTTGGAACCCAGGTCCATCTTTTCTTAGGCATATGCCCCGGACAACTTATTTATCTACTTCCTTCCTCAGTTTCCACATCTCTAAAACAGCAATGTTGATAGTACCTACCTCTTAGGTTTGAATGGAGGAACAAATGAGTTAATTCATGTTAGAACAGTTACTGGCACAGGGTGAGGGCCCGATCAATGCTTACTCTAACGGGCAGCCATCAACATCTTATTAGCAGTAGTATATTTTATGACACTCATACTGTATTTCATTCTTATAAGAAATAATATTATTCAGCATTCTTCAGTTTTGTCAGTGAAGGTCACATGTAACTGCACAGATGTAAAATGAAGTCCAAAAATATCTGTGGTGGCAAAATACAATATCTCTCACCTTGCTCCTACAACAAGTTCTTTCTGTCCTGGGTCAAATGTTAACTGCGAGAAATCCACAGCATTCTTCGCTCTGAACTCCCGTAACCAGGGGCCAATTTCTAAATAGAAAAAATAAATAAATAAAAAGATAAAAATGAATTATTTTTCCTCTGGGGACCACAGATAGTGCACATCAGGTAGCAGACGTTACATTTCAGAGAGGATTCGGAGGTCCCTCTATGCCATCTTTCAGAGGCCACTGGAGGTTTCCCTCAGGATGCCCCATAAGCCATACTAAGAACTTGTAAAGCACAGAGGGCAGCCACCCAATAAAGAGCAAGCGAGGCATCAATGCTTGGTTGTGATTTACAAGCCAGATGTGCATTTTCCTTTTGGCTTTGGGCTGGGCAGAAAATAACACAGCATTCACATGATTCATCAGAGGAATACTGAATGCAAACAAGACCATTTCCTGTGCAACTTGACTCAAAAGAGCTGCAGATTTTTAAATATTACAAAAGCCTCCTTAGGAGCAAGGACCAAGCACACAAGCATCATTTGCCTTCTTTCAAATTAGATGTTCCATTTCCCTGTCCTTTGGGTTTCTATTTTGGCCCCATGATTAGACTTGTTAAACACATTCCGACCTTTCTAGATGAGAAATCCACAGTTACTTCTAGGCTTCATTTGCATTTTTTTTTCTAAGGGAAATCAGAAAATAGCCACTCTATAGAGACAGGCTTTTACAAGCACGGTTAACTCCTATTAGACAGCCTCCAGCCCAGAGTCCGATAATTATAAAATGACAGTATTTGAGGAGAGATAGGATGCTGCTTCAATGAGCCATTTTTGCAACTTTCATTAGCTCATTTTTAACACTAAAAAATATTCAGTGAGTTGCCCACCAAACGTGGGATACCTTATCATTATCATTGACAATTAACCATAACATCTGATTGTCGTTTTTTCTTGGATTTAGTATTTTGAATAACACCACCCTGACTAACCAGGCACATAACAACTGTCAAATCAATGAAGATGTTGGTTTGAGGAAAAAGTGTGTGATACAGGAAAGAATCTCCTCCAACAAACGCTGATGCTAAACACATCAGTGTTATGTTTTTAATGGGGGCATATGGAAATATGCCCCCATTCCGTCTCATATCCTAAAGAAATCGCTTTGTTGATGTGAATGAGAGGGACTATTTTTTCAGGAATGGTTCTGTATAATAAACATGTCTTTTCTCTACTAACAGTTACGAGGGGGAAGTGATATCAAGTAAAATTTATCTTCTGCTTAAAGGAAACCAGGGGTGAGTCATATAGAGAGGGACTTGTAATGTATATGATAGCTTGATTTTTTTAAGGATTTTCATATAAATTTCTACATTTTATAGGCAAATCAATTAAAATACGTAGAACAAGGTATGTACAAGGCAATGGAACTATGAAAAGTTATTAATAATCCTTCCAGGACTTTATAATTCAGTTAAAGAAACAGCACTAGTATCTTTAAACAGGGTGTCTATCAATGCAAGTGTTTATAGGGGCTTGTGGGGTTACAGGAATTATTCTTATATGAAAAGAAGAGATGATTGAGAGCTGCAGTAAAACAAGAGGAAAGATTTGACCAGAGAGTGACAGGAAAGATGTCCTAGAGGGGCAAAGCAAGACAGCAACATGGGAGGCCATGGTGCCCCCTGTGGCCATAACTGGTATCACTCATCTTCACTCCATCAATGCCTCCATTCCTGGGCAAAAGAGAACCCAATGGCTCTTGCGTCTGCATTGCTCCCTGCAGTGCATGCAGCATACAAAACAGCACATTGAATGCGATAGGAAATAATAAATATGTGAAATGAAGTAAGAACAAGTAAGTGAGTTCAAGAGAGAAATAATCAAAAAGAAAGGAAATAAGAAAAAGAGAAAGGAGAAAAGAAAAAGTAATAGCAACTTAAGAAACTACTAGGAAAGGAAACTGAAAGGTGTATTTAAATACAAACTGTAGAAAAATTCACTTTCAGGTTAAAAGGTTTGGACTTGATTTCATATGTGACAGCAAAGCTTTGAAACGTTTTCAGGAAAACTCTTGACCCATTTGAGCAGATGTCTTTGGAATATCAATGAGCCCTTGATAGAAAGAATGGTCTGGAAAGAGTAGAGAATGGAAGGAAAAGTAGTATATTTTTAAAAACCTAAAAACCTACAATTTAGGTATTGGCCTTGAAAATGAATAAAGAAGATGTGGGATCACTGATTAGAGATGAAGTCAAGGTAAACAACTTAAAAAGAACAAAACAGTTACCAAATTAAATGAAGAAGAAAACAGTGATGACTGAGACAGGCATCAGAGTTTGAGGTGGCTTTAGAGAAAGATAGTAAATTCAGGTGCAAGAATGGGAATGTTTCAGGTGAAAAATTTCCAATGGTAGGTTGGCCCACAGCCATTGTTAAACATCGCTAAGACCTAGAAATGTCCATAAAGATGTTCTAGTTCAGGAGGTTCATCATTCAGATGGGAAACACATGACCAGGGAGCACTGCCAGGACCAGGCTCCAGAGTGAATATCAGGGGCTCTGTTCACCACAACTCACAGCCCCCAGAGCT
Organism: Homo sapiens; assembly: GCF_000001405.40. Lineage (NCBI taxonomy): Eukaryota > Metazoa > Chordata > Mammalia > Primates > Hominidae > Homo > Homo sapiens. The sequence continues at coordinate 9,340,302 of NC_000005.10, forward strand.
GGGCTCACATCCAATCTTCAAACCACATGAGGGAAGAACAGAGGGCCAAGGGCTGACCTTCCTGCTAGGGGAGTGAAGAGATGAGCCTCTAAGAGGAAAAAAGACTACGAAAGATAGAAGAAAATCAGGTTACTCTTTTCCCATGCATTCATCTTTCTTTTTATTTAGAAGACTTGGAAGAAAGTGGCCAACAGGAACCAGGCTAAAGAGACATACATCAGGTTTTGGTCCCTATACTGAACAACGGGAAGGCAGTTTTGCTACTTCCTAAAATACCCTGAAGTAATAAAAGGAGTCATGTACAGAGGAAAAAATGAGTTAACAGCATGTAGTTCTGTCAATATTGTTCAAGTTTCCTTATTTGAAATTCTAATGAACTTTCCCAATAAAACTGTGTATTTTTATGGTTAACATAGATCAAAGTTGAGTAATCTGCATATTCCCTTCTCTTTCCTCCAGAAGGTTGGCCATCTCAACTTTGCATATTACATTGGCTTCTATCTCACTGATACCAAGAGAGCCTTGCAAGAAAGTCTCTGCACCAACTCACCTCTTGAACTAAAAAGAAGCCTGCACCAATACCTATCCTCCCAACTTTCCCAACAGATCAGAGAAAAGGCACTCAATCCTCTTTTCAAAGACCAGTTGCTCTCATCTCTTCTTTCCCCTTTAATCGCTTCTCAATTACCTAGGCTTTCCTCTAAAATCTCCAATGTTACCTAGTCCCTTTCCCTCTGCCTATATGTACATCCTCTCCTATTTCAAAAAGCATTACATATTTTTATTACACTCCCTTGTTATTATAGCTTCAAAAACCCCAATAAAATGCATAATAAACTTCCAAGTACAATATAGCAATATATCAAAAAAAAAATCACACACATACAAACACACACACACACATACACACACACACACACACACATACACTATATTTCATAGGGAATAGGGCTTAGCCCAGAAACGCAAGGATGGCTCAGCAAGCTTAGTAACAGAAAACCTATTACTATAATTCATCATCACAATAACAGATTTCAGTAGTAGCAGGAAAACGTCATCAATACTGCTTTCTAAGGAATCAGAAAATGAACAGTTTTGGAAATAGAAGATCTAAAAGAGTTCAGGGCAATTGGTCACAAACTAGATGCCAGAGGAAGTTCGGGGAGAGTGAGGGAGCAGGAGGGGGTCCACAGCAAGTGGTGAATTGAGGGGATACAATTTTCAATAACATTAAGATGCTCATTGCCCCCAGTGAGTTTACCTTTTTCCTCCTATCCCTATTTTCTGATATTGCTGAAATAACCATATGATGAAATGGAGCTTAAATATGGCAGCCAATATGACTATATATATATAATATATATAATATATATTATATATATATAAAATTGGAAGTTAAGTTATAACATAAAATTTGTAAATTCCAACTGAACACTTGATAGATAATTCATAATATTTGAGGTTAACTATCCTAGATAATCCAATTTTTACACATATATTTACGTGATTGTTGAAATATGGTCTCCAGCAATGATTTTTTATTGCAAAATTACATTCATTGATTCTTAGTTGCCTTCTCTTACAGCTACATAAGCTCGCATGTGATTGGTGTATAAAATATTTTATCAAAAGTATAATTCCATTTTTTTTAATAATCCAGTCTTACAACTTCAAGAAACGATTTATTTTATGAACAAGTCAGTATTAATAATTTGGTCCAAAATACTTGACAAATATAACTAGAGATAAGCTAAATAGATTCAAGTTAATGTCCCTTCCAAAAAAGAAAGAAAAAAAAATCAAAGAAAAAAGAAATGCAAAGAAAAAGAAAGGGAAAGAGGGGTAAAAGCTACTCTTTTAAAAAAAGCAGACACTCTAAATATAGCCAAGGTAATGATGTTTGTAAACCAAAACAACAACAGCAACAAACAAACAATAAAGGGCAGCTCTTGTGGAAGACATGACAGTCATTCCAAAATCTGACTGAGAGCCACTCCACATGCTAACACCTGCAGCGCCAACTGTCCAGAAACCAATCTGATTTGTTAGCAAACACTGACCAGGGAAACCTCCCAGGCACACTAAGGGCTGGCTCCGGATACCTGTTTCATTCCTCACACCTTCAAACTTCAGTTAATTAAGGGGCTGAGAAAGCAGGATTTCAAAAGCTATATGGGTGACTTGAAACCCACATTGGAAACTAAGATTCAAGCCAAACTAGGTGGGGCCAGGGGACGGTGGGTAAAGATTGTTGAAAAGCACGGAGAGCAACTTACATAACACACATAAGTACAGTATGTAGAAATACAAGTGCATATCACAGCCTACTTCTATTTATCATGTAGTTATGTAACCGATTTAGTCTGCATCATGACAAAATAACGCTAACAATATGATTATCAGCAAGACAGCTCAAAAATAGCTAATGTTTAAATAGTAGGTTCTATCTTATCCACTTTATAACTATTAATTCCTGTATTTCTCACACCTGCCTTATCATAGGTGAAGAAACTGAGGCATTGTAAGAGTGAGTGTTGCCAAGATCAATAGCTGGTAAGATACAAACCCAACCAGCATAGTTTTTGTGGTTCTAGCCACTATGCTATATTATTAAACTTCAGCAAATATAAAATTTAGCTTCCTATACAGCACATTTGGAAAATTACAGGAAGAAAGAAAAATCGACAGCCTCTCCACTTTGAAAGTTACTCTATTCCCATTGATAGACTGTTAAGCAAAATCACTACGCACTCAGTTTTCAACTATGGACTAGAGAAAAATGAAATACAACAGAAAGCTGGGTCTCTCAAAACCAGCTACTACTTTAACCTGTGAATAAAATATTGATTGTTTTTGCCCATGTTAATAAGGGTGATGATCTACACAAAAACCATTCATCATTTTTTATTACCCAAGTGTCTTTATGTAAGTATGGAGGAAGAAAATGACAACCATGTACTGATCTGCTTTATTGGAGTAAAGAACATTCTGAAATCAGAACGTAGGAATGATACAAGCACTGTGGAATGCTTGAGTTTCTAAGCAGTCTAAACCACTCAACTCCAATACAGGAGTTGGGGGGCAGGGACAAGGTACTGTCCTGAAAATGAAAGAGCTGTGTCTTCACCTCCTCAAGATGGGAACCTTCTGTGAGCAGCACAGGAAAAGAAGTACAGGGCATATTCTCTGTGGAGAAATTCTGGAAGTTCTTTTTTCTGACCTCTTCCTGAAGTTGTGAAAAGATCCATCCTACCTCAAAGGTAGGGACCTATTACTCCTTAAAGTTGGCATGCTTCTCCCTTCTATGGACTTCATTTTTGGTTTCAGTGCATTACATAAACCATCCTATCAATGAAATCTGAGCCAAAACTATGATAGAAAAACAAGGGAGTGGAATGTTTAAAAGCTAACACAAGTAGAAGAAGAGCACGGCAGGTCTGTGCTGGTTTACTATGCTGTGTCTTGCCTGCTACCAGTTTCCTTCCCTTTCCTTTGCAGTTTGCGTTACCAGGCCTGTTACTTCAACAACCACTCAGAACAAGGTAATCTCACTTTGGACAATAAATCAGCAGCAACCCCATGCCACGTGTACCCCCAAAATAAGATACATCAGGCTTTCAACCAACTTGGTTCCCTCAAATCTTTTCAGTGATTATCATAGCTTTCAGTCCCAAAGCTTCACACACTTGTCTGGTGCCAGCGTGTGAATGCAAAACACGTCATAAGGGAATAAACATGCACATTCATAGATGTTTAAAATATGCTGCTGAAAAACATACATATCAGAATAACCAACATTTCTTACTTATACTTCTTTATTTACTAACTATATTTTCAGTACTGACTTGGTATCAGGAATTGTATGAGATACTTTTACATATTAACTATTTTTATGTTTATAATCTTGTGAAGCGAGAGCTATCATTTTTGTTATAAAATTTTTTTAAACCCTGAAATTTTGACAAGTTAAATATCCAAACATGACATAAGGAATAAGTAGCTAAACTGGAATTTACATCCAGAATAAGGCTAAGGCAATATTTCTATAAGACACAGATTAAAAATCAATTTTCCAAGGAATGCATAAAGAGCATGAATCCTTACTGCCTAGTAACATATACGCATGGATTAATTTATCAAAAATGGTAGTTGTACCCAGCAAAGGAGAGAAAAATTGGAAAGAAGGGAAGCTGGTAATTTCCAGATAGGAGACAGGAATGTTCCAGCTTGGCTGCCCACTGAGCAGGACATAAGTGAAGGAGGAGTACCCCAGAGAAAAACAGAAAGAAACCAGGGCACACCCCAGGCAGCAAGAAGTCCAGGGGAAAGAAGATCTCAATATTGGAGAATTTATCTCCCTCAAATGACTTTCCAAGACAAGTCCTATTTACATTAGCAAACTCCAAAATGTACAGATATGCTAAACCTTACTTTTGCTTTGTAGAAAGGTTGGAAAATATGAGGCCAATTTTTTATCTCCAAATATATGAGCCTCTACTATTTTCAGTATAACTCCTATTGAGGGCTTAGTTGAATCAAAGCAGGTTACAGCAGGGCATGACATTAGCTGCACTTCAGTCCAGCCCTTGACTTTATAGTTGAGGGCAGGTGTGTTACACCACCTGCCCAAGGCTATGCATGTGCAGTGAGCTGGAAAATCCCAGGTCCTAAGGTTCCTTTGCTGGTCTATTTTCTTCCCCATCACAGCACTAGTAGAATATCTAAGTAGAAGTACCATGGCTGAACCTCACCTAACACCGGCATTTAGATCCTGAGATTTGACAAGTATTTATGGTATGGCCTGAAAATCATGCAAACAATTGAAAACATGAGGTAAACCCACCCCTGTTTCAGAAAGGTAGTGGATTTCAATTGGTTACAAGATGATCATTGTTTCCAATGGAATTCTGCTTCCTAACATTCCTCTTAAAATATCCAGGAAAAATATCAAACATGTTTCTTTAGTTGTTCTATATTATCCTTCAACAATCTAACTTGGAGAAATGATGGGCCTGGAAAGTCACATGGGAGTCCCTTCCAGACATGAAGCCTGTCCACCACCTGCCCTGGCAGCCTTGGTCACCAGCTGCCTCCCCATGCAGGCCCCTGCTCCTGCCTTCACTGGAATGCATGCATTCTTTCCTACAATTTCACAGATTGGTGGTTAGTATTTAATGCTGATTTACATTATGGATATATATTTATAACATGGATTCCAGGATGTAAAAAAAAAAAAAAAAGTGGTCTGTACCAGGCTGACCACATTATCTGAGCACATGAAAATTTCTAAATGATAGTATTTTAAATGACCAAAATTATATGTATCTATAGTTATCAATATATCTCAGTCCCAAGGCCATCCCACTCAGCAAGCATCCTCCTTCAAACTACCCAGTATAAGAACAAGAAAGCTCTTGCAGACTGCACTTAGTGAAGTAGATTAAGCTTTCCAAATGTGGATTATAGTCATATTGTATCTAGATATATTGTATATAAGTATATACACAATACATATACTGTATTATACACAACACAATACATATTTTGTGTATATGTATGCAGTGTATATGTATACACATGTATTTATTTCTATATATCTGTATACATATAGACACACATATACATGATAGGGAGAGAAGGCAGAGAGATTCTAGGTGGACATGGGAGGGTCCCTGGAGAAGAATCACCCTCAAGCTTAAAAGCCTGACAGACTGCAGCCCAAAGTGACAACTTATATTCTGTTTTCCTGCTTGAATGTTACCTTTTCCTAAACCACCCATGTTCCCACCCCACCCCATCCTGTGCCTATAAAGACCCCAGACTCAGCTGGCAGAGAGGAGAAGCTGCTGGACATTGTGGACTATGGCTGGATGTTGGAGAGAAGTTGGCTTGACTTCAGAGGGACAGTTTGATGGTGTAACTTTGAAGAAGAATCTGGCCAGAGATGTCCGGACTCCAGGGGAAGATAACCTTCCTGCCCCATCCCCTTTCCAGCTCCCCTTCCACTGAGACCCACTTTCATTGGCATTTATCACCATTTACCTCCACATTTACCACCCTTCAGTTCGCTCATGTAACCTCATTTTTCCTGGACACCAGACAAGAGCTTGGAAACCATGGGGGCAGACACAAAAGGGCCTGCTGAGCTGTTAACATTTAAGCTATCTGCAGGCAGCAGAGCTAAAAGAGCACTGTAATATGCCCTCTGGGGTTTCAGGGGTCACAGGTTCCCCACTAGATGTTGGTGCGGGGCCTACAGGGAGTTGGCTCCTGCCAGCATCCAAAATTGCTCACCCTGGCTCCTGCATCTGCTCACCTGTATGCTCCCTCCAGCATGGGGTGGAACACGGAGGGTCTGAGTCAGTGGAACTCACCCCTGCTAGTGCCAAAGTGGCCAGCTGGTTCCAGCGTGTGTGCACTCCATTTCCGGCCTCGTTTGCACACTCCCTCCCACAGGAGTTGAGAGCTGAGGGCTGAGTAAATGAGGCATCCCTATCACAAGTCCTGGGAAGGGGTCAGGGAAATATCTGGCTTCATACACACATAGATATATAAATATAGGCATCAATGTGGTCATTGTGTATATATATATGTGTGTGTGTGTGTGTGTGTGTATATATATATATATGTATTTGCCTAAGTGTATTCAAATAGATATTATAGACACTTAATAGACTACAGTAGAAAGAAAAAAATTATCTCAAAAAATGTCTACAGGAAATGAGTCTGTCCCATTTATAGAACTTTTAAAAAACAAAAATATTTAATAATAACCAATTAGAGAAATTAAAACATTTCGTATCACGAAAAAAGACCCAAAATAGCAGGAAGCATAAAGCATCTTTCATTTGCATTTTCCTTTGTAAATATGACACTGAAAACACAGCATTTTAAAAATGCAAGCAGTGCTTTTTCGAATCTTTTCTGGTTTCTATTGCAGTCTGTTGAAAGTGAGTCAAGTGTTCTATCAAGTCTTCATATGATTTTGTTGCATTAACACATAGTATACCTAACCCATTTCTCACATGTTCATTGTAGAAAAATATTCACAAACTACAACTTTTGCAAAAGGTCTACACTCTGGATTTGGATTCTTGTGAAGTTCACTGTTTCATCTTGGGCAGGCTTCCTGGTGGATGTCTCAGAAACCAAAAAGCTGTGATAGCTCCTTTTTACTCGATGAGTTCCTGATTGGGTCTTCCTTCAAACACCATTTGAAAACTACAAGCTTGTGTCACACATTTTTTTCTTTTCTTTTTTTTTTACATCCTGGAATCTATGGCATAAAATGTATCCATAATGTAAATCAGCATTAAATACTAACCACCAACCTGTGATTGTAGGAAAAAATGCGTGCACTGTTTCAGTGAGGGCAGGAGCAGGGACCTGCATGGAGAGGCAGCTGGTGATCAAGGCTGCTGGGGCAGGCGGCAGACAGGCTTCATGTCCAGAAGGGACTCCTGTGTGACTTTCCAGACCTACCGTTTCTCTAAGCTAGATCGTCGTCACAAGATAATACTGAACAACTAAACATATTTTTCCTTGGTATTTTGAGAGAAATCTTAGGAAGCAAAATTTCACTGGAACCAATTACCATCTTGTAACCAATTGAAATGCACTACCTTTCTGAAACAGGGGTGGGATTAATAAATTCCACTGTTACCCCACGTTTTCAATTCTTTGCATGATTTTCAGGCCATACCACAAATAACTTGTCAAATCTCAGGATCTAAATGCCAGTGTTAGGTGAGGGTCTGGCTACTCCAGCCCAAGGAGTTCCGAGTCATTCAAGGGTTGCCTCAGACCCACCTGGCAAGTGCAAAGAGACACTAGTGAAAAGTTGTCTGTAATCTGAGTTCAAAATCTGCCTCACAGGCTAGAGTTGCCTTCCCTTTTGTTTATAACTTTCAAGATCTTGGTAAATTCCTATTTCATTAAACCATCTGAAGCAATTAATTAGGATAAGAAACAAGCTGATAAGTGCCTGGGTTTTATTGCTAGATAACTCCTAGAAGAAGCAATTTCTACTCATCCATCAGGAAAGACAGATTTTTTTTAAATTTATAAGATTATGCAAATTCATATATTATAACACAAACTAAGCATGACCCTCAAATTCCTGGACTGTGATTAACTTTGTCCTTCAGGCTATGAAGTTGGTGCCCAGCCTGCCCCTCCCTTCAACTTTACGTGGCTTCAAAGTACTTTGAGTCACCCATAGGAAACTTTGCCCAGTGCAGAAGGGTTTTCATTTTGACTCCTGACCTGCAGCATATGATTTTAGGCTATAAAATCTAATTGCAAAATCTCCATGTTGTGACAAAGAACAACAAAAAGTAATTTCCCTTAGATTTATAACTTTAGAATTACAAATGATGTTAATATGACTAAAATTACAAAAATGAACAATTTCTATTCAATAGGCACTTAGATTATTCCAGAAGTGGCCAAAGTGCTGGCTGTGTAAACAGTGATAGCCAGAAGACTGACAGCAAAGAAAGCCATTCGCCACCAGATAACGACAGAGATTGCAGAGGAACGTGCCAGAGATTTCTTAGAGCCTTAGGGTGTGTGGTTTTAAAATATCCAGAATAGTTCTGCTACATATTCAGAATTTGCCAGACCTCAGCTTTAAGACAATAAATCATTTGCTTAAGGAAAATCTCTTTCTGTCACATTCTCACAATTCACACGTAAGTTTCCTGTCTGCCTCCTCACTATAGGAAAATCTTTAGCTTCTAATCTAAGCCACTACTTCTTCAGACCTTAGGATTCAAGGGAAGAAGAAAGCTGTGGAACTCAGGAGACAAGACAGGGTCATGCAAGGAAGGCTTCTTGCTTGAAGAGAGGTCTAATAAGTCCCAAGGTGGCCTCTTTGCCGAAGTACAGATTCTATCTACACATCGGAACTAGAACATATTTGCCAAGTCAGACCAAGGTTTTTCCAGGAACTTTAGGGTTAAGCATTAGGTGGATGTGCACCAAAAATACTGGGGCAGCACAATAATTCATGTACGTAGTCAAGTAATATTTATTTATTGAGTACCTGCTACATAGAAGAACCAACTGTAGGTACTGCCTGGAATACAAAGTTATATAAGACAGACCTCTGCCTTCAAGACATTTATAATTTAGCTAAGAAGATGAGATACACACAAAAGAGAGTTAAACTGAAGAAGATAAATACTATCTGATCCCAGGGAAAAGCATAAAGATGATAAATGCTCTAAAGCAGCACCATCCAATGAAAATGTAATGTAAGCTGCACATGTAATTTTGTATGTCCCAGTAGCCATGTTAAAATGCTGTTAAAGAGGGTTGGGCACGGTGGCTCACGTCTGTAATCCCAGCATTTTGGGAGGCTGAGGAGGGTGGTTCACTTGAGGTCAGGAGATCAAGACCATCCTGGCTAACACAGTGAATCCCTGTCCCCACTAAAAATACAAAAAAATTAGTCAGGCATGGTGGCATGCACCTGTAATCCCAGCTACTCGGGAAGCTGAGGCAGGAGAATTGCTTGAACCCAGGAGGCAGAGGTTGCAGTGTGCCGAGATTGCGCCACTGCACTCCAGCCCGGGCAACTGAGCAAGATTCCATCTCAAAAAAACAAAACAAACAAACAAACAAAAAAAAAACATGCTATCAAAATAAAATTCATTGAGGTATCTTTGTGTATGTGTATTCTAAGTCTTCGAAATCCTTACACTTACTGCACTGGACACCTTTCAAGTACTTTGAAGCCATACCTGGAGAGTGGCTACACGATTGGACAGCACATACCCAAGATATTAAGAACAGGCTTCCTTGGTAACATGGAGCCTTTGTTGGATGGAAAAACAAATTAACTTGTCTTCTTAGAACCAGCTGCCATAGAGGTCAGCGCAACCTAATCAGGCACTGATTCCAACAAAACTACCCTGCATTTACCAAATATACTGATGAAAGTAACACAGTCCTTGGAATTTGGTTGATTTAGGTTGGAATCTCACAGGCAGAACTTTTTTCTCGGGAACCGTATTCATAAGTGAGTAGTTTAATAATGGGTTGACTCAGCAGGTCTGCGGTATTCAAGCCAAGCATGTTCCAAGAGAGTGTCTGGTCTTTGACTGGCTGCTGGGAAATAATATCTAAGCCCTTACAATATTCTGCCTGATAGGAGTGTCTCTCTCTCTTGACCTGAGATCTTTGATCCATGCCAGATAGTCTACACTAACAATGCAGTTTACAGTGGGGACCTGTGGCCAGGCTGCATCTGGTTGACTTCAGGAAGGGCTGGAGTCTGAGTAACTAAGGTCAGCCATGCAAGCATTCCATGCTTTTGTGATCAACCCTCAATAAATCCCTGGACACCAAGGCTACATTGCATTTCTTTGGTTGGCAATATTCCATTCATTTTGCCAAATGTCATTTCTGGGAGAATACAGTGCTGTCCTTATGACTGCACCGGGAGAGAACAATCTTTCCCAAGCTTTTCTGAGCTCAGGATTTATACACAGTCTTTCCTAAGCTTTGCCCCACATGCCTTTTATGGGTGCTAACTTTAATCTACATCTACCCCATCACTGTAATCAACCCTAACTGCAAGTATAAATGCTTTTCTGAGTTCTGTGAGTCCTTCTAGAAAATCATTGAACCTGACAGTGGTACTGGAGACCACCAACTCAAAGCTTCTCCCTCTTGTGATGATAAGCACAGTAAACACAATAATAAAACCTGTATAAATATCCCTGGACACAGATGTGTTAGTTTGGAAGAGTCAGAAATATATAGAAATCACTGTCTCACTTTATCAGGGCATTATGGTACCTGCTTATCTAGGAAGAGATCCAGTTCCCTCCAATAGCATCAGAATCTCTTAGGCAGCAATCTTTAGCTTTTACAAAGGGTAAATTCCTTCCTAGGATCAAGCTTGAAACTTCTTTACATGAGTTATAATAGGCATGTGGCTAGAAACTAGACAAATGCCACTCATGATCCAGTTCCCTCCAATAGCATCAAATCTCTTAGGCAGCCAGCCTGTACCTTTTCCAAAGGGTAAATTCCTTCCTAGAATCAAGCTTTCTATGAGTTGTAATAGATATGTGGCTAGAAACTAGACAAATGCCACTTATGATATAATTAGTGCATTTCATTGTTATCTTTCTTCACATATTTTATAGCCCCCACCGTTTTTTTTTCAAAATTAACATAAGAAGTTTATTGCCTTATGTATTCTTACTTTGTACTGTCTCACAGAAACCAGTACATTACCAACAAATTAAGAAAAAATAATAGACATTCCATTCCATTTTTCATTATTTTATTGAGCAATTAACACTGTTATTCAATGAAGAAAGCCAAAATGCAATCTGGTTTGCATAAATATTTCAACAGAGTGGGACAGAAGAAAAGTCAGATCCCACATCATGAGTGTCCCCAGTTCATTGTGAAATACACCCACACAGATGAAGACATATTCTTCGTCTATGGTGTCCCCATGGACTTCCAGACATATGGACTAGCTAAAAACTTTTGGAAGCCAATCAAATCTCAAGTCTCAAAGCTGTACTCTACTTGCATTGGCTTTCTCTGTCTGCAAGGGTCTAGAGACCAAGGCACTCTACCTTTAGCCTTCACTCTTTCTCAGACTCCGCTGCTTTTCACTTCTCTCTCATCGTTCATTCAAGGAGACCCCCTTAGCCTTGCTATAACACTGATTCTCATTTCTCCATGTTGATATCAGGATTCCATCCTGTCTGAATTATCTTCCTATGTACTCCCTGTTTACTCAAATTCTAATGAATGTAACAGGTCGGGGGGGTTACTTAAGAGTAGGGTATAAGTTTACTAATATCTGTGTTCTCTTATCTAGTGAAATAGTCTTCAATGCATGTGTTAAAAGGAACATGGGTCATATCAAAGCAGCATGCAGTCCTACATGTCATCTGTATTCTTCCTTAATAACCTCACTAACCTCCCTCCTTTCCAGGCCACCAGACACTACCAATCTGATATATCTTTTTATTTTATTTTATTTTTTAATTTGTATCTATCTATCCATCTATCTAGCTATCTAGCTATCTAGCTAGCTAGCTATCGTCTATCTATCTAGAGATCAGTTTATGGCGCTGGCTAATTTTTGTATTTTTCGTAAAAACAGGATTTTGCTATGTTGCCCAGGCTGATCTTGAATTCCCAGGCTCAAGAGATCCACTGGCCTCTGCCTCCCAAAGTGCTGGAATTACAGGCATGAGCCACCATACCTGGCCCAATTTGATATACCTTGACTAGTGATTGTGTTCGAGAAGCACTTATGAACTATATTCTATCATTCTTCTAATCATTTTACATGGGATTGTTTATATCCAAATAATATTGTGAATTTAGTGAAAGAGGTCATCTTTAACATTTATGAAATATAAGTATTAGTCTCTAGGCTCTAAAAGAGGGATTGGCAAACTATGGCCTATGGGCCCAATCTATCCCATCACCTGTTTTTGTTAATAAAGTTTTATCAGAACACAGCCATGCCCATTGTTTACATATGTTCTATGGCTGGATTTGTGCTACACTGGCAGAGTTGAGTTCAGACTATTTGACCTGCAAGGGCCAAAATATTTACTATCTTACCTTTTACAGAATAAAACTATACCAACCCCTGCTCTAGAAAATCATAGAGTAAAAGGCTCAACAAATATGTATTACAGATAATTAAACATGCTAAGCATAGTGTTTTAGAAATGAAAGAAAGAACAAAAGAAGAAGGAAGGAAAGGAAAGGAAGGAAAGGAAAGGAAAGGAAAGGAAAGGAAAGGAAGGAAGGAAAGGAAAGGAAAGGAAAGGAAAGGAAAGGAAAGGAAAGGAAAGGAAAGGAAAGGAAAGGAGGGAAAGGAAGGGAAAGGAAGGGAAGGGAAAGGAAAGGAAAGGAAAGGAAAGGAAAGGAAAGGAAAGGAAAGGAAGGAAAGGGAAGGGAAGGGAAGGGAAGCAAAGGAAAGGAAAGGAAAGGAGGGAAAGGAAGGGAAGGGAAGGGAAGGGAAAGGAAGGAAAGGAAAGGAAATGAAAGGAAAGGAAAGGGAAGGAAAGGAAAGGAAAGGAAAGGAAAGGAAAGGAAAGGAAGGGAAAGAAAGGAAGGAAAGGAAGGAAAGAAAGACAATTTTAAAGTAAGAAGGAACCACCTCTGGGCATATCTACTCATACCTCTTCCCTAAGACTCCAGAAGAGTAGAGGGTCTTGCTGAAATTCACCCAGCTAGATATCAATGTGGATTAGCTTAGAAAGAGCCCCTAATCGTTCACCAGATATCATATATCTGGTTTATCATATATCACATGGCATCAATAAGGAGGAGCACTTCCACAATATTGCATCCCATAGTTTTATATGGCATTTAATATCTTCCGGTGAAAATGATAAGGACATGCAGGAAATCATTACCCTCTTCACAAGTTGAGTATTTTCTACACTTTCACACAAAATCGTTTTGAAACTCCAGCTAATTACTATACTTCCATTTCCTCTGAGGGAAAAAATAAAATAAAAAGCAAACCTTCTGGAATTCCTAGCACAGCCTATTAGTTAATATTATCTACAGTCCCATAAAGTCACTGGCCTCACCCCCAGGCTTGCTTTGGTATCAGCAGCCCCAAGTCAAACACCAAAGATGTTAAACTTTAAAAAAAGAAAAAGCACGTGTTAAAAAAAAAAAAAAAGAAACAAAAGCTGACATTTATGGTTTCAGGGTTTTTATTTCCAACAGAGGTGGATTTCTGCCACGGCCCAGCAACCCCCAGAGAGCTCAGCATGCCACACCTCCAAATCACCAGCCTCTGCAAAGACAGGTTCATAAGGCAATGAGGAAAATAAATGTCCTTCCATTGGCTTTGCCCTTTTTGGTGTATTTTGGCCAATCTCTTCATGCTTTCATTTCAAGGTACTAACCTGCCAAGACCCATAAGCCAGGGGGTATAATAGTCACTCTTGTTTCCCAGCGTGGGACGAAGCCATCACATGGACAAACTAGAAAGCTGTATTTACAGCCCCACTGACTTCCTGGGAGAGAGTTGTGAATTCAATGTCACAGTCTCATTTCTAATCTTGTTTCCAATTTTTCTTGACATGTTTATATTCTCATTTCCTGATGTGTGCCAAACAGCTTCAGAGACCCTTCCTGCTCTGGGCCCAGTTTTCATGGTGTTTGTCATGGTGAACTTTAATTATTTGCTTGACCCCATTAATGTTTCTTCACTAGACCGTCTGCTCCCAGGCACGTGACAGCTGTTTGTTCATTCAAGCCTTCGGGCAGCAAACGTGTACCTACTCTGTGCCTGGTCCTGCTGTAGACACTACAGACGCTGCAGGAAAACAAGTAGAGAAGGCTGTTCCTCTCATTGAATGCTTATCCGAATGAGGGAGGCAGAATCAATGAAATAAGGAGTGCCATGATGTAACTAAAACAGAGTAACTTTGTAGAGTGTGACTTAGAGCAACATGGTAGAGTCTGTGAGGAAGGCCAGTCTGTGCAGGTAACATTTAAGCTGAGACTGGAATGACAAGAAAAAGCCACATAGAGGTCTAGGCAAAGGGCATTCCAAGAGAGGGAGTTGTCTGGGGAAAGGCCCTAAGCTGATGATGATCCAGGGCAAATTAAGCAAGAGAAGCAGGACAGGAGTGTAACGAGAGACAGGAGAGGAGAGGTGTGAGGGAGGTAGGGCCACTGCATGCATTATCTTGCAAGTAGAGGTAAAAAGCTTTGGATTTTATTCTATGGGAGAGGTTGGCAAACTTGTTGCAAAGGTCTGGATAGTATTTTAGGCTTTGTGGGAATATAGTCTCTGTCATAACTACTCAACTCTGCCTTTGCCACCACAGACAAGAGTGGGTGTGGCTGGGTTCCACTAAGACAATATTCACAACGACAAGTGGGAGGCTGATTCAGCTTGCAGCTATAGTTTTGCCAACCCTTGTCTATGGCACTAGGAAGCCAAGGTATGTATATGGAACAGTCAAGGGGGAGGCATGAGCTGCGTGGCATTTTTTAAAAACTCTTAGGACTGTAGCATGGGGAATGGTCTGCAGAGGATGGAGAATGCAGGAAATGGGATAGACCACAGTGGTCTAGAGAAGATGGAGGAAAGGAGGCAGATATGGGAAGCATTTTGAACTAATTGATTAGGGAAATAAGGAAACGTGAGAAACTGAGGATAACACCCGAGATTTTCACTAGAACAGCTCAATCTATGGGGTGATTTCTGAGACAGGAGAGATGGAGAAAAAGTAAATTTGGGGAACAATCCAATAGTTCTTTCCTGGATGTCTACGCGGAGGTCTTCACTAGAAATTGCAATGGAGAGGTGAGTAAGGTGGGAACAGAGAAGTCCTGGAGCTCAGAGGGGCTGGGCAGAAGATAAAGGTTTGGTAGCCCTCAACATAAAGATGTCATTTAATACGGTGCTAGAGGTGACATCGAGGTGAGGAACGACAGAAGGAGAAGAAAATGGCCACTCATTACTGAGAGTTGGAAGAAAGATGTGTGGAGTGTTCTGCATTAGAACAAATGAATGCATGCAGAAATGAATGAATAAAGCCCACATCCCTGCATTAGGAGGGTCATCTTATTCCTCTCTATCTACAACCTCTATAGTTCACTGTAGAATTTCAGAGCGATGGCTATGACGATTTTGATCTTAGAATCAATTTGATTATTTAACGCCATCCCTGATACATAACCCATTTATCTTCATACAGGCTTTTAAGGACTTCCCAATTGGATTCTGTTTCTACTGACATCCATATAAATTGGAACCTGCTCCTTCCCTTCAATTCTTTCCCCAGAAGTGAGAGCTGATAGCCCCAGGTAAGTCCCCAGCCCCCACTGAAGACGCATTTCTTCTCTGAGGGTTACCTTGAGAGACAGAGGCTCTGTTGGTTATGATTAGATGGTTTACTAACATAATTGTGAACATAATTTGTTCTGATCTGCTTCTGCCTTCCAGTCAACCCACGTTCCGTATATTAGAAGAAGAAAGGGTTGGTGTGTGTGCATGTGCGTGCACACACACAAGTGAAGAGTGTTTAGTTCTGCCTGTCTGTGCCTCAGGGAATGGAATGTAACAGATGTTACAGTAACACACATTTTTTGCTTTAAGAAAAGGATGAAGGAGGTGGAGTGGGCCAACTTGTAGACACTTTGGATTCCAAATCAAACCAGAAAAAAAAGAAAAGGCTGCACACAGTTAGAAGAAAGTGCAAGCGGAAAAGAACCCCCACCAAGTTCAAAGGGACTTGTGTTTAATCAGACAAAAACAATTTTTATAGCCTCGGGAGCCCGTGTGGTGTGTGAGGAAGTTGTGCAGCAGGATGGCATTAGGCACTCAAGCCAGCATGCTTTTGTGTTATTTTCTTCTTTCTTTGTTTGCAACCGGGGTTCAAAGAAATTCACTGTGCAAAACAGATACTGAAGTAGATCATACCCACGAATTAACATTGTCATGACAAGCAGCTCTGTGTTATGAGCAAAATTACAAGTGACCCATCAAATAAAGCAGTTATTGTCTAAGTAAGAGCTCCTTTCTTCCAGGATTCCACCGTGTTGCTAGCTTTGTCTCTTCCACTGAAACGCTCATGCACCTGATATGAACTCCAAGCAGCCTCCTGAACATATTCAGTGAGCCTGACTTCAAGAGAAAGCCCCGAACGATGAGGAATTACCAGCTTGCAAGACATAGAGAACCCATTCCTTCTGAAAAATCATTTTCCTTCCTGAGCCCATTCACACAGGGCTTTGACTGTTTCCTACCTGAAGGTCACATGCATGGCCAAATCTCCATCTCATTAATTACAACTCTTGGCAAGCCATTAAAAATCTCATTTCATTTTACCATCCAACCTCCTTTTAACTGACTTTTCATAATTATAATTCTATTTTTGATATACTGGACCTATTAAATTTAATGCCATACAGAGATTTTAGAACTCCTTAAAAAAAGACTCAAATTGGACTGTGTCCACCAAAGGATGTGTAGTCCTTGCTTAGGAATATGAAAGGGGAAAACTGCAGTGCATTCTATTTTCATCCACAGAGGAAGAAAAGTCAAGCTAATTGCATATGGTCAGTATAATAATGCTGTCATTCTAGAAGGGCTATAATTAGCGAGAATTGTTTTCACAAACAACCGACCAAGCCCATGACTCCAGCTTGCATTAGTTCTTTTTTCCCCACCAGTTATAAACATTTCTATTTTTGCTCCTCCCCAAACATAAACATTACTCCATTAAAAATACCCAGGGAGAGGAGATCCTGACAGTATAACTGCAAACTCTGGGAATAGACATAAGCCTTTTTGCAAATGTTGAGTCTGTTAAAAGGATTAGAGTGCCAAGAGAGGGTTGGAGGAACTATTATCCAACAAGCTAAACTTTACCTGGTAACATCAAGGCGGGAAGCCCCAGGTGAGGCACCTCTCCTGGACAGAGAGGAGTGAGCACTCCAAAGCCCCATGTGAAGATGAGGGGCCATTGGGATCTTTCACATCTGAAGATATATAAGGCAAAACTTACTTAGCTCCACGTCATGTCGTACAGTATGGATGAATAACTATGGACAAAATTCTCTCTCACTTTAAACTACAGTTATTTAACAAACATTATTTGGACAGGAATTATGATCAGTGCATTTTCCAGTGCTGAAATTCAACTAAGAAACAGGGATTGTTGAATTTTGTCACACTAGACTGAGACAGTGGATCATCTGGAGTATCTAGCACTGATTCTCTCCCCAACATATGTTCAGAGTCCTGTTGCTCCAGCTTCTATAACACACTTTCTTCTGTCCCCACTGCTTTTTGTTTGGACCCTCCATACCTCTCATTCCATCACTGGTTGTCCACCTATGCCAAGTCTGTTCCTTGGTGCCTGGGCGCTCCAGTCAGCATCTCTAACATGAAACCTCAATAAGACCAAAGCCACTAAGAACCACACTGGCTCCATTTTACCTTCAAACCCATTTTCAGTGCTGTCCCTTGTGCAATTTTGGTTCTAACTGTAGTGAGTGCTTTTGGTCCAGGGACCACCCAGAGCTCCCTTGACTTCCCTTTCCTTACCTGGTGGTCTGACGCCTGTCGTTCTGACTCCAGCTGGGATGACAGCTGCCACAGAACCTCTCTGTGCATCTCCTTCAACAAGAGGAAGGGTCTTCCCTGTGCACACAGTGTCCAGACCTTGCCTCTCAGGTCCTATGCTGCAGCGTTCAATTTGTCTATTGACACATCCATCTTTCCACTAAATGGCAGGTGCGCTGCTATGTCCTACACTCCCAGTGCCTAATGCAAAGGCTGCCCTGATGCAGGCACTTGATAAAGATGTGATTCAATGAATGAATGGATGTGGGTTCAAAGAGTGGCTGAATGAATAAATGTCAAACACATTGATGAATGAATGAACATAAGTCATTCAGTGCACCCTCTATGTTGAAAGAAACGAAGCTGGAAAATAAGACAAAGCTTGGGATGCTAGGAGAGAGTTCTTTGAACTACATTTGGAGCATACCTGTCCTCTATGCTATGACAAATATGCCTGGAATCTAGAAAAGGAGGCTCTAGGTTGAGGCATTGAGGTACATGATGAGATAATTTTCTCTCAAAATTTTTTGATTCAAGGAGCAAAGCACTGGTTCAGACCCTCTTGCAAAGACAGTAGGATGTGGGGCTATGGAAAAACTCAAAGTGAAAAAGGTGAGCACATACATGTTAATTAGGGCTCAGTCCATTTCCTCTCCTAGACAGGCCCCCAGATCCTCAGCAGCAGCACCCAAACCAGACACATACACACTCACGGACACACACACAAAGCAGGAATACCACAGTAGCAGCTCCTCCCCCCACCAGCTAGAGGCTGCAGAATATGAGAACCTGGCCTTTGCAGTGTAACAGGCCAGGAATCTAGCCTCTGCTCTGTTCCATAAGCACCATGGGTTCATGGACTAGTTAATTAAATTCCTTAGTTTTTTTCCTCAGCTACATAAAAGGGGAAAAATAGTCACTTTATACAATTTTATAAAGACTGAATGGCATACTGTATGTAAGGCACTCAGTAAGCATTTGTTGTTGGATTGCTATTGTGAGGCATTGTTGAACTTGACATTGCTATGCTCAGCTTGGCTTGGTGTTTATCCAGTAGATTCCCTTTATAACATAATGGCCAGAATAAAGGAATGGCCAGAGAAGGAATTTCCTAGCATAACCAGACTGAAGCTGAGTTGATGATAGGTTAGACATCTATGGAATCTGAAATGAGTCAGTCCTTCCTTTCCTGAAGGTCATGATGTAACTTTTGCACCTATAATAACTATTCCCCTACAGCTGATTTTGCTGGTTTTTAAGTCAAAATTTAACCAATTCCAATTAATTCCGTCTTTATATTTGCCACCACTCCATGTTGGCTTGTTAGGCAATTAAGTATTCAAATTAGAGTAACTCTCAAATATTTCCTTGCAGAGGAAAAACAAAGAAACAAAAAACTATGAAAAAAATTACCCTTTAAAGGCAAAATGTCCATCCAGTTTTGAAGATTAAGAACCACTGGGGCAGAAGAGGGAGAATGACCTAGAATTCAGAACTGCAATGATAAAATTATTCCTTTGACAACACTAGGTGGCTGATTCTCCTAAGGTTGTCTAATAGATTTAAAAATTTTTGCTATCCTTGTTTTATGGAAATATAATGAGAAATATAGACATGGTTTTGTTTAGTTTTTAAATTCAAGATAAACAAGAATTTCAACTGTGACATTATCTCTCAGCAATAGCCTTTGAATCTCTTGTGTTGTTCAATGAACTACTCACTAGATGAACCACTGGCCTTTGCAGGTATTAACCTCTGCAGTAGGTCATCCTACTTCATCTGTACTGTTAGTAAATTAATCAAAAGCTAGCATCAGGTATGCACACACCTGCAGAGATAATGTGTACAGTGTTCTCCAGAGGGATGGGATTTGATTCTGTAGGTGACACTGATGGAATACAGCAGTCAGGGTCTTAAGAAATTGGATAGATTAAATATATCACAAAAGAGACATTTTAATAGTCTAAAAATCAGTAAAGGTGTTTTTCAAAATACATATAATTGAGAAAATATACACTACCCTAAAGAGAGAGTAGATTATGAGATAGAGATGCAGGAAAGAACTATCTCAATTGTGTCCCCCAAAGCAAATAAATTTTTATTAAGTCCAGTACCTTGCTTTTTAAAACAACACGATAGCTTACAAAAGAAATGAAGCTTTAGTACACACTCTTGGAAATACCTTTTCAGATGATGGTGAAAATAATAAAACTGCAATGAAAATAATGACACCCATAATAGGACACACTGGGTGCATACAATATTCTCGGCACTAGGCTGAGCAACACAGTGGGTATTTTACATACACATTCCTGAATCCTTGAAAAATCCATGAAGCCATGTATTAGTACTTACATTATTCATGCAAGAAAACTAGAACTCTAAGGAAAAGCAAGAAACACAAACGATTCTTTTCATTTTATAATTTTCTTTATCAGTCTGTGATTTATCTTTTGAATGCCTGATTTTCTATCTTCTTCATCCTAGGGGAGAGAGTATTAAGTTCTTTAACAGCAAAGGATTAAAAACATAGTCATTCTCTCCACCAAGATCTATAAAGTATTTTTTAGGGGCATAACAATAAATAAGACAGAAATCTTGCCCTTTAAAAACTCAAGTCTGGCCAGGCGCAGTGGCACATGCCTGATATCCCAGCACTTTGGGAGGCCGAGGCAGGCAGACCACCTGAGGTCAAGAGTTCGAGACCAGCCTGGCCAACATGGTAAAACGCTGTCTCTACTAAAAATACGAAAATTAGCCGGGCAAGTTGGTGGGCGCCTGTAATCCCAGCTACTCGGGAGGCTGTGGCACGAGAATCACTTGAACCCAGGAGGCAGAGGTTGCAGTGAGGCAAGATCATGCCACTGCACTCCAGCCTGGGCAACAAAGCGAGACTCTGTCTCAAAAAAAAAAAAAAAATTGCAAACAACAACAACAACAAAAACTCAATTCTATGCAGCATCACATACTTTCTTCCTTAAAAATAAGACAAAGACATGGTTCTGTTATACAGAAAGGAGGGAAAGTGATGAAAATTATACCAGCATTACCGCCATTTTTTCTGTGAGGTAGGACTGAGTCACATATATTTTTATATGTTGTGAGTTCTAGATAAATACTTAATAAATGTCTTACTCTGGGTTTAAATGTGAGTTAATCTGTTCCTCCCTATGCATCACCTTCTAAGAGATTTCCTCAGCATTTTCATCCACCTCATAATGCTCTTTCTCACTACGTCTATACTCTGTCTCATCCACATCATGATCTTTTGCTCTGACCATATTGATGCTACTAGGTTGGTGCAAAAGTAATTGCTCTTTACCTATGTATCTCTTTAAACACTTTCAAGTCTGTTGGGAGTTGGTCTATTTTGCGGATCTAGGGTCCAAATTCTGTCACTGATTGTTCTGCTGATGCGCTTAGTTCCATTCATTGTTTCATTAGTGGGTACCCTTTGACTTGAGTTCACCATCACCAAGAAGCTGTGTTTACAAGAGCCCCAAATCCAGAACTGAGAACACTGCCATGGGCATGAACACTAGAGGGCGCTCTCAAACTCGAAGATTTGGTGTTAAGGCCCCTGCTGGCAAGGAAGGTTCTTATTTGGGTACCTCGTGGGAACCTAGAAAGCAGGCTTGAGGCCCCAGTTTCGTCTTCATGAGACAATGTCCACCCACAGCCATCTTCCTCTTCTCGTCTTGGGGGGTGAATCTGCGGTTCTTTTGCGTTTTCCTTTTGCAGGTAGAACAGCTCACTGTAGCTTCCGGATTCAGTTTCTGGCCTCCCTGCTCATCAGGCTCAAGCCTCACCTGCTTCTCCCATCCCTGAGCATGTTTATAAGCCCCAGCCCCCAGAGGCATTTCAACTTGGGTTCCTACTGAGGATTCCAGACTTGACCTCTCTTTTTTATTTCTGTCCCCTGGAACTGTCCCTTTCTTGCTTTGGGGACGCTATTTTTTAAATGCCATTATATGAGGGTAAGAGATTTCAACCATCAACTCGGCCTACTGTTTTGCTGGAAATCTTACAAAAGAACTATCTTCTGTATGTTTTCACCTCAATTCCAGAGTAACTAGAAATACTACCCTACGAGGGCAGAGACACTTAGTTTGAATGCGATTCCAATGTTTTCATGCTGATAAATATGAACATTTTAAATCTTAAGGGAAGATAGGTAGTTTTAAGTCCGTCCTTTCAATTTTACACCTGCATTTAAAAATATAATTTAAACTACTATTTAACCATTAATTATATCCCAAAAAAAGAGGATATGAAAACCCGAGTGAACACAGTTAATGTACTTGCCCCCATGGTTTTGAAACCCAGCCCACACACTTCCCAAACTCTGTAGTATGCTCTCATGTCTAGATGAATATCAAATGTAAGATGATTTCTATGGTTAGGAGCTGAGTTGAAAGCAGAAACTCTTTAGTCTTCAACTACAAGTTTCATTTTTTTATGTGCAAAAGTGTCTATCTGCAAATGCACAAATGAGAAACAACAGACTGGCTGAAACCATTCAGCACCACACCTGGCTCCTAGGGAGTGTTCAGGATTTCTCAGCGACTGCCTCACCTCAGCATAATATTTGTAATGCGTCTTACTTTTTACTTTTGAGTTTATTTCTTTGAATAGGGTCAGGAAAATCCATTAATTAAAGATTCCAGGACTCTAAAGTACATTTCAAAAAAGCAGAATTGTTCATGAGATCTTATAACCATCCTAGGTTCTTCGGATATTACTTTGTGTGGTTATGTGGCCAGAGGAGTTTGGTCTCAGACTATAAAAGGCATAAGTCTTTCTAATCTGTTCATAACCAAATATAGCACACAGGAAATCACTGCAAAGCGCTGATATAATCTTTTCTGTTTTACTCCATCTGAAGATGGTTCCTGCCTGAACCATGCACACTAATCATTTAATGTTCTACAGAAGAAAAGAACAAACAGAGCAGGGAGGCAGATGTGGCCACATACTGGATCTACACTTAAAACAGTGAATGGCTGCTACCCCCACCTCCTGCAGTAGGTAAGGGGGGGTCATAATTACATGGTGGGGTAGGAATGGGTCAAAAGCAAATTGCCTGAGTGAGAGAAGTTCTAGAAGGTCACATGGTGAGACTGGCTGAAAAGTACCTCCAGAACTAGCAAATGTTTTCACTTGGCTTGAAGTCACAGAAAGAGCATTGCAGCATAATAGAATTACACATCCTTTGGGAGATATCCTTCTCTCACTTGGAGTGTGAAATTCTTGGTGATATCAACCGAAGCTCCACATAGTTATGGAGGTAAAGGAAACTGGAGGCTTTGAGAATTACAAAACATACCACAGATGGAATATTATCCAACTATATTTCTTGCCTCCCCTAAACATCAGTTACACGGTTCTGTCAAGAGACTCAGAGCTGCCAAGGGTCAGTTGCTCAGTTGTAGCAAAAACTATTTTCAATTCATGGAATGGCATGACTAAATCAAAGAAAAATAAAATAAAAAGGCATTTCAAGTGGCCAGAAAACATGGGGCATATGGAAGTAGGCAGGCGATGAGGCAGGATGTTCATGGGAGAAGCACAGTATTTCATTAGCTCCTTTAAAAAATGTTGCTGAAGAAACCTGGGGTGCTCAAATTTGGCTCAGAAGGAAGGGGAAGTCTTAAATAAGTATAGTAATGATAAACACATGCAAAGTTCACTATAATCTTCCCACTCTTTCTTTCCTTGCTAAGTTAATTTTTCTTATAGCAGGCATCTTTAACAACCATGTAAATTTATTATTTTCATATGTTCTTTCTTTATTCTCTCTAAATTCCAAAGATTGCCCTTAAGAGCTTTCAAAATCTGAATTAAATCAGAGAAGACATTGAACAATTTTGTGCAGACACCTTTGAGAGTGAAGAACTATATCTTATAAATGGTGTGAATAATGCCTTTGGCCCTTAATACAAACTTATTTTATAGCCCTGAATGTAATTCCTACTACATATCTATATTAGTCAGGCTTCACAGGTCTAGATGAAATTCTTTTCATCTAATATTTTCACTGAAGGAGCATAGCTTTTATTCACAAGGAACATCCTAATAGGATTTTAAAGCTTTTCCCAATGAGAGATGGCTTGCTTTTATCATGCTCCTTGAGGAGAAAAAAGCTTAAGAGGTTTCAAATAAACAGCTTATCAATATCAAATATTATTTAATCAGACCAAAGACATAGTTAGATTAAAATTATAAGAAGGACAAATTATTGTGCACCAGCTTTCATAATTTTTAATTATAATTTCTACAATTTTATAACGTGAGTTATTTGAAAACATACTTAGCTATTCCTAAAGAGAGTCAAATTCCCATTGTTCATCTCAAAAGTCATAAAAAGCACCAACAGATCCTTCCATTCTCCCAAACTTGTTGTGACTCATATTTTTGAATTTCGAGTCATTCAATGTCTTCTAAAATACAAAAAATATATTAAAATGAGGAATTATTTATTTTCTTCTTTGTATCTCAGAATTGATTGGGAATAATTTGCAAGGGTTGAGTTTTCTGTTTCTTGTCAAAAGAGTTTCTGTTCAGCTATTTAATAAAACATGTATTGAGTACTCATTGTTCAGAAAGAGCCCTTATGTAAAGCACAAGGTGGAGTATACATTTTATTTACTCACCAGGGTTTTATCACAGGGGAGACAGACATATTCCACAACACATATATAAGGATACCCATTTCTGTGGGCAGATGCATTAGAAAATATACAGAACTGACAACACAGCTGAGGAGAAAGCTAAACTACCGTAGTACGGATCTTCCTTGCTAACAGAACCTGATTTTGTTAAACAACCAGGGCTGGAGCAAGGGCAAGGCTAGTAAGTACCTCATTTGGAGTGTAAAATTTCAGGGGATCAAAAAATTTCAGTAATCAAGATAAATAATATTTTAATATAATATTTTTCAAGGTCTAGATTAATGCAAAAATCCAGGAGGAGCAAACCATCAACATTTTGAATAAAGACCCTGGAGCCCCAATGGGGCTCGGCAGGAGACTGTACTGATCCTGTCTTTATTTAAAATCTAGAGTGCTGTTCATCATTGCTTGATTTTTTTGCATTCAGATAGCTTTTTAAAATATTGCATTAGTATATTATTTATCTTGATTACTGAGTGTTTCAGCACCATTTAAATAGTGTACCCAAGATGAGTTCCTCACTCACCTAATCCTGGTCCCAGGCCTGCTGGACTCAGGACATAAATGGTGGTTTTTTTCCATTCTCCCTTGCCAGACACTTCCTTTTCAATTACACCTAGAGGCAGCCACACAAATAGCTCTGGCCATTCATATGCAAACAATTCTGCACATGGCTTCATGTAAGATTTGGCTTTTGTTGTTGATTTCTGATACTAAGCAGAGAGCAAAGAAGCTGGTTGCCCCCACCCTCCCACTACTGCCTGTCTCTGAACACTGCCAGCAGCCATCCTAACATGAAATAAAAACCAAGGGCAAGAGCCAACCCCGTGAGGATTATTGAGCAAAATGACAGCACTTGGGTCCTTGCTGCCACTGTTGAGCTCTGAACCAGCCCTGCACTGCTTACTCTTTGCATCTAGTTAGGAGACAATGAACATCCTTATGATATAAACCACAATTAGACTAACTATCTATTACCTGAAGTCAAAATATTTCTAATGGATATTCTAGCTTAATAGCCAGTGAGCTTTCGGGGTAAGGGTTTCTAAACTTTACTGCACTGATGACTTAAAACATGTATGTTAATATTTCATCTCTGAATCATTTGCTTCTAGGTAGTGAAGCAGTGCAAATTCTCAATTGGAATATGGCTGTAATCTCTTTATATGGCAATTAATTGTGGAAATGTATGCAAATTGGAGGTCAAACCATCATTCAAATAAAATATACTGATTTTTTCCTACTAAATATTTGTGACAAAAATGCCAGTGTCAATAATGTCAACAGAAATCTCCATTTTTATTTTGCTCCTGCAATAAAGAATTCTTTTTTTTTTTTTTTAGATGGAGTCTCGCTCTGTCGCCCAGGCTGAAGTGCAGTGGTGCGATCTCGGCTCACTGCAAGCTCTGCCTCCCGGGTTCACGCCATTCTCCTGCGTCAGCTTCCCAAGTCGCTGGGACTACAGGTGCCCACCACCACGCCCAGCTAAGTTTTTGTATTTTTAGTAAAGACGGGGTTTCACCGTGTTAGCTAGGACGGTCTCCATCTCCTGACCTCATGATCCGTCCGCCTTAGCCTCCCAAAGTGCTGGGATTACAGGCGTGAGCCACCGCTCCCAGCCACAATAAAGAATTCTATTGTGTTGTTGTTTGAGGATGAAGAAAGGAGGGAATTTTCCTGAAGAGATAAAGAATGTCCCAAATGTCCCTTATGTTCCCTTATTTCCCTAGTTTCAAGAGCAATAGAATCAATGTGGTAGGAACCTTAGATATAGTAGCCCTATGGGCTCATTTTTCACTTGAAGAAATTGAGATGAAAATGGAACACAATAGATTTTCTATACATCAGAGAAGCAGTTAACAGCAGATTCACAACAATTGCACAGGTTTCCTTTCCTAGTCTGGTATTCTTTAAACATGAACCATGATGCTTTCCAAAAAATTGACTCAGAGAGGAGGCCAAGGCACATGAGTCTCTGAGCAGAACAGCCTACATCGATCTTCGTTAAGTGATGCTGGAAGGCAAAGGTCTATAATTATGCTATCCAATATAGTAGACACTGGCAATAAATGACTACATTTTAATTTAACTAATTAAAATTAAATACAATTAAAACGTATTACTTTAGAAGTAACATTTCAATCCTCAACAGCTACACATGGCTAATGGCTACCATATTTGTCAATACAGAATATGAGCATTTCTATCATCATAGAAAGTTCTATTGGCCAGCACTGCTTTATAGCCATGAGTTCTCTTATTGTTCTGTTTCTAATTGTAGGAACAGGAAGAAAGGAAGGATCACCTATAGAAAACTCACCCTGAAAAGGTAAAAGAAGAATTGCATGCATTACTACAAAAGCTACTCAGGCTAAATATGTATCTCTCTTATTTCCTCTCCATGGTTAATATAATATCTATTATTCCAAAAAGTATTTTTATCACTTAAATTCAAAAGCAATCTGAAAATCAACAATTCTCAAATGTGATGGCACCTCTGAAAGTGGTATACTCAGAAATTTTCCTCCAGACTGCCTTTGGGAGTTAAATAAATTAACTTTCTTATGCCAAGTTAACATGAACTTAGCCCTTAAAATAACTTTGTGAGGAAAACTTTACTGATAAAACAGTCTGATATAGTCTGGTTGTTTCTTCTCTCCAAATCTCATGTTGGCATGTGGTCCCCAATGTTGAGGGTGGGGCCTAGTGGGCTGTGCTTGGAGAATGGGGGAAGATCCCTCATGAATGATTTGGGGCCCTCTTTGCCGAAATGAGTTCATGTAACATCTGGTTGTTAAAAAAGAGTCTGGGACATCTGCCCTGTCTCTCTTGCTCCCGCTCTTGGCATGTGATATGCCCATACCCCCTTCTCCTTCTGCCATGAGTAAAAGCTTTCTGAGGCCTCACCAGAAGTCAAGTAGATGTTGGTGCCATGCTTGTACAGCCTGCAGAACTGTTAGTCAAATAAACCTCTTGTCTTTATAAATTACCCACTCTCAGATATTCCTTTACAGTAATGCAAAATGAACTAAGTCACAGTCTATGGTGGGTTTTCATTAAAGATAATCTTGGATTTCAAGTAATTTGCTGAAACATGTACACACACATACACACACCTAGGTCTTATTAAATGTTACATAACACATTATTCAGAATTATCTTTCACATTGTAAAGTTCTCACATAATGCTTGGACGTGATGCCCAAAAATATGTGGCATTGTATCCTAACAAACTCAGGCTATTTCTAAAGCAATATGATTACTGGATTTGACACTCTCGACAAGTTTATGCATCCTCATTTGAGTTGGGACTAACGTAATTTCAAAAATTGGTTTCATAGAGGTATTATTTAGGTAGAATAATATTTACTCATTTAAATGTAAAATTTAATGACTTTTAACAAATGTATAAAACCTGTCACCACCTCTTCATCTTGATATAGAATATTTGCAGCAACTCAAAAAATCTCTCGTACACCTTGCAGTCAATTTCTTCCTTGACCCTATATCCAGGCAGCCATTAATAGGTATTCTGCTGCTACAATTCTATCTTCCACAGAATGTCACATAATGAGATAATGAATACATATTCTTTTGTATCTAGACTCTTTCATTTAGCATGATACTCTGAGATTTCATCTAGCTTGCTATCTGTATTTGTAGTTTGTTTCCTTTTTATTGCCCAGTAGTTCTCCATTTTACATAATTAATTTATTCATTTCCATTGATGAACTTTTGGGTTGTTTCCAGTTTGGAGTTTTTAAGAATAAAGCTTCTATAAACCCTTGGATACAAATCTTTCTGTAGACATTATTCAATATTATGTTACTGTTGGGAAAATACCTAGGAGTGAATTTTCTGGGACTTATTGTAAGTATATGTTTAACTTTTGAAGAAATGTCACATTTCCCAAGTGGCTGAATCATTATGCATCATCATCCTGCATTATTAACAACAAAACAAGAGGTCCAGTTGTGCCATATCCTTGCCAACACTTGGTATTGTCAGCCTTTCTAATTTTAGTCAGTCTGCAGTGTGTGTGGAGGTATCTCACTATGCAGTTATGTCTAAATTGCTAGTCCATTTTTAAAAATTAGATTGTTTTCTTAAGTTGTAAGACTTTATATATGCTGGACACAAGACCACATATATATATGGTAAATATGTGTATCTCTGTGTGTGTGTGTATGTATGTCAAATATTTTGCAAATATTCCCACACAGTGTATGGCTTGCTTATCCATTTTCTTAATGGTGTCTTCGAAGAGAAAATGCTTTTCATTTGAATGTGGTCCAATTTATCAAATTTTCTGGTATGTGCTTTTCATATTCTAGCTAAAAAATCTTTCCTAATTCAAAGTTTTGGAAATATTTCTTATATGTTTTCTTCCAGAGGTTTTTAAATTTTTGCTCTTAACCTTAGGTCTGTCATCCCTATCAGGTAATTGTTGTATATTGTGTGAAGCAATATTTAGAGTTTACTTTTTGCAGAGAGATATACCATTTTTCCAGTACCACTTGTTGAAGACTACTATTTTCTCATTGATTTACCATAGCCTCTTCACTAAAAGTTAATTGACAATATATATGTATATGTGGGCCTATTTCTGATCTCTGCTTTCTGTTCATTGCCTTATAGTTTTCCTCATGCAATTACATCATTGTTTTGAGTTCTTGTAGTGTAGGTCTTCCAACATTTCCCTGCAGAACAAACCAAAAAAAAAAAAATGGCAGTGCAGGAGCTTAGAGGCATACCTGGTTATCATTATGAAAGTTCCATCGCTGATGGAACATGTGTGATTAGATGAACCCCTTCCTTCACTTAACCCATTCCCTGCCTTATATTTTTCCTCAACCCTTATCACTATGTAACCAATTCTACTACATGTCTATATCTTATTATTGTCTGACTCTCCTAATAAAATGTAAACTCAGTGTGGGCCAGGATTTATTTCTGTTTTACTTCCTGGGGTAACCCTAGTAACTAAAACAATTTCTGGCACATAATAAGCACTCAATAAATATTGACTGAATTATTAATGAACTGGGCCTCTGCTTTCATCTTTAAACAAGTAATTCTCTGTGCTGAAGCCAGAGAATTGAGTGGCACAAAAAATCAAACATACAAATGAGAATGACAACCGTTAATCACCTTCTGAGAGCTGCCATGAGCACTCTGCTCAGCCGTTCCTGGCGTCAGGGTCTTGCTTCATTGATTTTAGTTAGCAGGGTTTGCAGCCTCTCTAAGGCACACCCAGACATATTTTCAAGGTAGGATGGGTCAAATAGTGTTACCCCGACTTTTTACACTGGGGATTAGAGGAATCCATTCATTTTGGTGCTTTAGCACACAACATCACTGTGGATGACAGCATGAGTCTGGCAGGCTCTTAATCATGAATAAGAACACTTTCTCACTCATGGAACATGTGTGATTAGACTTGCCCCTGAGTCATATGAAGGAATTGGGAGAGCAAAAGAGAAATTAAAGAATAAAGCTAGAGATTACCTCCCAGCCTCTCTTTAGTCAATAATAAAAAAGATTCAAGAAAATACAAATTTAAAGTGTTGATTAAATTAAAAACCAAAGTAAATAAGATTTGGAAACCTTCATGCAGTCTTTTTCTGTTGTTTTGTTGGTAACAGAGAGACATCACCACTGCTATCCACTGGAGATGGCATAAGCTTTGTCTCCCAAATGTAACCAAGGTGGCTTACCTTGTGCTGATATAAAGAGAAGAAAGGAGGACATAATCCAAGAAAGATACTGCCTAATTAAAACTTTACTCACCCCACATTTAATCTCCAACTCTTCCTCTGTACATAAAATAAGGATTTTTATCTACCTTCAGTATGACAAACAGATGAATTGCCCATTTAATGCTTAGAAAGATTATAATATACTTAAAGATAGATAAAATACAATAACGTACCATTTGAGGCCAAATGGAAACACTATTTTAAATCAGAATTCTAACAGTAACTTTACAAATCCTTATTCCCAGTTTTAACTCAATCAAATTGCACAACTTTACTTACAAGCAATCCACTCAAAGACTTAAAATAATAAAAACTATCTCCCTATTGAGATAAATCAACCAAAAAACAATTGAAATTTTACCTGAAGATAAAATATAAATATTCAATCTTATAAATTATTTAATTAGTGGCCCTAGAACGCAAAAGTAACATGAAAGTTATTAATAATTTTCAAAACTCAATAAACCATTTTCGTCAGTCTAATTATTGCTTATAAAAATGCACAACAGGGACCCTCTCAGGTCTCATCAGCCAAAGATCAATAACAACATTAAAGTCCAGTCTAAGTATTAGAACCAATTCTCTTTGTTAATAACTTATAGTGGTTACATGCTGCATTTTCTCCTAACATCTCTGTGCACTCATGAATAATTATTACATACCTAGATTATAGAATTGAAAAGTGGTTTTTTAAAAATATTTCATTTCTCCAGATAGAAAACTGACAATATATTTTAAAATCAGAAATGTATCCCAAAATGCATTTTGTAATGTAAAAAGCAGGCAATGTGGTTATACCTTAGCTGGTTCCTTTGCAAATAGATTAAAATATTTTGCCAATGTGATTTTGACATTACATCACATAAAACATCCAGTCATATGCATGATAATGAAAAGACAAATTATTCATGGAACAAAGGATATTTAAGGATCCATAACAGCACGTTTCCTCCCCAAGTAAACTCTTAAGAGGATAAGTCATATCCTATTCTGAAACAAGTGAAGATCACACTTGGTTTATGTAAATTTTAGTTTACAGAGAAAATGTTGAGTTCAAGACAGTTTTCAACAGTTAGCAGTGTCTTCCTATATGTTAATCAGATTCATATGAAAATGTTAAAACTAAGTATTAAAATTAATGTCATGCTATCTATTTCTAATTAAAATAAATGTTCTTAATTCCTCCTTGGAGAAAGTAGGACATTATCATGCAATCACACACATTTATGATTTCTAAAGGTCACAGTGGTAGATCTGAGACTAGATGAACAGAGAGAAATACTGGAAGCAGTTTTACCCAAGATTTATATATTCAGACTCAGAAACCTCTGGAATCTCACAGGGACTCGAGGAATCCTCTACTGCAGCCTGTCCTGTGGCAATGAGGTTGCTGTATCCTAATGAAGAGGCTAAACTCAGCCAGTACCATGACTCCACACAACTGCTTGGTGCATTAGACACCAGACAGCCAAATCCCAGAGAAGAAACAGAGCATCATGAGACACGCATGGAGCCATGGGACACGCATGGAACTGTGGGACACGCGTGGAGCCATGCGGCATGCAAGGAGATGTGGACGTGCATGGAACCATGGGATATGTGTGGAACCATGGGACACACATGGAGCCATGGGACATACATACATGGAGTTGTGAACATGCCTAGAACTGTGGACACACATGGAGGGATGGGATATGCATGGATACATGGACACACATAAAGACATGGATATGCCTGGAGCTGTGGGACACACATGGAACCATAGACAAGCATGGAGCCATGAGACATGCATGTAGCTGTGGGAGACACATAGTGCCATGGCACATGCATGGAGCCATGAGACACACATGCATGGAGCCATGTCACACACGTGCAGCCATGGGAGGCACTTAGATGGCACATAGAGGGAGACATGGATATGCATAGAGCCATGAGACACACATGCACGGAGCCATGTCACACACATGGACCTGTGGACACACATGGAGCCTAGCACAGAAACATCTCCTTCACTCATCCAGCATGCCTTCATTTTCTGAGAGGTTACAGTTTGTTGTACCTTGACACTGTCCGTGTTACGCCTTCTCCAGCCGCAGGAGGAGCAGGTGGCAGGCTGAGCAATGCCAGTGGCCCACAAGACAGCACGGGGTCAAGGGAAGAGTGACAGGAGGCCAGAAAACAGGCAAGAAGGGCAGTTATGATGACAACATGTAATATGCACATGGCCACATTAGAGAAGGGCAGAAAGAGCTTCTTAGACTAGGAGAGGGGCTGGGGGCACAGTGAGTGAATACGAGAAAGAGCCAACTCAGAGTTACAAAACATGTCAGATATTCTTCCTGTCAAAATTTAACAAAGCAATGCATGCAACACACACATAAATATAATGTAATATAATGATATGTTTTGAAAGGAAAATATAGGATCCATGAAAAATAATCATTCATACTGTGATATGGGAATAAAACCCAAGTTTAAAATCCTAATTGGTCACTTTCAGTCACTGTTTTTTCAATCATCTAAGACTACATATGGGGATAAAGGCAGCTGTTAAAACCCAAGTTCCTTAGGGAAGCAGCAGAAAACCAAGTGCAACCCCCTAGCCCAGTCCCGGTGATGGCCCAAGCTGGAGCAGTCATCTCAATTCCCTCCATGCCCTTCCCAAGCCACTGGAGCTAAATGTTGCAAATCCTCTATCACGAGTCCATGCAGCTCTTGCTTAAGTTTCAGAACAATTCTCAGGCCAATCAATAAACCCATAAGTAGGAGGACACTCTACAGGAACATTAAGGAGTTAAAGATAAAGATCGCTGGGACCTGGGAATGGAAATCAATAGGGCCCTGCCTGATTCTGCAGGCAGGAGTAATCTTAGGCATTAATGCTAAATGCTGCCAGCTAACACCCTGAAGAAAGGCCTCCAAATCAGTCATATGAAGGACCCACGCAAAGTACAGCATGACTCACATCACTGGTGGTCTTTCTTTGTGAATAATGTGAAATTGCTTCCCACAAACCAATTCCTATAACAGGAGCATGCTCTCTAAATAGCCAGCATACTGAGTAAACTTTAATCAATAAACAAACAAAAGCAGAATATGGCACATTGCCTTAAGTAGACATTAAACATTTAAAACTAATTTCAGAGATGGTTTTGAGACTCAGTAAGCATGCTGAGAAACATGCTGTCTTGAAGGGTCACTATTTTTCCCCTCTTTATTGGAATAGACATTTAAACAAATGACAAGGACATATGTGTGAACGGTGCATCTGTAATGGGTCAGGGTGTTTTAGCAGCCACTGCACAATCAGGGCTAAATATTCCAGAACACAGAGTCAGGCAAGTAACCTTGCAAACATAGCAAGCTGTTAAAGCGTGTTATGCAATGAACTCCACTAGACAGGAGGAGCCTGCAGTGGCAAATATTTCACAGAGGCTGGAAAAAAAAAAAGATTCTACCAGCATCTTCTGCCTAGCCAGGTAAATCAGATCAAGACTCTGACAGAACATGCTAAGTTGCATGAAGACGTTCCGTTACCATCCAGTCCTTCATCAGTAGCATCCTATGCAGAATGCCTCCAGTGCATAATACTATCTGCATGGAAATCAGGATTTTAAGTCAAGATTATCCGGTTCTCCCTTTATTTCCCCTTAGTCAGTGTTTCATCCTACTTTCTCAAAGTTTCTTGGAATGGTGCCTTACAAAAAAGCGTTCACGGGGAGTCGCAGAGACCACTTGTTCAGCTGTAACATGAGCCATTTCAAGGCCTGACTGGGTGCATAACATCACAAGACATCGTGTGTGTGTGTGTGTGTGTGTGTGTGTGTGTGTGACAGAGAGAGAGAAAAATAGTTTTATTCCCTCCTCAGAGAAGCACTTCCTTTCTAAGGCCCTGTACTCTTGGCCTGGGGCCTGCCTACCCCTCTTCAGCCAAGACAGAGATCTTCAGGAACTCCTTCCTCTCCCGCACCCACCCCCACCCACAAGCTTTCCTGCATCCTGGGTGCTTTGGCCTCCTGCCCTCCAGGCTCACTGGAGGTGGAGTTGGCTTCCTATAACTTTACTGGGCACCTGTTCCCAGTTGCTGTGCCCTCCTACAGCACCGGGGTCTCTGCTTAAACAATCATCTCCCCTCTCTTCTCTCTCTTTAGCCTCTTCCTTCACCTCATTCCTTCCCATCGCCATTTGAGGATGGTTAAGTCATGCTCTTTGAAAAGCTGTTCCC
Organism: Homo sapiens; assembly: GCF_000001405.40. NCBI lineage: Eukaryota > Metazoa > Chordata > Mammalia > Primates > Hominidae > Homo > Homo sapiens. The sequence goes on from NC_000005.10 coordinate 9,375,051, forward strand.
TGCCCCTTATGTCCTTGCATGACTGACATGAATTCTCTCCTTTTATATCTATCATCTAGTCCCTAACCTTTGATATATCCCCACACATATCACCATCTGGTTTCTTCCCCCAACCCTGCACTGAAACTGCTCCGATAAATGCTGCCTTTTATGTGTCCTCCCAAAAGATATACTGAAGTCCTAACCACAGGTACCTCTGAATGTGACCGTATTTGGAAACGGCACCTTTGCAGACAAATTGTTTAAGATGAGGTCGTACTGGATTAAGGTTAGCCCTAAGTTCAACATGACTTATGTCCTTATAAAAAGAGAAGACAAAAAGGCAGGGACACAGAGGGAGGATACCATGAGACTACAGACTAAGAGACTGGAGTGATGTGTCCATGAGCAAAGGAATGCCAAACATTGCTGACAATCATGAGAAGCTAGGAGGAAGCAGAGATCGGTTCTTCTCTAGAGACTTCAGAGAGAACACAGACCTGCAAACACCGTAATTTTGGACTTCTGGCCTCCAGAACTGTAAGAAGAGACAATTAGGTTGTTTTAAGCCATCTAGTGTGCAGTAATTTGTTACAGCAGCCCTAAGCAGCTAATACAGTACTGCTGACAGAATTTCTCAGAAAGTGACGAATTGTCCTGGCTTTCCCAGAACAGAAGCAACCAGGAAAGTCCCAGGAAGACCAGGACAAGTGTGTCACTCTTCCTTCTGGCATACACCTGCCTTGAACACTCTGCAGTATCTGACGCTCTGCTGGACATAGCCTTCTTGAAAATATCCCCATTCTTGGTTCTCAGAAAGGCTTGCCCTCAACTAGATAATTCCATCTGGTGGCTCACAGGAACTCAGCCTTTTCCATCTAAAATCACCACACCCCTCTTATCTGCTTTCTCTTCTTGATTCTATATGGAATCAACAGCCAAGAATGTGGGGATTGCAGTCAGGGCTTCCTTCTCATTCCTGCTCTACATCTACTGAATCCTCAACCACACTCCTTTCCAATTTCCAGAATCTACTTCTTCTCTACATTTCTGCCTCCCTTCCCTTAATGCAGTTCCTCCTCCCTTTGGTCTCAGTAGCAGCCTCAGAATGGGCTGTCCCTGCCGGCATTTTGTCATCCTCCAGATAAAGGATAAACTTATTCAGATGACTTCCAATGCCAGGCACCTCCGAATCCCCACTTGCCATGTGAGCCTCATGCCCTCCACCTCCTCCTCCATATCGTAAAATAAGATGTCCTGACTTCCTGTGCGTGAGGCTTGCCAGGACCCGCAATGCTCCCTCTCTCACTTCAGGGCTTATCACTTGCTCTTTTCCTCTCCCTGGAAACCTCTCCTTTCATAAGTTTTGTAAACACCTTCTAACAATCACTTGGGATGCAGTTCTGGCATGGCTTCATCCTAGAAACCTTTTTCAACCACCGTCCTACAGCCCAGGATGTGGGCTTAGAGCCCCTCTCCTAGGCTCTGCAGCACCCAACACAGGCACCTGTTAGGACCCTTCACAGAATATTACGCAATGGCCCTTTTGGTTCACATTCCTAAAAATAGTCTAAACCCTTTTAACAGGAACTGAGCATCTTCTTGATCTCCTCAATATCTAGTAAAAACCCTGTACACAACAGGCTTCTCTTAAATGTTCATTGAAGGTTCACTCCGAATTAAAAACATGCAAATAAAAATACACTGAGATGCCATTTATGCACTGAGTTTGGTCCAAATCCCAAAGCCTGACGGTGTACTCTGCAGGAAAGGCGGCAGAGAAATAGGTATTCATATCCAGGGCAACTAGAATGCAAAGTGGTGCAACCTCTATGAAAGAGAATTGGGCAACATTTACAAAACGACATATGCATTCACCCTTTGGCCCAGAAATCCCAATTCGAATAATCTCTTTCAACGGTACACTTGCAAAAATATTACATAATGTTTACAGGAGGCATTACTCACTGAAACACTATCCATGGTCACAAATGGCAGAAAATAACCTAAGCATCTCTCAGTAAGGTGTTTTTGATTAGGTTAGGGCTCATCACATAGTGGAAGCTATGTAGCTACCGAAAAAAAAAAAAAAAAGAATGACATCAATCTCTACACTCTTCTAGAGAGTAGGCTCCAGCATATATCATTAGGTTAAAATAATGTTACACAGAAACAAGTCTATATAATTGCCACCTTTCATCTAAGGAAAGAGAACATAAATATATATTTGTATGTGTGTGTGTTGCTTTGCTTCTATTACAAAAGTAGCCTAACCCATAAAATATAGGTAAATAGCTAAATGCAGAAAGAGCTCTGGAATAGGATCAAGAAAACAGGAAGCAAAGCTAGATTCCTTTGAACACCTTTTGCTTCAATAATTAAACAAATGATAGTAACTGGGTCTTGGGTTGGTGCCATAACCACGCAGAAAGAAATTATTTCTACTGGTTTTAAAGCAGTAATTTTGCTAATTTCACTAAAATTTTCCAGTGAAATATATACGCGAGGACAAAAAAAAAAGAGAGAGAAAAAAGTCATTTTAAAGATTTTTCAATAATCCAAAACAACTAGGTTTGCATGAAGCTGTTATTCTAAAATGACTGTGTACTAAAGAAAAAAGGCAAAGAAATAATTAGGTTGGTCAGCAGAGACTTGAGATTTTGTGCAAGGAAGAAATAGACACTAAGATGGGAAAGGTTAACAAAGACCCTAGAGTCCTGGAGATGAGTTGGGAGTATCAGGAGAAGTTTATGGTATGTTTTAAAAATGCTTTTGTTAGCACTGTCCACTGAGAAGACCTGTGGGCACCTTTGGTGCTCAAAGCATACAGAAATGAGTGATTCCCAGGTCTGTGGAAGGAAATAAGTAAAAGGAATAGGAACATCTTGTCAACCCAGAGAGTAAAGAAGCTCTCAAAGATGACTTGGATGGAGTCAGAAGAGTCCAGAAGCTGCTCTCAAGAGGCTACACTGGGCTTAAAATGCTATAATTTCACCATGTACAAGGATGTAAACTACATGGATTAAAATACATCAAATATGTTGAAATTCATGTATTAATAATAATTATAATAATCAAAATAAGAAAAAGGCAAACATAACATCTTATTCATCCCCTTTGGATGACAAATGAATGACCTGTGGGATGTTAAAGAACCAACCTACTTGTGTATTTAAAAAAAAATAAAAGTATAAATTGATGGGGGGCGGGGAACATTTATTTTGCCTTTCCTGCATAAGGTGTACCTTCAGGATACGTAAAGAGTTGATGAAGGAAAGATAGTTTATATAGAAGTATTCTAACCATTAAATGAGCAAAATAATAAAATGAGAAAATCCCAGTTTTGTACCCACAGATGAATCAGTAGATTGAGGCTGTGATCATCAATGACTGATCATTTCCCAGCTGGATATGCTCTGCCTCCTGAAGGAAATACGCTGCACTACCCATGACACGGTCAAGACAAAAAGATCCAAACCTGGATCTCAGCAGGTGTCTTGAGATTACTAGGAATTTACAGACATCTTTGGAAAGAGGAATATTTGAAGCACACAATCAGAATGCGATGAGCAAACTCCAGACTGTGGGAAACTGTCCAGGACAAAGAACTTGGTTTCTGTAATTTGCAAAGGGTGTGAAATAAAAGTAAAATATTAAAAGAGACTCAAGAAATATACCAACCAATGGCAGTGCATGGAATTTACTTAAATCTCGATTTGACTTAACTGGCCAAAAGATGCCGAAGTATTTATGAACCCATGAAAGATCTCTCAATGCCCTCTGGGTGCTTGATGATGTCATGAAATCATTTATTATTTGTTTGTTTGTTTGCTGTGATAATGGTACTGAATTCCTTATCTTTGAGTATTATCAACTGAAATCTGATGGATAAAATTATTTGATTTTTTTTTAATTTCCTCCAAAATAATTTAATGGGTATGAGATGAAGCATGAGTGGAAATTTAGATGAAAAAGGATGGGGATGGGCCATGAATTGATAAGTGTGGGGCTGCATGCTCCTTAGACTATTCTTTCTTTTTTTGTGCTCCTTAGACTATTCTTTCTATTTCCATAGATATTTGAAAGTGTTTGATACAAAGTTTTAAAAACAACAAAATATAAAACCACTTGTTGCATGAATTACTGAAATACAATGTCTCATTCATCATATTTAGCCTGATAATATAATTCCTTGAGGACAGAGATAGAGTCTATTTTCTTTTCCACTCTGAATGCTTGAGTGCCCCGGGTGTGAAGGACCTTAAATAAATTTCAATGAATGAAAGAATAAATGAGTGGATATACAGATTAATTATTTAATCCTACCAATCCATAGAGATACTTGGGACATTAAATCAATTCTGCTGCCATGCAATGCTAGATAGAAACAAAGGGCTAGGTTTGTGGCAAGACTAAGGCTTTGCAGGGAAATGCCATAGTGAAGAATTTTAGGCTTTCCTTGGTTTTGTTGTTATTTTTATGGTCACATTTTTATCCTTTGGTTCAAACACTTAGGAGGCCCACAGTACCTGTTAAATAAAGGTGACCAGAAATAATGAGATTTTTTTACCTTGGTAATCCCTGTCTTAGATCCCTCTTGAGGTGGTAATCAGTTTCTGGATATGAAATTCTAATGATAGAGGCTTTTGTAGTTTTACCTTTATTTTAAACTGTGTCTGAAACAAGAGCCACTGGATTATACAGCATTCGTGATGCTCTATTATCTTCTATCACTAAACACAGAATGTGCATTTAGATGACGGCTTTGCAATCAGTGCGTGCTGGTTCCTTACCTTTATAGGAGATGACTGGATGCTCGGTTCTCTGGCACTGAGTCGTACCCTGGGCCTCTGGGTGGGCGAGTCTCCACAGCCCCAGGCTTGAGAACAGCCATGCTATAACACAGGTTCCCTTCATGGTGGGCAAGGGGCCTCTGACTCTGGGCACGTGTCTTCTAAACAGAAGCTCTTCTTCTCCTCATGTGTGGAAAGTGCCTAAAACACACAAAAGAGAAGAATCAGATGACTGTGAGTTCGTTTTCTGGTGGGTGGTCTTCTGGTAAAACTTCCTCACTAACTTTAAGGTTACACTTTGTGGAGATAGAGGAGAGCTTGGAGGGCTTAGAGCAGCATATTTTTCTAGTCATATCCCAGGTCGTGTGTGTGTATGAATGCATGCGTGAGTGCGTGTATCTCAATACAGACCTCTCATTCTCCCAATAATTGCATGACATAGCCCATTTGTTTTAAACGAGAAATGCTCAAGCTTAAGCTGTACTGTCGTCACACTCACTCCTAAGGAATGCAGATTAATAGTTGGGATTGGCCGGATTTCCCTTGGTCACCTGTCCTAACCCCTTGCGCAAACACAGGTCTATATGTGGAAACCCTACAAATACCTGCCCATCCCTTTTTAACATTTAAAATATTTAGTTTTAAGAAGGCCACAGCCATTGTCTTTTACTAATAAATTGATGAATATTATGCTGCCCAACTTTAAAAAATCATCACGATTTGCTAAATTCTGTATTTAGTGATGCAGGATAACCTTTTAAAATTGTAGATAATCTGCCTGCAAAATATCTGGCTAGAGATCAAGTGTGAATCAAATAAAATCTATATCGAGCACCTACTGGGTGAAATAAAAGTACTATGCTTGGAAACTTTAAAGATTATGAACAATTTAAATGATTAACAAGCATTAAAGTAATACAGGCCTGTAAAAATAACTATAATCCAAGCTGTTAGCAAACCTCAAAAAGAACAGGAGTGCTGTGGGAGTCAAGGGAGAATACGACTGCTACAGAGAAGGATCTATGACGGGTCCATGCAGGGGCTCAAATCTGAGTGTAATGCTGGAGGATAAAGAGGATTTCAACAGATGGAGGTTTCTGGAAGGACGTTCCGTCCCCAGGGAGGAGGATGAAAAGGCACATTGGAGGGGCAAGAGGAAGAGGTACGCAACATGTTTTAGGAATGGTGTGCTGTACTCGATCTAGGAAGTTTAAAGGGAAGTATTGGGAAGAGCTTACAGAGTAGGTTAAGATATGGAAGGCAAACTACACTAAGGTGTGAGGTCTTTATTTTCAGGCAACAAGCTACCATAGTACATTAATGTTAGAAGATCTTATTAATATTAATAAGACCATTATCACAATAGTGTACCTAGGAAACTAGGCAGATGAGAACATAGAAATGGAGAAGTCAGTTTGAAGCCATTACAATTGTTAAGAAGAGAAATAAATGAAGCAGTGACTTTGAGGGTTTCAATGTGAATCAAAAGGCAAACATAGTACACAATAACTGTGGGTAATGGAAACTACGGCAAATTAGAGATGGCCACAGATTCGGGCATTCCTCCCATTGAGAGCTGGATCTATGTTCTCCACCTGGAATCTGGGTTGGCTCAGTGACTGCTCTGCTCGCTCTGCTCATTTTAATACAACAGAAGTCATGTTGTGCTAGTTTCCAAGCCCAGGACCTAAAAGCCTGGCAGTTGCTACATCCTGTAGCTTAGAACACATTCTTTAAGACACTGAGACACTAGGTCAGAAGTCCAACTACCCTGAGATGGCCATGCTAGAGAGAACACATTTAGGTGCTATAGTTGATGGGTCACACATGAGCCCAACTCTCCAGCCATGAGTAAAGCTGAAACCCATTGAGTAATTTCAGTAGATACTATGAGAGCAAAAGAATCTCTCAGTTGAACCCTGCCCAGATTCCTGACCCCACAAATGCAAAATGTAATAAAAGAGTGGTTGTTATAATCTGCTACATTTGGGGAACACAGAGCAAAGAGACACAGATGGACTTAAGATAGATAATGTAAGTGACTTCAAGGATAGTGATGCCATTCATTTTAATAGGATAAACAGCAGATGGATTTTGTTTAGATGAGATTAGAATCATTTTGTGTGTGTGTGTGTGTGTGTGTGTGTGTGTGTGTGTGTGCGCGCGCGCGCACATCAAGTTTCAGACACGTGGCCAGGCATGGTGGCTCATGCCTGTAATCCTAGCACTTTGGGAGGCTGAGGCGGGTGGATCACCTGAGGTCAGGAGTTCGAGACCAACCTGGGAAATATAATGAGATTTCGTCTCTACAAAAAATAAAACTAAAAATTAGCCAGGCATAGTTGTGTGTGTCTGTAGTCTTAGCTACTTGGGTGGCTGAAGCAGGAGGATTGCATTAGTCCAGAAGCTCAAGTCTGCAGACAGCTAAGAATGTGCCACTGGATTCCTGCCTAGGCAACAGAGCAAGACTTTGTCTCTAAATAATAATAATAAATAAATGAATACATAAAAGAGAGAGGAACTGGAAGAAAATCCAGAGAAAACTGAGGGGAAAAGCTATTAGGGTCCCAGGAAAGAAAGTGAAAGAAAGGAAAGAGGCCTTCTTTAAAAAGGAGTGCTTACCACCTGAACAAATGGTGAGATTTCAAGATAAATAAAACATAGATTTGAGGGTGTATCAAATTTCACTGTCTGTATTTTTTGAGTCAAACAAATGGGGAGGAAGGAAAAGACATGATAATTGAAATTTTGAAATTGAAGAGTAGAAAAATTAAGGGTTAATTTCATGGAAGTTGGCTCAATATGAATAAACCTGACCAGAAACCTGAAGGTCCAGCTGAGTTTAGAGTCTCTCACCCACTCAATATTTACTGAGTGACAACTGCATACTCAGCTCTATGCATGTATGAATTTGCAAAGGAACCAAGAAGCATGAGGTAAGGCCTATTGCATCGATAAGCAGCAACCATGGAGTTGATATAAGGAAGCCAAGTACAGAGTCACCAGGACCAAGAACTTCAGAGCAGGCAGAAGGTTGAGGTCCTTAAGAATGGAAGGAATTCTACAACATTCCCATTGACCAAAACATTCAGGTTGGGCAGAGAAACAGGTAATGGCACTGCAAATCAAGACAAGGGAAGAGTATAGCTTCTATAGGAATAAGAGATGCTGAGCATGAAGGTGGGGATGGGCTAGGGAGGAAAACAGAGAGCCAGAGGCTCATCTGTCCGCCAGCCCACAATCCCTGCCCAAGCACAGAGCACTGTAATGGACAATGGATGAGAAAATGCTCATTGTCCCTGGATTATAACATTAAAACTATGAGTTTCACTTTTGAAAAGGAGTTACAGTGTGCAAAACTGGTGTCTGCTTTAGAACTCCAGTCCAAAGGTAACAAGATGAAGTAGCCTATCTTTTCTGAGCTTCCTGATCTGAGACTTAAGATATGAAATGTTATCAAATGATGTATTTCAAAATAAAATAGCACTTGTTAGAGGTGCTTTAGATGTGATTTCATTCTGTTAAAAGCAAGGAGGTTTGGGGCACCCATATCAGTTCGGGTAAATTATCACAGTCCCACATCAAAACAGATCAGCAATGATAAAGATAAAATGGGAAGGATGATGAAGTGGCAATCAATCCTTAATACATGCTAGCTCTGCAGTAAGCATGGTGCCAAGCACTCACACCCATGCCTGGCACCCAACAGCCACCCAGAGCCATATCAATGATAAGTCCACTGTCACAGAGCAGCAAGCCATCATGGAGATGGGTTGGAGCACTGCCCTGTCATTATCTCCAAGAATGAGTGCAAATCAACTAGGGACTAAGAGCACATTCTTTTCTTACACATAGTTTTTCAACGTGCACATCTAAGCCAACATAGATTCCCCTTCTGCTACCGATGAAGGGCATCATCCAGACCTGCTTGTGACCGCAACTGTCCTTTATTTACAATATGCCCTCCACTCTGATCTTAACAGACTTGATGTTAGAAGCCCTAACATCTTTGCCACCTGAATGAAAGGAAGAGAAAAATAACCCAAGTGTCTGAAATGCTCTTTCCTTGGGATTTGGAAAGCGACAATTAGAGAAGAGGGGAAATGACACATATAGAGAATGAGCAGCTAAAATGGAACACGTAGTTCAAGGGTGATGAGCTGAAATGACATGTTTGTCATGTTAGGAAAGAACATTTAATGAGAACAGGTAATTTTTTGAGGTTTATAATTTTCAGACTACAACATAGTACCTTTTTTCTTAAACTAAAGGTACTGTAAACTGTCATTACAGTAAGGTGACAGGAAAGGGCATTCATAGTCTTCATGCAGAGACGTGGGCTTTTTTAAGCAACTTACCATGGAAGGCTAACTCCTTGAAGAGGCTTTTACTCTAAATAGACTCAGCTCTAAATAGCAGGTCCCTCCTTCCCGGACTCAGCAGGTCCATATTCCACTGAATCATGGAGCTCTTGCCTCTCAGTGGTGTAGGAGGAACACATTCATACCAGGGCTTTTAGTGCTCACGCTCAGCACTATTGATATTTTAGTCATATAATCCCGTGTTCTGGGCTATTCTATGAAATTAGCAGCATCCCCGGCCTGTACCTACTAGAGCTAGTAACACCCCCTCCCACCACCAACTTTGCACCAACCAAAATTGTCTCTAGACAATGTCAAATTGCCCCTGGTTGAGAACCTCTGCTATAGATAGATAGATAGATAGATAGATAGATAGATAGATAGATACATAGATAGATAGATAGATAGATAGATAGATAGATAGATAGATAGATACATAGATAGATAGATAGATAGATAGATAGATAGATAGATAGATATAGATAGATAGATATAGATAGATAGATAGATAGATAGATAGATAGATAGATAGACAGACAGACAGACAGACAGACAGACAGATGCATACATACATCTGCATATGCATACATACATAGATAACTTCCCTCTTTGGAAGTTAAACAAGCTGCCATGACTTGAAAGATTATTCAAAATATGCTTATATAAAACACCAAACTAAATTTGTGTTGAGTCATTCAGGCAAAATTTCAAGATATATGAAATTCCTGTTAATTATAACTATGTGCTACATTTGGGAAATACATTATGAAGGAATTTTCAAAGGATCAAAGTTCTATCATCATTCAACCAACTCTAGAAAAATAAAAATATATTACGTGAGTTAATATGAAACAAATGAATTTGCCAATATGAAGATTTATTCTAGAAAGCCAATTTGGGAGACAACATATAAGCATTTTTGGTGCGTCTACTTCAAAACCCCTGAAACCCCTAAACTTCCTTTTATTTTCCAGATGTAGGAGGATATCTCTATAAGCTCGATCTAAATAAGTACAACTCTGTATAGAAGTGTTTGTGCAATAAATAACATTTCTCATTCACTCCCACGCTACAACTGAAACTGAATAGGCTTTGGGGACAGAAAATAACTGCTCCTTTTAGGAAAAAAAATTGCTGTCAGATAAAAAAGAAATCAAAGGAATAAAAGCTTCCATGAGGCATTTTGCTTAGGGAACAGTGTCTAACCAGTTATTAGTAAAAACAGATCCAACATAAGCTTAATGTACTTTTCAGAGGAGGCTGGGTTTCTTCTGAGCTATAGGCCTATCATAAAGATGGATATAGCCTAATCTGTTGGTATAGTCCAGAGAGTCCACAAACCCCTCCTGCGCCCATCCCCTACTTGATGGCATTAGAGACTTGCTTTGGCAAAAGGACAAAGGAGTCAGGTGAGTGAGCTGACCTAGTGAGGTGGCCTCAGAGATGTCTCAGGAAGTCCTGTCCCATGCATGCCACAGCAGGACAATCCTTAGTACCAAAAGGCTGAAGCGATTGCTGCATGTGTGTCTCTTAATTAGGAACAGTTACAGATTGTCATAATGTAAAAAAACAAAACATCCAGGATTTGCAGGAGAAGGAGTTGGAAAGCGCTTTTTTTTTTTTTTTTTTTTGAGACAGAGTCCAGTCTAGTTCTGTTGCCCAAGCTGGAGTGCAACGGCATGATCTCGGCTCACTGCAACCTCTGCCTCCCGGGTTCAAGCAATTCTCCTGCCTCAGCCTCTTGAGTAGCTGGGATTACAGGCACACACCACCACACCTGGCTAATTTTTGTTTTTTTAGTAGAGACAGGGTTTCACCATGTTGGTCAGGCTAGTCTTGAACTCATGACCTCGTGATCTGCCCACCTCAGCCTCCCAAAGTGCTGGGATTACAGGCATGAGCCATCACGCCCAGCTGGAACGTGCTTTTCAAATGTTTGTTTTTGCATTTGTTCTTTCCATTTCTTAGCCCTGTTTTAAGGGATCAGATGAACTGCTCACACAGAAACTAGAGTCGCCTTCCAGACTGAATGCAGAAATACTAAAGAATCATTCCAGCAAACAAACCAACCCCGAAGCCATGCCCTACACACCCTGACAGAGCCAAAGATGGGGTCCAGTGCATGATTGTCAGCTGCTGCCCAGTAAATAGTTCTGCGTATTGAAAAACTCAGTATTCAGCTTCTGCCTTTCAAAAAAAAATCATGCTTTTAGAGGAATAGCTGAGAATGAGCTCCTTCTTAATCTGTCTCCACTACTCACACTGCAAGACCTTCCCTGTGGTCCCTCTCACCTTGCCAGGGTCCTCAGAGGCAGCCTTGCACACTCAGTAGTCACATCTGCACCCTTGCTGATGTCATGAGCCCCTCATCTGTCTAGTCCTCCCACTGCTCCTGGTGCAGACTGTCTTCCGTGGTCACACCATGGTGGCTGACACCAGCCACAGCGGCAGCTCCTTTCCAGAAACCCAGATGGGACATTAGAGTGCCTGCCACACCACTGCTTCCACGTGAAAGGTTGCCTTGGAGAGACCCAGACCTTTTGTTTCTAAGTCTTGATTAAGTTTTGCTTCTCTCTTTTATTGTAAACAATCTACACATAGTCCCAATGCCAAGTGTATGTGCTCCAACATGCTGAATTGGCTGCCTGAATGAACCTGAGAAAACAGAGCTAGTGTCCTATGGACCATTTATAATCCACCCATCCCCTGCCACTGAGTGAGCCCATTGTGAGGTGGCTTAGGCCCTTGGTACATCTGAGACAAGAAATGAGTCAAGGACTCCCAGAATTTGGAAGGTGAACGAGGAAAGATAAATCATCTAGTCTCTCTTCCCTCTTTGTAGCTGAGAAGGCTATGGGCTCAGAGAGATTAAACAGTGCATGTGAGATCAAAGGTGCAGTGACAGGCCACATCAGGATGGGTCCTGCTACCTTCTGGCTGCTTATATTCTACAGCCCAAGCTCTCTGCTCAGGCTTCTAAAACCACATACTTATGGCCACAAGGTCACATGACCTGAATCACCCCCAGACCAGGAGCATAGCCTTGTCTCTAGTGAATATAATCAGGGATGAACCTAAGGCATGAAAACGGGCAGTGTCTTCGGGGTATCCTTAATCTGTATTAAACCAGCCATAATGAAGGATTTCTTCGGTGGACAAGGTACAGCTTTCCAAGATAGGAGCGAGGATGAAGAGGACACTAGCCCCACTACTCCCAGATCACAGCTCAGAGTAGTCAAACAAAGAAAAAGCTCTTTTTATATTTATGAAATCGAAGTAGGAATAGAAGCAAAGTCGTCAGAAACAAAGAAGGAAGAAATCCTCCTGAATGGGGGAATATAGAGACTGTCATCTTTAAAGAGGTTCAAGTAGAGCGTTCAATGAAACAGGAATAAACAATCCAGGAGAATCAAAGCCCACGGTGTGTTCAGGCCTAGAAGGAATGTATTAAATGAATCTATGCTCTTTTCTTGCTGTTGTATCAGATATTCTAGGTACAGTGTAGGAAATGGAATTAAATGAAGAATCAATAAAACAATAAACTTAAGTTAATGCAATGTTCAAGTAAACAGATTCTTCTAATCTTTTTCAAAAACGATAACTGAACATTTTATTATTTGGGAAATACAGTGAAATTAAAGGTTTCTTCTTATTACATTGAGCCCATAAGGGGAATCAGGATGTTCCACAAATATATCACATCTCTTCAATTTTTATAGTGCACTTTTAAAGAAACAAGATCTTTTTTATATTATTTTAACCCACGTGTCTCGATTGCCAAGTTTCAGCTGAAAGAAGTTTGTCATAAATGAATTAGGGAAACATCTTTAGGAATGTCTTACTGAAACACAGACCACTCTTAACTCCAGAAACACTACTCACTGCCACCTTCAGGTAACTGAAGAAGTTGGCTTTGTTACCCACAGATTTTCATCATATCTGAACTCAGAGGAGATGGAATTTTATGGCTATATAAAAGGACCTCATGATATAAAATGGAAAAAAGCAAACATTAAACTATTTTATACATTTCAATAATGGTTCGGCTCCAGTGACCTTCTTTTATATCTCCCTTCAAAGGGAATTGTTATTATACTTTTGTCTTCTTCCCCTTGTTTAGCTCCAGATCGCCTGGAGGAACGATAAAAATAAATGAAGTCCATTAGATAAAATTATTATTTACACAAAGGCAATATTAATTTTATCTGTCAGCAGGTTTTAAAACTAAGTGAAAGTTCATTCAATCTACTTCTGTGTCAGCTAAAGCAACAAAAGTCCTTTCTAAGAAAAAAAAAAAAAAGAAAAAGAAAAAAGTACTTAAATAATGGGCTTTCAAGGCAATGTAACTACCTTGGCAATTTCTAAAGAATTTACCTAGAGATGTTTCCTCAGGGCAGAAAATTCATGTGGACACACTAAAATATTCCAGTTATAGGCCGCGCGTGGTGGCTCACGCCTGTAATCCCTGCACTTTGGGAGGCCGAGGTGGGCGGATCATGAGGTCAGAAGATCAAGACCATCCTGGCTAACACAGTGAAACCCCATCTCTACTAAAAATACAAAAAATTAGCCGGGCATGGTAGCGGGCACCTGCAGTCCCAGCTACCCTGGAGGCTGAGGCAGGAGAATGGCATGAACCTGGGAGGCGGAGCTTGCAGTGAGCTGAGATCTCGCCACTGCACTCCAGCCTGGGTGACACAGCGAGACTCCGTCTCAAAAAAAAAAAGAAAGAAAGAAAGAAAAAAAAGAAGGGAGCACCATTTTCTCTTTCGTCCACTGCAAGATGTGGAGTCTATGCCAACACAGAAAAGCAATGCTACCACAGTGGGAAGAAAAGACGATACCCTTCTACTGTCATCAGTCTGGTCAACATCACTGATTACTTCCTGCTTGTGAAATCCAGGAAGCTTATGTAACTAGATATCTCCATGGCCTTTGTGACCACTGACCTTTCCTTGAATATCTCCTGACATCCTGTCTTCCCTGGATTCTGTAACTCCCCAATCTCTCTGTATTTATTTCACATCTGGCATTCTCCTCGAATGAAAGTACACTCCAACCTCTTCTGAATGTTCATTGTTTTCTCCATCTACACGTTCTCAGAGGCCCTTTTCTTCAAACCCATGTGATTTCACATGGTCTCTAAAAACTGGTGACTCTCAAATCTAGATCCTCTCCCCAACCTCTGTATATAATCTAGACTCATACATCAAAATAGGGGTATTTACATATAAAAGCCAGTGTAACTGCTCTAAAGCAGGCCTCATTATCTGTCTTCATCAGCTGTCTCCCTTGCGTCTGCTTCCTCTCATAGCTAACTACACCATCACTCAGACAGCCAACTCAGAGCTCAAGGGATACCCACCATTCCCTCCTCCTCCATCTTACCAAAACTCACTCCTCATTTTGTGAGTGTCTTGACAATCCTTCCCTTACCCACATTTAGAACCCATGCCCTCCTCTGGAATCCATGCCCTCCTCTCTGTCCTGACCAACCTCCTGTATTTCTTACCTCTGCAATTTCAGCCATTTTTGTTGTTGTTGTTGAGTTTCCTTGCTGCTAATCCCAACCCTTAAGCATCACTTCTATGGAGCCTTCTATGAATTTTTTCCCACTTTTCTCTCGTCCCTATCTGGCCCCACTGTACGTTGATTCTTATTCCTGTTACAGCCTTTATCATCCTGAACTACAATTACCTGTGTATCTGCCTCCTTCTAAAACAAGGCTGTTAAAAACTCAGTCTCCAGATAGTACTGGACATAGTGCAGAAAAACAATCAACACCTGAGAAGTGGATTGATGGAGAAAAAGAATGCAAATCCACATGTGCCTCTCTACCTTACCTCTGTACCTCTTTACAATATTAGCACTTCCATTAAAATGCCATCCAAGTTCCCTTTTCTTCTATGACTCTGCCATTCGTTGTCACAGATGTTTTATCCCTCTTTTAAAATTCTCTTAACATCTGGTCCAAATATAAAGATTCCCATGGTTTTGAAAAATGTCCTTTCTAAATGTCATAATTGTCCAATTAATGGTCAAAGGGATGAAGGGATTACTATAGCCAGACAGACTTAAAAAAAGGGGGGTCCCCTGGGCCTGGAAACATGAAAGCAGACGGAAGATATCACCAAATGTATGAACCCTGAGGGGGTCAGATAAGTTATTCCAGCACAGATAATTCACTGGAACCACTTGAAATGTCAAAGGACAAAAAAGGAGGATATTATAATTCACACCAGAAAGAAACTTACTGAATTAATAATTTTAGGTTAAGAAATACAAATACCTTAAAATATTATCAGATAAATTTACAGTAAATAGACTGCTAATAAACTTAGATAAACTATTTAGCAGAAAGGCTTCTGATCTGATGTTTTCAGATTTTAGTCAGGAATAACACGGTGTATATCTGATGAAACCTTTTAAATCCAATGGATTAGACATGTCAATGCCGATACCTTTGAGTTAATTAGAGTTTGTCACAATCTTTGATCTCAAAAAAAAAAAGTCAGACCTCTAGAGCACTAATCACCATTTTTGGTGAGTATATTAAAAATAAAAATAAGAAATCCATCCTAAAAGAAAAAATTACCAAGACATATCATATAAAAATCAAAGATTTCACTAACTAGACAATAAAAAAGATGCAAAAAATCCAAAGTAGGTTATGTACACTACTCAAACATCTTTTACAGGTTTCCTGAAATAGACCTATAAGATAAGTGTTCTCATTCCTTTGCCATTTTGCAGATGTGGAGACAGGACTCAAGGAGGTCCCATTTCCAAATGGAAGAAGTAAAATTTTAACAGGTAAGTCCCTGGCCCTAAAACCCAGGGTCATCTTGCTGTCCTCTCACTTCTACAAAGATTGTCTATTGACTAAGGATTAGGAGTCATGCTAGACACACAGGTCATCCAGCTGAAGAAATAAGCTGATGATTTATTCCTACTAACTAACTTCTTGTCGGGCCTGAAAATGTGTTTTCTTAGAGAGGAAAATTTCACTAAGTAACTAGCTGCAGCATCATTCACTGACCCTGGGACCAGAGACCTCACTGACCAGGATTTAATCCAGCAAATGACGCAATGGCTTTGTCCGTGTCATGTGCCCTCCTGTCCTTGAGGCAGGGGCAGAGGGGCAGGATGGGCTCATTCAGTCCCATGACTTAAATAACATTTATCGGCTGGTGAATATAAGTGTACATATCACCTTCAACCTGTGCCTGAAACTGCAACTTCATCTGCCTCTTCATCTCTACCTGAGACAAAGAATTGCCTCCCAACTAACCAGGATCAAGCAAACCACTGGTGGTCCCCCTTCCCCAGTCTACTTCCTGGCTGAGTCTTCGCCATCACAGCTGGAGTCATTTTGGATTGCTCTAATTCCCCCACACAACACTCTAAACCATAAGCAAATCCCGTCACTACTTCCTCAAAAAATGTATACCGCACCCCTGTCCCCTTCTCTCCCATCTGCTACTGCAATCCCACCTCAAGCACCTTCCTCTCTCACCTGGATTTAGCAGAAGCTATTCTAATGTGCCTTGGTGTTTTTCATTCATGCCCCTCAAAAGTCCATTTTCTGTGTTGCATCCAGATAAATCTTTGTAAAGAGCTCATCTGATTAAGTAATTTTTCCCTGTTCAAAAATTTCCAATAGATCTCTTTGCAACCTCCCTAAAATGCAAGATCCTGACCCCACCAACAAACCCTCCTCCATGGCCACCTCCCTATTTCTACATGATCTCCAGCCTTCCTGTTCCCTGTGCTCCCGCCACACACATGCACACACACATATGCACATGCACGCGTGTGCATGGAACTGCTTTCTGGTCTTGAAACCCACCAAGCTCATCACCTTGCAGATGGCGCTTGCTGGCCCTTAGATCCTAGATCTTTTTCTACATTCTCCCAAGGTCCCTTCTCACTATTCAGGTTTTACTAAAATGTCACCTCTACAGGAAAGCCTCCCTGGCCAGGCAGGCTAAAGTACCTCCCTTTTACTCCACTATTAGATTCCATTATTATTTTATCTTCTTCACATCACTTAAAACTACTTAAAATTGCTTGACTGATACATTTTTGAGTTTGGGAATTTTTTTACATCCTATTATATGAAATTGATTTAAAGGATCTATAATTTTCACAGCTTCTCCTTTTAATGTGCTGTATGTATATCAAAATAACATGTTGTACATCTTAGGTATATACAAGTAAATACATAAATAAATAAAAATATTTCATAAGATACAGGTATATTCAGTACCTTCAAAGAAGGTAAATTGAGGGGGGGAAGCTTCAGTAATGGGACAGAATAAAATATATTGGCGAGCTCAATGACAGCAAAATAGTTTCCAGAGGCCTTTGTCCTCAGTCATTTCAGTGATATTGGATATGTATGCTTGTGTGGGAGGAATAACAGGACTTAGATTATGATAGTCAGTTGATGTCCTTGTGTGAGTCCTGTTTAACACACTGGAATACAAGTAACTGGAGGACAGATTTTATTTTGTTCTCTTGCTATCCCCAGGGCCTAGGACACAGTATGACCCATATAAATATTATCAACTGATTGACTAGGCAGTGGAAAGGCCAGAAACCAAGATAGTCATTTTCCAAGTGATGGATAAACTCACTATGAAGGCCAAGATACCTTCTACTAAATAAAGGCAATGAATCATCCACTTTATTTTAGCCATTGAGCAGTGCTTACGGCAAGTTTCAGGAGCACTGCTATGGAAAAGTACAAGTTAGTTCACAGTCAGCCTATTAGGTGAAACTTAGGAATACAAAGTCAGTACAGAATTAGCTTCCCCTAAAGCATCTAATGATTAGCACATATGCGATGCTATAAAATCTCACATGCTGTGAACATACGGTATCTCATCCTTCAGTTCATTAGCCTGAAATGTGGAGAGGTCATGGAGGACATTACAATAAAGGTCTCCATGGTGGAAAAGTAACCCCCAAGTGTGTTCACTTCTGTATTTCAAAATATTAAAACCTATGTGATGGGAAATATGTTAATGAAAATACAAAAATGATCCCATCCTAAATATAAAGCCAGAAAAGTGAATGACAGATTGCATCCATTTGGTAAGTAGCTCCTAAATACTGAAGGGGTTAAATACTGTTGCTGGATGCCTGACTGTCTCCTTTTTCAGTCCAAAAGAGTGAGAACCATCTACGGTGTTCCTCAGCCTACAAAGTACCAGTGATCCACCCTGCCTCCAATGCTAGTTTAGGAGAGGCAGCCTTGCATAGATACTAGGAGCACAGACTCTGGATCCAGATCACCTGGGTTCAAATCTTCGCTCCACCATTAACCTTATGCTTCAGTTCCCATGCCCTGTAATATGGAGATAAAAACCATAGCTTAAAATTATATGAGTTAATTTGAAAGAACTTAGACCACTTACTGGCAATTACGAAGCACTAAAAAATTTTGACAATTATAAACAAATAAAGGCTATTTAATAAAAAGAAAAATGCTTTATAAATCTTGTAGGAAAGACACGTCTAACAAACAAATTAGTGTCTTCCTAAAAAAAGACAATAAAACCAGTTCAGTGTTTAATAAGAACAGTGAGAATGTGCTGCCTTAGCCTTAGGAAAATTCAACATCTGCCCAAGAAATCTATAAAAGAATGCTCATAGCAGCATTGTTCATAATAGCAAAAAATTAGAAATAATACAGGTGTCCATTGAGAGAATGCAAATATTCATGGTCTCTTATATCACAGTGAAAATGGATGGACAACAGCTATATGCAAAGTAAATATTAGAAATAAGAACGTTGAGAGAAAAAAGAATAATATAGTAAATCAATATTTACCGCCAATAAAAAAACAAGCACAATTAAACAATATTTTGAATTCGATAAAAGTAAATGTGCAAGGAAAAGTAAAAGGAAGCTTCACAGTAGTGCTACTGTGAATATGAATAAGTGTGGTATGAACAACAGAGGTATTCCCCAGGATCAAGCCCCCAGTGGAATGAGGTCACCCACAGTCCTTCTTAGGCCCCACACTTTCCCACTTCCACCCTTCTGCCTGGAACACACTCCCCCATGTCCATTTTAGAACCTTATCCATTCTCTGAGGTCCAAATCAAACACCAGCTCCCCCAAGAGTGGTAACCATTTACCATGTGAGAAGCAAGGAAGCCTCCAGGAAGCGTGCTCAGGACACACCATTGCCTCCATGGCCCTCAGCACGCCCTGCCGTGGAGTCTGGCTTCCTGTGATGTGGGATACGGTGTCCCTGCTGTACACTAAAGCCACAAGACCAGAGCCTGGCCTGCTTGTTACTGTGGCCACTCACTGCCCACCAAAGTTTCTTGCACGTAGAAAGTACCTAATATTTATGGAATGAACATAACAACCAACCGAGCAATAACAAGTCATGGAAAGAAGCCCCAGGTTGATCTGGGAGGAGGTGGGGGAGCAGGCAGGTTTTGGAAGTGTGGGAATCATGTCAACGAAGTGGAAATAAAGAGACCACACTTTTGGCAGAGAAATGAAATAAAGTCTCAAGATAGAATGTACCAAGAATGGAGGTAGCAAATGCATTTTTGTTTGAAAAGACCAAAGTTATAAGTAGTATGGCACATCCATACTATTAAATATTATACAGCTTATTAAGCCAATGTAGTAAAACTCTATATACTGAGTTTATAAATTCAATAATGATGTGAGTGGAAAAAAATAAAGTGCAGACATTTATTTATCTATAGATTAAAAATAGAGAAGAAAAACTCCAATGTTTGACTAAAATAAACTAATTTTTTTAATGTTTGTAAGTGCCAAGAAAATTGTGGTTACTCCTAAGTCGTAGGAAAATTTTTAAAAATATAATTCTATATTAAATTTTCAACAATATGCATTTATTAATTTGGTAATTTAAAATGAGCAAAATATTTACATTTAAAGGAAGGAGGTAAGATTAGTTTTATGGGTTAACCAGTGAGACAGGACTTCAATGCACATATTTAGATCCAGTTCAGGGTTGACTTGCCAGGTATAAGACAGCAGAAAACCATGGAGGGAACCATTGCTGCAGTACGGAAAAGAAAAAACTGGTTCAAAGAATGGGAGGTGTGAAGATATAAACCTTCATAAAGCAGAGGTCTTCTTTCCATAAGTGTTCTCCAAACTGAACGTGAAATCTTTGTTATTCTCATGTAAAGTTGGGCCAAAAAAAAGTTATGTTCAGAATGTGTGGCGTACAGGTGTAGCCTGTAAGTCAATGATAGCCATTCCTAAAACTGGAACCTGCTACCTCTTACTTGCTAGACTCAGTTTACCTGGAGGGAAAAAAGTCACTTGTACCTAAGGAAATGAAATTGGTTTTATCAGCTGCATCAGATAAACTATGTTATCCAAAGCTTTCTGCTTATACCAAGAAGAAATGCTCAGGCACATAGTCATTGACACTTTCCACTGTGACTTGGCCATACTGCATTTTGGTCCTCAAAGTGGCCCCCGTAGCTAGGTAAATAGAACACACCTGTTAATTCGTTATAGGCAAAGTAGCACACATGTTTTTCTCTGTATGCAATAGATTACATTTCTGGTTGAGTGAGTAGATGAAAGTGATGTGCCTTCTCTAACATCATATGTAGGAGGAAAAATGTTCTGCTTAATCTTACTGTTCAAGAAAATCCCTGCAGTTCTCTTTGATTATGACCACAGTAACATAAGAGACAGTTCATTAACCACAGAGATGAAACTGGAGGAGATGGGGCTGTGCTTTAAGGAATAAACACTTCATTCTGGAAGGTCAGATGTTTCCCAAGCACAAATCTCACAGTTTAAGGATACTTCCTTGCAGGGGCACACAGACAGATCTATTTAGTTTAGTAACTAATACCGTGTATCACAATAAATGACAGGTTGTGGAAGGAAGCTACCCACACGAGAAGTCTGGAAAAAAGTTAGTTTACAACTTGTAGGATCAGGCAGTACTTTAATGACTGTGAGTTTTAAAACACAAACATGAGGCAGTTGGTTGGTATGGCTGCTTAACAGAACGGTCTCTTTTGATTTAATGCGCGTGCGTGCACACACACACACACACACACACACACACACAAATACATCCTAAGAGCTTAACATTATTTATCTACTTTGCCTAGTTGGTTTCACCTCTAGGACATTCTCCAAAGGAATTCATCAGATATTTTGTGCTGGGTATATTTTCTTGATTTCTGTATTCTTGATCCTCTGGCATTTGGAGCCTTGTTTCTAGAGAGACTGGCCCTCCTAGGGCTAGCATATTCGTAAAGACAGCAAACAACACCCCAGAGGATACCTCTGCATACCTACCAACCAGCCAAGCCAGAGCCCCCACTCTCAACCATCTCCTTTATCAAATTCTCACCCAATGTGCTAATGTTCCCCCTACCTAAAGCACCCCAGAGCCAACTACCACAGCAGTAGGGAACACCACATAGCCCAGCACCCACCAAAAATACTCAAACTCTCAAATCCTAAACTTAGTGTACTCACCCTGCCTTGCCCACTCCTTACAGAGAGAACCCCAGTCAAGCCTCTGCAAGCCTCGGTTTTCTTCTGCCTCCCAACCCTCCCTGGTCCTTCCCCACGTGGCCCTGTGTAGCATTATGAGCCTCCTGTTTACAGAGTCTGTGAGCATAAACCTTTTCTTCATGACCATCATGTCTGCCTCTGCTGTCTCACCATCCTTGATTAACACAAATCCCACAGACATTTTTAACATAGATGTCAGCAAAGATTTACACTGAAATATATTCAACCTAGTCTGATTATTATGTGTTACAAGCATCGTTTGGAAGCTTCTACTGAGGAAGAGGGAAATAGTTCTATACAAATGGAACAAGGAAGACAAAAAAAAAAAATAGGACCAAAGAAGACAAAATAAAATCAGGAAGACAAGACATTGCTTTTAAGATAAATATGCTCAAGTTATAATATTAAGTGTATTGGCAAGAAACTCAACTCTATGTACAGCACATAAACAAACACACACATAGTTGCACACCCACATATACACATCCACACAGCTGCACACATAAATGAGTGCTCATGTGAATGCACACACAAAAACACTTTCATATTGAAATATAAACATACATTTCTATAATTTATAAAACCAGCTGCACCTATCAGTGCCAGGTTGCAAATTCCAGCTCAGCCACTTCCTGGTTGTGTGTTCTGTGCTTCCATCTTCAAGTGGGGATAATACTAGCACCTTTCTCATATGGTTTGTAAGGATTTAATAATTTAATCAACGTAAAACACTTAGAACAGTGCCAGGTCCACTGCAAGTACTCAATAATGGTTAGACATGACAATGCAGGTCTTTAAGGTTATAATGAACATCTGGAGAAAAACACACCCAATCATTAGAACATTCTGAGATATATGGCTTTGCACATTTTTAATGCTTTGGGGCAATTGTTTTTGCAAGATTAATGTAAATTAGCATGTATGATTATTATAATAAAAAGTCATGTATCCTTTTGCTAAGAAGATGCTGCAGACAAGAATCAAGATGAATTGGGAGCTTAAGCGCTGTCTCTAATTCACACCACCAGAGGATTGCAGTAGCTTTACTAATAAGTCCAGTCCCCATAAATTTGTTATACATGGTCATGCTTGAAGATGGCATCAAGAATGTGGAAGACAGTGTCAAAGACAGCCCTTAATTATTTTTAAAATGACTAGAATTCTCATACCAAATTCTCAAATCACCATCCAAACAGCCTCATCCTAACTCCACAACACCATGTTGATCACGATTCCCTGGAGCTTGGCATGTGAGTGGTGCTCTTCTGATAGGAAGAGCTGATCCACGCTATCATCTTCAGAGAAAAATAAAATAGAGTGCAATGATATGCCCAACTTCTCTACAGGAAATCCAACATGGCCAAGTATTTTTTTTCCACAGTAGAAAACTTGAATTTAAATTAGATTTTTTACATAAGCAGCACAATGACCAAAGACCACTGACTGAGATGAAAACAGAAAAACACACGTCAAGGAAAACACTATGATATCCAGAAGCCTAGAAAAAATATGACACTGGTGTGGCATCAAATTCCAGATCAAATTAAGTGCACTGGTGGCAAGCATCCATAACTTCCTAAATGGAAGTCGGAGCTAAAGTGTTCAAAAACACCAGAGCTGGCATCTTCATTTATCTTGAGAGTTTCCCCCACATATCGTACTGAAGATAAAATACAATGAGATCATAACCCTTCAAAAGCGTAGCTTATTGTGCAATATTTTTCTCCAGTGGTTAATGGTGATTCTCACAGATTGGAACAGAAAAGGTTATAGCAAGGGCCAGGTCTGCAAACACATTGAGAAAATAATTTCCTAACAGACAAGAGCCTCAGTAGAGTAGAAAAGACACCAGCATGGCTGAGGATACTGAAGAACTGCAATTCAGGTAGATCAGGTACCAAGCCCTTCTGCCCTTCAGATGAAAAGTCTCTTCCATTTACCAAATTTGCCCACAAAAATATTTCAATTTTCTGTGTCTAATGTCATGAAAAACTTTGGAAAAAACTATGAGAGTTTGAGAAACACAGGCCTAGGTTTAATCTGGAAAATAAAGTATGATTCGGCAAAGTGAACCTTCTAGCACCAGGTTATCAGCAATCTAGAAAGTGGCTGTGCCAGGACTTGAATTCACATGTGTCTGAATCGGAAACCACTGTGCAAGCCTGTGCTACCAATGGTATAAAGACTGACTGTTTTGAGTATCCTGATAATTTGCAAAAATATTGTACCATCATCATCAAAGAAAACGCCACATTTTTTAACTTTGAAAAATGTGTGCTTCATTTCAAATGTAAGATAGTGCTAAGATAGTTACCTCTCTATAAAAAATGAATTTCAATAACCCAGCAATCCCACTCCTATGTCTATATCTAAGAGAAAGAAAATATCTGTTCACATAAAACTTGTACATGAACATTCATAGCAGCACTATTGATAATAGTCTAAAAAGTAGAAATGATCTGAATGTCCATCAACTAATACATGGAGAACAGATGAAGAAAATGTGGTAGATGCTACAATGAAGTGTTATTCAGCCAGTAAAAGGAATAAAGTGCTGACATATGCTATAATGTGGATGCTATAACATGCTATAAGCCTTGAAAACATGATAAGTGAAAGAAATCAGGCACAATAGGCCACACATTTTACGATTCCATGTATATAAAATATCTAGAATATGCAAATCCGTAGAGACAGAATATAGATTAGTGATTGCCAGGGGTTGATGGAAGGAAGAATGGAGAGTTTCTGCTAATGGATACGGGTGTTCTTTCTGGGGTCATCAGAATGTTCTAAATTTAGATAACAGTGGTGGTTACACAGCTCTGTGAATGTATGAAAAATTATGAAAAATCTCAAAAGGGTAAATTTTATGATATGTGATTTATATCTTATGTAAAGCTGTTATTAAAAAATAATTTCCAACTAGCAACCAGGCTACCAGGTTCTTGTGATGATGGTTCCAGCAGAAGCTGGTGATAGAGAAAGAAGATTAGGGTGTGGCTGATGACGGAAAGGGGCCTTGAGGGGAACTTCTCAGTCTTGGGTAAGAGGGGCTTCCACAGTGGTGTTTGGTGATAGCGGTGACTATGGGAGTCACAAAAGTAAAGGAGAGAGCTCTTTATATAGGAAGCTTTCCATAGTCTAGGTTCCCATTAGCTTGACATAGATGGTGAAGGGGGATAAGATACTGGTATACATACAAAGTAAAAGAGCCATATACACCGTGGAATACTATGCAGCCATAAAAAAGGATGACTTCATATCCTTTGCAGGAACATCTATGAAGCTGTGAACCATCATTCTCAGCAAACTAACACAGGAACAGAAAACCAAACACCACATGTTCTCACTCATAAGTGGGAGTTGAACAATGAGAACACATGGACACAGCGAGGGGAACATCACACACCAGGGCCTGTCGCAGGGTTGGAGGCGAAGTGAGGGAGAGCATTAAGACAAATACCTAATGCATGTAGGGCTTAAAACCTAGATGATGGGTTGATAGGTGCAGCAAACCACCACAGCATATGTATACCTATGTAACAAGCCTGCACGTTCTGCACATGTATCCCAGAACTTAAAGTAAAATTTAAAAAATAAAAGAATTAAACTCAGATAACTTAAAAAATAAAAATTAAAAATAAATTCTTTTTATCATTTTCAATTCAGAATAATTTGATCAATTTAGACAAATTAAACAATCTGAAGATCTAAAAAAAAATGTAAAATTGACATTCTTCTTCAATAGTTTGAACACAATGTACATTTTTTTTTTTTTTTTTTTTTTTGAGACGGAGTCTCGCTCTGTCGCCCAGGCTGGAGTGCAGTGGCGGGATCTCGGCTCACTGCAAGCTCCGCCTCCCGGGTTCACGCCATTCTCCCGCCTCAGCCTCCCAAGTAGCTGGGACTACAGGCGCCCGCCACTACGCCCGGCTAATTTTTTGTATTTTTAGTAGAGACGGGGTTTCACCATTTTAGCCGGGATGGTCTCGATCTCCTGACCTCGTGATCCGCCCGCCTCGGCCTCCCAAAACATTTTTTACTGAAATGCACCAGCTCTCCAGATAGCTCATTGCCCTGTTAATATTCATGAAGAAATCAACTCTACAATTACTTTAAATACGTTACATTATATACAATTATAATTTATTATAATTTACATTACCTAGAATTATAAATTACTTCATGATTTATATGACTTATTTCCATGATTTATTTAATGCTTGTGTTGGTGGAGACCAGTGTCTGACCTCAGGAACTCACTCTCCTCTCCAAAATGCATGCTTTTGTGTACCCTTAGACAACCCTGAGAGACTAGGTACACATTTCTTCACTCCAACTTGTTTATTAAAAATTTCCATTCTTTTCCCAGAATTTTTTTTCCACTGTTCAAGCAATTAAGGCAAATAGCTAAAGAAAACTTTTTCAGTACTGGTCATTCCCAAAGAGAAGAGCAAGCTGGAAGACCCAGTGAGCATGAAGGTGGATGAGCAGTATCCATAAAAGTCGCGCCACACTGCCTGGACCTATTTCTTCCACTATGTATCACAAGTGCTTGCATATTTTACTGTACAGTGTGTTAAGTTTCAGTGAAGACAAAGGGTCTAGTGCCATATGTCAGCCAAAGACAATGTTTCCCATGGTGTCCACCCTTAATTATTAAACATGTCCTTCTAGAATCTCAGAACTATCCCAAAGGCCATATGTGCCACCTCGTAATGTGAGGCCTCAATCTTATGACACCTGTGCAATTACAATGACTCAGCATCCCCGTGTGGTCCTCTTCTCAGCTCCTAAAAGAATCACCCTCATTCCACCATTGCCAAAGCACAGGAATATAATGTGGGACGTGCTGTCAAAACAGGATTTCAGATCACAAAATAGTTATGTTCCCCAAAATCACAGTTCTATAAATCGTTAGCAAGCATCTTTCCATAAATTAATGCCTTGACCACTAGGCAAGACTCTCATCCTATGGGGATTTTCTGGGCAATGTTTTTGTCCTATAGGAGTTTTCCTTAAAAAATTTAAAGATGAGAATCAGCCTGGGGTTGCTAGTTAAGCTCAACACAGTCCTAATAAGCAGCTGCTTCTGCTCCCAACTGTCACCATTCCCTCCATATCAATATCTCTGAGAAGGTCAGCACACTGTCTTCAGCATGCTCTAATAAATCAAACACAAGTTTGTACCAGTCGAATAAGGCCCCGTGTATGTGTTGCTACACACTTGTCTCCACTGGTCTACAACATAGAAAATTGTGTCCTTATTTGCTGTAACCACATGTTCACTACAATTAACTCTATACATGTACACACTACATGCTGGACTCAGATGTCTAAACCATACTTCTTTGGCCCATCTATCTCTCTTAATGTCAATCTATAAAGGAGGATCCACAGAACATTCATGTAATTACTACAATTAACAAGGAGATGCAAGTCACGGCCAGGGACTAGTAAGTTCTGCTATAAACACACAATCACAGAGCAATAAAGGATTTTGGCAGCTTATCTGCTCTTTCATCACCTCTCTGGCTCTTGCAAAAGTGGAGTGTCTCAACCTCACCACCAATTTCACAAGAGATGCTATGACTTTATCTATGATTCCTCCATGCAAATGTGACTATTCTATAGGCCCTTTGAGCTCTTTCTGGAATCACACAGATGTGAGTTTGAAATATGCCCCACTTTCCAGCTTTGTGACTTTGAAAGAGTTACTAATCTTCGGTAATTCTCTTTTTTCTTCTTCTAAGAAGTACCATCTACCTGTCAAGGTTTTGGGGTTTTGAGTGTTAGTGAGGTGAAATGATCTACTGGTACCATCTACCTGTCAAGGTTTTGGGGTTTTGAATGTTAGTGAGGTGAAATGATCTACTGGTACCATCTACTCATCAAGGTTTTGGGGTTTTGAATGTTAGTGAGGTGAAATAATCTACTGGTACCGTCTACTTGTCAAGGGTTTGAAGACCCAATAATCTCATCCTGCTTTTAATGTTCCCAATACACCATCAGAACTGTATTAAGGGTCCACAAGATGTTATCTGTTGAATGCCCTTCTCACCTTGCCCCAGCCAGTATCCTGGTTGAATCATTCCTGGCTCTGTTCTCCTTTTTCTCTCATGTATCCTCAACATGGCTTAAACCCATCTATCAGGAACTTCTGGACTTGGTCTTATGACAGCCCCTGAACATGGCCAGCAAGATGCAACACAAACTCACTCCAAATTCCTCTTCCTGCCTCATGGTCCTCTTTGCACCAACAATTCAGCACCCTTGACACCAGCATTTTCATGCCTACATGCCCCTTGCTCTTTATGCTCCAAATGCCATCTCCAAACTACAATTTTCTATCTTCTCCCATTTTATGAAGATCCACTACAAATGCATCCACAAAAGCTGTGTTAATTACCCTCTGTCATGGCCCATTCGAATGAATTATTCCTTCCAATTTGCATTCAAACTCATTGTATATACCCCTTATTATTTCACTTACAAAGTGATATAACTGTTTATGAATTTAACTCCCCAATACAAACCAGACCGTAAGCAAAGACACTCTTTTAGTACAGTACACATTTTTATCACAATCGAGCTTAGGTCTGAAACATTGCAGAGACACAGGCAATGTTTGTAAGACAAATGAGGAAGCACAAGGAAAGATTAGGAAGCCCAGCTCCTCCACTAGGCACCCGAGTTTAAGTCTCTGTACTGCCCCTTGCTGGCTGGGTGACTTTGGGCGAGTTATTTCACCTCACTAACATTCAGCTGCTCGTTACAACACTAGCATATTAATTGTACTTTCCTTGTGGGTTGCTATAAGGATTGTAATATTGAATACCCTCCATGCATCATCTCACACTGACTAGCATACAATGATTAACACATACCTGCTGCCACATTATAATGAAAATTGGAACCCCCAATTTTAAGCCATCTCATGCTCTGCTGAAAAATGAGCCAATCCTCTTTGCTGAATGCTCCTTGACAGTCCACAGAGGCTTAAGGCTTAGAAGCAAAGAACTTATTAAAATAGGAGGGAACGAGAGAAAAGGGAAACAGTAACTGTTCACAGACAGCTCTCCTCTTCTGCCACTACAGCCAGTCAGAAACATGGCAAAGGTCTGGATATAGAGTGTTTACATCCAAGTTCTAAGCCTCACCCAGCCTCCTACTGTGAATCAGTTTGTTTGTTTGTTTGTCTGTTTGTTTGTTTTTTGAGATGAAGTCTCGCTCTGTTGCCCAGGCTGGAGTACAGTGGCATGATCTTGGCTCACTGCAAACTCTGCCTCCCCAGTTCAAGCAATTCTCCCGCCTCAGTCTCCCCAGTAGCGGGGATTACAGATGCATGCCACCATGCCAGGCTAATTTTGTATTTTTAGTAGAGATGCGGTTTCACCATGTTGGCTAGGCTGGTCTTGAACTCCTGACCTCAGGTGATCTGCCTACCTCAGCCTCTCAAAGTGCTGGGATTACAGGCGTGAGCCACCATGCCTGGCCTGTGAATAGGTTTTAAAAGAATTACATATGATTTCTCTGTTCATTTTCCCACCTATGAAATCTACAGCTGTCATATTTCCCAGAACCATGGTGATACGCGTTTTCATTAGCTGCCTGCCATGAAGTTAGATTAAGAAGACATCAATGATTTTTTCTAATCAAAGTCATAAAGTCAAGTGGTTTCAAATAACAACCTCCACTATATATATGTTAAAGAGAAAAATAGCACCCATATCGCAGCCTGGGTGCCCATAATCTTCTAATACCAGTAATAAATCTTTCTGCGAAGGCTAAATCATTTATAAACTTGTTAACACAGCTCAAGTCTCTAATGCTGTATCACTAGGTTTCTTACTTAATCAAATTGTTTAAAAATGTGTATTTGCAATACTGAGTGATTAGGAGGTTTATCTTATGAAAGACCATTCCAGTGTCCCGTTGTACACAAATAATTTGAAGGCAATTTCCCCTTGTTAAGGGTAAAAACTCTGATTAGACTAACTTCTGATAGCTAGTTATTGAGATCACAGAAAGAATGCAGCCACTAGTGAATAAACAAATACTAAGACCTTCCAGGTGGACTGTCTCAGGTGACCTCCAAAGGTTAATTCATGTAAAAAGGATACTGCCATTACAACCAGAAACCAACAAGTTATGCCCTCCTTTTGAAAAGTATTAGATTCCAGGATGGATTATCCAGCCAACCAAAGAAAGGGCGAATATAAGGTAACCAGCTCTCCAGAGTATGTTCTCTCACCCAGTTTAATGGGAAGCTATGTGGTTTGGAAGCAAATTCTAGAGTTACAGAATGTTAAGCAAGATATTCATTATTTTACCCCATCATGAAACAACAAGCCCAAACAGCTAACTCCAGGAACGTTTTCTGAGACCGTGTGCACATCAAGAAACAAGAAACAAAATAGGTTGTTGAAAACACCCACATGTTACAGCATTTCTGCCCTTCCTGAGGATGGGAATAACATTAGAAATAACTTCACAGAAAAACAGACTCCCCAGAGATTCAAAATTCCCCAGGAATCTCACCATTTGGACAGACATATGTACTCTGGAAAAATTGTTCCTATCATCCAGTAGCCATGAATTCTAACTTAGTCTAAACTTTCCATTCAAAAGGCAGCACCTTTCTTAATTTTAAGCAATGTCTAAAGTCCAAAGCCCCAGGACAACATTTCTTCTGAGCCTGTGTCAGCTTCATTCAGTCTCATTGAACTGAATGATGTATAATCAAAGCCAATGGGATTCTGAAGGAGAGAGAAAGTGAGAATACTAGACTCAAACCTGAACAGAGCTGAGTCAATTACAGAAAAGTCTTGGCAAAGTAACTTCAGCCCCATGAGGTGCTGTTTCTCTGTGGGTAAATAAGGATACTCACAGCCCCCTGTCTCTTGGGGCATTTGCAAGGAGTGAATGAGCTAATACGTACAAAAGGTGGCCAGAATGCTGGGTGCACAGCTAATGGCCAATAATCATGAATTAATCTCCATGCCCTTTTAAATGGAGGGACTTCGAATATGCTGGATTCTCTTCCATATCACTTATTACTCCATCATTGAATTGGCCATATAGAAGGCATATGCAGGTAAACGATGTCTGTAACAGAGGTCACCAACTCATCCACGGTGAGCAGATGCAGACAGGTGCATCATATAAGGTCACAAGTGGCCAGCAAAGAAAAGGACTCACAGGCCAGCAGAAACAACAAGATGATGAATATCTGGGACCTGTCTTTACCCAACAGGAATAAAAGAAACTTGGGTTTCCAATTTACCATGAATGATGATGGTACTACAGGTCTTCTGCCTTACGTAGTCAGAGAAGTAGACATGGAGGAAGAATTTGTTAGAAGCAAAATAAAGCGAACATGGTTAAAATGACAACAACAAACTAGCTCTGTCTCAGAGGACTCCGCATGCACAAGAGCAGTATTTGTCCAAACACAAACATTTTCCCAGTGGCAATGACTTACTTACTGCTAAGTCCAGCAGAGGCAGCGATACTAATTTATAATGTGTGAAATAAAGAAAAGATAACACAGGCTTCTAAAAGGCTGGCCAGTGGGAATAGTCACATAAAGATCCCAGCCTAGATTTATTAAAAATTACAATAATTAGTCCTAGAAAAGTAGAAAACTAGAATTATTTTCTCAAACATAAAACAAACTGCCCTCATGTCAGTACTCAATTCCAGTGAGAATTGAATAAATTTCTGCTTTGGGAAAAAACCAGCAACACTGATTTTATCTTTAATAAAAGGAGTTATAAATATCAAGAAAATATTTTGATTTGTATAAATGCATCAAATATAAAATTTAAGCCTTAAATATTTATTGGATATGTCAAGTATGGATGGCACTGGACATTTTAAAAATTATTCAAAGAAATTTTAACAGGTATTAAGTAACTCAAATCCAAATTAGAAAAGAAGAAACATATATAGGTTAATGTATAATAACTGATAAAATATCAGATTTAAAATCATAAAACATCTGTAAGTTTAACACAAATGTGAAATGTTTACGTGAAGAGAATGTACGGAAATGATATTAAATGAAATTAGCCCAATGCAAGTAGGTGTCCTGTAGTAGATAGATTTCAAACAGGTCTTTCAGTAAAAGTTAGACAGTTATTACCATGGAATTTGGAAAATGGAAAATTAAGAGATTCTAGAATGAGGAAGGTACTGTATCAAATTTCTCAGAGAATAAACACTATTCCAGAGTTCCTTAGCTTCAGCGTGACTGTCATTTTGGACAGGATACATGTTTATTGTGGATCTGTCCTGTGCATTGAAGGATGCTTAGCGGTATTGCCTGCTGCTTTTCATGAGATGTCTGTAGCACAAGAAACAGTCTTGACAATCTTAGTGATGTTTCTAAATATTGACAAATGTCCCCTTGCAGAGGAGGAGAAGGCAGAATTGCTCTCCCTTCCATTGAGGACCACTGCTGTATACAAAGATACAATCTACAAAAAGAGTATGTAACAAGTAGACTAAACATAAAGAGAGAATATCGTGATTTTATTTTCCATATTTTGATTTTCTTCTCTACTTACTGTGCTAATACGATCTTACAGAAAGTGCTACGCATAGTAATCAAAACTGTATCCTGAATTAGTACAACACAATTTCAGCACAATGAAACATGGGTTTCAAAAATCAGTTATATAATGGATACCAGAAAAACAGGCTTCTGTTACCACAGTAATAAGGACAGCACAGTTTGGTAAATGAAGTGAACATTGAAATTTAGCCCTCATTTAACACATTTCTAAAACTTAAGCAGGAACCACAAACCTCCAAGGGAAGTGTATTTTGGTCCCATAAGCTACCTGGCTGCATTTGCTTTGCTTTGCTAATGACAACAGAATTACCAGCCAAGTGTTCACCTGTGGAAGAGGGGCTATACCTTCACAGGGATCAGCAATAAAGAATAAAATCTTCCTCAGTCCCCAGCTACCCTCCCCATCTCTTACCCTCATGCTGCTAGGTCAACTAAGCCATTCCTTATCAGTTGATGCAGTGGCCTGCCAGATTCCTTTAAGCTCTGGATGGTGAGTACCTAGCGCAAAAGTCACTTTAGGAAAAAGAAGAGTCTGTAGTCCTGCCTTACCACCATCACCATCACCATCATCACCATCTCTACCACCATCACCACCAATACCACTACCATGACCACCATCATCATTGTCAACACCACCACTATGACTTTTACCACTATTGCCACCATCACTACTACTGCCATCATCACCATCACTACCAACACCACAACTACCACCATCATTACCATCACTATGACCATCACCACTACCACCACACCACACCACAATCACTACCACAATCATCACCAACACTACCATCACCACCACCATTTTCACCACCATCTTCAACATCATTATCACCACCACCACCACCACAATCACCAACACCACTGTTACCACCACCACCATCACCACCACCACCACTACAGCTAGCTAGAAGTCTCACTCTCCACAGCACGGAATACTATAACCCTGCATTGGGCTCCAGCACAATCAAACTTCTCCTTGAACATAATCCACTAAGGCACTCCAGCTCACACTTCTTAACTCCACTAGACTTTTCTACTTCCTGCACTTTTACAATTCCAGAACTTTCTGAAGTCATTATCTTGATCTGGGATGTCCTCTCCACACAAATTCTTAGGTTACCAACTTATTAAGTCAAACTTGAAGCACAGTGGATATGCAGTAAATACTGAATTGCTCACAAATTACAGAAATTCCCTCCATGATATGAAACAAGCTTTCCAGTGGATTGGCATCTATTGATTTAACTCCTACATCGTGCTTAGTAGGTGCAGGCATGGTACTAAGTATTTTATATTATCAGTTGATTTATCCTCATAACAGCACAACACAACGGTTACTATTATTATCCTCATTTTTCATATGAAGAAACTGAGGCAAAGGGACATCAAGAAAGGTGCACAAGTTCACAGAACTAAAATTTGAATCCAGGCAGCAGTCTCACCATGATCTCTGAACCACTCCAATGTGTAGCTACTCTACACTGAAAACAATTTCAAAACAAATTTTTAGTTATTTTTTTTTTAAATGTCATAGAGTCTAAGAGATAGCCAGAGATTTTTCTAACAACAGAATCCTATTTTTAAGAGCCTCAAGCCCAGCCTCCCTCTCCTCTGAGAGCACGTTGAAGAAAATTTGGGCCCATTTTAAACACAGTTTAGACATCACTGTTTTTACGGCAAATATTTGTTTTTCACAGACATGGAAACTAAGACCTGAGAAAGGGTAGTCGTTTACCCAAGTAACACTGAATTAGTTGGCAGCAGAGTTGAAACTAAAACCCTGGAGTCCCGATGCCAACTGGATGATTTTCAATTATCCCTTGGCCCCCTGGCTAATCATTAAATAGATTTTCTACAGAAAGGTGCAGTTTCATATCTACCAGGTAAGAAACATGGTTGATGACACATGAAAATGATTCACTAGAAAAGACAAAAGATAATCATTCACCCAAACACGCCTCTTGCTAAATCTTCAGAGTCTAATATCGCACAGTGCAATTTGGGATTCAGGCTTTACCTCTCATCTAAGGAGTCCAAAGCCCTTCTCAGGCAACCCTGGGCCACTAAGTTACTGGCCAGTTAGCAACAGAGAAACCATGTAACAAAAATTGTACTCATCTGGTAGGCTGAGTTCATGGCCAAGCCAGAACCAAAACTCCACCTCTCTCTGTACATCCACCTGTGATCTGGTGCATGCCCCCAGCCCTGGGCTCCCCCTCCCGACCCACACCTGTGAGGGGACCTTTACCTGCGTGTGCTGGAGGCTCCTCAGCTGTTTCTCCTTCTCTGTAACTGATTTACTGGCTGACCTTCAGACCATCTTAAGCCTTTCCATGACTAAGTTTCTCCTGTGCAAAATTACACTTCTCTCTCTGAGGAGGTGTTGAGAATGATTAAATGAACCTGGCCACAGAGCGAGAGCTCGTCAGACACGAGGCATTAGATCGGGGGGCTGTGTTGTCCGCGGGGTGCTTTCTGGTGATCATTCATGCAGATACCCAAATCAAAGTCTCCAGGTAAAGAAAACGACTTTGGAAAACTCTGTGGTTTTAACAAACACATAACAATGCCCCCACCCCCACCGTTCTCTGGTTTCATATTAAGTAAATCTTTTACTGAGGGTTTTTTCTATCCAGGCACAATGGAACCCTGATAAAAAATTTTATGTATCTTCTATGAAAATACCTATAAAAATAATTTGATGGGAAAAAATCTCTTTTAGCTTCTGTTTTACCATGAGAATTTCTTTTTTTAGAGACAATTAAAAGTTAACACAAAAGTTTTATTTCTCAGTACCTGTAATTTGTTTTTATTAAATTAAAGAAAGAGTATACATAACAGATAAGCATTCACCTATACCTATAATAACTGGGAAAAAAATCATATGATCATGTAGGTCTATTAAGAAAGTAAAAATTAAATATAACAATGCACTCCAGAAATGGATACTAAGATCTTATTTAAAATACAGTATGTATGACTAATAAATTGTCATTCTCATTACCATGCTCCAAATAGTTATTTCCTTTCTTAATTCACCTTTTGAAAGCATTTTGTTCCATTTTCCTGGGGCTGTTTTACTGCGTGACTTCCCTGGGCATTCAACAGTCAATCTCCGCAGGATTGGGATTTTCATTTCACGTGTCTTTAATCTAGCAAAGCATTCAGGCTACTCTTTTCACAGATATAAATAAGTAAATACAACAATCTTCAGGTAAAGAAAAAATACATTCCTCAGGGACAAGGATAAAGCTGGAAGCCATCTTCCTCAGCAAACAAACACAGGAACAGAAAACCAAACACTGCATGTTCTCACTTATAAGTGGTAGTTGAACATTGAGAACACGTGGACACAGAGAGGCGAGCATCACACACCTGGGCCTTTTAGGAGGTGGGGGTGAGGGGAGGAATCTTAGAGAGCGGGTCAATAGGTGCAGCAAAACACCATGGCCCACGTATATCTGTGCAACAAACCTGCACATTCTGAATATGTACCCCACTTTTTTTAGAAGAAATGAAAAACAAAAAAAAATTTTAAAGAATAAAAGCAGGAAAAAAAAAAAAGACATTCAAGCCGCCTACATTTCCATAACAGAGCGTTCTCTATCTACTTACTATATTTATTCTTGAGTTATAGCAAATGACAATTTCCATCTGGACTTTTTTTTTTTTTTAAATAAAGGCATTTCTCATTTCATCTTGTGATAATTTGAAAAACTATGTATACTGTGTAACCTAAATAAAATAGATTATAGCACCACTCCAAAAATTGCTGTCAACTTCCACACATACTAAGCTAGTGGACCTACCCCAGGCAAAAGAAACAGGGTCAGATGCTGCCTAATAGAAATCAAGTGACACGTCTTTAGCATGTTCTTTGCTATGCCACTGGTTATCTGTAGAGGCTCCAGAGTTTAGTAAGTCTTCTTAATTGGACATCATTTAGCTCAGCCACTGGGCTCAAGTAGACAAATAGGAAGTGAGTTTTCCATGTGTACTCTGTTCCTTATCTGCACAGTGGGTGCCCTCTGAACTGAGCCTCATCAGAGGCTATGTGTCTCAGCCCACACGCAAGCAACGTGCATGCTGCCTGAAGTGGAAGCAAAAGTGTGTTGTTAGTTGCGCACCCATAGAAGCACACCTGAGCCTCCCTATACAGTGCCCAACTAGAAGAGGCTGAGCACTTCCCTCCTGTCATTTGTAGACTGATAGTCCAGTCCCATCATTACCAGGTCTCACCCACTGCCAGAAGGATGGCTCGTCCTCAGTCCCATGAACTCAGCTGTGCTCATGAGTTACCAATGAGGAAGGGATGAAAGGAGAAAATAAAAATTAATCTTGGCCGGGCGCGGTGGCTCACGCCTGTAATCCCAGCACTTTGGGAGGCCGAGGCGGGTGGATCACGAGGTCAGGAGATCGAGACCATCCCGGCTAAAACGGTGAAACCCCGTCTCTACTAAAAATACAAAAAATTAGCCGGGCGTAGTGGCGGGCGCCTGTAGTCCCAGCTACTTGGGAGGCTGAGGCAGGAGAATGGCGTGAACCCGGGAGGCGGAGCTTGCAGTGAGCCGAGATCCCGCCACTGCACTCCAGCCTGGGCGACAGAGCGAGACTCCGTCTCAAAAAAAAAAAAAAAAAAAAAAAAATTAATCTTGTATCCACAAAACATAAAAACTCACATTAAGTATCCCATCATGATTATAAAATATCACCACTCATCACCTATAGGAGGATAAACTAAGGCTAGTTAAGGGTAAATGATATTGTGACTGTCAGGACTAGGGCATTTGTTTAGAATGACATAGAAGGTCTTAGCTAAATCCATGCAAAGTGTTCCCCGAAATGAACGTTCAGTCTCCTCCAGGAAGGTGATTCCCCGTCTCAGTAAAACATAGGTAGAAAAATCAGTCTTATCATGGGTTACAGAATACCCTTTCCTTTCTACCTCCCCCTTCTGCTTGTCCTAATTAAGTCCTCGAAAATTAATTGTATAAAAACAAAATGTAGTCTACCACTTATTAGATTATCCTATACCCAATAGACTATGCATGAAGATCTTTGGAATGATTTCCTTGATTGACCTACAATATTCTTTAAACTCTCAGATCAGGACTGTATATAAAGTAAATTATAAACTGTTTTATTGTTATTCCTCTACTACTTCATTGCTTTTTTTTTTTTTTTTTCACATGGAACAGTCCCCCTTGTTATTACAGGCTAAGAATCTCTTATCTGAAATGCTTGGGGCCAGAACGGATTCAGATTTTGCATTTTTTTTTTTTTTTTTTGGATTTTGGGATATTGGCATATACATAACAAGTTATCGTGGGGATAGAACCCAAGTCTAATCTTGAAATCTCTTTATGTTTAAATACACCTTATACGCATAGCCTGAAGGTGATTTATACAATATGTTTAATAATTTTATGCATGAAACAATGTTTTGACAGCATTTTGACTACAATCCATCAAATGAGATCAGGTGTAGAATTTTCCACCTGTGGTATCATCTTGGCACTCGAAAATGTTTTAGATTTTGGATCACTTTGGACTTTAGTTTTTTAGATTAGAGATGCTCATCCTGCATTTTCTTGTATAAAGATACTTCATTACCATGGCAAAGCATTCCTGTACCATCCATTAACAATCTCTGGTGTTTCGTTCATAATGTGTACCATTCCATATTTCCCATCCAGTGAAATGTATGCATAACAAGTATTGGCAGGAGACAAAACAAAATCCTTACTCCTAGCTATGGGTACAAAGTCAGGTGGCCAGGCATTGGGCTCCTAGCAGTCAAGAGTGAAGGAGACATTGGGGAAGGTGGGCAGGTCCTCAGGAAAACTGGAAATAAAATTATCCAGTGACAGGACAGTGGCCAAAAACATTTCTCAAATTGTCATGGGAATGGTTTACAGGAGAATGGGCGTTACTTAAACACAGGCCACTTATGACAGCAAACGTAACCATCTACACTAGATATATATGGCATTAATCAGAAATAAAGATGTTAGAAGGAGAAGAATCAGAAATAACACACCTGGATTCTGAGCCTTTGGAAAGATTTTGAAAGTTTAGGCAAAGAGCATCCAAGGCTTCAATGGCATGTACAGAGTATTGAGCAAGATGGAGCTAGGAGTCACATAAACGGGCTGTTATACACTGGCATATTGGGCAAAGCCTTCTGGTATATTCCAGCAAGACTTCATAACGAAAGACCTTACGCCTTAAAATAGTATTAATTGAAAAGAATGATAAGGCCT
This sequence comes from Homo sapiens, assembly GCF_000001405.40. Taxonomy (NCBI): domain Eukaryota; kingdom Metazoa; phylum Chordata; class Mammalia; order Primates; family Hominidae; genus Homo; species Homo sapiens. The sequence goes on from NC_000005.10 coordinate 9,413,585, forward strand.
GCTGGGGGCTAAAAGGGCGTAGAAGAAGACAGATTTAGAAGAGAGGGTAAGAATGAATGCTTGAAATCATTGCATAAATTAATAAGTTTCTGTGTATGTTTACCCTGTTGAGTATCCACAGTTACAGGATAGGGAAGACAAGTGGTAGCAGATATTATGTGACAATGTTTTTGTTATACATAGACAACAAAAGCTCCATATGCTCAACAAAAGTCAGATTACAGAGCCATAATAATGTACATGTTTCTGAAACATTCCTGTATTTTGAGTTTCCCTCAAAGCCTAGCATTTATAAAGTTTATCGCTGGTCCTTTCAATGAATTTCACTGAACACAAGCCAGGCATGTATCAAAATAGGTATATAAAATCTCTATAAAGTAAATAAAACTCATCAGAGAAGCTGGAACAGAACATTTCCTAACTTTTTTTCAATCTGGGAGGATCTGATTCATAATTATCATCTACTGTCTTTCTTGACTAACAAGTGAGAGCCAAAAGGATACCCAACCCTTTTGTCTTGGTGAAATGAAAATCTATTATGTAATTATTTTACAAATAACACATATAACATGTATAAACAGACGTTATTATAATCATCATATTTCATTTTAATATTTGAGGCTTTAAAGGATACCATTAAACAACATTAATTTCATTTACAATAAATGAAGCATAAGACATGGAAAACTACTTGGCTGCATTTAAGATCTAGCGATTCAACTATAAGGAAAAATTACTTTCATCGAAGATGACAGTTTTCCTCTAGCTCTTCCTACTGATGCCTATGCAATACAGTCTCACTAAATGAGCATAAAATAAAAAGATGTCCATTTGATCTTTGGACAAAGATCAGATTTGATGACACAGATCTACATCCAGTGGTCTGATTATGGATCCTGCATAAATAGATGGAAATAGGTTCACTTTCAAACGTTTAGGCATCATTGGCAAGACTGACGCTTCTGCTTTCTACCAGTCATAATATGAAAACATTGGCAATGACCTTTACTAGAAATCTTCATGCAAATGCAACAAGAAACTCACCCAAAACATTAGCAGAACCTACCAGATCTATTCATTAGAAGAAAATATCAACCATAGGTATCATTCACAAGTAAGAGAAGAAAAGCATTAGTCATTTTACCTAGTATCACACCATGGGCTTTTGAGTTGGCAAAAATGGGAATGAATCCCAGCTTCATGACTCTACCCTGGGAAAGTGACATATTTCTGTGTCTCAGCTTTATCTGTTAAATGGGACCAAGAGCCCGTTACCTTGTAGGGTTCACAAGATGACTGATTGAAACAACATATGTAAAACACCTAGGACAGTGCCTGCATATAGCATGTCCGCTATAAATATCACTCCCTTTCATAGGCGACTGCTCTAAAAATATTATGTCATTTCATAGATGGGTCTCAATTATTTTGTGATTCATTGCCTCCCAAAGATCAATCTACTTGACACAAAGGAAAGATCTAGTCACCATGAGACAGAATGGATATTGAAGCATACAGACATTTGACTCAAATTAATCAAAAAGTTGCATTTTTCAGTAAGTCAGCTATTACCAAGTGCTTCTTATGAATAGTTATTTTAAGATGCAGCTTTCCAGAAATACTGCTTTCTTAAACAAAGTTTCATTCCAGAAAGGAAAAAGCCTTTGGCCAATTTAGAAGAAGCTTTGTACCATTCCTGGGAACTGCTCAGCATCTGGGGTTGCTGGATTTTAAGATGGAGTTCTCCTATCTAATAAAGCTGCTATGATCATTGAACACAGACACATGTAAGATGTGTTGGGGCCTTGGGGACGTAAAATGATAGCACGAGGAGGGACAGGAATCTAAATGCTTTGTCGCACACACCAGAGCATAAATAATTATCAAAGAATGCTTAGGGGAATTTAATTTAATTCTGCATGTAATGAAAGATGAAAAATTATCTTTTCCATTAACATCAATTGCATCAAAATCAGTATTTTTATAATTTTCTCAACCTATTTTTTTTCTTTCAACTGGCGAAGTATCAAAAGGCAATAAAGAGAAAAAAAGTACTTCCAGATGGTTGGTCTAAGCAAATTACATGCAATTTTCCTTTAAATAAAATGGAAAATATATGTAATAGAAGCCCTGCTGAACACCTATCAAATCAAAATGATTACTGTCTGCACCGTTGTAATTCACTCACTGGTTTATGGCCTCACTCTATTTCAAAGAGTTTCCCAAATTCATATAATGTTCTGCAGTGCTAGAGCTGGCATCAGATCTCTGATGTAGCTGAAAGATGCAGACTGTGAAATCTTCCATTGTTGGACAACTTTCTTATTTGGGACATAGTTGAGAAAGCTGAGCAGCCAAAAAATAAAATAAAATAAATTGTCCTTTCAAAGGCAGCTTTAAAGTCGCACTCACTCAGCTCAATAAACTCTGTGTTTCAGGGGTAACCACAAAAAGAGAAGACTTTCTACTTGTTGTTCCAAGTATACATTTTACACTAAACCCTATGCTATTTAGAGAGATATTGGTAAAAAATTATGGCAGTGGGTCATCAGATGAGGAATTCCCTCTCAAAACCCTTCTAGATAAACTGACTCTCAATTCCCCCAACCTTTACTCAAGAAATTGGATTTTATGTGCTCCATCCTTTTACCCTAAAACTCATTAGTACATAAATGAGGAGAAAAAGTTGAGAATTGGAGAGGTGGGAGGTCAGGGAAGATAGAGGGTCACTGGGGGAGTGGACTGTCCACTCTAACCCGTTTCTGATCACTGGTATCCACAGAATGAACCCCAAAGCCATCGCCCATCAAAGGGCAGGTCCCACACTTCCCAGCAATTAGATCCAGGTGGAGGTGAGCCTCTGGTGGGGTGGTGCGGAAGGGCAGAGCCAGGTAACCAGGGTAGTCAGGGCATGCCTACCTCGCCCCTACCCCAGAGCCTCTCACCTGCAAACTGGGTACAAGCAGTTGGTGTAAGGTCAGGAATGTTGTCAAAGGCAACATGAAAGTTATAGTGTATCAAGTTCAAGACCTGGACTTCACAGATTTATGGCTACATAAATACACACAATGTCTTTATGAATTTGCCCCTGCTTTTAATTTAGTAAGAGACCTTCAAAGCAGGAGTTCAAAACCAGGGGCAATTTTACTTCCCCTCCTCAGGAACATTTGGCAATACCTGGGGACAATTCTGGTTACCACAGTGAGGGGATACTACGGGTATCTGTCAATAGAGGCCAGTGATGCTGATAAATTTCCTATAATGTGCTACCCTCACTGACAAGAAGGGATTATCCGGTGCAAATTGTCAATAGTGCCAAGGTTGAAAAACTCTGCTTTACACTGAAAAAAAGAGAGATGGAATTTAGGTAGCATTATGTTCTGTAAGTAGAAAAGAAATTGGTAAGACCAGAATCTCTTACCACTGAAATGTTTCTCAGCTGCTAAAATAGGGAGCCTGGTACACTCATTGAACAGCTTTCTAATTTTCTTTTATATCCTACACAGATTTTCTCTTTATTCTGCCATGCAGAAAAATAAGAGAGGCCATTTATAGCAACCATTTGAATTCTCTCCTGTATTATTTTAAGATGCTGCTGCTTTTACATTTTGCCCATAAGAAGTTTTACTAGAATAAATAAAACCAGTTGTACACAATTCACAGACAATTGTTTTCCAAAGGATTTTTTTAGTATTATAAGCTGTAACCTCTAATTAAATATGTGATCCCACTGGATTTTATACATAGAATATAGTTACCATATTTACGTGTGCACATTATCCACTTTACTAACTTTTCTAAAATTTCTCACATAAATCTGAATTTTTAAGCCTTAAGTGGGATCCCAATTTGTACATTTTTCTTTCAACTATCCATATCTTTTGATAGTGAATAGACCAGTCCTCAGTTACTCCTTAGCACCTCCTATATTTGCAATGCAGGACCCAGTGATTACTTCTATTACTTCTGGTAGTTCTCAAAGTTACAAGGAACAAGAATGATCATGAAGGTTCAATTCACCTGATTCCATAATCACATTCTTTGCTCTTGAGACATTCGCCCCGTTACTTCTGTGCCTTGTCTTTATCACCACAAATCCTCCGATCAGCACATCCCTTGCCTATCAGCCTCTCTACTTAACAACTTCATTTTTACATTTATTACATCTTTCCTGCCAGAGTCAGTTTGGACTACTATAATAAATTACCATACACCAAGTGGCTTGAACAAGAGAAATGTATTTCCCTCTGTTTAGAAGGCTGGAAAGCTCAAGATCACAGTGCCAGCAGATGCCATGTCTGAGGGAGCTCCTTTCCTGGTTTGGAGGTGGTGTCACCTTTTGTATCCTCACATGGCAGAGCAGAGCACAGGAGCAAGTTCTCCAGTGTCTCTTCTTTTTTTTTTTTTTTCGAGATGGAGTCTCGCTCTGTCGCCCAGGCTGGATTGCAGTGGCGTGATCTCGGCTCACTGCAACCTCCGCCTCCCGGGTTCACGCCATTCTCCTGCCTCAGCCTCCCGAGTAGCTGGGACTACAGGTGCCCGCTACCATGCCCGGCTAATTTTTTGTATTTTTAGTAGAGATGGGGTTTCACCGTGTTAGCCAAGATGGTCTCGATCTCCTGACCTCGTGATCCACCCGCCTTGGCCTCCCAAAGTGCTGGGATTACAGGCATGAGCCACTGTGCCTGGCCCAGTGTCTCTTCTTATAAAAGCACTGATCCCATCATGAGTGCTCCACTCTTACAACCTAATCACCTCTCAAAGGTCCACCTTATAATACTATCAAACTGGGTGTTAGGATTTCAACATATGCATTTTGAGGGGACACAAACATTCAGTCCATAACACTTCCTATATGCAAAGCAGAGCAAAATAAAGGCAAATACTACATTTTCAAAGTTATTTGCCTCAGTAGCATCAGCATTTGGTTCCAGCTGTAATCCTCAGCCCCCTCCCATGATGGTAATCAAAGGCTTGCCATTTGCTGGAAATTCCTGCCCTGCAATAGGAGTGTTCTTCACCCTCTACATCTGACAACTGCCCTCCACAGTTCACAAATACTGACGGCGCACTAAACCATAAGCTCTTTAGGAACAGGAACTCTGACATATATGTATTTATACCCCGGAGAGTAATCAAATTGTACTACATATACTCCTGGTGCTGATGAGGACCAGTAATGAGACAGATAGAATGTATCCAGAGACATCTGTTGGTGCTAAGAAGGGCTCAGGCAGGTAATAGGCATCCTAACCATTTAGGACAAAGTAAAGGACAAATAAATCTCCAATTTTAGTCATTTATTTTCTTCCGCTAGCTTTCAGGTTGATGTGTTCTTTCCTAGTTCCTTTAGGTACAAAGTTAGATTGTTAATTTGAAACCTTTCTAAACCTTTCTAACTTCTTGATGAAAGTGTCTTGGGGCTACATGCTTTCCTCTTAACACTGCTTTGGCTGCATCCCAGAGATTTTGGTAAGTTGTGTCCTCGTATTCATTGATTTCAAGCATTTTTTTTTTATTTCTGCCTTAATTTCTGTGTTCACCTAGGAGTTATTCAGGAGTAAGTTGTTCAATTTCCATGTGTTTGTATAGTTTTGAGAGATCTTGGCATTAATTTCTATTTTTATTGCACTGTGGTGTGAGAGTGTCCTTGGTATGATTTCCAGGTTTTTGAATTTATTGAGGCTTGCTTTGTGACCAAGCATGTGGTCGATCTTAGAAGACAGTCTGTGTGCAGATGAGAAAAATGTATATTCTGCGGTTGTTGGGTGGAGTGTTCTGTAGATGTCTATAGAAAATGTTTTGGCCAGAGTGTGTGCCTCACTTAGAAAGGAAGGGGAAAGATAGAGGAAGGGCAGTGCAAAGTCATGTTCAATGGTCATGGTCAGTGAGGCAAAACTGCATCTCTGAGCTCAGGATGAAAGAGGATGAGGCAACGATGGTCGAGGATGCTGATTACATCTCCTAAGTACAGGTTTTAAACATGCACACATCTGGTCAACCTCTTCTGATTGTGTGCAAACCTAAGGAGTCACAGGTGGGCCCTGATAAGGTCATGAGATAAAATAGGGGGCTTTATGTTTCCTAGGGCATGCATGCACACACAAGTACATGGCAGATTTAACATTTTATAAATGACACCCAAATAACTCCTGTTTATCATCTGGGAGCATTCCATTTTTTTCTCAAGAATCATTGTATGACAAGATATGGCAAAGCTCAAATTAAATCAACACAACGAATAACCAACAAAAACAAGTGAAGTTTCAGAAGGGCAAATTAAGAACAACTTTTGTTTTTCTGTGGTGTCACACAGAGAAAAGTTATGTCTAGAGTAGATACTCTTTGATGTACATCCCAAAAGCTCTATTAGCACATCTGCAGCCAAACCACTGGTTTCAGGATGTGTACTGTTGGGCCCCTCGGTGGCCATATTGGTTCCAGATGGAGTTCAAATAACATAAGGGCCTTTGTTCCCGGGCTGAACTATTTCATTTCTCCACTGGTAACTTGCACACATGATGGAGCGCTCCATCATGAACGATGTGCAATGCCCAGGGGTGCTTCAAAAAATGTACCACAGAGACTGCTAAAACTCATGGAAGCCCCTGCTTTTAAGTGATAGCAGCAGCATTTGCCAACAGAGTGGTGCTAGTGGGCTGTATTACATTCCATCTTTGTTTATGCAACACCCCTGGAATAAAAAGTTAGGCATTTACCATTATAATTTACCTTAATTATAGTATTTGTCACTACCTGTAATGCACAAAAGAATTATGGTAGTTGCACTCATAGAAGAGGAAAATGAGACACAGGGAGCCTTTTTGACTTGCACAGGGTTACTCCTATGCTGGAGAGAAGGGGAAATATTAAATACCTTACATCAAATACCTAAGGGCAGACTTAAGGATTTCTAATCCACTGCTGCTGACTGCTGGTATTTTAAGACGGGAACTTTCAAAGAAGAATGAATGTTGTCAGAAACATGATTCCTAACATAAGGAAGCAATGACTGGGGGCTGGGAGATGGCCTATATCCCTTGTAAGAGTATTTTGAGCCCTTTAGACAATAGGAAGGCTCTCTGACAGTCTTACTTGTCACCAGGCCTCTGCTATGTCCAGAACAACAGGGTTAGAATTCATGGCCCCGCCAGGCATGGTGGCTCATGCCTGCGACCCCAACACTTTGGGAGGTGGAATCAGGTAGGTCACAAGGTCAGGAGTTCGAGACTAGCCTGGCCAATATGGTGAAACCCCGTCTCTACTAAAAATATATAAAAAATTAGCCAGGCATGGTGGCGTGCACCTGTAGTCCCAGCTACTTGGGAAGCTGAGGCAGGAGAATCGCTTGAACCCCGGAGGGGTAGGTTACAGTGAGTCGAGATCGCGCCACTGCACTCCAGCCTGGGTGACAGAGCGAGACTTTGTCTCAAAACAAACAAACAAAAAAGAATTCATGGCCACATTTCCAAAATCTTCATACTTTTGCAAGCTCACTGCCTATTTCAGGGCCATTTCTTTGAACTTATTTCTTCCCCTACCCACATAATCAGTGTGAACAGTCTAGTGTACTGCCTTCTGTATCTTCCTCCATGTTTCTGCAATAACATACAAATACAGGTATTCAGACATGGGGGATGGAGGTCATTTTACTTTATAATTTGAGATTTTCTCATAATATCATAAAATCTCTCCAAGTTAACCAGGTATGATTAAAATTAATCTTTAATCACATCTGAGACATTCTTACAACATAACTGACATATAATCTATACTTGATTGGTACACATTCAATATGTGAGATCAATTTTTGGGAGAGAGGAAAGGAAGCAGTAAAAAAGCTTCTATAAACATTCACTATACATGCCCTTATATATGTATGCTGGTATTTTTATTTTTACAATATATATGCCCTCATATATTATATACGGGTGTTTTTCTTTGTATAGTACATATTCCCAGGGGTTGTAATACTGGGTGAAATAGTTTGTATATTTTTAATTAGGATTATCAAACCACTTTTCCAAAATATGTAAGTAATTCATGTTTCCATCAGTCATGGGTGAAAGTCCCCTTTAATCAGCATCCTTACCTGTCATGGGTGTTATCTTTTTTCTCTCTCTCTTTTTGGCCAGTCAGAAGAATGATATCTCATTTGAATTATCCTAAGAGCAATGGATAGAACATTGTTTCATCTACTTACTGGACATGAGGATTTGCTCTTATGTGAACTACCTATTCATATATTTTTCAATTTTCTTATGGGCTGCTTGAATTTTTCTCATCAATTTGTAAGAGCTCTTTGTATATTAGAAATACCAACCTTATGCCTATTGCAGGAATTGCAAATATTATCTCTATCTAATGTTAGACTTTTTAGATGGTTTATGTCATCTTTTAGCACAGTTTAGTTTAACGATAACCAAATTACAGTCTATCCCTTAAGTTGCCAAAAAGAAGGAATCAGCAGAAAATTCTCGTTCTGCAATTACTAAGATAAAACATCCAGTGAAAGAGGAACTTGGAAAAGATCCAGTACAAATAAAACTGCATGTTCAAGAATGCTTTCTTAACCTTTGGCACAGATGCCACCTTGCCCCCTCCTTGGCTTATAAGAAGCTGTCATACACCATCATTAACACAGTTGGTCTCACCCTTCAATGCAGATGTTATAGGGTGCTGCTCCTGAATAATTCTTCAACCTGGGCAACGCATTTAAATTGGGAATTTTCAGCTATAATTGTTACTCTCTGCTGTCCATAGGATGAAGTCTTTGACCCGAACCTAAATACAGACCAGAATTCTGAGCCCAAAAACTATCTCCAGCATCCGGAGAAGAAGCATCATGAAAGGGGAGGAGAGAGCTGTTTATATATAAAATAAGTTGAATTTGCAAGAAAGAACCGACTGTCTTTTTCTTTAAAAATTGTAGGTAGTATCAAAGTTTTTCTCCTCTTTACAGATAAAAACAAAAAGGCTAACGGAATGCAGTCGACCGAGAACTAGTTTCTTACATTTCCATTGAGGGTATCTTTCTCTAGATCTGTCATTTTTCAGAATTTTCCAAGTAATAAAGTCACAGGCTTTTTTGTTAGGTGGCTGGAAAGAGAAATGTATTTGTCATTCTGTCTGATCTTCCAAAGCATTTTTCAGTGTTGTTTTTGTTGCTGTTATCTTGTTGAATTTTTTATCAGACTATTATTGGTATCACCAATAAAGAGGATGTTGAATTATGTTTCTCATTCCAAAAATAGTGCAAAAAAATTAATCTTAAAAAGTATAATGGAATCCACTTTTCTTTCACTGACTCCATCTGCAAGCCAGGATCAACTGTAAAATCATTTTATGAAGAAGCAATATTGCAGGGGATTTATTCTCTGGGTCTAACAGACTGCTTGCAAGCCAGCGTTAAAGACCTTGAACAGTTGATGCAAATTCCACCTTTGTATTTTACTGCCCTCAGTGAGCTCAACATCATTCATTAAAGGGTGTATTAGCTGATATCTTACCACCGCCATGCAGCAGAGAAGGAGAATCACATAATTTTAAAATTCAGGCTGAGGGCCACTGTGGACGCAGAAGGCTGACTTCCGACCACCTGCTTCCCCACTAGACTTGTTCCAAATGGCTTTCTTGAGAGGTGATTCACAAGTGCTAAAAAATCACGAATTTTTAAAGTGAGATATTTTGGATTACTTATAAACTACTTTCCGTAATGGCATTTTACCAATGAAATGATCCACTGGATGAAAATGACTTATCCTTAGTTATCTGTTTTATTCCTGAGCTCATCTATTTTGACAAGTTCTTGATCATTGTGCAGTACAAACTATGCGCAGCCTTTTCACAAAGGCTTCCCTATGGATTCTAGGAGCTCACAACCCACCGCTTCTCAACAGACAGTCATATATTCTACTTTACAGCAGAATACTTCTGCCTCAGGGAATCCTAATGGCCAGTGCCAAATCTTGTTTTCACTAACTGTGAGAAATGTGAGCCTTATGCTTTACATTAATAGGCCAAATGTATTTCTCTTTGATAGAAAATCAAACTTCTAAGCCACTGATAAAACTCTGGTGACATCCTGAGCTTCACAGGTTTGATCCTCTTACAAAAGGTGTGAACAATGCAAGTGAGGTTAACAAAAATCCTTGCAGGGAATCACACACTGAGTGGCTCTCTGGCCTGCATCACTAACTGCTGCATTTTATTAACAGCAGGTCAAAGAGCCTCTCGCCCAACACATCACAAATGTTCACAGAGATTCAATGAGTCAACAAGTATGCCTACTGCAGCTGGAACTGACACTGAAAATGTGAACTACATTGACAAAAATTCTCAGCAGGCCTCTCAAACACAAACTTTTCCCTAGCCCAAGGTCTCTGGGGAAAAATTATAACAATTAAAAGTGCAGTGTGGAGTGAGAACACAGTGCAGCAAATTTTTAATGTCAGAAAGTAGCAATTTGATAACTAAGAAAACTGGAAAAATCATTATAACCTATGCCTTACTTTGCCCAGCACCTCCCAAGACTCAACTGGAAAGAGCCTGGCTTTGAGAAGAATGAAAGCCTGAACTGCTGATTGTGAGAAAAAAAAAGGCAAAATAAGTGCTGAAAGGAACTCACATCAAATATTTCATTGTAAGAGTCTGATCTTATTTCCTATAGCCAGAATGGCATTTGACGATACAACAGTGGAGAATTTTGCTACTAAGATGTTGAATGAAATCCCTCAAGAGGAGAATTACCTTTGAGATTTTCTGTCACTTTTAAGATCACTTCTGAAGTATCAAAGCACTACTATAGCAAATGAAATATTATGAGGAGCTTTGCAACAGATGCCAATACCTTCCCAAACATGTCTGAGGCATCTCCTAGGTCAGAGGCCCTGGATTTCAAACATACTGCCAATATGTCAATGACCCCCAGATACACAGCTCTATTCCCAATCATTCCTCGATAGCCCACACTTGTGTATCTGTCTACTCTCTAGACCCGATGAGAAATGAAAGCCTTCAACTCAAAGTTAACATTGCCCTAGAAGAACTGTTGCGTTTCCCTCCAACCCCTATACCTCCCCAGGGCTTCTCTGTCTCAGTAAGTTGTCCACCATCCACTCACTTACTGAGGTCCAAAACTTCCAATTCATTCTTAATTTATCTTCCCCTCTCTCCAATGCCCAATCCATCAGAGCACCACAGACTCTACCTCTAAATATGTCAAGCCCATCCACTTTTCTCCTTCTACACTAACAACCCTGTAGTCTGTGCCACCATCACGCCTGACCCCATCATCTGTGAGAGCTTCAAGCTGGTCTTCCTGCTTCCCCTCTAGCTACCCTGGAATCCATTCTCTGACCCAGTGGTGACCTTGATAATATAACCGACAATTTGGAAACGTAAATAACTCATATCCCACCACTGCTTCTCCAAAGGGTTCCCAATGCCCCTAATAGACATAGAAGTTTCATGTCCCGGCTTACAAAGCCCTACATATGCTAACCCTTACCCACCTCTGTGGTCTCAATTCACACCACTGTCCCTTTCCCCACTACACACAAACCAATCCAAAGTTGTCCCCTGTTCACTCTCTGTCACATGAACCCATCTGAATTCTTTGCATAGCACTTAACCACTGGACAATACTTTTTTTATTTATTGTGAACGCAATTATTGCTTATGGTCTAACTCTTCCACCAAAAATGTATGCTCAGAGAGCCAGGAGCCTATCTGTCTTGCTTACGTGCATATCGCCAGTGCCTAAAACCGAGGCTCACACACTACATGTGTTCACACACACACACACAAATACCTGGGGAGGAGGGAGAATGCAAGTTATTTCTCATGGTCACTTTGACTGCAATTTTCAAGAAAAGCAGTCAGTGTGTGACAGCAACAGTAGAAGCACGATTTCCAATCAGACATTAATTGAGACGACCACTAGCCCTTGGTGACCCCATGTACAGGAAGAGATGTTTCAGGGACACCATTTGTTTATACAGATGTCTGTCCTTAAGGGATTTTTGTTTGAAATCAACCACCAATCATGTATTTTCTGCAAGGAAATTACACAGTAAGGGTGGGTTCCAACCCTCAAAATATTTGCTAGCTCAGTGAAATAAAACCAAGATTCCATTTGGAGAAACCTATAGCTGCTTTACTTTGCAATAAATTGTAAAATAGGTGGGTTTTATTGTTTTATAATTCTTTTCTGTAATAGTCTACCAAGAGGAATCCCTTGGGGACCTTTAGAAAATAAAAGGGGTAAAACACATGCTGCATTAAGAAGTTATATATTATCCACTGGGCTCAGCCATGCAGGAGGCCTCAGCATGACCTTGGCAAGTTTCTTAACCTCACCACACTGTTCACTCACCTTTAAATGGGGATAATATTAGAACCTGCATGCTTGTTGAGAAGATGAAATGGCATGCATAAAGCAGTATCTGGGACACAGGAAGTGCTCAGATAATGTAAGCATTATGAATTATCACCAAGTTATTAGCAGTGCTTCAAAAAATATTTCAGATTTGGAAATGTTGGAAAATCCACATTATTAAATTTGTATTGTGGCCGGGCGCAGTGGCTCACACCTGTAATCCCAGCACTTTGGGAGGCCGAGGCGGGCAGATCATGAGGTCAGGAGATCAAGACCACGGTGAAACCCCGTCTCTACTAAAAATACAAAAAATTAGCCTGGCGCGGTGGCAGGCGCCTGTAGTCCCAGCTACCCGGCAGGCTGAGGCAGGAGAATGGCGTGATCCTGGGAGGCGGAGCTTGCAGTGAGCCGAGATCACGCCACTGCACTCCAGCCCTGGCAACAGAGCGAGACTCCATCTCAAAAAAATAAATAAAATAAAATAAAATAAAATAAAATAAAATAAAATAAAATAAATGTGTATTGTCATTGCTACATTACAAGGAACTGTTTAATGACTTGCTCTGAGCATGTTCAAGTGCTCCTTTGGCTGCAAACACAGATGACTACCGCAGGCCCGTGGAGGTGACCCAGGATTAGCTACACTCTATTCTTTCTACACTTGGGGAACTGGCATGTGCTTAAGAAAAGACAAGAAAAGCTACTTCAAATCAATAAAGTCTTCACAAATCATGCACACGTGATTAGAAATGTTCGTTCTGGGTGTATCTGATCATTTAGTAATTGCTCAAGAAAACAAGAATAACTTTGTACATTATCTGCCATAAAGACAAAAAATGAGCAAGAAAATGAGAGTCAAAGTTAGAAAACAAACAAAACACTTAATATTATAATCAGAGAACTGAGTCACACTGTCATAATTCACTTTTTTATTGTTGCTAATATTATGATGTCCCAGAAGACACTTCTAAGACATTTACATAGACCTTAACACCTGGTTTATAAAATAATATTAAAAGAATATAGTCCAGTACATAAAAGAGAAAGTTATTTTAAAAAATGAAATTGGCCAGGTGCAGTGGCTCATGCCTGTAATCCCAGCACTTTGGGAGGCTGAGGCGGGTGTATCATGAGGTCAGGAATTCAAGATCTGCCTGGCTAACATGGTGAAAACCCAGCTCTACTAAAAATGTAAACATTAGCCAGGCATGGTGGCAGGCGCCTGTAATCTCAGCTACTCAGAAGGGTGAGGCAGGAGAATCTCTTGAACCTAGAAGGCAGAGGTTGCAGTGAGCCGAGATCCCGCCACTGCTCTCCAGCCTGGGTAACAGAGAAGACTCTGTCTCGGGGGGGAAAAAGATGAAATCAACTCCTAGAAAATACTGCAGCAGAATGATAAAGTAAACATACAACTACATATCAAGTTGAGTCGAGAAGAAAGGAATTTCAGGAAAATACACAAAAATGATAGTGGCTTGGGAGAAAAGAATAGACCTGCCTATCAAAGCATGTGTTGGTTCTCTGATGAGGTTTCAGCCTGAGAACTAACATGGGAAATGTGCTGTCCTTCTCCTGCTTTACTAACCTTCTGCCTTCTTGGTTGGTGCATCCCTGTGCCGGGCTGATGAATACATCACAACTGCTGCTCACAGCTGGGAACACAACCAGTAATAAGGCACAGTTATAGCTTCAGGGATGTAAGGAAGGTGAGTGACTGTCCATACTGTGCGTGTGTGTATCCACAGTCACACATGTGTATGTAGCACCAAGTTAGTGAAAAGGTTTTATTTAAAAGGTGCTACCTAGGTTGTGATTTTCCTCTAGTAGGTGGATCCTTGAGCAGCCTACCCCTAATTTGCCACAAATTCATAATTAAGTTACATAGCTGGGTGTTAGTATACTGTTTTACATATAGATTTCAGAGATTTTAACCCTGCCTTAGTGCACCTAATGCAGTAGGGTTTCATCCAATTATAAGGCTTTCTCTATCTGTTTCTATATCTATTTATCTATCTCTATATAATTTACATACATGCATTTATATAGGTGGATATTCTATCTTTCTGTTTATTCAACTCTATCTACATATATTACATATATGTGTGTAAATATATATATGTGTGTGTATATATATATATATATATATATATATATTCAACTCTATCTATCTATCTATCTATCTATCTATCTATCTATCTATCTATCCATCCATCCATCCATCCAATTGACCCAGAATTGTGGTCACAGCAAGGCAGATACTCTTAAACATTAGTGCTGTCCTCTGGACATGTACATCCAGATAACTATGTTACAGGAAATACAATTTCAGTCTTCTGAGCTTGGCTCACCCCACAACCTGACAGTCATGCTGTGCTGCGCTATTTTTATGTTTAATATGTACTCCTTGAAGATGATACTATGAAATTCCACTGTAACACTGATAGTGTTCAAATGCTCACTTTAAGAAAGGTTAGATGCCAGGAAGGAAGTGATACCGAATCCTACAGTGCAGGAAAGCAGCTACATTGGTTTCGGTCTTGGTGCTATTTGAATACCTCACCTTCCTTTTCTGTTCTCTTCTACATCTCATAGATAACCATTAATAAGAAACGGACTTTAGAAGGATCTCACAGTCTTTCCTGTCTTTGGTACACTGTAAGTGATGTTCAATTACACTGGAAAACAGTGAAGACTATTTGAGAAAGCAGTAAAATGAATGGCCCCAGCTGGACAATATGGGGACAGTCTATAATGGCTACAGCAAATATAATTATTTAATTATTGTAAAATTATGCAATAAACTTCTTAAACTAAATATAGCACAATCAGAAGGCTAGAGCAGTACATTTAATCACACTCTTAAGGACCATTAGAGAAGTTATATTTTACAAAATTTCCATCTGAATCACTTCATTAAATAACATATACGTATTCAGTGCTTATTATGTGCCAGAGTGTTAAGTATTGGGAAGACGGATGCAATAATCAAGCCAAGGACTTCACAGTGTGAAAAGGAAGGACTATATGTATTTACAAAATACTACAATGAATCCTACTTTAAATTGCCATTGCAGGGATGTGCACAGGAGTGTGGGGACACAGAGGGGGTGTGACTTAATTCATCCGGCCATGGAGAAGGAAGAGAAAGGTTCATGGAAAATGAGACAGATTAGCTGAGAACTGGTGAACAAGCAAATATCTACCCACTGAACAATGTGGGGGAAATTATACCAAATGCATGAATCTCTGATTGGGGTGGGGGAGGAAGAATCCCATTCCTCTTCTCTTAGCCAAGCCCATAGCCTTCCAGCTCTGTGTCCAAATTAGAAATAGGGTATTACTCATGCGATTCAGAAAGTCCCAGAAAAATCCATCCATCAACCCATCTACACAACAAATAATTATTGGCATCTTATTACATCTTAGTCCCTTACCTCACCTAGGAATGGAGCAGTGAGTGAACAAAATAAGCAAAATCCCTGGCAGGGTAGAGCTTACATGAGAAGGCAGGGGCAGAAGTTATGTAAAATTGATAAACAAAATATCTCATGTATCAGACAGTGCTAAGTTCTTTACAAGAAAAGCAATAAAGCAGAAAAGGAAAATAGAGAATAGCAGGGAGACTTTCCATTTTAGTCATTTGATCAGGAATATCTCCTGACAAGGTAAGAGTTGAATAAACTTGAAGTAGGCCAAGGAGCAATCTTCAGGGATCTTCAGGTAAAGAGTGCTGCAGGCACAGAAAGGAGTCAGAATGAAAAGACTGAGCAAGGAAAGTGGCTACTCTGTTCCAGGGAGACCAAGGAGGCCAGTGAAACTGAAGCTGGTGCTTGGGAGAGAAAGATAGATAGAGAAGAGAGAGGATGAGGACAAAGAAGGGACACGTGGTGCCTGGCGCACCAAGGGAGGAAGCTGGCTTTCCATCAGAATAAGGCAGCAGCTGCTGGAGGATTCTCAGCAGAGAGCCTGTCTGGTCACTGTGTGGAGAAAAGACCACGGAGGCCCAAGAGCAGAAGCAGCGAGACGGCCGGAAGACCTGAGAACTCACGGGGACCAAGTTGCTGGGAGCTTAGCTGAGGCAGGGAGCAGTGAAGGTGCTGAGAAGTGGTAAGATATTGGATATATGTTGAACAAAAAAACGAACAACAATAAGATTTGTTGACAGCTGGGATGTGGGGTGACAGAGAAAGAGAATAATCAAGTATTGTTCCAACTGTTTCAGCCTGAGCAAGTGGAAGACTGGACTTCCCATTAATAAAATGAGGAACTCTACAGAAGGACATGGCTAGGGGTTGTGGGGAGAAAAGAGTTCAGTTTGGACATGGTTAATTTGAAGACATAAATTAGACATCCAGTTGTGAGGTTAAATAGGCAGTTGAATATATAAACAATTCTGGAGCTTAGGGATAGGTTTTGGCTGAAGATAGACATGTGGGAGTAATTAGTGTGCAAATGATACTAAAGCCATGAGACTGGAAGAGATTTCTAAATGGTGAGAATGGTGGGAAAAGAGACAAGGTCCAGACACTGAACCTTATGGGACTCCAGTGCTTGGATGGCAGGGAGATGACCATTTGAGGCTAAGATGCAAAGCCCAGAGATATGAGGTCAGGCCAGAGAAATGGAGCATCCTAAAGCCAAGTAGAGAAAGTATGTCAAGGAGGTGGGAGGGGTCGATGGTATAAAAGCTGCTAACTGTTAAGTATGATGATGACTGAGCCTCGACTGCTGGATTTAGCAACATGGCGGTGTTGGGTGATCTTGACTAGGCAGTGCTGAAGGAATGACTAAGGGATCAGACTGGGCTCAAAATAAAATAAAAAGGCAGAAATGGAGGACAACAAGTACAGGCAAATACTTTAAACCAAGTTTTTTTTGTTTTTTGTTTTTTTTTTAGCAAAGAGGAGATAAATGTATTATAACTAAAGAGGAAATTAGAGGCCACAGGTCAAATTTTCTTAGGATGATAGATGTTTCCATTCCTATTGGAAAAAAAAATAAACAGCATAGAGGGAAAAATAAAAGCTGATTATGTAGGAAAGAAAGGAAATAACTGCTTAAGTACTGTAGGAGCAAAGGAATGGGATACAGTTTGGCCAAACTAGGGTTAAGAGTTTCCATCAGAATTAATCAGTGTCCACTAGCTGGAATATTGTGATTGGCCCACTTGGGTAGGTACCTCACCTTTAAAACATCACTGTAGTAAGGAGGTGGCCTGCAATGAAGAAAAGAGGAACAGTTCTCAAAAAGTATGTGGCCCCTGAGCTGTGATAAGGGTACCCCAATTTATATGTACTAAAAAAAATCTGAGCTACAGTAAACAACTTAGATCAACCCACTTAATTCCTCAGCACTGGAAATGTAAGTGCACTATTCTTAGATACTGTTACATGAAAATGTGGTGATATTTACTTCCCAGAATCTCCCAACCAACTTCCCAACCTTTGCTTTTTCTGCTTTGGTTTAACCAATAGTGGTTACTGCTCAGGCTTTAAACAAAAACAAATGAAGCAAAATGACTCTGATTTCTTTGTGGCCTCGGAGGCTCAAAAAGACACAAACACACATGAAACCCCCACTAGCTTTCCTAGATAAAGCATGAACTGATTAGGTTTGCAGCCCTGCAGCTATAGAGGCCTCTCCAATACTCTGATCTGGAAACCACAGGGCAGGAAAATCCCCAAAGTCCCATGAAATCCAAAGATCCAAACGTGGGGTCGTTTTTATGCCCTCAGGAAAGTTCTGCCAAAAAAAGAGATCTTACACACAGTGTAATTGAGAGGGCAGTATCCTTACGTGCACATGTAAATCCAAATCCAAGCAATTAACCCCACACACATCTGCCCCTCTAATGGGTGTCTGAGAATAAACAGCACACGTCAATCCCTCCCAGCCTCACTCAATCACGAAACTAAGAAAAGAAAATGAATTCTGAACTTCACCACACAGCTGTGATTCACAAATATTTATAGTAGCCATAAAGCTGGTGACCTTCAGGAAGATAACACACTTGGCAGACATTCACCTAAACAAAAGAGGGGAAAAGGCCCAAATCTCAAACAGCAGAGAACAGAGAGAGAGGCAAGATTTCCCAAGTTCCATAATGGGGAATTCCAATGCATTCTGATGGAGATAATGGAAGCTGACAATTCTCCTGTCAGTGAGCTTTGGTAAGCGGAGTGAAATGCTTGTGACAAAACAGATCAGCTCTGCACGGGCCTTTCTGGATGGCCTCACAGAGATTTTCCATCAGGCTGAGTACACAATCGGATGGGACTCAGGAGTGGTGTCTACAGCCCTGTATTTCTGACATTATTAGGAATGACAGGCTAAACCTTTATCCCAAATTACAACCACTCAGCATGTTTAAGCAAGTGTGTACCTTGTATCAACAATATACATAGAGATGCCCTGAAAATATCACAAAATAAAATTCCTTTCAGGAACGTGGCACCGAAAGAAACACCGTCAGCAACTCAGCAAGCACTTTTTTTTTCATATTTGGTCTCTTTGTCTAGTTTAAACCCCTCATTACCTATTATCACACCCAAACCTATGTCTTCTCACTTTCCTTATTTTATAGCCAAGAAATCTAACAAAATCAAGACAAGTAAAGACTGAGAGCTGACTCTTGGTCCGATCTGTCCACGGTCAGGTGGTTATGAATCTCAAAAAGCGAGATCTAGATTCAATCTTTTGGAACTCCTGCCCTTAACATTATTGTACGCACATCACAACAAATTACTATTTTACATCAGTGCTCGAGACTGCACAAACGAGGACATCTTATTTGTGATTTGACCAGCCTTAACTTGGTCTTTGATACCCACCATGTAACATTTAATGCAAACACCTTAAGTTAGCTACAAGAATGAGCCAAGAAGCAAAGCACTGTGATCAGGATTTAATCATGGTTAATATAATGGGTTAAGTTCTATAAAATTTTTTAAAAATGAAATATAGTTGTTAAAATATAGTCATAGGTTATATAAAATCTTAAAATAGAAAGTTCCCTTCTCCCTAACGAAGAATGAATAAAAGAATGAGAAAATTTAAGTTGTCTGGTTCTAAACTAGGTCTCTATTTGTAGAAAGGAGAAGTGTGTTTCTGGGATTTTCTCCCACTTGTACAAATATTGTTATTGTCCGAACATCCACAATAAATTAAAATTGGGGATTGATTTTTTTCAGTGAGGACAAAGAAAGGCAGAATAAAACATTGAGAAGGTTTTAAAAAGCAAAACTATATTTTAAATATCTGTTCCTGAATTAAACAGTTAAATATTTTTAATACAATCAGAAGAAAGTAAAGAATTTTTGTTCATTTTTTTACTATTCCCATTTTATAGATGAAAATGTTTTGTTTTATTCCTAAGCACTGATTAAAATCATTATCAAGAAAAAATCTGACATCACTAAAATAAACTTATTTAAATTTAAAAGGATAAAGCAAACAAGCAAATGAAATAGCGGAAAAAACAGTGACAATAATGAGTTAATATTCTTAATAATTAAGCCTTAAAATCTGTAAGAAAAATGTTGAGTCTCTATAGCTAAACAGTTATAAAATCTGGACAAATAATTCTCACACACGCTTGTTTGTCTCTGTCTCTCTCTTTCTCTCCCACCCTTCCCTCCCTCCTTCCCTTCCTCCTTTCTCTCTTTCTCTCACCTCTTCTCAGAGTAATGGCTAATTATTGCTTGAAAAAAAATTAGCAAAGAAACACAATGAGTAAAAAATAAAATATATAAAAAAAGAATATTATCAAATTGACTAAAACAATTAATAATACTACTCAAAGTTTTTGAGTAATGATATTCAAATTTGTTTTAGCAAAATAAATTCTCCAGCATATAAATGAAGTATAAATATCTACAATACTTTTACAAAGCCAACTGGCAGATTTTTAAGACTCCCTGGGTTTTATGTAGTAAATCAACCATAGCTCTTCTGAGCTAATGAATTAACCCTCAATTAAAAGAAAGTATTACAATAACAATTGCTATTGTTTTTGAAGCATGTACTTCATGCACCAAATACAGTGACCTGCTCAAAATGAGAAAGCAGGATTGGAACTCAGGTGTATGAAGTCTCCCATCACCCTTTTCATGTTCATTTCAGCATGGTCTATGACTTTTGTGAACTGGAAGCAACATATGTTCCACAAAAGAAGCAGGAAATGACATTACAGTGCCTTTACACGATAGAGTATTACATATACATTAAAACAAGGGTTTTTTCTTCAATTTGCAATAATATGAGAAAGTATGTATAAGTGAAAAAGCAGTATGCAGAATTTTATGTCTAGTATTATCTCAACTCTTTAAACTGCTTATCAAAAATATTCCATAAAAGACTACATTAAATGTCGTCTGTGATTGTCTTCAATAGAGGCATTATAGTTGAATTTTCCTCTTCTTTTATATATTTTCAGTAATGAGCATTCACTACATTAATGCACTTTAAAAATTTTTTTAATTGTAAAAATAATAATACTCCTGAAAATCTTACTGACCACATGGATGATAAAGTGCAAACACCTGTACTCCAGAGATAATCTCTGTTTAGAGTATGGTATATATTAATATATATTCTAGGAGACTTTATAATACACATGAACTTGTGCATAGAGATTGTGTGTGTGAGTCTGTGTTTATTTTTAAGAGGAATGGGATTATATTAAATATATTATTCTGCAATTTGCTTTCTCAGTTAATAAGGAATCAAGGATAGTTTTCCATTACTTTTATGGTCAGAATTTCATTTTTTATATCATTGCTATTAAGGTGAAGCACACTTTGCCATGGCACATGGAATAAGTACCTAGGGGCCAGTGCTCCTTGACAAAGGCATGTCTCCAAAACTTCTGCTATATTATCAGGCTCTTGAGTTTGCTGCAATTATAGATTTCTAAGAATGAACGAATGAATGAGTACAATAGTTCCTTGCTTAAATTGCTTAAAGAAACACAAATTAATTGGTCTTTCAATTTTCTTTGCCCATCTTTGTAAATGATATAGTAGAGAGTCAAATATGCCTTTAAGTATCAGAAGTATCCGTTTGTAATAAAAAAGAAAAATTTAAAAAATCATACCACAATTTATTTATGTGGCAAAGGGTATTGCCATGTTATTTCATCATTTAACTATGTCAATCCTGTTCAAACTCCATCTTTGCTCATAATAAAAGAGGGATATTCGAGACCAGACCAGAACATTCTTGTTCAACAAAATTATCAGAAGGCCCAAGATAATTGCATGTTTACCCTAATATATATAAAAGGCAGTATGTATAAGGGTGCAAACTAACAGTGTCACATTCAGAAACTATATAAAAACCAAAGTAGGAAATACCATCTAAACTTATTTCATAAATGAGTTATATATACCAGCTTAACAAAATGTCAAGAAAATAATATTTACCAGGCCCTAATTTGAGCAAAGCTGTAATTTAGGTGGGACTTAGACTAACACATTTGGGGCATATAAACCATGTCAAGCAATAGAACATCAAATGTCCTTATTCTAAGGGGTAAGGTTTGCAGTTACAATAGACTTCAATAAAATTTGTTTATAATTAAAATCCAAGCATCCAAGATAAATTGCACTGTGGGACTAATACCTACTGTCCCCGAAACACTCTCATTCACTATACTATGAGGTCTTCGGCAGTGCAAGGATCGTGTCAATCATAGCTCAGAAAGCTGCTTAGCCTGGAGGCCAAATCCAGCCCACCACCTGTCTTTGTAATAAAGTTTTATTGTAACACAGCCATGCCCATTCACTTACATACCTATGACTGCTTTCATACTACAACGGCAGAGTGATGCAGCAGAGACTCTATGGCCTGTAAGCGCCAAAATGTTTTCTCACACTTTTTAGAAAACGTTCGCCAATTCTTGATTTAGATTACTGTTTGAAAAACTGATTTCTTAATATTTGTTCTGAGTTTCTCTCTACAGGTCTGAGTAACTCCAGTAAGGAATAAAAACTAAAATATGACTGTTCTTATTCTAGGGAGGCATGGTTAGTGCTAAAAGGCAGTTTTCTGTAAAGGTTAAGAAGATAGAATCAAATCCCAGCTCTGCCTCTGACTCACTGCAATTCTCTTGCAGATTATTTAAGCTCTCTGTGCCTCAATTTCCTCATCTTTAAAACAGTGACCCAAGAATACGAACCTGAAAGGGTTGTTATGAGAATTTTAAACATCTCACTCAGCACAGGGCCTGACACACAATGAGGACTTACATTAGCTAATAACTCTTCCTATCATATATCATGATAACCGCTGACCATCCAAAGCAAGCCAACACAGGCTCCATGTGGTCATTCTTCCAGCTCTCAGGTGCTGTGGTTCTCCATGGGGGAGGGAACGGGAGGTTCCGGTTAAGACACTATGTGAACCTGAATCTACGTGGGCTGGAGAAAGATACAAAATGCAGACCTCCGTTTCTTCTTCTGCAAAACGTAAGGACGACACAGGAGAACCTCTCGTCTCAGCTGAGCACATCTACACATCTATACAGAGGGCCCAGCTCTAAGACCCATTTAGCCTCCTTCCTCATAGACGAAGCCAGGGACTGGTAACTCATAATCCAAGAGCAGGAATGGTCACCAATTATTCAGAAAATCTCTGGATTATCTAAAATCAGCAAAGTGTTTTGTGAATGGGGAAAAAATATAAGCCTGTCCACAATGAGACGGTAATTTAGTTAGGGAGAAAAATAAATAAGTTAATAAACAATGGTAGTGTCTTTGCAGTGACTAGTATATGGAATGAAATTGTCACTTTCTCTCACTTTACTTGTTCCTCCCCTACACAACTAGTCCTCTATCCCCCTTCACCCCTTCCTCTCTTCTAGCCTTCCCAGAAGGTAGCAACACCTAGGTCTAAAGTGCTTCAGAAAGGCTCCTGTGAAGCCAGCATTTCTGAGCCAGCCTTTGGAAGATCCAAACAAGCACGATTCGTGGTGGGAACAGATCATTGTGAAGTGGGGGGTCAGTCCCTACACTGTCCCAGGGCCACAGGAAGGAGGAAATTGTGTGGAGGCCTGACCAGGAGGATCCCTGAGAGTATCATGAGAGGTTTAGGGCTTACCCAGCAGGTACAGGGGACTGCAGAAGGTCCCAGGACAGGAAGTGAGATGACAGTGGTATGCACTGCAAATAAGTGGGGGCAGCGCACAGAGGTAACTGCAGGAGACAAAACTGAAACCAGGTAGGCAGTCACACTGGGGCGCAGAAGATGCTAAGAAGCATCTAAGCCTTTTCACGTCTTCGGGTTCCTGAGTGATGTAGCGGTGGTATATGCCCACAATTGTTTTACTTGAAAGATTTCTCTATCTGAAAGCTTGCTCATTAACTCTCATTTTTTTTTCTTTTCTTCTTTTCTTCTTTTCTTCTTTTTTCTCTGAGATGAAGTCTTGCTCTGTTGCCCAGGCTGGAGTGCAGTGGTGCAATCTCAGCTCACTGCAAACTCTGCCTCCTGGGTTCAAGTGATCCTCATGCCTCAGCCTCCCAAGTAGCTGGGATTATAGGCACGCGCCACCACGCCAGGCTAATTTTTGTATTTTTAGTAGAGATAGAATTTCACCATGTTGGCCAGGCTGGAACTCCTGACCTCAGGTGATCAGCCTGCCTCAGCCTCCCAAAATGCTGGGATTACAGGTGTGAGCCACCAAGCCCAGCCTACTCTTATTTTTAATAACAGAAGTAAAGCTCACAAGCTGTCAAAAATATTTCAATCTGTAATTTTTTTAGTTTCTTCACTTCCCATTTAGATGTCTCACTTACCAAGGAGAGAGAGGATGGAGGACGCGTTTCCTCAATCATGAATCACACTGACTCCACAGCCACGTGGGCACTCCAGCCCAAGTCTCACACACCAACACTTCAAAAAAGAAAATAGAGAGATCCTGTCAACCCATTTTAAAAGAGGATGTGGTCATTGGTCATGAGTTCTATGAAGTTCCATTAAAGTCCTAAACAATCAGAGCAAGCTGCTTTGGCCACGTAGGATTAAAGCAGTGACGCAGGCCAGCTTGGCATCACAATCATGCTACCCTAGTTCAGGATCATGTGCACTAATGGATTCTTTTTCTTCAGAAAAGGAGAAATAAAACATTTAAATGCTGTTAACAGATGAAATAACTCTCATAAAACATCCAGAAGAACCATTATTTCAAAATTATCTTAACCAGTCTGAAATTATCTAAAGCAGTCTGAAAATTAAATTAAGATTCATTATATGAATTTATCCTTTTCATGACTCATTCCACTTTTTGGAACACATGGTACCTTATACAATTCAAGAACAGGAGACAAAGGCAGTAGCACAAACTCTGCTAGAAATTTGAGTTTGTATTTTTATTTACATACTGATTTATTAGGTGCACAATTATGAGGCTTTATAGGAAAAGGAATGATGCATCGTGAAAAACAAGCCACTTTACCAAAACCAAGTAAACCTGTCCAATCTCGTCATTCAATTTCATATACAAAAATTCTGAAACCTTGATGTTGTCATTGGATGGAAAGATGACCACGAAACGCCAGCCTCCCTAGAAACATGTATGCCAGAGGCTGAAAATATAGGTGACTTTCCATCTATGATCCATATGAGAAATGTGTTCATCACCAGTGAAGGATGCCTGTGACTTCAAATACTGCATTTCAGGGCTCATGCTTTTTTCTGTTCTCTTCATTCATCTGGTTTTTCTCTACACTTCCCAGGTGGCAGCTTCTGGCTGCTATAAATGTGAAACACCCTGACATTCTTCCTCGCCACCCTGAAGAAGGGAAAATGGGAGAAAGAACTTCCCAGAACATTCTGGCTGTCCCTCTAGGCAGTGATTCCCACACGGTCAGCTTCAGTCATGATCCGAGGCCATCTGCCTGCAGAAAATGAACTGAACGACAGCAGCTGGAAATTTATAAAATGTTATACCTGCTGAAGTGCCATTTTGGAAGCCCTAGGGTTCAGAGGCCAGGGAACAGGTCAAGGTGGCACTGCCTCTCTATGAGTCTCCCTTCCTCCAGGACGGGCCTTTGGTATGTTCATGGGAAGCAAGGGGGTGACCCAGGGCAACACACTGGGACATGCCTGCCTGAGACGCCCCAGCAGCCCAGGCACCCTCATATCGTGCAGCACGGCCAATCCTCCAGTCCCAGCAGAGTCCTCAAAAGTCCGTGACATCATCCTTTGGACAGGAGAAGGTGCAGATGCAAATCCTTGAAGCCAAAAGAGGAGCCAGGGAAGCACACTCAGTCTCAGAAATATTCCTCAGAGTGGCCAATTTCTTTTACACAACATCACTAATATCACCTTTGGGCGTGGCAACAAAATATGTTAGTTGAAACTCCTTTATTAAATGGCATGTTTGAATACACAAGCATCCTCTCTCCAGTCCTAAAATCTATTTTACAACAATTATTACTAAAATGTCCTTGTAGTTGTTTAGATCTGAGTTGAAATGTAAGTAATAAAGTTTGACAGATCCTCTGGTTACCGCCATGAATAGCTGGCAATTTCTGTAAGTTCCCATGTCTCAGAACTACATTAAAAACAGGGCTAATAGGTCTCCTGCCTCCCCCAGTGAGGTCACAAATGAGCTGATGTGAACCCTCAGCTGGACAGCAAAACCACACCTGCAGAATATGGGTCAGTCTCTTAAATGAAAGAGACTGGGGCCAAAAAGATCATTGCAAGAATTCACAATCAGTAACACAACCAGAGAGCAAATACTGCAGGAAGAAGACATCCCTGCCGAATCCAGCATGGACAGCCCACAGCCTGGACCGCCAGACAGTCCTGGTGCAACCAACAGACTCCAAAACCCAGCCCCTTCCTTGTGGAAAAGCAATACCCACAGGACAGAGCTCTCTTGGCTTGGGGGAAAACACAGCTTCCTACAGAGTTTGATGTCTAAACAGGAAATCAGTCTCAGCAGCAGGATTCAAGGGTGTCCACCCGAAAGGGTTGTTACTGTGCCTGTGTTTACATAAATAGTGAAAAAGATATTTTAACAGCCTGGGGGCTTGTCAGCCAAGTGAGCCATGTTGGGACTTTCTGCTCCTGAGGGTCAGCCCTTGCCTGGGGAAGACAGGGTGCTCACCAACACACCCATGTGTGCCTGGGAACGTGCACTCAGGAACAGAAATGATAGTGACAAAGCAGAGGCCTTGAGTTGGAGCCAAGCTAGAGGAACAGACAATGATTCTTGCAGGTCCAGAAGCAGAGCCCCCGTGTCCTCTCCCAGCAAGGTCATAAATTAGCCAATGCATTAATCATAAATCACTGACATATTTTCTAGAAAACTGAGAAGAAAGCTGAAAGGCAAAGAAACTACAAAGCCCCAGAGGCTCACTCCAGACTGGAAGTTGGAAAATTTTTAAGCGACAGTTAACTACCCATTTAATAAGAAACTGCTTATTTTTTATAAACATATAAATTTCTCTATTTGACTCAATTCCATATTATCCTTATTCTTTTCTCTTTTAGCTTAGCTTTAACCTTGGTGCCAACAACCTCTGAAATCCTCTGAGTCATAATTTTCAGAGTTCTGCCTCTTAAAAAATGCCACCATGAACATATATGTGCAGAACTATCTTGACGACACTTTTGATTTACAAACAGTAACTCTTTCCCAGAAGTTTTGCCCTGTGGCCACCTACACTCTTCAAATTGTCTCTAGATGGAACTACATGAAGAAGATTGAATACCAATTATAACTTACTAAGTGCTCATCAGCACATGACTTTCTGCTAAAATATGCAACCTTCTCCCTGCCCAACTTACTCAGAATGAGGTAAGATGTAGACTTAAGCATTATTTTGGAGACCAAAGTTGAGCTGAGTGGTAGCCTTTATCCTGCAGATACATGGCAGAAATTAACATGCCAGGCCAGTCTTATGAGCTGAATTTAGAAACCGTACAACAGTAAGATTACACTGGAAATAAAAATGGACAAGACCACCTGGCATCAGAAAGTTTAGTGGAGTGATGAAAAGAAACCGTAAAAGATACAGGTTCAAGAAACCTAAGAACTGCTGGGCCAGCATTTCCCAAAGGCAAGACTTAGACCAGTGCCATGGCATTTAATTGACAGGCCTCTCATCATCAGTCCCTCCGTTAATCACCATGCACAGCACAGCCCCATGGCCACACATGGTGGATGCTTAGAAGACAAAACAAGAACCTATTACACTCTCAGGAGCTGTCTATATGATTTTTCTGCTATGTAGTTCAGTATATACTATGAATTGGAGGAAAGAGAAGTTACTTATGGGCAGAAGAGTCAAGGAAAAGATTTCTGAAAATGGGAAATGTGATGTGGGCTCTAAGGGATGAGGAGGAGATAAGGAGGATATTAAAAGACACAGTGAAGTATGTTTTAGTGGGTGCATTGCAGGTGAAACAAACAGTAGATGAGGGAGGAACAGCTGAAAGTCATCAGGTATAAGAGAAGAGCCATTTACGCCAGCACCATGGTGAGTTAAAGCATGAGTTCCTGGTACCATCCCTGGAGTTGGGTGGAAACCCCACCACGGAGCCCACCAAGATAAGAGTTTGCAGGAGTGCAAACTGAATGAGATAGGTGAAAAAAAGCAATTCCACAAAGGTAAAAATCTGGACTGCAATGCCATAAGAATCACAGACAGAAATCTGGCCTCATGCTCAAGTCCCTGGAGGAAGACAAGGAAGTAAACAGGAGGGTGGATTCCAGGTGGCAGGCCAAGGAGCAGGGAGGGTGGCATCAGGAGTGTGTGGAGGCAGCCAGCATCGGCTAGCAGCAGCATGTGCCACGATGACTACCTGCAAGATCACTCACATGCAAGAGCATGGAGAGCTCAAAAGAGGCACTCCAGACAGCTAACAGATGGGAAAAGTAGATGACACACAGATTGTAGGGAATGTTAACATGAGAAAGAGATGAGACTTCATCCAAAGGAAGGCAGAGTCACTGAAGGTTCAGTGGGATGTCAGGATGAGCAAACTTTGGGAGGGTGAATATGGCAGCTCTGCAGAGGATGCACAAGACAAGAAGGGGAGAAGCTGGGGTAAAAAGCCGCCACCAGAGAACTCCAGGTATGAGGAGAATTGCAGTGAAGGATGAACATGGCCCTTGCCAAGCAAAGGACTTGCCTTTGCCAAGTTCCTGGGAAGTCACCTCTAAGACCTTAGAATGTCCTGCCTGATGAGAGACTTTGTTTTGGGGGGGCTTTAGGCCACACAGATAGTCTAGGCTAACCATGTGGTTAATGGCTGAGGGCTTGGGCCTCTCTGGATTAGTCTGGCCATGTCTATGTGGTCAATTCTCAATAAAAACTCAGGACACCAAGGCTCAGGTGAAGTCGCCTGGTTGGCAACACCCTATGCATGTTGTCATACATCCTTGTGGGGGAAGAAGCACTGTCCACGTGTCTCCACTGGAAAGAGACCATCAGAAGCTCGTGACTAGCCTCTCCTGGACTCCAGCTATGCACCTTTTCCACAGCTGGAGTGTAAAGGGTACTACTGTACCCTTTGACTGAGATCAACCATAATCACTAATACAACAGGTTTTACACATTCTTAGAGTTCTTCATGTAAATCATTGATCCTGAGGGTGCCCATGAGCCACATGGCAAACAGGGTCAGGGGGCCCCACATGACTAAGTGTGCAGCTTCAGCCCTAAACATCAACATTTAAAACCCAGGAGCAACAAATGGCCTATCGCATTGGAATTATTCACAAAGAAAATATATTCCACATTCCCAGAAATATATTAACTATCTAAAATAGATTTTAAAATATGCTAAATAAAAAGTCAAAACATCACAGTCCATTTTTGCAAAGAATCACTTATATAGAAACATCAGTCTAAAAACTCAGCATGTACTTACTGAGGAATGAATGTTCTTGAATTTAGGGCAATAAACTAAATGACGAAAATCAGAATTTTCTCAGTAGGAATGAAAATACAAAATGAGTAAAGGACACTATTTTTGGAATTGCCTTCATCCAATGCCAACTGGTTTGATTGACAGGAACTATGTGGAGGACCCAGCACTCAGATGTGGGCTGTGGGATAATGAAACGCCATTCACTCTGGTTATACGCACTGCAACCCTTTCTGTCACTGTCCGTAGCCTGGGTGTCCAGGCTTCCATTAGGTCACTTCTGACAGCCTCTGTCACTTGTTCCACAGGTGGTCTCCACAGGAATGTGCTTGGATAAATCGACAGTGGACATTTAGGATAATAATGTCCCTTGAAAGAATGGCAATCTCTGTGGCTGGGGGTCCTTGGAAACCCCAGCCACTCAAGAAAACAAAGAGTGGGTGACAGGAACAGAGAACAAGGCTTTGAGGCAAAAGTTATAGGGAAGAAAGCAGAGAGAGGGGAGAGGGGAGGAAGAGCAAAAGAAAAGGAAGAGGGGGAAGAAAAACACCCTAGAAGCAGCTACAGGGATAACAGGATGTCCTGAAATGGTGCAGCCAACTGAAAAATATGATATAATCTATCATTATAAAATGGACTTTTATTGTTTCCTTCAACTTTTGTTAAAATAAATTTTATGGAAAACTGAGGTTTACAACATGATGTAATGGGTGACATATAGATAGTAAAATGGTTACTCTAGTGAAGCAAATTAACGTATTTATCATCTCACATAGTTACATTTTTTGAGGTAAGAGCAGCTAAAATCTACTTATTTCACAAAAGTTCTAAATACCATATATGGTTCTCACGCCTGCATTAGTATCTTTGAAGGATACAAATAACAGCAATGTCAGCTTCAGGTACGAGGGAGGAGGGCCAGTTCCTGGCCATTCCCTTCCACTGGCAGAACGTCTGCTGCCAGCTACCACCACATTCCTGGGCAAATATTCCAGCATTCAAGGAAACAATTTGAAAAGGAAAAGCAAAATGCACAAAAGCTTGAGGTGATGAAGAAATTATAGGATGAAGGCAGCAGCCAGCCCCAACCACTCTTACCATGGTCCAGGGAGCAGCCGCATACCCCACCCCTTCTCTCCTCTACAGGCCAGCACTGGCTGGGGTCAGAGGCTGATCCATGGAGCAAGTCCATTGAGACTCCCAAATATGAGATTGCTGGCCACTTTACATTCAAGACAGGGTCAGGACTCAAATGAAAAATGATGTAATTTTTAAAGATAGATCTCTGGATTTGTTCAATATCACCACTTAAATTTTTTTTTAGTTTATTTTTTTTAATTTTTTTTTTATTTCCAAAGGTTATTGGGGAAAAGGTGGTGTTTGGTTACATGAGTAAGTGTAACCAAACTTTTGTGGTGACTTGTAAGATCTTGGTGCACCCATTACCTGAGCAGTATACACTGCAACCTATTTGTAGTCTTTTATCCCTCACCCGCTTTCCACCCTTTCCCCTGAGTCCCCAAAGGCCATTGTGTAATTCTTATGCCTTTTCATCCTCATAACTTAGCTCCCACTTATGAATAAGAATATACAATGTTTGGTTTTCCATTCCTGCATTACTCCACTTAGAATAATAGACTCTAATCTCATCCAGGTCGCTGTGAATGCCATTAATTCATTCCTTTTTATGGCTGAGTAGTATTCCATTGTATAGATATACCACAGTTTCTTTATTCACTTGTTCATTGGTGGGCATTTTGGTTGGTTCCACATTTTTGCAATTGCGAACTGTGATCCTATAAACATGCATGTGCAAGTATCTTTTTCATATAATGACTTATATTCCTTTGGGTAGATACCCAGTAGTTGCACCACCTAAATTTTGAACGGTATTTGACATTGTGATGTCTAAATGCTGAGAGCGGAGTTAGAAAGAGATGGGATATAGTGGGCCCATCTCTTAACGGTTTTTCTTTCTTAAGGATGTTCCTTTGCCTCTTGGTTTGCCCGCACCGGCCTGAATACAGAATCTGTGCAGGACCCCAGCCAAGCTGTGCACAGACAAACAGGTTCTGAATGAAGTGGTGTCTCTAGCAGGGACAGCACTGATGCAAACACCCATGGCTTACACATTAGAGACCTTACACAAAATGTGGGACAAAATAAATGCACAGAGAAAGAAAACACACACACATATTTACAATCAGATCGTTATAGATATCCAATAATATTGCATTCCAATAAGCAAATAAATGGCCTTACTTTCCACATCAGCTTGAACCTCCAATCAGAGAATTTTTCCTGCATCCCAGTTTAGCATGCTGGATGTTGTGCTGAATGACGTGCATAACACCACAATGACATGGGAGGTCTCTGCCCTCAAGGAATTCAGCCTTTGGAATCGCTTTTCCCCAAATCAGAAACAATCTCATTAGGAACCAGCTAATATTTGATCTAGAAATAATTCCACATATTTACCAAGAACATTTAATAAAGAATCCCTTCGGTAAATATCTCTCGTGCCATTAAAAAAAAAAAAAGTGGGCCGGGCACGGTGGCTCACGCCTGTAATCCCAGGACTTTGGGAGGCCGAGGTGGGCGGATCACGAGGTCAGGAGATTGAGACCATCCTGGCTAACACAGTGAAACCCTGTCTCTACTAAAAATACAAAAAATTAGCCGGGTGTGGTGGCGGGTGCCTGTAGTCCCAGCTACTCGGGAGGCTGAGGCAGGAGAATGGCGTCAACCCGGGAGACGGAGCTTGCAATGAGCCGAGATGGCACCACTGCACTCCAGTCTGAGTGACAGAGTGAGACTCTGTCTCAAAAAAAAAAGTGTCAGATGTGAGATTCCCCTTCACTGAGTCTCTGGCTCCCACAGGGCCAAAGTAAGAACACCTGGAGACCAGTCCCAGAGGTCAAGGCCTCATGGACAATAAGTCCCCATGTGATGACACATGACCTCACACCTGGGTCATTTAATCATGCAAATATCTGGCTCTATGACTGGCAGGGGCAAGTTCTACTTTCCTGTACAGAAGAGCAGGCACTTCTACAAGTTGTATCCAAAGAGTAAGATGGCATGAAAGAGAAATACTCTTCCCACTTGGAGCCTTCATGCCCAGATCC
The DNA here is from genome assembly GCF_000001405.40 of Homo sapiens. NCBI lineage: Eukaryota > Metazoa > Chordata > Mammalia > Primates > Hominidae > Homo > Homo sapiens. The sequence goes on from NC_000005.10 coordinate 9,445,973, forward strand.
AGCCTGAGACCCCTCTCTCCATCAGACAGTAGTCACTGTGAATGGAATGATCTAGAAATATTAAACATAGCTCCGAGCTAAAGAAAAATAAACACAGTAACAGGGGATTTTGTTTCTCAAAGCATTGACTAATCCTAACAACAGTTTGGAAGGAAGAAATCCAATTGTTTTCCATTTTGTCTTCATGCAGATTATCCTTTGGTGAATATTTAAAGCTAGTAGAAATAGCTGGCACTCAGTATTGCCTCAGTAACGGAAATAAAGCTGGAGTAAACACTTCCTATTTCATTACTCTCACATGAGACAATGATGTGTTCTGAACTGCAAAGAGGCATGGGGCTGAGGGAAAGAAAGAGAGGGGGCAAAAATGACTTCTTTATTAAAGCAAACAGGTTGCCAAAAACTAAGCAAGTGCTCAAAATGAGCAATTTCTGTTATGCGCTCTCTAAGGACACCAGGGCCTCAGAATAGTGAATACTTTCTTATTTTGGCCACCATGTGCCAGATTTTCAAAAGGCCACCTCACTTTTCATGCAGGCAATTTTGAAGAGCTTGCACAACCAGTTAATTTGCAAGGACAGCCGGCCTCTGGGCTTCCACTCTGACAGCTAAATTGATCAATCCTTTGTAGAGGAAAATCTCAGTCCCTAGAAAAAAAGGGTGTCTGAGACCCTTTGAAAAATGTGGTCTCTCAATTCCTACTTATTCAGAACTACACAGCCAACAAGACTTATTCTGTAAGCAGTAGTTTGCCTACACAAAGGAGACTCAAGATTTAACTCTAGATCTAAATTTAAGATTTAATTTTAATATTAAGATTTAACTCTTTAAAAAATTATTTGACTACTCTTGTTACTTAACTATCTCTGTTAAAACATAAAAAAAGGGCTGGGTTCTTATATCCGCCCTCTGGTCATTACATAGAAGAGCGAAATGCCGGCCACAGATTAAACCACATCTGACACCAAACCTTTCTCAGAGAAAAAGCTGAGCTGAGGCAGACAAGTCTGTTAAGAAATATGAAAACAGAGAGGGGCTCATTTATCCCATAAAAGTTGGCTAACTGTGAAATTCACAATGAATTATTAGTGAAATGGCAATTGGTTAAATTGTTCAGAAAAATATTTTCCTAAAAACAGAACAGGCAGTAGATTTTTAGAATTTTCTAGCTACACACTCAGAAAAGAGAAATGAAAGGATGTGCTCCTTCAACTCAGTAATGGAAAGAAGATTAGTATAAACCCGTGCAAGCCAATCCAATGTGCATATTGGGCTCTCTGTGACTTCACTTATTTTAGATACCTAAGCCCTAGTGTCACTGTTTTACATGGTATACAATGATCTGGGCCAAGCCAATTGCGTTTTGCCTTGGAAGACAAACTCTGATGTTCTATTCTGGCTTAAACCTAGTGAATGTTCTGGAGTCATTTTAGAATGTTCGCTTCTTTGAACACATGAAAAAGAAGACTTTTAAATCCTCCTGAATCAGTCCCAATGACCTGTCAGGTCTTTCATCGTCCAAGATGGGCACCAAGGCCTAAAGAAGAAAATAGCATCTCATTTTCGCATTACGGCATGCAGGCAACTTGCTCAGGAATGTGAATTCCACCTAAACGTTTGTTTCATGTTTTATAGAGGACTTAACACTATATGAATCCCTGAGTGTGTCGCACAACCAAAAATCTAATTCTGTTCTATTTGTCATCCCCTCAATATAAATTAGTGATTAAAAATGAGAAATAAGCTACAACACAACAAACCAGATGGTGTCTTACCTTCCTATAAACACTGTTGTGTTTAGAGAGTTTACACATGTGGGGGAATGTAATGACTTATTTTTTTCACATTTGGCAATGAGTCATGTCATCCATTTTAGCACAAACTGTCCTGAAACTTCCTCCCAAATGAAGACATGGAACAGTTTCACTAATATGTAAAAGCACCCATGCCAGCTGCCTTTGATTAGTCATGATGCCTCTCTGCCCACTCTACAGCCCTCATCTAGGAGACAACCTGATCCAGTCGGACACCCAAACAGAACCAAAAGGTCGGCATGTCCTGAAGTCAACCTGCTGGGGAAGCAGATGCACTTTTGGAGGGGCCAAGATGCTTCTTCCCTTTGCTTCCCAACACATACCCTTAAAAATTCAACCCAGGAACTTGATTTAACAGTGTCCTCCTCTTTACTTTTGACACTCTCCCCAACCTTTCTGAGCTATCCTATGGACCTAACATATAGAAGAGAAACCATGAATAATCTCAGGAAAGTTCTAAGTTCACCAATTATTAAAGGAGCCAGAGTCTATCCCAACTGCCAACATTCAATGGATGTCCACTCTGTGGAACTAAATGGGAAGGAAACAAGACCAGCCTGAAATGCAAACCATGTTTGACAAAACTGTGTTTCATTATTTTACACTGACAGTGCTTAGGGCTATGCCTGACACATGGTAAACCCCTAGCAGGGAGTTAGCCCCGCCCCTTCTGCCTACCCCAACAGTGGAATTGGGTTTATGTTTCCCCTTCATCATCTGTCAAGACAACTCCTCCCCTCCCTTTGTGGAATTAACAGTATTAAACTGACTGCTGGTGTTAGTCTGCTTTTTGGTTTTGGTTTGCTAAGCCATTGAGATAGTAACACCTCTCCTCGTGGTACCTGTGAAGTTTATTTATGAAACTAAATCCAGATCTCTGTAATTCTTGCTCTTTAGATTTTATCTTATTGGCTTGACTTCATCACTGAAGCCATTCATCCTAACATCCCTGCCTGCTGGCTCTCTGAAATCCAGGTGGCCCTGACATCCCCGTGTGATGTTGTTGCCTCTCCTCTGTGACCGTGACATGTGATGCTGGCTTTTCTGTTTCTCCCATCACCCTCCATTGTTTACTTCTCTGTCTCCTGGTCAAGGGCAGGCATCTGTCTTAGTCAGCTGACTTCACATTCCCAAGGCCAGGCCTAAGTAAATGAGCATATTCAAGAACAACAGTTTGGTTGGTGGGAACGTAAATTAATTCAACCATTTGGAAGACAGGTGGCGATTCCTCAAAGACCTAGAGGCAGAAATACCATTTGACCCAGAAATTTCATTACTGAGTATATACCCAAAGGAATATAAATCATTCTGTTATAAAGATACATGTACCCGTATGTTCACTGCAGTACTACTCACAATAGCAAAGACATGGAATAAACATAAATGCCCATCAGTGATAGACTAGATAAAGAAAATGTGGTACATGCACATCATGGAATACTATGCAGCCATTAAAAGGGACGAGATCATGTCCTCTGCAGGGACATGGATGAGGTTGGAAGCCATTATCCTCAGCGAACTAATGCAGAAACAGAAAACCAAACACCACATGTTCTCACTTACAAGTGGTAGCTGAACAATGAGAATGCATGGATATATGGGGGGGAACAACATACCTTGGGACCTGTTGGGAGCATGGGGGAGGGAGAGCATCAGGAAGCATAGCTAATGGATGCTGGGCTTAATACCTAGGCGATGAGATGACCTGTGCAACAAACCACCATGACACATGTTTACCTCTTTAATAAACCTGCACATCCTGCACATGTACCCTGGAACTTAAAATAAAAGTTGAAGGAAAAAAAAAAAGAACAACAGTTTGATGAACATTTCTCATTTTTATCTCAGAATGTGTGTAAATATTAACAGGGGCATATCCCTAAAGTTAGCTTTAACATCAGTCAAAATCACCCAAAAATGCAGGGGAAATTAACCCGGGTGGTACCTGGAGATGACCTAAGCCTCACCCAGATCTAGAAGATACCACACACACAGAAGGTGCCTGGGTAACGTTTGGCAGATAGCAGCATGCAGGAACCCCTTTCTTACAAGTTGCTAGAGAAAACTGCAGCTTCCTCCTCCAGAGGCTCTAGGCCTACCTTGATCCCATCTTTCCTCACAATAAAATTCTCTTTTCAATCCTCCTTAGGAGGTTTTCTAGTCTCAGAAGAAGCCTTCAATGCTGTTCATAGGAGATTAGGTCCCCCTGTTTTAGATAACAATGGCTGTCCATCCTGTTCATGCTCATAAAAGCTCAACTTTGCACAGACTTCCCTGTGCAAACATACCGATGTCTCCCCTCTTCCTGTCCATTAAGCTGAGTCCCCTATACCAGGATCCTTCTACAGACCCCCTTGGGGCGGCTGTCTCCACTGCCCTTGAGAACCACTCTCAGCCTCAGAGACATTTCCAGAGGAGAAGGGCTGCTCATGAACACAGTCAAGTGGGGAGAACGAGGCCAACCCGGTGGCCAATAGGGACCAAGAAGGAAAATAGCTTCCCCTTAGAAATATAAACATTATCTTTGTAAATGTCATGCTTATATGGATAATCCACTTAGTAAGCTCACTTTTCATAGATATCAGGCCAGTTGCTAAGTATACATTGTTCCAGTATCTGAAATTAATGATATTCAGTTTAATAGGAGTGTTCCTCTATATAGCAATTCTGCAGTCATTGATTAAAACAGTCCTCACTTTTGCTGTCTGGACTCCCATTCTCCCTCCATAATCATAGGCTTCAGGCTCCTTCACCCATCCAATGACCTGAAAGCATCTCCCTTGCTGCTGCCTGTCACACCTACACCCCTCTCCACTCACCCAGCTGTCCCCTCTCCCCAGTCAGCCACAGAGAAAAGTTTGAAGGAGCTTTCTTCTCACTGCCCAGTTTTCTATTTTACAGAAGGCTTTAGAAAACACATATGTGCTCTGGCTAAAATAAAAGTGAAGTTATAATGTGATCTACCACATCAAAAAAAAAAAAAAGAAACGGAAAATAGTTTTAGTTAATTCAGCATCAGAAAATCAATATGTCCTTAGCAGCATTCTGTGCTTGACTTCAAAATGTGTGTTTTAATCTTGACTTTATTACATGTTGTACTTGGTTAGCTCACACTTAGAATTCTCATCAACTGCTTTTTAGGTCTGTGGATGGGAAGGTACTCCATAAGAGAAATCAGCCTAATAATTGAATACAGAGCTTTAAAAAGAAAGGCTTGTATAACTCTGAAGGGGACAAAACAATGACGCAGAAATAAAGTCAGACTACAGCAGTTCAAAGACCTGTCCTTGTTTGTGATTTTTTTTCTAATATACAGACTCAAGGGTTCAACTAAGAGGCTGTTGTCGGTTACGCTTCTCATCTATATCCTCTCTCAGATCAGCAGACATCTAGCCACTCTGCTGCATGCTAATATAAAATCTGTCTCTGTCTCCTCACACATCCCGTCAGAGAAACCATCTAATCATGAACCATCCTATCATTACAGCAGCCACTGTAAATGCTTGGGAAATTAAACAACAAACAAGACTCCTCATTCAAATGGAAAGCTGGCAGCATTGTTGGGGAGATGACAAAACCCATCATTAGACTGGGAACAAACTGCCTTGCCCTATGTGCCCTTTACTGCTTCTCTTTTTCAGGGTACGCTGGAAGAAGGGGCATAGCTATCCATTATTCACTGACAATCTCATAAGTCATGCCACTTTCCTAACTATTGTAAAAGAGCCATAGTCAGAAAAGTGGGGTGAAATGTTGGTGACAGCTGCTTATCTCAAAGGCTTCTAAGGTAAACCACCAAACCATAATTTGATGCAATAATATGGTGGTTATTGCTATTCCTTGACCAACTACTCCCAATCCCTTCAGGTTAGATTTCTCCTATTTTTACATTCTGGAGTACACAGAGTTCTTTCACCAGTAGCTAAGAAGATGCAAATTGATCACAACCTCCCTGAAATAAAATGAGGAGGGTAAGAAATGGCCCAGGTTTCTTGATTCTCTCTGCTGTGAACCTGGGGCCATGTCACCTTCCCCGTCTTCTTTCCTGCACGGCTGAGGATGGCAGACAGTAACTCTCCTTAGCAGACAAGGCAATCTACCCAGCATGGAGGAAACAACAAGTAAGGACTGAAGTTCTACCCGAGCCACCTGGTAGAAGAGGAGGAAAAAAAGATGAAGGAAATCTGAATAATTGAAAGGCGTTAGCCCTACACTTAATCTGCCTGATGTTACATAATAAACTCTGTCAGTAGAAACAGACTCTTCCTTTCACCCACTTCCTTCACCTTTTCCACCAGATTTCTTCCATTTGTCACCCCTACAGCTCAGAATTGGCCCTGCCCTGTCTCCTAATGCTGAGGACAGACCATTAAAGGAAGGAAGGTCAGAGAAATTACAATGACATGGCTTTGTTCCCCAAGAACATTCACTCTGGAAGCTGTCACTGCTCAAAAGACATCTTCATTCTAGCTCATATGGCCAGAGGGAGCCCCCTTCTCCTCAATTCCAATTTGCTTTGACAGACACATGGCTGTGAAGCAGTGGTTTGCTTCCCGGAGCTGAAGCTGCACTGGAATTCCAAAGCTGCCCTAGCCCTGTCAACAGAAGTCAGCAGCTTGAAGAAGAACTGCTATCCAGTCACAGCCAGCGTTCCCTGACACCTGATAATACACACTCTCTCAGGCAAGATGCATCCCACCTCAGATTATTCCAGCCCTGCCTCTAATTGCTCCCACCAGGGCAAACAGGGTGGCATTCTGCTTTGGAAGGAATTATTAAGGCTATGTTGAAATGAAAGTCAAGGTGAGCCCCCGCAAATACAGCTGCATTTTTTAATCCAGACCAAACAAAACTTTCTTTTAGCTTCTAGCCACACTCTCCCAAAACAAAATTTTAAAAGAAAAACTGAGATGCAGGTCTAAATTATATAATAAGAGGAACCCCAGTTTCCCTACCCAGTTTGTTACTGAAGAAGCTATTTATTACAAAAGCTCCAGAGTCACTGTTCTCCTCCAGGTCCATGCAGAAGCAATGAAGCCCAACGACAATAATGCCATCAGGAGGGCAGGCAAAAAGCTCGTTTTAAGGCTCCCAACGGGGTCTAATACATCATCCAGGAAGAAGGACTACTCTGAGAGGTGCCTCAGAGGGAAAAGCCTGTCAAATGACTCAATGCCACCAGACTCTGATCTGCCACCAGAAATGCTGCAACCACCACAGATACTCACTGACATAGACAGAAAATCCTGCTTCATTATCCTAAGTCTAAACACGTACTTTATACCTGTGGGATTAAAAGTGCAAAAGGAGTCAGATCAGTCTAGATGTTATTTATTTTACATAGTAATTGAGATTCATAAAAGAAAAATACAGTTGGACCTCATTATCCAGAGATTACATATTTGCAAATTCACCTGTTAGCTAAAGTGTATTTGCAACCTCAGAATCAAAACTTGAGGCACTTCCCAGCCATTCATGGACATGAGCAGTGAAAATTTGAGTCTCCTGACAACAGGCATTCCCAGCCGAGGTCTGACAAGGCAATCCTATCACCTTCTTGTTTCAGCTCTCATACTGAAAATAAGTGCCACATCCTCTATTTCGTGCCACATTTTTTGCACTCTTGTACTTTTTGTTGGTGATTTGTCTGTTTAAAATGGCCCCAAGCATAGGGCTGCAGAACTGGCTGGTATTCCTAAGTGCAGGAAGGCTGTGATGTGCCCTATGAAGAAAATGCATGTGTTAGATAAGCCTTGTTCAGGCATCAATTATAGTGCTATTGACCATGAGTTCAATGTTAATGAACCAATTGCATATTAAATAAGTTGTTTTTAACAAAAAATGCACTTGAAACAAGGTTATTTATTGATCAGTTGACAAAAATATGGTGACCAGAGGCTCGCAGGAACCAAACCCTATATTTCCCCTAGGAGCAGTGGTTCAGGATTTGCTAATTCAGTATTTGCAGTGACTTCATAGAGCATAATTACCACATGCTCTCAATGATAAGAAGAAAAGACGTAAAATATCAAAGGACATGAGCAACAGATATAACACCCTAACAGTCTTCCCCAGCCTGACACAGGATCATCACAGGCCAACCTGAAGGACTGTGTAAGTAGAGTTTTTTCAGTTCACTCAGAAGAGTAATCAGCTCCACAGAGGGAGATCCAATGGAAGCTACCTACTCACTCCTGAAAGCAAAGTACTAGCCTTCTTGCTTCAGGGGAGCACAGAACTTATCTTGCTAACTGAAAGCTGGGAGCCACTGGTGCCTGACTGTCTAGCACTAGCCACCCTGGGCGGAGACCTTTCTGAAGTCATCCTGGAGTGAAAAATAGACTCCTCAGAAACACAAATCTGTACCATTGACAGGCATCAGGGACGACAGGCTGGTGGCCAAGGTCACGTGCTGAATGGAGGTAGGAGGCTCTGGCTGTGACTCATGGGACTCTTTACTGCTCTCATTACATAATGTGAACCAGATCCTCATCTTCTCATCAGATAATGATCTTTGTTCTCCAGACTAAAGGGGTGATTACAATCTGAAGAGCTGATTGTGTCTCATTACACTTGTGATAATATATTCCTGATGACCAAGGCTAACCAAGGCTATTAACTTGAACCTTCAAATACCAACAGTCACAAGTTGTCCCTTTGATATATTCGCATCTGTTCTGTGTTGAATTGAAAAAGGTTTTCTTGCTACAAAATGTGTAAAGGAGAAAAAGTTAAACCAGTACAGAACAGCCAGTGCTGTTTTTTTCCAATCCAGGAAAGCATCTTAATTCAATTGAATGACTTTTAGTACACTGAGATCTTAACGTAAAAACAAAACAAAACAAAAAAGCAAAGTGATTCATAAATGTCACAGCATAAAAAGGTCCAAAGCCCTCACTTTATTGCTTCCTGATAGTCTTAAGCGCTTCTCCTCTAGCAATGTTTTCCTCTGTATTATAATCTTAAGAACTATAACCACTACCTTTTGGAATGGAATTGGTTTCCTTTTAAACCACTTTCCTCTCTTTATGACGAAAAGGAAATTTGAGTATCTTTCTCTACCTCCATTTCTACATTGTCAGTTGTCAAAAGAAAGTGAACAAAAATAAAAGAACTAGATGACATGTGTTCTCAGATTCAGAGATGTACTAATAAAGGGATACACGTACTATTTTGCAAATCCTAGAAGACTAATTTCTATCATGATCACAAAAAATCTAAGTTGGTAGTCTCCAAAAATGGATTCATGAAGAAAATCAGAATAATTTATGAGTGACAAATCAAACTCAAGAGTTACAAATAGGATTCAGGTACCAGAATTTTCATTCCACCAGCATAAGATGGGGCTTTACCTGACCCTGTCCCTGTCCCTGAAGCTGAGTGAACTGCAGACTAACGGCACCTCTGTCTGAGTTTCCTGCTCAGATAGCATATTGCAGTTTAATTTATTTTATTTTATTTTATTTATTTATTTTTTTTTTTTTTTTGAGACAGAATCTCACTCTGTCACCCAGACTGGAGTGCAGTGGCCTGATCTCTGCTCACTGTAATCTCCGCCTCCCAGGTTCACGCCATTCTCCTGCCCCAGCCTCCCGAGTAGCTGGGACTGCAGTCACTCGCCACCATGCCCAGCTAATTTTTTTGTATTTTTAGTAGAGACGGGGTTTCACCATGTTAGCAAGGACAGTCTCAATCTCCTGACTTTGTGATCCGCCCGCCTCGGCCTCCCAAAGTGCTGGGATTACAGGCATGAGCCACCGCGCCCAGCCGCATATTGCAGTTTATTTCTAGAGAAAGCATCAGGACTAGGAAGCAGTATGTCAACATGAATGGGCCAGAACAGAGAAGGGTTTTAAACTGCAATCAAGCAATCTTATAGTAAGAAATTGTGAGAATTATTTAAAAATGACTATTCCATTTGACTTTTCAGCCAAACCAGGCTCTAAAATTCCCCCAATCTCTCAGAATATTAGAAGCTAAAACAAGGACGTGTGTATAAATAAATTAACTGAGAGCTTTAAAAAGATCTGGTGACAACATGAAAGGAAGGCTTACGACCCACTAAAATTTTGAACTGAAAAGCAGAGAAATGGTTGTTATTTGACTAAAACTTACAGAAGACCCTTCTTCTTCGGGGAAGCAGGAGTGAGTCAGCAGGGGACACATTATGGAGAATCTCAAATGCACAAAGCACTGAGAGGAGAAAGGGATGAAAAGAATTTCAGGACAATCCAGAGGAGGTGCTTAAAAAGAATCAAGTCTCTGCCAAAGACAGAAAGAGCCAGCTCTTTGTTTCAGAGAGGCCTGCAGCTACAGGACTTAGATTGGGGCATAAATTCTAATTAAAGCAAATCTTTCTAGATTCCCTGAAGAATTTCCACTCACCAGCTTCATCTGTCAGTGTGGCTTGAGCCACTTGCTACACAGCTCGACCCAGAGCTGCTCTGTCCCTGGCCATGCCAAGGAGGAAACTGTGTGTGGTAGCCACACTCTCCCTACCTGGGAGGTTTATCCTCTTCTGCAACTGGCTGCTTCTGTAAAGACAAGCGTCTGGGTGCAGATGAGCACCAGGATTTGACCAAGGAAGAGGAAGGAGGTTAGGAAGCAGAGAACAAAACACAACAAAACAAGAAAATTAAAAACTCTAACCTTCAAGGGATTTCAAGGAGAAAACAGAGGAAAAAGGACAAGTAGAAAAAAAGGAAGGCTTCTTTGAGCAGGCAGAGCACAATTAAGGACACCTGTGATTTTAGGAGCTAACAAAAAGCAGATGTGTCATGGCCTCAGACTCCCGTCCCTTCAGCCCAGTCCTCATGCAGCCTAACTGGACCCCAAACCACAAAGGGGCTGGAGGAGAAAAGGGAGGTCTAAGTCAGCCCAGCTGCAATAACAAAGGCAGAAGGCTGGAACCACAAAAGCTTTTAAAAATAAACATTGTGATTCAAGGCAAGGGGGGAAAAACAGCACTGAGGGAAACTTCAAGAAGCACTGGCTCTCAGCAGACATCATTTTAAAGAACCATTTGGAAATTGCCATTCAATGAGGTGTTTAAATGACAACAGAGAGGCTGTCTTACCCAAGTAGAACAGGATCAAACAGAGAGATCAGAAGTACCCTGCCCTGCTCGCACTTTTCTACAGAGCAACTAAACTTGCCTTTCATCTCTCCAGGAATACTTTCTCCATCATGAACGTAACTAAAGCCTCTAAGACATTGAAAGATCTGGAATTTTCATACTGTTATACCCCCTACACATTCTAGATCGAGCCTAGCAAATTAGCCCAAATATGTATCTATTTCAGAGCTTTTAGGAAAATAGCTAGTCTCCCTGTTTGTACTAACCACGTGCTGCTTCTAAATTCAATGTCTGAATGTGCAAACTATGGCCTAGAACTTCCTAAGATACTTAAAAGAAAGAGGAAACGTGGTAAACCTACAACACGCAAACTCTCCTTGAAGAGGACTTCTCAAAAGCTCCTCAGAGGAGTAGAAATCGCACCATGATCTAAGTTCAAACCCTGTCACCAATTTCTACCTGTGCAGAGTGGATATGTATTTCTGTTGTTTTTTGTTTTGTAAAACTTCTCTCAGTTTCTTCTTCTGTAAAAGAGAGGTAACAGCAACCAGGTTGCAAGTAAATGTTGAGGTTCCAACAATATGCATACCAAGTTCCTCACTCAAAATTGCTCTTAACCCTTCAATATTATTATCATCATAACAAACAAATATTTCTGACACCAAAGGGCTGATGGTTAAGAGTGTTGGAATGGTCTACTCTACGAGCCTGCATCCATGACTTTACCCATCTGTGCCTCCTTGCTTAATATAAAAAATAAGGTATGTTAGATTAATTTCTTTAAGGCCCATTTGAGGACTAACAAGTCTAGTTGTCTGGGAATTTGAATTCTTCCTCTGTATTTTACAACTGTAAGGATTCATCCTATTGCTATTAGGAAGGTTTTTTTCCTCCAAACAACTTTTCAAAAAAAGAAAAATTAAATACATTAATTTGATGCCTTTTGGGGCTACATGTTTTGAAAGGGTCACAGGATAAGATTTTGATATGAGGTACAAAAGGAAAGAAAAATAATTCTTGAAAAACCAGCATCTCTCCTTTTTTTTTTTTTTTTTTTTTTTTTGAGACAGAGTCTCGCTCTGTCACCCAGGATGGAGTGCAGTGGCGCCATCTCGGCTCACTGCAAGCTCCGCCTCCCGGGTTCATGCCATTCTCCTGCCTCAGCCTCCCCAGTAGCTGGGACTACAGCCACCCGCCAACACGCCCAGCTAATTTTTTGTATTTTTAGTAGAGACGGGATCTCACCGTTTTAGCCAGGATGGTCTCGATCTCCTGACCTCGTGATCCGCCCGCCTCGGCCTCCCAAAGTGCTGGGATTACAGGCGTGAGCCACCGCGCCTGGCCCAGCATCTCTCCTTTTATTTAAGGATGAGACAAAGCCATTATGTATCACAATTGTGTAAAGGCACAAAGAGCTAATGACAAAGGGCCTTCTTTGTTCCCTAGTCATAGCAGTTTTGTTCTAAATCATCAAGTCTGCTACCTCCTAAAAATTGATCTGATGAATCTTTCGCTCTTTCTCAAGCTTTTGAAATAATGTAGAACCCATAAACCCTAAACTAAGATGAACATTTGCCAATGACACTCCTTCATCAAACTTTAAGCTGCTCCTCCTCATAAGCACATCAGCAACAAGGCAGTTAAGGTGATTCAGATAGCAGGCACTCGCCCATACGCCACCCAGCACGCCAAGGCAGCTTTTGGTCAGATTGCCCAGCAAGCCACACAAGATGGTGGCAAACTGCTCTGGGGCTGTGGGAGAGAGCCAAACACAGAAGCTCCAAGGGTGAGGGAGGGAAGACTCTACAGAAAACCAGGGCTCCATGTTCAAAGCTGAGTTTGCTGTAAAATGGAGCACAGGAACCCTGAATTGCCATGAATAACAGTGCCAGCTCCTCGGAACACGTATGAGCATCAATTTGGGAGGAACCCAATGACAAACGACAGATACAAGTAGTTGAGAGGCTCCTAGGCAGGGAGTCCCAACGATGTGCACATTTTACAATCAGATTTGTATCAAAGGCATCCTTTAATGCCCCCAGGGACAACTTTCAGCTTCAGTTAGAATAAGGTAAGCTGTGTTGTAGGAAAACTGATTCAAGTAGTCTTGGAAGACTCAGCCAATAATTTGATCTATTTTCACAAGAAAATATGAACCAGAATGATTTTTATCAATGCCAGTGGCAATAAATAGTGTACATAATATGCTATACGTAGTATATAAGGTTAATAGCTAATATCAAATCTCAACTTTTTAAAAAAAGTCCCATAATTACACTATTTTCTTTAAAAATTAGAACTGTTTCCTGGAAAGCCTTTGAGGGATCGTAATTTAAACAGATTTTAAGGCAGCTACCCTGATACCTGCTTCCTCCTGTTCACACTCCTGCATGATCCCTTGAGGGTAGGTGGGACCTGTGACTTGTTTCTACAAATAGAACACAGCAAAGATAATATATATGCATGATTAGGTCGTTATATTATATAAAATTGCAGCACCCATCTTGGCAGCTTCCCTTTCTCCCTGGCTGGCTTTTGGATTCAAACAGCAATGCTGGAGAAATCCATACGACAAGGAAGTGCAGGCAGCCTCTAGAGCTGAAAAAGCCTCCAGCAAGAAAATGAGGCCCTCAGTCCTACAACCACAAGGAAACAAATTCTGCCTACAGCCCAAGTGAACCCTGAAGCAGATCCTTCCCCAGCTGAGCATTCAGATGAGATCCAAGCCCCAGTCAACTGTCCTTGATTGCAGCCTCGGAGAAAACTGAACAAAGCCAGATCTAGACTCCCAATCCATAGAAATGATGACATAATATAATGTATGTTCTTTTAAGTCACTAAGTTTGTTGTAATATTTTTATGAGTTAATATTAGTAGATAACTGATAAAGATCATTAAATCTCAAGTTGTTAAATACAGAGAAAGATAAATAATTTTATTTAAAATAAATCTATATGATTGTTTATTCAATGGAACTGGTCTATAATAAAATATAAATGTATATTTTAAATGCCTGATTTTATTAAGCTTCTTTTTAATTACAGCACAAAATCAGGCATTGCAGATAACTGATTCCTTTTCCATTTACAATTCTGCAGTGGTTCTAAAGAAAGCAAGGTCATAATCAAATAAGAGAAATAAAATAACATCAAAATATCAGCATTTGATCATTAGTTACCATGGAGAGTTCAGCTTTTAAATTGACCTACAATGATTAGACAGTGCCACATCATCTACTGTCAAGATTTGTTTTCAAATTTTTGGTAGCTCATATAAAACACCTCTGAGAATACTCAGTAGGAGATTTTTATTCTGATTTTATCAATAATACAAATGAAGAATCTGATTGTTGACCAGGCATCAGTAAAGTACTGTATTACTAAATTGTGTAATGATAGGAGTTCATGGGTTAGAACAACTGTCAGTGAGTTCACAGAAATACATTTAATATTGTCATAAATATAGACTTTAAAAATACGTAGAACAAAACAGTTTTAACAAAACAGAAAATATTCAAGAAAAGATGCAAGTCTATTTCAACAGATTAAGTATATACCCAAAACATGAAACAGCCTATGCAGATACTAAAGTATTTTTAAAATCATATTTATGAATTAATTTAAACATAATTAGTATAAGTATATTATTTCAATCTGTCTACTATTAAAGATTAAAAAAGTAATAAAATATAATATGCTAGATGTTCAAGTAGCAAAATCTACTCACTCGAAGCAAAACGATTTTGATTACTTCTCTACTTTTTGGGAAAACAGAGAAAAATGATTTTCAGTCTTGAAATGTTTATTAACTTGAAACTGAAAGAAACATTCCAATTTCCATTTTTGAACTCCCAGATATTAAGGGATTGCTATCTTCTAAAATTAATTATCCTTTTAATGATAGTATATGACACAATCAAATGAAATTATTTGCTATATTAAAGCCATGTATTCCCTTACTAAGAAGCACCTATGATAACCTATGTCATTATGTTTTGAAATTTTTCAGCTTATTTATTACCTTAAGACTTAAATGTAGTTAAGCAAGTATCTATTTTGTTATTTTTATGAAGAGTAAGCTGACAATTTTTCCCTCAATTTGCTATCTTAGATTTCCCTAAACCTTGCTTAGCAAGTACTCTATCACTTCTCTTGGTCTTAACTCCAAAGATGGATGAGAAAACTTGAGTATAGACAGGCTCACTGTAATTTACATCATTCATGGAAACGCCTCTTTCCTTGGTCGTTGGCTTTTCTCAAACATACACTTAGCATAGAGATTTCCTAGCATGGAAATGATGGTTAAAAGCTCATGTGTGAAGATCAGCTAGGAAACTATTGTGGCAAAGCAGGAATATGGAAAAGCTGAATACCAGGTATTATTTCAGATTTGGTTTTGTTCTCCTCAAGGTGTCTTACAGAGAATGCTCACTGAATCTTCCAGGGTATCTTAAAGGCATGGAAGATTATAACTTAGGAAAAAGCAAATATAATGACCAAGAGCTGACACCAAATGGAAATGCTTACAGCAATAGCAGTCAGCTGCCTGAAAACCTCAGCTTGCCCCTGTTATTACTAATGGCCCAGGTAAGGCAAAGTCCTTAGTTAGAAACTGAAAAATCAATTATTGGCTGCCAAGTACTGGTTGACCTGACAATAGAATGGCATAGAGAATGATATTTTTCCAAGTAGAGGCCCATCATCTTCTGATTTTTTACAGTAGAATCAAATGTGGGGTCAGGAACACCTGCTCAGAAACACCACCGTGATATCACTCCAGCACACCTTGCTACCTCTCTTCCCTGAAGGATGCATCTGTAAGAAGCGGTGTAATTAGAGATACTTCACTGCACAATCATATGTGGAGGAAACAGCAATAGTATAGTCCTGCAGAGACAACTAAGTAAGAGACAGGCAACGATTCTTTTATTTAAAAAACTATGAGTATAGTCTAAATAGTTTGGTGTGTTTGCACATATGTATGAACGTACTCCACAGATGCTTGGCATTTATCATTCTGTTACCTAGGAGGGGACTTCCACTCTGTCCTATAATCTCCAAGTTAGCCTTTCTAGCCAGAAAAAATCAGGGATCAAAGAGACACTGAAACTGTGGCAACATAAAAGGCAGAAACACAAATGTCTTGATCATTGGCCTACATCCATTGTTAGGATGGTGGCACTGCTATCTACAACCTTGGCTTAAAGACTTCAATCCCAAGACTTTCTCATACTCGAGTTCTAGAAGTATCTCTATCCCAAACCTAAACAAAATGTTCACCAAGTCTTCCCCAAAATTGCCTCTTACATGAGCACACTTTTTAAAAGAAGACATACACGCAGCCAAAAAGCACATGAGAAAGATCTCAACATCACTGATCGTTGAAGAAATGCAAACCAAAACCACAATGAGATACCACCTCACACCACTCAGAATGGCTATTATTAAAAAGTCAAAAAATAACAGATGCTGGCGTGGTTACAGAGAAAACCAATGCTTAGACACTGTTGGTGGGAGTGTAAATTAGTTCAGCCATTGTGGAAAGCAGTGTGGTGATTCCCCAAATAGCTAAAAACAGAATTACCATTCAACTCAGCAATCCCATTAATTGATACACATACCCAAAGGAATATATATCATTCTACCATAAAGACACACGTGTGTGTATGTTCATTGCAGCACTATTCACAATAGCAAAGACATGGAATCAACCTAAATGCCCAGCAATTTTAGACTGGATAAAGAAAATGTGGTAGATATATAGCATGGAATACTATGCAGCCATTAAAAAAATCAAGATCATGTCCTTTGCAGGAACATGGATGGAGCTGGAGGCCATTATCCTTAGCAAACCAACACAGGAATAGAAAACCAAATACCGCATTTTCTCACTTATAAGTGGGAGCTAAATAGTGAGAACACATGGACACAAAGAGAAGAATAACAGATACTGGGGCCTATCAGAGGGTGCAGAGGGAAAGGAGACAGGGGATCTGAAAAAATAACTAAGGAGTACTAGGCTTAATACCTGGGCAATGAAATAATCTGTACAATGAACCCCCGTGACATAAGTTTACCTATATAACAAACCCGCACATGTATCCCTGAACTTAAAATAAAAGTTAAAAAAAAAAAAAAAGAATTTTCAAGAACTCCCTGGGACATGAACAATAAAAATGCCTTTTGTGGATGCTTAAAAAAAGAAAAAAGAAAAGAACAATAAGGATGCAACTTGCATCCAAGCTCTGATAAAAGACTCATCTTGTGGGAAACCATCTTAATTTATGTTGAGCAAGAAAGTCTTATTGGGGAACCACCTAGTCTGAAGAAAAACAGTGAAAGCGTTCTCAAGTGCGAAGTATGGATTCTGACAACGAATTCTAAATAAAAGATCATTGAAACAACTAAAGGGAGAGAGGGAGGTTTTGTGATAAACTGCATTTGACAGAGTTCCTTTAGATCTAGAAAAAACAAAACCCTCCATACACTTATGGTATCTCCTAAATATTAAAGTCTTCTCGAGGGAAGGGCAGGAGGTCAGGACAATATCATGAACAATTAAGTATTATTTTCCAGGCAAGTTAGTTTTTTTTTTATTTTTCTAAACTGTCAGTGGCAATCATTCTCTAAAGAAAAGGGGCCTTTATTCTGAGCCTGAGTAAACATAGTGAAGTTGCTATAGAAATAAAGAAGCCAAAATCTAAACCATAAAAAAACTCTGGTGCTAAAAATGGATACTCTCATTTTGCTGCAAAATTATAGGTTCAGCAGGTGC
The DNA here is from genome assembly GCF_000001405.40 of Homo sapiens. NCBI lineage: Eukaryota > Metazoa > Chordata > Mammalia > Primates > Hominidae > Homo > Homo sapiens. Next base: position 9,463,637 of record NC_000005.10, read on the forward strand.
TCCAAGCCACTGAGACCTCTGCTGCCAACGTGGGGCTTTCCTCTGTCCCTAAGCAGCTCACTGTCTTCCAAGGAATCTAAGTCATAGAAATGGCAAGGTGTATTGAATATTCTGGTAGTAGATGCTAGACCACCAAAGTTGTTTCAAATCAACAGCTGTAACCATCAGACTTAGCCTGGAATGTGTTCTCATCTGGCTCTGTTGAAAAAGTACTCCACACCCCCCTGAAGGTGTTTTCACTGTGTCTGCGTTGTGGCTTTGGGGGAACATTATCTATGTTGTTACTGGTTGATAAGCTACACTCTAAAGGCGAAATCCAAAGGAGTCTTTTCAAATCTGTGATGCTGTATTCAGATTTTCTAAACCTCGACACTGTTGACATCTGGGGCCAGATAATCCTCTGTCATGGGGGAGCTGGTCTGTGCATGGTGAGATCCTGAGCAGCGTTCCTGGTCTCTACCCACAAGACACCAGCAGCAGCTCTCCCCACCCTGAATGACAACACCAAAAATATCATTAGACATTGCCAAATGTCCCCTAGGAAACAAAGTTGCCCCTGATTAAAAGCCACTGTGTTAGATCCATTTAATAGTATAACTTTCAAATGAGGCCTTGAAAAGTATAGGGTAAATCTATTTGCTTCCCTATTTGGAAGATAAATAGTTACAGGAAAAAAACAGGAGCCAGAATAATGTCTAAACTCCCATGTCTTACTAAGAGTATGCATACATACACACGTTTCCATCGGCTTAGAAAATTTCTGGAAAGAACTGTTAAGAAGATGTTAATAGTGCTTGCCTCTGGAGAGTGAACTGTTTACACTTTCCTACTGTTTGAACAGTTTACTCACGTACCCCTTTTCAATCATGTTTTAAATAATTTTAATAACATATTTTTAAGTCACATTCAATATATTTTTTAGAAAGCAATAGGTGTTGATTTTCAGTCAAATTAGAGTTAAAATGGGGTTTTCCAATCCATTTGAAATTCCAAAGCCCCCGTTGAGGGAGCTGGGCCCCAGGCTTGGATGCCATCTGCCGGCAGCAGCCCCAGCCCTGGCATGGAAGCTTGTAGACCATCACAGCCTCCTTTGAGTGGAAAACAGAATAAAATGGAAGAAAGTGCCACAAAAGCCCACAAAGGATTGCTCGCTGTGTGGTCATCGTTCTCTGGAATAAGATCCTTAGTCCTAAAGCACTCAGGTCTCTTTTGGAGCAGATGCCAGTGGCAAGTCTCACAGCGGTCTGCAGCCACCATGAAGGGAGGTCTGAGTTTTCTGTCCAGCACGATGGTCTGCAAGCGTGTGCGGACCTGTGGCTCGTGTTTCCTAGTAATCCCCAAAAATGCTTCCTTGAAATGCTTCTTTAAGGAGCCCCAACTACAGTCACCTGGAACGAGCTGTAAAACTGTGTAACATGAGGTCATTTCATTCTGGATTCTGGATCCTGGATCCCCAACAGAATCAATAAGAAAATGTCAAAATGCTGGGCCCCAGGCCCGCTCCTGACTTGCTGAATCAGGACCTCTGGGTATGGGAACACAGTCTCATTGTTAACATGTTACCAGATGATCCCTGTGAAACTTTCTGCTTATCTGTGGGTCAGTATTCAAGAGTTTCCGTAATTTTCAAGTTGAAATAAGAATCTTATGTAAAATATAGTGACTTTCCCAAGGGCTGAAACTTGCAGATTTTCCCAAAAGAGACTCCATGTCTCAATCTTGAAATGGTTGGGAGAAATTTATGCATCAAAAAGGAGCATTTTAAAGACTTATCGTGTGCCAAGATATATTAATACAGTCAGCCCTCCATATCCATTGGTTCCATATCTGTGGATTCAACAATCAGGGATGGAAAGTAATTGGGATAAAGAAATTCCACAAGTGCTGTAAGGCAAAACTTGAATCTACTGTGTGCCAAATACTATGTTGAATCCAAGCAAATGAAATGATGTATAGGCATTACATAGGATACTACAAGTAATCCAGAGATCATTTAAAGTATATGGGAAGATGCTCACAGGTTATATGGTAACACTACACCATTTTCTGTCAGAGACTTGAGCATCCACAGAGTTTGGTATCCACAGGTTCTTGGAACCAATCCCCCATGGATACAGAGGATGACTTTATTCTCCATCTATATTCCACTGGGCTGACTGCCATGTAGTTATTTCATTACTTTTTACTGTTTTGGGTCCTTGGGAAAAACAACATGTCATGCCCAGAATGATAAGGTGATATCTGAACAGGTTCCCCAAACACAAAGACGAGCATGCATGGCACTGAAGTGAGAGAGTGAGAAGAGAACTTCAGAGAGACGTCCAGTGTTGCTAACCACAGAGGACCCAGTGGAGAATTCAGAGAGAAATTACAAGTTAAACCAATGCTAATTATTGACCAAGAAGGCCTTAACATTTCTTTCTCTCGAGGGTAATGTCAAGCCAGCAAGGTCTGAGAGTTGGGGGTGCAAGTATCTGAGTAGCTGTGCACACAGATACCTGGGTACCAATGTGGAGATCACTGGGAAACAGGATTAAATCAGTAGGAATAAGAAAAGTCCCCAGGCACACCGGGGACTGTTGTGGGGTGAGGGGAAGGGGGAGGGATAGCATTAGGAGATATACCTAATGCTAAATGACGAGTTACTGGGTGCAGCACACCAACATGGCACATGTATACATATGTAACAAACCTGCACGTTGTGCACATGTACCCTAAAACTCAAAGTATAATAATAATAAAATTTAAAAAAAAAAAAAAAAGAAAAGTCCCCAGGCAGTGAAGGAATCATGCCTCACACTATCAACATGGTTGAAGAGGATGGGAAAGAAGGGCTATTGAAGGGCTACTGAGCAGTGAAGTTATTTATGAGATAGAATTTTGTGGCTATTAGAGAGGGGGTTTGAAAAACAAAAGGGTAAAACTTAGAATGATTCTGAGATTTCTAGTTTGGGAAACTAGATTCGTGTATTTACAGACAAAGATAAGGAAATCCAATTACCAAAAAGTCATTAAATGAATACAATCTGCTCTTACATTACTATAAAGTTATTATTTTCCATGTTTATCATAAATATTTCAGAGCTAATTATCTGGGCTTGGTTTCACTTGTGTACTTGGCTGATTTTTCTCATTCCTCCTCTTCCCACTCAGCATTAAATAATTGGGATCCACTCCCAATGAGTGTTTCTGAAATACTCTTCAAAGTCATTGCCAAGGGAGAGATTGCCTTTTCGGATTGGTGTGTCTCAGATTTATCACAAGAGTGGGCAGATGTGAGGGAAAAGGAGAATGAGCTTTGGCAGTAACAATGCAGAGAAGAGTTTTGTTATTCTTAGTGAGCATCAAAAGGCAGAAAGGCATCCTCATAAATCATTGTCCAAACCAATAGCCTTCCCCAGAAACAAAGTTTTGGCCCTTCTCATCTTTTGAGCTAAAAGAATCAGATGCCAAGAACAGGGAGATGAGATGCATGAATTGTTCTTTTTTTTTTTGAGACGGAGTCTCGCTCTGTTGCCCAGGCTGGAGTGCAGTGGTGTGATCTTGGCTCACTACAACCTCCACCTCCTGGGTTCAAGCAATTCTCCTGCCTCAGCCTCCTGAATAGCTGGGATTACAGGCATCAACCACTGTGCCTGGCTAATTTTTGTATTTTTAGTAGGGAACGGGGTTTCACCATCTTGGCCAGGCTTGTCTTGAACTGTTGACCTCATGATCCACCCGCCTCAGCCTCCCAAAGTGCTGGGATTACAAACGTGAGCCACCGCGCCCGGCTGCATGAACTGTTCTGAGGCCTGATGAGCCTTTGCTTATTCCCAGATTAGAACTCCAGGCACCTTCCACTTCCATGGGTGAGAACTTCAGGGTATTTACTGGAGGACTCCAAACTTCTGTTTGTCCATGCCATGTTGAGGAACACCTCAGCTGGCCAAGTGGGTATACCTGGAAAAAGCTCTTTGTTTCCTGGCACAGACTAGAGGACTGTAAGCATGGGTGGCTTTCCAACTGGACAGAATCTGGTAAACAAGCACCAGGAGCCTCTAAGCCAGGATCAAGCTGAGGCAGGTAGCAGCAGCTCTGTGCCTGGAGGTGGGAGCCGGGGTGGGTGGAAGGTCTAGGCAGGCCTAAGCCCGCCCTGGCCCAGCGTGGGTCTGGCGTCCTGCCTGCGGGAGGCTGGTTCCTTGTGCAGAATTACTAAATGCTACAAATAAGGAAACACTGCAGATGAAAGTTTTAAAGGTTTATTAGTAATAACACCATTCGGGGCACTAAAACTTCAAAGTCCTTTGACTAGCAGAGTCTAACTAATCTTTACAACACCCCAGTGGGCTAGGTAAGCAAATAAATATTATTATCCCTATTATGTGGAGCACAGAGAGCTGTAAGAGGACTTGCTCAGGGCTACAGGAAGATCAGCGTTACTCACATCTTGGTAACTACCAAGTCCAGACTCAGAACAGCAGGCTGCCCCTTACTCCACTGACTCATGCTGCCACAAAAACGGCAGGGAGGGCCCGGGAAAGAGACTCTCATGATTCAGAACAGAACTTGTGACAGAAGCAGGCATTGTTGGTTTTTTTCTTGTTGCAGCTTTAATAACAGTAAATGACAGTAATTTTGCCCAATTAGAAATGTCTGACTTGAGATGTTAGGCAGACGCCTTCATTACTGGAACGTCTACTGTAGGATTTTGACAAATCTTACCCAGAGTGGGACCAGCTTCCCTAGGGCTCCTCCTGAATGGTGACTCCTACATACTAAGGCTTTCCAGGTTAACCTAAAAAGTGTAGGTTTGCGAACTAAACAGTCCTTAGTGGGGGTTTTAATCCTTCTTTTAATAAATTACAATATGTTTCTAAATAAAGAAATTTTAGAAAATATGAAATGGTAAAAAGAAAATGGTAGTATGTGAACTCTTCCTAGTACTATAAGTGATTTCTGGTAACACTTGGGGGTGTGTCCTACATTTAAACTATATAAAATTCAGGCTGTCTATATTTCTTCAAATCCTTGAATACCATCCAAAAATCTGATTTAAATGGCTACATAGCAACCCGTCAAATGGTGGCATCCATTTACTCGGCCAATCTCCAGCTACATGATAGTTTGGGGTTTCGAATTACTAGTATCACAACACCAGATAAACATCCCTTTTCATGAATATTTCTATTAATTTCAAAATTTTAGAAGAAGAGCCACTGAGTAAATGGATTCATACATATTTAAAGCATTTCATACCTACCGTCACATTGTTCTCCATAATATTCTATCACTTTCCACTTTCGTATGTTGTAAGAGGTTCATTTTTCTGAGCCTCCAAAATTTCTATGTTGGTGAGGCTTAAGAGTAGCAATGGATTTTTTTGTTTTGTTTTGTTTTGTTTTGTTTTTGAGATGAAGTCTCTCTCTGTCGCCCAGACTGGAGAGCAGTGGCACAATCTCGGCTCACTGCAACCTCCGCCTCCCAGATTCAAGCGATTCTCCTGCCTCAGCCTCCTGAGTAGCTGGGACTACAGGCGCCCGCCACCACTCCTGGCTAATCTTTGTATTTTTAGTAGAGATGGGGTTTCACCGTATTGTTCAGGCTGGTCTTGAACTCCTGACCTTGTGATCCACCTGCCTCGGCCTCCCAAAGTGCTGGGATTACAGGCATGAGCCACCACACCCGGCCAGCAATGGATTTTAATTAATAGCTAGTGAATTTAGCATAAGGTCATGCTTAAAGCCTAGATTTTAGTTATGCGGAATGTTTAATTGGGGTAGTGAGAGAGGGCTACCAGAAAACAGAGAAAGGTAATGTTTACCCATCTCCAAAATAGCCACCACCTTCTATTAAGCAACCATAAAAACAACTCATGTACAAGATTTTTGCAAGCAAGGTGTCCCCATTTCACATTTGAGAAAAATGAGGCTCAAAAAGATTCACTCACTCGCTCCAGGTCATTGATCCTAGGTTTGGAGCCAGGATACCGGCCCTAGGGCATCTGTTCCATCCCACTGGGATATCAATGGAAACTAAAAGTGCTGGAGACCCTGAGCAGGGTAGACAAGAGAATGTTTTTGTTCATGATTTTTTTTAATCTTCTTCTTCCAAATTATAAATGGCAGAAATGTTTTTGATGCTAGCTTCAAGGCAACCTTCAGCATGCAAGAACCCCCAGCAGGCTTGCATTAAAAGCATTTTGTAAGAACCTTGGGTATTTGGAGTACTTTTACTTAAATCTTGAGGAACACATGTTTAAGAGGGCAAGCTCTGAGCCAGACAAATGTGGCTTTTATTCCTGAGTCTGCAATTTAGGATGTGTACAACTTTGAGCAGGCCCCAAATGGAAAATCCAATCTTCATTTGTGAAATGAAAAAGAGGGGGAATTAAAAGAGACAGTACATGCAGAAGGGTAATTCCAACGTCTGGACATGGTAAGTCCTCAAGAAATGGCAGCTTTTAAGATGAGCATGTTAGGGGGGGTTCCACTATTTCAAACAAGGTCACAAAGAGGTAGCATAGGTTTTTGACTTACAAGGAGAGAGAAGGTAATCTCAACTCCACAGGCTGGAAACTCTATTCCCTTGATGTTAGGGTGTGTCCCCAGGTTGCACAAAGAAGTTTCAGAAGTGGGAAATTCCTTGTTCCTATAGTGTGTGCTTCAAACAAATTATGCAGCAATACTGTACAATGACTGAGATTTGGCTCTGGGGAAATAAACAAAATTAGATTCCACAACCAACTCTGTCCAGGAAGTACCACTGCCTCTTGAGTCCTTACCTTCAGTAAGCTCCATATGTAAAATAAAGATCATTGAATTTCCAGCTCATGTGAGAAGTGACTGAGACAACATGACATATGCAAAGGTAAGGGTAACAATGTCTATCACATAAAACAAAAAACTCATACAGGAATTACAGTATCCATGAGCGCTGTCCAGTCTTCCTCCCACTTCTTCACCTCTTCAAAGTTGGCCATAGTCCCAGGATTTCTCTGGCCAATGAGATGTAAATAGAAGGAAACCATGCCTCCTCTGGATGAAAGCCTTCCCAGGGTCAATGGACCATATGCCATGTTCTCTTATTTCCCTAACAGTGACCAGCAACTCTCAAGATGACAGCCACCCCAGAAATCAGCCTGCCTCCCAAAGACAGACCTCTTCAAAGAGCACCTCCAGCAAGCCCAGATGCACATGGAGCACAAATGAGAAATGAACATTTGTTGTTTGAAGCTGCAGAGATTTAGGGGTTGTTGGTTACAGCAACCTGGCCCATAGAAACTGATGCAGATTTTAATATGAGTAGCTTATTAGTCCATTCCATAGAGCTGGAAAAAGCGATCCTAGTTATTTTTTATCAAAACATTAATAATAATTATGATAAGGAGGGCTTTCTCAAGTAGAGTAGGTAGCTGAAAAGAAAAACAATGTAATGTTGAAGACGAAACCCTCATTCAGGACCCTCTGAGAACTGACTCTGCTTTCTGCCTTGGAAAAGGTCAGGGCTCACTGACATAGAGTCTAATTTAGGAACCAGGAGAACCCAATTCCCTTCACATCCGTATATCACACACCTAAGTCTACAAGAACGGTAATATGAGTGTCCTGAGGATGAACGAGTGATGGGGTCTCAACATGTTGGGGCTGATGTCTCAGTTCCTACAGGACCCTTCTTGGGAGTGTCCCTGAAATACTGCCTAACTGGGTATCTGAAGAGGAACGAGGCAAAGGAAAGCTGCCCAGAGATAGCCTAAAATTGCCTTCCAGAGGTTTCTGTATTCTAATTGTATTCTGTATTCTAATTCTCTAATTGAGTGAGTTAATTAGAGAGAGAATGGTGTGGCCCTTCCTACCAATACATAATCCACCAGAAAGACTGGAAGTTTTTCAGTACCAGCATAAGTAAGGATAGGAATGCTTGATTTAAGACTAGAAATAACTTACGACAATTAAAAAAACATTTTTAGCAAAGTAACCCGTCCGATTAGAAACTGGTTTGTTAGAAACAGTAGCAAAGAGAGTTTTTAAATATCCAAACTATGCATCCTAAATAAGTTTATAAGTCAATGTTTGTTAAGTTGAGTAACTGTTGCTATTAACAATCTTTGCAACCAATAAGTCTGCATGTACCCCTTTTAACAAGATTCATTAAATACCTAGCTAAACGATACAGCTAAACGATACAAGCAAACTCATTGTTCAAATTTAAATGCAAACTCATTGCTCAAAATTAAATGCTCTGTGGTATGCTTTTATTCCCAATTTTTCTTGAAGGAAGAATGCAGAAAAGTAGAAAAAGTAACAACCTGCTCCTCTTAGAAAAATGATTGAATGCTTTATACAGTGTAAGATCTATAATGCAAATTATTAAGAATCTGGCTACATTTTTTTATTATACTTTAAGTTTTAGGGTACATGTGCACAACGTGCAGGTTTGTTACATATGTATACATGTGCCATGTTGGTGTGCTGCACCCATTAACTCTTCATTTAACATTAGAAAAAAGCTATTGACTATTGACTCATTGCTTCTATCTCTCAAATACACACAACCAATCATGTTTTCTGACAGCATGCATCCTCTGGGAAATATTTCCTCCACCTCTTCTCTAAAACTTGGCAGTGTGAGGTTTTGCTTTGCCTTTGGTTTTTCTTCTATCTGCCTCATGACACTTTTGAGCATAAGAAAGACATCATCTAGTGCCCTGGAAGATGCTTTGTTTTGATTCTTGTTCTTTTATGGCACCCTCTGATAGCATTACCTGACTTTGGAAATCAATTCTGTGCTGTGAGAATAAGGTTTGAAATGAAAACTTCCTGCCTTGTGTTGAAAGGACAGAGTTAGTTTTATTGAGGCTAGAAAGTATTTTTCCCTGTATTGTTCTATAGACACAGAAACAATCCTTAGCTCAGTCTGGGGCAAAAGCCAAAGAAATTGTCTAAAATGGCAGATCCTGAAGGAGGCTTGGGGGTTGGGAGGTGATGAGGAAGCAGTCAAGAAAACTGTATAATAATAATTTTGTTCACTTCCAGATAGTCTCCTAATGTTTTCATAGATCTACTTTTCTTCATTGTGCAAGCTGCATATGTCCACTGTAAAAGTTTTAGAAAAATGTAATAAAAGAAAGGGAAAAAAGCATTCACTATCTGAGTATCTACAGATAATCATCACTATCATTTTGATGCATTTCTTTCTAATCTTTATTCAAAATTATTAGAAGTATATATAAAAATATATAAAATACATATACTTATATAGAATTAGTATTTATTGAATAAGTTATGTATAGGATATATTTCTCTGCATATAAAGTGAAATCCTTTAAAAGCAGAATTTTAACAACTGCATAATATTCATGTCATGTACGTAGCATTATTCATTTCATCATTTCCTTACCGGTGGCCATTTCTTTGCCCCATATTTTAAGTTGTTCATTCTTTTTTCTGTATTTTGTTTATTTACATATGTACCCTAAAACTTAAAGTATAATAATAACAAAATAAAATATATATATATATATATAATGCCCACAAAATAAAGGAACTAAGTCATAAATATGCATATGATTTACATAAAGGAGCTAAAATAAGAAAAAAAAAAAGAATGATAAAAGTCAGCAGGGAAAAGAACTACCAAATCACCTAGTCAAGTAAATGATTTACAATAACAAAAACAAACTTAAAAACTCTACTTGTAACAATTTTACTGGTGACTAATACTTCTTTAATTAATAAAACCTATTGGCTGCATATGGCAATCAGTGGTAAAAAAAAAAAAAAAAAAAAAGACTACCAACCAACCAATAAGCCCATGTAGACCCTGGTTCTGTGACCCTGGTTCTGACTCTCCAGGAACAGCCACCGGGGATCAGGCTACCAAGACGAAGGCAGAGAGCAGGCAGGGTATGTAGATTTTACCCCAAAATTCAGGCCAAACCTAGGGCTCAATATATTCACTGGGGAGAGGAATAAGGAAGGAGAGAGAGGAGGAAAGAAGGAGGGAAGGAGCTGAAGAGGAGGGGCTGGGGAGGAGTAAAGGAGAAGAGAAAGAAACAGGCTCAGGGATATGGGCTTAGGGAACGTGGTGTGCATGGCCATGGGTGGACTGGCAGAAGGGCTTCTGGAAAAACTCAGCCCTGTAAACTGGCAGAGAAGGGCACACATGCATCAGCACGAGGATACCAGGCATGAATATCCAAGTGCTGCAGAAGCCATGTGTTCTCATGAGCTGGAGGGAGGGGAGCAGATGAGCAGCACAGCAGTCCAAATGCTGAAAGAGCAGAGCTGTGAATCAGTGATCAAAAGACAGGGTGACCACATGGAGTCCAAAGATGCTGGTGAGAAGCAAGATCATACAACAGATAGGAATGGAATGCCCACTCCACAACATATGGGGCATGTAAGATACATCATGGACGTCTACCCACAAAAAGCGATGTCAAATGAGTTTTTTTTAAATATTAGAAAGACGGTGAAGAGTATAATAAAGGAGGGGCTAATAAAAGGCAAGGATGCTGACAGAAAGAAGTCCTCTCCAAGGTGAAGAATTCCGTCCGTCAGAGCTGATGATCAGATTGATCAGTGAGAGAAAGGATCTTACGTGGAGTCCGAGCATCCCAAAGAAGGCCACTCCCGTACACCCAGCTGAGGCCAGGTGCAAATGTGATGTGTGGGGTGGGGGTGTGCCTGAAGCCAAGGCTAACCCAAAACATCTGCTGGCTTAAAGGGATTCTGGGGGAGGGCTCAGACACACATGGGGAAACCAGCTGTGAGAGGCATGAATCAAAGAACAGAGCCTTCCCACCAGGAAACAGGAGTCTGGCTTGAAAAAGACGCAAGAGTAAATAGGCACATGTGAGAAGCATGCTTAAAAAAAAAAAAATAGGGCATTCTGGTATTTCATCTGAAAGAGTCTACACATGTTTTAAAGATTTATCCATTCACTAAGAAATTGCAAGAGAAACACCCACCACGTGCAAGGCACAGCGGCATGCATCTTTTTCTAGCTCAAAGTGAATTGAATGTGCCCGTGATTGCAGAATCATTTCCATTGTCAGAGTAGAAATGGCTGCTTCCACTCTGTATGGTGGTAACTCAGTGAAACTTACTGCCACCTACATGGCCCCATGTCATCCAGCTCTACCCACCTCTCCTGCCTCACCCCCTCGCCCGAGACACTCTGGCCATACCAGCTTACACCAGCCAACCCTCAAGGGACATTGGTTTCTGAAACAGGTGAGCCTTTTCCTGCCTCTGGGACTTCACGTGTTGGAACCCACCTCCATTCTTGTACTTTTGGTTCCTTCTTATTCTTCATGTTTGCTTTTATTTACTTATTTATTTAGAAACCGAGCCTCACTGTCACCCAGGCTGGAGTGCAGTGGCACGATCTCAGCTCACTGCAACCTCCACCTTCCAGGTTCAAGTGATTGTCCTGCCTCAGCCTCCCGACTAGCTGGGGTTATAGACATGCACCACCTACTTTCGTATTTTTAGGAGAGACTGAGTTTCGCCATGTTGGCCAGGCTGGTCTCGAACTCCTGACCTCAGGTGATCTGCCCGCCTTGGCCTCCCAAAGTGCTGGGATTACAGGTGTGAGCCACCACACCTGCTCTACATCTGCTTTTAAATGTCATGGCCTCACAGAGGCCTTTGTGGTCCACCGTGTCAAAATCTTCACCATGCCTATTCTCCCATCACCCTCATCTCAAGTTTAATTATGTACCACAGTCTTTGTTTTCTTATTTGTTGTCTATTGCCTTGGTTAGATTTTCCAAAGAAAGGACCGTGTCCTTCTTAGTCATGGGTGTCTGTCAAGTAGTGGAGGCTCTGTGAATACATTCTCTAATTTTGAGCAGGTCAAAGCAGGACAAACACAGAATGTTTAATGAAAAGGCAGCCTTTAAAGTAACATTTATTTTCCATTTCATAAAAGTTTTCAAATGATTTTACAAATATGCAAGAAAAATTCATCTGCATAATACCTAGTGGCATTATCTATATTATAACCTAATTGTCCTGAGCAACAAAGTAACTAAGGACCCCAAAATGAAAAATAAAGTTGATTTAGCCAGTTGGTATTGTTAAAAGTTTGACTGGAAGCTACTCTATAGCAGGAAAAAAGAGTCTCATTCATATTTGTATTATCAGTGCCAAGCAAAGAACCTGGCAATTAATAAGTGCTCCATTAATGTGATTTTGATTAAAAGTGTTCACGTTTTAAACTAACATATGGCAGTTATCTTTAAAACTATAGAATGACACAGGTGGAAAGAAAATCTCCCTTCCATTCCCAAACTTCAACTCATTTTACAGAGGTAGCTAATGAGAAAAAGTCAATGTATATTCTTCGAAACATATCCATGCATTAATGATCAAAAATACCTATGCAAGGAGATATTAGGCTATACATGCTGTTTAACACCTTTCTTCATTCACCCTTCATTCACATATAATAGATATTTCCATGTTTGCAAAAATAGATACATCATTCTATGTAAAGGCCGTACATTACTCTGTGCTTTATTTAACCAGGTCACTTCTGTGGACATTTAAGGTTTTTTCCACGATTAAAAATAAAAAAAGCAATGAACATCTACAATTGTGTAATTAGGTGGACATAAATACAAGATAAATCCCCAGAAGTGGAAGCATCAGATCAATTAATGTTGATAGAAATTTCCTAAAGCACCAAACAGCTATTATAGTTACATCAACCCTTGCACATGTTGGGGGTTTACTTTTTTTTTTTAATCTTTACCAAGCTAATAGGTGAAAAATAGTTGATAGTTTACATTTCTTTCATTCTGAGTGAAGCTGAACAGCTTTTCATACTGTTAGCTGCCTTTTTGGTTTCTTGATAAAAGCTAAAGGAGACTGATGCCTCCATGCCAGGTACCAGGAGGGTTATGGCAAGAGCAACAACCCTCTGAAGACAGGCTGGATGGAGTCATGATTCCCATCCACACAGAGCTCAAACCACCCTGGGCTCTGAATCTCCAGCCCAATTGCCTAACGCATCTCTCACCTTACCCACACTTCTGCACACTATGCCTTATTATTTTTTAAATGCCTATTCTTCATTTCAGGTGACATACTTTTCCATCATCTTTACCACAACATCTACTAAGGCAAAATAAAAATACCCATTGCCATTAGAAAACAGCAGAACTGTACCAGATTTGGTGGCTCATATCTGTCATCCCAGCAGTTTGGGAGGCCAAGGTAAGAGGACACATCACCTGCGGCCAGGAATTTGAGACTAGCCTAGGCAACATAGCAAGACCATGTCTTTACAAAACTAAAAAAAAAAAAATAGCCATGCATGGTAATATGATTTGGCTCTGTATCCCTGCCCAAATCTCATCTCGAAGTTTAATCCCCATATATCAAGGGAGGGAGGAACCTGGTAGGAGATGATTGGATCCTGGGAACAGTTTCCCCATGCTGTTCTCATGATATAATGATTTAAAAGTGTGATTCTTTCTCCTTCTCATTCTCTCTCTCTCTCTCTCTCACCACCATGTAAGACGTGCCTCTTTTCCCCTTCATCTTCTGCTGTGACTGTAAGTTTCATGAGGCCTCACCAGCCATGCAGAACTGTGAGTAAATTAAATCTCTTTTCTTTATAAATTACCAAATGTCAGATAGTTCTTTATAGCAGTGAAAACAGGAATGTAATGTAATACAGGAAATCAGTACCAGAAGTGGGACATTGCTATAAATGTACCTAAAAATGTGGAAGCAACCTTTGAACTGCGTAATGGGCAGAGGTTGGAATAGTCTGGAGGGCTCAGAAGACAGGAAGATGGGGGAAAGTTTGGAACTTCCTAGAGACTTGTTGAATGATTTTGACCAAAATGCTGATAGTGATGTTGATAATCAAGTCCAGGCTGAGGTGCTCTCAGATGGAGATGAGGAACTTATTAGGAATTGGAGCAAAGGTCACTCTTGCTATGCTTTAGCAAAGAGACTGGTGGCATTGTGCCCCTGCTCTAGGGACCTGGGGAACTTTGAACTCGAGAGAGATGATTTAGGGTATCTGTCAGAAGAAAGTTCTAAGCAACAAATTACTCAAGATGTGACCTGGGTGCTCCTAACAGCATATAGTCATATGTGTTCACAAAGAGATGATCTAAAATTGGAACTTATATTTAAAAGGGAAGCAGAACATAAAAGATTGGAAAATTTGCAGTCTGACCATGCAGTAGAAAAGAAAAAAACATTTCATAGGGAGAAATTCAAGCCAGCTGCAGAAATTTGCATAAGCAACAATGGGGAAAACGTCTCCAAGGCATTTCAAAGATCTACATGGCAGGCCCTCCTATCACAGGCCTGGAGGCCCATGAGGGACCTTCCTGGGCCCAGGGTCCCTGTGCTCTGTGCAGCCTTGGGACATGATGCGCTGTATCCCAGCCACTCCAGCTACAGACATGACTATAGGGGCCAAGGTACAGCTTGGGCTATTGCTTCAGAAGGTAGCTTCCTTCTGCCAAGAAGACTTGGCAGCTTCCACGTGGTGTTCAGCCTTCAGGTGCACAGAAAACAAGAGTTGAGCTTTGAGAACCTCCGCATGTATTTCAGAGGATGTATGGAAACACCTGGATGTCGAGGCATAAGTCAGCTGCAGGGGCAGAGCCCTCATGGAGAACCTCTACTCAGGCAATGCAGAGGGGCAGTGTGGGGTTGGAGGCCCCATACAGAATCCCCGCTGGGCATTGCCTAGTAGAGCTGTGAGAAGAGGGCCACCATTCTCCAGACCCCAGAATGGTAGATCCAATGACAGCTTGCACTGTGCACCTGGAAAAGCTGCAAGAACTCAATGTCAGCTGGTGAATGCAGCTACAGGGGCTGTACCCTGCAGAACCACAGGGTCAAGGCTGCCCAAGGGCTTGAGAGTCCACCCCTTGCATCAGTGTGCCCTGGATGTGAGACATGGAGTCAAAGGAGATTATTTTGGAGCTTTAAGATTTAATGGCTTTCCTTCTCAGTTTTGGACTTGCATGGGCCCTGTAGCCCTTGGTTTTGGCCAAGTTCTCCCTTTTGGAATGGGAGCATTTACTCGATGCCTGTACTCCCATTGTATCTTGGAAGTAACTAAATTGCTTTTGATTTTACAGGCTCATAGGTGGAAGAGACTTCCCTTGTCTCAAATGAGACTTTGGACTTATACTTTTGAGTTAATACTGGAATGAGTTAAGACTTTGAGGAGAGGCATAATTGTGTTTTGAAAAGTGAGAAAGACATGAGATTTAGGAGGGGCCAGGGTGGGATGATATGGCTTGGCTCTGTGTCCCCACCCAAATCTCATCTCGAATTGTAATCCCCACATGTTGAGGGAGGAACCTGGTGAGAGGGATTGAATCATTGGGGTAGTTTCCCCCATTGTATTCTCATGATAGT
Source organism: Homo sapiens (assembly GCF_000001405.40). Taxonomy (NCBI): domain Eukaryota; kingdom Metazoa; phylum Chordata; class Mammalia; order Primates; family Hominidae; genus Homo; species Homo sapiens. The sequence goes on from NC_000005.10 coordinate 9,479,020, forward strand.
GAGTTCTCACAAGATCTGATGGCATAAGTGTGGCATTTGTCTCTCTTTCCTGCCACCTACATGTACGACGTGCCTCACTTCCCCTTCACCTTCCACCATGATTGTAAATTTCCTGAGTCCCCCTCCAGCCATTCAGAACTGTGAGCCAAGTAAATCTCTTTTATTTATCAATTACCCAGTCTCAGATAGTTTTTTTAATAGCAGTATGAAAACAGACTAATCTACATGGTGACACATGGCTGTATTAGTCTAGCTACTCAGGAGGCTGAAGCAGGAGGATCACTTGAGCCTAGGAGTTTGAGGTCAGTGAGCTATGATTGTGCTATGGCACTTCAGCCTGGGTAACCTAGTGTGACCATGTCTATGAAAAAAAAAAAAACTTAATAAAGAAAAAAGCAGAACCTTTCTACAATAAGCGATGGCGGGATAGTGGGCAAAGCAAAGCCTTGGACGTGGGCTCTGCAGCTTATAAGTGTTCCATCTGGAGTGTCGGAGCGTCAGCTTCCTCATCTGTAACATCTACCCTGTAGGAATGTTGTGTGGGTAGAAAGAATGTATGTACAGTGCCCTGGACTTAATACAATCCAGAAACGGAAGTGGTTATTATTGGCAACATGATGTGGGTAAGATTTGTGGTAAGGAATAAAATCTTCTTCGGGTATTAATTCTCCCTTCATACCAGGATTTCAGAACAAGGGAAATCTTTGCTATTTCCCCATCAAGAATCATGTATACAACCTGTTCGCTGGAGAGGCACCTTGGGCTGGCAGGTACTCCGGAGATGGCCACTCCCTCACTAGCATCACCAGAGGGTGATGATAAGAGAAGGCTACAGGGAGAGGAGGTTGATGATCACACACATCACCTCTAAGGTGGTGGAGGTAATTCATCAGTATAACAGGCACTCACAAAATACTTCTTGAAAGAATGAATGAACTGCCCACCTAAGAAATCCTCTGATAAATGTTCTTTTTTTTCTCCTCGTTTAAACCAAGAGTACTCCACCACAGCATTGCTGACCTTTGGGACCAGATTATTCTCTGTTGCTGGGGGCTGCCCTGTGCACTGTAGGACATTCACCAGCATCCTTGGCCTCTGCACATTCGACACGAATAGCACACACACAAGGGCAAGTTGTGACAACTAAACCATCTCTAGACATTGCCAGATGTCCCCTGAGGGCAAAATCACTTCCAGTAAAAACCAATGGTTCAGACTATAGGAAAGCAAAAAAATATATTTTTGAGGCTAAAAATAACTTAACTTTTTACTATGTCCCTGAATCCAAAGCTGTTTTGAAGGCTTAGCAAATAATATAGCTATAACTTAGCATAGCAAGTCCTTAGAGCAATTTACAACTGACTGGAGAATATTAACCGCCTAAGGCAAATCAGTCCTTAACTGCTGCTATTCTGGGGGTGGGGAGGGGGACACAGCATTAATAATTCAATAAAGGAAAGGCTGCAGGCAATGAGACCCTAGAGTTATTTATTTAGCCAATTAGATTCGTTTTTGGTGGCAACCCTGCCTTTGTGAGTATGAATACGCCATGTCTATTCTTCAATTAACCAGGAAAATTGTACCTCACAAATCTGCTCTTACTGCCTTTCAGCTGGAGGATGTGCAGTTCAAGTGGTCCTGGAGCCTTCAGAGGAGGGAAACAGGCTGGGAACATTCATCACTTACACGTGTGCCTCACACAGAACAGATCCATGCACTGGGGGTGTGCAAATTAGAGGTGTCAGCATCAGTCCTCACTGTTCCTGCCCTAACTTTCCAGCCCTAATCCAGAGCAAGACAGGGATGAATTATATCAGGTAAAATTTAGAGCCATGGACACATAGATATGCTCAGTTTATTACTGTTAGTGATAAACAATCCTACTTTAACCACTAAGAGACTAGAAAACATGGTTTTTTGTTTTTTTGGTTTTTTGGTTTTTTTGAGATAGAGTCTCATTCTGTTGCCCAGGTTGGAGTGCAGTGGCATGATCTTGGCTCACTGCAACCTCTGCCACCCAAGTTCAAGCGATTCTCCTGCCTCAGCCTCCTGAGTAGCGGGGATTACAGGTGCATAACTACCACGCCCAGCTAATTTTTGTATTTTTAGTAGAGATGGAGTTTCACCATGTTGGCCAGGCTGGTCTTGAACTCCTGACCTGAAGTGATCTGCCCACTTTGGCCTCCAAAGTGCTGGGATTATAGGCATGAGCCACCATGCCCGGCCCAAAACATAGTATTAAATATACGTCTGGTGAAGCAAATCCAAGAGCTTTCCTGTTTTAACTTTGCTCACAATTTAGGCTGCAGGAACTGCTGGAGGTCCCTGAAGTGGACCTATTTTGGTGGCTTATTTTGGTCTAGATCACAATGTGGAAGGTGTCCCTATCACTCTCTTGTGGTCAATAGGAGGTCAACTCAAAGCCCTACAGACTACAGTAGCTAATGGGGATTATTTTTTTAAAATCATCAGGAAGAAGAATATATAAACCAACATAGTCCTGTTCACTGGGACAAACCATTAGAAATTCTAGAGATTTCTCCATAAGCTGTTAGAGATTTTCTTTTTCCTTGGGTATTTATAACCTTAGCACTTCCATTTCTACCATATATTTTACTTCCTTTTCCCTTTCTTGCTCTCCTTTTTCTTTTTTGGTTCCACTTATTTGTTTAGAGCCCAGATTCTCTAATAATTACAGGTGGCGGCAAGCTGTGAGGCTTCACAAAAAGTCAGATACTTAGACCAGGAAATCACAGAAAGGCCACTGACAAGATTCCAATGTGAAGATGCCCCTGACCATTGACTTGTCCTCGATATCTAAACAAAGAGCACATCCCTAACAGGGGGACCAAGATTTCTTATGCACACACACATCTGTCTGTCGCAGGCCTTGGAGACCTGGGATCAGTCAGATCCCCAATGAGAGCACAAAATGGAAATCACATCTCCAAACCACTTTTGTTTCACTAAAATCAAACTGATGTTTCAGTCAACAAAACATAAAGAGTTTCAGTGCCTCATGAAATTTCACTGACCCAAAAATTACTTTTGTCAACCCAAACATAGCTTTCTTTTCTCATTTAATGTGATCGCAGTTGTGCTCACCAAGTCCAGTTGAGTACAGAGTGGGATGCCCGTGAATATGCCAGGAGCTGAGAGCTGAACAGTACCTGACATTTCACCCATTTAAATTATAGACTTTTCCTACTCCAGAAGATTCAGGACATCTATAGCATGTGTCCAAATGTGGCACAAAGGAAAAATATCTTATTAACTCAGCACAATTATGGGGTCTGAGATCAGAGGAACTGGAGGCCTTGTAATGTAGAGCAGCAGCTTACAGGAATGGAACTCAGAGCAAATAAATTTTGATTGAGACAGGAAGAAAAAGGAAAAACACAAGACATTACCTAGAGTGAGCATACCTAAAGGCCAAGATTCTGGGTGAGTGGAAGGTGGGAGGAAAAACAGCCCCTCTCAGGCATACAATAACAGGTGATGTGGATACCACTCACTGGAAGGGAACTGGGGATGCCCAGTGGTGTGCCAGCCAATGTTTAATGACCACCCATCGGAAGAAGCCCTTACCTGTGGTGTGTGCCAATTTCCATGGTGTAAACACTCCCACCATAGCCTACATTAAGCTACTATCACAATGTCACTGAACACAGAGACAGGGAGACACGCACACAATTGGCTCTCACAAGGTAGGAGGAACAGCTCCAGCACAGAGCACCCCTGGCACAGGAAGTGGAACTGAAAAGAAGCTGGGCAGGGGCCTGGTGCCCACTTCTTTTGACAGGCGATTTGTGTGTATGGGGCTTCTGTCTTGACACAGCTGGACTTTCCTGATCATTTAGTCTCAGAAACTGAATGGAGATTGTTTCCTTTGTCACTCCCAATTCTGCTCTGTGAAATTCTTAGGAATTTAAAAATTCATGATGAGCACATAGTAACTTAAATTCAAACATCAAAGGACTGCTCAGTTTTTTCTCCTGTTGTGACCTTATTGTGGTAAATATTGCATTAAATTGCCATGCCAATAATTGAGATTCAGAAGCACTTTAGTTTTGAAGAAATTTGCTGTTCATGGCATTTAGTGACAAAGATTTTCACCTTCTCATTCCCTATCTCTCTTCATTCTCCTTCTACCACTCCCTCTCTCTCATTTTCTCTCCCATAATGTTCTGTCTTTGGGGCTGTCTCCAACCCTTTCCCATTTATCTTTCCAAGTATCTCTATATATCTCTTTCTCAACTTCTTTCCCCTTACCCCCTCTCCCTCACTCTTCTCTCAACTTCTCAGTAAGGGAAAGATTTCTCGTCCTATCTGCATAATGTGTCTGACAATTCCAGTCTCTGTTTGCTAATCATGCTTAAAAGAATGACATACCAGAATGTAGAGACAACAGGAAGAGGTAAACTAAGGGAAGCACTGAAAAATACCAGGCATAACAAAAGCCTGAACAAGCTCTGCATGCATAAAGAGGTACTATGCATTAGGCATATGGACTTCACTTGAGATTATGTACCATAAACAAGTACAACATGACAAAAAAGAACATACAGACGTGGAGTAAACTACTGACCACTTAAAGCTGGCTGAAAATCCCACAATACGGATCCTGAGTTTTACTTCCCTTTTCTTCTCTGGTTCCCCTTACCCTGGTACCTGCCAACCGAGCCTTTGATTTAAACATTTTTATATATCAAAAGATACAGAAGAAAAAAGTAATTTAGATGTAAACATTGAAACAGCTTATGTTACAAAATGAGTGCAGTTTTAAAAAATAAATACGCAAAGCCTTGGGGGGAGGAGAAAAAAACAGCTTTGAAGGGAATAGACAAATAAAAAGCCCACTAAAGACACAGATCATTCCAGAGGTGATTCCTTCTTTCTGCCTGACACAGGCTGTGTGGCCAACATATGTATCAACAGACAGGAAGTAACAGAACTCCAAACCAGACAGGCGCTGGGAGCTCATTCTATATTCACAGAATCATATTCGGGAAGGCAGGGTCCCAGGAAGTACTAAATCAAATCCTGCCACTTCACAATAACAAGGAAAGGATAAAATGAATTCTTGATAGCCACAGATTTTTCAGAGGAAAAAAGAACAGATTTTCAACTTGAAACCATTACATTTTAGACAACTTTTTAAAAAGCTTGAATTTCAAGGATTAGGGCAAAGTACGTGCTCTGTGTTCCTCTGCTAACTGAAACTGAAGGCTGTGTTCCCAGTTCTTACAGTCATTTGACAAATACATCAACAAGAATTAGCCACCAACATGATTTCCTTGGCCTCCCACAGTCAGAATAATAAAAAGAAATTCCTTCCATGATCTCTTTATTTTAACACACCGGTTGTTATTTAGTGTATCATCAGGAGGCTGTAGGCAAATCGCTGGCTGGCTGTCACAGTCAACATCAACCCCTTTGAAGTCAATGACACTAAATGGAAACACTAGAAGTGCCATTAATGAGCATGTTTTAATAATGCTACTGAAGTCTTTTACATTTCAAGAAAAGTACCAGAAATAACTCTGTAGAGTTTATGGTAGCACGATTGAAGTGTTGCTAATCATTATATATCGGTTTATTAATCATTATAAATGCCATCACAGTTAAATGTTATTTGGATTGTTCATATGCTTAACATTGAAGGTGTAATTAAGAAATGGCCTGATTGATACCAGGCGAGTCGGTCTCAGTTGAACTAGGATTTCATTGAATGTAGTCCTCAGGGTGGATGGTATTGAATGGATCCACAGCACTGGGGTTCTATGGAGGTTCTTGCATCAACATCCCAAAAGTTCGGGTCCTTCTCTCCTCCTCCACACCCTCCATTACACAAGTGCCCCAGAGTCAGCGTAGTATCTATCCAACAGACACCCATGAGTGGGGCTGCATATATAACAAATAAAGATACTGGATGTGGACCTGAATTTGAATTTCAGAGAAACATCGAGTATTTTTGTTAGATTAAATACAAATTTAAGATAAACAGAAGATATATAATTTGTTAGTAAAGCTACAGTTCAGACTTAGACTAATGTAATTATTCATTGTTTATCTGAAGTTTAAATTTAACTAAGCGCCCTGTATTTTATCTGGCAACTCTACCCAGGGGAAACATGTGTGGAGCCTTTTATGGTCTAGAGATCTGCCTCTAGGTGGGACCATGATGGCCATCTGAGCATATGTACCTGTCCTTCTCCCACCCCCAGGCCCTGGAAATTAAAAAAAAAAAATAGATGTGTTTAACGAGAAATTTCACAAAACTGACAGAAGACAAGGAGAAGGTGTCATGTGGGTCAGAAACCTTGAGAAATTCCTGAAAGACAGAAAGAAACCTGGCTCATCTTAACAGAGGAAATTGCAGCCTCAGAAATGAACTAAAAAGGTTGCTGGAAAATGTTGTAGTATGTCTAGGGATGCCCCGAGCTCAGAGACAACAAATGCAATGAGCAAACGAAACAGAAGCTATAGAGATTAATTGGGGGAGCATGTTCAGAAGTGCTGAACAAAGAGTGCCTGCTGCTCCACCCTGTGTCAAGCAGCAGGAGCATAGTCTGTCTAGATAGAGCCACCAGGGTGACCGCTTGGGCTATAGAGGCAGAGAGGTGCCCCGAATGACTGTTGATAATTGGGTGCACCAGAAAATGAGAACCTGCTATACACCAACATCCTCAATGATCTCCAATTATATGGAAAGCAAAATGGAATCCACAGATAGGAGATCACAGACTCTCAAGATGACCAAAATTATTAGAAAAACCAACATCAAAATAAAGAGGCATTGAAGAGCAGACACATGCAGAAACAGGGTTAAAGTAGCAACTATTAGGCTTTAAAAGTAGTGTAATTAATATCTTTAAATATTTAAGATATCATCTAATATAAATGAAAAAGAACAGGCTGCAATGGGGAAAGCATATTTTAGAAATAAAAAATAGGATTATTTGTAATTTCAAAAATATAAAACTCCTTGGGGACCAACCCAAATGTCCATCAATGCAGACTAGATAAAGAAAATGTGGTACATCTACACCATGGAATACTATGCAGCCATAAAAAGGAATGAGATCATGTCGTCTTCAGGGACATGGATGAAATTGAAAGCCATCATCCTCAACAAACAAACACAGGAACAGAAAACGCAACACCACATGTTCTTACTCATAAGTGGGAGGTGAACAATGAGAACACATGGACACAGGGAGGGGGAACAACACACACAGGCACCTGTTGAGTGGGGTGGATTGTGAGGGGGAGGGAGAGTGTCAGGAGAAATAGCTAATGCATGTGGAGCTTAAAACCTAGATGATGGGTTGATAGGTGCAGCAAACTGCCATGGCACATGTATACCTATGTAACGAACCTGCACGTTCTGCACATGCATCCTGGAACCTAAAGTAAAATCAAAAATAAATAAACAAATAAATAGATAAATACAACTCCCTGGGTTAAATTGCAAAGTTAACACAGCTAAACATCAAATCAATTAACTGGAAGATGGCATTGAGACAAGGAGACAGTCAAGAGAGATGTGTAAGCTCCAGAACCCACTGAATGAAAGTTCTAGAGGGGAAGAACAAAGATCATCGATGGGAGGAAATACTCACATAAAAAAAAAGAAGAAACAGAAATAGAAATGCATGGAAAAAAATGGACTCCTCAGACTATAATAAGACAGAATGCAAGAAGAAACCTTACATATAAAGTGATGAAATTCTGTAACAGATGATGAGAAAATCTGAAAAGCTGTCTAAAAAGGGGGCCAGAGGTAGAAAACTTTACCTATGATAATCTGCTTCTCCTCACAGTTCTGAATGGCCACACTGAATGCTAAAAGACAATAGAGTCATCTTTTCAAATTTTCAAAAGAAAAATTGTTGTGATTTTGAAATTAGCACCCTCTACTCCACAAACTTGTGTTCAGCTGGGAGATTTCTAGATATGCAAAAATTCATAGTTTGCCAACCATAGATTGTCTCTGAAAAAAAAAAACTAGTAGAAAATGCATACAAACAAAACAAAACACTATCACAAGTTATGGGAAGAAAAGTAACATACACTATAAAGTAAGAAAGATACACTGGTAAGTACAAGAACCAATAAAACTTTCATTTAAGCCTAAGTAACTGTTAATTGGAAATCAAAAAATTAATAACAATCTGGAACTAAAACCCCTGGAAAATAAGAAGTTCACATTAATTATGGTCTTACGTGGCAGCAGGCATTATTCTAAACTCTTTTTGTGTGTTAGCTCACTTAATCTTCACAATAACCCTAAAAAGCATTTACTACTATTATCATTTTATAGATTTGGAAACTGAAGGCCAGGGAGTTAAAACCTTGGCCAAAGGTCACAGAGGTAGGAAGGGATGGGTTTGAGCAGGACACCAACCATGGGAATCGGCTCCAGAGACTCCAGGCAACCCATAAGCTCAGGCGTCAAGGCTGAAGGGTGGAGGTTTGGGGGAAAGATGGAAAGCAGTGAAATGGGGAGAGGAAGGTTCTTGTTTGATTGTTGGTTAGAATTCCATAATAATTCCATATGTGGAGGAAGAGGATATAGTTCACTCTACTTTAAAGAGTTAAGTGAAAGTGTTAAGTGTGATCTCTAACACAGAAATAGAACATACAATTTCCAAAATGATAGGACACCCCTCCACTCACTCCAGTCTTTTTTTATATTGCTTAGTAGAATTTTATGTCTTGTCCATATGGTTGCCACATATTCTTTTAATTTTTAGGTATTCTGTATTTTTCCTGTCATTGTGAATGGATCACATTATGTTGTTATATATGAATGAGCAATTGTTAGTAAATAGAAAATTAACTTTCGCACATTTATTGTGTAACTCATACCCCTACTGAACTCTTATTTTTCTAATACTTATAATTGGTCATCTTGTGTTTGGGGGGCCAAAAATGTGGACTAATTTTATATTTTCCACTTCAACATGCAAAATTTTTCTATCCTTTTTTATCCAGCTGTATTGCATAGAACTTCCCTAAAGCATTAAATCATACGGGGATAGCTGACCTCATCATTTCACCACCTTTAAGGGGAAGAAGCTGGTTACCCCATAGGGTAGTTTATGTTCTGTGTCTATAGGTACTGAAGGAGCTGTTGAACATTCTACTAAACGCTTGCCTGTGAGGCTATTCAGTCCCCACTTTGGCTTCTCGAGTTTCAGGCTGAATTACTGGCTCTTTCCTCCTTCCTTGGACATGTAAAATTGGTCTAGATTGGCATGTCCACCTACACATGAACCCAGATGAAGTCTCAGAGGAACCACACTCCTAGATCTCACCACTGGACATTTTACATCTTGCGTGATGTTTAAGAGACACTTATAAGATGACTCCAGATGCAAAATATGCTGCCTTTCACATGTAAGCTTCTTGTGAAAGAACTCTGGACATTAATTTTGAACTATCATATTCTACCATCATTCTGTCCTATTATCAGCCTGAAAGCATGTTATTCATTATGGCCCTCAGGTCAGGAAAATCAATGACTAATCTCAACTCTGTATCTATTGAACATTGATAGCTGCATGGGTCATATGTCTGACATAAGACTTTGTCCTCAAGTTAATCAATTCCTACACTGATGCGGCCTATGCTCTCTCACGCAGCCCTTGTGTGTTCCCAGATGACACGTATTTATTTACAACATTTACTTGTTATATTCTAGAATAAAATTTTCCCATTTGGAGTCTTTTCTGAAAACAAAAGGGCATTAGGTCTAGGACAAATCCACCATAAGGTTCAAAGATTTTGGAAAGAAGAATGTTAGAAATCTATGTATGAAGTTCTTTCTGAATCGAGCATATTTTAATATGGACTATTTTCCTGTGTTCTTTTGCATTTTAAGTCAACACCATCTTCTTCTCAAAAGCATCTTTTGACATGTTCAATGGTTGGTTGGTTTGATTGGTTTCATTTCTGGCTATTTACTTTGTGGTTACCTCCAGAGAGAAATCACTTAACATTTTCATGAGTATCAGGCCTCTGAATAACGTGAAATCTTGGGCAGGGCTCATGTACCATTTTCTCAAGGGCTTTCCCAATACTCAGTCAGGCAGGTTGACACATACAACCATTACATCCAAAAAGCATCCTTCAGCAGCTTTGGCCCAAATAAAAGAAACAGAATTGAGCTAACAATGAGTTCCTTTACTTCTAATGAAAATTGCTCAACAAAGAACCAAATGTTAGCATATATATATATATATACCTGCTCTCAGAATGCTTACTAAATGGCAGGTGCGGTGTTAGGCTTGGGGTATAAGGGTTTCCTTCCATCTAATTAAAATTATGCAAAAGGGAACAAAATGTCAGCCTTTCCATAAAACGCATACCTTTGGAATCTCTCTTAGGAAACAGGCCCTGTGTCTGGCTAGAAATGTAAGGTGGGAAGGAGGGCCAGGGCACCCACAGGGATGGCGGTAAATGTATTTTGCCACAAGTAAATGGATTGTGCCAGATGTTGTGGGTTACACGGCCAATATGTCTGATCTATAATATTCACTTTAAGTATAAGAAATTTTGAGAAAACCACTCTTCAAATAGCATGATCAAAATGATTCAAATAGAATATTTTTAAGTGAAGTAGGTATTTAACACTTAAGAAACAAAAGTGTTTTTGAAAAAGGGCTTGGAGGCTACGAGTGGCTCTAAATGGGAATAGCTGATATAAATTGTCAGTGGATAGATTATTTCTAACATCATCCATTCCAATAACAGTGCAAATTTCTATCTAGTAAGTTACTCAAGTGAGTATCTGCTTTAAGTACACTGACTTCAAGTACCACTCAAAATTTCTAATCTTTGGCTATGTGATGTCAAACTTTCTTTGCTACTAAATGATCTCACATGCCTCTAGCTCCATGCTGCTGTTGATGTTTTCTTCTTGCTATGTGATTTTGCAGAAGACATGGAAGTTGGCAGGCTAGCTGAAATGAATACTCCAGAAACTCATAATTAGAGAAGAAAATGATTCTTATCTACTCCCCAAACATACTGAATTCCTTGGTGAGGCTATGCAGGTAAGATAATAAAAAATACATAAAATGTCTGAGCAAATTTCATCAAAATAAAAGCATTTAACAAATAAGATTGTCAACTTTCTTCTGCTCATTTGACTAAAAATTTAAAAAAATAGCAATGGATGCAATTTGAGAATACTAAAACAGGCCCAATATGAATTCACTAAAGGCCTAACACAGCAGAGGAGAAAACCAAAGGCAAACATAATATATCTTATTTAAACTGACACAAGCTTTGTTTTGACACAACCTATGGTTACATTGTAGTTTTTGGAGACTGTAAATCAGATGTTTAGGACTGAGAAAGAAGAAAATAGAAGATCATTTTCTTCTTTCATAGGATCCATTATTTTTCTCCGTATTTGAAAAAAAAATTTTAATAATTATTACACTAAAATTATGCTTTGGCTATCAATATTTTATTTCATGAGATATCAAAATCATCCACTAAAGCAGATGTATAATAAATAAATAAATGTATTCCTCTTTCAGGGCAATATCCAGTTGCTGTACTCAAGCAGGCTGGTGTGAAGGGTCACGTGCAGCTCTTAAAATAAATGGTCTGCAAAGCTCCAACACTAATGCCTAATCCCATATCTTGTCCTGAGTATGTGGCCCTCTTCCCGGGGATGCCCCCTGTGACTCCTTGGGGCAAACCTACTTAGAGAGGTCTAAGGAAGCCTGCCCAGGGGAAGAGTGTCCTGGACAATGACCTCACACTTAGGCAAGACTTAAATCTGGCTTCTTTTATTCAAATTATCTCAGAGCTGGTAAGTGGCAATTGGCCAATGCTCAGGCTGTCCCCACTGTCACATGTGGCCTGCCTTTCCACTGTGTCTTCTTCTAGATATACAAAGCAGTTACAGCAGGTACTGCACCTATTGCTTTTTGTCAGCCTCATGGAGTGGCTCTTATGCCACAGAGTTGTCCAAACCCATGGGCAAAAACAGATAAAATGGAAGCCAGGAGTCTCCACCCACAGAGACAGGGACAAGTTATTCTCCTCAGATGTCTATAGAATGTGGCCAGCACATTGTTCGCGATGTCCTCAAGTTCAGTTTTGGACAGAAACGGTCATACTTATATGACACACACCCATTTGCCTCAGTTTCCCCCACTAGGAGACAGTAAAAAGATTGGTGGTTGCCAGGGGCTGAGGGGAGGGAGGGATGAACAGGAGAGCACAGGGGATTTTCGGGGCACGAGACTGGTCTGCATGATGTTCTATTGGTGGATGCATGTCATTACACATTTGTCCAAATCCATAGAATATACAATACCAAGAGTGAACCCTAATGTAAACTATGAACTCTGGGTGATAATGATGTGCCAATGTAGGTTGATCGATTGCCCCACCCCCACCAGCCACACAACCCACATCAGCACTTTGAAGTTATTCTATATTTATATACTTAGATTGCATACACAACCTGAAGACTTGAATGGATGCAAATGCAGGCAAAACAATAAGGAGGTAACAGTTTATAACAGGCAATAAATATTGGCAAATTTCCTGATTAAAGTCAGGTTTAGATTTCTATCATCAACTTCAGTGTTGTCTTTCATCAGATCACCTTTAAATTACCACTGCCAAAATAATATTAAAGTAAAAAGAAAAACAACACAAAAATAACAATTCTTTAATAATAATTAAGAAAAGATGTTGTATTACCACTAACATTTTACCCATTCAAAAGGGGCATGATGCCCTAATGCCTTGAAGGTAAACCTGGTAGTCCTACAATCATGAGTGGATATTCTTATTCAATATATGCATTGTAAGAAGGAACCACAGATAAAATCAACTGACTTGCCAGCAGTGGTCCTCAACTTACAGACAAACACAACTTGCCACTATTCTCTCTCTTCCTTGGCAAATCTATGACCAATCTTCCTGGATTACAGATAGAAGACACACAACAGCTTTTATAAAGTCTATCAGTTCATTTGGAAAGTTCATTCCTTCACCCAAAAGCTATTTATTAAATGCCTGCTGTGTATGACACATTCTTCTTGGAACTGCGGACCCATCAACAAACAAATCAGATAAGCAATGGAGCTCGTATTTGGATGAGGTAGGAAAGACAACCAACAGCATTCAAAAGTAAATGTTATGAGTTGGAAAGTGGTAGGTTCCATAAAATACTATAATCACTTGTTGATGACTTCTTCTGTGCCAGAAAAACACAAATTACCAATAAAGTGTTATTGCACCTTTTTCCAGAAAAGAAAACTAACGTTCAGAAAGATTAAGAACCTTGCTGAAATTCACACAAATGGGAAAGCTAATGCAGGGATTCCATGTCACATCAGAGGGAGTTTTTCTAGTCATTTCACAATTAGACCCTTAAGCAATCCAAAAATAGACCCCATTAGTTATCTGAATGGAGGAAACCAGGCTCTATGCATGCTGCACTCTGAGCAAGAAGTTAACACATTGATCCTGGACACCAGACAACCCAACATCCATTTACCTCCCTGAGACCCAAGCTCCTCATTATCATCTCCCTAATGTTTGCAACATGCAATTCTATTTACTTTCCATTTTTACATAAATCTTTATTTAGAAGAAAATAGCATACCATGGAATATTAGCCTGTGCTAAAAAGAAATGAGCTAGCAAGCAATGAAAAGAAATAGAGGAACCTTTAATGCATATTACTACGTGAAAGAAGCCAATCTAAAAAGGCTACATACTATGTGATTCCAAATATATGACATTCTAGAAAGGGTCAGACCATGGAGACAGTAAAAAGATTGGTGGTTGCCAGGGGCTGAGGGGAGGGAGGGATGAACAGGAGAGCACAGGGGATTTTTAGGGCATGAGACTGGTCTGCATGACGTTCTGTTGGTGGATGCATGTCATTACACATTTGTCCAAATCTGTAGAATATACAACACCAAGAGTGAACCCTAATGTAAACTATGAACTCTGGGTGATGATGATGTGCCAATGTAGGTTGATCGATTGCAACAAATAGACCACTCTAGTGGGGAATGTCAACAATGGAGGAGGCTGTGAATGTAAGAGGGAGGTGGGATAGGAGAACACTCTATACTTGTTGCCCAATTTTGCTGTTAACCTAAAACTGCTCTAAAAATAAAGCCTAACAGTTCATAAATATATAAATATATATAATATAGGCCTATTAGTTCATAAATATATAAATATATATACCTGTAAATATGTATGTAGCAGCATCTATCTATCTATCTATATATATAAAACATTATATATATATAAGCATACTGTCATCTCATATTAATGTTTATTCAAAAGGTTGTACAATCCTACACTTATACATTTTTTTGAAAATGGCCTCTATCTTTCCCACACTTGCCTAGTTTGATCACTGTGAGACTCCTCAAGAATGATGCCCGGTAAAATTAATTATTAATTATTAACTTATTTATTTCTATGGGGAGAACATCAGTACAGTATTTCTGTTTATAAAACAGAATTGAAAGCCATGGGGCAATGGAACTAAGAAGAGAAAAATCTAATTAGGGCCTGACAGCCTTTGATAATAGGATTAAAGTTATTTTCCTCCCAACTACTAATATGTGAAGTCAATAGTGTTGTGTTTTCTCTTCTTAGAAATGTGTGGTATGCCCCTGCAAGCAACTTTTCCCATGCTATAATGTTTGTAACTCACAGAAAATAAATATGATTTCTTTGATGCACTATCAGGAAGATGTCAGCAAAACATGAAGTGACACACACCAGCAGCCTCTCAGAACCGAGCTTTACAGAAATGGAAACTTTTGAAAGAATATTTTCTAGCAGCAAGTAACAAAGTATCTGTTTGAATTTGTTTCTTAATATGCTCAGGTTCAATGCAAAGAATGTAAGGTTACCATAACTTTAACAAGCAGCATCTATTTCCAGCATGTGCTAAATATTGTACCTATTTTTGGTAAATTTTAAAAAATATATTTTATATAAATTCTTATCTGGACCTGTACTTCAAAATGTTCTTCATAAAGGCTGAGCATAAAAATTCCTGTTTAATCAAACCAAATTAAATCAGCAACTATCCACAGAGCTCTTCTCCCTTGTGCAATTGGTATTGTGGGCATAATAATAAATAAAATTTAAGATGTAATTTAAGATCTTGGCCTCAAGGTGCCTATCTCTGGGGGCTATAGGAGAGACAAACAGGACACATCAAAGTTAATTATCTTTTAGCTCTCAAACTCAAGACAATCATAGAAATAGAACATCAAGGCAGTACAATATCCATTCAAAAATTGAGTAGGTATATGGTGATGGACATAGATCTCCTTTTCCTTCTGAATATAATCTCTTTGCTTTCCAGATGAATTTCCACAAATGAGACCTTAATCAGAACAGAGTCTATTCAGGACACATATTGATAATTATCGAGGTCAGTGGCTCCCCAACGCGGCTGCTCATCAGGAGGGCAGATGCTTCCTAATTGACACTGCTCCTAGCCCCCAGGCCCTGATCTTCTCACTTAGTAGGTCATGGATGAGTCAGCTTCTGCCAAATCCCCCCCTTCAATGCCCCCCTGAACCAAACTAACATTTGTACAGCACTTTAGAATTTCCACAATGTCCCTTATCCTCCTAATTTTTTAATTCTGTGCAAAATCATTGTTGCCATCTTTTAGATGAAAAAACACAGATTGTATAACGTGTTCCTGTTTTCAGTCAGTGAATAATAAATACCATGGGTTAAATTTAGATATTAGGCAAGAGATGTTTCCAAAACAAGTATTTTGTGCTTTAGACTAGCATATATCAGTGGCATCAAATCACGTACAAAAAATTATGCTTTCCAAAGTATCTGGTTCAAGTGTTCAAGGTTCTTCCTAAGAAATAACAAATGCAACCTTTGACATATTTCTTTTAAAAATTTTTAACTGTCCATATATATTAAAATATTTATTCTGAAATTACAACTAGAAATTTCAGTAAAAGAATATTTGTACCTATGTGCACAAACCAACTTCAAAACCAAAGTAATTGTAGGATATTCCAAAGTGTTTAAATTCTATTTTTCTTTCCCCTTTGAGGCTGCCATTATTTTAGGTAAAACAAAAATCTGTGTTCCTTCTAAGCCATAGGACTTCGATATCTTCAGGGATACCTGGCGTCCCTGTGAGTAATTACCCAGGCAGTGATTAAACCACCAATACTAGGAGTCAGCAGGCAGGCTGTGTCCACAATAGGAGTTTCTGAATAACAACGTCACACAAGAGCAAATTCAAGAGCTACCGTGAAGCCCACTCAAGGGAAAGCAAGCAAGTAAATGAGTTGAAACTGGAGGGGAGAAGCTGATTGTTACAGGAGTTCTCTTGCCCTTAGCTTTTACCCACCCAAGCAAGACAGCTTGGTTCTCTGTTTGCACAAGGACCATGTTTAGAAATAGAATCTGTGCTCCATCATTAAATATATATTTATTGAATCCCTACTAGTGCCAGGCCCTGTAGCAAGCCCTCGAATATGAAGGAACAAGACTGAGCCCCACTGTAAGGGAGTTTACATCATTGAATAACCAGCCCCTCAACAAGACTATAGTGAGACAAGCGTACACTCAGCAGGATGCGTCCACAGGAGGATGAAGAGAAAACTGGCGGGGCCTCCGGCTCCCACTAGTTCTTGACAGAGCAAACCCATTTTCTTTACATTTGAAAGTAGACAGTAATGGGTAAATAATAAATCAGACTATTTGTAGTTTATCCTTAATTCTTCCAGTTTAGCAATTTGTCCCTCTTATTTACTTAAACTCTTAATTCAGCCTGCTTAATTTTTCTTCATAGTATTTGTTTTTACCTGATCGACTGAATACTCATTGGTTTACTCATTACCCCTCTGCTCCCCTCTCCCATCCACACACACTAGAATGGAAACTTCATGAGGACCCAGATTTTTGTCACTGTTGTATCCCCAGCATGCTGGGTACATAGTGGGAACTCAATATTTCTTTTATTTCATTATTATTACTATTATTTTGAGAGGAATCTCACTGTCTGTCACCCAGGATGGAGTGCAGTGGCATGATCTCGGCTCACTGTAACCTCTGCCTCCTGGGTTCAAGCAGTTCTCCTGCCTCAGCCTCTCAAGTGTCTGGAATTACAAGCGTGTGCCACCGCACCCGGCTAACTTTTGTGTTTTTAGTAGAGATGGGGTTTCACCATGTTGGCCAGACTGGTCTCAAACTCCTGACCTCAGATGATCTGTCCACCTCGGCCTCCCAAAGTGCTGGGATTATAGGCAAGAGCCACCATGCCCAGCCTCAATATTTCTTAAGTGAACATTGGAATAATGTCAACTAATGAAGAATGTATAATTGTATAATCTGTTAAAATGCATTTCAGATGAAGCTTAAGTGTAATATACTAATAGAAGTTTATTTTATAAGGAAGCACTAGAAACTTCCACCTAGACAGTCCACAGAGGCCACTGAACTGTAATGAAGCAGCTATCACTAACATTAGAATTACAGTGAATATAGCCAAAAGAAATATTACCATGTTTTTTTCAGATCAGAAAATATGTCTAATTCAACCCAGCTGGGATGTGGCAGGGTCAAAATTTGAAATTCAGAGTTGTTGGAACTTAAGGTATAAACTCTGTCTGCTCGGTCACCAGCCTGCCTGCCAAGTAGTCAAGAAAAAAATGACCATCCTGGAGTATTCAATTACCTGAGGAAGGCTGGGTCTCCAAAGGGACTGCCTCGATTTTTCACTTCTACAGAATTTTTAGATATACATTTCCACAATTTACAGATAAGTCTATGAGGATCTTTTTAAAGCCCATAAAACCACACACACAACCTGCTACCAGCTACCAGGAGTGACAAAGCTCCGAGTGGAGCATTTGAGATAATCACCATTCATTTGTGTTTTAATATGCATAGAGAGAACAGGCCTTGAAATAGCCTTGCATATGAATTCAATATTTGTCTTTTAAACTAGTTAATCTGGTACAGTCTTACAAATGCAATGCCTTATTAAAGAGAGTATCACATGGTAGCATTTTTCTCTCCCCTTTAGTTGAGCACATTAGATACTTATAGGGACATGGTATTTCTCTCAGAAACACTTGGGAGCTAGTGAAGCCACAAAGCTAAGGAGATAATCAGCTGATGATCAATGATGAGCTCCCAAGAGTAACCAGCCTCTATATAGTCAGCATCACTGGTTTCTCAGGAAAAGCATCACCATTGTTCATCTTGCTGCAAAATGTATGCACAAGTATCTTTTTATTTTTAAAAAAGCCCTGACATTTTATGACTGCTGCTTTTCTAAGATATTTTCAAATATACAGTCCATACGGTTCAGACACAATGGACTGGGGATAGAGACGGCTATAGTGCCGATAATGGAGAAACTAGCCAGAGCTTCAGATATTTGTTTTCCAGGACATCTCAATAATTGGGTACACCTCACAATATGTGAGACTTGACGTCGAGTGGCACGGCATACTCTGGCGCAGGCACTTGATAAAGACTGTGTTTGCAAATACTTAGCCTGCACTTCAAGATACCAGGCATCTAAGCACGTCCCAGATGGTGACAGTTAATCTTCAAAAAACCCTATGTGGAAGTATTATCATTGTCCTCATTTTACAGATGAGGAAAAAGAGACACAGGGATGTCAATATCTTCCTCAAGGTCACACAGCAAGTAAGTGATGGAACAGTGGCTCAGCCATGAAGCTATTGCTGTTAACCACTAGGTTGATTTGCCTTCATTAATTTCTTCCTAAAACTGCACATTTCCCGTTAGTCCCTCTTTTGGTCTGTCGTTTGACTCTTGGCTACTGCTTAGAGGAAGATTCATTCTATTATTTTCTAACTTAGTAAATTATGTGCAACTCCTTGGGGACATGACACAGGCAAAGCTGTATACAGAGATGTATGCCAAGACACCATCCCAAGTTAACCCTAACAGTCTATCTGATCCTGTATGTAAGTGGGTATATTGTAAATATTTTTAAATTTTCTGTATACTACGATGTTTTGATAGTTTAAAAAAGCCTTCTGGCTGGGAAGAGACTGCCCCTCCCTGGGCTAGTCAGTTCTTAAAGATGGCCATGGGCCCAACCTGGAGCTTACCTTTGATATGAAAACTAACTGATGCAGAGCCACACCTCCTCTGTTTGGGCCATATGGCCCCAGGAGGCACTACTCCTCTGTCATAACCATCCTGGGGCCAGGCACCACATTTATGATAATATATTTGGAAGTATATCATTATCATAATCTGAGGTGTCTAAATACAGCAATGTCACCACGAGGGGAAAAGGACTTTCATTCACCATCCATCGAATTCTTTGGAGATAATTACAAACTTTGTAATACTTTATTTCGGTTCAGAAATACAATTTAGAAATTTTAATACAAATTTCTGGAAGTTCTGACATTTTTAAAAGATAAATTTAAGCTTGTTATCCTTCAGCTTGCTCAGACTACTGTATGGATGCTACGTGGAAGGTGGTTGATCATTGAGGGACCATCATTATGAAGATGCGGGGTCCACAGCGTACATTTCCCAGCCGAGATATAGCAGCAGGGAATAAAACAGTGGGAACAGTAGATCAGCCTCATATTGCAAATCGGCGGCACACACCCTGGAGTCGTTTGTTTCCCATGAGCACGTTGTCTAAGTACTACGATAACCAACTATGACCCAGTAACCTTGTCATGCCTGGGGCCATTATGACTCAAGACTGCATACCTGGAATCAAACTTAAACTGTGAATATATATGGCATGTTTAGCATGATTTGGGCTGGGTTAGGTGTGGAATTGTTAGCCTGTGTTTTCGTCTGTATTTATTTGACATGTTCTGTGTATATGATTAACAATTACAGAATTCACTCTATCAAACAGATATATTAGTTATGGCAAGCTATAAGGAACGTAATGAAAATGTATGAATGCTGCAATTATGACAATGCCGCAACTATGTGTGTAAACGCAAAGCAGTGGATGTAAACATAGGCAGCGAAAGGTCCTCCTCCTACCTTCCATGAGAAGGAGGCTTGTGCTTTTGTGGTGCCACCTGGTGGAACAAGGGAGATGAGAGAAGAGAGTCCTGAAATGGTTAACTGGCCCCTAGAGACACTCTTCACAATAATCCAAGTCCTATGCTCTTAAAACTTCACAAACCTTTATGGAGCACTTGAAAAACAATTTTTTAAGGAAAAACATCAAAGAATTTAGTGTCGTGTCCTTATTTTCTTTCCACCTCACCTGACTCAATTTCCCCACATGAAAAAATGTCATCAAATGCCAAATAAAGAAAAAAGCAGAGAATGGATAAGAACAAGGGGTGTATTTGCTAATGAATGCACTCCAAAACCACAGAAATTAACAAGGTTACAAAGCAGCCTAGCTTCCAATGGAACACAAAGGATGCCTCATTGACCTAGTTATTTGCATGTTTGTCTTCTTCCTCCATTAAACTGCAAGCTATCTGAAGTCAAAGTAACATTATCAGTCAATACCTTACATAGAGAGTACACTCTATAAATAAACTAATGTATGAACAGGAAGTTTGACAGGCAGCATCTTTACTCATGGTCCAGAAATGGACAGTTCAGTTCTTTAGTATTTTACTTCTCTTTTATCGCTCAAGACAAAGGATACTACAGCAATAGCAGATAAATAACAAAACCACAACCCCATCTATACACAGATATTGCTGTTACCTTCAAAGTGTCCCAGTCTGGTTGTGTATCATTAACTTTCATCCACTAATAACAAAAACCAAACATCACATGGAGCACAGAGCACAGAAGTGCTTCCATCATAGAGTAATATAGCAAGAAGAAACCGAAATAAGAAGGCTTGGGGAAAAAAGTCTGAAGCTGGTTCTGCCCTGAAAAAAAAAAGGTTTTATTTTACAGCAATAGGTTCATAAATAAATAGAAAACAATAAGAAAATATATGAGATCTGAAGCTCCATTAGCCAGTATCCATCTGTTACTCATATTTTAATATCTTCTATATCACCCTACAGCGCAACATATGCAATTAAGAAGAAATGGCTATGCAACTTTTTGGAGATAAGTTATTGTCAATGGGCCAACCACACAGAGCCAGATGTAAATTACTAAGTCAATTTAGCACCAGTTTATAAAGTTTTGATTAATCCTCAGCTCATTTTATGTTATTATAATGCATTATTAAATGCAGCGCATGGCTTGAACTTGCTCCTTCATAAATTCACTACATATTGATCCTGATGGTGGGGCGGATGTCATCCCCATGGGGCCTCTGAAGTGATATTCTTTCCAAATGACAAGAGAGCTTCTGCTCATAAGACACATGTTAAGAAATATCTGGCAAAACAGCAAACCTTCCAACGGTTTTCATCATGTTAGCTTTTGACATGTGCATTTGTAATGAAAGTGCGTCTTGTAGTACCAGCAAGACACTCATTTTCTCCTAACTGATCCAGACATCATCCCACTCCATCCTCAGGGAACCCACTGAGCTGATCCATGCTGATGTCACACAATGGCCCACACTGAGGTTTGCTGAGGATAGGGCACTGGATAAAATACAGGACACCCAGTTCAATTTGCATTTAAGATAAATTATGAATAACATCTTAATATAACTATATCACATGCAGTATATAGGGTATACTTATACTGAAAAATTTGCTAATTCTGGCAACCCCACATGCAGAGTTTCAGGTTGTGGTCTGTGCCTGGCTGCGGTCCACATTATATGTGTTTTAGGAGAGGAATATGTTTATGCTACAATTCCAAGCACACTTGCTCCCTCCTGAGGCTTTCCCTGCCTTCCTGGAGCTTGCCAACACACCTCTTCTAATCTGGCGTTGACTGTATGAGAATCTTTCATCAATATCTTCAGAAGTTAAACTGTTAATTAAATATCAAGCTAAGTTAATATCCTAGTGGAAGAATTAACCATCCCTGCCTTTATGAAAAAAATCTAGATACTAATATAATGGTCCCTGTGTGAGGCTAGAATTTCTTACACTGATTTTCTTGATATTTATGATGATTTAATACAAAGACTATGGGAAGAATCAACAATATTCTGAATAAAATGGCTTTTATCCAATTAAAATATACTTGGATAACAAAACACCACAGCAGTTTCATGCAATTGTGTCAAAATGGTTGCTAACACAATTTAATCTCTGACCTCTATTTGAAATTTCCTATAACACAGAAAACTAAAGTCTATGCTTACTTGCATTCTTAAAATGTAGAAGGCTGAGATAAGAGAAACTAAATTGCCAATGAATTACCTTTACTCTAAAGATAAGTGTCAACATATACATATGTGTCTACGTGTGTGTGTATTTGTGTGTGTGCATGAAATACTGTATTAAGTATACATATAAAAACATACACACACATCCTTCTGAGTTTTTTCCTATGTAGAGAATACAGAAAGAGCATTAAGTGGGCAAAGGAAAGCATCCAAAAGCAATGTCAGCAATGGAGGAGTTCAGAAACATGAAGTAGATGCTGATGTTAGCCATATCCCTTCCCCTACTCAAGAGAAGGAACGACCAGCTCCCTTCCCTCCTCCTGCTGGAATCCGGGCTCTGGGCTGCAGGGGCAGCAGCTGTTTACACCCTTTAAGTACTGACATGAAGACAAAAACTACTCGCCAAAGATGACTGAGCAAAAGAGAAAAAAGCCTGGGTTCCAATCGTCACCCCAAGAGCACCCAAGGACTCAGGACACATAGCTGTTACATGACAAAAACACAGGTCTTGGTTGGCTAATGTGCCACCAATTGGGTTTTCCCATAGGTGCAGCTACTCATTTTCCTGTTACAAAATGGAAAACCCAAAACTTTCCATTCATCCACCCGTAGAAAACATAACTTGCTCAGTTTCTAGATTGTTCTACTGTAATTACTAAGCATAAGATGGAATTGAGGTATCTATATTTTTTTGTGGCCTAGAGACTATATTCAAACTGATGAAGGCTACCACAGAAACCTAAATGGACAAATATTTAATCATGAGCATTCTGAATTGGCTCTTACTCTTTGTCCCTAAATATTTTTTTAAATAAAAAACAACAATATTGAGGAAGTCACTGAAAGATCCAGGTTAAGAACTGAGGAAACACAACACATTCCTGTGTTCAGCATGGTTATTTCTCCTTGAGGGTAGGGTTTATTTCTCTGTAGCAGTTAAGACAGAGGATGGGTGTAACACGCATAGTTGGAATTTAAATAAAAGCAGAAGCAGCCAACTATTTGCAACATGATGAAGTTCCCTATATATTTAAGGAATTATCCACAGATATATATGAATATCAGAGGCACCATTTGGCCCAGGGTGAGAATGCCAGGCTGAGCCAACCATACTTTAAGCACATGTGATTTGAAGTAGCTGAGACATTCATGACAAGACTGACAGTATCCCAGCAAAAACTTAGGCCAGAGATAGCAGAGAGCTGGCCTGGAGTCGCTTTCAGCTGTGGGTATCTCTAAACATCCTGTGTCTTGAGCTTACAGAGTTGCATGGGCTTCCTCAAGTGTCAGCCAGCCTAGTCCTGCCCAAGGAAACATGTGCTGAGCTTGTCACTTGGTACTTGGCAGGCTCGCAGAGAAACCAGAGAGCGCAGTCATAGTGGGAGGCCTTTAGCACTGCAGTCCTCAACTTCAAGGAGAGGAGCAAGCCTTTGAAATCCACCAGAGACAAGATGCCTGAGAAAACAGGGGCCACTCTACAACTAAATACCCTTTCCCAAAGGGTTCTAATTGGGGGAAGGACAGAGTGACGGAGAAGGAAGAAGGAAAGGAAAGCAAAGACAAGAAGAAAAGTGTCAGGGGTCAACAGATTTTGTTCCATTCTTTGATTTCCTGGATATTTTCCCAAAGGGATGGTAGCACATTAAACCTGGACTCAACCAGAGCTACAAGTTTTATTTCAGTGAAGGCATTTTCTTGATCATTTTGCACTGTGTCCAAATAATGATAGCACAGGGAATACATGAATAACTGGGATAAAGCTGTCAGTGAAAGGAAACAGAGCCTCTGGCTTCTCCAGTATTGAAAATAGCATAAAAGAGAGAGAGAGAGAGAGACAGAATGAATGAATTCAAAATACATTGTGAAACCACTCATCCATTTGCAGGACTAGGTACGCATAAGAGGGGCACTTCTTCACCCCCCAGGAGGAAGAGACTTGTCTGACTTTCTTCCTTAGGAACACAGACCATGACCTAAGGCAGAACTGTGAGGTTCAGCAGGGAAGAGGAAGCTAAAAGAGCCCCGAGGGCTCCAGGCACAGGTAACATCTTGGATGCTCATAGCAGGTTGCTGGGGAAAGCCTGTCTGTATCTAGGAGGTGGTGTCCTAGAGACTATCTATTTCCATGAAAAGCTCCCAGTGAGTTAATTTCAGAGCCAAACACAAGAGCCTGGGCTCACAACATCCATGTTCACTCCATTACCATGTGCTACTGAGCAGATTCATCCACACGCTGGAGCCAACCTTGAATGGTTTCAACTTCACATGGAATCATCTCTGTGTATTTTATGTAGCATCCTAAAGTTGCATTTAAAATTTTAAAAATAAACACTTCAAATGTTGGACACCTTCTCATGGATGAAGATCTGCATAACAGCACTGCTCTTACAATGCCATCTCTCTTTAAGGATAGAGGAGTTCATTGCCCGCCACACTGGGAATATTATAAAACAACTTCTTAGGATGAAACAAAAATTAATTTTAAGTCATAGATTTATTTAAAACCCAAAGATTTGGCATCATTTAAGTCAATAAATGTCCAGAGTAATGCCTGGAACAGACAAAGTGCTAAATAAATGGCATCTGGCATTCACCATTCCCTCTAATTATAACGAAATACATTTCACGGCTGGGCGCGGTGGCTCATGCCTGTAATCCCAGCACTTTGGGAGGCCGAGGCGGGCAGATCACAAGGTCAGGGATTTGAGACTAGCCTGGCCAACATGGTGAAACCCTGTCTCTAATAAAAATACAAAAATTAGCCAGGCATGGTGGCTCATGCCTGTAATCCCAGCTACTGGGAAGGCTGAGGCAGGAGAATCGCTTAAACCCAGGAGGCGGAGGCTGCAGTGAGCCAAGGTCACGCCACTCCACTCCAGCCTGGGACAGAGCAAGACTCCGTCTCAAAAAAAAAAAGAAAAAAAAAAAAAAACAAAAGAAAAGAAAAGAAATACATTTCACTAGCATCATATTATACATTGCAATCTTCTTGCTAATATTATAAAACCAAGAAAAAAAGTTTATTTTTACAAATACAGTTTCCACAAAACTCAAAAAACCTCTTTTCATTAATGTATTTAGGAAATATTCAGCTTCTGTTGTTTTCCAGAAACTTCTGCAAGCTCTAGAGATGCAGAAGTAAGCAGGGCAAAGTCCCCTTTCTTGCAGAACGTGGATTCACATCAGGAGACAGGTAATAAACCAATAAGTACCGGGGTCTCAAATGCAACAGCAGGTAAGCACAAGTGCTGTGAAGGGCAGAGCATGGTGAGGCGCAAGGGGAATGCTTCGTAGGACTTACACAGAGTGGTCAGTAGAGCTGCCCCTGAAGAGGAGGCATCAGCACAGAACCCTTCCTAAAGAAAAGTGAGTACATGAGGCTGAAGGACAGGTGCAAGGGAGGAATCAGTGAATGAGGGCAAAGAAGGAGCTGGGAGCCAAATCATGGGAGCTGGGTCACCACAGGTCCCGAGCAGAGATACCACATTGACAGCAACACTGCCAGCGGATTATACCCTGATGTCCAATCAATGGCAAGGGCCAAAGCATCGGGTTCCTTTTATGTTATATCCTCATTTTTCAATCTATCACCTTCTCCAAAGGCTTCCATTTTCCTCTCTGTTTTCCTCACCCCTGTGCTTGGTGTAATAGATAGTATCCGATCATCATAGCAGCCTTGTAACTCATTTTTAACTGAAATAAATACTTGTTACTTAGTACATAATTTCTCCTGATCAAAAATTCCAACAAAGTTCAGAACACTGAAGAATTGAAATTCTAATTTAGTTTTACTATTTATCCTGCATTTGAGCAGAAAAGACAAATTCTAAAACAAAAAAAAAAAATCTAGAAATATTTAGTATTCCTACAATGATAAGCTGATTTCATATCAAGGGGACCAAGGATGTGAGTCCCAGTTCCCTTTCCCTGCCCTGAATCTAGCACTTATTTCTAGAAGGCAAAAGGCAAAAGCATTTCGCTTTCAGTAGAGAGCTCATTTGGGCTTGGTTTTTCCTGAGGAAATCCATTTAGTATAATTTTTTAAAAATTAAACTTCACATGCCTATGACTCAAACTTTCAAACCACCCCCACACTCCATCAGTTATTTTCAATAATTAACAGTGGGTGATCTCAGATACAGCCTGGATGTTTTGGAAAACAGGAAATAGTCTGCTAGATTGTAGCCTCATATTCCCCTTGGAAGGCTTCTTGATTGAATGCTACAAGTTGTCAAACCAGACTGGTTCATTTGACTCCCCTGAAGCGCTTGCAGGAGAGTTACTTAGTCTCTCTCTTCCAGAAAGGAGAGCAGCCAGAATGCCAGAACCCAAACATAGTCACCCCAGGACTCTGGTGAAGGAGAACCTTGCAGGTGGCTCCCAAAACACCTCTGCTGGCAGCTTTTCCCAAGAGGAAGGCCAAATGGCCGAAGCTAAGTCAATGATTTATTTCTAACTGCTGCTAGGAGGTATCGTGCAGGGTTATGGATAAGTACCATGACTTTTCTTTGTTGTCTTTGACTTTCTGGCTTACAATTTCTGTGATCAATAGGAATAGTCTCAAAGTGAGCAATCAGAAATTTGTCCTGGTAGATTAACTGTCATGCAAGCTGCAAAACAGAGCCAGATGAAAAATGCAGAAACTAAAACCATAAAGAATGAGTTGAGATATCAAGAGAAATGGCACTGGACTACTGGTGGTCCTCAACCTCATGTGAAACTTTCAAGTATAATTAAAGTAACACATCCACCAGAATAATTTACATTATTGATAAAAGAATAGAAAGGATTAGATAATTTAGGCTTCTTTTTAGAATCATTAGAAGACTGAGCAATAGACAAAGGCCAATTTAGTTGCAAAAGTTTTAATTTTATTTTAGCTATAATGGGGACACTCTTTTAGCAGGCTATGTAAATTGCTTTAAATTCAAGCCATTGGTGAGGAGTTGCTAAAGTTGCCCGATTTCTTAGTTTGTTTATATCTGCATTTAGCTGCTATGCAATGTATTAATACATGAAGATCTAATAAGATATTAAACAGCTCTAATGTTCAGGGTGACTCCCAAATTATTTTTGAAAAATTAATATAATGGGTCATATTAGAAACCTTTCATTTTGGGCTGCAAGTAACTATCCAGACAGTCTTACAAGGTTCAGTGCTTAGAGAGACTGCCGACAAGAGATCCCATTTAAAGCGGAGGCCATGCTTAATGAACAACGAAATATGGCCCCATGGGGTAGGGTTGAAAGGGAAGGTCCTAGGTCTCTTGTATGCTCAAAATAAGGTCTAAGATGGCTTATGGGGTCCAAAATCTCAGTATGGCTTCAATGCATCCCTTACAAATTGTGGGCAAAAATTGCAAATGGACATGTTAAGAAGGTGATGAAATTTATCAAAACAAATTATTTGAAAGCCAAGGCCAATAGGGAGCTTCCAGAGCAGCACCTCCAGTCATCAGGTCACAGAACACAATCAACACCAATTCCCATGGGTTCACTTTCATGCTGAAATCATGCCTCCCCCTCTATGTGCTATCCGAGGATCACTGTGTTTCCTACAGGGAGCTCTTTCCTGTAACCTCCCAGACTCATGAGCTTGTGCTGAGATAACTTTTAAAATTGAATACTTACTGAGTATTTATTGAAAGCTGGTTTCTTTTAAGTTTGCTACAACCAATACAAAAATCAAATGGGCATCAATTCCTTGTAGAGCAATGTTTACTCTTGTTAGAAAGGAGGTGCCATTAGTAAGATAACATAGGTATTATTTTACTAGAAATAAAATAATTGTAATAAATGACATGGGTGTGTTTCATTGCAATTAGGTTTAATCATGTTTTCTCACTGTAATAAAGAAGCACCTGAGTCGACATGGAAGGCGTGATTGAGTTTTCACCATTGCCCTAAAATAGTGGGTGTGTATCTCCATTATCTTCAAGTCACTTTCAGGTTAAAACCATCCCAGAGTATTTGGTGCAGATTTACATGTTAACTAGTTCCTCAGAGAGAGGGGATGTGAGCAGTCTTAAAGAATATGCCATCTGGTGCAGTACGACTTCCCGGTAACAGTTTATCTAAATGTCATCATTTTGTTTTTCCCACACATGCCTTAATCACCTTCTTCAGGAATAAATTGACTCTCTTGTCATATATGCTTTTCCATGGTTTCTACACAGTACAGCTCTAAATGCTTATTGCCCTTTACAGGTTGTACTCCTGAGGTCTTTCCTTATTTCTTGGCTTCCATATTTGACGCAATCTCCTGTAAAGTCTTTGAGATAAAGTCTCAGTCAGTGTAAGAGAGAAGGAAACAGGCACCTGCAAGTGCTGAATGGTGACCCAGGCAGAACTCGTGCTCTACCCTAGAGGCACCCACCGTGGAAGGCTGCTTTTCTAGCATGAGGTAAAACTTCAGGGACGGGTGCGGTGTCTCTCGCCTGTAATCCCAGCACTTTGGGAGGCCGAGGCGGGCGGATCACGAGGTCAGGAGATCGAGACCATCCTGGCTAACATGGTGAAACCCCGTCTCTTCTAAAAATACAAAAAATTAGCCGGGCATGGTGGCGGGCGCCTGTAGTCCCAGCTACTCGGGAGGCTGAGGCAGGAGAATGACATGAACCCAGGAGGCATAGCTTGCAGTAAGCCAAGATTGCGCCACTGCATTCCAGCCTGGGCGAGAGAGCAAGACTCTGTCTCAAAAAAAAAAAAAAGAAAAGAAAAAAAGAAAAAACTTCAGAAAGCTGGCTTGGGGAAGCATTTCCAGAACGTGATCATAGAATCCTAGCAACTAGGGAAAGATGAGTCACTGTGAGGAGGTTGAGTCTGAAGATACAAAGCTTCGAATTTATCACCCTGCATTCCACAAACAACCACAGCATATGCTTTCTCCACTGTTTCTCATTTTGGTCACTAGAGCACCTGTTCTATGGATTGAGCAAGATGCCAGGGAGTGTCATCTCCCTCTTCCTCATGAAGCCCCCACCACCACCGCATCCAGTAGTCACCGAATCGTGTACATCAAGCCTCCTAAATATCTTTTAAGTGGACCTATTTCCCTCCCACTCCCCTATCACCACTGTAAATGTCGCCACTGTAGTGGTCTCCTTGCGTCTGATCGCTCCTTGCTGCAATCCATTCTCCACGTTGCAGAAGGGATAGTTTGTAAAATTCCCATCAATGCATACCAGTGACTGTGGAATGGACATTAGCCAGATCCAGCATTTTCAGTCCTTTGGCTGCTGCAAACTTTCTTAAATCACACTCCTTTCAACATGCAGCTCCCTCTGCCTGGAATAGCCTTCCCCTCTGTCTACCTAGGCCTTCTCCCTTCTGCGGGTGTCCAGAGAATGGTCCTCCTTTGTAAGGTCTTCCTTGAAGTCCCCTGCTTACCACCGTCCTGCTCTGTGCTCCAGATCCTTCTCTATTTTCCCTTCCACAGCCCTCCTGCCACTTCACTGTAGTCATGTTGCAACTACCCATCTTCTTTGGCACGAAGGAAGTTCTGACAGGTTTCACAGCCATGTCTGTCTTCTCCGTCACTGTATTCTCAGTACCTATTATAGAGTAAATGCTTAAAAACATAGGATGAAGAAAAAGTGGATCTACAACTAGGGACAAATTTACAATGAGGCAACCCCAAGGATGCTTATCAGAACTCTGCAGATTCAACAGTGAAAATGGCAGGCATGATAAATCAATGACTTAAAAAGAGAAGGGAGTTTACATAATCTGCAAGCACTGAGCAATTCTGGCCAAGCAGAGGGTATGGGTGGGTACAAGGTGGTGCTTTCTACTACTCACCAGGACAGCATCACTACAAGGGGAAGGCAGGTGTCCACAGGGGTGAAGAAAAGAGCAGGATGAGAGGAGGAATTTGGAAAGTTCACTTTTACATTTCTTCTATGGTCCGCTAAGTACCCATTGCCTGACACTTAGTAGGCATCCAACATAAAATTATTATTATTATTATTATTATTATTATTTTGAGACAGAGTTTTGCTCTTGTTGCCCAGGCTGGAGTGCAATGGCATGATCTCGGCTCACTGCAACCTCCACCTACCGGGTTCAAGTGATTCGCCTGTCTCAGCCTCCCGAGTAGCTGGGATTACAGGCGCACACCACCACGCCCGGCTAATTTTTGTATTTTTAGTAGAGACAGGTTTTCATCATATTGGTCAGGCTGGTCTCGAACCCCTGACCTCAGGTGATCCACCCACCTTGGCCTCCCAAAGTGCTGGGATTACAGGCATGAGCCACCATGCCCGGCCCCAACATAAAATTATTTAATGAGTGGATATAGGTTCTACAGCCTCAGAGCCCCTGCAATACCACAGTATTAGACTATCCATATGTACCCAAAGTTTATCATTGTAATACTCTAAACTCTGTAAGAAGCCTCAGAATTTCATCTTAAAGTTGAGTTTCTGAGTTAGACCACTGGCAAATCAGCTGCTCTCACTAGATAGTTTTTCTCCAAACCACTCATTCATTAATTCAAGAAACATGTATTGAGAACCTACCATATGCCACCCCCTCTTCTAGGAAATGGGGAGACATTACTGAACAAGACAAGGTGCCTCCAATCATGAACGCTATTGGAGAAGAGAGAAAACAAAAAGTATATAAACTAGAAAGAATATTATTTCAAGTAATAGGAGGGAGAAAGGAACTAAACGCAGAGGAAAAAGCAACAGATTTTACATGGGGATAGAATGTCTAGGGAAGGACTCTCTGGTGAGGCAACCTCCAAGGGGCCACGACGGTGGAAAAATTAATTCCAGGGAATCTGGAAAGAACATTAAAAGAAATAGCCTTAAGATTGAAAGCCATGCCATTTTAACTCCCGTGGCATCTGGCACAACGCCCAGCCCAGAAGTCTCACCTATTCACTCATTCAATCTTCTGTTCATTTACGACCTCATTCATTCCTTCTACAAAGGGTCAGTGAGGATTCACAGCACACCAAGCACTGTGTTAGACAGTAATAATACAACAAACGTTTATTGCTTTATTGGGAGAATTAGTGTGTATTTGAACACATTAAAACCTCCAGTATTTGACAGATTTTGACATACAAATGGCAACTTCATGTAATTCATAGATGCTATTTATTTCTAGATTGGTAAGCACAAACTATTGGGAAGTAAATAACGCATTTTGGAAACTTGATTTTTCAAGTTCTTTGTAAGAACTCTTTTACATAGCATTGTAAAAGATATTTTACATTGTACTTTTAGTTGCAAAGGAGTTTTATAAACGGGTTATAGCAAACTTTTTAAGGAACTATATAAGTTCCTTTAAGGAACTATTTGTCAACCTTATTCCATTTACAGCTAATAGTTGAAACAAATGAAATTGCATTTTCTTAAAACATATTATATTTCTAATCCTTCTCCCAAGTTAATGCAAATTTAGAAAATTTTGCATGTATTGGTATATATCACAATTCCCTTCATTTACCTCCCAATTAGAATTTCAGCCTAAGGCTACCTTTGTAATTTCTCAATAGAGAAATGTTTTAAAATATAATTTCAGATAATTCAAGGAACTGAGTTAAACAAGTTTGGAGCATATTTTTGGTGACAACTATTGGACATACGAATTGTCACCAACTGAACCATGGTCCATTCGGCCTGCCATGCCCATTCCAGAAGATACCCGAGAAGTCATTGTTGTCTTAGGCCATTCAAATTTTCGTTTGCATCTGTGGCCGTGAGTATCACACACTGTGTTTCCTGATATCTAGTGTACCAGAAATTTTCTGAATTTTCCAGTAGTCATTAATGGCTCTTTAATTCATATACTCATTCAAACCCTATGGAATTCATTTACAATGAATCATTATAATATATTCTTTAACTCTTGGAGTGATGAATTTTATAGGTATATTTACAACAGTGCTACATAGTCCTTCTACAGCTTGTCAAATGCACATCACATTCAAGAGATTTTGTGATGTCATAATGTGATGTTCCTCTTATCTCTGTTACTCATTTTGATATGGAATTGGAATATATCCTGTTCCCAGTTCACACTCCCTTAAGTTAAAGAGATACATTCTTTTTACAACAGAGCCTTATGTTTTCATCTGGCTAATTCAGAAGGTAATTCCAACGGTGAAAACTATCTCGAGTGGTAATTATTTGGGCAGTATCATTTCATGCTACTCAGAATCCAAGGAAAAGTCTCTGATATCCTGGAGACAGCAGTCTTGATTAAAGAGCCTGAGACCACTTAGCTCTTTCAGAAGACCTCTGTAACCTGAAATATTGTAGTGTAATTTGTGCCCCAGGTATAATCTAAAAGCAAAGTTAACATTCTACCACATGGTGACTAAACAAACTTATTGTATATTTTAAAATTAAATTAAGACTAGGTTTTAAGTGATCTCACCACAAAAAAAAGAAAGATAAGTAAATAAGGTAATACATATGTTAATTAGCTGGATTTAATCATTCCACAAGATGTACATGTATCAAAACAGCATGTTGAACACTATAAATATATATAACTTTTGTCAATTAAAAATAAATTAAATAATAATGAAGATGAATTCCTGTTAACAACTAGAAAACAAACAATTTGAGGGCAAGTTATGATAAATAATAGTATGTAACACTAAGGCAGACAACATTATCCTGACAAAATATGATTTGTCTTCTTCTTTACACAGATATCTTGTTCTCTTTTGACCAGAGACAAAAGAAGAAAAGTCTTGGAAACATCCTTCACAGTTTGGGGATGAATGAAGGCAGAGAAGTATTCATCAGTCTTATGTTCCTGGCAATGAAAGTCAAAGGAAGTCAAAATTGTGGCTTCTAGAAAAGAGAGGAGCTGACATAGCCCCAGCTCCACCTCCCTTGTCTCAAAGCATAAGAGCATAACTGATTATTCTCAACCTCATCCATACATAAAAAAGCGTGCTAAACATTTACTTTTGTATGACTTTAGCAACAATCAAAATAACTTCATAATTTTGCATTTCCTTTTTATTATATATAACATCATATTTTACTATGTGTTTCCATATACCTAACCCTTAGATCCTCCTAAGCCCTCTGAATGGGAAGCAAAATAGGTATCGTTACTTTTCAAATGAAGAAGCCAGAGCTCAGTGCATAGCAGGGACTTGTCTAAAGTGATGTGGGTAGGAAGTGGTGAATCCAAAAGCTGAAGTTCTGGTCTTCTAACTCATAATCCGGTGTTATTTTCCTTTCTATCTTTTTTTTTCTTTTTTTAAGATCAGATGTTCATAGTAACTGAGCAGTCTCTCAGTGCACATGGAGTGGTTTTAAAAGTCAACATTAATGTTCAATTCTGCTGCACGGTGTTGAGTATTCTGGAAAGATCTCAAGAAGAGCCTGATCCCATGCCAGCAGAGGCTCTGTTATGCATCCTGCTTTTCCTTTTAAGGCATTTTAAATTAAAGGAAGCCTTAGACACCACCATTTCTTTCTGTCCCACTGACAACCAAATCCTTTCAACGAAAGCACCAATTTGGTTTAGCTACAGATTATTTTTATCTGTTCTTGAAAGTCACATAAACGTGACCTGAACAAATACGCTCCCCTGCATGTTCTTCCTGAATTTCAAAGTTTTTCAGTAATTAAGCATTTTTCCTAGAGTGTTGCAAACCAAATAGAGTTCTGTGCCAAAGCAAGGAACGCATTAATGAAAACGAAGAATAAAAGGAAGCCAAATCCAAGTTGCAAAAAATGCTCTGCCTTATTTTGCTGAAATGAGATGCAAATATATATATATAATATATATATATATATATGCAAGCTGAGGACTAGAGTAAATATAATATGTTGATGTGAATTTTCATACTAAAATTTTTCAAGAAAATAAATATCCCATCTCAAGATATGTTTTTTTAAAAAGAATCACACAATCACATGAATTAAATGTGTGTCTTGGTAAATTTAGGGATGTTAATAATTCATTCCGATAATAGTATTAAACCAGAAAACTTTACAGAGTGAAAAAGTAATAATCTAGCAAAGAATCCTATCATTGGATTTCACCCAAAAAGGCATCAAATCCTCTAGATTCCATCAAATTTCTTTAAAAGGAAAAACACTTTTTCTTTTCAGGATGTCTTAGAAGTTTTCATTAAATCAAAAATGTGCACAGCTTATACAGTGGTTCTCCAGAAAACTTCAACCACTTGGAACACATGTTTGTGTTTAGGGGAAGACAGAGGGAAAAGAGAGGAAAGGTTGGGAAGAAAGAGATCATAATGGCTTCAACAAAATTTACAACCAGTGATTGTATGATATTGTGGCGGCGGCAGCTCCTCACACAAAACAGATGGTACAATACAGAGCTGTGTCTTAAAATGCCAAGCAACTAAAGATTCACTGATTCCATCTACTTCTGAAGCCTTTCCTAACAATCTATGCCCCAGAGTCGACTTCAGAATATTTTTACGTTTTAATTATCCCCTTATTTGAATTACTATAGCAATTATAGCTTCATACAGGCTCATTATACATTTAAACATTAATTTTATGTTTTAAAACTCAATACTCTTAGGTCAAAAGCTCACTAGTGAGATAGTGGAGTGGAACGTTAGTTTCCTATGTAACAAATGACCACTGTAACAAATTCCCATAAACTTAGTGCCTTAAAACAACTCATATTTATTCTCTTGCATTTCTGGAGGTAAGAAATCTAAAACGAGTTTCCTTGGGACAAAATCAAGACCTCAGCGAGGCCCTGCTCCCTCTGGAGGCTATAGAGGAGAATCTGTTTCCTTCCTTGCCTTTTCCAGCTTCTAGAGCTGCTTGCCTCCCTGGGCTAGGGCTTCCCTTCCATCTACAAGGGAGGAGCAGGGCATCTCCAATTCTCTCTCTGCTCCATCTTCACATCGCCTTTTCCTCTCTATCTGCAGCAAATCTTCCTCTGCTCCCTCTTATAAGGACTCTCACGATTACATTTAAGACCCACATGGACAATGCAGAATAATCTCTCACCTCAAGACCCGTAACTTAATCACATCTGCATCATTCCTTTTGCCATGTCAGGTAACATTCACAACTTCCAGGGATTAGGACAGGGACGTCTTTGGAGTGGACTATCACACCCTCCACAGCAGCAGAGGTTAACCTCTTAATGTCAATCATTTAGAACTACAGTCATCCTTCAGTATACCTGAGGGATTGGTTCCAAGACCCTTCCCCATACCAAAATCCACAGATGCTCATGTCCCTGATATGTAATAGTGTAGCATTTCCATATAACCTATGCATATCCTCCCATGTACTTTAAATTATCTCTAGATTACTTACAATCCCTAATACAATATAAATGCTAAGTAAATAGTTGTTATACTGTATTGCTTAGGAAATAACAAGAAAAAGTCTGTACATGTTCAGTACAGATAGAACCACCCTTTTATTCCCAAATATATTTGATCCACAGGTGGCTGAATCCATAGACTTGGAACCCATGGATATGGAGAGTCAACTGTTACTTTTAAATCACCTTGCAAATGAAAATATGCTTGCTAAGGTTCCTTCAAAAAGATCATTCTTAAAAAGAGTTTTGGTTAGTGTAGATTCCACTCAAACTTAATCCTCAGCTCCATGCATCATTAACCTTATGGATAAAAAATTGTGGGGTGGGATCCTGCAATTCTCTCGTTCTGTCAACAGAGAATACTAAAAAGTTTAAAGCCATGTTCCTCAAAATGTTTTTCTCCTACACTTAAATCGTATTTTCATAACAGCATTTAATATACTAAACTACATCATAGCCTAGCCTAGCCTATTCTAAGCATGCTCAAAACATTCCCATGAGCCTACAGTTGCAAAAATCATTTGGCAACTCAGTCCACTGTAGAGTATTGGACATTTACCCTTGTGATCAAGTGGCTGACGGAGCTGTGACTGATGGCCACTGCCCAGCATGGTAAGAGAGTGTCCACCATATATCACTAGGCTGAGAGAAGATCAAAATTCAAAATTTAAAGTACAGCTCCTACTGAATGTATATCATGTTAGCACCATCATGAAGTCAAAAACTGTAAGTCCAACCATCTGAAGGCAGGGACCATCTCTAGTTCGTCATGCAACGGAAACTTAAAAATGCCTTTAAAAGTTAACATAGGGCAGCTTAATTTGACGTTAAGAAATTTTCATTGAGAACCTTGAAATAAGTGTGAAAAATGCATGTGTAATATGGTTATGGCAATAGGGGAGTTGGCAAAGAACTTGGGAGAACGTGCAATGTTCCCAATTAATTTTAGACCCCATAAGAATGACACAAACAGAAGAGCTTGCAGCTGCTAACAAATGACAGATATGTTCTGTCACACCCCGGCCAGTCCAAAGGGTAATGCAGCTAACCTGATAGTCCCCGGGAATAGCAGCTGTCAGGAAGGTGCTGCTACATGTCAGATCCAGCTCCTTAAGAGCAACTGATAAGAAAAAGATGAAGAAGAAAACAGCTTAATGTCAGTGTAAAATCTGAAATTCACTTAATCATGGGATTTTAATTTGTTAACCTTCCCAAAAAATAGTATGCTAAGAACCAAACTGTGTTCCCTAGTCAAGGTGGAGACCCATAGGACATCTCACTTCTCCATCAACTGCCACCCACGTAGCACCTCATAAATGAAAGTGGGACAGGGACACTTTTCTCTTATTAAATCATTTTCTCATATCTGAATATAGTTACGACATTTGTGAAATCAGTGCAAAAACAATCTCTTTTTATTGAACGAAACATAGCCCAGGTACCATGTGCTTAATTCAATTTAACTGAACAAATTTACTGAACACCTACGGTATATAAAGCACTGTGCAAGGCACTGCTGAGTCCAATGTGAACCCTGCCTTTACAGAGGTGTGCAGACATGCACACACACATACACAGACACACTCACATGACATACATACCTCTGCACACGTATACACCACACACAGACACAGATACGCAAACACCACGCAACACATAAATACACACGTATACACACACACCACACACACACCTGCTGTCCATGAAGAGCAGGAGTTTTGCCCATCACATGGAGAACAGGGAACGTACACATGGCAAGGATTTCATAGCACCGTTGGAAGCAGCACTTAGAATCTCTAGAAAAAGAGATTTCTCTTATTTACCATTTCTACACTCTCTCACAGTGAACTACCCGTATAGTCAGCTGTGAAGGTTATAACGCCCACTGGACAAAATTTTAAAATGTAGAAAACTGTCTTCACTTTAGTATGAACAAGAGAATCCTTTGTCATCCCACCCCAGGGAACCAGTGTGAAGAGACACGACAGTTTGTGTGGAGAAAGGGGTTGACCATTTACAAGGAGAGAGCCATTTCCTAAGACGTTGCTTCATCAAAGCATCCTGGAACCCCAGAAGAGGGAAGAGTATCAAACCGCATCTGTGTGCAAGAAGCCTGGCTCCCCTCCCCATGCAACTGGAAGACCAATGAGAATCAGAAAAGCAGTGACCACGGGCCATCCTGGAGCCACATGGGGGCAGCGTCTTCTGGGACACAGGGGAAGCACTGAGAGGCATTTAGGAACCAGGGATCCATGGTCATTCTTACTTAAAGAACACACCCATTATTTACATCCTATCCCAATGGTGGCAAAATAATACCACTGAGCTGAAAAGGATCTCTACATTCTACCAAATCCTGTTATTCTCACATGGGCTTCTTCAAAAGTATAGAAGGTTGTCAATGTGAACACAGTGCACTTCATGACTATCATATCAATCCCTGAGTGTTTACTTTCTTCTCAGTGACATTAACACTGGAACATCCATGTCAAGGAAGTACGATCTGTTCTTTTCAAACTAAAACATGTCCAGTCCGGAGTGGGTGGGAGCAAGCCCACCTTGTGGCCACTACTGAACTACCAAAACTCCAACAGAGAAACCAATTCTGTGAAGCCTATGGGGAATGCCACATTTTTTCTAAAGAACCATAAATTAAGTTTAAATTCATGTGGTCTGTTCACTAAATGTCTTTGCAGAAGGAAAAGGGAATTGGCTCCAAGGATTGCAGTTGCTCTGAAAGTGCATGTGGCATCAATACTCACTTCTCTAAGTGGGGTCCCAGGACCTGTGGCATCAGTATTATCTGGAAACAGAAATGCAGACTCTCAGGTTCCACCTCAGAACCCCTGGACCAGCTTCTGCATCTCCACAGAATCCCCAGGTCCTCTGTGCCTTTAGGTTGGAGAATCAGTGGAATAAACACCAGGAGTGCAAACAAGATCAAAGAAGTTACCTGTTGTAGTTCACTTTTTCAAATAATTGACTGAAATTAATTTTTATAATTAATGAAGCTAGTGATGATTTGGAATCCCTTGACTAAGAGAAGGGTTTTAATGTAATTAATCTGCAAAATGATCAGTTTTTGTGCATCACTAAACCTATGAAGTTTATAAAGATTATTTTCCTAGCTGGTTATGAAGAAAATAATGTCACAAAAGCATCTAAGGGCTGTGCCTTACCAATGAGCCGACCCTCTCCAGTCTGCTTTCCTGTAATCATAGTGACTCAATTTCTAGACTTAGAAAGAAAAAACACAGAAAACTAACATAGAGGATTGTTCTCCCTTCTGGTCACGGTTTATGGTAGCAACAGGTGAAAAAGGCCAACAGAAGCAACGATTTGCCTCATCACATTAAAAGAAACATTTGCTTTCTCTTCCAAAAGCGTAAGTAGTAACTATGGAAACCAGACAAAAACGTTGAAAATGACTTGCAATTCACAAAGAGCAGAACAACTCTATTTCACCCACCAAAAAACAAAAAAATTAACGATGAAAAAATCCACCGAAACCTTCCCCAAGAAGAGCTGGATCTGCAGAAGACATAATGTGAGTGCTTTGCTCATGCACCATCATAAATTGTTTGATTTGCTACAGAATTGTTAAATTATGTTTTTACAAATCGGTTATTTAGCTGTGACTCCATTTAAATCTACAATTTTATGTGTCCTGATGATAAAATGGGCCCTTAGCTGAGCCAGCTAATTCCTCAGGTAAAAGGCATATTCTTTTGGCAGTAAATTAACTTTGGAAGGTCAGTAGGTGGCCTATCACCAATGTTAGAGATTTAAGAAATGCATATTTTGTCTAAAACACTTAATTTACACCTAAGGAAGCTGAATGAATGATCTCAAAATTTCCAGCTATTATCTGTTTACTAAGTTGGTCCTCTGGATATCCTATTTAAAGGTTGAAATAAATGTACACATGATTTATGGAGAGAAAATAAAGCAGGAAAACTTCACCCAATTATGCCAACCTACTCACTGCCCAGAAATTTCCATCCAATTCCACTGCCATAAGCAACTTCTCTGTGTGTTCTCCCATTTATCTGTTTGATGTTCCTGTATCCCTCCCCCACTTTCAGATCAGATGTTACTTCCTTTTCAGACGAGCTTGTGCACTGCTTGATCTTAATGGAACCCCATAAGGAGAAAATGACCACTTTATTTTAAAAAACAGAGGAGATGCTGACTCAAAACAGAAGAGAGTAAAGAACTTCCTTAAAAATATGAATCTCAGTGATACTTTTATAGCCCAGAATGACATGTTTATCTTTCACCTATTTTTTTTTTCACTCCAAGCAAGAGCAGAAAATTTTTTTTTAAGCTTGATAAGCAAAGACTCATTTGGGGATACCTGCTACCTGAATTATCACTATCAGGGTTAAATTAATAACTATGGCATATTATAAAGCCATAAATATAATTTTGAGCTCCACTCTTCCCAGCATATTTATGTGAGTTTTTGTCTCATTTTGTGTGTTTGTGGTGAGTTTTCTTCCTTTCTCTGTAAAACATGGAGCTGCTAAGGCATCAGTCTGTTATTGTATACTGACGGAGTGTGGAAATAAATGCCAATATCATTTGCAGAGCCATCCTGGTTGTGACTTTTTTTTAGGTGAGTATCCCACTTTCAACTAAAACCTAGAAAAAGAATTCTAAAACCTTTTTCCCAATTAAATGTTGGCACTCATAACACATTGTTGATGGATTGACCAAATTAAAAAACAAAAAATCTTAAGTTTAATACTGTTTTCTTCAGATGGCATCAACAGCGAAGTATGTCCCTAAACTTTTCATTGTTCAATGCTGGGTTGACAAGCAAGAAAAATCTTTTTATCACCAAAATGCAAAAACAATCTGAACTAGCTGCTGTGTCCAATCCAGCTTCGTTTTAATTTGGTGCTAATTCTCTAATTTGCTCATTTATTTTCTCTAACCACATAATTAATGCTGAAGAAAGTCTTTTACAGCTTGCCACTGAGCCCTCCATGTCTTAATAGAAGGAAAAATTCCTTAGATATGTTTCCCATCACCATGCATGTGCTGAAGCCAAGAACTAGAAAACCGTAACTGTGAAGTATTACGAAATCCACACAATTAAGTGCTGAAACCAGCAAGGGCCAAAACCACTCTGAGACCCAGCTCAGACCAACCCAGCCTGCCCTTTCAAGTCTGTAAATTGGATCGCGGTCCAGTGCTTTCTCTTACCTCATCAGCCTTCCTTTTTCCTTTTGCTGTAGTGGTATGTTTTCAATGAACTCTGACATATTTCTCTGATTGAAAACCATTTTAATACTCCTAGACAATGTGCTTCTGAAACATTGTCACAACACATACAATAACCAAAAGTTTAGACCTGTGTAAAGCAAAGTGAAAAATGGAGTGTCATTGAATCCCACAATTCTCGAAATACAAGTTTATGGGAAAAGCCAAAGAGAGCCAAGTGATATAGTTTCCAGCCATGGCACCTCAGGAAGGCCCCTCACCTGGCCTAGCAGCAGCCATTCCCACCCCCAAATTGTAACCTCAGAGGTACAGAACCATTCTCCAAGTGCTGTGACCTTTCCTCCTACAAATCATTCATCAGTCCAACATTTCCTAAGCACCTACTCCAGGCCAGGCACTGTTGTCAGGACTGGACATACAGTGAAGGAAGCAAAGGCTCTGCCTCGTGGGACCCACACTCCACGGGAGGAGGTAAACCACCAAATACATGAGTAAACCTATGGAGGATGATGGAGAAGAGAACAGAGGAATGGCGTGCTGGGAATAGGGCAGGGAGGGAGTCGCTGAAATGGAGTGAGGGGAACGTGAGCCTCTTGAAGGACAGGGCACTGGGGCGGAGTCAGAGGGGCTTAGAAGGTGAGGGTGGGTAGGGGGAGGACAGGAGCTCAGAGCAGGGAGGTGGGAGAGCAGGCACTGCTCACCAGCATCTGGGCCTATTGAAGATAGGGATTGGTCTGGGATTGGTCTGTTATTCCATATTTTATACTCTCCCAGCCAGGAGATCAAAGTCAGTGGCATCACTGGTAAGTCCTGTCCATAGCACTCATCCTTGATATCATGATGATGGCGCTTTATTTCTGTTTCCCTCCAGAAAATCCTAGCTCCAGGCAAGTCATGAGAAAAACCTCAGACACAGCCAAACTGAGGACATTTGACAAACTACCTGATCAGTCCTCCTGAAAACCATCAAGGTCATCCAAAACAAGGAAAGTCTGAGAAACT
This sequence comes from Homo sapiens, assembly GCF_000001405.40. Lineage (NCBI taxonomy): Eukaryota > Metazoa > Chordata > Mammalia > Primates > Hominidae > Homo > Homo sapiens. The sequence continues at coordinate 9,520,841 of NC_000005.10, forward strand.
GTCACAGCCAAGAGAAGCCTAAGGAGACAGGCAGCTAACTGCAATGGAGGGTCCTGCACAGGATCCTGGCACAGACAATGGACATGAGGGAAAAAGTGAGGAAGTCAGAATAGAGCGTGGCCTTCAGTGAGTAATGATGCATCAGTGTCGCACATTAGCTGTGGCCAATGTACACACAAGTGCAAGGCGTTAGCAATAGGGGAACCTGGGCACAGAGTGCATAGGAACTCTCCAAACTGACTTTACAACTTTTCTGGGCATCTAAGACTATTCTAGAACATTTTTTAGGCTAGGCCTGGTGGCTCACACCTGTAATCCCAGCACTTTGGGAGGCTGAGGCAGGCAGATCATTTGAGGTCAGGAGTTCGAGACCAGCCTGGCCAACATGGCGAAACCCCATCTCTACTAAAATTTAAAAAATTAGCCGGGCGTGGTGGCGCACGCCTGCAACCCCAGCTGCTCGGGAGGCTGAGGTAGGAGAATCACTTGAACCCAGGAGGTGGAGGCCGCAGTGAGCGGAGATCACGCCACTGCATTCCAGCCTGGGCAACAGAGTGAGATACTGTCTTAAAAAAATAAAAATAATAAAAATAAAATGAAATGTCTTTAAAAGTTTATCTTGTTAAAAAAAGATGCAAATGCTCTCTATCTAGAAATAATGATTCCAGAATAAAAACTGCAACAAACAAAAAAGGTGGATGTGAAACAACTGTACAGGTGAATGAGTCAGGATTTAACACCGCTCGGTCTATTCCTGCTGAGCGGTTTATGAAATCTGCTGGAGCCCTCACAGCTGGCCATTCCATTTATTTGAAACTCTGAATGATTATGTTTTTCCCTATTGGTCCCAGCTCTTTCTTCCAGGGCCACACACTACAAGGAAAACCTCCTTTCCTGTCAGCAGTGCCTCAAGTCCTCAGAGAGAGCTTTCCTAATAAAGCACGCGCTCCCTGCAGCCGTGTTCTGAGCCTCCCTTCACCCCACAAATCATGCCTGGTCTGACTCCAAGGAGGTGACCTAGACACCTTACAGGGAGGAGGGGCAGAGAGGACAGCACCTGCTCAGTTCAGGCTGCCTGTCACACCTGTCCTCAGGATCCTCCCTCCCTCTCTTTAGGGGTCCAGGGTGCCACTGAGAGGCTCCACCTGATTTCTGAGGTCCAAGACCGTCCTGGGTTCCAAAACAGGGTCTCAGACAGCCTCCCCGTCGCATAGCCTTCGCCTGCATGGATTGAACTTAGCAGCCCTTTCTTCTTCCCTCCTCTGTTACCTCCACAGCCTGACACCATGGTGACACCCACACATGACTCAAGAAAGGATGTTGACAACTTCCATGTAGAAAGGCAAGATCGGGCTAATGTAATAAATAATCTCATACCTTGGAAGCAGTCAGCCTGCACGTACGAGACAGAGAAAATGAGGCAGAGACAAAGGGCGTAATTGCAAATAAGAGGAGAAGTAGGAGGGGAACGGTGGCTCACACCTGTAATCCCAGCACTTTGGGAGGCTAAGATGGGCAGATCACCTGAGGTCAGGAGTCCGAGAACAGCCTGGCCAACATGGTGAAACCCTGTCTCTACTAAAAATACAAACATTTGCTGGGCATGGTGCTGCGTGCCTCTAATCTCAGCTACTCAGGAGGCTGAGGCAGGAGAATCGCTTAGGAGGCAGAGGTTGTGGTGAGCCGAGATTGCGCCATTGCACTCCAGCCTGGGCAACAAGAGCAAAACTCCATCTCAAAAAAAATAAATAAATAAAAAGGAGGGGTAAAGAGTATGTCTCTTTACTCTCCTGTATGTGTTTAACTCCACGCCCTCCAAAATGAATGATTTTAACCTGGAAAGTTAAACCAAACATTTGAGGCCCACCATAACTATGGAACTAACAATATTTAAAGGAATTTGAAATTTACCAAATTTGGTCTCCAATGACAAGTATGATTCTGCATCTCCTGTTGACATGGAACATTTCAGTTCATGAGAGAACTGGTCTTCAACTGAAATTGAATGCACACAGCCTTTTATGCACTGAGATAGACGTGGCTTCCCTTCTCATAGCTCTTCATAATGTTATTAAACAGTTTCTCTAGGGCCATTTTTACTTCTCTAAATGATGACGCACATACATATTTTGAGTTTCTGTGGTCTCTTTTTTTAACAAGATAAAGCAAGTAGTAAGTAATAAAGGTGGTTTCATGTACACAGCTAATAAGAGTGTTTAAAACCTAATATCAGCTGAAGAAATCTTTTCCTTATTTATGTAAAATGGGAATTAACTCATCCAGTCAAGAGGAAAATGAAATCAACAAATGAAACGTACACAAGAGAACTGTAATAATTGCCAAACTCAGCTCCGCAGAGAACAATGGGATTCCAGCAGAACACAGCACCCGGGCAATGGCGGAATGTGTGCATCGTTGCCTCCTTTTCCAGAGCCTTATCCTATCACAGCCCTGTTAGAGATGTAAGCTCCTGGTCTCTCTTTGAAGGGTGTGGTTTCAGTATCTAAAGTGATTATCTTACTTAGGTTCATGAATCCCATAAAAATGCAGGAATTGTAAACATTTAAAGTGAAAATCCTTCCTAGGATGTCTCATATCTTAGCTATAATTGCAACCACTCCATATTGTGTAAAATTGTTTACAAAAATTCAAAAAGCCAAACAATTAAACATATTCTAAGTGTCTCTCAATTGCCATACAAATCTATAACGAGGGACAAAGGGAAGGTGACATGACTCAGAGTCTCAGCAGTGAGTCATCAATCATGGCAAAATAATCACCCTCCTGGGTGAACTCTCTTTGTCAACAGTTGGTCTGGAGGAGGAGGCATACAGGCATACAAAAATCAGCAAGTTCTTAAAAGCATGCAAAAACTGAATTCTCTGGACAAGGTCCAGTGCAAATAAGTTGGGATGATCCTCAGGAGCAGAAAACAACTCTGTCAACAAGGTGCCACCTCCAGGTCATCCTCTGTGCTCCGCTCCCTTACAGATGGTGTACAGGGTCAATTAGTGTCTGTCCCCTAAAAGTTCACGTCCACTTAGAACCTCAGTGTTATGTTATCACTATGTTATAGAGCTTTTGCAAATAGAGTTAAATTAAGATGAGGTCTAATATGCTTTAGGTTCTGTGTCCCCACCCAAATCTCATGTCAAATCATAATCCCCACATGTTGAAGGAGAGGCCTGGTGGGAGGTGATTGGATCATGGGGTGGTTTCTAATGGTTTAGCACCATCCCCCTAGTGCAGTGTTGTGATGGAGTTCTCACGAAATCTGGTTGTTGAAAAGTATAGTTCTTCTCCCTTTGAGTTGTCTCTCCTGCCTCTATGTGGAAAAGAGTGCTTGCTTCTCCTTCACCTTCTGCCATGACTGTAAGTTTCCTGAGGCCTCCCCAGCCATGCGGAACTATGAGTCAACTAAACATCTTTTCTTCATGAATTACCCAGTCTCAGGCAGTTATTTAAAGCAATGTGAGAACGGACTAATACAAGATCATACTGGATTAGAGTGAGCCCTAATGCAATGACTGGGGTCTTCATAAAACGGCCACATGAAGGCAGAGACACACAGGGAGCACTCCACGTGACTACTGACATAGACACTCCACACTGGAATGATGCTTCTACAAGCCAAGAAATGCCATGAACTGCCAGCAATTACAGGAAGCTGAAGATAGACCTGGAATATACTGTCTCTCGGAGCCCTTTGAACCAATCTGCTAACAACTTGATTTCAGACTTCTGGCCTCCAGAACTTCAAGAGAATAACTTCTCTTGCTTTAAGCCACCGAGTGTGTGCTGATTTGTTATAGTAGCCCTAAGAAGCAAATACAGATGGTAACAATGACCACAAAAATAATGATGAAAGTCCCCTTGGTCACAATATCAGTCCTTAGCTAATTTTCAACCATTATTAATGCAAAATAAATATATACATAAACACTTTTTTTGGGTGACTTGACAAATATTTAATGAACTATTAGTTTTCTTCCCATGAAGGGATTTGAGTGAGGGTCCTGCCTCACAGTCATATACTAACCATATATCTATTGAATGCCCAAAATTTGACACTTTGGCTTAGATACCATGGCAGGCTAAAATCAAGCTAATAAAAAAGAGAGAGAGGAAAAAAGAGATTTCAGAGGATACTAATATTTACAACAAAGTTTACAACCTGTTGTTTGAATCATATGAAATTGCCAATAGTTGACCTTTCTTGAACTACAAAAATAGCTATTTCATATGGTTTAGGCCAAAGGTTGAACACTATGGCCATAAGCCAAATCTGGCCCACTGCTTCTTTATGTAAATAAAGTTTCATTGGAACACAGTCATGTCATATGTTTGCATAGTCTCAATGGTTGTTTTCACGCTACAACAGCAGAACTGAGTAGTCATGACAGAGACCATATAACCCTAGAAGCCCAACATACTTATTATTTCACCTTTTACAAGAAAACTTTGCTGATCCCTGATTTAACCTAAAATGACTGGCAGCAACAGTAAAGGCACCAGGATTTCAGAAGAAGCCAAGATCAATGTAAAAGGAATCCTTACTAGTGTGTCCATCTGAGACTCCAGACATAAACTGGGACTTGAGAAAGAAGCTGAATTCTAATGAAGAAAAAAGGCTCTCAATGCAACAGTTCAAGCTAAGGACAGAAGGGACAAGGACCCAGGGGATGGCGAGGATGATAATGGCTGTACTGGCCTTTGGCCCCAAATACCAGGAGCACTTGTCTCTCGGAGCCTTTTCAACCAATCTGCTAACACCTTGATTTCAGACTTCTGGCCTCCAGAACTTCAATCACTGGGACACCTCAAAATGCCCCCATTTGGTTCCAGGTCCTGTCCCTGCTAAAATCCTCACATGAAGTAGAACTAGAATGAGAAAACTTTGATAAGGTTTCAGAGATCAAAATTCTTTGAACACCAGACTGAGAAATTGTATCTTTTTTTCTTTACGCATGAATCAATAGAAGGATATGTAAACAGCATGATAGAAGAGTTATATTAGGAAAATTAATTTCTGATAGATGTGAAATAATTGAGTCTAGAGCAAAAACTATATTATTCAGAATATCTATTCCTGTGGCCCTTTTTAGGGTTGTATGATAAAGGATAATTACTCCAATGATTGCAGTAATTACACTTTAAAGATTTATAGAGAGTTCTAGAGTTGGGAATCCCTTTGGGGTTATTATCAAATAGAAAAGTAATCAAAAGGAGCCTTTTCTGCTTCATTAATAGGCCACACATTACAGCCAAAACATAACCTGCTATAAAGCTTGCATTGTACATCGAGCTGCAAAGTCTTACTACCAAATGCTTCCCAGGGATTTATAAATATTGAAAGGTAGAGAAGAATTTGCTTGAGTGAGGAAAGTTCTCCTCTTTTCCATTTACTTCAATTATCCAAAAGCATATTAAAAACATTTAAGTTTAACATTAAACTAGAAAGCCAAGTGGGATGTGTTGTAAGTAAATTAATAGCTAAATAGATATGTGCATGTTTATCAACCTGACATTAAATGTATCTTAAACCACATATATAAGAGCTGTCACAGGGTCATACAGTTCATTGATTTTTTCAAAACTAATTCACAGGTACCTTTAATTATGTAAACCAGCTGTTCACTGCCTGGTAAAGACTTCAGCTTGCAAAGTAAGAATTATCTACTTAGAGAGACTGACCTAGAACACAGTTGCTCCCAATTTTTTAAAGGAAATGGTGTTACACTGCAGCAATTTCTTCTCATGAACTTGTTAGCTATGAGCCCTTGAGCCATCAGCAACTGAAGGTCCGGAGAAGCCCCGGAGCAGCTTGGCTTCAGCTGTACATTCACGTCCCCTAGTTCACATTTTGCTGGTGGCCAGTGAGACAGGGCCTGCAGGCAATGCTCAGAGGGTCAGGATGCTGGAAATTGCCTTAGCACTGTGGGCTTTAGGTGACAACTCAAGAACTGGGAAAGCTACCCACCCTACTGGGCTGTCAGTGACTTCATAAGACAATGCATCTACATAGCTCTTGACATACTCAGTAAAAGATGCTGGAGTTTTTAACTTCTCAAGCTGTTCCCCTTTGCAATCACAAAACCAACTGAAAATTGATGTTAATGGTCATTATCTTGGTGACAGACATTTCCCAGGGTCTCAGAAGGGTTGTATGGCAAACTCCACCTGGGTATGGTAAGGGGAGTGTAAGACGGAAAGTGTGGATGGAGGCCAGGGAAACACAAGGGATAGTGCAGCGACAGGGCTAGTCACAGTGGGCTCAGCTATCACCTTGAATCCTGACAGAGTGGGAGGAGTGAGCACTTACCAGGTCCCGAGTGTGCTGAGGCCTTGGGTGGAAGGATGCAGCCAGACCTAGGAGACCCCTCAGAGCACAAGCCCTTCTACCTCTCATCTTCTCCATGGCCCCCAAGGGAAAAAGCCAACCAGAAGCAGAGGGCTAGCAAGACTTCAATGCAGTCCAGAGCCTGGAGGAGGCTCCAGAGGATCTGGAAGGATAAGCAGAAGATGCCCAGCATACTTCTCTTTCTTTTTTCCTACCATCAAGAGATGTTTGCTCTTATGCAAAGTCAAGCAACAATTCCAAGCCCTGGTTTTATTTTTAGCAAATTCCAATTTTTCCTCTCATCTTCCTTCTCGCTCTCTGTGTGGGTGTTCCTGTGCAGGTGACCAAACAGAGGTGGCGATTCAACTGCATTTTGCAAAGTGCTTTCAAGTGAACAAAGACATTAAACCACACTTCAGCTTGTAACAAGAATTTCTATTTCTTGAATCATCACAAAGTAATACTTGCTAACATTATGGAGTGCTCACTATGGAACAGGCAATTTACATGCATTAACAATTTCTAATGTTGGCAAAACCCCTATGAGGTAGGAACTATTGCTATCATTTTAGAATTGGACAAAGTGGGGCATGGAGAGATTGAGCATGTTCCTCAGGTCCTCACAGCTACCAAGGGGCAGGACTGAGCTTCAAAGCCTGCAACCTGGATCCAAAATCTGCTCATCTAACCACTACCTTTATACTGCCTCAAAATTACAGTGAAAAGGCCTAGAAGATCTTGATATTTAAAGACATCCTGCAACTAATCTTCTTCATAGAATAAAAATATCTATTTTTATGAAACAATCACCTATTTTGTAATTTGTAAATATGACATTTGCACGTAGCATTTCCTTATGTGTCCATGTGTCAGTTTCCAAACATTGTCTTTATAGAAATGAAATAGAATATGATCAACTTAGGTAAGTTCCCACTGCCTACCAAAGACTTCAGCTTGCAAAATATGAATATCTACTTAGTGAGACTGACCTAGAACACAGTTCATCCCAATTTTCTAAAGAAAATGGTGTCAGCCCTCAGTTACACTATAGCAATTTCTTCCCATGGTCTTTTTAGCAACGAACCCTCAAGCCATCAGCAACCGAAGGTCCCCAAGAAGTCCTAGGGCAGCCTGGCTTCAGGCTACAAGTTCAGGTCCCTGATTACACATTTATTTTTCTGGGTTCCTATTCACTAAACATGAGAAATGGGGTGGGAGATGGCATTTTCCATTATGGCCTCAGCACAGTCTCCCCACCCACAAATTCTTCTGCAGTGTGCTTTGCCACTTGCCTGTCCATGGGCACTCTCTCCAACCCCATGAATCTGAGCCCTAGGACTGCTTTGACCAGTAGAATACAGTGGAAGTGGTCCTATGCCTGTCCTTGGCACAGCCTTTAAAGGGCCTAGAAACGTCCACTTCCAGTATCGAAGCCCATGCCTTCCCATAAGGACAGAGAGGCCATGTGGCAGGATACCAGGTGACTGCTACTGCATGAGGCCCAAGGAGAACCACTCAGCTGAGCCCAGTCCACCCAAGGAATTGTGAAACATAATAACAAATTGCAGGTTTAAGTCACTAAATTATGGGAAAATTTTCTGTATACCAATAGATCTCCAGAACAAATGAGTTTACCTATTTAATGCATTTTATTTTGGGAAGAGGGAAAAAGATAAGAGAACTACATTGTTTGCTCACATTCCCAGGTAGAACAGTTTCACCTGGGAGCCACGAGTCTCTAGATTTCAGGAGAACCTGGCTCCAGAGACCAGGCAGGGCTTTAGGGATAGCTGGTTCTTAGGTCATGGTGATTTTATTTGTAGGACTTTGTACTTACAAGAAATCCAAAGAGCTAGGCAGAAGAGCTGCCTTTTCTATTCTGAACCCATGGTAGCACTGTATCCAGATGGTTCTGGTTATGACCACAAGTCACTCCTTCCAGTTTTGAAAGCACAACCAGCTGTCAGCTCCATCAAGGTCTGAGGAACTGCCACCCAACTGTGGCCGTGTGCTCTAGGGATGGTGGCCAAGCCTCTGGTGAAAGGGCTACCCACCTGCACCTGCCAGCTTTGCCTCTCACCATTTCCGCCCTGCATGGCTGAAGCAGAAGTCCCCACAGCCTCCTCCCCAGCTGCCAGGCTTCTCGGCACCTTTCCTAGAGGTCAGGATCCTACTTGGCCAGCCCTCGTGGGCAGCCTGCCCCTGTGGGAAGCCAAGAGCGTGACCTGCCCTGCCTGGACACCCACCAGCTGCACAGCTCCTCCCAGTAGCTTCCGGGTATGGGACTGTGGCCTTTATGTCATGCTGAGCTACAGAGCTGAAATTACTACTAATATATTTCAATTAAAATAAAATAAAACATGTAATCTTCATATTCCAGGAATATTTCAGACATTGACCTATAGGCCTCTGCCAGCCAACAGTATTAAGACATCTACTAAACTGGGGCCAGAATTTTTTTTCCTTCACATTATAAACTAGTAACATGCTTTCAAATACCGGACTCCTCCTAGTATTTAAACCCTTATAAAATCCATGGGTATATGAAAGTAAATATGAACTTAGCTTCCTATTGTTCATTCATTCTACGTGAAGCTCCTCAAGAAGAGGGTGGGGGTAGGAAGTGTGGAATAAAAATCCTTTTTGGCAACCTGAGCTATTACCACATTTTCTCTCCAGTCTTAGAAGACTCAGATCCTCCCTTCTTTCATCTTCCCTTGTATCATTGGACCTGTAGCCCTAGGCATAGTTCCCTGAAACCCAAGTACCATCAGATCCGAAAGGTGTCACGTGGAAATAGCCTCAATACCTGGTGTTCGACAAGGCTCAGCAGCCAGCACAGGCTCTGAAGAGCAGGCAAAGGCAAGGCAGAGGCTGGGAAGCCCCAGGGAGGTGTGCGGGCCGCGTTAGGATGGACATTTGTGCATAACTCTTGCCGCTCTGACTCTCTGCCTCCTCTGGCCATGTTAGATGCGACCATTTCCACAGATACGTTCCACAAGCAAAGCCAGCAACTGTTTGCTGTGTTGAGTTATACCATGGAGGGACAGATCATGTGTTAAAAAGAAAAAAAAATGTGCTTACACATGGTTGCTTGTGATGACAGCTGAGTTCAGAGATTTCCATCTTGTATGATATTCACATTTTTATATGTAGTCTTTTGAGATTGCACAGAATTTGATGGATAATTACAGCATAAATACATTTATCCAAATTAAACATCCAAAAAGAAACTACATGCAAATTTATAAACTCTTCCAGTCTCAACCAACACACTGACCAAATAAATAATAAAATGTTCTTTTTTTTTATTTTAAAGTTATTTGCCAAAATGTATCCCCAAACCAGGTGCTTCTCTTTCAGGTTTACATAAAAGGACAAAAGGAAGAAAACAGAATAGAAGTTAATTATTCTGGTTCACAAGCCCTTATGTAAGGAGAAATGATTAATTAATTGCATTTGCCCACATCTTGAGAAATGCAAATAGTCTTTGGTATTCTGACCACTCAACTCAGACCTCAGCTGCACTCAGGATGCATCTATAGTGGGCAGTAGAAGCGAGGAGAGATCCTTCTCCAGAGCTCAGAGGCTAATCAAGGAATCTTGACTTGCACAATGGAATCACCTGGAAAAGGAGCTTTCCAGGAAACCCCAACTCCTATGCTAAGGAGCTACAAAATCGGAGGGAGAGAGGCGAGAATGTGCCGCCAGTCAGCAGGGAAGCCTCCTTAGAAGTGAGTTATAAGCAGCTTCATTACCTGACTGCTCTAGCTCCAAGTACCCTCTTCACATCTTGAGGCTTTTCCATTCCCAGAAAGGTCAGCCTCCTCTTCCTTATCCTGACTGCAAAGTGTTTTCAACACTGGAAAAGGTCATCTTGCAATGAAGATGAATAATGTGGGTTTTGTCCCTAAAAAACTCCAGGAAGCATCTTGCGTGGGAGTCCTTGTGAGACCTCGAGCACATCAGATATCAAGGTCTCTGCATCAAGCACTCTGACCAGAAACAGCCCCCAGAACAAGGTCCTAGAGAGGTGACCAGCTCCAAACTTCTCTATGATCCTGAAAAGGAAGACTGTAAATAGTTCTATCTTTTCTTTGGCACTCTTGAGACCATTTCTGGTCTTCAGGCCACCTACATTCGTAGGGAACTATATCTGCAGACACCATATCCTGGCTTTGTGTGGTTTGACAGATGTGGCTGTGTACCCTGAGCTGGAGGGTCCTCTCAGAGCCCTGGGCAAGTACCAACAGTGTATCTGTGCCAGATGGGCATGTACCTTTGAAGCTTCCTTCAGCCCCAGCAAGTGAGGAAGCTCCCTCAGGGCATGCAGACACACAGGACTCTTTCTGTCATTCACTGTCCCACACCCCACTCTTCCTCTCTCCTGCTGTCACTGCAATTCTGCCCTGAGGTTCCTAGGAAAGCCTCAGGGTTTGATTGAATTGAACCTGCAACATTGGTTCAGGTCCTTGAGGCACGCTGGCAAAAAATGGTATCCATGCCAGGACAAGGGACACCCAACTGGAAAACAGATACCGAGAGAGGAAAAACCATCTCTAGCCTCTACACACTGTCTTCCCAGGGCAGAGCCTAGGGTCTGTCCCAGAGAAAGTTTCTAGTAAATATCCTGCTTCATAGACCAAATACTACCATTTACCCTAGTATCTTTGCTGGAGCAAGACACACTAAAAGCAAACAAGTGATCCAAGTTATAATGGGACCCCATCATAAGCCCCTCTCTAAGAAGATAATAGATGACCATCTCTCTATGAAGTTTAGAAAAAGACCTACCTGTGGACAAAGAGATAAATTGGAAAACCTCAGTTGTGTCTTCCAGGTTCTAGAAATCTATGGAATGTTTTTATCAACCTGAAGGCAGTCAATATTCAATGAATAAGGCACAATAATTCACCAAATCCATATCCCTTTCTTTGACTCAAATCTATCCTATCTGCCACATCAGTTTAGGACAACAGAAAGTGTTTGTCAGAATAAAGATCTTAAATATCCCCCCCATCCTCTTATCAACTACATATTACTTTACAGGTGAACAAAAAACCTTGGGGAAAAACAGTAATCAATGAACTTTTTTTTTTTTTTGAGACAGAGTCTCGCTCTATCGCCCAGGCTGGAGTACAATGGTGTGATCTCGGCTCACTGCAACCTCCGCTTCCTGGGTTCAAGCATTTCTCCTGCCTCAGCCTCCCAAGTAGCTGGGATTACAGGTGCCTGCCACCATGCCCAGTTAATTTTTTTCTTTTTTTTTTTTTTTTTTTGTATTTTTAGTAGAGACGGGGTTTTGCCATGTTGGCCAGCCTGGTCTCGAACTCCTGACCTCAGGTGGTCCACCCACCTCGGCCTCCCAAAGTGCTGGGATTACAGGCATGAGCCACTGTGCCCGACCTGCATGTGTATTTAATAAGAAGGCATTTCTCTAGACATGGGGAAATGTAAATATAATTCTTTCAAAGAGAAATGGTCATTTGTCTCTCCGATGATTGGGGACGAGTGTTATCACAGATCTTTTCACAGAGGGCAACTGTATCTTCCTTTTATTTTCCACAGATAAAGGTTGCCATGATAGCCAAGCCCTTTCTCCACCAGGCTTCTCCTTTGACACTTTTTTCATGTAAACCAAAGAGAAGAGTGAGGGGAAAAATCTCAGCTGTTCTCCTTTATGCTCCCTGCCAATACAATAAACATGTCCTTGGTAGGTATTAATGGTCCTTACCACCAAAAGACTGTCATCTTCTAATAGCCTGCAACTGCTCCCAATTTCATGCAGTGTTCACTTTGTCAAGCACCTAATTCCAAAGCCTCCAACCCCCATGCTTACAAATAGAGGTTATTCTTTTGTTTTCTCCAAAGAATGAAGCATCCTTTGACCAAAGCCATCAATCCTAGTGTTAGATTTAGGTTGACAATTGAAAGATGTTGAACACGCCAATTCGTCTGAGCCCATGATACTGTGGTGTCCAAGATACCATCACTAATTTTGGATCATTGGAAATATTCCACCACAGGATACATTTGAACTTGTTAAAAATAGCCCAGCTACCCCTCTGAACATTTCAACTTACTGTGGCATCAACAGAGACATGCTCCTAGTTACAACATTGGCTTGCTCCTCTGGAATGCAGGAAAGGAGTCAAATTTCATGATACGGAATTTTCGAGTTTGTCCATAAGATTTTTAAAATAGACCTTTCACTTTAGTGTAAAAGGTTACATACATAGTAAAAGATTGTAAATATAGAATTTAATGTCTTTTCTCCAAGTATGAACAGACCATATTGTATATTTTAGGTATAAAATATTCATCTAAAATATTCAGTATGAAACAATTGATACTATTTTCAGAATACTCCCTGTGCCTCCACTCTACTTAAATATAGAGCATTTAATTAAGTGAATCCAATTAATCATGTGAAAGTTAATGTGGGAAAAGGAAACAGCTAATAAACTCCCAATGGCTCAGAGAAGCAAAGCATTTCAAACATGCAGACTTTACAAGTTTCCTATGTGCCTCTAATTATGTCTTTATACAAATTCCTTTAGCTTTCTACCAATTCTGAGAAGTCTAAGGCCAAATTCTTTTCTATAAATATATCTACAAAAACTTTTTCTTCCCACACATAGGAAAGACACAAAAGATCGAGTGAGCTGGAACCCGTGGCCCCCTTCCTCATGGGTTTTTAAAACATCTGACATAAACTGCAACATATTTGGGCCACTGCAATTATCAAGCAAAACCGCAAACCAGCAGAAGTCAAAGTCAACCCCAAAAGCTGTGTTGAAAAAGATACACCAGCACTCACCTGAAGAGGAACAAAGATAAAAGCGAGTGACCCTATAAACTTTCAAGAAAGCAGCTTTCCCTAACCTGCTTTTGATTAGTGTTCATAGGTTTAGCCCTGAAGGCTTAATTAAACCCAGTAGCCAACTCTGTCTCACTTAAAAGTGCAATTAAAGAATCCACAAAGGCCACTGGGCCCTGAGGGCCTCCCACATGAGGCCCCACTATGAGCAATTCACTAATTGCGCCCTTTGTCCCCCGACTCTTAATGATGACGCTGCCACACCCCCAGTCAAGATGCTTATTCTCCCCACTTAGGGCCAGCTCCAAAAACCTCAAGGCAGGAAGTGTGGGCCCAAAAGCCTGTTCTGCAGAGAACATACACTTTTAATTAAACAACAACAAATTAAAAGCTCATTGAAAAACACTTAGCAACAAATCCAAAACTGCACTAAAGTCCATGTGTTACCACCACTAATTAAAAGGACTCTTGATTACAGATCATTGGGTGTGATCTTGTAGCCAGGACTTATTAAGGGCCATGATGGAGCCCACTCTGAGGGGCAAGCCAGCCAGTGTTGCATCCCCATGGAACATCATGGTACCAGAAAGCGGTCCCGATCCAGACCCCAAGAGAGAGTTCTTGCACCTCGTGCAAGAAAGAATTCAAGGCGAGTCCATAAAGTGAAAGCAAGTTTATTAAAAGCAAAGAAATAAAAGAATGGCTACTCCACAGGCACAGCAGTGGCAGTGGCACGGGCAGCATGGGGCGGGGGTTGTTTAGAATTTTATTTGGGGTTTACATTGGGCAAGTCAGTCTTCTCCTCTAGCCATAGTCCAAGTTCAAAACATTGATTTCCTTCAGCCTACCTCAATAGACAATTCCTCAATAGATACTCTCTTTAAAAATGCCTTTCAGGATTTCAATGGACAGGGCACATAACCACAGTGAAGCCTGACTCTTGTCCTGACTTGTGTAAGACTTCAGGACCTAAAGTCCAAGCACCTACATTGACTCCTTGAAGTTGTAGAGAGCGACCTGACTGCAAAGTCGGGTCAGGGCTGAATGAGGTGTGAGCCCCGGGAAAGCCCTTCTGCTCTTCCCACCTCCCAGCTTCATCCTGAAGATCCTCGCTGTGAATCCTTAAGGGCTTTCCTATGCAGCAAGACAAACCTCAGGGAGCTGGAAACTCCGCAGGTGGGCCTGGAAAAACTGTTCAAAGTTAAGTAACATTCGCAGGCGTAAGCTTTCAAGTGAATGAATCTTTGCGATTCTTACTTGCCAGCTTGCAGTTTCCTGAATGATTTCTTTTCGCAAGCTGGTGATAGAACCTAGGAATTCCATCACTGCTGGCAGACGGAAAGTAAATTTGGCTCCAGGCCTGACTTTCGGAGTCAGCGTGGAAAGCTGCAACAGCCAAGATGGGCTGCCTGGACACGCTGAGATGCTCTCTCTATATGGGGCCCCTCCTTCCCAACTCTCACCTCCACTCTCCCAACCCACCCACGACCGCTACACAATTGACATTCAGTGTGACATTCTTAGGTGAAGAAAGCTTTAGAAAAAAATACTAGTTTAAAGTATGTGTTGTTTAAAAAAAAAATGCAGGGAGGAGTGGATCGGCAGAGTGGGAATACTTTCAACTCAACCACCTGGGTTGGGTTCAGGTCTTCCCACTTGCTCAGCACCACCTTTGAGGAGTAAGGAGGCGAAGGAAGTGAGAGTGATTCAAAGATGGAAAAGAGGGGGGCCTTTAAGAAGCATAGCCTGGAAACTCCAGATTTTTCCCACCAGGAACCAGGAATGAAGAAGGGAGGGAATCTCTACTGCCCTGCGGCAAGCCAGGAGAGAGTTACCCCACGGGCAGATGCTGGATCTTCCCAAGCTCAAGAGCACCGTCCAGTGTGATGCAGACGTCGGGATGTAACTGAATAGCCATACGTGCCTGTCATACTCAGAACTGACTTAGATGTGGTCCTGTCTATAGGCGCCAACATGAAACCACCCAGGAACAAGACTAGGAGAAAAAGGACACGTGCTCCTGCTCCTGTCATAGCAGCAGCAGCTTGAATCCCACAGCAAAGTGGCCAGATGCTTACAGACACCTGATAATATCAGACACAGAGCACAAAACTTGGTGCACCCACTTTTACATGGGTTTGGGGGAGGACGGTTTGGCTCAAAACTTTCTGGTGAACAAAGAGCATAATAATTAAAATTATTTTGGTTTAGCAGAGAAATTAACCAGAGGACGACAATCATAAGGAGGGGGAAAAGGAAAATTCCTCTGATAGATGGGGGAAAAGTCACTAAAGGGTATCTGAAGAGCAGCCCTATGCAAAAAGACAGGAGGCCAGGCACAGTGGCTGATGCCTATAATCCCAGCATTTCGGGAGGCCAAGGTGGGTGGATCACTTCAGCTCAGGAGTTCGAGACCAGCCTGACCAACATGGTGAAACCCTGTCTCTACTAAAAATACAAAAATTAGCTGGGCATGATGGTGCATGCTTGTATTCCCAGCTACTTGGGAGGCTGAGGCAGGAGAATCACTTGAACCCGGGAGGCAGAGGTTACAGTGAGCCGAGATCGCACCACTGCACTCCAGCCTGGAGAACAGAACAAGACTCCGTCTCAAAAAAGAAAAAAAAAAAAAGACAGGAAACTGCAGTCTAGGATTTCCCTTTCCAGTTTAGATCACCCAGACACCCTGTCCTGGGCAAAGGCTCAATAATATCTGGACAATGGACCCCTGCTCTGTAAAACACCATTTTTCTTTTCTATTTACAGCCTGGAAATATTAAACTTAAATAAAATGTCTATCTTTAACTCCTAGGCTCAAGCTTCAATGAAGTTTCTCTTCACTGACACTGGCAAAGATATTCTGATTTTAAACTTCAGAACAGTGACAGGAGGACAGGAGGTGCCGCAGACACAAGGCATTGGACATGGGCACCCTGCCAGGCTGTGAAGTGAACATTCGAGGCCCTTCCCTAGCTTCTAACCTGTCAGAATAAGGTTAAAATCCCATACATCTTAGAGTGTCCAAAATCAATATTAGAGGCTAACATTTGGATGCTTTTCAAAAAAGAAAATGGTTAGAAAAAGTAGAAATCATTAAAAAAAATGGTCTAATACATTTTATCCACTTAGGACAATGCCTTCACATAATTCTATACATAACACTATGAGCTGCTTTAATTATGATCAACTGAAGCTACCGGAACCAATACAAATCTATGATTAAAGGAGATTTTAAAATAAGGGAAAATTACCTTGCTTTCTTAATCCTTCTGTTTCAAAACTAAATACCTGCCCTGGTAACACAGACATTTTTCCAATCTTGTAACCAGCCAGTCTGTTTAACTGAATGGCTAATTAGTTATCCTTGAAATCTAGAGAACATTAGCTTGTTGAAAATGAAAGAAAACCAAACCACAAAAAGTACCTACCTAAACAGTATTTTATTGACTAACTGAAACCATCAAAAGTGGTATGAAAGATAAAAATGTCACCCACCCCACTGCCATCTAATCAGCAGAAGGAAATATTAGTGTATCCTCATAAATAACTCCTTACCACTCATGAAGGGTGATAATTTAGGATTGGTAATAGAAAAACATGGTCGTTCTGTAAATGTTACTCTTAATTTGCTTGTAAGCTAGGCTTCATGTTTGGAAAGAGGCAAGTTCAAAGTGAGCTGGTCAGAAATGACCCTGGCAAAAGGTCAATAAAGCTATTGCACTAGGACTTAAAACGCTGTTGATCTCCATTTTTGTGAACAAGTAACTAGAAATACTGAAGAAATTAGGCACTATGAAAATGCTTGCCTGAAGCATCACAGGGCTGGATAAAAAAATACTCTATTACCAGTGGAGAAATGCATATGAGTGCTAAAGGCCAGCTAGCCTGGACCACATCCCCAAAGCCATGCTGAGTGTATCTGGACCATGGACCACCTGTGCCAAAGTAAACACTCCCATGGAAAGCCACTATGTGGAAACCAACTGGTGTGAGGAAAGCAAGGTGCCCACAAGAGAGCTGAGGAAGCCTGTGGCAGGAGGCAGAGAGGATTTTAATACACTAAACAGATGGAAGGTGCAGTAAACAAGGTGGGAGAGCTAAAGACACTCACTTCTACCCAGAGAAAACAGTGGAAGAGCAAGGAAATGAGAGGCAATTCGTATGTATCTCTACCCAAAACCTATATTCAGCATTACATTTTAACTGCAAAATGTGCCAAAGCAGAATGGAAAGAGCTAGAAGCAATTCTTTGATTCTTCTCTAAGAGCGGGGCGGGGGGAGGTGCGCGGGGTGGGAAACACTCCCCTTTAAATACTCAGGCTCTGGGCATTTAAAACTCTGCATTCTGCCACTGGGTCTGGCTGTTAGAAGTTACCTGCCACTCCAGCTGAAGCGAAGGCCTTGCTAAGAAAGTGTACAAGGACACAGAAGCAGGCATCATGAACTTCTCCCCCATCAAAGGACAGCAACCTCATTTGTTGAGCAGAATGATGCTAGGAGTTCCAGACTCTGCAGCTCTAATGAGACCACAAGATTCTGTGTTGTCAAAGATGTTCCCCCTGAGCTATGCCCATAAAACAATAAAATTGGCAGAGAAGCATACTCTAAGCAATGACTGGGAATTGGGGTGTACCCAACATTCAGCGGCGAGGCTGGCTGATGAGTTTAACTGATTTAATCTGGTTATGTTGTCGCATCCGGAAACAACCTAAGTTTGCTTGTTTTCATAACAGAGATCACAGCTCAGATAGACTTCCCAGGAAGAAAGTGTTTCAGTATCAAAGAAATGTGCTCATCCTAGCACCCACTGGCCCTGGCGCTAAGCTTTGTACAAGTAATGTAAACACAGAAAACATTTCCCAGTAGACGCAGCAGGACTCGTATTTAGGCCACTGGCTGTTTAATTTACTCTAATTTTAGAGATGATGTCCAGAATTTTCTTTTTAAAAAAGTTTTATTGAGGTATATGTTACATGCCATAAAATGTACTCTTTGTAAGTGTACAATTTAATGATTTTTAGTACATGTACAGAGTTGTATGACAATCTCCACAATTCAGTTTCTTACCATTTCCATCACCCCCAAAAGGCCTAGGCTGCCCATCTGCAGTCATGTCCAGTTCCCACTGCTAGCCCGAGGCAACCACTCACCTGCCTGCCATCTTTATGGGTTTGCCTTTTCTGGGCATCTCTATAAATGGAAATACATGGTGTGTGGTCTTCAGTGACTGGCTTCCTTCACTTGGCACAAGGTTTTGAGGTTCATACATATTGCAGCATATATCAAGAGTTCATTTGTTTTATTGCTGAATAGTAGCCCATTGTAGGGATAGGCCACATTTTGTTTACCTATTCTTCTGTTTCAACTTATTAAATCTATAAATCCAACTACATGACTAGGCTTATTAGTCTGATCTTGGAAATATAAGAAAAAGCCTGCCATATTTTTAAAATATTCTAGGATGTCTAAAATCTCTGTAATGTGTAAACATATGTAATAAAGACACAATATGTTCCCTGGAATTTGTGTGCTTGGAGGAGAGGGTGCTGTTTTAAATGAGAACATCCCTGAATTTCAATTTTTCTGTGTTTTAATACAGATTAAGTATCCCTTACCCAAAATGCTTGGGACCAGAAGTATTTCAGATTTGGGATTTTCTCAGATTTTGGAATATTTGTATTATATATATTAGCATTTTTAGGGTCATGTCGGTGCTCAGAAAGTTTCAGATTTTGAAGCATTGTGGAATTGGGATTTTTTGATTAGGAATATTCAATCTGTACACAGAAATTATATTTATGCTAATCTCCAAGTCATGCAAGGTCGTCAATTCATTTAACAAGCACTGACTTACTGTGCAAATTGTTGTGTATTAGGAACTAGGAAATATGCAGTCCCTCTCCCAACCCTCCACCTGCCAGTTTACAAAGACATTTGTATTTTAAGACTGTGCTAAAAAATCAGTTTGGAGGCATTTGGAACATTTTTCTCTAAATAAAGAATATAAGTAGTTTTAGAGTCCATGGTTAGCCCCCAAAAGTCTTGCTTAAGCCTTAGTCCTTTCTCTCAGTATACTCTATTGCAGTCTATACTATATACATAGTCTCTAAGGGCATTTTTTGATTCGGTCACTTACCCAAGATGGCCCGAGAGCCTCCTGCGTGCCAGGCACTGTTCTAGGCAGCGTGGGCAACACAGCTGCGAACAAAACAGTCTCATTGGTCTCCTAAGCTGACATTCTGTATCAGTGAAAGACTTTAAGAAATAAAGGCAGTGCGTGGAGTTCTGCAAAATGATATGGAGAGAAGGCCGGGCGCGGTGGCTCACGCCTGTAATCCCAGCACTTTGGGAGGCCGAGGCGGGTGGATCACGAGGTCAGGAGATCGAGACCATCCAGGCTAACATGGTGAAACCCCGTCTCTACTAAAAATTCAAAAAAAAAAAAAAATTAGCTGGGCATGTGGCGGACACCTGTAGTCCCAGCTGCTCAGGAGGATGAGGCATAAGAATTGCTTAAACCTAGGAGGCAGAGGTTGCAGTGAGCCAAGATCGCGCCACTGCACCCCAGCCAGGGTGACAGAGCAAGACTCTGTCTCAAAAATAAGAAAAAAAGAAAAGAAAATCAGTAGTTTTACAACAAACCTAAATCTCAGTCCTGTAAAAGGAGTCACGGAAGCCAGTTGTGATTCTAAAATCCATTTGTTTACAGGATGCCCAACCATAAATGTCCCTGGCCTCCGAAGCGTTCTCTTTCCACAGCAGGTTTGGGGGCACTGGCAGGAGTCAGCTGCCTTGGTAGCTGGCTCAGAACAGCTTTGGGGGCCCTCTGCAAGACGTGTCACATCTCCGGTTTTGTTTTGTTTTGTTTTTACAGAAAGAAAAGCTCTTTGTGTGGAATTTTATTTGAAGTCACTTTGTGAGGAATGCCATCTCTGCTGTGATTCAGGAGAATAGAAGTTTCGGTTTTATGATTTTGCAGACAGATCACAGGAAACTGCTTAGCAAATTTTTTCTTAGTTGCTTTCCTTGACTCTGTTTTTCTTTCCATGAGTACATCATACATCCTTGCCAAACATTGGGTGGATTTGAACTGATTGAAAGAGGCTCGATTTTCTGTGAACGATTTGTCCTTGTGTTATCCTGATTGTCACTCGCCTATAACTTACTTAATTTCACGTCTCAACAAATATAGTATTATTTCACCCACAGAGTTGGCTTCTGATAGAATCACTCTACTGGTTATTTATCATACATATCTGTAATTGAATTACCTATTGCAGTAGTGTAATTTACTCTCAATTGTACATAAAAATGTAACATAAAATAACATTTTTCCAGTGTATACTTCCTCATTATTCTACATGAACCCTAGTTTAGCCAATTCTACAGAAATACAGTGACAAATAATGAGTGAAAGATGGGAAGATAAAAGATTAGTGGGCTCATGACCTTTCAATAATAAAAGAATTTCATCCTCTAAAAAAATTATTCTCTTTTAAAATAGTTTTTTTTCCCCAAGTGTTAATCAGGAAACCAATTCTAGGAAACCAATAAGGAAAAAAAGAGTTTAAAAACAGAATGATTTTCTTTTTTCCAAATGCAGCAATACTATGTCACTACATTTTAAAATGTAGGAAAGGGAAATAAAGTGTGCTTGTCTTTGCTCTTGTCAAACAACCATTAATCTTGGACCAAAAAAGAAGAAAGAAGATGACAACAGCAATTCCTTTGGGAAATTTTTCTGTTTTCTTGATCCACTGTTGTGTCACTCCTACTTTAAATTTCATGCACAAGGTGAAATATGACTTGTCTTTGAAGTTGCCTGGCTTCAAAATACTCTGTGAAATGGACAGCCTGGTTTCCTTAGCTATACAACCTTTTAGATGGCAAAGACTGTCAATACTAGTATGTTGAAATAAATTACCTATTATCCAATACCTTCTCTTGGGTCAAGTTTTCATTTGTTTTGTTCTATTTTGCTTCAATTTTGAATCGAAGCAAGTTTTGAGCAGGTTCATTTATATTGAAAAGTTTATGTATATTCTAGCTTACTTTAATTTTGCTTTTTCTTCTTTTCTCCCTATCAGAAATTGATTTTGTATATCTGGATAACCAATTCTTAAAAAATTCATCTGAAAAATATGCTATATATTTACCAAGCGTACCCATATCTGTTTCTCCAAAGTGCTTCCCAGCAGCCACATCTCACCTGCTGAATTTATCCCCAAGTTGCTCCCAATCTATACAGGAATTGGAAACAGGAGATTGCCCCCTATCATTTCTGCAGGGTAGCAGAGTGATAAAAACCTAATTTTCAACCAAACTTCTGCATCTCAATTTTAAAAGGTTGCTGAGAACATATGTGAAATTATCTATGTTGTCAACTGTACTCAAGACAACTGAAAGTACTTATAGACGCTCATTTTATGATTCAAGAAAACAGTTAACTTTCTTGGTATAAATTTGCAAGTAGATGCAGGTGAGCAGAAATGTACAATGCTTCACTTTAGACACTTTGTACTTAGTTGTAACTCAATTTGTTAGACACCATAATTTACATTTTAAACATTATTTAACACATAAAAACTTGTCACCTTGGTATAATTATACCCCAAGCAATTTGTCTGGGTAACTATAGCAACAATTGCAGAAACATTTTTAAATACAAAATTGGTATAATTTTAGAATCAAGAATTATGGAGGATTTATTGCAGGATGTACGGCTGCTGTACTCAAATAGTTGTACATATACTACTATAAAAATGGATTCCTTGACTGGGATATGTTATAAACTCATTTGTTCTATCTTGCACACCATCTGCTTTGTAGCTCAAACCTCTTCCTTGGGATGAGTTTTTGATATTAGTTAACTCTAGGGTTCATGATCACTTGTCTACATAATGCAATGCCTTTATACTCTTGGCTGGACATTTAGTAAAGGTTTTCTGCTCCTCCTCCACATCTTCCTGTATCAAAAGCAAAGGCTCAATTTCAATGACTTTATGACCAAAAATAAAATCACTTGAAACTCTTAAAACTAATCACCAAGTTAAGTAAAACTGTGTCACGATTCAGATAGGCAGCTCTCTCTAACATCAGGAGCATCTGACATTGTCCCCAAAGAGCTGGCATCTGTTATTTTGGGCCACTAGCACACGGTACAGAGAAAGGCTTGTTGGTTGTAACATTTGTCCTTCAGCAAGAGGCTAACATGACTCTGGAACTAAATTTCTTACTGCAAATCCATGGACGGGGCTTCAGAAGGCCCATGACTCTAAAATTTATGCAGAAGTTTGTATAAATGTGCTTGTATTTATTTCGGTCTCGTGGTCAATAAGTTTTAACAGCCTCTGAGCTGTAAGTTTCTACGTTTCATTCTCCCAAGACACGTGATGAAATCATTTTAAAGGGAAACGGCAGTGAAGAACGCAGGTTTATTTTTACCAAATTCTGAACGTCTCAAAAATTTCCTCTGGACAGAGACAAGCTTTACCACCCAGGAGGCCAAAGCTTTACTCGCAGCAGGGATCTCGCAGCTGTTTGACATTATAACAACCAAATGAGTTAGTGCAATTCACAAAAGACATAAAATGATTAGCATCATCTGTCTTCTCCCTGTTAATAAAAGTACATATTGGCTAAAAGCACATAGAAATAGATGTCAGTTTGTCAACCCCACACTTCAATGAGTATACAGATGCTTAGTGTGACTGCATGGAGCAACGTGGATGAGCAAGCTTCTATCTCCAAAGTTTTTACAAGAAAGAAACTCAAGGGAAAAAACATCTGTGTTTCAAGTGAACCAAACAATTACACTTAGGGCTGTATTTTTCATGAAAAAAAAAAAAAAACATAGAAAAAGAAATCTTTTGGAGGGGAAAAAAAAATCCATGTTTCTTTTGGTGTAAATACAGGCACAGACAAGAAAATTATTTCAGTTATACATAACTTAATGGTATTATCTGCTTGAACTGAAGTTGTGTAAAGTGGTCATGATAAACATTACACTCTCTAAAATAATGAAACTGGCATTAATTAGCAACAAATTCAGCAATCCTAATTAGGTATTGAAAAATCTTTCTTATTAAAGCCTGGTTTTGTGTTTCTGTCTCCTTATGAACAGACTACCTCTATAATTAATAACATATCTGCTGATTCCAAACTCAGCCATTATGACAGAGCTCTTCTCGGTAAGCTAGACGTAAAACTTGTCTTTCTTCAAAACAAACCAGAACAATCATTTGTGACTCCTGATGTGTTAACTAAAGTACCCCTAAAAAGCAGAACGGTATTAAACAAAGCTCACGTTATCTTCCCTCAATTTCGATTTCTTTCTGAGTAAATGTAACAGTCACAAGGAAGGCAGATGCCCAGACAAGGAAGACTTTACAGCGATCTTTTTCTCTGGAAGAGACCTTTCTAGTTAGAGCATTTATGTCTGGCCACCACCTTTCCTGTCCCCTCTCCTAGCAAGGCTGACAGCTCTCTATAGCCACCAGATCAGCTCCCCCAACCCCCGGCCCCCAAAATGAAATTATTGCAAGATCTGCCTGGTTCTGCTGTTTGTTGCCTGGGACTCCCGCCCACTCGCCCAGGACCCAGCAACTGCCTGTGGCGCCTCGTCCTCCGAGCGCTCGCTCGCAGCGCCCCCTGCCGGGAATCCCGAGGACGCCGCAGGCGCAGGAAAGTTAAATCCCAACTCCGGCCGCGGCATCCTGGTACAAAGCAAGCAAAGGGCGAGGAGGTGAACGCGCTTCCCGCCAAAGCCAGGGGAACAGGGATGTGACCGCTCCAAGCCAGGCACCGGCCGCCGCGGGGAGCGAGCCGGGGGAATCACTCCTCCACGACCGTTCCCACGCACATCTTGGGAGAAACCATTCCCTCTGGAGCCCGATCTGCCCGAAACCCTGGGGTCTGAAACCCTGAGCCGCGGTGTGCAAAATCCGTGGAGCAGCGGAGGGATGCCTGGTGAAAGGGGCTCGCCTAGCTGCAGCGCACCTGGCTGGTGGTTCCCCAGGCCTCTGCATCCCCCGCCTTAGTGTCTTTCATTAACCAAGGCGCTTGGCGGAGTTGAGCCCAAGTCCCATTGCCTCCCGGTTCCCCTGTAAGGAAAGCAGGAAAACCTGCCCAAGCCGGTGGGGCTGCGAGGTGGCCGCTCCCGAACCGCCAAGTCCCGACCTCCGTGTCCCCTGCCCCCGGCTCGCGGCAGTGCGAGCCTGGAGGCGCGCCGGGGGCGGGCACAGACCAGTGTGCGCACCTTTCCGGGTGTTGGGCAGGGGTCCCGTCTCGCCCACCGCGACACTCCGGCTCCTTACCTCTCCATGCTCAGACCTCGGCACAGGCGGGTACACAAACTTCCAGCCCGTGCACTAGCTCAACTGTGGGCGCCCCCGGACTGACGGTCGTCCTAATCCTGTACGCGCAACCCCCGCCCAGGTGCCTGCTGATGGATCCCACCCGAGATCGGCACCACCCACCAGCCGACCGCTGCAGTCCCCGGGTCCCGGCCAGCGGCGCGGCGCGGCGCGGCGCGGTCAGGGGCTCCTGCCAAGGCCACGCAGGAATCGGGCGGGGGTCGCTCACCAGGTGCGAGGAGCGCTGGTGCCAGTCATCCAGCGCCTGGGGGCCAGAGCGGCTCCGAGGATCCTCTTCAGCACCTGGCTAGGGAAGTGGAGGCAGCAGCTGCAGCCGCCCCCTGCCACTTCCCCAGAGCCGCCCCCTACTCGCTGAGTTCCAGAATGGGGGCACCGGCTTGGGGGCCACGAGCACGGTCCCCGAGCGCGCGGCCAACCGGTGGGTGGGCAGGTTCGCGCCCAGCAGAGACGACCCTCGAGGTGGCAAAGTTGGGTGTCCAAGCCAGCTCCGCGGGGCAGTCCTGGGTGGGAGAAGGGAGCGTCCCGGGATGAGCGACACTGGCCGGGCCGCCCCTGCACGGGGAAGGTGGAGGGCCGGGGCTGCAGCGGGCCAAGGGCCGCGGCTGGCCTGAGGCTGCGAAGCCCACCCGCGGCGGGAAAGCAGCGCTCGGGAGCGGGCTCAGGGAGAGCAGCCGCCACCGGCGCCGCCTTCCCGGCAAGTAGATCGGCGCGGGGCGAGCGGGCGCGGAGAGCGCGGGGCGGAGAGCGCTGGGCGGGGAGCGGGGGACAGCCTGGGCCCACCCCCGCCCCGCCCCGCCCCTGCCCCGCCCCCGCCGCCGCGCCGCCTCCTCCTCCTCCTCCTCCCCGCCGGGGTGAAACTCGAGCGCCCCACCCGCGCCTGACCTCCCCGAGCCCCTCCCCGGGCCCCGCCCCTTCCCGGTACAGGACCCCCACCTTCGCTCCTGGGAGCCCCGCTGCACCCCAGGAGTTCCATTCCAGCCTCCCCAGTGCGAGTGCGGCCGAGCGCTGACTTTTGGGGGCTCCCTCCCCCGTCTCACTGGGTCCCTCTGCGGCTCCCCCGCCCGCTGTCCCGGTTCAGACGTGGCTGCACCCCGGAGGGGGGCGCCGGCCGAGACCTGAGACGTGGCGCTCCCTCTCTGCCGGCCTCGGCTTCAGGTACGTGCGGTTCCCTCGGCTAAATCTGGCCCGGGGGATGGGGGGCAGGGGCCGTCTGGTCCTCCGGAACTCGAACTTTGTGATTTTGTTCTTTCTGTGTGACATCCTCATCCGTTCTGAGGGAGAAACTCCTTAAAGAAGACGAGAGAGTCAGTCGTTGCGGGTTCTTGGAGGAGCACTTTGGGGGTGAGACTCCCGGCTAGTTCGGGTCGATTTCAGCGGGATTAAGTCAAGGAAATGAACAAATCTGACGAATCAGGGAGGCCAGAGAAGGCGTCCCCAGGTAGCCACGCTGAGCGTTAAGAGAGAAGTCCCGTATGGTCAAAGTCATTCGTCCAATTCTGTGTCAATTATTCCTTGTTGCACTTTTGCAGGATCCTTGGGCCTTACTAAGTACTCAGGTGAAAAGTTGATAATTGGGAAGCAAGTAAAGTACCTTTGAAGACGTGTATAATTGGACACTTTGTTGCAGTTCTTCAGTTTCTGGAGGAGGCGGTGGGGGGGGAGAGGGAGGGGGTCAGCCTCGCGAAAAGAGCAAATGGTAAAGTTATAGGAGTATAAGGCATAAAACTTGGGTTGGGAGTCCTGACTGGCCTTGAGTGGCCCTTTCCCACTGGATGGGGGTGCGGGACAGTATCTCTGGGCCCTTTTTACTCAGTCTGCGCCTCAGAGGGAGGCTTGAAGGTCCCCTGCATGAGGAAATGTGTGAATTGCCCCCTCCTGACCGCAGTGAGGTAGGGACCCCCGCAAGGACCCACGTTCACACCAGCGCCCTTCCAGCCAGTGGTGGGGTATGGATGGGCCTCGCTGGTCCTGGGCATGGTCCGGTGCGTCCATAAGGGTTCCATTGAGCTCATCCATAAAACAAAGAAGCTATTGCAGGCTGCAGGGTGTCATAGCTCGCACAGTAGCCATGCAGACCTAAGAGGACAATGGAAATACAAATTGCTATCGATGTGTCTTTATTTTCTAGAACTTTTTTTTAAAATAAAAGAATTAAGTGAAAGCAATTCCGAAGGTTTCTATGAAAGCCCAGCCCATCCCCAAATGCCCAGTCTCTGGCACGGGTGATCTGGCTGTCTTGGGTACTCAGGCCTTACTGGGATTTCCTTTAAGACCTCTGGGAGGAAGTGTCAGTAGCTGGGCAGGCCTTCTTGGCAAGCATTCCTCCCTGGGTTGTGGCGGGGGCTCCCGGCCTGCTGTGTGGCAGCTGCAGGCTCCTGGGGACCTGAAGGAAAAGCTTAACCGTTCTCCCTTCCCTTGCTTGGCACTTAGAGCACTAGTTCCATTCCAGACATTCCGATTATCTTGCCTACGTGGCACAGAGGCCTAGGAGCCTCCCTGGGAGGAAGAGGCAGGCCAAGGTCTTGCCTGGCTGCTTCTAGGGGGAAAGATGTAGGGAGGAAGCTGCCTTATGCTTGGATCTGCAGCCTTTGCCTGGACCTGTGGAGCCTACGTGGCCAGGGTGAGGGAGACAGAAATTAGAACCCAATGTATTCAGCTAATCCTCTTCTTGCCTCTGAACATTGCCGTTAATACTTGAAAAGAAAAAAAAAAAGCAAAAAAACTCTTGGCATATAGAGCTAAGCAGTGGGAAGAAGATAGCTTTCTAAACCATGACCCAATAGGTCTGATAACATAACATTTAACTGGATAAATTACATAATTTTGTATATATGTAGGGGGGAGTTGAATTCAGTTTTGCTGTTTACAGGCTGCACCAATGCATTGTTAAAAGATGTATATTTTAGTGATAATTGTGATTAATTACAAAATAATTGCTAATAAGCAGGTAAATAAACCAAATTATAATTTAGAGTGCATCCTTTGTTTAAAGTGAAATGGATCTAAATTGAGGATATAATTTTGAGTTTTAATCTGGGGAAAGTTCTTTAACTTTTCTGAGCTACAGTCTCTTCACCTGGAGCTTAGACACACCAGCCTGGCAGGGGTATGTCAGCTGTCTGCTTGAAAGGAGAAAGACAGTAATCTGTGTGAAATACTCACCGAGCACCCAACATATAAGCAGGCTCTTCATAAAGTCATTTTGAGGTATCCACAAGTATTTCTTTTTTCTAAACAAAATTTCTTTGTTTTTTGTTTGTTTTGCTTTGCAAAGGTCTTGCTTGCTAGAAAGCTATCTGCATTAAGCTGCTTCTCATCACATTATAAAACTAAGGATGATCATTTTTAAACAAACAAAAGTATTTAGTTATCTTTTCAAAGTAAAATATAGCTTTCCCTAAACTGTTTTAGGTGAGCCATGCACACAATGTGAAAGAATGAAGAAACCAACAAAACACTTGGTGAAAATGATGAATTCTGGGGCGCTGATTCATGTGACTTGAAAAATGCCATCCATTTCCTGATTCACCTCAATTCTGTTCGGAACTATGAAAGATCATTTATGTTTCTGCACTAATTGACCAATTTTGTCTTGTCTTTACTTCCCTCCCTAGTGCTTGAATTTCAGCCACATCCCTAAGCTGCCATCTCAGACCAGAGGAACAGGGAGGGGGGCTTTCTGGAAAGAACATCACCTGGAAGAAATCAGGACATGACTGTGGGCCATGAGTGACCTTCAAAGGAAAGCCGGGTATCTGTGGTCTTTAAGATGTGGTAAGATTGTATTAAAATTATAGAAAAAAACCTCAATCCAGAAATCGTGGCCTCTTGACATTTACATCTTAACTGCATTTTCCTACCAATGAGATGCATTACAATCATCCTCCATAAGTGTTCTCTTTTTACCCCTGTTTCCATTCTTTTAGATCCATGACATTTAAAAACTGAAGAAATGGAAAGATCATCTGATCAGGCCCATCAGTCTTTTTCCTAATGCTAAACATTGGTACAAAGACGTGAAGTTTGATGTCTCACTAAGATTGCCTAGGGCTGCTTTATTGCTCACCTACTTCAAAGTATTGGGAAAACATGATTATGGGTACAGGTGATGCTGTGTTGCCCCCAGACAGGTTTCTTTTGTCAGGTTCTTTTGATGGATTAGGAACCTACAAGTGGGGAGATTTTAGGGAAATAGCCCCTCCACTTGGATTTCACCAAAACGTCTTTAGGGTTCTCTTACCCCAAGAAACACGCATTCCTCTTTAGTGTGGCAGCCCACTCTATTGGCAAAGTTAAGCAGACCAGTTTTACTAAAAAGGAGCCACCCAGAAACTTAGACAGAAAATACTTGAGGCACAGATGAGAATGAGCACAAATGTGCATAGCAAGTGCAGTTTCCTGGCCCTTAAACTGAAGGGCCAGGTCAGTCTGCTCCTCCAGGCACAGCCTGGGACCCCATCATGTGCCCCACTCTGCAGTCTGAGCTTCCACTCAAGTCCACCAGGGCCTGCCTCACATATATATACAAGACCCAATGTCAGAGTCTGCCTCTGCCCATGTCTGGTCAGAGGGTTGCACTTTGCCACTGCTACATGTTCCCAGAGGTTGGCACAGCATGACCTGGACCTCACCTAACCCAGGCAAACTCTGCTCATCTTCGAGCTCTCTGGAACCCATTTCTCAAGGGAGAACCACATTCCCCCACCTCACAGCCAAGTTCAAGGAAGCAGCCTGGCTAAAGCAATGACTCAAGGATACCAGAAGCAGAGCACGCATTTAAGAAGATGCGCTGACTCGCAGGAGCAGCTGACTCTTCTTAAGAAGAGTTTACTGATTCTTCTTTCAGTACGGGCCTTTTAATAAGATATTGTATTTTACTTCAGCTATGGGTGCAGACAATTAAAGGATTCTAGAAATCTGAAAGTGTTTTGCCTTGTCCTCTTGGTTAAATTTCTGGATATATTGTCTAGCAACTCAATTTGCTTAAACAAAATTGTTGTGTCAAAAAAGCCCAAGTCATCTTTTATAAGTGTGGTCTGGGGAGAAGAAAAAAATGCTAAGTTTAAAAGATTTTTGGAATATCTGAAGAAAATACAGATAGCTTGTAATGGAGATGAAGCCTCTGGATGGTTTCCAGGGTGTTATTTTCCGACATTGAGTCTTGTATATATCTTGAATGTCTATAAGCAAAGAATGGCTATACTGTTTTTAAAAAGATATGTTTTATACTTATTAACCAATGTCCTCTCTATTCCTCTGCCTTTGAAAATAGAGCTTTGGGGGAAAATAAGTACCTTTGGAAATATGTTTTCAAAAATAATATTCATCCTGCTTAGATTTAGAAGCACAGATTACTCTGCCTTAGTTTACTTCATTATTTACCAGAGAGATTAACTCAAAATAACCTTGAGTTAATGAAAAGATGATTAAGTGAAATTAAACCCAAAAGTAAAATGTCTCCTGAGCAAATCCATAGAAAGAAGAGCCATCAAGCATCCAGTGGGCCCTCCATCAAGTGTTGTTTCAGGCCCTCCTTTCCAATCCATTCTCATTACCATAATTCACAGTGTCAGTGTCTCTCACCCAAACTACCAACACCTCCTCTTACCGTCTTCCTGACTCCAGTTCCAGTGATCATTCCCCAATCAGCAGCATCACACCCACCCCTCACACATACATCATCATCATCATCATTACCGTTAATAACACAGACCTGATTTTATTTGAATTGGAAACTACTTGGCTTTAAAAAAAAAAACTCCCTTGCAGCTAGGTGAGGCCATAGAACTCAGCCATAACCAATAAGATATAAGTGGAGTAGGATTCTAAGATAGGCTTTGTAAAAGGGGGCAGACAACTAAATGGGCATGGTCTTTCCTGTCCTTCTCTCCTACTTCTGGATTCCCACCTGGAAGTTGATTGTGATGGTGGAAATACCAGGCACTGGTCGGGTGCGATGGCTCATGCCTGTAATCCCAGCACTTTGGGAGGTCAAGGTGAGTAGATCACCTGAGGTCAGGGGTTTGAGACCAGCCTGACCAACATGGTGAAACCCTGTCTCTACTAAAAATACAAAAATTAGCCTGGCATGGTGACACGCACCTGTAGTCCCAGCTACTCGGGAGGCTGAGGCAGGAGAATCTCTTGAACTGGGGAGGAGGAGGTTGCAATGAGCCAAGATCAGGCACCTGCACTCCAGCCTGGGTGACAGAGTGAGACTCTGTCCCAAAACAAACAAACAAAAAATGAAATGCCAGGCACCAGTTTAGGCTCTTGAGGATATAAGTTATGAGCCAAGGATGATGGTGTAAAAAGTAGCCTAAATCCCTGGTGACTCCATGGAGCCCCTGCCTCAGCCCTGAATTACCTAACCCCAGACTTCATGACATGAGAAAGAAAGAACTTTCTGTTTTGCTTTAGCCATCATTGTTTCTGTTCTGTTTTTAGCAGGAGAATGTGATTCCTTACCAATGGAGGGGATTCAGTTCCTCCAGGTCTGGCAACCCTGCAGCTTGGGTCCAGTTTCATCCCTCAACATTGCGGCCTATGCAGCCAGTGCCCCCTCTCCCTTTCTCCCACCCAGCTTTCCCATCTGCAACCAAGCTTGTTGCACACCATGTGCCAGACGCATGGCTGCACATTCAAAATAGAATGAAAAGACACACAGGCGATCCCTGCCCTTTCAGAAGTTACAGCTTACCGAGTTACAGCTTACTGAGTTATGGAACCCACAAGTATGTAATTCTAAACCCTGATAAATGCTATGAAGGACAAATATATGGGTGTCTGGTTTAGTATGGGGAATGGGAGAGGCATCACTGAAAAAGTAGCATTTGAGATGAGATTTGAAGGATGAGTAGAGACCAGCAAGAAAGTGGGAAAGATAAAGGATAAGAGTAAGACTCCAGAAAAGGGTGGAAATGGAGATTAACTTTGGAATTTAATTCAAACACACTTGTTAACATATCAAGGATTGTAATAGTAATTGCAAATGAATAGCAATAAATACTGTCATAGTCCATTTCAGGCTGCTATAACAAAAAACCTTAAACTCAGTAATATATAAACAATAGAAATTTATTTATAACAGTTCTGGAGGCTGGAAAGTTCAAGATCAAGGCACCAGCAGGTTCAATGTCTGGTGAAGGCACAGTCTCTGCTTCCAAGATGGTGCCTTGTTTCTGCATCCTCTAGAGAAGAGGAACACTGTGTCCACACATGGCTGAAGAGCTGGATGGAGAAAAGGGCCCAGCTAATTCCCTCCAGCCCTTTTATAAGCCACTAATCCCACTTATGAGGTCAGAGCCCTTATAGCCTAATCACCTCCAAAAGGCCCCACCTCATAATATTGTTGGATTGAGGATTAACTTTCAACGTGAATTTTGGGGAGAATACAGTCAAACCATAGCATTCTTCCCCTGACCCCTCAAAATTCGTGTCCTCATATACAAAATTCATCCCAAAATCGATAACTTATTGCCCAAATTCTTAACGTGTTCCAGCATTAACTTTAAAGTCTAAGTCTAAGGTCTCATTTAAATATGATCTATATCAGATACAGCTGAGACTGAAGGTACAAGTCATCCTAAGGCACACTCCTCCAGCTCTGAGCCTATGAAATCAAACAAGCGATGTGCTTCCAAAATACGATAGTGGTGCAGGCATAGGATATACATTCCCATTCTGCAAGGGAGAAATGGGCAAGAAGAAAGGGTCACAGGCCCCATGGAATTCCAAAACCCAGCAAGGCAAACTGTTAAATCTTGAGGCTTGAGAATGGTCTTGAGTCCATGTTCATCCTTCCGTACACACTGGGGCAAGGGTTGGACATCCAAGGGTCCCACCCGCCCTACCCCCATGGCTTTGCTGGGCACAGCCCATGCTGTAGCTCTCACAAGTTGGAGTCCAGTGCCTGTGGCTCTCCTAGGCTGGCATTGCACGCTGGTGGCTCTACCAGTTTGGGATCTCAGAGGCAACCCTGACCCCACAGCTCTGCTGATCATTGTCCTAGTAGGGACCGTCTGCACCTATCTCACCTTTGTGGCAGTTTTCTGTCTGGGCTCTGGGCTCTCCAAGACATCTTTTGAAATCTACGTGGAGACAGCCATGCCTCCACAGCTCATACACTCTATATACATGCAGAGTTGGCACTTCAAGAATGTCATCAAGGCTTATTACTTGTACCTTTCAGAAGGGTGGCCCAGGCCACATCTGAGTCCACTTGAGCCCCAGCTGGGGCAGCTAAAAAGCACTGTGTTAGAATGCGGGGAGCAAAGATCTGAGGAGGCCCTAGGCAGTGAAACCTGAGGTGCCATGGGTGCCCTGGGCCCCTCCCTTGAAACCTTTCTGACTTGAAGGCCCTGGTACTCTGGGATCATGATGGGAGCGGCAGCCTCAAAGATTGAAATGCCTTTGGAGTCATTCTTCTATTGTCTGGATAAATAGCATCTGGCTTCCTTATAGCCACACTAATCTCATATCAAAAGTTACATTTGCTTAGCCACGCCCTTGGTATTCTCTTCTGAACATGCCCTTTGAATCTTTACAACCTGGCGAGGCTGAAAATTTTCCAGATCTTTAAGTTCTGCTTCCCTTTTTATTGTAAATTCCATCTTTAATTCATTTCTCTTCTCTTGCATTTTATGATAAGCAGTCAAGAAAAGCCACATAGTACCTTGAACAATTTGCTTAGATATTTCTTCACCAAATATCCTAGTATATCACTCTTAAATTCCACCCTCCACAGAGCACTAGAATGCGGACACAATACAGCCAAGTTATTTGCCACTTTATAACAAAGATAGCCTTTCCTCCAGTTTCCAGAACATTTTCATCTGAGACCTCATCAAAATGACCTTTATCATCCATATTTCTAACAACATTTTTATTACAATCTTTTACGTAATCTCCAAGAAGACTGAGGCTCTGTCTGTAACTCTTCATATGAGCCTTTACGTTTTACAGTCCATTTATGGCAATCTAGGCTTTCTCTAGCCTACTTTGCCAAACTCTTTCCGCCTCTACCCATTACCCAGTTCCAAAGCTGCTCCCACATTTTCAGGTATTCGCTACAGCAGCACCCCACTACTCATTACCAATTTCTGTTTTAGTTCATTCCAGGTTGCTATAACAAAAACCTTAAGCTGGTTACTTTATAAACAATAGAAATATATTTCTCATGGTTCTTAAGACTGAGAAGTCCAAGATCAAATCACCAGTAGGTTCAGTATCTGGTCACTGCTTCCAAGGCAAAATTAATCCTTATTTTATTATCAGCATTCCAGTGAATAGAAAAATCATAGGCCAAATACTAACAAATTCAAGGATGTTTTATCATTAGAAAATATGCTAATATAAATCACCTCATCAACAAATTTTAAAAATGATTATTTCAATAGCTGCAGAATATGTTTTGATAAAATTAAACGTGTTTGTCATTCAAAAAAAAAAAACCTCTTAGCTAACTAGTAATAGAAGGGAATTTACCTAAATTGACAAAAAAAAAATCACCAAAAACTTGTTATTTAGTGGTGAAAAGTCGTAGGCATTCAATTGAAAGAGAAGATCAAGACAACCTGTACTTTCAATCACTGTTGTTGAAGAGAAATATCTGTAAGGACAAATCAAACCTCCTTATGGATATTTCTCTTCAACATCTAAACAGTGATTGAAAAGGGAAAAATTAACTTTTAGTTTCAGATGATATAATTGTATCTAATAAAAACACTTAAGTAAGTCTGCATATCAACAATTAGAATAAAGAGAAATTTCTATTAAGTTCTGAAAGACTTTTGTGAAAAAAATTATAAAGCTAAATTTAAAGATCCTAAAGAAGACCAAAATAAATGTATGCTATTCCACATTGATGTATTGGAAGATTCAGTATACAATACCTTGAAAATAAAATATTCATTCAGAAATATCCATGATACCCAAATTTATCCTTCAATACGATGTACGTCTAATCAAAATCTCAACTGGCTTTTTATGAAACCTAAGATCCTAAAGTTTATACGCAAAGCAAACACAAATTTCCATGAGTGATTAAGGAATGTCCGTAGATTATGAACAAGGTTGATGAGTATCATGTCAATATTGTTCATAGGGCTATAGAAATTAAGACATTGAGATATTGACCCAGGGACAGACATAGAGAATAATAAATGAAGCCTATAAACAGACCCACATAGACTCCCTCTTGAGTGACATGTGACAAAAGATGTATGGTGGCTCACTGGGGAAAGAAGGTACTCAATAGATGGGCCTAAGACAATTGACTACTTATATGTAAAAACAGTGAATTTGTACCTCCCCCTTAAGCTTTATAAGAACAACTTTGAATTAGTTTACAGCAAAAGTGAGAAACAAAACATTACTTAGGAAAACATACAAGACACTATCTGTATGACCACAGGATGGGGAAGCAGTTCTTAAAACAATATATAAAGACTAGCCATAAAGAAAAAAAAATCAATACGGCAAACAACATTAAACTTTAGAACTTCCATATGATGATATACAACTTAAAAACAAGCCATAGCCTAGGGGAATTTTCAGTGCATACAAATGACAGAAGATGGTAGGCAAAATATATTTTCAAAGTCCTACCAATCCATTTGAAAAGGACAAGGCAAAAACTGTACAAATGAAACAAGAAGCTCAACGGCCAATAAGTGTAAGAACGTAACACAAGTTCCCTAATAATCATGGAAAGTCAGTTAAAACCAGGAAGCATCATTTCATACCAGATTAGCAATAATGAAAAAATCTGACAATACCAGCTGTTATCAAATGCTGGCAAGGGGACCTTTAGAGGTGTAAATT
The DNA here is from genome assembly GCF_000001405.40 of Homo sapiens. Lineage (NCBI taxonomy): Eukaryota > Metazoa > Chordata > Mammalia > Primates > Hominidae > Homo > Homo sapiens. The sequence goes on from NC_000005.10 coordinate 9,556,200, forward strand.
GGTACAATCACTTGGGAAGGCATTTTGGCCACTCTTGCAATGTCTAAAATGTACATTCCCTGCAGTGCAGTAGACAAGGTTGCAGAAGGGACATGTAGTATACCGCCAGTTTATATAAAGTACGTAAACCAAAAAATCAGATCTATATTGTATGGATACATCACAGTAGTAAAATAGCACAGAAATGATAAAAAATAAATTCAGTAATATGTCAAGGGAGGGAAAAGGGGGATTGTGCAAAGATCATCAAAGGCCACCAACTTTATCTTTGATTCTGTTTTCCACTAAAATGAAAAAAAAATACGCAGCAAATAATGAAAGATGTTAAGATCAGACAGATATGCTTTGGTGGTTCATTAGATTATTATCCTTTTCTGTATGCTCAGAAGATTTCATAATTCAATAGAGAGGGTTCATAGGAAGTAAGAAAGTGCAGACAGGAGGTGGAAACTCATTAGAGCAGTTTTGTCCTGAAGAGAAACAAAGAAACTGGTAGCAGCTGGACCTGTGCACAGAGGGTTATATTCCACAGTGGGTCATTGGAAGCATGTTTATATGTTGGTTGAGATAACTCCATGGATAGTAAGAAAGTGTCTACATAATAGAGAAATAAGAGAACTCCAGGAACTAAGACTTTGGAAAGATAAGAGTTCATAGGTGTTCGTTTGGAGACAGTAGAGCCCCCCTTGAATGGTCATTGGAGTAGGAACCAGGGAGACCAGGTAGAGGCAGAAATGGAATCTTCAGTGGTGCAAATTGTTCCAGGGCAGCATGTTTTAGTAATGAAGTATGAGGCTAGATTTGGGTGGGCAGTAGGGAAAAGACATGAACGTTAGAAAAGATTAGAGAAACTATAAAATCAACATCTTGGAAATCAGGCAAACAAACTTACTGGGAGTGTGTACTGGAATCTCCATGCTGTGTTGGACGACCAGTCAAGGCTCATGGTCATCACCCTAAAGTGAACCCCATCAGCATGTTTGTGAGATTTTCTCTAGGAACATTCAGTAGCTCAGGCACAGGTGTGGATAACATGGATGATTGATTCCAACCAGGAGGTGGTTTCCCCAGACAAACAGGAGAGAGGAACAGAAAAGTCGAGGATGTCTGTAGGGAGGTGACTTTAAGGATGGTCACACAACGTAAGCTAACAAGGAGGACACAGGGACAAAAAGGATCATGGTTTCAACAGATTGGAGGACTAGATGAGGTCCAGAATCTGAAAGTTTACTTGTGGTCCAAGATGTGTTCGTGATAATAGGGGCTGCAGTGGAATTACTGTTGTTCAACGAGAGGACGATCACCAGCATCTTAGAGGGGTGATCAGTATAGATGTTTAAGTCAGCAGAAAGAAACTTCAGTGAACGAAGCAATGTGACACAGGATGTTCAACAGACAATAGCCACAAGCAAAATCATTTTATAGATGTTGAAAATGTGGTTCAGAGAATGAACCTCTACAAAGCAAATCCCAAACTAATAACCGAAGGAACCCGTGAGTATTTGACCCCAAACTCCATTCTCTTTCCAGTACCAAACTGCTTATACAAGTTTCAACACAGTAAACTTTAACAATTATACAATGGAATTTTATCTTAATCTCCAATAACTCCCCTCAAAGGAGCTGGGGATGACCCTTAACCAGTATGACTAATCAGAAATATCTGGGGAATATTTTCAACATACACAAGCCAAGGCTGATGCTATACGTAGTGAATCAGAGTCTCCCAGGGGTGGGGTCCAGGCCTGTGATTTCAAAAACATTCCCCAGGTGCATCTGACGCACAGCCTGTTCAAGAACCAGTGGACTTCAGATTATTTTCAGTACCAAAACTCACCTGTTTTTAAAGCACAGATCATTCCAATAGTCCTGAGAAAGAACTGGACCAAGAGAACAGACTTTAGGGCCCAGTTGTATTTACCTGGCCATCTCTAATGTCTGGAATTATTGTTTTGTGTGCCCTATATAGAAACTCATTCCATCTTGGACTGTATTGAGAAGCATGTTTTTCTATTCAGTATCTTATGTAATCACAAAAGAGTCTTAGTGTTTGCTTACTGTGCTCAAAGATTCACTTGTATCAATTTATTGATAAAATACCCACTTTTATCAATTTGTTTTTATAAAGTGTTTTGCTTGTCAGTAATGTCGTCTGCAAAATTCTCATTGCCAGATGTATTACTTTAGGGACTACGTAAATTATGGGGGGTTTCTCGCTCTGTCACTCACACACCTTTTCTCTTCTGCTAGGATCAGCTTTCACAGCTGTGTGCATGGGGGAAGGGCCCTCTCTGGGATATGAACTGAGGAAGGACGCCCCATTGACCTTTGTTTCCTCTCTCCTACCCCAACCTCCCAGCTCAATCAGCACAGACATGATTATGTAATCATGCCAATATAAGAGCCACAATTATGTTTACTTCACCCTTCCCCTACCTCTAGGAGATAATATCATTTCAACTCACCCAGGGAAATATATCAGAATTTTGGCCAACTGCAGAAATAGCCTATATAAATACACTGCTCCCAGAAAATTCTGCCACACCTTCCAGCCTCCACCAAGTCAAACACTGGGTGAGCTGGACTGCCTTCTATTTCATCCCCTGGATTCTTGTGGGGTGGGGTGTGTGGACATAATGTCAGATTCATCCCTATGTGGTGACAGTATCAATGAAGTTATAAATATCTAAGGCTTGTGGCATTCCCTAGCGAAGTGTCTCACAATATACCTTTCATATATCAATAACTAACAGGTTTTGAGTATTTCCTGCTTGCCAGGCTCTGGTCTAAGAGGTTTAAAATGTTAATGTATCGACCTCTTGAATTAACTGTCTGTGCTGGGGAATGTTATTACCCCCACTTTATGGATAAGAACATTGAGGCACAGAGAGGTTGAGTAAATTCCCCCACGATGAAACAGCTAGGAGGCATAATTGGGAGACAGACAGTGGCATAGCTGGCTTCGGAGACTGGCTCTTCCCCAACACCTCCATGGTGCACCAGGGCCAGGGTTGACAAACTTTCTCCATAAAGGGCCAGAGAGCAAATATGTTAGGCTTTGTGAGCCATACAGTCTCTGTTGCAGCTCTAGACAATATGTAAATGAATTGTGTTCCAATAACAATTTATTTACAAAAACAGACCAGATTTGGCCTCCAGGTCATAGTTTGCTGATCCCTGCTCTAGCCCAGTGGTTCTCAAATTTGAGCATGCTTTAAAATCATCAGAAGGACTTTCTAAAATCAGATTGGTGCCCAACAACATCCTGAGTTTCTGATTCGGTGGGCTTTGGATGGGGCCCACACTTTGCATCTTTAGCCGTTCCCAAGTGATGCTAATGCTGTGGATCTAGGAACTACTCTTTGAGAACCACTGCCTAAAGGAACATTAACAAACACAGCTTGCAGGTTATCTTCTGAAAGCAAATCAACGTTAATGTAAAATCTTACCATTCCTCTAAGTCATGATGACTTAGAGACTCCTTTGTCTCGCAGTCTCTGGACAAAGACCATTTTTTATCTTCTTGGTATTCACAGTGTCTGAGATGGTGGCTTCTGTGTCCTAGGTACTCAAAAATGGTTGCTCGTGGAATGAAACTCAAATGAATGACTGTAATGCTATGTTAGGTCGTTCCCATTAATTTTAAAATGTGATGAAAATACTCAGGATTGGAGTAAATTGCTCTACCTCAGAGAATGACATTACCTAATATAGGCAATTTGTTTGTATGGTATAGTAAGTCATTTTTCCCAGTTCACGCATTTAAAGAGAATATACACCTTAAGATAGCCCTGAGTTTTTCCCAAGTCACATTAAATGTAGCCTGCCCCAAGTTATGATCCTACATAAGAAGCAGCTCTTGTTTGTCAAGATACTGTTCCTTAGAGATGAGGTAAAAAAGAAGTCGTAGGTTATGGGATTTTACAGAAGGCATTACCAGTCCCGGCAAAACCAGTTCTTAAAAAAAGATTAGGATCAGGCTGACTGGACACACCTAGATATAACTTGAGCAGAGGATACCTGCCAGGACTGATTTCCCCCTTGGGTAAACAGCCAGATGCAAGGCAATGCACAGGCCATTTAAAATCTCAGTGCTGTGACTGAACCAGAGCCTCGTGGTTCACTTTATTTAGAAAAACAGGTGGGAAATTAAAAATCCTCCAAACTATTTTGAATTGGAAAAAGAAAACCTCATTTGGTTTCAAAGCATGTTTTTTTTTTTTATTTTTTATTTTTCCTAACTCTGAGAAAACGTGAACACTGCAGCGAGTAAAAAGACTGCTCACTGCCTTCCATATACACAAATCAGGGCTTTCCTGCATCCAAATGTTACTTTGAACTGACAAAACACTCTTGGCACTTTAATTTTATTTCATAACGAAAAGGCAAACTTAACTTCTAAGCATTTTTATTCCAAGTTTAATGGCTTACATTCCCGGGGTCAGCAAGCAGATGGAGTTGGAGACGAGAATGTATAATTGCAGATTATGAAACAGCAAAATTAATGTTACTTTGTTAATGTCAAGATAGGATTTGAGAGCTAGAAGGGATTTTCAAGATCATTGATCCTAAACCTCATCATACAGATGAAGACACTGAGGCTGAAGTGATTATGTGTCCTGCCCAGCTTTGCAAAGCCAGTTGGGGACGGAGCTGCATCTGCTGCCTGGTCTCCTGGCAATTAGGCCAGTCCTCCCACTGCAGTATGCCACTATCCTCATCAGTTCCTTACAAGAAAGAGGCTCGTATTTATCCTTCACTGCTTTACCTTTCAGTGTAGAAGTGTGTGTGTGTGTGTGTGTGTGTGTGTGTGTGTAATAAAGGGGAGAAGAAGAAGAAGAAGGAGAAGGAGAAGGAGAAGGAGAAGGAGAAGGAGAAGGAGAAGGAGGAGAAGAAGGAGAAAGAAGAGCGAAGAGCCAGAACTGTTGGCTTGCAACCATCTGCAAATTTCCTAGGGATGTGGCTCCTTCTGTCTGTGGCTCTGCCATTCTCAGTGGGCTGCCCACATCGTCATGGTCCATGATTAACCATCATCTTGAAAATTCCAGCCAGGAGGGAGGAGAGAAAGGAGAAGTGGAGTGCATACTTTTCCCCATACAAATGTGCCCTGGATGGCACACATGCACTTCCTTGGCCAGAACTTACTTGCATTGACAGACCTAGATTGTGGGTCACCATGCACCCAGCTAAATATAGTATATAGTATTATATCCAATAGAAGAAACAATGGTCACTGAGGGCTACCTAGAGGTTTCTTAGTTGACTCCCTGGCCATCCAATATCTGTGCTTACCTTTCATCTCACATAAAGAACACACGTATTCCCCACCTAAGGGAGGCAATCTCTGTATATATCTTATTGCTACTGCTTTCACCTTCAAGTTCATGATCTGTACCTGACACACACTGTTATTCACTGCATCCAGGCTTCCTCCTCTCAGTTGAACAACTGTAAACTAAAAGACAAGTTTTCTGTCCACCCATTGGATCCAATATAGAATGGTAGAGTAGGAAAAGAAACTTCAGTGGCAGACAAATGGCAGTGGTGGATCCCTGCTAATGAAGGCATGCTTCCCAAGAGTTCCAGCTGTAAGAGTGAAGTCACTCCATCTGGTATCCCCTGGGAAACTCTCTGGAAGGAGATCACTAGGAGTGTGTGGAAGGGTGTATTAGTCCATTTTCACACTGCTATAAAGATACTACCTGAGATTGGGTAATTTATAAACAAAAGAGGTTTAATTGACTCACAGTTCCTCATGGCTGGGGAGGCCTCAGGAAACTTACAATCATGGTGGAAGGCAAAGGCAAAGCAAAGCAGCACGTCTTACATGACAGCAGGAGAAAGAGCGCTTGCAGGGGAAACTGCCAGACACTTATCAAACAACCAGATCTCATGAGGACTCCCTCACTATCATGAGAACAGCATGGAGGAAACTGCCCCCATGAGCCAACACGTCCCACCACGTCCCTCCCTCAACCCATGGGGATTACAATTCTAGATGCGATTTGAATGGGGACACAGATCCAAGCCATATCAGAGTGCATTGCTCTGGTTCAGCTGGGGCACACAGCCTTTGCCACTCACCCCCAGCAGGGTGGCCTGACTCACGCCCAGCAGGGTGGTCTGAGTCACCAATCAAGCTTGTCTGGTGGCTTCTTTGGCAACACAATTTCCTCAAAAACTTAGCAGGCAACTGTCATTTAAACCTGAAGATTTCGCTTCTTTATTTCCTGGCCTCTGGGTACTGCCAAAAGTCCTCTCGAGTTAATGGTGTCTCCCTTGGGAGTTTCAGTAACATAGTCTTTGCGGGAAGTAAATCCCCTTATTCTGGTCTCTCATTTTTTGGCAGAAAATTCCGTATGTGAGAAGACTTAGCAAAATAGGATCACACAGTTCTATCTCCTCCCCTTGCAGTCTATTTGGAGCCACCTCTTCTCACCGTTTCAGTTTTGGATAAGGTTTGGCTTTATCAAACTTGCAAAGTCCCAAGATAACTCATATTCACTTCAAGTTGACTATGTGAGCCATGAGGATGTTCCTGTCATGAGAGGATCTAACTTAGCGGAGCTCTGGTTCTCTTTCATTTTTGCTTGATGTCCAGCCGCCTCTAGCATAAATTGGCCTCTCTCATGAGGACTTCGCTGAAAGTGTCAAGTGTCAACAACAAAACATCAACATTCTGAATTTTCTGATCATTTCCCCTAATGTTGGTCATGCCCTGTGTTCTTCATCCCAAGATGCTGCAGATGACAATGTCATTAGATGCTTTGTCCCTGCATAACAAGGGTCACCAGCTTTCTACCCACCAAAATCTGCATTTTTGCTGTCCACTGTCCAGATGCTTTCTCTAAGACAATGACATCAGTGTGGCCAGCTGGATTCTAACAAATGCCACGCACAACATTCTCTTCCAAATACCAAATTCTGCCATATACATTCAGCTGTGTATGAGAATGATCCAAATTTGCAGTGACCTAAACACAAAATGAGTTTATTGCTTTCTCCCATAAACATCTAATGTGGTAACTGTGCTCTACAAGGTCATGGGGTGCTCAGGTTCCTTCTCCTTGTCATTTTACCACGCCTTGGTGATTTTCTGGTTTCTATGGCCCAATATTTCTCAGCACCATATCTGCTTTTCAGCCAATAGGAGGGGAGTGAGATGGTTGGTATTATCATCTTGCCTATTAAGTAAGGCACAATTTGGAGATTTCACGCATCACTTCATTCAATCCCATTATTCGGAATTTAATCTCAGGAATAAACTTACTTTTTTAGGATGTCAGAGTCCCCAGACAAGGGTTTTTATTGCTAAAGAAGTAGAGGAAGTTTATATTGCAGAACATGAACAGTCTCTGCTGCATTATGTACATCTTTTTAATGTTCAGCATAAATATCTAGAACACAACCTATAATTAGTTTAAAGATGTAATTCAGCATGGATATGCTGTTTACCTCTAAATCTCCTTATCTAGAATATTAGTGAACCTACCAACCAGGAATTCTTGGGAAATTTCTTATCCAAACCTTTAAGGTTATCTGATCTTTTGCTGTCATTTCATTTTCCTCTAACTCTTCCAAAATGGGCATCCACACAGAATTCTGTCAGACCAGCATTTGATATCCAAAATGATATTAATTAGGTGAATAAGTCTTTATGTAACTGTTCAAACTCCACATTTTGGATGTATCTGGTTTAACTCACTATTTTAACTTGCCCATTAAGCTTCTATTTTCAATGAACATAATTTTTATTACTAGAATTTACATAATCTTTTGGCAAAATGTTGAACTTATTTTCTGTTTTCTGTTGTGTCATTAGTATCTCAAGCATGCTAATTTTTTAGTCGTTATCCTATTATTCTCATATCTGAATCTACTGTGTTTTCTGCTAATTTTCGCACATCGTAGCCTGTTCTTTTTATGATTTTTAAAAGTAGATTGTGAGTTTGTTTGCTCTGTGGGGCTTTATGAAAATCCTGAGTGTCCTGGATTAAAAGTTTCCCTTTCCTAGAAGGTTCTGGACATTTAGGAGTGGTACCACGCGGGGATAAATTTTTGTTGTTGTTACTTTCCTCCTTTGGGGGCTCCCAAGTATAGTCACATCAAACTAAAACCTTATGAGAGAAACACTTATTATCTTAAGGGAAGAGTTTTTTCCACCAAGATCCCAGAAGACAATCTCTTTGTTATCTATTTGCTGGTGAGTGGATGTTTTACATGCCTGTTCAATAGGGCTGACTGTACTGGGATGGGATGGGATTTCACCACATCATCATGCATGCCCCAAGGACTTATTTCCTCTGACCCCTAAAATCCATGCCTATGGTCGTTGGTTACCAAGAAAGGCACACCCTGTTTCCCCCTGCTCCCCACCTCCAACTCACCCAACACAACTGAATGAACATCTATTCTTTATTTTGTGGCCTTGGGAATTTCCTTACTTTCTTTTGAGCTTAGCTATGTATTTCAAAGAAGCTGAGTTTATTTTTTTCTAGCCTTTCTAGGTGTTCTGTAGTAGTATAGTTTCATATTACTTAACTGTTTCCATAAAGAAAAGTCAGCTCCCTAATTTCATCCATGAAGTTGCAAACTGTTACCTACTTCAACCTAATAAATCGCAATGGAAGCAACAGGAAAACAATATTTACAACATTTGTGAGGGACAAGTGGTCAGCATACTTGTATAACGTGGCATATCTGGCTATTTAAGCTGGATTCCAGAGGCTCTTCAGTACAAACAGTGACTCTACCTCTCCTTCCCCAGCAACTCACTGTGTTGCGCAAATCTCAGTAAGAGTTTACACTCTCTGCTAGCCCCAGTAATAGGGAAGGCAACGTGGATGGGAGGCATGAAAAAGGCAAAGTTCAAAGAAGGAGGTCTACATTTGTGCTCCTGTATTTTAGGCAAGACCAGAAGATATGGGGGGACTCATGACTTTGAAAGTTCATGAGAAACTTTATGAGACTCACAAGCCCTAGGAGAAATGCTTCTAGGCCTAGGAAATCAGATATAGTGTAAAATTATAAAAAAGAGCATATTCCCTATTTCTGGAAGCCTGGAAAATTCTTTTTTTTAAGACAGGGTCTCACTGGCTCATCCAGACTGAAGTGCAGTGGTATTTCACGACTCACCATAGCCTCAGCTGCCTGGGCTCAAGCGATTCTCCCACCTCAGCCTTTCAAGTATCTGGGACACAGGCATGCCCCACCACACCCAGCCAATTTTTAAAATTATTTGTAGAGATGAGGCTGGTCTCAAATTCCCGGGCTCAAGCGATCCTCCCGCCTCAGCCTCCCAAAGTGCGGGGATTACAGATGTGAGTCACTGCATGCAGTGTGGAAAATTCTTGCAACATTAGAACAGGCATGGCAGAGTTTATGGGATTGGCACCACTCTTTTTCCACCCAAGAGACGATAGTTTTTCTGTTGACTTCCTCAGGGTATTCTTGACTGTTGGTGGCAGCAGTGTGGCTTCCCAATACTGTGTCTTGACAGTAGACAGGGGCAAGTGGGAGCCAGCGCTAGACGCGCAGAGGAAGGCAGACAGCAGGTGGGATGGGAGCTCACCAACTGGGCTCGTTGGCTCGTGTGAAGCACTCCTTTGGGGACTCCCAGAAGTAACTCAGAGAAAATGCTTTGTAGGGAGCTAATTTTTAGCAATCAGGCTAGGGGTCACTGAGCTCCCATAATTGATTGAGTCTCTAAAGTTAAGGGGACTTTATACTGGCAAGATATGGGTAGACCATGTGAGTGCTGCTAAACATATAAAGAGAGTTCAAGTGATGGGCATTTAGGGTGATTCCATAAAGAAAATGTGGCATATATACACCATGGAATACTATACAGCCACAAAAAAATGAGACCATGTCCTTTGCAGGAACATGGATGGAGCTGGAGGCCATTATCCTTAGCAAACTAACTTAGGAACAGAAAACCAAATACCACATATTCTCATTTATAAGTGGGAGCTAAATGATGAGAACACATGGACACATAGAGGGGAGCAACACACACTTGGGCCTATCAGAGGGTGGGGAATGGGAGGAGGGAGAGGATCAGGAAGAATAACTAATGGATACTAGGCTTAATACCTGTGTGACAAAATAATCTGTACAACAAACCCCCATGACACAAGTTTGCCTATGTAACAGACCTGCACATGTACCCCTGAACTTGGAAGTAAAAAGAAAAAAGAATGCTTAAGAAAAAGACAGTCTCAAACAAAAGATGAATGAAAGACAACTCATAAAAAGAGAAATGAAATAGATTTCACATATAAAAAGAAATTTTACTAAAAAATTTAAAAATAAATTAACGATATTATTTCCATTTACCAAACTGACAGAGATTATTATGTGTTTGCCCTCTTATTTCTCTGACTGATGGGCATGTAAACTTGTATAAATGTGACAAAGAAAAATACTTCACAAGAGCTTTTAAAACATGCAGACCAGGCCGGACATGACGGCTCACGCCTGTAATCCCAGCACTTTGGGAGGCCAAGGCGGGTGGATCACGAGGTCAGGAGATCGAGACCATCCTGGCTAACACAGTGAAACCCCCTCTCTACTAAAAATACAAAAAATTAGCCGGGCATGGTAGCGGGCACCTGTAATCCCAGCTACTCAGGAGGCTGAGGCAGGAGAATGGCGTGAACCAGGGAGGCGGAGCTTGCAGTGAGCCGAGATCGCGCCACTGCACTCCAGCCTGGGCGACAGAGAAAGACTCCGTCTCAAAAAAACAAACAAACAAACAAACAAACAAAACAAACAAACAAACAAAACCGTGCAGACCATTTCACTCCAAATTAATTTAAAGAAATAATAAAAGAGGTTTGCAAAAGTTGGGGACAGAGATTGCCAGTATGAGGCTCTCATATTGGTAAAAAGATGGAAGCAACATAAATACCTCACAATAAAAGAATAATCAAATGAATTTTCTATAGCTATAATGAAGCCTGTTGAATCTTATGGCCTTTTCAATGCCTATTTCAACACATGGAAACTTGTTTATGAGATACTCATAAAAATTTTTATAATGTAATTACATTATGACATAGGTGAGTAGCACAGGTTGTAAAACAGTATGTATGGGATATAATCCTAATTTTGTATATTTATACAAGTATGCACTGAAAAACTGGAAGTTTGTACAGTCATCCCTCATTATCCATGGAGGATTGGTTCTGGGACTCCCTATGGATATCAAAATCCATGGAGGCTCAAGTCTCTTATTAAAATGTAGCACTTGAATATAATCTACACATATCCTACTATGTACTTTAAATCATCTGTAGATTAAATCATCTGTAATACAATGCCAATGCTACATAAACGGTTGTTATACTATGTTGTTAAGGGAATAATGACAAGAAAAAGTCTGTGAATGTTCAGTACAGATGCAACTCTCCATTTTTTAACAACATTTAAAAACCCACAGGTATGGAGGACTGACAGCACACAGATAAGTGGTTATCACGTTCTTCATTCTGAATTTCTCCACTACATTTTTTTTTCACAATAAGCATGAGCTGTCTCTATATTCAACAAAAAAAAGAATAAATGCTATTGTTATGGTCATATTGTCTTCATCAATTGGCTTTTCGTGCCCCTAGAGTTTTACTCCCATTGTTTCTGATGCACAGATCTGGAGAGAAGCTCAAGAGAAGGAAGGCTCCCTCTTCCCACTCTGAGCTCCTACAACCAGGGCTGGCCCCTCACAGCTGCTGCCAAAGAGGATCTCCAGAGACCCAGTTGGCTTTTGCTTGGAGGCCCCCATTTATGGTTGGGACGTTCCCTTAGTTAACTGTTCCCCTACATTGAGGACTCACGTTTCTCATTTTTTTTGTTTTTCTCTTTGCTTTGTTTTGAATGATCCCTTTCTGGATTATTCTGCTGGTTAGCAATTTCATCACTCACTCCCCATACCGAGTTGCCTACGCATATTGGGTTAAACCAGAGAAAAGTGTTTTCTATGGAAGTTAAAAAAAAAACGTAAATAATAGCACTTTGATCTCATTTAACCTATTTCTATGATACCTAAGTTATCCCATCAAAGTGGAAAACATTTCATTTTTCTGATTAGAAATTCTGGTTAACTGGTTGCCCCACATGGGTAGTGGTGCCAGGCAGAGCTACAAGGACCCTGAGCAATACTTTCACATGAGCAGGAATTGGTTGATTTTTACTTCAGTATTTTTCGAATATTGCTTTCTCACTAATCTAAGCTATCAACTTGGAGGATCAGGTTAGAGTATTGACATTGAAATAAGCTTCATATATATAAAAAAGAACAGTTTCCTCCTGGATTCAATTTAAAGGAATAAGCAAGAAAAGAAAAAAATAGATAACTCTCACAAAATTTAATAAATTGATTGGATTTGTGAGATATTTTTAAATAAAATTTAATTCAAAATGTTGAAACTACAGATGACTGGAAATAATGTAAAAATAGAAATCCAATTTTAAAATACATATTTCATGTTGGAGTAGAAGAAACGTGCATCTCAACTTATTCCTAAAGTTCTCAAAGTAGAAGAATAAAATAAAATGTAATCTAGAAATAAAAGTAGAAACCTTTCAGCAGCTCTTGGGCAATGATTAGTAAATGGGTCAAGTAATTACTATTTAATGTAATTGTCATTTTCTTTGTAATAGTTTATTGCCTTTAACCTTGGTTTAAGAAATGAGATTCTGTTGGTATGAAAGTAATGATATGAGTATTCCTCAGGCAGGTAGTTGGATGCACATATCTGAAATTCAAGAGAGTGGATATGGGAGTCCTCCATTCACAGATGATGAGTCTGGATGAGAACTTAGAGTGAGAAGAACCAAGTGCAAGAATTGAGTTCCTGAGCTCAGAATTCAGGGAAAAAAGAGAAACCAGTAATGAATTCATGAGTGCCCAATGAGACAAGAGGAAAACTAGGAGAGCTCAGTGTAGGGAAGCCAGGAGCAGGAATATGTCTAGGAAGAGGCAGAAATCAACCCCATTAATGCTGCCAAAAAAGGCAGCTACATAGAGAATTGCCCATTGGATCTAACTATGCCAAGGTCACTGGGGACCTTAACAAGGGCAGCTTTTGTGGAGTCATGAGGCTGAGACAAGGTGAGACAGTAGTGAGTCTGAGAGAAGTGGAGAATGGAGAATAAGCTTTTTTATTTTTTTTATTTTTTTAAGTTTTGCTGCAAAGAATAATGGTGGTGGCTTGAATCCTAACATTTCAACTCAAACCAAGAGCAAAATGAGGACCACTTATCTAAATATTTAAAATGTAAGTGAAACTAACAAATTGTTTCAGAAAAGATGCTCTATCTTCATACCTTGGGAAAACATACTTTTGATGTAAGATGTTTCCACAGGAAGAAAGTGGCAGAAAAGTATCTGGGATCTCTCTGAAGATTTTCTTACAACTGCGTGTAAATCTACAATTGTCTCAAAATGTACCTCAAAAATTATCATTACAATTATCTCAAAAGTTAAAAACTGTTACCTTTGTTAATAACCTGGAAGTACAGGCTTGAGTTTAGACATTAGAATTCCTCAGAGTTCTGCTTCAGAACCCGGAGAAAGGACTATCTGTAGAATTTTCAGGGCCCAGTGAAATGAAAATATGGGGCCCCTGGTTCAAAAATGATGAAGAATTTCAAGATGTTAACAGCCAGACATTAAACCAAATGTGGAGACCATGTGAACCCAAGACCCCGTCTGACTGCACAGGATGCATGGTCTCCTTCTAGCAGGTGTTTGCACTTGTGTGGTTTGAACTTCTCCCTGGCACCATCATCTTGCCCGCCTGTGAGGCAGAAAGAGAGGGAAGGTGTAAGTTGAAAGCTGTCAGAGGTCAAACATCAAAAATAGAGACAGATTCTTGATGACACACTTGCATCCTTCAAGTCTTTGTTCATAAACCGCTGTCTCAATGACACCTACTTGATTATCTGATTTAAGATGTCGCCCCCTCTCCTCACATGCCCATTACTGATCTATATTTTTTTTCCAGAGCATGTATCACCTTCTAACAAAATGCATACTTTATTTTATTGTGATTATTGTTGATCTCCTCTCACTACTAAGTTAACACCATAAGGACAGGGATTTTTGTCTTTTTTGTACTGAAAACCATGACAAGCCCATATTTAGTGCCCAATAATATAGCAAATAAATGTATGGTTGGGGAAACTTAGGGTCCAATAAATCAGCCTTAATGTGAGGGTTCCCTGGAAAAAATTCCCCAACTACAGAATATCTGTCTCCTCTTGAATGTGACTCCCAAATGACACAGTGGCACACTCTTGTTTCCTCTTTAAGATGCAAACATTACAAAGGCTTCACATCATTCAACTCTAGGGTTGAGTTTGCCTTTTATTGCTTTTGGACATAAGACCACAGACCAAAGCAAGAATAGTGGAGATGTCGCCTTTAAAATATAAAACTGAAAACAGCAAAAGTTAGAGAGTGACTGAGTAGGAGAATAGGCAACATTTTAAAGTTGATTTTACAAAGGCAGTCATCAGACAGCACTGTGTCATTTTAACTCAAGATTCTCAAGTGGCTCTCATGCTGATTGTTAAAGCAGGAGAATGATTGGCCCTAAGATGATGTACTCCTCCCAGGAATCTGAAATTCATAGATCATCTGGAAGGACCAGAGTGCTTGTGGAGTGATGGGGGATGGGGTAGATTATTATGAGAAAGAAGAGGGCTCCTCAAAGGAAAAATGCAAAAAGGAGACTGTAAGACAGAGGCATCAAAAGCAGATTTCATCACTTCCCCAGGGCTCCTGAGCGCGAGAGGGAATTGTCTGAGTCTAATTAAGAAGCATGGACTTTGGATCTTATTGCAGGTTATGGATAAAATCAGTCTCATATCAAGTCGTCTTGCTTCTGGTGCCTGTGTTTATTAAGCTTCAGGAATAGAGGAAAAGCCGAAAGGCTCCTTCCAGGAGCCCTGCCTTTTGTGTTATCTCTGCTCTTTATGATCAACGTGAGGAAGCTCTACCTACACCTCCACAGCACTTAACCGTGTCTCTTTGATTAGTTGGGTTCCAAACCAAGATTGTGTCTCACTTTTGGGCCTTCTCATGGCTGCCTGCTGGAGTAAGATAATGAAGTAAAAAGAAGTTGGACAAAAGAAAAGAAAAAAAATAAAAAGTTTACCTGTTTTAGTCCTACACTTTCCAGTACTCCATGGAAAATTCCATCTCTTCATTTGATGGTCTCGATTCTAGAATTCAAATGTTGCCCCATCACTTTTCCCCAGCTTGCCCCCCACTCTGGATGTGGGATGTGGCTGAATCTCAATTATTACACAAAATGGAAATGGAGGCACATCAGAGATTTATTGTTTCAACCTTGGAGACTGAAATATATTAAAATAAATGGCAAAAATCATGAATCTTTGCTTGAAAATGCTTGTGAGTTTTCACCTTGGGAATTCAAGGTTACATAACTAGATAATTACGCTTTGCATAATATGTCAATCTTTGGGCTTCCGTATCAGTCACAACATTAGCAAAAGAAGAAAATCTTCAGCAGTCTATACCCAGCCGCTACCGTGGAAACATCCCAAAGTCTAATTAAGAGTTTGAAAAAATAGTTGTAACACTCCCCGAAGAACTCATCTGCATTCCAACAGTATTGAGAAGAGTGATAATAGAATTCCACCATGTAGTTAATATTAGTAAGTCCAGGAAAGGATTAAAGAACAAACATTTTGACCAGAGCATAGGGAGATTTGACAATTTTTGCCCAGAAGGACTGATGTGACAGCCGTGTGTGGCTCCTCCCATTCTTCATCTGTACAAATGGAAGAGTTTATTGTGTCACTGTTCTTCAAAGATAACTTTCATTATTGTTGTTTGCTTTTGTTGTTGCTGTTCATAAGTCTTCAGATCAAGAAGTGTCAGATGGAGAGACTACAGAAAACACTGACCTTTGATTGACAGTGATTAGGCGGTGTTTTCTTCCACTAGAGCATGAGATACGTCACACAGAGGGAGAGAAATGAAGATGTATGGCCAAGAGGGTGCACTGGGATAACTTGTTTTGTCAACTCTTGGCTCTCTCTTCCTGGAAGAAGATTCTCCCTCCCCTTCTTCACATGGTCAGACTGGACAAGGAGACTTGCTTTGGCTAGCAGTGTGAGCTGACAAGGTATGTACACTGCATCTGAGCAGATGCTTTAAGAACGTTGGTGTGGGCCGGGCGCGGTGGCTTATGCCTGTAATTCCGACATTTAGGGAGGCTGAGGCGGGCGGATCACGAGGTCAGGAGATAAAGACCATCCTGGCCAATATGGTGAAAACCTGTCTCTACTAAATGTACAAAAATTAGCTGGGTGTGGCTGCATGCCTGTAGTTCCAGCTACTCCAGAGGCTGAGGCTCCAGTGAGCCCAGATCATGCCACTGCCCTCCAGCCTGGGCTACAGAGTGAGACTCCATCTAAAAAAAAAAAAACTTTGGTATGTTTGTCTCACCTCTGAGGCTCCTTGCCTTTGGCCATGATCAGGACATGTCTCAAGTAGGGGCTGCTCCTTCAGCTTTTATCCTGAATAAAGTTTCATGAAGCCAACCCACAGGGAATGTAAAATGTGAATGAGAAATAAACCAGAGATTTGAGGGTTGAGGGTTGTTTGGAACTGTAGCAAAATAAATATAGTGAAAACTGACAGATTCTGGAATTACCTATATAGTTGAGTACCTGCACAACAAGAGTAAAGCAATGTTGTGCCTAGAAAGCATCAGGTCAATATGGCCAAAGGTTTCTTTGTCAAAGTTTAAAAGATCTGAGAAGGCCAGGTGATGTGGCTCATGCCTGTCATCCCAGCACTTTGAGAGACCAAAGTGGGAGGATCACTTGAGGCCAAGAGTTTGAGACTAGCTTGGGTAACATAATGAGACCCCATCTCTACAAAAATTAAAAATCAGCTGGTCATGGTTGTGCACAACTGTAGTCCTAGCTACTGGAGAGGCTGAGGCTGGAGGATCACATGAGGCCAGGAGTTTGAGGTTACAGTGAGCTATGATTGCACACCACACCCCAGCCACAGCAACCTAGTGAGACCCTGTCTCAAAAAAAAAAAGAAAAAGAAGTTTGAAAAACAAAGGGTTGGCAGCATATAAACAAAACATCTAGACTCTCTTGGGTAGTCTAGACTGAAACGTAGACTGAAATGATGATGTGGCCTGCCCTACTGTTTGGCTGTAATCACCGTGCCAAAAGAATTTGTAGTGCTTTTGAATTTAGGAAAATTCTGGCAAGTAGGACTTACTTGCATTCTATGTAACTATACTGTGTGCTGAATATGATTTTCTCAGGGAGTAATCAAAACAGATTTCTTTGAAGATGAAGCAAAGTTCAGAGGTTTTGTTACCTGAATATCTGTACATTTAGAATGGGATGTCTAGCCGTAACTGATTCGAAGGTTATTTGATTTCTCTCCTGCTTTATGTAAGTTAGTTTTAGAGGGGGGTAGACAGATTGCTATTCTCTGTTCCATTCCTCTTGTTATCCCCAAACAAAAATATTAAGGCCTCAACATTCCTTTTTAAAAAATCAACATTAAAGCTCACACATTCAAAGTCATTTGTATAAATTACATGGAAAGCTGTTGCCCTCCCACAATCGGTGGGCTCTAAACAGAAGTCTGACACAGCTTGTCAGTGTTCTTGTTGGGGCATCAATAACCTTGGCCTTTGGGAAGGAGAGATGGATGAAGACGGATGGGTGGTGGACTCCGCCAGTCAGGTCTCTCCACTGCCAATCATGGACACCAGCACATTCACTAGAGGCAGAGCTACTCAAATGCAATTACCAGATGCCGCCGCCAGAACAACTGTTCCTCATCTCACTCAGAGCCATTGCTCTGGCTTTTCTGCTACCTCTTAATCATTTTAATAATGTGACGTGCTGCTTTTTCTTTGTTTGGTGTATGCTGCAGTGACAATATTTTCCAAAGAATGATTCATAATGTGTTAGAATTCATAGTTTACATGTGCCTGTCAACCATTTGTAATGCAGGTGTTTAGAAAGTTAGCATATTTGAGTAGAGCCCTGATAGTGAAAGAGGCATGTTTGAATGTACGTAAAGTCAATAGGAAAAATTTAGGCACACATATGCCTTAGCTTTCTTTAAATATAAATACTTTATATTTCCTTAAATAAAATATAAACCTACCATACATTAATTTATTTGAGTGGTTTCTGCTCTCTGTATATTTTCAACTTATACTTCTGCTTTATTAGGACAATGCTAGCTGCTGTAACAAATAAGTCCAACACTTTGGTTGTTTAATATAATGCAGTTTTTGTTGTTGTTGTTCATGGATCATGTAAGAGTCCAGTGAGAAATTCCTGGAAAGTAGTCAGTTTTCCTTTAACTCGTGACTCAGAGATCCTAAAGCCTTCCATCTTGTGGCTCCACTATGCCCTGGGTGCTATAGTAGACCCTCAAAGTCTTCTTCCTCTAACCAGCAGAAGGACAAAAAGACAGCAAAAAAAAAAAAAAAAAAAAAAAAAAAAAAAAAAAAAGCATATCTGCTTCTTAAATACCCCAGCTCAGAAGTGACACACATATCACTCCCACTCATATCACATTGAAGATAATTGGATATGGCCAGACTTAAATGTAAAGTTGAGGTGGAAAATGTTGTCCTAAGTTGGGAAACCACCTACCAAAACCATCTCTATATTATGGAAGAAAGAGTACCATTTTTTGTTGGATAGTTCTCTGTCTGTGCCACAAACACCTTGTGCGATAATAAGTTTTTGCTCGTATATTTTAAAACACAGGACTTCTTTTTATGTCAATGTTATGTCAATTCTATTTCAAAATTCAAGGGGTAACTTTTACATACATCACTGGATGACTAACATTCTGCTTCCATCTTTCTGTACAAACAATTTGTATTCTAGTTCTCAAAGCATTGTTATGTAATGCTTGCTGATTCATATTCACTTAAACAGGGTTCATATGGAGAGTTTCACACCCATGATTTGGGGTTGAGGACAAACATAACAACATGTACCTCACACACTCTTCGCTTACATACCATAAAACCATTAATACTATGACCCCAGAGACTTACTCCCCAGAAAGAATCCAAGTAATTTCTAATTCTCCCCCATTATTCATTTACTCATTCAGAAATACTCATTAATTTCCTGCTAGATGCCAGGCATGAAGTCTCATTTTACATTCTTCAGCCAGTGTAAAATATTCCATGTAACTACCTATAATTTTTAATGTCAATTCATTAAGAACTTTCCAAAGGGAAATGCATCATATTACCTGATTCTGCACCTCTTCCCTGTAACATGTCCACCTGCTTATTCTTTTTCTCAAAATGCTCTGGCTTCTTACTGCTCAGCCGGGAAGCCATTCTCCCACAGTGCTTATGTACTAAAGTGTAAACGCTGAGCTGCTTTTACTGGCGTGGAGCAGTGGCTCACAGTTTCGGAGACCATACTCTTCACCTCCCTTCCCCAACTCCTTCTTGTGCCTTCCACTCACCTGGGGAATCCATCAGCCCTTTAGCTCTTTAGCGGAAAAAGCCACTTTGCTGAACAAAAGTCTGTCTCTCACCACTCCTTGATCATCCCATGAGGTCCCATCCCAGAAAGTCTCACTTTGAGGAACAAGGAAAGAAGTCCATACTAAGGACTTGGTAATAAAGTTAGATTGGTTTTCAACTTTGTTTTGTTCTATTTTATTTTCAACCAAAATGAAGGAGAACTCAATTGAATTGTCAGCTGATAGATCGTTAAAAGCAATTTTTGATGATAAAATGTAGTATGATTTCTGGAGTATAGTTTGGAAAGTATTCAAAGAATTGAGTGGCATTGTTATAACAATCTGACTCTATTTCCATCTATTTATGTGGATGAATTTTCTAAGTAGTTGAACTTATAAAACTGAGAAATAGGAATAGAATTGATGTTAAATCTTTTTTCACTTTAGCAATAAGTAATATTTATATGGGGACATATGAACTAAAAGAAAAAAGAATAAAAAGGAAAAGGAAGAAAATAGAAGAAAAAATCCCTCTTGCTAAGGATGCATTTTTCAATAAAATGTTATGTTCTTTCATATAATTATAAAAATTTGTGAGACATTTTTATTTTTGTTTTATTGTACCATGGTAATTATTGCAATGATAACTAAATCCACAATTATTCAAAATATAGACCAGAGTATTTAAAATATCACATATTTTAGAAAATTAAATATGAATACATACTCATATTTATATTGTAGAGAAGTATAATGGAAATGCAGATTTAATGACTGAAACAAATTTTGTGAAACTTCTCCTATGAAAGAAGAGTTTGTTCAGGTAGTTTAAAAATAGTGAATAGTAGATATCAAATTACTTTGGAATTTAGATTTTATTGGATATATTTACAGAAGAAAATATAAAGGTTTTACTTAAAATTTCCAGTGTTTGTAAGACATTAAAACTTAAAGACTTACATGTTAGAACTAAAACCATAAAAACCCTAGAAGAAAACCTAGGCAATACCATTCAGGACATAGGCATGGGCAAGAGCTTCATGTCTAAAACACCAAAAGCAATGGCAACAAAAGCTAAAATTGACAAATGGAATCTAATTAAACTCAAGAGCTTCTGCACAGCAAAAGAAACTACCATCAGAGTGAACAGGCAACCTACAGAATGGGAGAAAATTTTTGCAACCTACTCATCTGACAAAGGGCTAATATCCAGAATCTACAATGAACTTAAACAAATTTACAAGAAAAAAACAACCCCATCAAAAAGTGCGCGAAGTATATGAACAGACACTTCTCAAAAGAAGACATTTATGCAGCCAAAAAACACATGAAAAAATGCTCATCATCACTGGCTATCAGAGAAATGCAAATCAAAACCACAATGAGATACCATCTCACACCAGTTAGAATGGCAATCATTAAAAAGTCAGGAAACAACAGATGCTGGAAAGGATGTGGAGAAATAGGAACACTTTTACACTGTTGGTGGGAGTGTAAACTAGTTCAACCATTGTGGAAGTCGGTGTGGTGATTCCTCAGGGATCTAGAACTAGAAATACCATTTGACCCAGCCATCCCATTACTGGGTATATACCCAAAGGATTATAAATCATGCTGCTATAAAGACACATGCACACGTATGTTTATTGCGGCACTATTCACAATAGCAAAGACTTGGAACCAACCCAAATGTCCAACAATGATAGACTGGATTAAGAAAATGTGGCACATATACACCATGGAATACTATGCAGCCATAAAAAACGATGAGTTCATGTCCTTTGTAGGGACGTGGATGAAGCTGGAAACCATCATTCTCAGCAAACTATCGCAAGGACAAAAAACCAAACACTGCATGTTCTCACTCATAGGTGGGAACTGAACAATGAGAACACATGGACACAGGAAGGGGAACATCACACACCGGGGACTGTTGTGGGGTGGGGGGAAGGGGGAGGGATAGCATTAGGAGATATACCTAATGCTAAATGACGAGTTAATGGGTGCAGCACACCAACATGGCACGTGTATACATATATAACAAACCTGCATGTTGTGCATATTTACCCTAAGACTTAAAGTATAATAATAATAAAATTTTTTAAAAAAGTTAATCTGGCACAGATTGTCTGAACCACAAAAAAAAATTTATATCCTTGTAATTATTTAAATTTATGATAAAACATTTTGGATATTAACCTAAAATGTGAGAAGGGATATATAGTTTTTCAACATCCTTTTGGGAAAAGTATTTGAATATTTCTATCATGGTGTTAGTGTACATCCACATTTGCATGCACCAGATTGAACTAGAAGCAGACAGTATGCTCACATCCAGGTCTTCTCCCTCTTACCTGAACACCTTGGGGTTGGAGACATATCTAACTTCACAAAGGTAATATGATGCCTATACCATACAGTACGTAAAGACCTGTGGTGGGTTAAAATGATCACAAATCCTTTGCTACTTCTCTTTTTGAGAGATGGGGTCTATTCTCCTTGTCCTGAAGTCTGGGCTGGACTGTGACTTGGCCACTAAAAGGCAGTGTAAGTGACATGGTAACCTTTGAGTCTGGGCCTTAGGAAAGCTGCAGCTTTACTTCAATCTTCTTGGAGTTCAACCTCTTAAAATCCAAAAGCCTTGCTGAAGAAGTCCAAATGAGTTGCACGGAGAAGGCTCATGGAAAATAACTGACATAGCCAAAGGCCCAGCTCAGCCCTACCTGACAGCCAGCACCAACTGCCAGCCATGTGAGTGAGCTGAGCCACCTCTGGCATCCCCAGCTCAAGGGAACCTCCAGCTGACTGCAACCCCCAGCTGATACTAGGAGGAACAGAAGAACCACCCAGCTAAGCCCATCAACCCTTAGAATCATGAGATAATAAATGGCTGCTGTTAGTTTAAGCTGTATGATTTGGTGTAGCTCATTACATAGCAATAGATAATTGGCATTTTCCACCAATGGAGTCTAGGACAGCATTATGAATTTGAATCTGAACCTTAGAGCCCAGATGAAATCTGTTCTCCAGAATGGAGTCACTAATAACACCCATCAGAGGTTCCCTGTAACCTTATAACCATCACTGCACACTCAGAGGCACCTTTCATTGGCTTTTTGTATCTTTTCTTGTTGCCACATTAGCTCATAAGCTCCCTGAAGGCAGGGAAATATTCTTCTTCTCTATCTGTCTGGAAGTCCCAACCTTTGGGCTTTGCACCCAAACACACCCACAAGGTGAAAACTTGCCATCCTCAAGTATTCTTCTATCTCATCTTAGTGTATTATATATGTCTACAATTACCCCTCTTTTGTAGATATGGAAACTGATGCCCAGAGATGTCAAGATGTTTCTCAAAGTCACACAGCTAATAAATGGAAATGCTTGGATTTGAACATGGGTAGGTGAGCTTTGGAGCACTACAAATGCTGTCTATATTTTGAATAACCATCAGCTGAGCTGCCTAATTCAGCCAGTAAGCATTTCTTAGGTGACAGGAGGTTATATATGAACTGGTACCTTTCTTCCTACAAAATTTGATACATTTAGCAAATGTTTAGAGACCAGCAAAATACTGTATTAGTTACCCAAAGTGATACAAAGATGATTGACTATTCATGGAAATCACTCAGAAGTCAAATATACAGGTATAAAAATGTATACTGCTCACACAATTTGCATTTGCAAAAATGTGAAACCAGTCCAAATGCCCATCAATCAACAAGTGGTTAAAGAAACTGTGGTGTGTATATAATACACACACACACACACACACACACACACACACACACACACACAATGGGCTACTTCTCAGCCATAAAAAGGAATGAATTAATGGCATTCACAGCAACCTGAATGGGATTGGAGACTATTATTCTAAGTGAAGTAACTCAGGAATGGAAAACCAAACATCGTGTGTTCTCACTCATAAGTGGAAGCTAAGCTGTGATGATGCAAAGGCATAAGTAGGATACAATGGACTTTGCAGACTCAGGGGAAAGGGTGAGAAGTGGGTGAGACATAAAAGACTACAAATTGAGTTCAGTGTATACAGCTCAGGTGATGGGTGCACCCAAAATCTCACAAATCAACGCTAAGGAACTTATTCATATAACCAAATACCACCTGTTCCCCAAAAACCTATGGAAATAAAAATTTTTTTAAAAAAACAATTATTGCAATAAAACAAGTCACATATACACACACATAGTAAGTATATATATATATATATATACACTGTGTATATATATCTACACACATATATATACAGTATATATATATACACTGTATATATATATCTACACATATATATACAGTGTATATATATACATATAATAGTGAATTAATAAACTACTAGTTCGATCTCCCTGGCTCATTTGTCAAGGAGCTTACAATCTCTCTTATTAAGAAAACACATATTCATTAAAGCAGGTGCTCTTATAAAAAGAGGTACAGCCAAATAAGACCACAAGGTAAAAGAAATACAAGCTTTAATAACAATCTAATTATGCCCAAATGATGCTTACCAGATACAAGCTTTACTTAAATCTTTTTCCCCCCTTTTCACTTAACCGTTGTGGACACCTTAGACCTTCTCAACAGTCCCCTTTCTTCCAGGGCCAAGTCCTTCCCAACTCCAAGCCCCTCACAATTCTAGGGTTCCTCCCTGCCCCCCTTCATTCTTCCTGCTATTCATGTGTTTGCTTCACCAAAAGTCTTCATCCTGCACTGGTCATTGGCCCTGTGTCCTCCTCTTCTTTGAAATGTACTGATTTTAAAACTTCCCCTCTTGGTGAGAAGTTTTCTATTTTATAGCCCTGCCTTTTCCAGAAACCAGATGCCTTTTCTCCTGAATATTTGGAAGTCTGCAAAAGCAACCAAATTCATTTAAAGTGACACCTGAGAGGATGAATTCCTGAAAGGTGCATTTAATCAAGGTTAACCAGTTTGCCATGGCCTGAAATTACGACATGTCATGTTAGAAAGATGTACAATTTGGCAACATTTTCAAAGTCTGTAGGTTTTGAACCTACAGTAAACCATTGACCTCCCTATTTTAGGGGCAAACACTTTTGAAGAGAATCTGCATTCCACTTGCTAAACCATATAAAACAAGGTGGAAGAGAAAAAAGATTCAATTAAACATCACTTGGGGATTTCAAAGAAAAGATATTAATCTGTCTTCTCATAAAACTCTTCACCCACAATTGTGATGAATTTGAATGATTAGTAATAATCTCTCAGACTTAAAAAAAACAGACAGCTGGATCATTGAATTTGAAAAATAATCCTTTGCTATTTACATAGAAATCGTTAGAGGCTGAGTTTTTAGGTTTATAGTTTTACAGTAATAAAATTATTTTTTTTAAATTAGCCAGGTGTGATAGTTGTGCACATTTAGTCCCAGCTACTCAGGAGACTGAGGCAGGAAGATTGCTTGAGCCCAAGAGTTCAAGGTTGCAGTAAGCTATGATTGTATCACCCAGCCTGGAGAACAGAGTAAGACTCTGTCTCTAAAAGTAATAAAATAAGGCTGGGTGTGGTGGCTCACACCTGTAATCCCAGCACTTTGGGAGGCTGAGGTGGGTGGATCATGAGGTCAAGAGATCGAGACCATCCTGGCCAACATGGTGAAACCCCATCTCTACTAAAAATACAAAAATTAGCCAGGTGCGGTGGTGGGTGCCTGTAGTCCCAGCTACTCGGGAGGCTGAGGCAGGAGAATCGCTTGAACCTGGGAGGCGGAGGTTGCAGTGAGCCAAGATTGTACCACTGCACTCCAGCCTGGCGACAGAGTGAGAATCCGTCTCAAATAATAATAATAATAATAAAATAAAATAAATATAAATATAAACAAGGTTAATATTTGTATTTATAACATAGAATTATATATAAATACCCAGTTTGCCATTTAAATAGTTAACATCTAGGGCATTGTAGAATATGCATATTTAGGTTCATACAGAGGCTATGTATTTAGGTAGTATTGTTGACAAAATATCAACAATATTGCCCTAAAAGACTGCTTCTGAAATTAGAAAAGCTTCACATTTTAAAAGAAATGCAAATATTTGTCTATTTGCTGCTCACTTTCGCTGTATCACAAAACACCTGAAGGGCTACTTGCCTTCGGATTTTCTTATCTTAATGGTAAACAGTGTTGACGATGAAAATCACACAGCACTTTGCTGCAAATCTGAGTTTTTATGTGTAGTGGATAAATGGCACATCCGTGCCCAGTGCTATGAATTGCTCCTCTGAAATCATGACTCAAAGAGGGCCTGGAAAGATGAATAACTGTCCACTCCTGGACAATCATCTCCACCGCTGCTCTGAGGTCAGGTAACAGCAGGGGGCTTATGTCTTCTCACTTGCTTAGGGACATGAAGTCCATCCCTGCAACATAGTCTCCCTGACAAAGCTTCCCAGGAAATTAAGGTCTCTTTGTAACTTGTTATCTATTAGAGGTAACTGTCTGCATTTCTGAAAACTGATCAGCTCCTAAAGGCCTAAGAGCGTAGCCACTTGCCCTTTGCTCTTGGCCCCCACTGACACTATTCTGAGGATATAGGCTCAACTTAAGTGGACCTTGATAAGGCAAGCATGAATTGCTGCAGGCTTGTGCACACAGGATGTGGCCCACTCACATTAGGTGGCCCATTCTGTGGTTGTTCTAAACTCAAGGTCAGTAATGATCATAAATAAATTGCACCAAAGTGCCGGAGGATGAAGGACAAGATTGCTTCACAGGCTGGAGATTAGAGCTATTGTAGCTTGATGAAGTAGCCAGTGGTCCCCACACTTCCTGGACAGCTAGCTTATTAGGAATAAGTCTTTGTCATCAAATTGCAGAGAAGACTGCAAACTCCTCTTACTGGTTTTATGAGTAACTGTACCCGAGGGAGGCTTGCATGACTGTCTGGTAAACTCCAGGCTGGGAACCATTTGTGAATATGGTTGCAGAGGATTTCAGTGTGAATAAGACCAGGTGCCTGAAAAGCTAGATTTTAATAGAATGATACAATCAATAATATTACCATTTAACATGTTGTATCAGTTAGAATTGGGCAGTTGCATGGAAGAGAAGGCCCAAACAGTGCTTTATCCAAAATAGAAATATATTTGTTGCACCTGTAAAAGCAGAGTCCCAAGAAAGGCATCAAGGGAGTGTGTGGACCTGCTTTCCTAAGTCTGCAGGACACAGGATCTGTCCAGCTCATACCGCTTCTGTTCCCAGAATGTGTCTCGTGACCTCAGTGTCCAGGCAGGATGTCAGAGCTCCAGCCATCGCAGCCATGGTCCAGGGAGGAAGAAGGTGGCCCTCTTCCATTCAGAGACACTTTCTGGGAATTGCATGAAGCACTTGTACTTACATTTCATGGGCCGAAACACATGGTCACATCTGGGTTCAAGAGACATACGCAAGCAGTCATTTGGTTTGATGCCAAAGAGACTAGAAAAAAAGAACTGGGGTCTTATTACTAAGAAAAAGTAGGAAAGTGTATATTGGGAGGCGGGGGCAAGTAGGAGCTTCTGCTACATATAATTATAACCTCTTACCGTGTAAATGACTTTCCATTAGGGGCTACTTTTTAAAAACAAAATTTTCTCTTTTAAAGCTGTCATATTATTTAAACCTAGAAACAAAATAAATGAACAATGCTTGCCTGCTCATGATGATGATGTAGAGAATTATATTCTGGCTAGAAATTATTTGAAATCCAATAAACTGTACTAATTATATATTAACTCATCAAGTTCCTAAAGAACTTTGATATTGTAAAGTACCACAGAATTAAAATATAATTCTCACTAAGCTAGATTGAGATTTTTTTATTGAAATTTACTTTGCTAAAAATAAAATAACAGCAAAAAGTCTATAAGAGAAGATTGTACTCATCAGTCCAGAAGTTCTAAAACTAAAATCCCTAAAGCTTTTTAAAGTATTAGGATTCTAGTCATAGAATTAAACCATTTATTCTCTTGAAAAAAGGGTTACAATGACCTCTCCAGTGTCCTCCCCTCAAGACACACACACACATTAAAATTTATATTTTGAATTCTAAATCTGGTTGCTACGACAACTACAAAAACGACACTCACTTTCATTGGGGCATGCTGGTTCCATTTGTTTTTAAAGAAAAGGGTGTATTTTGCTCCCTGTGAGACAGAAATGATGGATGGAGTCTGAGCCTAGAGGTCAGAAGACTGGTTTCTATTCTCAGCTTCCAGCATTGATTTGTGTGGCTGCAGGCTAGTTACTTAAAGTCTTTGGTTTTACATCCACTATGTACAAAACTTATTTTCCTTTGATATGTACCCTTCATAAGTGGTAGGTGTTAACTGGGGAATTTACCATGAAAACCCTTGAGATTCTCCCATTCTGGTACTGCCCAACCTAATTTCCCTAAACAGGTAACTTTTTTTCTTTTTTCTTTTTAGTTTAATTTTATTTATTTTATTTTATTATTATTATAAGTTTTAGGGTACATGTGCACAATGTGCAGGTTAGTTACATATGTATACATGTGCCATGCTGGTGCGCTGCACCCACTAACTCGTCATCTAGCATTAGGTATATCTCCCAATGCTATCCCTCCCCCCTCCCCCCACCTCACAACAGTCCCCAGAGTGTGATGTTCCCCTTCCTGTGTCCATGTGTTCTCATTGTTCAATTCCCACCTATGAGTGAGAATAAGCGGTGTTTGGTTTTTTGTTCTTACGATAGTTTACTGAGAATGATGATTTCCAATTTCATCCATGTCCCTACAAAGGACATGAACTCATCATTTTTTATGGCTGCATAGTATTCCATGGTGTATATGTGCCACATTTTCTTAATCCAGTCTATCATTGTTGGACATTTGGGTTGGTTCCAAGTCTTTGCTATTGTGAATAGTGCCGCAATAAACATACGTGTGCATGTGTCTTTATAGCAGCATGATTTATAATCCTTTGGGTATATACCCAGTAATGGGATGGCTGGGTCAAATGGTATTTCTAGTTCTAGATCCCTGAGGAATCGCCACACTGACTTCCACAATGGTTGAACTAGTTTACAGTCCCACCAACAGTGTAAAAGTGTTCCTATTTCTCCACATCCTTTCCAGCACCTGTTGTTTCCTGAATTTAATGATTGCCATTCTAACTGGTGTGAGATGGTATCTCATTGTGGTTTTGATTTGCATTTCTCTGATGGCCAGTGATGGTGAGCACTTTTTCATGTGTTTTTTGGCTGCATAAATGTCTTCTTTTGAGAAGCATCTGTTCATGTCCTTCGCCCACTTTTTGATGGGGTTGTTTGTTTTTTCTTGTAAATTTGTTTAAGTTCATTGTAGATTCTGGATATTAGCCCTTTGTCAGATGAGTAGGTTGCGAAAATTTTCTCCCATTTTGTAGGTTGCCTGTTCACTCTGATGGTAGTTTCTTTTGCTGTGCAGAAGCTCTTGAGTTTAATTAGATCCCATTTGTCAATTTTGGCTTTTGTTGCCATTGCTTTTGGTGTTTTAGACATGAAGTCCTTGCCCATGCCTATGTCCTGAATGGTAATGCCTAGGTTTTCTTCTAGGGTTTTTATGGTTTTAGGTCTAACGTTTAAGTCTTTAATCCATCTTGAATTGATTTTTGTATAAGGTGTAAGGAAGGGATCCAGTTTCAGCTTTCTACATATGGCTAGCCAGTTTTCCCAGTACCATTTATTAAATAGGGAATCCTTTCCCCATTGCTTGTTTTTCTCAGGTTTGTCAAAGATCAGATAGTTGTAGATATGCGGTGTTATTTCTGAGGGCTCTGTTCTGTTCCATTGATCTATATCTCTGTTTTGGTACCAGTACCATGCTGTTTTGGTTACTGTAGCCTTGTAGTATAGTTTGAAGTCAGGTAGTGTGATGCCTCCAGCTTTGTTCTTTTGGCTTAGGATTGACTTGGTGATGCGGGCTCTTTTTTGGTTCCATATGAACTTTAAAGTAGTTTTTTCCAATTCTGTGAAGAAAGTCATTGGTAGCTTGATGGGGATGGCATTGAATCTGTAAATTACCTTGGGCAGTATGGCCATTTTCACGATATTGATTCTTCCTACCCATGAGCATGGAATGTTCTTCCATTTGTTTGTATCCTCTTTTATTTCATTGAGCAGTGGTTTGTAGTTCTCCTTGAAGAGGTCCTTCACATCCCTTGTAAGTTGGATTCCTAGGTATTTTATTCTCTTTGAAGCAATTGTGAATGGGAGTTCACTCATGATTTGGCTCTCTGTTTGTCTGTTGTTGGTGTATAAGAATGCTTGTGATTTTTGTACATTGATTTTGTATCCTGAGACTTTGCTGAAGTTGCTTATCAGCTTAAGGAGATTTTGGGCTGAGACAATGGGGTTTTCTAGATATACAATCATGTCGTCTGCAAACAGGGACAATTTGACTTCCTCTTTTCCTAATTGAATACCCTTTATTTCCTTCTCTTACCTGATTGCCCTGGCCAGAACTTCCAACACTATGTTGAATGGGAGTGGTGAGAGAGGGCATCCCTGTCTTGTGCCAGTTTTCAAAGGGAATGCTTCCAGTTTTTGCCCATTCCGTATGATATTGGCTGTGGGTTTGTCATAGATAGCTCTTATTATTTTGAGATACGTCCCATCAATACCTAATTTATTGAGAGTTTTTAGCATGAAGGGCTGTTGAATTTTGTCAAAGGCCTTTTCTGCATCTATTGAGATAATCATGTGGTTTTTGTCTTTGGTTCTGTTTATATGCTGGATTACATTTATTGATTTGCGTATATTGAACCAGCCTTGTATCCCAGGGATGAAGCCCACTTGATCATGATGGATAAGCTTTTTGATGTGCTGCTGGATTCGGTTTGCCAGTATTTTATTGAGGATTTTTGCATCAATGTTCATCAAGGATATTGGTCTAAAATTCTCTTTTTTGGTTGTGTCTTTGCCCGGCTTTGGTATCAGGATGATGCTGGCCTCATAAAATGAGTTAGGGAGGATTCCCTCTTTTTCTATTGATTGGAATAGTTTCAGAAGGAATGGTACCAGTTCCTCCTTGTACCTCTGGTAGAATTCGGCTGTCAATCCATCTGGTCCTGGACTCTTTTTGGTTGGTAAGCTATTGATTATTGCCACAATTTCAGATCCTGTTGTTGGTCTATTCAGAGATTCAACTTCTTCCTGGTTTAGTCTTGGGAGAGTGTATGTGTCAAGGAATTTATCCATTTCTTCTAGATTTTCTAGTTTATTTGCGTAGAGGTGTTTGTAGTATTCTCTGATGATAGTTTGTATTTCTGTGGGATCCGTGGTGATATCCCCTTTATCATTTTTTATTGCGTCTATTTGATTCTTCTCTCTTTTTTTCTTTATTAGTCTTGCTAGCGGTCTATCAATTTTGTTGATCCTTTCAAAAAACCAGCTCCTGGGTTCATTAATTTTTTGAAGGGTTTTTTGTGTCTCTTTTTCCTTCAGTTCTGCTCTGATTTTAGTTATTTCTTGCCTTCTGCTAGCTTTTGAATGCCTACACAGGTAATTCTTCTGCATTACACAATCAAGTGTACTCTGTGTAGCCACTAAACTTCAAGAAATTGTTTGGATTCAGATGTACTTAAATGATAAGAAACCCATTTATAACCCATTCACAGGCAGGGCCTGGGGAGGCAGGTTTCTCTAAACACTTTGCATAAAATTAGACAAGACCAAGAGAGTTTAGACAAAGCTCAGGCTGGTTCCATTTCAAATCTCAGATCCAGTGGACATGTGAATGAATACCTGGGATTATGTGTTTCTGGCATAGACCAGGCAATTTCACCTGCCACACAACTGTGCCTAATGAATGCTTTCTTCTCACTCCGAATGGATCTTCTGCCACATCTAAACACATGGTATGATTGTCAGTTGTTCTGTTACCATAAAGTTCTGAGACAAAACTTCCCATGTCAAAATAAATCAGTCTGCTAAGAATTTTTTGGTTCATCTGGAAACCTTGGGACTGCCTATATTTCCAGGACTATTTAAAAATATTTTAAAAGGTCTGCCAAAAAATGGGAATATATGAAGAATCAGCATGATAACTAGTTTGAACACATTTTTTATGAAGCAAACCACAGAATGCTTCACAGAGTTAATAAAAACATGAGTCCTCAGAACTCTTTATGACATTTGAGACTAAAATTGGCTTCACTTTAAATCACAGACTTTAGAGTCAGGCAGACCTAGGTATAAATCTTCTATTTACCTTTTACTTGTTGTGAGATTTTTGGCAAATGACTTAACCTCTCTGAGCCTCAGCTTTCTCATCTGTGAAACGGAAATGTCTGCTTCCCAGGGTTATGGGGGTTAAAGAATGAAACTGTGAAGAATGCAACTAGACTTCAACATCAGTCACTCCCAAGGTTCTTTCCTTTCTGTTTAGAAGTCACCTCTGTGGAAAAAGAAGGCAGATCCTACACAGGTGATGGGATTTTATGCTCAACCTGGACAACTTTCAATCCTTCCTTCTTATTTGTGTGCAAGTAATAAAATTAAAAAAGCTTGAGTTCCATAATCAACACAAAACCTCATAAAGCCCAGACCAAGCCATTTTCTTTCATTCTTTGCGTTCTTTCTTTCTGCTCATTTGGGAACATCTTTATCTTGTAGACACTTCAAGAAAATGACAGGCAACCATGGCTAGTGTGGGGACACAGGACTCTGTAAAGCGGGAGAAAAGATTCCAAGGGTGCCGTTAGCCTAGTTCTTTCTGCCCCTTCAGTAAAACAGTGTCAACAACCCTTGCATTCCTGCAGCTTCAGGACAGCATCCCGTGCTCAGAAGGTTCCCTGGACTTCCCGTCCTCCCAAGCAAGTTGAAACTTTTGTCTTTGTTCATCAGTGTTAGTGAGTATAGTCTAAGGAAGGTAGCACATTAGCTGCCTTTGCTTTCTTTCTCCATCCCTTGGTATCCTGAGGCGCATAAGGATTTAAGAGTTGCTGGGCACGGTGGTTCAGGCCTGTAATCTCAGCACTTTGGGAGGCTGAGGCGGGTGGATCACCTGAGGTCAGGAGTTGGAGACCAGCCTGGCCAATATGGCAAAACCCTGTCTCTACCAAAAATACAAAAGTTAGCTGGGTGTGGTGGCGAGAGGCTGTAATCCCAGCTACTCAGGAGGCTGAGGCAGGAGAATCACTTGAACCCAGAAGGTGGAGGTTGCAGTGAGCCAACATCGCACCACTAAACTTCCAGCCTGGTGACAAGAGCAAGACTCCATCTCCAAGGGGGAAAAAAAGTCAACTAACACAGTTCTGGGAGCTCCATGACACTGAGTTTAAGCAAAGTAGAGGAGCCCATTGTAGCCTACTCTGAGGACAGCGTTTTATTTCCAAATATTGTTCTTCCTAGATCTAGAAGCCAAACTTTCTATATTTTAAGCTACATGTCACACTCCTCTTCTACAACTAACATTAATTTTGCTGAGGAAAAAATACAAATGCATGGTACTGTCATAATAAAGCCGCTGCCAGGGGAAGAGAACACAGCTGATCTCCTCCTGCCCCCTCACCCTTCTGCTCAGCGCAGCTCAGAGCAATGCACACGTGTCAGAGGCCACAGAGAAACCTGCGGCCTTCTTTTGTCAACATTTCTTTTAGAACATTGGCAAAGATCTCAAATGTCAGTGTGTAGAGGTATGACAGATAAAGATTTGTAAGTGCGTGTGTGACAGAGAAAGAATATGTATGCTCAATGAAGAAGCTGTTGTACACATGGCTTTGGAGTCTGTGTGAGGACACCCTCAACCCTCCAGGTCAGCCTCTGGTCCTCCCATATGAATGCTATCCCTTGATTCCCACCAGGGTCATCCAACACTGGCCTCAAGCCAACTCCTCCTAGGAGCCTTTTCGACTCTCATGCTCATCAAACAGCTGCTCTCTGAACACATTCTAAAGCTCCCCTGCAGACTGGCCACCCACATCTCTCTCTTCACCTCCACATGAGGAATAGCAGTTTAATCATGCATAAGTTAATATTTCTCTGAATCTGTGCTTAACTCCCTTAGACTCCAGGATGCTGTGGAGTGTCTGTCAGTGCAAAGGGCATCATCACCATCACTCTTTCCTGGCTGGAGGTGGAGTAGGGGTGGGGTAAAATATGTAGGGCTCCTGTAGCCAGGGAGAAGCCTGATGAGTTGTCATTCCTCCTGATAGGGGCACATAGATCAAATCTATGATGGTAATAGAAGGGAATAAGACACCTAAGCTCATAAAGAGAAAGCAGTCCCACCAATCTTGTAATTAAAGAATAGCAAACTAATACAACAGTACGTGCATCTCTCACACTTACTACCTGGGTGGCTTGAAGGAACCTGGGAACCCTCTAGAGCCTCGTTTGTCAACATGGGAAATAAAGAACATAAAACCAAGCATATAGACCTGTCCAGAGAATTGTTAATGTAAAACCTGGCATATCATGGAGGAAATGGTGGTTGTAATGTCCCTGGTCGTGGGTACATCAATCATCTGCTGCTATTCTTTTTTTTTTGAGACAGGGTCTCACTCTGTCACCCAGGCTGGAGTGCAGCAGCAGGATCACGGCTCACTGCAACCTCTACTTCCTAGGCTCAAGCTATCCTCCTTCCTCAGCCTCCTGAGTATCTAGGACTACAGGTGCATGCCAGCACACCTGGCTATTTTTTTTTTTTTTTTTGAGATGGAGTTTCGCTCTGTCACCCAGGCTGGAGTGCAGTGGTGTGATCTCGGATCACTACAGCCTCTGCCTCCTGGGTTCAAGCAATTCTCCTGCTCAGCCTCCCGAGTAGCTGGGACTACAGGCACGTGCTGCCACGCCCTACTAATTTTTGTATTTTTAGTAGAGATGGGGTTTCACCCTGTTGGCCAGGATGGTCTTGATCTCCTGAACTCATGATCCACCCACCTCAGCCTCCCCAAGTGCTGGGATTACAGGTGTGAGCCACCGCACCTGGCCTGTATTTTTTGTAAGATAGGGTTTGGCCATGTTGCCCAGGCTGATTTCAAACTCCAGGGCTCTAGTGATCTGCCCACCTCTGCCTCCCAAAGTGTGAGGATTACAGGTGTAAGCCACCACACCTGCTTTGCAATTTTTTAAAAATTAATAAAACTGAAAGTTGGCCAAATTTAGGGCAAACAAGTAAAATAATAATTATGTACACTATTATAGAATGTGTAATCTTTTAAGGGCATTGGGTCATACATGCTCAGAATTCCCCAAATATGATCCATATCACTTGTTTCATTGATTATATTCTGGTGAATTTGTGATAAGAAAACAATTTTAAAATGCCCCATGTGTCATGATTATAAAACTATAATAATTAAGACAGTACCTGGTTATATGACTAAGATCAATGTGTAAGAATGGGAAGTCTAGTCACAAGGCCCACATATTTGCAGTTACCTGAAAAAGTGGCAGTGCCACGCAGAAGAGATGGTTGTTTTGGTTGATGCTAAGCCAGGTGCTAGGCCAACTGGATATCCATGAGAAAAAATGATTCTGACCCCAACTTCACACTAAACACAAAAATCAATGACAGATGGAGTGCAGATCTAAAATGCAAATGGCAGAACAATAAATCTTTTAGAAGAAAATATAAGAAAACATATTCGTGACCATGGAGTAGGCACAGATTTCTTAAACAAGATCCATAAGATGTTAATTATAAAGGAAAAAATGATAAATTAGAACCACATTAAAATCAAGAACTTCTATATATCAAGACATCATTCGGATTGAGAAGAAAACTCACTGAATGAGACAAATTTTTGAAAAATATGTATCTGAAAAAAAAAAAAAACTTGTATCCAGAATATATAAAGAACTACAAATCATCAAGAAAAAGGGAAGACTGCCCACTGGGCAAATGGCAAAAGACTGGAGCAGGCACTTCATGAAAAAGGGCACTCCAAAGAAAAAATAGACATATGAAAATATGCCCAACAAGGCTGGGGAGAAATAGGAACACTTTTACACTGTTGGTGGGAGTGTAAATTAGTTCAGCCCTTGTGGAAGAGAGTGTGGCGATTCCTGAAGGATCTAGAACCAGAAATACCATTTGACCCAGCAATCCCATTACTGGGTATACACCCAAAGGATCATAAATCATTCTACGATAAAGACACAAGCCCATGTATATTTATTGGAGCACTATTAACGATAGTAAAGACTTGGAGCCAACCCATATGCCCATCAATGATAGACTGGATAAAGAAAACGTGGCACATATACACCTTGGAATACTATGTAACCATAAAAAAGAATGAACTCATGTCCTTTGCTGGGACATGGATGAAGCTGTAAGCCATCATCCTCAGCAAACTAACACAGGAGCAGAAAACCAAACACAGCATGTTCTCACTTAAAAGTGAGATTTGAACAATGAGAACAAATGGACACAGGGAGGAGAACATCACACACCGGGGCCTGTCGGCAGGTGGGAGGCAAGGGGAGGGAGAGCATTAGGACAAATACCTAATGCATGCAGGGCTTAAAACCTAGCTGTTGGATTGATAGGTGCAGCAAACCACCACGGCACATGTATACCTATGTAACAAACCTGCACGTTCTGCACATGTATCCCAGAACTTAAAGTGAAGAAAGAAATACGCCCACGAGGCAACAGACAAATGTGATTAAGACCACAGGAAGGTATCACCACACAGTCATTAGGATGGCTAAAGTGCCAACGATGAAAAGTATGGACGTGGAACCAATGAAACCTTCTTACACTGCTGAACACACCATATGGCTGTGGCCCAGGGTTTAGAGCCAACAGAATCAAACAAGTATGTTCACAAAAGACATGCGTAAAAATGTTCATAGTGGCACTGTTTGTATAGACCCAAACTGGAAACTACTTAAAAGCCCATCCGCAGCAGAATGGATAAAAAAATTGCAGTGTATATTCACACATCGAATGCTATGCAGCTGTGATAACGAATGAGCTACAACTACATGCAACACAGATGAATGCCACACACAACAGTGAGGAAAGGAAACCAGACATAGCAGGCAGAGGTCATCTGCTTTAGAAGTCAGTAGTTACTGTCAAGCAGGGGAAAGGAGATGTCAGGGGATCCTCTGGTGCTGGTAATGCTGTGTTTCTTCTGGTTGCAAGGTGTGTTCAGTTTGTGAAAACTCCTTGAGCCATATCCTTATGATTTGTAGCATTTGTGAATCCTTATGGTTTGTATGCATTTCTGGGTGTATTCTATGCCTCAATAAAAAGTTTACCCTCCAAAGTACAATACATATGAAGACACACACACACAGACACACGTAAAGCTCACTAACACCAGATTGGAGAAGCAGTTTCAATGTCTCAGTCCTACCCTATAACTCCTGTAGACCTTCTAGCTGCTAACGCACAGAATACTTCATTTTCGACACATTCTGCCCCAGTTTATCTTGCATCTGAATTTCCTTATTGTATTATCAAATAAGAGATATATATATCAAACCTTATTAGTGTTTGTTTCCCATAAAATCCACTGCTCCATTTCCAGGTCTGGGCTTAAGACGCTGATCGGTGGGATTGCCAGCTGAGCAGATCTCAGACACTCCAGCTCCTCTTTTGGTTGAATCAGTGGGTCACTAATAGTTATTGACACCAACTGAGCTCAATATCACTGGTCATCATTACCAGTCCACGGAATCCACAGAGACAGTCATCCACATTTCCCGTTGTGATTGGTGAGGCATTAGAAAGGATAGATTTTCACAGGGCGAGGTTGTGAAAATGACTTGAAAAATCTCAGTGGCTAACAGGTAAAGGCATGTCTTCCTCGCACCACAGGTTCTGCTCATCTTCACGATCCAAGAACTCAGGTGACCCAGGTCTCCCTGTTTCCATCATCAAGATGGGAAAGGAGCAGGTGCTGGTTCTTAAAGCTTCTATCCAGAACACTCATATCTCATTGACAAAGACAAGCCCGAGATTCTCCTCAAGGATGTGCCATCCTCCATGAAAGGGGCGCTGAATACTGTGGATTCTGGTGCCTCCCACCGTGGGGGCAGCTAGGGGGTATCAGCAACACCGGATGCTGACAAAATCACATTGATTTTCTTCCCAGGTGTGGTTTGGAGAGAGGAGCACTTTGGGTAATGAGGGAAAGGAGGCACAGCCAGCCAGCCAGTTAGCAGGATCAACCCTGGTCCTCAGTGGGTGATATTCCATCCAGTCAATTATATATATATATATAATATATACTCTTATTAAGTATATATTATATATTAAGTGTATATATATATATATATACTCTTATTAAGGAACAAAAGTTGGGCCAGGCATGGCTCATGCCTGTAATCCCAACACTTTGAGAAGTTAAGGCAGGAGGCCTTAGGAGTTGAACTTGAGCCCAGGAGTTCGAGACCAGTCTGGGCAACAAAGAGAGACCCTATCTCAAAAAAAAAAATAAAAATGATAAAACCAGCTGGCCATGATGGCACACAATTGTAGTCCTAGCTACTCAGAGGCTGAGGTGGGTGCATCGCTTGGACCTGAGAGTTCGAGGCTGCAGTGAGCCATGATTACACTTACACTTACTGCACTCCAGCCTGGGTGACAAAGCAAAACCCTGTCTCAAAAACATATTTAAAAAGAAGAAAAGTTATTTAATGATATTTGCTATCACTGCTAAAACCTGGTAAGAAAGACTTTCTTCAGGATCATCTCGACAGGCATAGGGACTACTGCAATGGGATTTTGCAGTGTGGGAGAGAGATTGGGCTGAACTCTGAATACAACCTGGACAAGTGGGAATTTCTAGCCCAGGAGCATGGTGGGGGTCAGTTGATGGAAAATTACAAGGAATAAACATCAAGGATAAGGGGAATTCTGGCTAAGCTGACCTAACGGGTTTCTTACTGAAGACAGGCCAGGGTGATCAGACTATATCTGTGGAATGGTGGAGGTGGAAGATCTTGATCAAATATAGACGAGATAATGAGGGTGGGGAGTTCTTGCTAAACTGACTTGGCCGGGATCTTGCTAAACTGAACTTTACAAGGAAGTGCACAGATGGGCCCAGGAGAAGGTTCAGGAGCCTGACTAAAGTTTAATCAAAAAAGAATCTTTGTCATTCTGCAAGCTCAGAGGGACTCTTGGGTGATCAATAATAATTTAGCTCCATTTTCTTTTGTTTGTCCAATGTTGTACTTTAAAGAACACCTAAAGAAAAAATAAAATACAATCAAAATTTGGAGAAATAATTTCTCCATGAAGATGTGAAGGGCTCTGTATTTATTTAACTTAAAGACAAGGAACAGAGTCAACAGCCATTAAGTAAGTGACTTGATAATACATAAACACATTTCCTCATTCCTCTTAGAGATGAGACAAAAAGAAATTATTTATTTAACAGCAGAGCCATCTTAGGCTAAACACTAGGAAGAGCTGACTTTGCATTTTATTGTCTGAGGAGATTGTGAGGTCTTAACATGCCCCTGAATGTAGTATCACTGAATTAATTTGGGGATTCCCTCCCCCCATCAAATTTGGAAACATTTATTGAGGCTTTGCTCATTATTTAGTAAAGTTAACCTCCTCTTTATAAGAGAAGTGTACTGAACATATGCATAATATTTGCAGTTCTATAAAGTTTAAAATAAAAAAGAAGTTTATATCACAGGTGGCAGGGGCTCAATATAAGTTGTTAATTTTATTGAGTGAATTATTTTACCATAAAAGTATGTTTCAGCATTTTCTAGAAACCCTTATTTTGTCTGAGAATCTGATAGAGCTGCTCTCAATACTTACATGGCTCAGCTGGCAAAGGGAGGACAAAATGATTGTAAATAGCTTTGCTTTTCCTCACTGAAAGCCTTTTTAGGTTTTGAAGCCTCTAATGAAGGGAGAAGACACTGGCTCCACACTCCAGGTACAGAGCTGTTTTTGATAAGATGAAAAGGATGTTTTTCTTACCAGGTATCATTCTCTTCAGAAGTAATGTTTCCTACACAAAGTGACTGCATGTCAAATGTGCAATTTGTCTCTCCAGAGCACAGTGACTGGCTTCTTCGTTCCTGATATAATGGCTAGCTCTGGATTTTTCTTGGTAATTTCTATATCTCTGTTTTCCTCTCAATTGTAATATTCCTGCATCAGAAGACGAACTCAGAAGTTGTGGTTCTGCGAAAAAAATTAGTTTCTACTGTGAATTTTCTTTTCTTATCAAATTGTACTAAAATAACTGTTCACAACAGTGTTTCACCAAATCGTTCTCAAATTTGGTGAAATTTCATTTAATTCTTCCCATTGATTTAAAACATAAGGTATATTGGATGCCTAATTATTGCTGCAATTATGTTCTGAAATACATAACATAATATTGACCAACTATATTTTCTATGGTGGTAAAACATAGATAATGCACACTGACCATTTTAATCCTTTCAAGGTGTACTATCAAGCTGTGGTTTTCTTTGACAGATGACACCATCCTACAGCGGGAGACCTTCTCCCCGGTTCACACCAGGACTCCAGAAAGGACACCCCAGCGTATCCTACTGTGGAGCACATAACTGGATGCTAAAGAAGAGGTCTGCATTAACTGACTGCCCAGCAGCTCCTTCCCCAGCTGAGCTCATTGCCATCTAATCCATTGCAAATATACAGGAGCGTGCCTTGGCTGTCTCTTTCGGAGTGGAGAAGCTTGACATTTGGATACGATTGGTTGCAGAAGTTAAGAACTAAGTTTCACTTCTTTATTTAACCTGAAAGTTCTCTTAATTCCCTGCATCATTGTGCCAATAATTCTGCTTTCTGAGACTTTGCTGGATGAAGAAGACATCTGGATTTGATTTTAGAGAAAGAAAAAGCCAAGACAATGAAATAAGTGTGTTTGTAAATGTAACTTTTAGGTCCGTTACATGGTTTTGTCCTGTTTCTTCCCACCCCCACTCCCAATTCCCCTTCCTGTTAAAACCTCAAGTCAAATCACAAACCTATCTGGCTGCTTTCAAATGTAAAAGAAGACTTTACACCAAAAATACAGACTTCTCTAATGGTCTAAACTACAACTTCAAAACTTAAATTGTTCCTATGGATGCAAATGCTTAAGAAATTGGTCGTAAAATAATCTCTCTTTAAAATATAAACCTTAGCATTTTATAATGACAACAAACCATGTTTCTCATTGGCAAAAGCACTGCTGTTTCTAAGTCTCTCGTCTCACAAGAATGAGAGCCTCACTGGTCTCCCCCCAGCACCTAGAGCAGGACCTGGCAAAGAGCTGGCCCTCCTTCAATATCTGCATAATGAATAACTCTCCATGGAAACCAGTGCCACTGTGGTCAGTGACAACGTGCTGTAACTTACTCCGAAGACAGCAGGGGCATGGGTGACACCGGGAGCTCAGGCCATTTGCACCAGGCTCTCTCTGGGTCTTTGTTTATGCCCCTTCCCCTTCCTCCTCCTCTGTCACTGGCCTCTCCATATGAAGTCTCTCCTTTTCTTTCCCTCCTCACCATGGCCTTTGTGCCTTTTCTTCTCCTTCCCTTTAATTCCCACTTTCTTCCTTTGAGCTTTCTCTTCCCTTCCTCTCATTTTCCATTGTTCTCCTCCCCTTTCCACCTTCTCCTTTATGTAGTAAAAACATGGATCTGACGTGTATTTTAAATTGGCATTTTAATATCCTATCAGCTTCCATTCTTCATTTTTCTCATGGAGCATACAAATTGTATAAGTGTTTACCTGGCAACAACTATGTTTTGCTTGTTTGTGGCAAAAAAAAAAAAATTGCCACGATGACAAGTGCCTCTTGCCAAGTCGGGTGTGCAGGTGCAGAGTCACACCCAGCCGCCCTCAAGGTCCACACGTTGCCCAGTCATCTGGCGGTTTTCTCTCTAACCCAAGCATCCTGGTGCCTGCGATGAGGGGAATAGGTAACCCTATTGCTACACTCCCAGCTTATGAAGAACACAGAACACAGAGCTCAAGGGAAAAGAGAATTCTTTTGGAGACAAAAGATAATTTTGTACTTCTAATCTGGATCCCTAAGGTCGTGCCCTACCTCCCCTATGACCATCCCCATCTTTACTGAAGTATAATTGACTAATACAAATTGTATATAGTTACGGTGGACAATGTGATGTTTTGATATGTGAGTACATTGTGGTATGATCACTATAATCAAGCTAATCAGCATATCCATCACCTCACATAGTTGCCTTTTGTTTTTTGCCTGTGTATGGTGAAAAAATTTAAGATCTACTCTGTTAGCACTTTTCAAGCATACAATGCAGAGTTGTGCCCTTAGTTAAAGGACTCGGGGGCTTTGTGAGGTCTGAATCCTATTGATTATCCAGTGCCTGCTTTTTCCCCCTTCCAGTTTTTCTGTTCAGTTAATGTTGGTGCCACATACATTAAATTGAGTATGTGGACAGCAGAGTGCAGTTCCTGAATAAAGAGAATATGAAAATCTATTACTTATTGCTTAAGTTAACAGGAATAAGTGTTAGGCTTATTTCTGATTCTATAGGACAATCAATACCTGTTTTTATCAAGTACCTGCCTCCTTAATTAAGAGCAATAGCTGACAAAAGTTAATTAGCAATGTCAACATGACCCTATCACGTTGCCCTGCTCTGACTTCAAAGAAAATTTAGATAATGTTAAAGGATTAGAAAAGAATAACAGAAAGTCCAGCATGCCTACTTTAAAACACCTGAGTTTTCAAGTTCTCCAGATATAAGTTATATATAACTTTT
Organism: Homo sapiens; assembly: GCF_000001405.40. Lineage (NCBI taxonomy): Eukaryota > Metazoa > Chordata > Mammalia > Primates > Hominidae > Homo > Homo sapiens. Next base: position 9,598,421 of record NC_000005.10, read on the forward strand.
TATTATATAACATATTATATAATCTGAGGGAAAAAAAATGCCACGATGACAAGTGCCTCTTGCCAAGTCGGGTGTGCAGGTGCAGAGTCACACCCAGCCGCCCTCAAGGTCCACACGTTGCCCAGTCATCTGGCGGTTTTCTCTCTAACCCAAGTATCCTGGTGCCTGTGATGAAGGGAATAAGTAACCCTATTCACTCCCAGCTTATGAAGAACACAGAACACAGAGCTCAAGGGAAAAGAGAATTCTTTTGGAGACAAAAGATAATTTTGTACTTCTAATCTGGATCCCTAAGGTCGTTCCCTACCCCCCCCATGACCATCCCCCATCTTTACTGCAGTATAACTGACTAATACAAATTGTATATACAGTGGACAATGTGATGTCCCTCTTTCTTCCTGCTAATATCACATACATTTGTACTGTTTCTTTTGAAAACTTGTAGAAAACTTGGAGGGGAAAGCATTTCTAGCCTCTCCTGTTGGTCAGTGGATTAATTTGCCTCCAGTAAGTGTCTCTGTGGCTTACTGTCATTCAGCTGATACCGAAGCTTTCCCTTCCTGGATGCTCAGGACATGTGATTTGAGGATAAGTTTACCTGGGCTTTTCAGGCATCTTTGTTTGCTTCTTTTCATTCCAAAGCTTTTGCTAGGAACAGGGAAGCTGACACATCAGCAGGCGAGGACCCTTCAATAGTGTGGAGAGTGAGGGAAGGTTGAACAGCTAGAGAACACAAAGGGAAGAAAATAATATACTTTGCCATTTCTATAACCTTAATACAATTTTAATAAAATTTTTCTTTGGAGGCTTTAAATTCATTTCTTTAAGAAGCTTTGTTGAGCAAAAATATTCTTACAATTGCCATTAAGTGCACCATTTTGTTCAAGATGAACCCATTAAACTTTTTCTTTATCATAATTAAGCCCAATATGCCAAATGCCAAAGATTAGCTATCAGCTTAGTACAAACCAGGAAGCTGAAGAATAGCTGTATATTCATTAAGCCCCAAAGAGTGTGTTTTTGTTTTGTTTTGATGCTAAGGAAAGGCAGGTGGCTCAAACCCAGGGCAGTGTCTTTGTCTCCACAGGATAAGCCTATTTAACTCAGCTTAGTTCATATCTTCAGATGCAATCCTTAGCAGACCAGTGACCTCGGGGAACCCTAAAGCCAGACAGACCACCTGCAGGGGAGAGAAGCGGATCAGAGGAAGGTCACAGGTGGCATGAGTGGTGGGCTCTGACAGGAATAAGCCCGTTAATGGGCTGTTATGGAAGGAAAGCTGGTCATCTGGCCTCCCACCCCTGGCCAGGAGAACCTGGACTGCAGTTTCAATCTCACTGCATGCCATTTAGATGTTTGTCTGCAGTGCTATCTGTGGGGTTCTTGAACTTGTGACTTTTAAAAGACAATACAAGGATGGACTGGTAATGACTGACATTTAGTTGAATGAAAATTACCCAGAAGTTTACCAAGCAATAAACTTCAATCTAACTAGATACCCAATAAACTGTATACAATATGCAAATGCAGAATTGACTGACTGAGAACATTAATTATTTTCCTGTGGTCCAATTATGAAAGGAAAAGAAGCTTTTTTACTTTGCTCTTTTCAAATGCAAAGTGGTTATTGGGAGAAAAAAGGCTGGATTCTTACAAGTGAAGCAGTATAAAGAAGGGGTAGGTAAAGGAGAGTGGACGAACCTACTCAGAGAAGGATTCACTGGGCAGAGGAGGGGTAGCAATGGGGGTTCTGCTGGGCTGGAGACCTGGACTCCCAGGTAGCACCCCACTTGTGACTCACCTATGAAGGTAGCTTGTGGTGACTTGAAGGCTTATCTCTAGGAGCTATGACCTTTGAGGCTGCATCAAAGACCCAAATTATCAAATTAGTCACAAGAGAGTAGATGCCGTGAGGAGCAGGTTGTTCTACCATCAGGTGGGCTATGGAAAAGTCAGCAAACATGGCTGATGGACCAAATCCGGTCAGCCTCCTGTTTTTGTAAATAAAGTTTCATTGGCACATAGCCAAACCCATTTGTATACTTATGACCTATGGCTGTTTTCATACTTCAGAAGCAGAGTTGAGTAGTTGTGACAGAGACCGTATACATAGTCTGCAAAGCCCAGATTATTTACTAGCTGGCTCTCTACTGAAAAAAATATGCTGACCTCGGAACAGTTAGTGTGGACTGTGGGCTGAGAGTAGATTGCACCCGCTATTCTCCCCTTACCCTGCAGTCAGGAGATCCTTTGCAAATTTTCTGGAGCCCTTAAGTCCTCCAGGATAGTCAAGTGATCCGAGGCCAATGAACGATGACTGATATCACATATCTCTTCATCTTCCCAATTCTTGCCAGCTTAGTTCCAGACTGAAGTATGAGATGATATTTTATATTTATATTATGAGCACTGTAACACAAATTTATACCTCCTAGGTGCGTCATTGGTTTCCTATTGTTGCTGTAACAAATTGCCACAAACTAAGTGACTTAAAGCAACACAAACTGATTATCTTACATTTTGCAGGTTAGAAGTCCAAAATCATTCTGTGTGAACTAAAAATCAAAGGGTCATCTGGGCTCGGCTCCTTTGGAGGCTCTGAGGCGGATTCAGATTCTTACCTTTTAGAAGCCTCCTCTAGTCCTCAGCTTGCGGCCCCGTCCTCCATCTCCAAAGAGACAGCATCTTCTCTCCTCTCTGACCTCTGCTTCTATTGTCACATCCTCTTTGACTCTGATCCCCATGCTTCTCTCTTATCAGGGCCCTTGTGATTGCATTCAACCCACCTGGATAATCTCTCTGTCTTAGATCTTTAATGTAATCATACCTGCAAAGCCCCTTTTGTCATGTAAAGTCACATTCCCAGGTGCTAGGGATTAGAACGTGGAAGTCTTTGAGGGGCGTCATTCAGCCAGTCACACATAGAGAACTTTGAGGCTTTGATACCAACTTCAACTCTATAAAGAACTGCTGAGAAGCCATGGCTATCTAGGGGGAATGGGACTATTCTGGTCCTGTCTAGAGTCTCTACTTTCTATTCATTCTCAACTCTCATTCAGGAAAGGGATGGGTGGGGAACAGCACAGACAGTCACTGGTTCATAGCTCTTATCAGCACTGCCTGCCAAGCGAGATTGGCCAGGGACCCAGCCTTGGCAACGGAGTGGGCACTTGGACAACCTTATTTAGTAACCTTGGAGGACCCCTCTTGTCCTCTACCGCCCTGACTCATATTTCCACTCCCTGGGAGGGGCTTCCTTGTCTACATCATGTTCCTCCATGGCCATACCTTAGGTGGACATTGGGGAGAATGCCTTTCTAGGGGAAGCAGGTGTAGGTTTTGCAGTGCAGTACTTGTTGCAGGTTTAGGGATCAGGACACTGCTGTGAGGGGTCAAATACTCAAAGGCTATTTGTGACCAGACTCCAACTAGTGTTACAGTTTTCCTAAAAAAAAAAAAAAAAAAAAAAAAAAAAAAAAAAAAAAAACGCTTCTAATTTGTTATGGACTGAAATGTGTTCCTAACTCCTAGTATCTCAAAATGTGACTCTATTTGGAGGTAAGCTCTTTAAAGGGTAGTTATGTCAAAATGAGGTTGGATGAGTGGGCTGTCATCCAATATGCTGGCGTTCTTATAAGAAGAGGAGATTGGGGGGGCACGGTGGCTCACGCCTGTAATCCCAGCACTTTGGGAGGCTGAGGCAGGCGGATCACCTGAGGTCAGGAGTTCAAGACCAGCCTGGCCAACATGGTGAAACCCCGTCTCTACAAAAATACAAAAATCAGCTGGGCATGAAGGCAGGTGCCTGTAATCCCAGCTACTCGGGTGGCTGAGGTGGGAGAATCGCTTGAACCTGGGAGGCTAAATTTGTAGTGAGCCAAAATTGCGCCATTGCACTCCAGCCTGGGCAACAGAGTGAGAATCCATTTCAGAAAAAAAAAAAAAAGAAGAAGAAGAAGGAGATTGAGACACTAACGCATGCAGAGAGATGACCATGTGAGGAGAACATCAGAAGAAGATGGCCACCTACAAACAAGGAGGGAGGCCTCAGAAGAAACCAACCCTGCTGGCACCTTGCTCTCAGATTTCCAGCCTCCAGAACCATGAAAAAATAAATTTCTGTTGCTTAAGCTGCTGAATGTGTGGTGCCTTATAGTGGCAGCCTGAGCAGACTAACAGAGATTCTAAGCAATGGGAGCTCCGTAAGGTGTGTGTGTTGGGGGAGACATCAGAGAATTGTTAGCAGCCGACACTCACAGCAGCTGGGGGCACTGGCCCAGGAAAGGGCTTCTGGGCAGCCACCAAAACAGCATCTACCCCAGCGGGCAAGTCCCCAGTCACAAAAAGACAGTGCAGATTCTGGAGAATCAAACAGAATAAGAGCTTTCGACTGCTCTATGCTATGAAACACAAAAATTGGGACACCACCAGAAACTTTTGAAGTTGGAGCTTGAAGTCTCTTTGCAGGCAGAATATGTTTTGCCTTAAAAATAGCACCCAATGATAACCCTTATCAACATCCATTCTGCAGATAACAGGCCTCCCTCAGGGACCATATAGGTGCCATTCTCCCCTAAAGTCAACTGCAGCCTCAAAGAGCCATTGAATTCATAAGGCAGCATGGAGATATAGGTCATGTTTTCTTCCCTCCAAACCTAGAAGCTTGTAAGGGTACATGCTCTCTAGACACAAAATACCATATTTCCTTTGCATCTTAATCCACTCAACCCTGGTTGCAGTCACCTTCTTATTATTCACTCCATACAAGATAGATGAATTTTCACGATTTTCCAGTTTCCGTTCTGGTTCTCCTGTTCCTGGTAGGACAACAGAGAATACTATCTTTCTCTTTCTTCAAAGATTCTGTCCTGTGAGAATGTTCCTCTCCAGTGATCTAGTATAAACTGCACCATCCAGCTCTACTCATGATTTCGCTGACCATAGATTCTTTGTGACATAGTTTCTTATTTCTCATTTCTCCTGTGATGTTATACCCTTTGTCAAGCACAGAAGAAATAATGGAAACTACATTCACCTTTATTTTCTATGCTTGATAGAACTAGTGGTGTATAGCAGTTGGCATCAAAAGATGAAGGTACAATAAGACATTTGATTAGTAATCAAAGAGGTGAATGAAATAAGATGGAATGCCAAGTTACACAGTGGTATAACCCAATGGTGAGTCGGATATGTTTTTTTAAAAGCCTACACATTTTCTTCTGCATAGGACATCAGACAATGAAATACAAACATGTAGAGTTTTTTTGTTACAATCAAAGCTAGAAAAGTTTAGGGTATTTTCTTAGTAAAGAGTCTTCGTATGGTTAGGAAGAGGTCTTCAGGCAAATGTACCATTTCTCTATAGGAGAAATAGCTCTTTCTTCTAACAACTGCTGAATTTAGTTTTCAGATATTAAATGTGTATAAACCGAATGGACATCCATCAAAAGGATTGAATTGGTGCAAAAATGAGTGACTTTTGGGCCTCTCTTTATGGTTGCTTTGAGAACTGCTGCATCTAAAAGTGGACTACAATGGAAGGTGTAGATCCAGCAGAGGAACACACTGGGGAATAAGAGGGGCAATTTTAAGCATGTAGGTGATCTCAAGTAGGCTGATCTCAAGTAGGCAGACCACAAAGGATCTGAAGCCACCAACAATGTTGAGCAAAGATGTCCAGAGACACTTACGCGGGTCCTGCATTGATGGTCATCCTTGCAGGTCTATGGGTGGGGTAGGGCTATGGGAGGCTCCCAGTTCAATAAAATGAGGCAAGTATAGAGAAGAGGGTCTCTGTTATTCACAGGACCATTATTGAAATCAGTTCCAGATATGTTTGAGTAATAATAGTTCAACAAGAGATGGATTCCATGGGAAAGAAACTTGCAAAAGACTAAGAAGGGAAGCAAGTCTATCAATACGCAATCAGGACTGTATCCCACAAACGAATGCTGTAGTTCCTCTCTTCAGTCAGGACTTACTGAGGATTTGCTACATGCATTCACGAGGTCAGCACTTGGCATCAGTTGAGCAGTATCCCTTCAGCAGTATCCCTGAAGCTAACGTTTCAGTGGGAGAGCAGGTGGTGACCCTTCTGTAAAGCAGGTGAGGGGCTGAAGAATGGAGAGGAAGGGGGTGGAGTTTTCTACAGCGTGTTCATGGAAGGCTTCCCTGAGTGATACAGTGAAAGGAAATGAGTCACGCAGAGATCTTGGGGTGAGATGGGAGGAAGAGGGAATATTCCAGGCAAAGAGACAGTGACAGTTAATTTTAGGTGTCCACTTAACTGAATTAAGGAATGCCTAAAAACTGGGGAAGATTGCTTTCGGGTGCATATGTAGGGATATTTCCAGAGGAGACTGGCATGTGAGTTGGTGGACTGAGTGGGGAAGGGCCACCCTCAATGCATGTGGGCACCATCCAATCAGCTGGAGGCCCGATAGAAGAAAAAGGCAGAGGAAAGGTGAATTCACCGTCTCTCCTGGAGCTGGGGCACCCTTCTTCTCCTGCCCTTGCACATCAGAATTATAGGCTCTCTGGCCCTCCTTGGATTCTCAGGCCTTTGGCTTCAGACCCAGAGATACACTACTGACTTCCGTGGTCCTCAGGCCTTTGGACCTGGACTGAGCTTGGTTTCTCTAGTTCTTCAGCTTGCATATGGCTTATTTTGAGACTTCTCAAATTCCATAATCTCATGAGGCACTTCCTTTAATAAATCCCATCTGTCTGTCTATCTATCTAGCTAAATCTTCACCTATGTTTATTGTATTGATTCTTTCTGGAGGACTCTAATACAAAGACTAAGTGCAAAGATCCTGATGTCACAATCAGAGTTGCAAGTTCCAGCAACAAGAACATTGGTGAATCTGGGACGGGTATTGAAGGAGATGATATCAAAGAGACAGACAGTGGCTGGACATGTGCAGCTCTGTATGGGACTCCCACCCTTCATGGGATGGAATTCCACCCTTCATTGTAGGTTTTGTTTAGGGAAGTAATGCCATTTGATTTCTCTATTAAGAAGGTGGCTAGGTGGCCACAGCTGCTCATAAAATCCATTCTGAGATCATCAAGTGTAAAACCCAGTGCATTTCATGAAGCGTTTTACTTGATGCTCACGGCAACCCCATAGGAGCTCACTTATTATATTTTTGCCTGGAGTCACACAGACAGTGACCGAATTTGGAGTCAAACCAAGACTTGTAGAATAGCCACAGTACTGCATTGCATCACAAGGGAGTGTGGGTGAACGGGCGAGAGTAACTCAGCACAGAGAAAATTAGAAAGAAGTGAGGTCCAAGGGTTGGCCTCAGCTGCCATCACCAGAGAGCACTGCAGTGGGGATTGGGACCTGAAATCCAGGAATGGGCTCTAGTTCCATTAGCTCATACTAGTTTGTTGGCTGAGGCAAGCCATTTAAATCAATCTGGACCTGCTGCTTCACAAATAAGGTTGCTGAACTCCAAGACCCCAAGTTACATTTTGCTCTCGGTGATCCATATACTGTATAAATGAAGTATTACACTATCAAAATATTTTATATTGAATTTTATTATGGTTTATTAGGTTTTATAGAATTAAAAATTATAGGAGTAGAATGGTCTCAATCAGCTCATTTTATTTATTTCTTAGCCTTATGGATGAAAAATAATGAAAACCACAAATAAATAAAAATAATATCTTTGCAGCCAGGCGCAGTGGCTCATGTCTGTAATCCCAGCCCTTTGGGAGGCTGAAGTGGGTGGATCATCTGAGGTCAGGGGTTCGAGACCACCCTGTCCAACATGGTGAAACCCCATCTCTACTAAAAATACAAAAATTAGCTGAGAATGGTGGCACACATCTGTAGTCCCAGCTACTCGGGAGGCTGAGGCAGGAGAATCTCTTGAACCCAGGAGACAGAGGTTGCAGTGAGCTGAGATCGTGCCATTGCACTCCAGCCTGGGTGACAGAGTGAGACTCCATCTCAAAAAAAAAAAAATCATTGCAAATATGTATTAATATACATTGCATACACAGACATGTTTCATATAAAGACATACTTGTACACACATACACATACTCCCCCAGCCACCAGTACTTCTGTGTCATAAACTCTACCCCAGTGTGACTGGTGCTTTCTGGAGCTCCACCAAAGAGTTCCTGCCCCAGCAATCCCTGATTTTACCCTCCGGAGACAATCACTGTCTAAATAGGTTGGCTCTATCTCTTGTGGACACGGACCAAGTTTACTAACTTCTCAGCATCTTCAAACACTCTTGGGTATGTCTGGGGAATTTCTAGCCTTGTGAGTCCCACCTTCCCAAAGCAGACCCCAAAGGACTCAGAGTTGCAACTTTGACAGCTGGGTCGCAGGAGTTTTCAGGCTCCACCAAGCTGATCCTCACACCCTAGACCCTCCCTTGAGAAGGATCAGCCTGAGGAAGGAGGCTCCACCGGGATCTACCTTTGGTGGAGGCATCTGACTCCTGGAGGTGACAGCCTGCTGTTCTAGCCACTGGAGCAGGTGCACCATGGGACGTAGGGTAGCAGCAGCTGTGTCCAAGCTTGACATCAGGGCAAACTGTAGCATCCCAGGCTTAGTGACAGGGGGTAGGGGGACTCTCACTGTCAGGCCAATTCCTGGAAGCAGAGAGCCTATTTCTCTAGGCCTCTTAAGGATGTCGTGGACACCCCAGTCTACTCTTTTTCACTGAATCCACCATAATGAACTATTTTTCACTTGTAACTAATAAAACGGTGTGATCCTGACTGCCCAATACTTGTTGAAACATGTCTCCAGAGCCTATACACATTTAAGCAACATGTATTTTTATACTTAACAATGGAACTCAGCTGTACACACTGGAAAGCTTAGACCCATTCTTTCTTTTTGACTGCCCCATGGTATTTGATGGTATTGTATTGGTGAAGCATACTTTGCTTAACAAGCCCCCTATTGCTTTACATTTAAGAGATTTTTCTTATTTTTACTGTTCTATACAATGTAGCCTGACACACATTTGTCGTTTTCAATTCACTCTGTGGCTTTCGTACAGATTACTAAACAGTAAGATTGCTGAAAGATTATATATGCACAGTAAAATTTTTAACATATAAAAACAAATTTTATTTTCAAAGGTTATTCCAATTTATACCTGCATTAAATATTTATGAAGACACCAATTTTTCCCCACCCTTGCTAATACTTGATGTTATTAGTCCTTTGAAATGTTGCCATTTTGAAAGGCAAAACTCCACCTCATTTTAATTTATATTTTTAAATTTATTAGTGATTTTTAGCATATTTTTACATATTTACTGGCCATTTGTATTTTTCTTCTGTTTTACCTATTTATATTTGCCCATTTTCTATTTTTTTACTGACAGAGATCACATTATATGTTGTACATAATAATATAGCACATATTGCATGTAATTTGTGTATATTCTGTTGCAAATACTTTCCCTAAGTCTCTCATTTATCCTTTAATTTTATTAGGGTATTTTCTACTACACAAAGTTCTATTTAGCACTTGCTGGAGTGATTCAACTTTAGAGGATTTAACAATATAATTAAGTAAATTAATAAATAATTTGAGTAAAAAAAAATCACATCAAATACAAAGGAAAAAAGAATTATTGAATTGAGACAAAATTGTTCATTAAAAACTTTAAGTAAAGTAAAACGTTTGATTAAATACTTTAGGTAAAACTTTAAAAAAACTTCTTAAGATGAGTTTCGAATGCTATCAGAAGTCATTATGAAAACATTACTCTAAACTGGAAAATCCTCAATGCATTCTGACTGAAGTTGGAAGCAGGACGAAGTGTAGGGTATCTCCTCACTATAACTCAATTGTGTTCAGGAGGTTTTAGCTAATGCAATCAGATAGAATTAAGTGACTGATATAAACTGAAAGAGAGATAAAAGCAGTATCACTCTTTGCAGATAATAAGATTTTACTCCTAGAAAATGCAGGGGGTAAAACTAAAAGAAAACCTTTTAGAACTAATTTTCCTTTCAAAAATTTCACAGGAAGGTGTCACTGTGTAAGTAGTGACTTTGAAACCCTCAACAGCTTTCCTCTATGCTAGTAGTAACTATTTAGAAATTAAAATGGTAAAAGTTTCTATTCATGACAGCTACTAAAAGTACAAATGGCCAAAAATAAATTTATCAAGGAAAATACAAGAGTAGAATGTATATTTCAATATTAATATTTTACTGAAGACATAAAATAAGATTCCAGTAAATGGAGACATGTCATATTCCTGTATGGGAAGACTCAACATCACAAAAGCTTCTCAAATCAATGTATAAATTTAATGCAATTCCAATCAGAATTCTAATGGATTGTTTATATATTCTGGTCCTGCTTTTGAAACTGAATAAGTTGATTATAAATTTCATAGGGATGAATTACCTTGATAATTTCTGAGAATGTTTTGGGAAATTATTTTTCAGATATTTAAGTGTATGTTAGAGCTACTCTAGTCAAAACTATATATTACTAGTATAGGAACAGACAAGTTGATGACCAAAACAGAACATAGAGTCCATTAACCAATCCCAAAATACGTGTTTTATTATGGTAAATGATACTTGAACAAATAGCTAATAGTTTACAAGAAAAAATATGCATTTATGCTAAATTAAAAAATAATTTTTGGCTAGATTAAAGATCTAGTGAAAAGATAAAATCCATTTAATGTTATAGTAAAATATAGGAGTTATGTTTTTGTTGTTCAGCCAAGTGGGGAAGGTAATTCTCACTAAATCTGATAACCTGGAAGACATGCAAAAAAACAAAAGAAAAAAAACTCACCAGATCTCTTTGATTATATATTAACCCCACCATATGATAGGTTAGGATATAAGACCTATAAGTGGGAATAAGTAACTCATGCAAGATCACTGGACTTGGCAGAGAGACAGAATAAAGGGCTAATCAGATGGTCAGAGTGTTTAAGTGGTATGAGCTACACACTTTTCTCTTTCCCAGTCGTTCATAAACTTTAATGAACATTAAAAACCACCTGGAGTGCTCATTAAAATTTACCTGACTCCCACTCCCAGTTTCTAATTTAATAGATCAGATTAGGGACTGAAAATTTGCATTTTTAATAAGTTCATAGGTAATGTCCATGCTGCAGAGTGTAGCATCACTTGGAGTAATAATTTGCTATGCAACTTCCTTCAACAAAAAATCATGCTGCATACACACCCACACACACACACACACACACACACACACACATAAGCTTGGATGTCATCAAAGAGCATACATTTTATGCCGAGTTATTTTAGGGGTACATCCATGTTATGGGCTAGGGAAAACTTAGTCTGAGGGGTGAACAGGTAGAAGGGTCAATGTCAAATTCCATCAGGGAGAGAAGTATCAGGTCAGGTTGAGATTACATAAAAACAACATAATTAAGACATTTCATTTATCAAAAGAAAGTTATAGGATATTAGTGAAAATGGCAGTGCAATGACGTTCAAAAATCTCTTCTCCATAAAAGTGATGAGAAAACTGGTAAAAGTTGTTGGAAACAAATTTTTCTGAACTCTGGAAATTAACCAAGGCTTGGAATAACCTGGAGAGGGTTCATTCAAGAAAAAATGGCTGAATTTCAGGAAGGCCAGTGAGCTTAGGGCATTTTAATAGTCTCATTCCCTGCTCTCCAGGTGCACAGTAATCTTGTAAAATAAAACTCTGCATTCCTATTGCAGCCTGGCAGAACCCCCAGAGGTAACAGAATGAAGCTGGAGATCTTACAAAGCTCCACTTCCAAATAATTGCCCTTTAAAAAGAAACCTATTTCATGGTTTCCTGGACCGTTCCCACTTACAAGGCTGTCTGTATCTGACCTGACTTAGAGACTGCCCAATACAAAAAGCCTTCTCCCCAAGGAACATTTGTTGAGAACAATTAATAGGCACATATTTTAACTTTGTAACTGCTTGAGGTGGTGAATAGCAGTTGAAACAACCAATAGGCTAGCCAAAAAAGCTGTAAAAGAAAAGCTGGGGCATGAGATAGTCCTAGGACTTAGAAAATCCTGACCTATTCCTGGGAATCTAGAAGGTCATGTGTATGTCAATATTGGCCACATGCTCCAGGCTGTGTGCATGCTGAGGAAAGACCTGAGAAGGTCCTATGCTCTCACCTCTCGCTGACCTTGAGGCTCTGTGAAAGCAGAAAGGGAAAGCTAGGCAATATTGTCAACTGCCTGACTGAGTGTTGAAGAAGTGTTCTAACACATGAATATAGCTCCTTGGCAGAAACAGAAAGATTTATTGGTTCCAGACATTTGAGGAAACCTCTATCTAATCATTAGCTACAGAGACTTCAGTAGCCACACATGGAAAATAATACAGATTTTGCAGAATTAGTTTAGAAAAATCCCTAAATAAACAAAAATAACTAACAACTACAAGCAGCAATAGCTATAAACCTGGAGTGGGGAGGATCTAATTTTCATGATTGTCAAATTATATTATTTTAAATGTCTAGTTTCCAACAAAAATTGTGAGACATGCAAAGATACAAGAAAGCATGGTTTATATGCAGTTGGAAAGACAAGCAATCAGTAGAAATTGTCTCTGAAGAACCCCAAACGTTGGACTTACTAAAGAAATACTTTAAATAAGCTGTTTTGTTCAAAGAGCTAAAAGAAACAATGTGTCTTTGCTTGAACATTTTTGAATATGTTCAAAGAGCCAAAAGAGACAATGTCTAAAGAACTAAGGAAAAGTATGATGTGTCAGCAAATAGAGAATATTAATAAAGAAATAGGACTTTTATTTGGAAAAATCAAATAGAAATTCTGCAGTTAAAAAGTACAATTAATGATATGAAAAATTCACTAGAGGGCTCAACAGCAGAGATGAGCAGGCAGAAGATAGAATAAATGAACTTGAATATAGTGAATAGAGATTATGAAGTATGAAGAACGGAAAGAAAACAGAACAAAGAAAAATGAACAGAGCCTCAGAGATCTGTGGAACACCGTTAAGATTACCAACAACATATGAATAATGGGAAACTCAGAAGAACTGGAGAGAAATAAAGGGGCAGAAAGAATATTTGAAGAAATAATGGCTGAAAACCTTTCCAATTCGATAGAAAACATTTAGCTACACAGCCAAGTAGCTCAGTGAATTGCAAGCAAGATAAACTCAAAGAGATCCACAAGTATTCATAATCAACCTGCCAGAACCCAAATACAAAGAGATAATCTTGAGAGCATCAAGAGAGAAGCAACTGATCATGTACAAGGAATTCTTATTTAGATTACAAAGAGATAATCTTGAGAGCATCAAGAGAGAAGCGATTGATCATGTACAAGGAATTCTTATTTAGATTACAGCTGATTTCTAATCAGAAACCACAGAGAACAGAAGGTAATAGGATGACATATTCAAGGTGCTGAGAGAAAAGAAAATGTCTACCAAGAATTCTATATTTCGCAAAGCTATGCTTCAAAGATAAAGGAGAAATTAATATTTTTCCATCTTTAGGAAAGCTTTGTATAGCCACCATGGCTCTGATCTCATCTTGAATTGTACTGTCATAATTCCCACATGTTGTGGGAGGGGCCCAGTGGGAGATAATTGAATCACGGGGGTGGTTTCCCTCATACTGTTTTCATGGTAGTGAATAAGTCTCACGAGATCTGATGGTTTTATCAGGAATTTCCACTTTTGTGTCTTTCTCATTCTCTCTTTGCCTGCTGCCAGCCATGTAAGATGGGACTTGCTCCTCCTTCCCTTCCACCATGATTGTGAGGATTCCCTACCCATGTGGGACTGTAAGTACAATTAAACCTCTTTCTTTTGTAAGTTGCCCAGTCATGGGTATGTCTGTATCAGCAGCATGAAAACAGACTAATACAGACTCACTCCTGTAATCTCATCACTTTAGGAGGCCAAGGTGGGAGGATCACTTGAGGTCAGGAGTTTGAGACCAGCCTGGGCAACATAGTGAGACCTAAATTCTATAAAAAATTTAGAAATAGCTGGGCCATGGTGTTATGTTCCTGTAGTCCCAGCTACTTGGGAGGCTGAAGCAGGAGGATCACTTGAGCCCAGGAGGTCGAGGCTGCAATGAGCCATAATCAGGCCACTACACTCCAGCCTGGGCAACAGAGTGAGACCCTGTCTCTAAAAAATAAATACATACATACAGAAATAAAAATTAAAAACCAAGATAATTAGTCACTGGTAGACTTACCTTACTAGAAATACTAAAGGAAGTCCTTCAGGCAGAAATGAAGAAACACTAGGCAGTAACTTGGATTCACGTGAAGAAATAAAAGAGCGACAGTTAAGGTAATAACACAGGTAAATACAAATGACACAATCATTGTAAGTTTTATTTGTAACTCTTTTCTCTGATCTAATTTAAATGACAACTGAATAAACAATTATAAATCTGTTGATGTATAAACAATGGATAAGGATGTCACTTGTGATAATAACAGCACAAAAAAGGGGCAGACAATGAAGAGCAAAGTCTTGTGCACTGTTGAAATGAAATTGGTATGAATCTGAACTAGTTTGTTATAAATTAAGATGTGACTTGTAATCCCCAGAACAATTTATATGAAAATCACTATAAATATATGGTAAAATACATGAAAAGAAAATTAAATGATACACTAGAGTATATTTAACAAAAGAAGGCAGGAGTAAAGGAACAAAAAAGACATGAACATGTAGAAAAAAATAGTGAAATGTCAGACTTAAAGACAAGGTGAACATTCTTGTCTGTGGTACAAGGACTGAGATGGATTGATGCAAACAACAGCTTGCCAATACCAGGAGATCAATAGGAGTGAGGAAGGAGCAGGAGAGAAATACTCCTAGAAGCAAATCCATGGTGGTAAATCCTGTACCCTCGACCCCACCAGGTAGTCCCATTTGTCCGCCCTGCAGGCTCTTGAGCTGTTCCTACCTGCTCCAGGGTTGGCTCCCACTCAGTAGTGGGTTTACCATAACAAGAATGAAGCTTACAGTAGGAGACTTCCTTCAGAGATTCAGGGATGTGGCAGATTCAGTCACTGGCCAGGTACATGGAGCTCTGCCCCAGCCCAGTAGTCACCATTACATTTTGCTGGTGAGAGGCTACAGGAAAGGCCAGAGCACTGGCAGCATTGCCTTGCATCTTGCAGCCCCAGTGGCAGCCTGCCCCTTTTGGACCGATGGGGCATCCCGAGCCTGTGACTGACTTCATGGAGATGGATCTGAAGGATGCTGCTCTTCTCCCTGCTTGGGGTGGACCACTCCTGCAAGAGTGAGAAGGTTAGGGCGAGGGTGTGGGAAACTGGAGGGTCACATCCTGAGAGATTGGAAAATTAAAGGCCCAAGCTGTCTGAGGGCTTGGCCTAATTCTCCATCTCCCCCAACCCCCTAGAGCCTCTGCTCCCACTAGAGGCTCTGAGGGCTTCCTTTGACTCTGCACCCCTCTCTAGTCCCCAAAGAAGAACCCGCTGAGCAAGAAACTGCACAGAAAGTCACCATTGTGGATTACCAGTTATGAGAGGCAAAACTGAAAGAAGCTTTTCTAAACTATCAATAATAACAAAAATTCTGTCAACACTGCTAGAGGAAAGATGGAATTAGCTTTCTATTCTCTCTGCAGAAAATGACATTACAAAACCGTTGTCATAGGAAGAGGCAATAAAAGAATATGCAGGAAAAAAAAAAAACACAGAGAAATGAGTATTACCGATTTGTGTCAGGCAGTCAATGACAACTGCTAACAATTTCATGTTATTTTTCTGGATTTAAGGTATCTATGATATTTGGTAGCTTTTTAGTATTTAAATTTGCACGATTTTTTTCTTGTTCATTATCTAATTCTGTATTCTTTTTTTTTGTCTAAAGTGGCTTACAAATTGCATAAGCTTTAGACCGCAAACACCTCCAGCTGGGCCTCTACCCACTGCTGATAGACGACCCCCAAAGAGGCCACAGGGGAAAGCAGGCCTCTCGTCTCAGCAGAATCTCTCAGTTTCTTGTTATGTGGTTGGTCAGTGTAATCACTTTTAATTTAAAAAACATTGTACCTCATCTGTTTTGTCTCCTTTGTAGTCACACATATAATTTGTTTTTGTCTTCCTTTTCTTCATTTAAAAGCCTTATCAGAAGAGTATTATTTTTATTTATTTATTTATTTTTTTGAGACGGAGTCCCGCTCTGTCGCCCAGGCTGCAGTGCAGTGGTGTGATCCGGCTCACTGCAGGCTCCGCCTCCCGGGTTCACGCCGTTCTCCTGCCTCAGCCTCCCAAGTAGCTGGGACTACAGGCGCCCGCCACCAAGCCCGGCTAATTTTTTGTATTTTTAGTTTATTTTATGAGATTTTCTTTAAAAAATGTTTTGCTTTTGTAGATTTTGTTTCTTTGTTATCTAATTCAATTTCTACTATTATCCTCTTTTACTCTTTCTGCCAAAAAATACAGACCAGATTTTAAACATCAAAACAAAAAGCTATGGCTACAGTAAGGATGAAGGCCAAGTCTTCACTCCCATGGCAATTTTCTCCTAGCTAAGGCGAGGTATAAAACAAATTAATAACTGAATGTATAATTTATTGTCAGGTAGTGATTGGTACTGTGAAGAAAAATACATGTAGGTAAGTGGATATGGAATGATGGAGGTGGCATCTGCTTTAGATGGGATGGTCAGGGAAGGACTTTCAAGAAAGTGATATCTGAGCAGAGACCTGAGTAGGTAAGGAAGAGAGCAACACTGTGTGTGTTCTGGGCAAAGGGAGAGCAAGTGCAAAGGCCCTGAGGTAGAAATGGGATTGGAGTGTCCTAGTACTTGCAAGAAGGGCACTGTGTGCCATGCAGATCAAGTAAGGAAAGCAGAGAGAGAGGTTCCAGAGCTCAGATCTTATTTAACCCTATTAACTATAGGGAGAGTACCATTTTTATTCTAAATAAGAAAGCAAGACAACAGAGAGTGTGGGGCTGGAGAGCGCTGAGGCAGATTGACGTATAAATCTACAACAACTGCTGGTAGGAAAACCTCCCTTCCATTTGATTCCACTTCTCAGAACTTGCTTGTTGGCCCCAGAAGCACAAAGGAGCTGGGTCCCACCAGGAACAGCTGGGCAGCAGTGAATGCTGGAAAATGAGAGAGGAAGAGACAGATGGATGAGGATTAGAGGAATCCTCCAACGGGTCCAGCTTTGAATGAGGCAGAAAGTGTGAAGGTGAATGGAGAGTCACTGACACAGGGACAAGTTCTAAGACTTGGAAAAGGAGGCAGAAAACACAGCAGAAGTTAGAAGGAGTCTCTCTTTTGCCTTTATTATTCATTTGTTCCACAAGTAACACACGTCATTTGTAAACATATTAGAAAATACAGATAAAGAAGAAAAAGAGTCATTTTAAATTGCAAATCTAAAGATTGTTAGGTTAAATTGCAAATCTAAAGACTGTTAATATTTTGGTCTGTACAGTTCCATCTTTCTTACACATTTACACATATATAAACATGTATATATATATATATACATGTATATATAATGTATGCTTTTTACACAAATCATATTTGCATTATACTGTCATTTTTGCATTAAATATTTTATAAACATCCTCATGTCAATAAATGTAGGTTACTATTAACATTTTCAATTAGTGCAGGAAGACTGCTCTGTATGTTTTTACTATAGTTTATTTAAACACTTCCCTGGTCATTTAGGTTTTTTTCACATTTTGCCTTCATAAATGGCCACGTAACAGAGCTCTCTAAATTTAGATGCTGGGCACTTGCTGTTTCTTGATACTAAATACTTAGATAGGCTATCGCTAGGTTAAAGAATTAAAGATTTCAAACCTCTAGATATATCAGCAAATAGTTCTCAAAAAGTCTTGACTTAAAAATTCCCCCAACATGATGTTCCTACTACCCCCACACCATCACCAGTACTGGCTACTTCATTATTTTGCATTTTTGTTATCTATCCGGTCAACTGTGACACTACTTAATTGTTGTATTAGTTTTTATTTTTCTTACTAATTTTCATGTACTTATTCATCTTGCTGGAACTGCCTAGTTCATATCTTTTGCCTACTGTGTTGAGCAGGCTTGTCTTTTTCTCATTGCTTTTGAGAGTTCATATTATGTTTATAGTAATTCTATTACATATGTTATGGTGGTTTCCCAATGTTATTTTATTTTTTTTTAATTTTTTTTATACAGAGTCTCACTCTGTTGCCCAGGCTGGAGTGCAATGGCATGATCTTGGCTCACTGCAACCTCCGCCTCCCAGGTTCAAGTGATTCTCCTACCTCAGCCTCCTGAGTAGCTGGGACTACAGGCGCCCGCCACCACGCCCGGCTAACTTTTGTATTTTTAGTAGAGATGAGTTTCACCATGTTGGCCAAGCTGGTCTTGAACTCCTGATCTCGTGATCTTCCCACCTCAACCTCCCAAAGTGCTGAGATTACAGGCGTGAGCCACCATGCCCGGCCCCAGTGTTCTATTACCATGGTGAGATTTTATTTCCCTGTAGAGATAGTTTTAAATTTTTATGTAATCAGACCTATGAAGTTTCTGATTGTAATGTCCAGGTTGGAAAGACTTCCCCTGCCCCAAAGTTCTATCAATACTCATTTTATATTTCTGGTAAAGATTTATATTTACATTTTAACTCAGCTGGCTACCCTAGTCCTACTAGCATTACAGTGAGAAACAATTTAAAAACAAAGTCACCCAGTTCCACTAGCATCCCTCCTTACACCAACATTCCCTGTTCCACCAGCCTCCCTCCTTACACCAGCATTCCCTGTTCCACTAGTACTCCTTGCACACAAGCTCTCCTCCTGACTCCTTTTTCTCGTAGCTTATAGAGTGGCCTGAGAGTAATTAATCTCTGGCTCTGAGCACAGTGAGGCTCAGCAGGCTCCAATCACATAAGGCACAGTCCCTAAGGCTTGCTTCTATCTCTCCTCAGGGGAGGGCTGTCCCCAGCTCCTAGAGCGGCCCCTTGTGTCTTCTCACACACACAGGGAGGAAGGAGATGAAGGAATGACACTCCTCTTAGAGAGCCTGCCTATTTGGCTTGACCTTTCCCTACATCTGTCTAAAGTACTGATGGATGGCCGTACTGGAGACACTGTTAGACTCTCTTCAGAAGACTGTCTGGACCACCAGTGACCCTTAACACAGACAAGCATATGCTGTGGAAGAGTAGCTTCTAGACTTTTCTTCTTCCTCTGCAGCCACCCCCATTTAGTACATGCCACCAGAAGGCAATCAGGGTATCAAATCATTCTGTTTGAGCTTTGAAAACAGTGCTTTTTAAAACTATGAATACAAGGAAGAGGTACACTTCTTAATCCCCATAGACCGTTGATCTTCCCTTGAGATTTCTGTTCAAATGTCACTGTGAATTTTCTACTCCCTAAATTTACTAAACCAACAGCATCCCAGCACACATGTACATACTCGGTATTATTGAAATGCTGTCACTTTGGGGATAGAGCAGCTGTTTCTTACAGGCAGTAAACAATGGTTTTGAACAGGAAGCAGGAGAAAACATGTCCGGAGAAAACTTTCTGGGAGAAAAACAAACATTGACTAAGTTTGATTCTGGTCAAGTGACACAGTTTTATCTAGAAAGTGATATCGCAGAAACTCCATGTTCTAATATTTAATTATATGATTAATACAATGGTCACAGATTACTTAATTATAAAATTGTTAGTCTGCATATTTACTGGTCCATTTGTAAAGTAAAATAAATGAGTTCCTCTATCACTGTCGTTCTCAAAGGCAGGGGTAGGGTGGGGTGGGGGGAGCAATTTTGCCTGCCAGGGACATTTGACGATGTCTGGAGGCATTTTTTAATTGTGACAACTGGGAGGGTGCTACTGGCATCTAGTGGCTAGAGACCAGGGATATTGCTCAGCATCCTACAATGCTCAGGACAGCCCCTGCCGCTGCTCCCATCAAAACAAAGAATGACCAGCCCCAAATGTAAATCGTATCGAGAGAAAAGTGATCAAGAACAATTAGGAAAGGCATCTCCTACATGTTCTCTCTGATTTTCTCCCAGTTTAATGCAAGCAGAAAAACGTTGACCTATGCCCAGAAGGACACTCGTGACGCAGGAAAAATGGAACCCTAGGAAGCAGGAATCATTGCCCTGCTGATGGGAAGGTCCTGGGAACATGGAGTATTAGAACTATGTTTATGGGGGCCTAGTCCAGTCCCTCATCCCAGGTCTTGTTCCCTCCATGTCATGACTTCAGTGCCCTCCACACTGTAAAATTCACCAGTGAACGGCACGTGAAAACTTCCAGGCTTTCTGTGGGTCGGAGCATGGGCGCATGTCCCAAGTGCTGTTGAACCCTGGTCTCGGGTCGGCTCAGCTCAAGCTGCTGTTACCACAGCTCCATCTTCAGCTCCTTAACATGCTCTTCCTCTCTACCTCCTTTCTTCTTTTCTTCTCCTGGTTAAGTTTAAGAACCTGCAGTCCCATCCACCCCTGCTCCAGGAAAACCTCAGCAACACTTCTCTGGTCTACTCAATCCCTCCTTTCCTAGGGGCTCCTTCTCTTCATCTGTGATCTCCCAGGAAGCAAAGGTTCCCTTGAACCCATCTACCATCCTCTTCCCAAGCCTCCAACTCACCTTCTTGCAAACATGGTTTCAGCTATCTCCTCTGTCATTGATAATAATGTGTGTCACACACTGTGCTAAGAATTTGACCCTCAATACCCTTAGGAGGTCAACATTGCTATTCAGCCCATGGTACAGATGAGTTTGAAGACCTAGGTTCAAACCGTGGCTGTGGCAGTCACTCAGCCTCTGAGTCTCAGATTCCCTATTTGTAATGGGACCAATAACATCTTCCTTGGGACTCAGGGTTTTAAAATATAAAGATCAAGTGAATTAAAGCACATTATCATCATCATCACCACGAGTGCTTTAATGTATTATTGATTCAATATTAATTTCTAAAGAAACCAAATAAGGAGACAAGGTATAATCATTTAACATATTCCTGACTTTCTATCTGTGTCAAGACTTTGAAGAAATCACACACAGGGTCTGTTTCCCTATGCCCAGCCCAGCAACGACAAGCCCTCAGGGCAGGGACTGTGCAATCTGATCACCTGAGCCAGAATCCTGATGGCTGAGTGATTGCAGGCAAATTATACCTTCCAGTAACCCTGTCTTCTTATCTGGAACCTGAGGATGAAAATAAGGATGCCCTCCATGCTGTTTGGAAATTCATTCAATTAATCTTTGCGATGAGCTGAGGACAGAGCCCAAACCATATTACACACAAGGTATGTTGCCAATCTTACCACACCTCCAGGGAGGACTTGCAGTAAGTAACATCGCTCTCTGAAACACCCATGCTTATGGCTATGAGCCATCTCTGTCTGCTGTAAGCCGCCCCCAAGTCTCTGGCCTCTGCTCTGCCTCTTGGAGTATTTCTGTCTCCTTCCATGGCCACCCTGGCCAGCATGCACTGGCATCCCCCATGTGCCAAGCTGCATGCCAAGGGCAGATGTGGAAGGTCCAGTGACTTGGGTAATCTTGGCAGGACACAGTGGGTGCAGAATCTTTCACATGCTCATTTTGTAGGTCTCTAACTTGCTGAGGTTTATTGAGAAAACTTAAAAGCTAATTAGGTTCTATGTCAGGTCCTAAGAAAAAGGCTTAAAAAATGAAGATGAAAAGCAAAAGTTACTGGATAATTATTTTAAGAGAGAGATTTGCAAATTAAAGTCTCTCTCTTTGCATCTATTAAATTAGCAAATGTTAAAGAATAAGATATTAACCAGCAGTGTTGGCCAGGATATAAAACACCAGCACATTGGTGCACAGCTAGTGGAAATGCAAATCCATACAATTCCAATAAAAATAAATTTGCCACTGTATTTCATAGCCACTGATCCAGTAATCCTCATTCTCAGAACCTTTCTTAGAGAAATTGTAAAGAGTAAGAAAAAAATCCACAAAGGTGCCCACTACATATTATACATAATAGTAAAAATGGGAACAAACTCAATGCCCCTAAATAAGGAAGCTGATAAGTAAATCTATTAATTCATATTTTCAACAAATATTTATAAATTGCTCCATTTCTGAGTTCTCTGCTATATCAGCTCAATAAAATATCTTGTAGTCAGTAAAATCATCAATAATAAAATATGTAACATAAGAAGTGAAATGAAATTCATAAAAATACACTTTTGCCATGATTATAATGATGCCAAAATTAAATATTTTTATTTGCAGTGTTTGGGAACATGGACAAATCAAAATTGCTCATTTATTAAGATGGTGAATTCTAGATTATTTTCTTCTCCACTACTTGTTATTCATTATTACATTATTTGAAATGAAGAAAAATCTTATTAAACATGTAAAAACGCCAGGCATGGTTGCTCACGCCTGTAATCCCAGCACTTTCGGAGGCCAAGGCGGGTGGATCATCTGAAGTCAGGAGTTTGAGACCAGCCTGGAAGACGTGGTGAAACCCCGTCTCTACTAAAAATACAAAAATTAGCTGGGCATGGTGGCAGGCACCTGTAATTCCAGCTACTCGGGAGGCTGAGGCAGGAGAATCGCTTGAACCCAGGAGGCAGAGGTTGCGGTGAGCTGAGATTGTGCCGTCGCACTCCAGCCTGGGCAACAAGAGTGAAACTCTGTCTCAAAAAAAAAAAAAAAAAAAAAAAAAAGTAAAAGTCCCCACTCTTGCAGTCCTGTGTGAGCCCTACTCTGGGACTCCCACTCCCGATCGTGACTCTCTGCACATGAGTGGCAGCAGCGGCCTGGCCTGGGTCTTGCTTGACCATGGCCACGGGAGGGCTCAGCCTGTGGACCTGAAGCCACTTTCCCAGGAAGCCCCTGCTTGTTTCTCCAGATTGTTCTGCTGTACTTTATTTTTGCTCTCTCAAATACGATTTAAAACCCCAAAGAGAACACACTGGAGAGTCATTTCACAAGAAGTCCATCTATTCATTTCACAAGAAATGACTCTCCAAACACGTTGGAGAGTCATTTCACAAGAAGTCCATTCTATTCCTATAAAAGCAGGGAGATAGCCATTCATCCTTGGGATCCCTCTGGGAATTCTTTAGAAGCAGTGAGGCTCAGGCCTATAACTGACAAGCTCTGCTCCGCACATTCCAGTGGATCTGGGTGCAAAAGCTGACCAAGCGGCTGCGATTTGCAGGGGTGGAAACCTGGAATGTAACAAAATACAAAGCATGGGAAAAATGTGTGGCATTTTCAGTTTAAGTTGGCCAGCTGAGCTAGCTGAACTAAGCCCTGGCTAAACTCATACGTGGGCAAGGGCAGCTATCACCAAAGATAAGCCCTCTGAGAGTGCCTTAGAGGGTTTATAGCTATAGATATGGAAACCAGTCCCACCCGAAAAGACATTTTTATTTTTAACATTCTGGAAGCATGCCATCTGTAATCAGTTTGCTCACTCTGAATGAGCTCGAATGATTCAATCAGTCTTTAAAATTCTTTACTACAGGCAATCAAGCACAACTTTGATGCCCCGAGGGGTTAGAGTTTCTATTCCCTGATCATTTGCTCCAAGCACCTTCTGTTCAAAAAAAAAAAAAAAAGAAAAAGAAAAAAAGAAAGAAAGAAAAAAGAACAAAAAAAAGAAAGAAAAAAGAAAAGAAAAGAAAAGAAATATGCTTTTTAGGTTTGAGTTTGACCCTTAAGATGAGTTTCAAAGTAAACTCTTTTTAAAGACAATGTCCATGGACTTGGGTTTTTTTTGTTTGTTTGTTTGTTTGTTTTGCTGTATTTCAATCACTGCACGTGCTTGTGTTCAATGGCCTGTAAAATGTCTTGTGTACTCTGAAAGGAGAAGGAGTTCATATTGGAATGGCAATTGTCTATTTGGATTCTAAAAGTATCTGGGTGCACAGTATTTATCTGTTAGCCTAAACACAGTATTTATCTGTTAACCTAAACATAATCTGATTGTAATGGGGAAGACTAATTGAGGTTTAATCATGAGTTCATTCACAATGGAGATTCGGTCACCTGTGTTTTCCCCATGAACAGGACCAGAATATCCTGGTAGAAGTACACCTGGTTCTGCTCCTTTTCTTTTTTGGTAGAATTTTTTTTTTATTGTGGCTATATATATATATATGTTATATATTGTGTATACATATACATATAATAACATTTACCATTTTAGTGTATAAGTCAGTGGCCCTCAGTTGTGTAACTATCACTACTATTTCTGGAAGGTTTTCACC
Organism: Homo sapiens; assembly: GCF_000001405.40. NCBI lineage: Eukaryota > Metazoa > Chordata > Mammalia > Primates > Hominidae > Homo > Homo sapiens. The sequence continues at coordinate 9,622,669 of NC_000005.10, forward strand.
ATTCCAAACAGAAATTCTCTATCCATTAAGCGATCACTCCCCATTTCCCCTGCCCCCTAGCCCCTTGTAACTTCTATTCTGCTTTTTGTCTCTCTCTGATTTTGCCCTCTATGTGGGATGGTACAGTATTTGTCCTTTGTGCGTGGCTTATTTCTTTCAGCATCATGTCCTTAGGGTTTATCCATGTCGTGACATGTATACAAACTTCATTCCTGTTTAAGGAGTATTCCATTGTATTAACATGCACTTTGTCTCCGCATTTATCTGTTGGTGGACATTTGTTTTATTTCCACCTTTTGACTATTGTGAATAATGCTGCTATGAACACGGGTGCACATCTATCTGTTCCAGTTCCTGTTTTCAGTTCTCTTGGGTGCATATCTAGGAATGGAATTGCTGAGTAATGTAGTCATTCTATGTTTAACTTATTGGGGAACTGCCAAGCTACTTTCCATAGTGACTGCATCATTTTACATTCCCACATGGTAGGATTATTTTATTCCCAGATATTTGCTACCCTTCTGTGAGGAATTCCGTATCTCTCCTTTTTACTCTGGGCTTGGCTGCCTGATGTGCAACTGGATACGACAAAAGCTTTAGACTTCCCCGGTCCCCATTGTTTTCACTCCTTCCTCTAGCCTGTTCCAAACAGGAGCTGCTCCTGCAGGAGTGTGAACAGTAACAGGGCTGCTGAACAGCCACAGCCAGTGCACGACACAAGTGAGAATGAACCTGTGTCTTGGAGGTGCTGCAGTCCTGGTGCCATTTTGTCCCGCAGCAAAAGCAGCTCCACATACCTTTGATTGTTCCCTTGGCCTCTCCTCTTTTCACTTGTGCATGATTCTCTATGGGGTTTCTGTTTCCTTTCTTTGCCAGGTACTTTTACATGTGCTGTTTCCTTTTTCTAGAATTAGCTGTCCTCCAAAACCTGTGACTGATTATTAGGGGGAAGCATACAAAACTGTCATTGTTGCAGATAGAAAGTCATCAAAGTCTAGCAGTTTCCTAAGGTTAACATAACTAAAAACAACAATGGCAGCAGCCAGGCATTGTGCTGGGAACTGGGTTCCACTAACCCCTCAGCTCCTCTCATTAAGCTTGGAATGATTCCTAACCCCATTACGAAGATGAGGAAATGCGAGGCTCAGGCTCATCAAGTCACTTAGCTCATTAGTGGTGGATCTAGACTCCAAATCAGGCTCTTAATTAGGACCCTCTATTGTTCAACGTTTTCCCTCCCATGCACTCTTCTCTTCTCTGGAGGGGCTGCTGGAGATTCCTCGTGACAGTACTTGTTACAGTTCCCATTACCTGGAGGTTATATTCATTTGTGCTCACAATGGTGAAGAAGCTTAGCCAAGCATGTGGTATGTATTATTCTTAATCCCATTTTGCAGATGAAGAAATTGAGACTCAGCTCATGACAGTGCTAACTGCATTGCACAAAAGTTGCCTAAATCACCAAAATAAGCAGGTGCGGTTCTAGGGAGGAGAGCTGAGGAGACTGGGTTGTTGGCTTTGTGAACGCAGTGCTGTGGCTTGCCTACAGACTAATGACCTGTCTTTTAACAGGACTATACAAATCCAGTCAGCCTCCCAATCTAAAATGTCACACTCAAGGTTCCCTCTCTCATCCCATAGAGTTGCAACCAATGCTGCTGAAAACATCATACCTCATGATCAAAGGCATAAGTCCTTAGTTCAGGAATTTCAAATATTTTAGCAGATAAGCAGTGGTATTTTGGAGACTATTAATCATGAAACCAAACTTCCTGACCAAATCTTATATCTGGTCAATGTTTCTAGAAGCCACCAGGCTGGGTTTCAAGTGAAGACTTACTAATTTACAATCGCAAATGCAGCATCTGCTGTTCAAATGGGTGGGTTTTTTTTGCCAGAGGACATTCCATGTATTTAGTGATATAAGGTCCTAGTCCACTGTTAGCCACTTATTTATTTTCTACACTCCTTTTCATCTGTTCAACCTCAGAAGAATCTGAAACGTCCCCAGCAGTTGTGGAATTTGGGTTATTCAAGTGGTGCCCACCAAGTGCCAAGTCCATTCTAGCTACAGGACTTAATCCCCGCACACTCCCAAATTCAAATTCCACCTGGCACACTTAATGTGTGTGCTTATCTTGTAGTACTCACACCGATCCATGGGAGGGAGAGAGGTTAAGTCATGGAAGCAAAAGCTCTCTCAGAAGAGCATGCATCCCAACTTCAAAAGTAGAAACAGAGTGACGCTGTACCTTTTTTCCTCAGAAATGTTGAAGTTTGAACAAAATGAATCTTTAGTATTTTTAAAATTGACCTGGGCCAGGCACGGTGGCTCACGCCTGTAATCCCAGCACTTTGGGAGGCCGAGGCAGGCAACTCACCTGAGTTTGGGAGTTCAAGACCAGCCTGGCCAACATGGTGAAACCCCGTCTCTACTAAAAATACAAAAAATTAGCTGGGCATGGTGGCACATGCCTGTCATCCTAGCTACTCAGGAGGCTGAGGCAGGGGAATTACTTGAACCCAGGAGGCGGAGGTTGCAGTGAGCCGAGATCATGCCACTGCACTCCAGCCTGGATGACAGGGCAAGACTCTGTCTCAAAAAAAGAAAAAAAAATTGACCTGTCGTCAGAATTTTAAGTCAATTTTTGATTTAATATTATGTTGATGATCTTGTGGAGAAATGTTTAAAATAGAAACAATATAAAACGCCAAAAATAATAAAAGGAAACCCACACTTCATTGATATAAATACGTTTTAAATTTTAGGATACAATCGCCAATTCCTGATTCCCAGTCAAAAAGATTAAGTAGATCCAGATGTCACAGATGTGAATCCACATGTTTACATCACATCTTGAAAACAATCATTATTTTAATCCTACCAAGGTATAAGTTGCTGTATTAGTGAGAGACTAGTTTTGTGTAGAATGACAGCAGTAAAGACGGCAGTGAAACAAATGTCCATGAGCTATCTTGAATTTGTATTGACTCTCCCCAAAATCTTAATGATTTCAGCTCATTGAGGAAATTTTCCTAGTACATACCCTTCTCCTGGCATAAAGTTTTCCTAGAGAGTCTGCAATTTTTAGGTAAGAAAGAATATTAATAATAAAAAAGGAACTTTCCACTGATCTCAAGTTTGTGTTAATATGATGTTCAGTCTAACTCCAAACTCATTCCCCAGCAAGACCCTCTTTAAAACATGTGTGTCTCCCCATCCTCGTCATTTGGATTTTTCTCCATTATGGGTGCCATCTGTCTGTAACATCTGTCATCCCTTTGATTGCCAATGTGAATTTCGATGGTCTGGCTGGTTTCTTTCTCTCTTGCATATTTCTGACTACCTGTTTCTCTTCTCACCCAAAGAGGTATAACTCCACAAGGACAAAAGTTATGGAAACTATATTTTCAAACCTAAAATCACAACATCCATAGCATGAGAAGTATGCCTGTACTTAAACATACTATGGGGCAAAACATTTGAACTGTCTGAAGCACCTAGGATGCCTGGTCATCAGCCTGAAGAAGACGGATGGTAGACATCAGATGTCTTTCTAGCACCTTCTTGTCCGGAGCATTGTATCTTCAAGCAATTGTTACACTTGAATGAGTGACTAAGAATTTAAAAGGCATTTATCATTGGTGAGACTTTTGAACTAGTGTTTAACATTCAAATTGTGACTATATATATATATATATATATATATATATATATATATACACACATATAATTTTTTTTTTTTAGATAGAGTCTCACTCTATCACCAGGCTGGAGTGCAGTGGCACAATCTCGACTCACTGTAACCTCTGCCTCCCAGATTCCAGTGATTCTCCTGCCTCAGCCTCCCAAGTAGCTGGGATTACAGGTGCACACCACCACACCTAGCTAATTTTTGAGTTTTTAGTAGAAACAAGATTTTGCCATGTTGGGCACGCTGGTCTCGAACTACTGGCCTCAAGTGATCTGCCCACCTCGGCCTTTCAACAAAGTGCCGAGATTACAGACTTGAGCCACCATGCCTGGCCAATATTTATCTTCTTAAAAGTCTATTTCTATAAGCACACAGATTTAGCCTTCTCTGTTGGTGTCATCATCTTCAGTCAGTGGAGACTGTGCAGAACCCCTGGGATTAGGGACTGAAAGAGCCAATGTCAGAATAGAGAGTGGGACAGAGTAAGATAGCCCTTCTCTCCTGATTTGGGCCTGCTCATTGAATCCCAATCTAAAGTGGAATGGAATAAGACTGCTGGGTCCCATTTCAATAAGAGTCTGCCTCCTAGCGCAGAGACTATTTGGAAGCCACAGCCAGAAGCCACTTAACTGAGCAGCAAGCGCTGCCACAGTCTGCAATCAGCAGTCAACTGGCCTCACCTATGGGCATGCGATTCCACAGCCAAGACTCCCCAGGGCATAATGTCCAGCCCCATCTCTAAAGCTACAACAGTGGGTACAAAAAGATGTTGCACCATGATAGAGGTCAACCCACTGTTCAATGAGGACAAAAGCAATTTGGCAAAGCTGGCAAGTGCAGATAAGCGTGGCTCCAGAGAGACAAAAGCTCAGTCTGTTTTGCTTCTCAATTTGAGCAATTAGCGTCCTACGCAATACCCATCAATTCAAAAGCTAGGCAACGTTTCTGGAAGAAATACATTTCTAGGAAAGTAGACTATGAAAATGTTTTTAGAATTGTTTTATTATGAATTCTTTTTTTAAACATTTCTTGATAACAGTATAAAAACCTAGTCATATCTTAATAGTTATCTAATTAGCTAACGTTATTAAAGCAGGAGTTGCATGAAATAGAATCAGAATTTAGTATCAGAAAAAAAAACACATGAGAGTTGTATCATGACAAATTTCTCCCTGAATGTTTGAAATTGCTCCCACTCTTTCAGGTACACGTATCACAGATTCAAGGAACAGAATATTCTCTGAACTTGAGAAAAAGAAAAGTGACTTTTCATTGTCCTTTCCCCCATTCAGAAGCAATAATTACACCCAGGATACAACTGATCTTCCCACAGCTGGCTTCCTGAGTGCGTGATTAGCTACAAACCTTCCTACCTAGTGGGACGTGGGAAAATGAAATAGCAGGAAGATGGAGGCTGTCATTTTGCTCCTTGGGGAATGAAGTGTGAAACCTGTGGGAAGTTGAGAGTACACTCAGAGCTTAGTTCCCATGCCCAAGAAGATAAGTACGTCCCTGAATCTCCTGAAGCAAAATCCTTCATTGGTGTATTATAACCAGGCCTGCGTGGCTTGGGTTAGAAAAGCTGTATTTGGGTTCCTATTACTGGTGATTGAAAAATCTAAACCTAAACCTGCTTTGCATCATCACGCCTGAACTACAAGTTACCGCTGAGCTTAAGAACATTTTTTACTTCATTTACTTGTCTGGAAGCAAAATGGTTCTGAAGCTGTTTTGGAAATATACAAGTATATCTATCTCCATAATTTATCTATCTATCTATCTATCTATCTATCTATCTATCTATCTATCTATCTCTTAGTATTCAAAATCTCAACCAAACAGAAAATGCATTTGTGACTTGAAGCAGACGGAGACACCCCCAGCCCCACCCACCTACTGATGTTGCTTCATTGGGAAGACAGGCAATGCAGGAGGAGTTCCAAATTACCACTCTGGGTTGAAAGGGTCTCAAAGTCAGGCACACAAATACAAAATAAAACATCTTTGCAAGTTATTGTCTGTTCAGAGTGCACAGCTAGGAGAAATGGAAAACAGGCATTCAGTCCTCTACTCCTCCTCCTCCTCCATCTGTCTTCCCCTTTATCAGTTGATTGGCCATGTCACCATGGCATCTAGGCTCTCTGCAGGATGAAGTAGGAGAATATGCTTATAAGGATGGAGAAGGCCTGCTTGTCCTTGCTTCCTTTGTGATCTGAGGAGAAAGAATGGCTCCACTGCCTGCAACTCCAACAGACAGAACAGAAATAATATCCAGGTAGACAAGAAATGAACAGTCAGCCCGTTAAGGTCAGGAAAAACCATCAAAGACAAGGCGTCAGATATTCATGGACCATACAGCATTCATGTGTCCTTCTGACATCACGAGTTCAAACAAGTGCTTTTCTTTTTCATCAAACTTTTAATTTTGAAATAATTGTAGATTTGAATGCATTTGTAAGAAGGAATACAGAAAGACCCTGAACCATTTACTCAGTTTTCCCAATGGTAACAACTTGCACGATGATAGTACAATATCACTACCAGGATATTGAAATTGATGTAATCCATCAACATATGTTGTGCTTTCAAAATCAGTTTAACTGCTTGAAAAAGTAGCATATCCACAGAAATACCTCAGGCTGGATAAACAGGCCTGAAGGGGACATGTTGTATATTTATGAACAGGCTGCTTTGTCTGGCTGAGGGAAGTGTGGCAGGCATGGGTAAATCATTGAATCATGGGTTCTTTGAACTGATCCAACTTCTCTCTCACTGACAGCACTTACTGTGGAGGAGGAACTTTTTTGCATTTTGTTTCAATTTAGGATTTCCTAAAATTAAGATGAGAGAGTGTCCAGAAGGGTATATACCAATCACAAGGATGAAGAACAGAAAGATGAACCTTCTGATGTGAAACTTTAGAGAAGAGAGAAAAACTTTTATCATGCAGTGGGAGAAGTAGAGGATCAGGAAGGACAGGATAGACAGCAACGCGCTGATGGGTGCACCCCTGCCAGGAACCCTGCTGCCGGCCACTGTGTTTCTCATTTGCCGGGTGTGCCTCCCCAGAGAGAAAATCAAGAGCAAAACAGCAAAAAGGAAGATAAGCAATGGCACTGAGAACTCAGCAACAAAAGAGAAAATCTGTATAGCCAGTGTATCTTCTTTTTGAATTGTGGCATTTTGGGAGAAAAATTTCCTTAGGAAGTATGGGACCATAAACCCTGCATATTTGCTATGGAAAACACAAATCATAGATACATATAGCAGAGACCCCAGGATCATCCATGGGACCAGCTTGGATATCCTCATCTTCAACCAGATGAAGAGTGGGTGACGGACGCTGGCAACCTTGGCACAATAGAAAACGCCGAGCCATGTGGCAAGCCAAAGTTCCAATTCATTTATAAATAAGAGAATTGCACAATTCGCAGAACACATGATGAATTCTATGAAGAAGATAACAATCACATTAACGTAGAAGATGAACAACTGCAGAAAAATTCTAGAAACTGCCAGACAAGAAAGAAGGAGATCCAGCGGAGCCATTTTTCTGTGCTTGATCAAGTCAATGCCATTCACCACCACAATGATGCCATTTGTGAAAATCCCAAGAAGAAATTGTATCACTGCAAGAAGAAAATAGATAATGAGGTGAGACTCTAGCATTTTAGGAATAAAAAATTATTTACTTAAAAAATAATGAAGTTATAAAGTTTTGGACAGGTTGGGTTGTTCACGCTCTTCAATTAGATCAGGACTCCTCTGGGGAAGAAGACTAACAATAAAGGCATGGGGCAGGAAGGTGGTGTACATTTGTTTATGTCACTGCTTTCTCTATTTAGTTCTGAGACAGTCAAATAAGGAGGAGATACTCTAGCATCAATTTGCTTCTTATTGATGGCTTTTGCATTTTACAGGTTTACCTAGCTTTCAAAGTCATCACAGGCAAATAATGGAATCAGACACCTTCAGACAGCTGGGAGAACAGCTCCTCCATAGTAATTAGCCAAAGATACTCAATTCTTCATCTCTACTATGAATAATTGATTTTGCCTACAGGTGTGATTCTACTTAATGTTATCGTGTACTCTTTAAAAATATACATTTTTGAAATTTTCACTTATGTTATGATGATATGGTACAACCAGCAACATAGGACTCCTGAGTAGTTCTCCAATATGCAATGGTTGAGCAATTCAAAACTATCTGTAAAATAGTTATAGAATAAAATATACATAATAAAAGTATCTCTAAGTATAAAATCAAAGTAATTAGGCTTGCACATACATGTGTACACCAGGTCAAAGGCCTAAAGAAAAGTAAGGTGTAATGAAATGAAGACAAGCACTCAGCACTGTTCACCCTGGTCAGCATCTGCAGAGTAATTCAGGGGTTAAAATCTTTTCTCTCTTATTTTTCCAAAATTATGAGAGTTTTATGACATGAGCTAGTTGTTCTAGTAGAAAAGTAAAGATAAAATAATACATGATTAAATTTGTTGCTTTCAGTCTGTAATGCACTATGAAAAATTAAGTTGGTATTTCTTAATATGTATACCGTGCTGCCTGTAATGCTGAAGTGGGTTTTCTCAGTCTTTACATTATTGACATTTTGGGCTACATAACTCTTTGTTAGGCACGGGCTGTCCTGTGCAATCTAGGAAATGCAGAATGTCTACCACATGCCTGTCCTCTACCCACCAGATACCCTCCCCAGGCTGTAACAGCCAAAATGTTTCGAGACATTGCCAAATGTTCAAGAGTGGCAGAACCACTATGACGGGACAAAGGTAGATAAAGTATAGTTTGTACCTTCCAGTTATCCCAAGACTAAAGGCAGAATGAGCCACATATATAATGTGATATAAAACTAAGTCCTCTCTCTCTCTTTAGAGACAGAGTCTTGCTTTGTCACCTAAGTTGCAGTGCAGTGGTATAATCACAGCTCACTGCAGCTTCAAATTCCTGGACTCAGGTAATCCTCCTGCCTCAGCCTTCTGAGTAGCTAGGACTATAGATATGCACCACCATGCCTGACTGCTTTTTAAAAATTTTTCATAGATATGGAGTCTTGCTACATAGCCCAGGCTAGCCTTAACCTCCCGACCTCAAGCAATTCTCCTGCCTCAGCCTCTTGAGGTATTAGGATTATAGGCATGAGCCACCACTCCCAGCCAAGTTAGTTCTTTAGACAATTCATCACCAGAGCACAAAGTGGGGACCAATTCAATAAACACTGGGGGAATTAAAGCTTCTCCAACTTAGCACTTAATCAAAAGGTACCTGGCAGACCTGATAATGAAGCATATGTCTTAATGAACGTGTGTTACTTTGTCTAAATGTGTCATAAAGAATACTTAAGATTAATCTTATTTTTAGAAAACTGGAAGGGAAGTCATATTTTAAAAAATTAGTCGTGAGAGTAAATCTGTAGGTTCTTTTATGGCTCTTCTCTGAATAGGACCATCTATGCCATCTTGGACTCACTCTGTTCTTCCTGACACAACTACAGTGAGATGAAGGAAAGAGACAGGATCATCTTCAAGGAAGCACCAAGGGAGGTGTTCATGAGCAGATGCCATCAGAATGGATCCAAATGCAAGCATGCCAGGAGGATGAGCCTTGTTTTCCCTCCAGTAGAAAGAAGAAGAAACTTTGCAACTTAGAAGAAACATTCTGCAGCTTAGAAAAACAGAAATGTAAGGGCATGCAGCTATGAAATACAAGCATACTTCCATAATACTGTGCATTAAATTCTAGACCACCAAAATACAAGAATATTGCAATAAGGCCAGTCACACTAATTTGTTGGTTTTCCAGTACATATAAAAGTTATGTTGATACTAAACTGTGGTCTATTAAGTGTGCAATAGCACTATGTCTTAAAAAAAGATATACATACTTTAATTGAAAATACTTTATTACCAAAAAATGCTAATGATCATCTGAGCTTTCAATGAGTCATAATCTTTTTGTTGGTGTAGGGTCTTGCTTCAATGTTGATGGCTGCTGACTGATCAGGCTGGTGGTTGATGAAGGTTGGGTGGCTGTGGCAATTTCTTAAAATAAGACAGCAATCAATTTTGTGCATTGATGAACTCTTCCTTTCACAAAAGACCTCTCTGTAGCATGTGATGCTGTCTGACAGCATTTTACCCCCAGTAGAACTTTCAAAACTGGAGTCAGTCCTCTCAAACCGTGCCACTACTTTATTAACTAAGTTTATGAAATGTTCTGAATCCTTTGTTGTCATTTCAACAATGTTCACAACTTCTTTACCAGGAGTAGTTTCCATCTGAAGAAATTATTTGCTCATCTGTAAGAAGCACTTCCTCATTTCTTAAAAACATCATCATAAGATGACAGCAATTCAGTCTCATCTTCAGGCTCTACTTCTAATTATAATTCTCATTCTATTTCCACCACATCTCCGGCTATTTCCTCCACTGAGGTCTTGAACCCCTCCAAGTCATCAGGAGGTTTGGAGTCAAATTCTTTTACACTCCTGTTATTGTTGGTGTTTTTTTTTTAACCTCCTTCCATGAATCACTTCTTAGTGGTATCTAAAATGGTGAATCCTTTCCAGAAAGTTTTCAATTTACTTTGCTCAGGTACATCAGAGAAATCACTGTCTATGGCAGCTGTAGCCTTATGAAAAGTATTTTATAAATAATGAGACTTGGATGTCAAAATTACTTCTTGATCCATGTGTTGTAAAATGAATGTTGTATTGGCGGGCATGAAAACAGCATAGATTTCCTTGTACATTTCCATCAAAGCTCTTAGGTAACTACTCTTAGGTAACTAGATGCATTGTCAATGAGCAGTACTATTTTTTAAAAACGATTTTTTTCTGAGCAATAGGTCTCATTCATTTTTTATGGCTGAGTAGTATTCCATAGTGTGTGTGTGTGTGTGTGTGTGTATATTATATATATATATATATATATATATACACAAATGTTCTTTATCCACTCATTCATCGATGGGCATTTAGACTGGTTCCATATTTTTGTAATTGCAAATTGTGCTGCTATAAACATGCATGTGCAAGTGTCTTTTTCATATAATGACTTCTTTTCCTCTGGGTAGATACCCGGGAGTGGGATTGCTGGATCAAATGGTAGTTCTACTTTTAGTTCTTTAAATAAACTCCATATTGTTTTTCACAGTGGTTGTACTAGTTTACATTCCCACCAGCAGTGTAAATGTGTTCCCTTTATACCACATCCACACCAACATCTATTATTTTTTGATGTTTTAATTGTGGCCATTCTTGCAGGAGTAAAGTGGTATCTCATAGTGGTTTTAATTTGTGTTTCCCTGATAATTAGTGATGTTGAGCATTTTTTTCATATGTTGTTGGCTATTTGTATATCTTGAGACTTGTCTATTCATGTCCTTTGCCCATGTTTTGATGGGATTATTGGTTTTTTTTTCTTGCTGATTTGTCTGAGTTCCTTGTAGATTCTGGATATTAGTTCTTTGTCAGATGCATAATTTGTGAATATTTTCTCCTATTCTGTGGGTCATCTGTTTACTCTGCTGATTTATTTACTGTGCAGAAACTTTTTAGTTTAATTAGGTCCCATCTATTTATTTTTGGTTTTGCTGCATTTGCTTTTGGGTTCTTGGTCATGAACTCTTTGCCTGAGCCAATGTCAAGAAGAGTTTTTCTGATGTTATCTTCTGGAACTTTTATGGTTTTAGGTGTTATATTTAGGTCTTTAATCCATCTTGAGGTTGTTTTTATAAGGTGAAAGATGAGGATCCAGTTTCATTCTTCTACATGTGGCTTGCCAATTATCTCAGCAGTATTTGTTGAATATGGTGTCCTTTTCCCACTTTGTGTTTTTGTTTGCTTTGTCAAAGATCAGTTGGCTATAAGTATTTGGCTTTATTTCTGGGTTTGCTTTTTTGTTCCATTGGTCTATGTGCCTGTTTTTATACCAATACCATGCTGTTTTGGTAACTATAGCTTTTTAGCATAGTTTGAAGTCAGGTTATGTGATGCTTCCAGGTTTTTTATTGTTGTTGTTGTTGCGTAGTCTTGCTTTGGCTATGTGGTCTCTTTTTTGGTTCCATATGAATTTTAGTTTTTTTCTAGTTCTGTGAAGAATGATGGTGGTATTTTGATGGGAATTGCATTGAATTTGTAGATTGCTTTTGGCAGTGTGGTCATTTTCATAATATTGATTCTACCCATCCATGAGCATGGGATGTGTTTCCATTTGTTTGTGTGATAGATGATTTCTTTCAGCAGTGTTTTGTGTTTTACCTTGTAGAGATCTTTCACCTCCTTGGTTAGGTATATTCCTAAGTATTTTGGGTTTTTGCAGCTGTTGTAAAAGGGACTGAGTTCTTGATTTGTTTCTCAGCTTGCCCATTATTGGTGCATAGCAGTCCTACTGATTTGTGTACACTGACTTTGTATCCTGAAACTTTACTGAATTCATTTATCTGATCTAGGAGCTTTTTTGATATGTCTTTAGGGTTTTCTAGGCATACAATCATATTACTGGTGAACAACAACAGTTTGACTTCCTCTTTACTGATTTGGATGCCCTTTATTTCTTTCTCTTGTTTGATTGATTTGGCTAGGACTTCCAGTACTATGTTGAATGAAAGTGGTGAAAGTGGACATCCTTGTCTTGTTCTAGTTCTCAGGGAGAATGCTTTCAACTTTTTCTCATTCAATATAATGTTGGCTGTGGGTTTGTCCTAGATGGCTTTTATTATCTTGAGGTATGTCCCTTCTATGCCAGTGTTGCTAAGGGTTTTAATCATAAAGGGATGCTGGATTTTGTCAAATGTTTTTCCTGCATCTATTGAGATGATCATATGATTTTTGTTTTTAATTCTGTTTACGTCATGTATCACATGTATTGACTTGTATATGTTAAACCATTCATGCATCCCTAGCATAAAACCCACTTGATCATGGTGGATTATGTTTTTGATATGCTGTTGAATTTGGTTGGCTAGTATTTTGTTGGGGACTTTTGCATCTACTTTCATCAGGGATATTGGTCTGTAGTTTGCTTTTTTTGTTATGTCCTTTCCTGGTTTTGACATTAGGGTGATACTGGCTTCACAGAATGACATAAGGAGGATTCCCTCTTTCTCTATCTTTTGGAATAGTTTTAGTTAAGATTGGTACCAATTCTTCTTTGAATGTCTGATAGAATTCAGCTGTGAACACTTTTGGTTCTGGACATTTTTGTTGTGATTTTTTTTTTTTACTACTGTTTCAATCTTGCCACTTGTTATTTGTCTGTTCAGTTTCTATTTCTTCCTGACTTAAGCTGGAGAATTGTATATTTTATCCATTTCCTCTAGATTGTTTAGTTTATGTGTGTAAAGGTGTTTATAGTTGCCTTGAATAATTTTTTGTATTTCTATGGTATCGGTTGTAATATTTCCTGTTTCATTTCTAATTGAGACTATTGGATCTTCTCTCATTTTTTCTTGGTTAATCTCACTAATGGTCTATCAATTTTGTTTATCCTTTCAAAGAACCAGCTTTTTGTTTCATTTATCTTTTTTGTTGTTTTTGTTTCAATTTCATTTAATTCTGCTCTGATATTTGTTATTTCTTTTTTTTCTGCCAGGTTTGGGGTTTGTTTGTTCTTGTTTCTCTAGTTCCTTGAGGTATGACCTTAGATTATTTATTTATGCTCTTTCAGACTTTCTGATGTAGGTATTTAATACTAAGAACTTTCTCATAACACTGCTTTTGCTGCATCCCAGAGGTTTTAATAAGTTGTCTCACTATTACCGTTCAGCTCAAATAATTTTTTTTAATTTGCATCTCGATTTCATTGTTGACCCAAAGATTATTCAAGAGCAGATTATTTATTTCCATGTATTTGTATAGTTTTGAGAGTTCCTTATGGAGTTAATTTCCAGTTTTATTTCACTGTAGTCCGAGAGTGTACTTGATATAATTTTGATTTTCTTAAATTATATTGAGACTTGTTTTGTGACCCATCATATGGTCTATATTGGAGAATGTTCCATGTACTGAAGAAAATAATGCATATTCTGCTGTTGTTTGGTAGAATGTTCTGTAAATATCTATTAAGTCCATTTGTTCTAGGGTATAGTTTAAGTCCATTTTTTCTTTGTTGACTTTCTGTCTTGATAAGCTGTCTAGTGCTATTAGTGGAGTATTGGAGTCCCTCATCTATCTCATTTCTTAGGTCTTGTAGTAATTGTTGTATAAATTTGGGAGCTCCAGTGTTAGGTGCATATATATTTAGGATTATGATATTTTCCTGTTAGACTATCCATTTATTTTATCATTATATAATGTCCCTTTTTGTCTCTTTTTTACTGTTATTGCTTTAAAGTCTGTTTTGCCTGATATAAGAATAGCTACTCCTGCTTGCTTTTGGCGTCCATTTGCATGGGATATCTTTTTCCACCCCTTTACCTTAAGTGAGTTCTTACGGGCTGGGTGAGTCTCTTGAAGATAGCAGATACTTAAGTGGTGGATTTTTATCCATTCTGCCATTCTGGGTCTTTTAAGTGAAGCATTTAGGCCATTTACATTCAATGATAGTATTGAGATGTGAGGTACTTTCTATTCATTGTGCTAGTTGTTGCCTTAATACCTTGTTTTTTTTTTTCCATTGTGTTATTATTTTATAGGCCCTGTGAGATTTATGCTTTAAGGAGATTCCATTTTGGTGTATTTCAAGGTTTTGTTTCAGGATTTAGAACTCCTTTAAGCACTTTTTGTAGTGCTGGCTTACTAGTGGCAAATTCTCTTAGCATTTATTTGTCTGAAAAAGACTTTATCTGTCCTTCATTTATGAAGCTTAGTTTTGCTGGGTACAAAATTCCTGGCTGACAATTATTTTGTTTCAGGAGGCTAAAAATGGAACCCCAAGCCTTTCTGGCTTGTAAGGTTTTTGCTGAGAAGTCTGCTGTTAATCTGATAGGTTCTCCTTTAAGGGTTATCTGATGCTTTTGTTTCACAGCTCTTAAGATTCTTTCCTTTGTCTTGACTTTAGATAACTTGGTGACTATGTGCCTAGGTGATGATCTTTTTGTGATTAATTTCCCAGGTTTTCTTTGAGCTTCCTGTATTTGCATGTCTAGATATCTAGGAATGCCAGGGAAGCTTTGCTCAATTATTTCCTCAAACAATTTTCCAAACTTTCAGATATCTCTTCTTCCTCAGAAACACCAATTATTCTTAGGTTTGGCCTTTTAACATAATCCCAAATTTCTTGGAAGCTTTGTTCATTTTTTAAAATTCTTTTTTCTTTGCCTTTTTCTGATTGAATTAATTCAAAAACATAGTCTTCAAGCTCTGAATTTCTTTCTTCTACTTGTTCTGTTCTATATTTAAAATTTTCCAGTGCATTTTGTATTTCTCTAAGTGTATCTTTTATTTCCAGAATTTGTTAGTGTTTTAATGATACATATTTATTTTGATAATTTTTCATCCATATCCTACATTTTTAAAATTTCTTTAAGTTTGTCTTCACCTTTCTCTGGTATCTTCTTAAGCAGTTGAATAATCAATCTTCTGAATTCTTTATCTGGCTTTTCAGAGAGTTCTTCTTGGTTTGGATCCATTGCTGGGGAGCCGGTGTGTGTGATGTTTTGGGGTATTACAGAAACCTGCTTGTCATCTTACCAGAATTGCTTTTCTTGTTCCTTATTTGGGTAGACTATTTCAGTGGAGAGGTCTAAAACTCAAGGCCTGCTGTTAAGATTCTCTTGTCCCATGGGGTGATCCCTCAATGTGGTGCTCTCTTTCTTTCCCTAGGGATGGGGCTTCCTGACAGCTGGACTGACTGCAGTGATTGTTGTTGCTCTTCTGGGTTTAGCCACCCAGCAAGGCTACCAAGCTCTGGGCTGATATCAGGGGATGTCTGCAAAGAGTCCTGTGATGTGATCTGTCTTCAGGTCTCCCAGACATGGATTCCAGCACCTGCTCTAGTGGAGGTGGCAGGGAAGTGAAGTAGACTCTGTGAGAGCCCTTGATTGTAGATAGGTTTAGTTTTCTGGCTTTCTTGAATGCTGGTTATACTAGCAGTGAAGTTGTCATGTGGACAGACTCAGGGCCTCTGCTTAGCCAGGATATTGCAGGCAGTGGAATTAGGTGTTGTCTTCTCCTTCCTGGGGTCAGGGTTATTCTGTCCTGAGTTGCTTTAATGACCTGAGTTGGTTGTCCTCCAGCCGGGAGATGGCACTTTCAAGAGAGCACCAGCTGCAGTAGTAGCAGGGGGCTGTAAGCTTGCCCTAAGATGGCCAGGGTAATTATTTTGGTTTCTCATGTGATGTGTGGGGCCATAAAGCTCCCAAGAATTTCTATGTCTTGAGTTTGGCTACCAGGGAAGGTAGGGAAATACCATCAGGTGGAGTCAGGGTTAGGTGGGTGTGGGCTCAGACTCTCCTTGAGTGGGGCTTGCCACAGCCACTGTGGGGGATGGAGGTGGTGGTTCTCAGGCCAATGGGGATATATTCCAGAGAGAATCTTGGCTACCTCTGCTGTATCATATAGTTCACCAGGGAAGTGGGGGATAGCCAGTAGCAAGAGGCCTGACCCAGCTCCCACACAGTTGGTGAGGCTGGTCTCACTCCAGCAGTGCCCCCGCTCAGTGCCCAAGACCATGCGCACCCCACTGGGAAAGCAAGCATGGCTTTCAGACCTAGCCCCTCTCCACTGCCCGCTCCATTGGCAGCAGCTCCTGTGCTTGCTTGCTTATGCCTGCAGCAGCTCCCACTCACACCCCAGACTCTGCTCAAGAAAATTTGTGCCCAGTCAAAACCATTACCAATTTCTGATGGGAACTTCCTTCACCCTGTGACCCCTCCGCAGTTGTATTGGCTGGCTTCCCCAAGGGACCCTGTGAGATATACTCAATGATGGCTTCCCTGGGCTCAAGCTGGAGACTGGGAGTGCATGCAAGGTACTACCCGCTGCTACTTCTACTTTTATATTTGGCACAACTCCCTAAAACCATTTTATCCCTAGGTAGGTTAAATCCTTCTCCTGTGATCTGGATTTTCAGATTCCCCAGTGGGTATGTGTGTTCAAAGGTAGGTTTTCCTCCTATCATGCTTTGGGAACTCACAGTTTTTTGCCTGTTTTGTGGAATTTGCAGCAGCACGCCACTCTTTCAAAGGATCTGTGAATTATTTTGGTTTTCCTGGCATGTTCCTGCAGTGGTTCTTGGAGCAAAAGATCATGATGTGAGTCTCCACACACTGTTCTGCCATCCATGTGGAAGATGCACATTAGGCCGTTCTCTGCCATCTTCCCCCGATCTCCAACCTTAGCTAAATCTTCTGAATTGCTGCAGCTTCTACATAAGCACTTGCTGCTTTACCTTGTACTTTTATGTTAGATGGCTTCTTTCCTTAAACGTCATGATCTATCCTCTGCTAACTTCAAACTTTTCTTCTGCAGCTTCTTCACCTCTCTCAGTCTCATACAATTGATGAGAGTTAGAGCCTTGCTCTAGATTAGGCTTTGGCTTAAGGAAATGTTGTGGCTGGTTTGATTTTGTATGAGAGCCCTAAAATTTTCTTCATGTCAGCAATAAGGCTATTTTATTTTCTTACACTTGAGTGTTCACTGGGGTAGCACTTTTAATTTTCTTCAAACAGTTTTCCTTTGCATTCACAACCTAAGCATTTGGCCTATCATGGCTCTCAACATGCCTTTCTCACTAAGATTAACCATTTCTAGCTTTTAATTTAAAATAAGAGACAGGCAACTCTTCCTTTCACTTGAACACTCAAAGGCCATTTTAGTATTATTAATTGGCCTCATTTTAATATTGTTGCAAGTCAGGGAATAGGGAGGCTCAAGGAGAAGGAGTGCAATGGGACAGCCGGGTAGAGGGTCAGTCAGAACACACACAACATTTATCAATCAAGTTTGCCATCTTGTTTGGACACAGTTGGTGGTGTCCCCAAACAATTACAATAGGAACATCAAAGATCATTGATCACAGATCACCATAATGATACAAAAATAATAAAAAAAGCTTTCAGATAGTGAACGAATTACCAAGGTATGACAGAGACATGAAGAGAGCACAAGCTGTTGGAAAAATGACCCCGATAAACTTGCTTGACACAGAATTGCCACAAACCTTCAATTCCTTAAAAAAAAAAAAAAAAAAAAAAAAACAGTACCTGTAAAGCACAACAAAGTGAAGTGCAATAAAATAAAATGAGGTATGCTTGTAGGGAAGCCAAGAACTCTCAGAAAAGCAGTTACTGCTAGTTCCTTGGTTTCTCAGTCAAGCGTCTATCACTGCACCTGTCCTTTCTATTGCAAATCTTGGTTAACCCACCTGCGCCCTGCAACACTCAGCTCTGAGAAGCAGATTTGTGCTTTCTTCTCATCCTCAGTACTCTTCATTCATTAATTCACTTGGTGTTTAACATAAGGTGGGTGTGTTAAGTAAAACCAGACTCAATTATGTAAGGGAGGAAAAGAAAAATAAATATTACCAGAGGAAAAAAATAAATATTAGCAAGCCACTTAGAAAGACAGTCATTGTTTTCTAGCTCTCTCTTCCTGGAGAACCCAGACCATGACACCAGCATGGAGTTCATCCCTGTTTGCTGTCATATTGCCATGACATTTCTGTACTGATCCCGTGGTGTGCGCCTTCAGCAAGGTCCTGGCATTTCAGTATTGCAAGAAAAGTAACAAGAACACTAAAGTGGGAAAGTGAAAAAAAAAAGTTCACATCCTGAGTCTAGGATAGCAATACAGTTTTTCGGCCCTGACAGGAAACTAGCAGAGATAATACATATTGCACCAAAGACTTAAAAGAAATAACGATGTCCAATTCTATTTATTAGCATGCTATTTGTCTTTCGGATTCTAGGATCCTGAGGGGCCATTTGGTTCTCAGATATTCTATTACAACTTTTGTTTTAACTAGCTTGGGGAGCAGAGACAATTCTTCATAGAGAACTTTATTTTGTGTAGAATAGGTCTTTTGATATGGGAATCCCATGGAGTGAAAAGTAAAAATTCATAAGGCTTGTGCTACATTTTTTTCATTACATAATTTCTGTCACTGTCTCTTCCATGGGCACACACAGAGTCTGCCAAAGATTCACCGTTCCTCACTCTCTTGAGACTCACTCTTCTTACCCTGGAGGATGGAAAAATAAGAGACGTCTGTCTGTAGGTGTGCAGCATTCATGTGACTGCTAAACTAATGTCCCCTTTTGCTTCCTGAATGAGCCTCCTTTCAGTGCTGGGGTGAAGACCCCCAAGGACATGTTCTCCAGCCTTCCTCTGAATCTACTGCATCAATCAAGCCACAGATGTTGGTCATGCTCTTGCACTAAGCAAGAGTGAACTAAATATTTTAACACTCAACACAACAAATACAATTTTTAAAACAATGGCACTGAGTATAAAATCCTTTTAGGTCTTTAAACAGTTTGTTTTAGTGAGAAGGGCACATCAGAGAATTTCTGGCTCTCAGATGAAAAACGTATATGTCTGGCCTCACCTGTCAGTCAGTGGCTTGGAACGTTGACAGTTTTACATGGACAAATAGCTTGGAACAGATGGGACAAGACCTGATGTGGAGAAATTCACATGATTATTACCCTGTATTACCCTGATTAAATCCATTCACTTGCACTCATCTTAATGAGCAATCATTAAAGGAGACAGCACTAAATATTCTTGAGGTAACTGACAGGCGGAAAGAGTTGCTTATTTATATTCAAATCATTTAGCTCCTCAAAAGAAAGTGCGATTTTTTTCACATGCAGTTAGATTGACGTTGGAAAGCTTTTCATCAGGTAGAAGGCTGTAATGTTCATCTTTCTGCTTTCCGGCGGCACTTGGACATTTGCTTTGGTATTAGAGGCATCATGAAAGTGAGTGGTGGTTTTAATACCTTTCCCAAGTGGGCCCTCACACTTCATTATCAAGGGAACAATTCCTGCTTTAAGAAACATGTGCATGTATTAACATTGTTGTATATTTAATAAGATCATTCAAATAAGGAAGAAATAGACTCTGAGCAAACCAACCCAGACATCCTTTCTGAATCTTCCCGATAGCAGAGCTCGGCCCTTGTAAAGCCTATTTGGAATTTATTTCATTTAAAATTCACAACGTCTTGGTTAAAAAGCACCAGATTCTTTCAGGCTAATCATTCTTCAGATCCATTCATTTGCTTCTCTCCACTTGAATTTGCAGTTGATCTTTTAGACTAAAATTTTTGTCTTTAATATTCAGGTCACTTTCATATACTTGTCCCTTCCCTTGCTCAATTTATTCTAGTAATATATTTCTGTGCTTTTTCTTACTCCACTCAATATTCTGAGATGTATTTGCAATGCAGCAAATAGAATAATGGAGCAATGCAATACATTGAATTTAAGTCTTCCACATAAAGAACTCAAAGTGCTTTACAAACAAGAATCCCTTGTTAGTTACAATGAGGAAACAGAAGCCACAGATGCTGCAGTTGAATCATGGGAATAGTCTCTAGTCCTCACGATTTTGTCTTCAGCTCTAAACTGAGTTCCTCCGTGGAATTTCAAATCCTTCCTTGCTTCTTCCCTCCCTCCTTCTCTCTTTCTTTCCCTTCTTTCCTTTTTCCTTCTTTCCTCCCTCCTTCTTTCCTTTCTTTCCTTTTTCCTTCTTCCCTCCCTTCCTCTTTATCCTTCCTCTCTTCCTCCTTCCCTCCCATACCCCAGCACACACTTATTGTTTGTATTATGAACTAGGCACTGTTCTAAGCACACAGCATTTACAGCCATGCACTGCTTAATCACAGGGATAGGGGATACACTGTAAGAAAGTAATCGATAGACAATTCCATCACTGTGCAAACATCATAGAGTGCACTTACACAAACCTAGATGGTATAGCCTACTACACACTTAGGCTGTATGGTATAGTCCATTATTTTGCTCCTAGGCTACAAATCTGTACAACATGTTACTGTCCTGAATGCTGTAGGCAGTTATAACACAGTGGTAATTATTTATTATTTGTGTAGCTAAACATAGAAAAAGTACAGTAAAAATAGGGTACAAAAGTTGAAAAATGTCATATGTGTGTAGGGCAATTACCATGAATGGAGCTTGCAGGACCGGAAGTTGCTCTGGGTAAGTCAGTGAGTGAGAGGTGAGTGAATGTGAAGGCGTAGGACATTACCCTACTATACACTTTATAAACATTATACACTTAGGCTACTCTAAATTCATAAAAAATAAAGTAATTGTGCTAGGACAATACAATGGCTTTGATGTCACTAGCTGATAGGAATTTTTCAACTCCATTAAAATCTCATGGAACCACCATTGTATATGCAGTCCACTGTTGATGTAAATGTTGTTATATGGTGCACGACTGTAGTAATGAACAAGACAAAGCTTCTGTCATCTTGGAAATCACACTGTAGTGGGGAAGAGGAGAGTTAAACAAGTGAAGAAATAAATAATTCCAGGTAAAGTAGAAAGAGGTGCTATTTTAGAAAGTGTGGTCAGGAAAGCCTGACCTCCCCAGAGAGGAGGTGATAAAAGACCTGGATGGAAGATCTGGGAATGAACACTTCAGGCAGAGAGAGGAGGAAATAGTATCCTCACTCCCCATCCCATCAATAAAAGAGCTTGCAGCATTCCAGGAATAAACAATGCCCAGCAACCCTGCAATGTGTGGGGCAGTATGAATAAGGCAGAGCAGAGAGGAAGTTAGAGGGGAAGGCATGGAGACTGCATCTCACCCTCAACTGAATGGGAACCCATTGAAGTGTTTGGGTGAGGGGGAAGCTTTGTTATAATCACATTTATATCCTACAACATTTACTCTGACTGCTGTTATTTAAAGAAAGGCATTTACTCTGGAGAACATATGTGGAGGTTGGGAGAAGGCAAGTGTGGAAGTAGAAATAACAACTAAAGGCTGTTGCAGTAGACCAGGCAAGGCATGTTGTTAGCTTAAATTAGGTTGGTGGTCAAGATGGGAAGAAGTGGCTGGACGAGGAATAGATTTTGATGGCAACACCAACAGGAAATTCAGTTGGCTTTGATGGGGAGTGAGGGAAAGAGAGGAATCAAGAAATACTCTTGGGTCATTGGCATTATCCCCTGGTGAGCAATGGAGCCATTTTTCAAGAAGGAGAAGGTTGAAGGAAGGTTAAAATCAAGAGCTCTGTGTGGACATGCTCCTGAGACGGCTACTGCAGGTAGAGATGATATTATGTCATGGATGGTAAGTTTGGAGTTTGTGGGAACTATCAAGTTTGGAAATATGCATTTGGAATTTGCTAGCATATAGAGGATATTGAAAGCCATGAGGTTGGTTAAGATTATGTAGGGATGAGATTGCCAGCTGGAGTATCTGAGCACTGTAAATAAGAAACCACATTTTGTGCATTCGTGTCACTTCGATTGTCCTGTCTGATGCCATCTCTTTGTGGAAGGATGCCCTGACGAGAGCAGAGTAGGTGAGTCAGAGCTTGCATTACTGAAAGCAATTGTGGAACTAGTACTAGTCATGGTTTCCTAATCTCTTTATGTATGGCTGATTTTATTTGCTGTTTCATTTAGAATTTTTCCTCCTTCTAAGGAAGATTGGTCTGCAGATTTTTATTGGTGCTATATTTAATAAATTTGATTATCTATGTTATGCTGGATTTATCAAAAGATTGTTAAGCTTTTCTTATTTCTATGCACCAGAACAAATTAAATAACATGGGAATTATCTGTTTATTTGTTGGATGGAAAGAATTCACAGTGAGAAATTCTGGTGCCAGAGGCATTTGGGAAGAGGCAGAATACTTACCAATCATTTAGTGCTTACAACGCTAAACAATTGAAAGGCATAACATCAATTTGTCCTCTTGACAATTTTATGAAATCAGTATTCTTTCCACTTTAGAGATTATTAAGTTGAGGTGCACTGAGGTCTGGAAATTGCCCTCAGTCATGCAGCTAAAAAGCAGCATTTCCAAGTTGTGGACCACAATCTGATTTCAAATGCTATGCGTGCATTTAGCCATTAAGCATCACCGCGTCCTATGTTAATACCCACAGTGAGAGTGAAGATTCCTTTCAGTGGTTCAGGCATAAAATTTGGACAGCTGCCATTTACTGCCCATCTGGCATTTGTCCCCTTGCCTTTACCCTGACTTTCTTTCCAGGAACCACTCTCCTCCACCCTTGTTTATGGGCCTTACTTGGGGCTGACTCCATCACTGAATCCAGGAGTAGTCACAGAAACCCAGGTGTGGCAGTCAACATATCCATTCACCTGAGCAAAAGAGATATATCCAGGGATAAACATGAGACCCAAATTCATCAAGTCAGAACTAATCCCAAAACTTCTCACTGGGCAGGCTCTCTGCAGACAGGATGGTTGCCTGGCATATCCATCTTGCCACCATGAGAGAAGGACTTCAGCCTGCCCAAGAATGGATTCCATCCAGAGGACAAAAGTGCCCAGAAAAGAGAAAGCAAGACCATGTTCTCCTCAGAATATGTCAGCCTCAGAACCAGCCCTCACTTACTGCTGGCCTTGACATTTAAATGAACCCACAAATTCTCAGTTGTTACTGAAGTGGGCTTGAGACGGTTTTTTGTCACATTGGGTGTGCTGAAATAGTTGTGGACTATTATAGAAAGGTAATGATGTATTTTCTATTTCTCATAGTTAGTAACTGGAACCAGACAAATTATCTGCCTAAAGCCAGTCATTTAGTGAAGTAACTAGGGCCCATACCTGTGACTTGTATATTAGAGTTTTGAGTATTCTATTCACTAGATCATACAGTTTTCTCAAACATATCTGTGGAAGTTACTTAGAAAAAATAAAATACAAATTTCTTTTCTGGATTCTTTCCCTATACATTTAGTTATTCATTTTCCATCACTTAGTTACTCTGACGGCTCAGATTTTATTGTGCTATAGAAGAGTTCTCAAAGCATAAGGTTACCATATGGGCATCAGAAGTTTTATTCATTCCAAACCGAACAGAATGTCTTTGGCATTGACTGGCTATACTTTGTTCAAAAGATGCATGGTCAAATATATTTTCATATGAATTTGCATATATGTGGCTGCACAACCATTGGATTGGACACATGGAAGATGATAATGTGTGCTCTTGAAACAAGCAGTGCCATTTCTGCCCTGGTCCAAACTCAAATGGTTCTCTTTTGTCGTAGGAGTCAAATTTATTTTTCCTGCCCTTCAAAGATACAATACTTCCTTACAAATTACCTCGCAAGGATAGAACTGGGTATTTCAGATTTTCATATATAGAAGCTGCCCTGGGTCTTGCTGCTGCCTCTCCCCTTCAAAGCAGCTGTCTCCAGATACAGGATTGCCAGCTTCCAGAAGACCAAAATTGTTGTGCCTTGCTTTGATTTTCCAGAATGTGGGACCAGCCTTTGTGGTTACTTAGTTCATGTGTTTTGGGGAAACTGAAGCTATCTCTTGCACCCAGGAATAGACATAAATGTGTGGGTAAAGATAGGGATGCTCTAGAAACAGCTGCTGAACTAACAATGAAAACAAATGAATACAATTTCTCATCTTTAGGAAGTCATTGCTAGCCAAACTATTACTATGCAAACTATGTAATATTTGTCATAGCGTATAAAATATTATTCCATCTACCCATATTTGTGGACATTTGTAGCAAATAAGTGGGGTAAAGGATAGGGACTGTGACAATGATATGGCATGAATCTCACTGACTCAGAGGAAATGAAAAACCATGAACTCGGCTTTTTAAATTCAATACAGTAAACTTAATACAGAACCACATCAAATCAGATCTGTAAAGGATATTAATGATTATTTGTGCCAACTCCTTACCATATGTGAAAAGAGAAAATAGAATCCCAACAAAGATGCATAAGACCCTGTACCTTGACCCAAGGACTATTCAGATGTCTTGCATTCTAGAAAAAAGAATATTGTGGATTTATTTGCTTTAGTTTTGACCAGCACAGCCTCCACAGAAGCATAGTCCAACTCAGTGGGTGGATGTTATCCACAGTGGCAGCTGTTATCACCCCAAGGCAAGGCTAGTGACCATGCTTTTGAGGAGAGCTGTGCAAACCCCACATACATACATTTGAATCTCACCACAGTTGACTGAAAAACCTAGATATAGGAGTCTGCACCTCCTCCTCAAAATGTGAGAAAAGTAAAAAACATTTAGCAATGGTACTCAAGGTCCTCCAGCCACGTGAATAGAGCAAAATTGGTCCAATATATTTTAAATTACAATAGTAGTATATTAGAAAGGGAAATATAAGGGAAACTTTTAGTTATAATTTTCTGTAGACATTAATATTTATTCTTGTATACATCAGACTTTCTACAGATAGACGCCATGATAATATAGAAGATTCATTTTATGAAATATTCTTTCTCAATTATTCACAAATCTGAATGTTGTCTTGTTATCGTTAAGTACATAATATGAATTTATTATCTATTCTCCCTGCCTGGCATGAAACATCATTTAGATAATCATAGATTCTACTGAAGAGGAAGAAATTTGAATAATGTTAACAAGCAATTCATGGTGGGGCTTTTAGTCAACTTTATTTTTCTAGTTCGACTTAACATAGTGATTCACAAAGCTTACTTCCTCCTAAGAATTCACATAACCATGAAAAAAGTACTTTTGGCCATAAAACAGGATGAGATCAAATGTATCTCAAAAGCAACTATTGTCAGCTATATTCAAAATGCATCATTCTTTGATCTAAAATGGAGAAAGTAAGTGTGGCCATGGCTACACAGCAGTATGGATTGGGGAGAGAATACTTCAACATGCAAGAGAAAAATGTGATCTTAATTATAGGGACTTGTAATTAATGCATTTCAGGCCTCAACATTTAAGTTGCATTTTGGTAACTTTTAAGTAAATAAAAATTTTAAATGAATAAATAAAGCTTTTAAATAGTTTTTAAATAAATAACTTAAAACTAAGAAATCTGTTTTTATGCCTTTTTTCCAATCTATCAAATTGACAATATAACAGATCTGCATTGTTCCTGCATCATTTCAGGTGGCCTGAAATTTGACAAGAAGAGGACATATGAATGTCTTCTGTAAGGTTAGATGAAGATCCCAATGCACTGAGTCAAGGTCTCTGAATCGTGGGGAACATGAGGTAGTTACCCCAAGCAGAAGCAGAGGCCACATCCCTCAGCTCGGTGTCCAGTGGCCCCACATTCATTCATACTGGGAGATAGCAGCAAGGAATGATACTTTCTTTGCAATACATGGTACTGTCGAAATGAAAAACTCAATAATCCCTTACAGGATCTCCATCATTTTTTTCGGGGGTGGGGGGTAGCTAGGGACGTATAGACTCTATACTAACAATCTTGGCCCTTAACTAGAAATATCATGGCCGACCAGTGACCTTTTGGATACATATGGACCTCAAGCCAAATACAGCCACAGCAAGGCCACAGGCTCATGAAGAGGAAGAAGGCAGGGTCGGTGCCCAGGCATCCTTCGAGAAGCTCTGTCTCCAACTTTTCTCATCTGGAAAGCCCCTCTTCCTTTTGCTCATTGCAAAATCTGACTTAACACTCTTTTATCTGGCAGTGCTTAAAGTGAGTTTGACCTGAGGTCCACAATTGCTAATTGTTGAAAGAGAACTAGAAACACTTGCTTAATTCCGAGGGTCAACATCAAAAACAAACCTGACCAAAGTTGCAGAGGAGGTATTTTACAACTAACAACAACCTTAACCTGACTTCGTTTATCAAATGTCCTCAGAATTATGATACACCCAGATCTTTGGCATTGTATTTTTTTGTCCACCGAACAAAACCGGGAAGCTACCAAAAGTCATGCATGGAATTCATGTGTACCACTAGCAGTGTGTGAGATCAGCAGAATGTTTCTGAAAGCTAAGAGCTGTATTCAAAGAACTGATCACAATTGCATTTGAAATAAGTTATCTGCCACTATTTCTTTTGGCCATAATGTGGCAAATGTTATATAGACAAGAAAATATTTAGTAAAAGTTGGAAGTATTTGCAAAATATTTGTGCAGAAGTTTGCATCTTTAATTGTATGACCTCATTGTAGTTGCACAGGGAGACTCCAGCTACATCTTATCTTTTCAAAATACTCCTGAGCAATGGCTTTCCTACAACCTCTTTGGAATGTAGCATTATCAGCTTCTATTTCCCCAATTTCCTATAATTCAATAAAAAGTCAGCAATAACATGTCCAAGGGCATGTTATCTCAAATGTGGATTTTAATGAAACACAAATATGCCCATGCATGTTTTAGCAAATTGTTCTGGACCATGCAAAAATGCATTAAAAGTGGAGGCATATTTACATTTGTTTTGCATTTGTTATTTAAGAGGTCAGACTATGCAAAGTGCATCCACTTTTGTCAATAGCTTCAAGGAGAAGAAAATTTTATTAAAGTTAGATTCATGACAAACAGATGAGTTAATATCTGTCATTTGGGGGAAAAGGTTTTGAGAGGCTACATTTTTAAAATAATAGGCATTTATTACTTTTCCAAAACTGAGAATACTTAACAAATGTGCCTGTCTATTTTAAACCAGGTATACTGGTCTGCAGGTAAATTTCCAATTAAAAAGCCAACTTAATTATAAGCAGTTTACAGCACAAAGGGAGATTGTTATATAGTCTGGAATTGGCCCTGGAAATTTTAATATAAAAAATAAAATTAGTAGTAGAAGAATAAAAGACATTTAGTGATTTCCAAAAACTTTTAGAGACAATTCTTGCTCAAGATTTACAAATAAAGAATACAATAGAAAAATTTGTATTCTAAGATGATAGAAAACAATATATTCTAACGTTGCTTAAGAGATATAATCTTACGTACTTGCTGGATTTGTTTGTGGTTGCCTTTGCCAAAGGAAACTTTTTTCAAAATTAAAGAATTTTTTTTTTCCTAAACCAGCCTCTGCATTTGCCCCTGAATGCTGGGGAAAAAAGGGTGTGCAGGAGGGGTGGGCACAATAAAAACTGTGTGTGTGTGTGGTGCATTTTCTATACACTCCCGGCTATGTAGGACGGACAGACCCATTTCTACAGTGTTACCTGGATTCTCTATGTAGCTACAGACCTACTACATTGGGGATTACACAACTCTATGCCTCTAATATTATGTTGGGCTTTGTTGGACACAGCACACCAAGGCCAGGGTGGACCTGGTGGTGTGCACATATGCTGTCCGTGAAGTCTGAAGTCTAACATACTTAGAACATTCCTTCTTCCAGAATCACATGGATTCATGACCTCTCCTAATTCATCTCTATTTAAATTTCACTTCATCACAAAAGACTTGGTCCGATTATCACACCCCACATCACCAGCATTCTCCTCATCCCTTTCCACTGCTCTGTTCTCCTTATTTGGTTAGTACTTACTACTATCCAACATATTTTCTGTCCCTCTTCCTAGAATATAAAGTTCCATTAGAACATAAACTATTTTTCTTCGCTGCTATATACCCAGTAACTAGATGGTGCTTGGCACATGGTGGGTGCTCACAAATTTTTATGGAATGAATGTATAATTAAATGTTTAAAATAAAAATACAACTGCTGATCAATGACACTGCAGAAAGGTCCACCAGAGAATGCAACCTGAAGATTGGCAGGGAAGTAATTCATGAAATGGCTATTGTTCTGAACACTTAGAAAGTATTAAGATTTCTTCTACCTGCTTCTGACAGACTCAGAGTATAAAAAGTTTCAAAAGACTGTGCTGTGGTGTGGAGAAATTCCAAATGGAAAAATTGAACATATTCTGTCATCAGCTCCTTTCAGACAGATGCTCTCAAGGTGATCGATTTGGCAGTCCTGGGGAGGGATGATATTACGTTTCACATATACATCACTGGATTAATCCTCATTGTGGTATTAAATCTAATTAACATAAATCTGTGCAGTGACTTATGTTTTAAATGATGGGGTAATTATTTAAATACTTTCTACTATGAAGGGAGTTGCGGGCTTGGGTTGGAGAGACATAGCCAAACCAGAAATAGGCAACAAAAGACTTTCCAGAAGAAAAATGTGACATAGTCCAATAATATGAGTGTTACTTAAGAACACCTAATACGCTAAATACTGATCTGACAAAGAAGATAAATTGAGAAATGATGATTCATATTCCCAAAGATTTTTTTCATGTTAATATAAGCATATTTAATGGAGAAATCCATAACAGATTTTAAAGCTTTCATTTTCTAAAAGAGTACGACTCAAATTTTTATAAACATATGTATGATATCAATAGAGGTAAATCCATCTCATTTGAGTGAGTGCAGCTCCAGCTTTGTGTAGATCTTGAGCATCCTTGGTGAGGGTATGAGAATGAAGAACACTCCGGAGACCAGAAGCAACTTATGACTCACCAAAGCTCTGACTGCCACTCAGTAGCGTTCTAAGCCCTCCATTCATTCCCATTCCACTTCAGTGCCAAGCATCTGAGATGGGAAAGTCATCTTCAGCCCACCAACAAGCCCTGAGCGGCTGGGCGTCCATCTCCCCATCTGTACCAGTGGCACACATCACTGTTCCATTCATCATGTCTATGAACTTGATCTGATTTTTGTCATGACTGTCACTATAAAAGTCACTCTGCATGAGTGTCAGAAGGAAATTTAGAGGTCTGTTGCTGAGGTAATATATTTTCAGATCAAAATGTGGGTTATTGAAATCATTATATGTATATTCACATGACTACATATTATCATGTTAGGAGATGGGACTGATCATGGAGACATAGTATCTCTCTGCATCCCATGAGACATATCTTTCTTACACAATTCCCACTGCTAGGAAGATCACTGAACTTTCCAGAAAGACGTTCACCAAATACGCTCTTAGTGGGACCCAACTACACATCGTCTGTGGCAGAGACCTACAGTTCTCATGAGTATCTGAGCAGCTCTTTTTCCTGGAAACACAGCTGAACACTTCCCAGGATCCCTTGGATTATGTGTGTCTCTGTGACAAAGTCCAGCCAATGGAACATGCCTAGAATCAATGTGGGCTACTCCGGGGCTGGGCCCATAAACACTACCCAGTTACTATCGTCATCCTCTTCCTCTTCACTGGCTGAGTAGAGAGGATTCCAAGGAGCTATAGGGAGGGGGAGCCACAAGACGGAAGGATGTGGCTTCCTGAATAATGGGATGGAGATTTACCATGGCTGCCTGCCCCCACCACACACACAATGGACAGAAATAAGAGAGAAAAGTAAGCTTTTATTGTATTAATCCATTCAAATTCAGGGCTTGTTTGTTTTATGATTAACATACCCTGACAAATAAAATGAACTTTAATGGTTTTTCAGAATCTGTTGCATTTCATTTTCTAAAAGATTACAATGCAAATTTTTATAAACATATGTATGGTATCAACAGAGGTAATCCTTATCTCATTTGAGTGAGTGCAAATGAGATATGCATTTTTCTTCTGTTGCATTTACTTTTCTAAAAAATATTATTTTAATTGTGGTAAAATACACATATCATAAAAATTGCCATTTTAATCACATTAAGTGAACAATTCAGTGGCATTGGGTACATTCACATTTTAGTGTGTGTTACCATCAGCCACCTCCAGGATGTTTTTCACTTTGGAATCTGAAGCTCTATACCCATCAAACAATAACTCACCATTTCCTACTCCCCACCCCAACTGCTAGCATCCACCTTTCTGCTTCCTGTCTCTATGATTTGACTACTCTATATACGTTTTCCGAGTGGAATTATATAGTATTTTGCCTTCTGTGACTAGCTTATTTCACTTGGCATGTTGTCCTTCAGAATCACCCAAGTTGTAACATACGTCAGAATGTCCTTCCTTTTTATCACCCACGTTGTAACATACGTCAGAATGTCCTTCCTTTTTATCACCCACGTTGTAGCATACGTCAGAATTCCCTTCCTTTTTATCACCAATGTTGTAGCATATGTCAGAATTTCCTTCCTTTTTAAGGCTCAATAATGTTCCATTTTATGTATAGACCACATTTTGCTTATCCATTCATTTGTTGATGGATGCTTGGTTTACTTCTACCTTTTGGTTGTTGTGAATAAAGCTGCTATAAACATGGGTGTACAAATAACTGTTTGTGACCCTATTGTCAGGCTTTTTGAGTGCAAATCCAGAAGTAGGATTGCTGGATTATGTGGTAATTCCATTTTTAATTTTTTGAGGAATCATCACTATACGGTTTTTCACAGCAGCGACACCATTTTACATTCCCATCCATAGTGCACAGCCATTCCAATGTCTCTATATACTTGCTCACTCTTACTTTCTGTTTGGATTTCCTAGGATCTTAACCTCCAGAAAACATAAACAAAAGAAGTGCATGATACTGTATCACTTACTGTCATAGATTTTAATGAATATATCTGAAAATTCGTTTCAAACTAAGAGCTATTCCCAAATATTCAACATCTACTGTTCTTTGCTTGATAGGAGCCACAACCACTCTCTCCTAAAACCAAGCTTTTTGGTTACAAGTGATTTCTGTGTCTGCAGGTAAGGTTACAGCTGGCTTTGTGGTTAGTAAATAATCTCTTGGTAACAGACTTGCTTCATCTGTAGGTGACTGTATGAAGTCAGGCCGAGGGCTGAGTCAGACAGCTCAGCTGAGCTGCTCTGGTGGCGTGCCATGAGAGTGTCACAGCCATATCTGGAGCAGATTAACAAGAAATGTAAATTCCCTTCCAAAAATAGATTCCAAGAAGTAGAGAACTTTTAAAATTACTTTCTATAGGAATTTCCATGATGCCTGAAGCTCTAATTAAAAAGACTTATAAACTCTAGCTAGGTAAAGAATTTTTGAAAAACTCTTCCTGCATTCTCTATGTAAGAATAATACCTAGTGCTTTTTTAAAATAATAATAATAAGAAGAAGAATAAGAATATTTTGTGCTGTTATTTTCTTGGGCAAAAATTTTTAGAAGGCTGGAACAATCTTGTAATTTTATTCTCTAGCCTTCCACCATTCCTTTACTTATAAAAAATAGCATTTTAATTAAAATAATCCTGAATTCCATGCAAGATTAAACACATGAGAATAGTCAGCAATCTTTTGGAACAAAAAAAAAGAATAAAGAGTGACTTTCACTGTCAGACACCTAAGTGTATTATGAAGCAACAATGATGAAAACTAAGTGATAATCAGCCCATGGGAATAAGTGCATAGTCCAGAAAGGAAAAAATGTCCATAAAATCATTTTGGTATTTAAAGCAATGGAGCAATTATGACCTATTTGATGAAGACAGTATTATATGAACAAGTGGTTAAGCCACTAGAGAAAGATAAAGTTAGGTTCCCATTGTCTCAGAATTTACATGGAAATTAATTAAAATATGAAACAAGTCTTAGTAAAGATACAGAACAATAAAAACTTCCATTCCTTACTGGTGAGACTGAAAATAATACAGCTATTCTGGAAAACAGTATGCCAACTTATTACGAAGTTAAACATACATTGTGTCTGTGGTCCAGCAATTCTACTCCTGTTATTTGTCCAAGAAATATGAAAGCATGTTCCCACAAAAAGACTGTTATAAAAATGCTCACAGTAGCTTTATTTATAATAGCCCAAAATATGTAACAACATGGGTGAAACAAAAAAACACTGCATTAGGAAGAAGGCCAGACACAACAAAGAATGCACTATATGACTACATTCATAGGAAGTTTTAGAATAGGCCAAGTTAACCTATGGTGATAGAAATCAGAAGAGGAATGTCCTGAGGCCTGCAGGGTTTATGGGAAGAATGAACTAGAACAGGACATGAGGGCCCTTTCTCAGGGAAGAGAAATGTTCTACATTTTGATTGTAATCATGGTTACATGAGGCATGTATTTTCCAAAACTTGTCAGTACAAACTTTATAAGTCTCTTATGTATCTCAATAAAAATTAATTGGGAAAGGTTTAACATTTAAAGGAAAAGACTGACAAATATAACTACTTCAAAATTTAAATTTCTGTAGGATCAAAAAGACTATAAATAAAAGATGAGTAATAATGAGAAAAAAATCATTGACTATGAGACTTAGTTTAGTTTAATTAAATTTAATTAATTTAGAGAGAAATCTCAAAATTGAAAAAACATGAAAAACTGATGAACATCTGAAAGGAAAAATGAACAAAAGTTATAAATAGGCAATTTGTGAAAGAAATATATAAGCCCCAAACAAAATTTAAACAAAATTTTAAATGTGTGATGGGCCAAGGGCTAATATATCTCTAATGTAAAAGGGTTTATAGAAATAGGTAGAAAATACTGTATATTTGGATTTTTAAAAAGCAGGCAAAATATAGGAATAAACAATTCACAAGAAAAAACACACACTCAATAAGTGTCTTAAAGTGTCTAGACTCTCTAGAAATCAAGGAAATACAAATTAAAACAACTACATACCATGTCTGACCCTGCTTCTGCTTTTTCCTGCCTCTGTGGTTTTCTCTTTTTTTTTTTTTTTAATTTGTTTGTTTTTCCTTTTCAGAACCACTGATTCTCAACTCAATGCCTGGGAAACTTTTATTAATGTTCAAGTTATCAACTTGGACACCACTTCTCAGGTAGCTTCCCCTGACTCTCAATGCTAATAGGAGCCCTGCTTTGCAATGCTATACCACTCAGTACGTCCCCTAGCAGAGCACTTATCACACTGCACTTACTATCCAGTTTTCCTACAATCCCCACAAAATCAGTTCTGTAAGGGCAATGCTACAGTCCAAGTGCCTACCAAGCACAGTACCTGGCACATATAGGTGCTTAATAAATATTCCTTGAATGTTTTATTGAGTAATATAGCATTTTCAAATTGGGAAAAGCTAAAGAAAATTATCGAGTATCAGCAAGATTTAAGTTGTGGCACTTTCACTCACTACTGGTAGAAGCATAAACAGTTATAATGTTTTCTGAAGATGTAGTAGATGGAGTTCTCCAGAGCAACTGAACCAATCGCATATGTAGAGAGAAATAATTTACCAAAAAGAATTGGCACACATGATTACGTCCAAGATCTGCAGCTGGCCAGCTGGAGACCAGGGCAGCCGATGGGATAAGTTCTACTCTGAGTCTGAGTCTAACTCCTAAAGCAGGAGAAGATCAATGTCCTTCCTCAAAGACAAGCAGGGAAAAATAATTCTTTCTTGCTCAGCCTTTGATACTATTAAGGGCTTCAGAAAATTGCATGAGGCCCAGCCACGTTGGAGAGGGCAATCTGATTGACTCCAACCTGTGATTCTAATGTTAATCTCATCCAGAAACTCCCTCACAGACACATCCAGAAATAATGTGTAACCAAATATCCGGGCACCCTGTGGCCCAGTCAAGTTGACATATAAAATCAACCACTGCAGAAGGTAATTTGCCAACATTTAATAGAACTCATAAAAATGCTTAACTTTTTTGACCTGGCAGTTCAGTCTTGAACAATGTTTTCTAAGAAAATTATCAGAAATATGTCTCTGAATACCTGTTAATGGCATCTCTTTGTTCATTGGTTGTAAGATAAAACAACCTTAAGAGTGATTGAATAAATTATAAATTACAATAAAATATAATTCAAAACTTAACGATGATATATAATATAGACTTGCAATTATTGATATAAAAACATATTCACAATATGTTAAATTTAAAAGTCTATCAATAAAGACAATTGTAATATGATCTAATTTTAATTTTAAATATACAATATATACAATACAAAATATACAATAAAACTTCCAGAAACTTAAAATGTAGTGTGTCTTCTTTGGGTCTGAAATTATGCATGAGTTTTTTTAATTTTTCTTTTCATTTTATGATCCTGATATTTCCTAGTTTTAATTTCAATTTAATTAATTCAATTAATCATGTAATTTCAAACAACCAAAAAACTAACCATGTGCTTTGAAAGCTTGACTTACATAGGCTACATCTCAAAAGTCTGTTCCACTCAGGATTAAAATTAAAGCAATTAGCTTAGTTAGATCCTTTTCCCTTAAGCGTTTCATTTGCTGTCTACTAAAAATACCGAGCTCTGATTGCTTTGCTCACCAGCCTAAACTATTCCTCCTGATAGAGCCTCAGCAGGACAAGAGACAAGATGATGTTTAGGTAGAGGATTGAAAGTGATCTGAAAAACTGACAGGTGTGGTGTGGTATATCCATACAATGAAATATTCAGCCTCAAAAAGGAGAAAATTTTTGACCCATGCTACAACATGGAGGACATTAAGCTGAGTGAAACAACCCAGACTCATGAAGACAGACGCTGTATTATTTCAGGAACATGAAGTTCCTAGAGTAGTTAAATTCTTAGAGAAAGTAGAATGGTGGTCAGCAGGGGCTGGCGGGGAGTGGGGAATGGGGAGTTACTTAATGAGTGCAGGGTTTCTGTTTTGCAAAATAAAAAGAGTTCTGGAGATCTGTCACACAACAATGTGAATGCACTTAGTGTTACTGAACTGTACACTGAAAAAAGATTAAAATGGTAAATTTTATGTTATGTATATTTTACTGTAACTTAAACAACAAAGCTGACATATCTGACTGGGGGAAAAATCAGAGTCACACAGACTTGACTTGTTGAAGGATTTAGAACTGATGAGGGCTGACACAGTGGCTCAGTCTTCCTGCCAAATCCAGGGCTCCTCCCCTTCATCCCGCCACCTTTCAGAAGCTGAGCTCTAGGCACATCAGAGCAATTAAGACAGATACTTCTATATTCTCAATCTATCACCCCTGGAATGAAAGCAATAATAGTAGCTAACACATACAGGGTGCTGACTATTTGCCAGGTAGTATTCAGAAAACACTTTACATGCATTGACCAGATAATTCTCACAACTCTGTGAGGGAAGAATTATTATGAAATCTCATTTTACAGATGAGGAGCCTGTGTCTCAGAGAGGTTAAGTAATTTTCCCAAGGGCACGCAGCCTGCAGTGGGATAGCTACAATGCAAACGCACGCATTATAGCCCTAGAATCCATGTATATAACTGTTGTAACCATGATTCTTATACTTTAAGGAATCACCTGAAAGATTTCTCAAAGCTGTTTCCTGGACTCCATCCCAAGAGAGTAGTTGGTGTTAGGGCCCGTGAATGTGCCTCTTTGACAAGCTCACCGGTGCTGCCAGTGCTGCTCGGCTGAGAGCTGCATGCTGAGTGGAACAAGGATTGCAGCACACTGTAAGTGTTGCAATAAAGCACCCCAGTTATGTTCTGGAATTAAATCTAGTAAATAATCAATAATGGATGAGTTACCCGTGGATCAAATTAATTTACCCCAAATGACTTGCTATTGATATGCTCGTATTTGGTAGCAATGTGAGTTGATAATCCAATTTAAAAGCTGTTACTTATTCAACTCTATTGCAGCAAGTATGAGGCAATGTGTTCTCATGACAAGACGGCTGGGAATCTAGAGAAATGCAAAACCAAGGAATATCATTTAGTGTAAAACCACCATAACAGCACAACACGGTCTTTTAATCACTACAGCATCATTTTCAGATGTTACAGAAGTTACAGTATGACTATAGCATTCCACAAAATCCTCACACTCCCCTTGCTCTCAGTCTATACTCTGCCTTTCCAGAAGAGGTTGCCTTGGATACAAGTATTGTCATGCCTGTAAATTTTATCCCCTGTGGCAAGTTAGCAAATTGGCATCCAGGTTTAATAAATCTGTCTGTTATTAATGAATAAATCTAGTCTTTCTAGCAAGACTCATACCCACAATGCTTGATAACCTCTGAGAAAATGGGTAAAACCAGTTGGTGGACTCTCAAAGTGGACAATTGCACCCTACACCCGTGTGACCCAGGGGAGCACAGGGACCCCATGAACTACTCCCCCATGGGAATGAGTAGTATCCCTCTCTCTTGAGACTCTGGGACTGCAGTTAGTGAGGTTGGGTTCTGAAAAGATGCTTTCACATCCCCAATTATGACTACCACTCTAGACTTAGACCAGCTGCCCTAGGGAGAAGAATGACAGCCCCACATTTAATAATAGATCTCAGGTTTCACCTTCCTCACTAGGAACAATCCGCTCAGCTTAGAAGCTCTGGAGCTGTTTTCCCACACCGCAAGGTCTTCTATCGGTTTGAGAGCCCCTGGAGATGGCCCACGCTGGTGGCAACGAGGCATAGAGAGTCACACGAGATCACTTAGCTCCCCAGTCAGGTCTACTGCAGTATGAGAAACAGGGGAGGGAAATGTTAGCTATTTAAAGATACTAGAAAGAAAAACACATGGCGTGAACATTTTTATTAGGTCATAAGGGGTCAGGCCTAATAGAAGATTATCACTTTATTACTGGATTCCATTTTATATTACCCTGCCTGAACAAGACTCTCACGATAGCACCAACAGATTTGGCTTTAATGACTTCTCCCTCATAATTTCTAATCACCTACACTTAAGGACCATTCCCCACCACAGGAAAGTGATGGTGGGGAAATACTTCACTGCAGTGAAGACCCTTAAACTCCCAAGATTCAGACTCACCTCCCTGAGCCCCGAGCTCACCAGTGAGTCCCTCAAGACTGGGTAATGAATAACACCAAGCATTCATCTATGAAGGAGTTCCTAAATAGGATGAAGTAGTTAAAAATATTTTTTAAGAATAATTAAAAGGCATTATGGAAAATCCTGAAATATTTCTTTTTTTTTTTTTTTTTTTTGAGACAGC
Organism: Homo sapiens; assembly: GCF_000001405.40. Lineage (NCBI taxonomy): Eukaryota > Metazoa > Chordata > Mammalia > Primates > Hominidae > Homo > Homo sapiens. The sequence continues at coordinate 9,660,085 of NC_000005.10, forward strand.
GTCTGGCTCTGTTGCCCAGGCTGGAGTGCAGTGGCGCGATCTCGGCTCACTGCAAGCTCTGCCTCCTGGGTTCATGCCATTCTCCTGCCTCAGCCTCTCAAGTAGCTGGGACTACAGGAGCCCGCCACCGCTCCCGGCTAATTTTTTTTTTTTTTTTTTTTTTTTGTATTTTTAGTAGAGACGGGGTTTCACTGTGTTAGCCAGGATGGTCTCAATCTCCTGACCTCATGATCCACCCGCCTCGGCCTCCCAAAGTGCTGGGATTACAGGCGTGAGCCACCACGCCCGGCCTGAAATATTTCTAAACAGATAAAAAATAGGGTCAAATATGAACTCATTCTTCCTTATATAGAACATGTCCTACTAGTCACTAAGGTGCCCAGGTTTCTTAATTGGTTTGTTCTTTGAGCTAATACCTAAAAGATGACTAACATGGGAAATGAAACCCAATGGCCGCAACGTCCTTAAAACCCATGCATCCAAACATCCTGTGCCTCTGGGTAGTCTATGGCAGGCTGAATGACAGTCCCCCTTGGATATCCCTGTCTTAATCCCTAGGACTTGTGACTATGTCACCATACATGGCAAAAGGGACTTTGCAGATATGATTAAGGCTACATATCTTGAGATGGGAAAAAAATGACCCTTGATTATCTGAGTGGATCCAGTCTAATTGCATGAGTTCTTAAAATAGGAAGGGGAATCAAGGGAAGTGTATCACAGAGACAGCAGCATGAGGATTCAGTGCAAATGGCTGGTTCTGTGAGGTAGGAACCACATGCAAGGATCTGAGAAAAGTTATAGGAGCTCAGGGCAGCCTTCACTTGACAGCCAGCAAGCAAATAGGGACCTCAGTCCTACACCCGTAGGAACTAAATTTTGCCAACACCTGAATGAACAAGGTGATCTTTTTCTCCTAGAATCTCAAGAAAGGAACACAGCACTGCCAACATCTTCATTTCAGGTTAGGGAAATCTGTACTGGATTTAAAGAATTAGAAAATAATAATTTTTTGTTGTTTTAACCTACTACATTTTTGGTCATTTGTTATGGCAGCAACATAAAACTAATGCACAGTTTTCATCCAAGTTATACTTCTAATTAAAACCTTACCACTTTAACAAATCCTGTTCTTTCTAGCCACAGCCTCTTAGCATGAACTCCAGTTTCTTTTTGTAAAGTAATCCTCTATAACCTTTTATACTAAACTTTCTATACTAAAAGCATCAGTAGATTTCCTTGCTGTATTTCAGCCCAAATTAGCTGGGCTTGACTAATCACAGCAGGGTCATTTAGGAGTGACATAATCCTAAACACAATCCTGAAGGTGAATGCATGCTCTCTTTTCTGACATTAAAGGTGGTTTCAATCACGTCTGGCACCGACTGAAAAAATGTATTCTGGAATGCCTCAGGATGAAGGAAAGAAAAACATAGATACTGATCTTCCAACATCGCAATCTGGTTCTAATATCAGTTGTCTACAGGAAGAATTCACTGTTAGAGAATGATTTCCTCAAGTCTATTTTTAAGATCCCTTTAATGTAGCCATCTGCTAAATTATCTTGATACAAATGAGGAGAATTTCAGTGAACATCTGAATTTCCTTGTTTATAAAACGAAAACTAGATCACATTCCTTATCTAGCCTGGTGATAAGAACTAATTTGATGTATACATATATCAGTGTGTGTACGTAAATCATATACACAGATTTATACTACATATACACACATGTGCACCAATCAGGATAAGCTAGTTTATGCTGCATCATTATCTCTGCCTCAAACAAACCACCCAAACTTAGTGCCTGAAACAGCTCAGGTTTACTCCCTCCCAGTTCTGTGTATCAGCTGTTTGGAGTGGATTTGGCTAGAGGTTCTTCTGTTGGTTTCACCAGGGGTCACTCATGTAGCCGCACCATGGGGTAGCATGGTCCAAGACAAATCCATTCACATGCCTGCTTGTGGGTGCTGGCAGTCAGCAGAAGTTGTGAAGCCTCAGAAGGCTTTTACTCAGAACAGCCTCCATGCCATTTCTCAGTCCCCTTTGATGTAAGCAAGTCACAAATCCAGCCTAATTCCAAACGGGTAGAGAAAGAAAATCTACTCCTTGATGAGAAGAGCAATAAGTCACATTGCAAAAAGGCACACACGGTGGTGGGAAGAATCTGTTGCTATTTCAATAATCCATCATTACCCCCAAATATCAAAGATTTATTTTTATTCCCACTGCATGGCCATCGTGGTTCACTGGGGGCTCTGCTGCCCATTACTGCTCATTCCAAAATGCAAAGTGATGGATGATTCTGCCACGCAGAGCATGCTGTGCTGGTTATCAGAACCAAGGGGAAAATGTCAGAGAAGTGGCCTGCAGGAAATGAAATACTTCCATCCAGGAGTGACAGTTGTCACTCCCAGCCAACTCTAAGTAAGTCATATGGCCACATCTAACTCCAGCGGAGTTGGAGGTGATTTCTTACAGGTGCCTGAAAGAGGAGAGCTCAAGTGAGAATAAGTAGATCAAACAGGTAGCACAACATACATGCATGCTCTCACACACACCCATACGTGACATCAATCTAATAGTTTGTCACAGGCAGCTCAAACATTTGGAACTACCCAAAACTCTATCCGTGTTCTGGAAATGATAGTCTCTGACTATAACTCAGTTAAGAAAGAACAAGAAGATTGATAGTGTTTTTGTCATTTCCGTAAGAAATTTTGTTAAGAATACTCTTTCTTATTTGTTCCAGAGATAATGATATAAATAGAATTCACTTGTCAATACCCAATTACTTTTGATCAGACATGGAGGGATTCTATCTACAAACTGAATCAAAAAATCAATTGTCATTTTGAAGTCAGTACATTATCATTTCTTTGTAATTCAAAGCTGTGGTAGTTAGGGCTGTTCTCAAATGGTCTTTTTCTCCTTCTGGTTGTACTTTCATCCACTTAAATGTGATCATGTGACTTTCTTTAGTCAATACAATTCTACGTTATATTTGCATGCTATTCTATACTATAAAGCATTATTATATATAAAAACTCATAAAGTTATCAGGATAATAATTGGAAATTAGCTTAATCTCATGCAAACTGCAAAAAAAGATGATTCTACAAACAATATATGTGCTAAAAGAAAAAATGACAAGATAAATAATACTGAATCACTACAATCTCCAACTAAAATTGTCTGACTCAACTAAGGCAATAAATTTTTAAAAACTGAAATCAAAGTAGAAATATATTTTAATTGTATTATATTTCTTAATGTTTTCTTATATTTAATGTTAGAATATTTGCAAGTCTACAATGGAGGAGGAGAGATTTATAAATTCCAGCTGCCTATAATAGCTCAACTTTTTCAGAGACGTAAATTTTTTTCTTCTAAGAAGAAGTTTTTCACTTCATGTAGAAGATTATACTAATATTTACCTGAACCCAAATTAGGGAAGGTTTATGTCGTTGTTGTTTAACTTAATATGCTACCCACGTTAATTAGCTATACTGAGCTTGCTTTCTTATTTTCTCTTAGTATCCCACATTTATAAAGCTATGTGCTATTCTCAAAAAGTTTTAGGTAGCAGTCCTTGTAAGGAGTTGAATGTGACACTCAGAAAAATCTCTAGAACTGGTGAATGCAACTTTATTTGGATAGAAAGTTTTGCAAATGTAATTAGGTTAAAAATTTTGAGATGAGATTATCCTGGGTTACCCAGGTAAGCCCTACATCCAACAACCAGTGTCCTGATAAGAGACACAGAGAAGAGGGGAAGGCTGTGCACAGACAGAGGCAGAGACTGAAGCAATGCATCTATAAGCCAAGGAATGCCAACAATTGCCCACGGCTCCCAGAAGCTAGGCAGAGGCATGGAAAAGATTTCCCTCAGAGCCTCCAAAAGGCACCAACACTATCGACACCTTGATTTTGGACTTCTCATCTCCAGGACTGTGAGATAATACATTTCTGTTATTTTAAGTCATGGAAGTTTGTGGTGGTTTGTTGTGGCACTCCTAGGAAACTCAGCAGCCCCTATCGAACCATGCCTCCCTCATCGCCCCAGGCTGGCTTTCCCTTCCACCTCTTCTATATTGGCACTCCCCAACAAGCGAGCAGGGCCATCATCTCTGAATTAACACTATCTAGAATTCATTTCACCGTCTAGCCTCCTTTGAGTTCTGCAGAAAAGCAGAGGTTGTTATATCAAATACATCAGATGTCAATTGCAAATGTAAATTTTTAATCGTGTTTCCTTTAGGTGCTGTGATGCATTTGATGCAGAAACAGTTGAGCTCTACTCTAAATGCAGAGTACAAGGGACAGGGGAGAAAGAAAAATGAGCCATGCACAGTCCCTCCCCTTCCAGGCAGCTATATGAACATGTAAGCTATAAACCACGGTATATATTCCATAACGATTTCCATTTTCTTTGCTCCTGTTCTGTTTTCCAGGACTGAAAGTTGCCTCTAGAAGATGCCACAGTCTGCTGTCAGTTATTTTCTTCCACCCATTAAAATGCAAATTGGTATTTCTATGTAACATGTGACAGGTTTGGATAAACCGTGGGATTCTCTCCTCTCAATTCTTTACTGATTGAATTTTAATCTGGATTGCCTATCAAAACTCAGCCTATTCCTTGAAGTTCAGATAAAGTGTCACATCCACAATTAAAGGTCTCACTGTTACCCCCTTACAATGCACTTTTTATACCTGAGAAATGTGATTACATTTATTTAACTTACTATGTTTCGGGCACCATGATTTCATTTAATCTTCAGGGAACACACCTACCATTAGATACTCTTTACAAATGAGGAAACAAACTTGGCAGTGTTCAGGAACTTGTCTAAAGTAATTGTATTAGTGAGCTAGAGATGCATAACAAAGTCCCATAAACTTAACAGCTGAAAACACCAATTTATTTTCTCATAGTTCTGCCAGTCAGGAGTCCAACACAGAACAGATGGATTCTCTTCTCAGCCTCTTACAAGGTGTCAGCTGGGCCACATTCTTTTCTGGAAGATCCACTTCCAGGCTCCTCCTTGTTGTTGGCAGAATTCAACAGTGGTAGAACTGAGGTCCCATTCTTTGACACATGACCTCCATCTGTGAGCAAGCCATGACATATCAAGCCCTGCTCATGCCTTGGTTCTCTCTGGCTTCCTCTCTCTGCTTTTAAGGGCTCCTGCTCCTGCGATAACATCGAGGCCATCTGAACAATCCAGGATAATCTCCTCATCTCGAAATCAACTGATTAGTAGCCCTAATTACATCTACAAAGTCTCTTTTCCATGTACAGTAACATTTCCCTGGGTTTGGCATCCTATCATCTCAGTTCCCAGTGATTGGGGTGTGGAATGTTCTTGGGCCACGATTCTGCTTACCATAGTCACTCACAATCAGTAAGGGACAGACCAGGGATTTAAACCCAAATTTGTTTTAGTCTTTGTACCATGTCCTGCTTCCTCTCTAGGACACACCTTAAACTAAAGCTGCAGATGTTGGTGAGAAGAGAGAGTGTGATGTCTAAGACCACAGCCTCTGGGCAGCCCTGCCTGAAGGCAAATCCTCAGCCCTCTCATCAGTAGAATGAGTATAAAATAATGTCTGCCTCTAGGGTTGTTATGAGAATTCAGCGGCTTAATACTCGAAAAGGGCTTGTTTATTACTTTGTCTGGCATATAGTTAGCATTGTAGAAGAGATGTTAAATAAATAAAAGTAAAGGAACATAAGGCAGGAGAGTAAAAGAACAGCAGTGTAGAAGGCATTTTGCCCATTTTATTATACCATGATAATTCACAACGTTTTAAAAGGTGAAATATTTGTAATTGTAACATTACCCTACTTTTGAGCTAATAGTTTAAGATGTAGCCTTGCTAGGTTTCAACCTATTTTTGGACAAGGAGTATGACTTATATGCATTAGATACTTACTAATCAATCAGGGAGTTGAACTGGATTCAGGAAAGTTATATAACAAGAACTTCATGATTCTTTTTTTTTAATATTGCCTATTTCCAGGCAGATTATTAGTGGAAAAATAATTATAAGGAGAGATTTTTCAAAATATGTTTAAAAGCTTTTGTTTTTAAAATGAATTTGGAGAGAGTTCTATTTATTGAAGCAGATGCTCTGACTGGAAGCAAAATCAAAATCTAATTAAGAAAGAGTTACAACAATCTCCATGACTGAGAGACCCTTGATGGGCCTAGGGCACTAGAGCTGACATAACAATAGATGCTGGGTCTGATGTGTGATAGGGAGGGCTCTATGAAGCTCACATCTGCCCCTAAAATGCCACATCCCCTGGCCAACCACAGCTATGCTCTTAATGTCTACAAAATATCTTCATTGATGTTCATTATATCTGGGAGGAACAAGGGGCTTCATCAATGAAAGAGCATCCAGGAATTTATCAGATGGTTGAGAGGAATGAAAGCCTGATTTCTTCCTTGATGATGATACTTACAGAAAACAGATTCAAATTTGCTAGTAAAATCATAGCAGTGAGTAAGAGTAGGAAAAAAATAGGTGGTGCATCTTCCTATTGCTGGGTGGGGTGGGGGCAAAGGAAACAAAAACTAGATCTGCAGATAATAGGGAAATGAAAGAAAAGAAAGAAGAAAACAGAAAGCAAGAAACAAGAAGGCAAAACTAACAGGTAACATCAGTTACAACAACAAATGTGAGCTGAATTCAATTACAAAACAAAAGATTCACAGCATCATAAAGGAAATTCTATTATATACTATCCCAAGTGTATCCCACCTAAAATAAAATGATATGTGGTTTAAAAATAAAGTGATGGGTAAAATATATTAGGTACACGAAATCAAACACAGAAAAGTAGAGATAGCGATATTAACTAAAAAATCAAGCTCAAGGCAAATTTTTTTTAAAAAAAGATAAAAAAGGTCCTTATATGAGTATAACAGGCATGTTCCAAAATAAAACTACATGAGACATGAAATATTTTTTATTGACTTCTTGAGTCCGTTTTTTTCTACAAATTTTAATACATGCATACCATGTGCCTGGCATTCTGTTGAAAACTAGAAACACATTTAAACTAGACATAATTACAGTCAGGACTTTAAAAGTTTAGATTTCAACACTCCCACTTCTGCCTCAACTTGCAGCTTCCTGTTGTCCAGGAAAACACCCTGATGGCAGGGTGGGCAACTCTACCTACCCCCACCTCTCGTAGCCAGGAAAGCTTTACCTGTTAGAGCTTCCAGCCTAGAGGCTCTACCTCTGCCTGAATTTGCCAAAGGGTACAGCCTCCTGTTGCCCTGGAAATACCTGGATTGCAGGACGGGCAACTCTATCCACCTTACTTCTTGTAGCCAGATGGGCCACACCTGCTAGAGCTTCCTGCCCAGTGGCCTCACTTTTGTCTGAATTCTGCAGGCAGGCATAACCGTATGTTCCCCTTATCCCCACTTGGACAGTAGATTTGGGTTGACCTGGAAAGGATATAGCCTGTCTGCCAGCTTTGGCCCCTGCCCGAGGGAGACACATGGAGCAGAACACCCAACAAAAGAAATGTGGGCATGAAGACAGTAATCAAAGAGGGCTCCTCCAAGACCCAGGAGTGAACTAAAATTGAAGCCAGTCAACTGAACCCACTTTATATCACAAAGAAACCCCCAAGAGCATCAAAGAAAATAAAAACAAAGAAACTCACCCAAAGGATAACAAATTCAAATACTGAAGGAACATCAGCCCACACAGATGAGAAAGAACCAATGCAAGAATTATGGCAGCTCAAAAAGTCAGAGTGTTTTCTTACCTCCAAACAACCGCACTAGTTCCCCAGCAATGGTTCTTAACCAGGCTGAAATGTCAGAAATAGAATTTAGAATATGGATAAGAACAAAGATCATTGACATCCCGGAGAAAGTTAAAACCCAATGCAAGGAATCTAAGGAATGCAGTAACATGATGCAGGAGATAAAAAACAAAATGGCCATATTAAGAAAGAACCAAACTGATCTGATAGAGTTGAAAAAATCACTTCAAGAATTTCGTAATATAACACAAATATCAACAGCAGAATCTGCCAAGCTGAGGAAAGAATCTCAGAGCTCCAAGAGCAGTTGTCTGAAATAACTCAGATAAAAATAAATAAAACAATAAGGAAGAATGACAAAAACTTTGAGAAATATGGGACTATGTAGAGACCAAACCTAATTCTCACTGGCATCCCTGAAAGAAAGGGAGAGAAAGCAAGCAATTAGAAAACATGTTTGAAAATATCCTTAATTAAAATTTTCCCAACCTTCTAGAAAAGCCAATATTCAATCAAGAAAATGCAGAGAACCCCTGCAAGATACCTTACAAGATGGCAATTCCCAGGACACTAATCATCAGATCCTCCAAGATCAAAATGAAAGAAAAAAATGTTAAAGACAGCCAGAGAGAAGGGGCAGGTCACCTACAAAGGGAACTCCATCAGGCTCACAGCAGACCTTTCAGCAGAAGCCTTACAAGCCAGAAGAGATTAGAGGCCTACATTCAGCATTCTTAAAGGAGAATAATTTCAACCAAGAATTTTATATCTGGCCAAATTAAGATTCATAAGAAAAGGAGAAATAAGATCCTTTTCAGATATGGAAATGTTATGGGAATTTGTTACCACTAGACCTGCCTTACTAGAGGTCCTTAAGCAAGTGCTAAATATGGAAAGCAAAGACCATTACTAGCTAGCACAAAAGCACACTTAAGTACAAAGACCATCAGCACTATTAAAAAAAAAACCACACAATCAAGTCTGCATAATAACCAGCTAACAACATGATGACAGGATCAAACTTGCACATATCAATATTAACCTTGAATTTAAATGGGCTAAACACCTCAATTAAAAGGCAGAGTGACAAGTTGTATAAAGAAGCAAGACCCAACTATATGCTGTCTATAAGAGACCTGTCTAACATATAATGACACTCATAGGCTCAAAATAAAGGGATAGAGAAACACTGGCAAAGCAAATGGAAAACAGAGAAAAAGCAGGAGTTGCTATTCTAATTTCAGACAAAGCAGAGTTTAAATCAGCAATAATCAAAAAAGACAAAGAGGGGAATGACAGAATGGTAAAGGGTTCAATCCAAAAGAAGACCTAACTATCCTATAAATGTGCAGCCAACACAGGAGCACCCAGATTCATTAACGAAGTTCTTAGACACCGACAAAGAGACTTTGATAACCATACGATAATAGTGGGAAAATTCAACATGCCACTGACAGTATTAGACAGATCATCAAGGCAGAAAACTAACAAACGTTTTCAGGACTTGATCTCAACATTTGACCAAATGGACCTAAGAAACATCTACAGAACTCTGTACCCCAAAACAACAGAATATATAGTCTTCTCATCTGCACATTGCACATACCTCTAAAATCAACCACACAATGGCCATAAACTGTCCTCAGCAAATTTTAAACAACCAAAATTATACCAAACACACTCTCAGACCACAGCACAATAAAAATAGAAATCAATACTAAGAAAATCACTGAAACCCATACAATTACATGGAAATTAAACAACCTGCTTCTGAATGACTTTTGGGTGAACAATGAAATTAAAGTAGAAATCAAGAAATTCTTTGAAACTAATGAAAACAAAGATACAGCACACTAGAATCTCTGGGACACAGCTAAAACAGTGTTAAGAGGGAAGTTTACAGCTGCAAAGGCCCACATCAAAAAGTTAGAAAGATCTCAGATTAACAACTAACATCACAGCTAGAGGGACCAGAGAAACAAGACTGAACCACCCCCAAACCTGGTTTTGAAATAACCAAAAGCAAAACTGAACTGAAGGAAATTGAGACACAAAAAAACATATAAAAGATCAAAGAATCTACAAATTGATTTTTTGAAAGAATAAGTAAGATTGTTAGACCACTAGCTAGAATAATTTTAAAAGAGAGAAGATAAAAATAAACACAATGAGAAATAAAAAGGGGCTACTACTACCAACCCCACAGAAATACAAAAAAACCCTCAGAGACTACTATGAACACCTCTATGCACACAAATTAGAAAAACTAGAGGAAATAGATAAACTCCTGCAAACATATAACCTCCCAAAATTGAACCAGGAAGAAATTAAATCCCTGAACAGATCAATAATGAGTTGTATTAAATCAAGTTTAGCCTAAAGATGCCTCCTTACATTTTTTAAGTTTGGCCTAAAGGGTTCTCTGTTCATAGTGAATATAACCTAAATGGAGGTGTAAACAGACTGTAATTTACTCTTGTGCCAATCACTGAGTTTTGACCAATCAAAGAGGGCAAATGTTGAAACTGTATTTAAATAAGACAAATGCTGAGCTGTTTCTGTATCTTACTACTGTTTTCTGTATATCATTTTCCTTGTTCTGTCTATAAATCTTCTTCCACCATGTGGCTGCACTGGCATCTCTCTGAGCCTACTCTGGCTCAGGAGGCTGCCCACTTCATGAATCATTCTTTGCTTAAATAAACTCTGTTAAATTTAATTTGGCTAAGGTTTCTTTTTTAACAGTTCCAAAACTGAAGCAGTAATAAAAAGCCTGCCAACCAGAAAAAGCTTAGAACCAGATGGATTCACAGCCAAATTCTACCAGATGTATAACGAAGAGCTGGTATCATTTCTACTGAAACTATTCCAAAAAATTAAGAAGGAAGGACTCCTCCCTAACTCATTGTATGAAGCCAGCATCATCCTGAAACCAAAACCTGGCAAAGATACAACAAAAAAAGAAAACTTTAGGTCAATAGCTTTGATAAACATAGGTGCAAAACTCCTCAACAAAATACTAGAAAACCAAATCCAGCAGCACATCAAAAAGCTAATCCACCATGATCAAGTAGACTTTATTCCTGGGGTGCAAGGTTGGTTCAACTTATGTAAATCAATAAATGTGATTCACCACATAAACAGAACTACAAACAAAAAGCACATGATTATCTCAATAGATGTAGAAAAGGCTTTTGATAAAATTCAGCATCACTTCATGTTAAAATCTCTCAACAAAGTAGGCATTGAAGGAACATACTTCAAAATAATAAGAGCCATTTATGACAAACCCACAGCCAACATTGTACTGAATGGGCAAAAGCTGGGAGCATTCCCTTTGAAAACCAGAACAAGACAAGGATTTCAACTCTCACCGCTCCTATTCAACACAGTACTGAAAATTCTAGCCAGAAAAATCAGGCAAGAGAAATAAAGAAAAGCCATCCAAATAGGAAGAGAGGAAGTCAAACTATCTCTGTTGACAGACAATATGATTTACACCTAGAAAATCCCATAGTCCCTGACCGAAGCTTCTAGATATGATAAACAACTTCAGCAAAGTTTCAGGATACAAAATCAATGTAAAAAATCAGCAGCATTTCCATACATCAACAATGTCCAAGCTGAGAGCCAAATCAAGAATGTAATCCCATTCATGATAGCCACAAAAAGAATAAAATACCTAAGAATATAGCTAACCAGGTATATGAAAGATCTCTACAATGAGAATTACAAAACACTGCTTAAAGAACTCAGAGATAAAAAAAACAAATGGAAAAATATCCCATGTTCATGGACAGGAACTATCAATATCACTAAAATGGCCATATTGCCCGAAGCAATTTACAGATTCAATGCTATTCCTATCAAACTACCAGCATCATTCTTCACAAAACTAGAAAAAAAACTATTTTAAAATTCATATGGAACCAAAAAAGAGCTCCAATAGCCAAGGCAATCCTAAGCAAAAAAAATAATAATAAAGCTGGAGGCATCACATTACTCAACTTCAAACTATACTAAAACACAACAGTAAACAAACCAGCATGGTACCAGTACAAAAACAGGCACATAGATCAATGGGACAGAGCCCAGAAATAATACCTCACACCTACCACCAAGTGATCTTTGATGAAGTCAACAAAAACAAGCAATAGGGGAAGGACTCCCTATTCAATAAATGATGGTGGGATAACTGATTAGCCATATGTAGAAGATTGATGCCGGACCCCTTCCTTACATCATATACAAAATTTAACTGATGATAAATCCAAGAGTTAAATATAAAACCTAAAACTGTAAAAACCCTTGAAGATAACCTAGGACATGCCATTCTGAACATAGGCCCTGACAAAGGTTTCATGATGAAGATGCCAAAAGCAATTGCAACAAAAACAAGAATTGACAAATGGGATCTAATTAAGAGCTTCCGCATACAAAACACACAATCAACAGAGTAAAAGACAACCTACAGAACAGGAGAAAATATTTGCAACCTATGCATCTGACAAAGTTCTAATGTCCAGAATCTATACGGAACTCAAACAAATTTACAACCAAAAAACAAACGACCCCATCAAAAAGTGGGCAAGGACATAAACAGACATTTTCAAGAGAAGACATACACACAATCAACAATCATCTGAAAAAATGCTCAATATCACTAATAATTAGACAAATGCAAATCAATACCACAATGAGATACTGTCTCACACCAGTAAAAATGGCTACTAATAAAAAGTAAAAAATAACAGATGCTGCCAATGTTGCAGAGAAAAGGGAATGTTTATATACTGCTGGTTGAAATGTAAATTAGTTCAGTCATTGTGAAAAGCAGTGTGGTGATTTTTCAAAGAACTTATCTTTGAAAAGTTCAAAAGAAGTATCATTTGACCTGGCAATCCCATTATTGGGTATATACCCAAAGGAATAGAAATCATTCTCCCGTAAAGACACATGCACATGTAAGTTCATTGCAGCACTAGTCACAATAGCAAAGATATGGAATCAACCCAAATGCCCACCAATGGCAGACTGGATAAAGAAAAGGTAGTACATATACACCATGGAATACTACATAGCATATTAAGAATAAGATCATGTCCTTTGCAGCAACATGGAGGAAGCTAGAGGCATTACCCTAAGCAAACTAATGCAGGAAAAGAAAACCACATATTGCATGTTCTCATTTATAAGTGGGAGCTAAACATTCATTACACATGAACACAAAGAAGGGAACAATAGACACTGCGGCCTACTTAAGGGTGGATGGTGGGAGGAGGGAGAGGATCAAAAAACTACCTAGTGGGTACTACTATTCTTATTACCTGGGTGATGAAATAATCTGTACACCAAGCCCATGTGACATGCAATTTACCTTATAACAAACTGCACATTTACCCCTGAAGCTAAAATAAAAGCTAATAAATAAATAAAATGTTTAGGCTTAAGGGTACATTAATATGATCATAATTTAAATATATGTGCAGAAGAAAGCCAGTGGAAGGAGATACAACAAAGCCTGTGTAGGCATTATGGTTTCTTTTTCTTATTTATGCTTTTACTTATTTTATAATTTTCTACACTAATAAATGTTATAAAATCATCACATATTTGTATCTAAGTGGCTTCTTTAAACCCTACTCACTATTTTTTATTTATAAATACTGAAATTCAAACAAAGTATAAAAATCAAAATAAGTATTTTAAGAGATTTTTAAAATTATATATTTTATTTTATTTCTTAGCCAATAAGAGAAGCTGAAAAAAAAAACAGAATTTATCCAGAAAAAGGGGAATGAAAAAGTTTAGCGTTACCAGAGGTTTGCTTTTCCAGTTCAGATCCCTCTCTTGGGGATCAGCAATGAAGGCAATAGGGCAAGGAATTTCACCTGTGCACAAACGAAATTCTTCTTGCTGTCCCTTGTGGCACTTCTCCATACCCTGTCTAATGGAATGGCTCTGAAACAACTGAGGCTGCTCCCCAGGCCCAGCAAAGCTCATCCCCTAAATGAGAGCAGGAAGAAATAGCTGCAGCCCAATCCCTGCACCCACCCATTGGCTCCCACCCAATGCTCCAGCCTCTGCCTAAGCCAGGAGATGCTGGAGGCTCTGCTGAAATTTTTTCATGCGCTTCTGAGAAGAGGTGATCCTTCACAAATCATGACATCAGCAATATGGTCCTCTCAAAGTGTCTGGCATTTGGATGCCTATCTTCTCTAGTTTCCAATGCTGATACAGAGATTGAACATAGACATATATGTAACAAAACTATGGAATAGACCCAATAACTGTATTTTATATGCCAGCTATGTCAGGACCTACTGGAGAGTCAGGTCCCCTATGTTCACTTGCCATTTAGTCTTCAATAAAGCAGTATATGATGATAGTATATTATGAAATATTTCAAATACTTAAAAAGATATGCAGGATATTATGATAAACAATAGTATATCAACCACATGGCTTAAGAAACAAATAAGTACATCCCACATGGTCCTACACACCATATAATCCAAATACAATTTATCTTCCCCTGGCATAATGTTTATATAAAAATTATATATGGTTAGAACCTGGGGCCAGATGGTATAGGCTTAAGTGTAATCTCTACCACACAATTAAGTAATCTTAAATAAGTTACCTTACCTTTCCATGCTTCTGTTCATCATCCATATTATGAGCTGATAATAGTGTATACCTCACAAAGATGTATGAATATTATGTGGGTTTAATATATGTAATTGTATTTAATTACATATACATGCATTCAGTTACATATATTAACTAGAATTCTACAGTCCTGAAGATCATTTCTTAATTATACTACTTTCTTAATTAGACTACTATCTTTCTAACTTCTATTCCATTTTTCACATAACCCAGAAATTCACTATTTAAAAATTAAATTATGGGAACAAGGGAAGAACATCTCTCTCCTCACTTCTATTCAAGATCATACTGGGAGTTCTAGCTGGTGCAATAATACAAGAAAAGAAAATTAAGGGTATATGGGCTGGAAAAGGAAAAATAAAACTGTAGCTGACATTCTTGTGTATGTAAAAAATTTTAAAGAATCAGCAATTAAAAAATCATAATGCTAATAAGTCGTTATAGCAAGATTGAGGATACAAGGTTAATTTACAAAAATTTATATACATATGAACAATTGAAATTTGATATTAAAAATAAAAGCCCACTTATAATAACACCCCAAAATGAAATCATATATATATATATATATCTAATATATATATGTAATTTATGTACAGAAAACTCTGATGAAATAAATCAAAGAAGATCAAAATAAGTGGAGAGATAGTCTATGTTCACAGATTGGAAGAATCAATGTTAATATGCTAATATATTCCAACTTGATCCATAGAGTCATCCTAATCCCAATCAAAATCCCAGCAGGCTATTTTGTAGATATCAACAAACTTATTCTACAATATATATGTATAGAAACACAATTCATTCTTGTATGTTTATTAGTACCCTGCAACTTTACTGAATCCATTAATTATTTTTTTCTTTTTCTTTTTTTTTTTTTTTTGAGATGGAGTCTTGCTTTGTTGCCAGACTGGAGTGCAGTGGCGTAATCTTGGCTCACTGCAACCTCCACCTCCTGGGTTCAAGTGATTCTCCTGCCTCAGCCTCCTGAGTAGCTGGGACCACAGGTGTGCACCACCACACCCAGCTAATTTTTGTATTTTTAGCAGAGATGAGGTTTCACCATGTTGGCCAGGATGGTCTCAATCTCTTGACCTCGTGATCCACCCACCTAGATCTCCCAAAGTGCTGGGATTACAGGCATGAGCCACCATGCCCTGCCCCATTTATTATTTCTAACAGGTTTTTCTTGTGTGTGTGTGTACAGACTCTGAGATTTTCCACATATAAGATCACGCCATCTGCAAACAGAAATCATTTTACTTCTTCCTTCTAGAGGTGTATGACTTTTATTACATTTTCTTGTCTAATTGCTCTGGCTAGGAATTCCAGTGTTATGTTGAATTAAGTGGTACGAGTGGGAATCCTTGTCTTGCTTATGATCTTAGAAGAAAAGCTTCTAGTTTTTCACCATTGAATATGATATTAGCTATGGGATTTTAAATATAGCCTTTACTATGTTGAGATAAATTCCTTTTATTCCTAGCTTGTTGAGAGATTTAATTCTAAAAGGGTGTTAAAATTTTGTCAATTTTTTGCATCTATGAAGATTTTCATGTGATTTTTACCTTTTATTTTATTAATGTGCCATATCACATTAATTGATTTGCATACATTGAACCATCTTTAAATTCCAAGGATAAATCCCACTTGGTCATGAGTATGATACTTTTGATGAGCTGTTGAATTCAGTTTGCTGGTATTTTGTTGAGGAAAAGAAAACTATATATGGAAATGCCAAAGACAGAATATCCAATACAATGCTGAAGAAGAACAAAGCTGGAGAACTGACTGACTTCAAAACTTACTAAAAAACTGCAGCAATCAAGATAGAGTGGGATGAGTGAAAGAACACACACAGATGAATTGAATATAACAGAAGGCCCAGAAATAGACCTACACAAAATATTCAATTGAGTTTAACTATGGAGCAAATTTAATTCAACGAAGAAAGGATTGTCTTTTCAACAAATAGTGCTGGAAAAATTGGGTATACATACATACATACACAAAAATATAGACATAGACCTTATAACTTTTACTAAAACTCATGCAAAATAGATTATAAATCCAAATATAAAATGCAATACTACAAAACTTCTAGAAGAAAACATAGGAGAAAAATCTATGAAACCTTGGATTTGGAAATAAGATTTTAGATACAATACCAAAATGTAATCCATAAGAGAAAAATTTGATAAATTAGACTTTATTAAAATTTAAAATATTGGCTTATGAAAAAAACAGTTTTGGTGGGAGTATAAATTAGTTCAGCCATTATGGAAGACAGTGTGGCTATTCCTCAAAGACTAAAACAAGAAATACCATTCAACCCAGCAATCACATTACTGGGTTTTTACCCAAAGAAATATAAATTATTCTACCATAAAGACACATGCACATGTATGTTCAATGCAGCACTATTCATAATAGCAATCACATGGAATCAACCTAAATGCCTATCAGTGATAGACTGGATAAAGAAAATGTAGTAGATACACACAATGGAATACTATGCAGCCATAAAAAAGAATGAGATCATGTACTTTGTGGGAACACGGATGGAGCTGGAAACCATTATCGTTAGCAAACTAACTCAGGGACAGAAAACCAAATACTGCATGTTCTCATTTGTATGTGGGAGCTAAATGATGAGAACACATGGACACATAGACCGGAACAACACACAATAACACCTATTGGAGGGTGAAGGGTGGGAGGAGGGAGAGGATCAGGAAAAACAACTAAGGGGTACTGGCTTAATACCTGGGTGATGAAATAATCTGTACAACAAATCCCCATGACACAAGTTCACCTATGTAACAACAAACCTGTACTTGTACCCTTGAACTTAAAATAAAGTTACAAAAAAGAGAACCAAAAGACAAGACAGAATTAAAAAAAAAAAATTTGCAGGCCTCATATCTTAAAAAGCATCTGTATTTCAAATGTACAAAAAACTGAACCGATACCTCACCAAAGAAGATTAGACAAACCAAAGGCAAACAAGCATGTGAAAAGATAATCAGCATCATACATGATTATGAAAATCCAAATTAAAACATTATGTTACTACTACACACCTATTAGAGTGGCAAGAATCCAAAACATTGACAACACTAAATGCTGGCAAGAATGCAAAGTGAAAGGAACTCTCATTGATAGCTAGTAGGAATAGAAAATGGTACAGCCACTTTAGAAGACAGTTCGACAGTTCCTCACAAAGCTAAATGTAGTCTCATCATATGATCCAGTGATGCTCGCAGGTATTCACCCAATTGATTAGAAAACTTATGTCCATACAAGAGCACACATGTGAATGTTTCATAGCAACCTTATTCATAATCACTAAAAAATGGAAACAACTAGTTAGGCATGGTGGCTCATGCCTATAATCCCAACTAAATGGGCAGCTGAGGTGGGAAGATTGCTTGAGCCCAGGAGTTCAAAGCTGCAGTGCAAAATTTTTGGAATCTATCCATCTGACAAAAGTCTAATATACAGAATTTACAAGGAACTTAAACATATTTACAAAAAGACAAACAACCCCATTAAAAAAATGGGCAAAGGACATGAACAGACATTTCTCAAAAGAAGACATTAATGCAGCTAACAAACATATGAAAAAAACCTCAACATCACTGATCATTAGAGAATGCAAATCAAAACCACAGTGAGATACTATCTCATGCCAATCAGAATGGTGGTGATTAAAAAGTCAAGAAACAACAGATGCTGGTGAGTTTGCAGAGAAAAGGGAATCCTTTTATACTGTTGGTGGGAATGTAAATTAGTTCAACAGTTGTAGAAGACAGTGTGGTGATTCCTCAAAGACCTAGAAGGAGAAATACCATTTGACCCAGCAATCCTATTACTGGGTATATACCCAAAGGAATATAGATCATTCTATCATAAATATACATGCATGCATATGTTCATTGCAGCACTATTCACAGTAGCAAAGACATGGAATCAACCCAAATGCCCATCAATGACAGACTGGATAAAGAAAATGTGGTACATACACACCATGGAATATTATGCAATCATAAAAAGCAATGAGATTATGTCCTTTGCAGGGACACAGATGGACCTGGAAGCTGTTATCCTCAGCAAACTAACACAGGAACAGAAAATCAAACACCGCATGTTCTCACTTACAAACGGGAGCTGACCGATGAGAACATATGGACACATGGTGGGGAACAACACACACTGGAGCCTGTTGGGGGGTTTGGGGGAGGGAGAGGATCAGGAATAATAGCCAATGGATGCTGGGCTTAATACCAAGGTGATGGGTTGATGTGTGCAGCGAATCACCATGGCACATGTTTACCTATGTAACAAACTTGTATATCCTGCACATGTACCCTGGAACTTAAAATAAAAGTTGATGGAAAAAAATGGTGTCTTTTAATAGGTGAGTGGATAAAATAAACTGCACTGCACCCAGAAAATCAAATCTTATTCAGCAATAAAAATAAATGAACTATCAAGCCACACAAACATGGAGTGACCTTAAATGCCTATTACTAAGTGAAATGAGCCAAACTGCAAATGCTACATCGTGTATGATTCCAAATACACGACATTCTATAAAAGACAAAAGTATAAGGATGGTAAAATTATCAGTGATTGTCAGGGGACAGGGGGAAAGGAAGGATAATGGGCGAAGCACAGGGGATTTTTAGGACAGTAAAACTATTCTAAATAATACCGTGATGGCAAATACATGACATTACGCATTTCTAAAGCCCGTAGAATTTTATAGCGCAAAGAACGAACCTTAGTGAATATGAATTTAAAAGATCATTTTGAGGTTGGGGGATCCCAGGAAGAAATTTAAACCATGACCAGAGAATCTAACTGTACTATGAATGTATTAACCACATGGGTAAAAGTGAGAAGAAAAGTTTCCGACTTAAGTGACTTTGGAAATGAGTAAAGTCTATGAAACAAAAGGCAACAGGAACTGCCCATAAACACTGTACTCTAGTTGATAAAGTTATATCCCAAAAATAAGGGCTACCAATGCTGATACTACTTACATGTACACTGGAATTGAACAATTAAATGAATGTCAGATGGTGGAATCCAGGTTTCTCACTGTGGAAGTGAGAATTTATAGACAAACAAGGAGGAGGCTAGAATGATATATGTGGAAAGGAATTAGAGTTAGAGACATCAGTGTGAACTCATGTTTAGCTTAATATGGAAATAAATGGTAACATACATAAATATTTATAGATACATGTATATATGAAGGTTAGCATATGTCCCTATATTCCCTTGCTGTGTCAGCTGTGCAGGTCTAATGAAACAACATCCCAGTAGCAATGAGGACATGTAGCACCCAGATCTTAGGTTCTAATATCATTCTCCAGTGGAAGAAGCCAGGGCTCCCTGGAGAAATGGCTAATTCTAGTACTGGGGCAGGAAATATACATGATAAGCCTAGAGTATCTTATAGAGTCAGATAGTAAGGAAGTGTTTAAAGGAAAACCCCATATTAATGGGAGTGTGTCAAAGGCACCCAGGAGCCACTGAAAAAAGTTCCCAATGACCAAAAGTTGTTAAAGATTGTGTACACCAAAAGAGTTCTTAATGACCAATTTGAAAAACAAAATAATAAAATATTACTGGACTATAACCCAAAGCATATAATAAATATTCATGAGGCCGAAGAGGTGTAAATAAGTGATTAGTAATTACATACATTTATAAATGGGGAGAAGAGACAGTCTTACGGGTGGAAGAGTTCCTAATAATTTATGTAGATATTCTTTCCTCAAGAAGGGGGAGCATAAGTTCTACTCCCGAAAGTGTGAGTTGTGCATAGCAACTATCTTCCAAAAACTGCAGTGTCGAAAGGAAGAAAAAAAGAATAACTGTATAGAGGAGAAACCTGAAAAACACTACCTCAAACAGGTGATCAAGTTCAACATCAACAGCCACAAATCATGTTGATAATATGTGCCTTTGATAAAATGAGATTAAAAAATGGCACTTTACTTCTGTGGTCACTCTTCAAATAATCCATAGCCCTACTCTCATCATGAAAAAAATCATCAAAAAATTCCCAATAAAGGGGTATCCTAAAAAACACCTGACCAGTATTCTCCAAAACTGCCAAGGTCATCAGAGACAACAAAAGGATCAGAAACTGCCACAGTCAAGAGTAAACTGAGACATGCCAATTAAATCTAACGTGGTATCATGGCTGGGCATGGTGGCTCACGCCTGTAATCTTAGCACTTTGGGAGGCCAAGGTGGGCGGATCACTTGAGGTCAGAAGTTCAAAACCATCCTGGCCAACATGGAAAAACCCTGTCTCTACTAAAAATAAAAAAAAATAAAAAAATTAGCCAGGTATGGTGGCAGGGGCCTGTAATCCCAACTGCTCGGAGGCAGAGGCAGGAGAATCACTAGAACCCAGGAGGCGGGGGCTGCAATGAGCTGAGATCGTGCCACTGCACTCCAGCCTGGGTGACAGAGAGAGACTCCATCTCAATCAATCAATCAATATTTTAAAAATAAATAATAAAATAATAAAAATAAATCTAACATGGTATCCTGAATGGACTCTTGGACCAGAAAAAGGACACTAGGTATAAATGAAGCAAATCTGAGTAAAGTATGCATTTCAATATAATAGTGCATTGGATTGGTTCATTAATTGTAACAAATGTACTCTATTAATGTAAGATGATAAAAATAGGGAAAAATGGGTGTGGGGCATATGGGGACCCTCTGTAATATCGTCTAAATGATTCTTTAAATCTAAAAACATCCTAAAAAATTAAGGTCTATTAAAAATTTAAGTTAGATAATGAAAATTTCCTTTAAGCCCTTTAATGTTTCCTATTACTTGCCAGGTAAAATTGAAACTTCATCCTTAGTACTGAGTACCATCTCTTATCTTTCTCCCCTTTCCAACTCACACCTGTTCAACATTTCAGGGGACTTCTCATGTTTCTGCAAAAAAAAAAAAAAAAAAAGATGCCCTCCCACAATTACCTGCTTTAGAGATATTTCTTCTGCATGACATTCCATTATCCTAGATCTCTCTCAGAAAATGGCTTATCTTTGAAGATTCAGCTTACTTGCTCCCTCCTTAGACAAGTCTTCTGTCACCCTACTATAATGGATTGATTGGGAACCTCTTCTCTGTGCAATTTGGCAACTAGAGATTACAATTTAGTCCTGCTTCTCAGTGTGGTCCAGGAGCCAACAGCAATAGGCATTACCAGGGAGCTTGTTAGAAATGCCGAATCTCAACTCATCCCAAACCAAAAGAAACAAAAGTGGCATTTTAACAAGATCTCCAGATTATTTATAGCCATATTACAGTTTAAAATGCTTTGAGTATCTAGAATTTAGCTCTCCTTAAGCCCTTAGCACATGGTTCTCTGGTTGTTTTAATTGCCTGTGTCCTTGCCAAGTTATGAAATCACCTGAGGACAAGGGTTATGTCTCATTTTTTTTCTTTATCTTCAATATGATCACAGTATCTGGAACATTCAGGATAACCAAAATGAATTAATGACTAGCTGAAGGACACATTAAATGAGAGTATGTATTACAAAGCTTTACAGTTTTTATAGGTTAATACCTAACACTATTTTTCCTTGCCAAAATTTGTGAACAACTGAGAGACAGTCAAGGGTCAGAAAGATGATGTACAAAACATCAAATTTATTGCCAACAAAGCAGGTTTGGCAGAACATGGCTTTGTTGTGTAGCTAAGCAGCTTTTTAATACTTTGCCCAGAATTAGGCAGACAAAAAGCTTACCTGGGGTTTCCCTTTGGGGGTGGGGATCTGCTCTTGGAAAACCTAAGGCATGGAGGAGCAGCCCTGCCTTGTGCTTTCTGCAGGCAGAATCCAAAGAAAGTAGAAAGAGAAGTGCCTTTCACCCTGCTCAGCTTCATCTGCCAAACTCACAGTCAGCCCGTCACCCTTCCTTCTGTGTGACCCTGATGAAGAAATAAATACTCCCTGCACCCAGTGGGAAATTCAGAGGAAAAAAGGAGTGAGGAGGAACAAAAGGATAAAAGAGAAATACAACACAAGAACTATGATCATGATGATTTTAACATTTCACAGGGCAGATCATGCACCTGACACTGAGAAAGAATACTGAAAGGTGCTTGATTTTTAGCATGAGGCCCTCCAACCTGCCACACTGTCAATCAAACTAGAACTGCACATGTGGATTCTGAGGGTTTAAAATGCCTCATTCAGCCTACAACCCCAATGAGGACACCCAAACTAAAGGGTGTGGTTACAATCACAGTGTTTTATTTACCGCTGCCAGTGGCCTCATTGTTTTCCAACAACTTCTTCCTCTATTGACTAGAAAATTACATAATATGAAATGTAATGACATCCTTAACCTGTTCAGTAAGTATCAACTCTAAGCAACCAACAGTGATCAGCTAAATTCTGAGGGAGCCAGGGACGTAAAAAGATCCTTTAATGTAGTCTAATACAAAATACAAGGGCTCAGAGTATTGTTATTTAAAGTATTATTTATTCTTTGCCTTTTATATACCATTGAATACTACAAAACTTGTTTTTTTCCTGCAAACCTTTGGGTAATTTACATTATAGTATAATATGTATCCTAATAATTTAATATTAATATTATGTATTATAATTGCTTAATAATCTCATATGTATTATAATCTTCAATCAGGCAGAATGCCATATTCTATAAGTTCCCAAGTCTTTTTGAAATGCCATTTAACAAATGTGATTTAAGGTCCATGTGTGTATTACCCTAAGTGATTAAGATGATGATACTCACTAGTCATACACATTTCAAAAATACACACAGTCAAGTTTATCAACTACCATAATTTTGAAAGTTTTGATTGCTGATAGTATTGTCAAGGAGGAACAGAGTCCTCGAGGCCAGTGGCTTTACCCGTAAGCCTGCAACACATCCTAATGCTCAAGCAGACATGCAAGGCTTGTTTCCCCTGGTCCTTTGGAAAAAGATCTATGTTAGCAACAGAGGATGGGAAACACTTAGCATGCATGGCCATACACCTCTAGCTAGTGCCCTTGGCAGGCATTACTAATTGATCACAGCAGACTTCTCCCTTGACCTGGATGTTGCTTTCTCGAGTCAGAGCTCAGGGCAGCCACTATTAATTGATTGGAGTTTGCATGTGAAATAAAAACTATCTGATATCCCATGGGCTTCTATGAGCTGGAAACTTTCTCTTTCTCCTTCCCCCAACCCCAACCCAAAACATAGCTGTGTGTAGATGCCTCAGCCTCTGATTTGGTTGTGTGTGATCTTTTTCCAATGTCAGCTCAAGGTTTTGATTCTTTACTGTCAGGTTGCCAGCATCTACGGAAGTGTGTGGCATATATTTGTTACAAGAATGAAGGAAGAGGTAAAGGTAGGTGATGAAAATTAATGCAGGGATTATAGGAGAAGACCAGGTCTGGGCAAAGTGGAGGTTTGAGCAATCCCACTACTGGCATTCATTTCCAAAGGCCATGAAATCTGTATATCTAAAGGGTATCTGCACTCTCATGTTTATTGCAGCACTATTCACAATAGCCAAAATATGGAATCAACCTAAGTGCTCATCAATGGATGAATGGATAAAGAACATGTGGCATATGTATACAATGGAATACTATTCAGCCATAAAAGAAAATAAAATGTTGTCATTTACAGCAACATGAATGAGCCTAGAGGATATTGTGTTAAGTGAGTAAGTCAAGCACAGAAAGAGAAATACCTCACGTTCTTGCTCATATGTGGGAGCTGAAAAGTTGAACTCATAGAAGTAGAGTAGAATTGTGGTTATTAGAGGCTGGAAATGGTAGCAGGGAGAAAAGGCGAGGTAGATGTTGGTTAACAGATACAAAATTACAGCTACATAGGAGGAATGAATTCAGTAGTTTTGCTGCACTGAAGGGTGGATACACAATAGCTTACTGTATATTTTCTCCTTTTTGAGATGGGTCTTACTCTGTTGCTAAGGCCGAAGTGCAACAGCTATTCACAAGTGTGATCATAGCTCACTATAGCTGCAAACTCCCGGGCTTAAGTGTTCCTCCTGTCTCAGCCTCCTGGGTAGCTGGGACTCAGCACGCCACCACACCCAGCTAGTATATTTCAAAAAGTTAGAAGACAGGATTTTGAATATTTCCCACATAAATGATAAATATTTGAAATGATAGATATAATTACCCTAATTTGATCATTACACATAGTATACATGTATCAAAATCTCACTCTGTTGCATAAATATGTACAATGATTATGTATCAACTAAAAGTTAAAGGAAAAAAAAGACAAGCTTTGAAATCAAATAATACAACAATAACAAAGTTCAGGTTTGGACTGACTGAGCCTAAAGTATCTGTGAGGCATCTTCCTCCCCTGACACCCTCTGCTACCACACAGACCCCGGGAGCACAGGAGGTATGCATGGTTCAGAACAGGGCCTGGAAGCTCACACAGGTCCAGTCAGTATTTGTTGATGGAGGCTGAATTCATAAGCCCATGGACTGTATGTATCTGGAGAGCAGAAGGGTCTGGATTAGCAGCAGAGATCTGAGAGGCATTCAAGGGAAAGTCAAAGGGAGAGCTCTGGGTGAATAGAAAATAACCAGATAGGATTCATCCTTTATTGATGAAAGTGCTGGATGACAGTTTTATCATTTCAACAACCCAAGCTGAGACTTTAAGAAAAATATGAACTTTTGCTCTTTGAAATGGATTAATTGGCCATACAATATAACCTTGCAAAAACACAGAAAATACCCCATCGAGACTAAAACATGTCAAGGAAAAAGACTTTTGGAGAGCTATAGATGTAATAATATAATTACAAATACTTATAATAACAATTATATACTACATATTTATTACATTTGTTATAATATCACATATTATGTTATATTGTAAATATATTTATAGAAATAAAACTGGGCAAAATGTCTTTGGAAAATCAAGTGCACTAGAACCACAGCCCACCATGAGTACTCAAAAATTTAAAAACTGTGTCTAAGTTTAGGCAGGCTGAGGAGGTTGTTAAGGATTCACAACAGATCTCAAAACTTTGGATGGCTTCTGTGCAAACACCCATCCAGGTCTGATGGCTGCTGATACAATGACATGCTCCAGTGTATGGCACACTATATAGTGTCCAGGGAAGACTGCAAAGTATTTCTATACCTATTTTTTTAAGTACAGTGCATTGTACTACATACAGAATTAAATATTGTTAAATTATGCAGGAAAATCCTTTAGGTACATAATGCCATTTGATTGTATCTTTTCGTTTGTTTGTTTTTGTTTTTGAGATGGAGCTTCGCTCTTGTCACCCAAGCTGAAGTGCAATGGTGCAATCTTGGCCCACTGCAACCTCCACCTCCTGGGTTCAGGCAATTTTCCTGCCTCAGCCTCCCAAGTGGCTGGGACTACAGGCATGCACCATTATGCCCAGGTAATTTTATATTTTTAGTAGAGACAGGGTTTCGCCATGTTGACCAGGCTGATCTCGAACTCCTGACCTCAGGAGATCTGCCTGCCTCAGCCTCCCAAAATGCTGGGATTACAGGCGTGTGCCACCGCGCCTGACCTTGATTGCATCTTTTAAGCTGCGATCGGATGACCCTGTTACACAAGATCTTCATTTATTATTAATCTTACATCTATTTCCTAGCACCTATATAACATAACTGTCCTGAATGCCAGCATGTCACCAACAAGACAAAGCTCTTGCCATTGGGAAAATACAACCTAAACAAAATTATTATCACTGAGGAAGAAAGAAAATATTGGTCTAGCAATAAGAATGTTATCCCTCGGCATTTCTCAGGGAGTTAGTCACCAGATGGGAAATCCAGCCCATGGCGAACTCCTTCTTAGTGGTCATTCACCCCAAGAATTTCCCTGGGACTTTGCTCTGTCATGTAATTAATCACACACTAGGCCTGCAATCTGATGTTCACTTTAGCTTTATTTACAAGAGTAAGATCAAAGGAAAAACAACAAAAAAAGAGAGAGACAAAGATGGGGGGAAGGGAGGAGAGGAAGTGGGCAGAAAGAAGGAAACAGAAAGAAAGAAAACAGAAAGAAAAGATGTCACTATAAAGGGCCAACATCTGGGGAAATGGGCAGACAAACTATATTACGTTCACATGACAGAAACTATATGGCTGCCAAAATTTTCTTTTCAAAAAACTTAATATAGGGAAATCCTTCTACTAAATGTTAAATTTTTAAAAGCAAAATTTAAAGCCATATCTATCAGATAATTGCAATTTTATTTGAAAATATTTATCATACAGAAAATGACTATAGAAGTGAAAATAGTAATTATAACTTGGTAACTGTACTTGTGGATTATTTTATTTTCTTCTATGTGTCTTCCTGTATTTATTTATTCATTTTTTTGAGATGGAGTTTTGCTTTTGTTGCCCAGGCTGGAGTGCAATGGCACAATCTCGGCTCACTGCAACCTCCGCCTCCTGGGTTCAAGCGATTCTCCTGCCTCAGCCTCCCAAGTAGCTGGGACTACAGGCATGCGCCACCATGCCTGGCTAATTTTGTATTTTTTAGTACAAAATTAGACAGAGTTTCTCCATGTTGGTCAGCATAGTCTCGAACTCCCGACCTCAGGTGATTGCTCGCCTCAGCCTCCCAAAGTGCTGGGATTACAGGCGTGAGCTACCGCGCCCAGCTGTCTTCCTGTATTTATTATCCTGTAGTGCTCTCCAAACAAGCATGCTTTATTTTAAAAAGTAAAATAACAAATGCTACATTTAAAAAATACATCTGATTATCTTTTGTGGTTTTTAAATACATGTAAAGTACTCAACCAAGATTAAAAAGTGTGAGGTGTTGGGGCTCAGAAACCAATACACCAAAATATGGGGTTTTGACACATGCTGAACTGAAGCAGGCCCCTCTGACCATTCGCCCCACCCCCACTGTCTCTCCCAAATTGTAGGATAAAGTTGTTCTCTGAAGTTTCCCTTTCTGCCTGTAGTCCAGATCCCCCGAAGAAGAAAACAATGTCCTCCGGTTGGTCCCTTCCCTGAGTTTTCACTAACCGTACTCCCGTCAGAGGAAAGAAGATTAAAGTCTGTCAACAAACCTGGACAGACTTTTGTCACAAACCATTTTCTGCTCCGCGGGCCCAAGAGGCTTTGTTCAAAGCCACTGTATGTTCTGTGAGCCTGTGGAATCCTCCCTTGTCATCACTGATTACCCCTCAGCTGAAATCTTCATTTCCCTTTCCCATAACCTGTTTTGCCAGGATCCAAGCCTCCATTCTTTCTGTAACCTCAAGACATTGTATAAGCTTCTGCACCCCATGAGGGGGTGAGTCTTCATTCTGAAGGCTCTGTGTATACACATTAAATAAATGTGCCTGCCTTTTCTCCAATTAACCTGCTTTTGCAAGTTGATATTTCAGCAAACTTACAGAGGACCAAGGGGAATCCTTGGACTTTACAGGTATTTCCTTGATGGACAGCAAAAAGATAACTTGAGTTATTAATATATAATTCAAACATATGTCCTAACGCATATGACATATTCTAATTAGGAATCACTAACATATACTTTGTAAATAGGAACCATAGAACCCATGCGATTTGACATAGTGTGTCTATTTAGAGTCTAGTATATTTCATCATCTCAGAATCGAGCATGTTAAGACAGAATAACAGTAATATCACCAAAAATGAGTTTTAGAAATATAAATATCCTCAGCGCTCCCCCCCTCAATATTTTATTGGTGGTCTTGTTATTTATAGTGAACTACTATCATGTAACAAAAGCCACCAATGAAAAAGGAATACATGGATGTTGTTATCTTCTCAGGAAAGGTTTTCAGGTAAGGCTGGTGTCTACACTGCAGTTTTATTTCATGACCTCCTCATCCCTGTCTGGGTGAGACAGCCCCATAGGAGCTGGTAGACTTGATGGATTATCGAGGCTGAATAGAAGGGCCGGATAATGCAGCTCTGTGTGCTTGGTCAAAGACTCCAGGATCACAGCTTAGACCCTCTTTTTCTGCTCTCTTTTTGTCATCCTATCTCCCGTGGCCTCCAAAGTGTCCCCAGCACCTCTAGCTTATTCCCCAGGGACCTCCACGGGCCATGCACAGAACAGGGCAGAAATGCTGGTCTGATGATGGTGTGTTTCCCAGTGCCATTCCAGAGCTGCCAGCTTTATCTCGCACCCTCTCTAAAGCTTCCCCCAATCCCAGAAGCCCACACACATGCTTTGTAAAAGCGACTGTCTGCAGCTAGGCACACCAGGGCGGGAATGGAGCAGTGGGAACCCCTCCTGTGTTCACAGCTTTCTGCTTGGGGACTGGCTGCTTTGGTATTGGCCAGAAATTGCCTAGTCAGAGCCAGGCCCTGGGAAGAAGTGCTAGGCAGAGACGGCCCCGACCATCACGGCATCAGCACCATTTTCATCTGCTAATACAAGGCATTTAAAGGCTCCAGAGAACTCACCTGCTTCAAGAAGCTTTTCCAGGATCACTCTCAATGGAGGACCTCGATTCTTGCCCATTTACTGACTTTTATCAACTCTATGGCTCTACTCTGACCTGGCTAGCTCACTCACTCCATCTATCTTCCTAGCTACCTACCTATCATCTATCTACCTATCATTTATCCACCCTGTGACCTTTAACATTTCTGCTTATGTTTCCAAATTTATCACTATTGTAAAACTATCCAGTGGACTCCCAAAACTATGAGGCAGTCCTTCTCGAAGGGTGGTCCCCGGACCAGCAGTGTCAGAATTACCTGGGAACATGTCAGAAATGCAAATGTCCAGGTTCCGCCCCAGACCTACTAAATTAGAAACCCTGAGAGGGTTTAAAAATAAGCCACCCAGGTGATGCTGATTCGTGCTCGGGATTCAGAGCTATGGCCGCAGGGATTTAACACCCACCAGTATCCATTTAAATATATATATATAATCATAAGCTCTTTTTTAACAGTTGGAAAATTCATATCATTATTTTTGCTCCTTGGACTCTTCTTCCACAGATTTTTATCACAATGTAATACATTTTTCAGGCTTGAGAGTCTTTTGTTTGTTACTCTATCACACTTCTCTGGAATAAAGTTGTATACAGAAATATTATCACTTAAAAAAAATTTCTGTCTATAAGATACTAAATATTAAACGTTTTTTCTAGCTGTTATATATTATAATTTATGAAACATCAAAATTTTCATAAATCTTATTCAAATAAAATATTACAAATTCATCTCCTAATAAGATGAGTGAGAATCTCTTTATTCTCAGTAGTTCACATATCCTCGGATGAAGTAATCATCTTGCTTACTGCACGAATGAGCTGGGAGTCAGCATCATTTCTATTCTTATTTAACACTAAATGTTGAAAAACTGTGTTTGCATAAATAAGTTGATGAGAACAGAAGTTTTGTTAAAATAGTTCTTTCCCAATTAATTGAATCTTTTCTAAACTATACAACCAAAACTGTATAGTAATCTAGCATTGGAAATTATTTTTAAAACCTAAAAACGTGACTAGAATCCTCTTCAACTTTGTTGAAAGAGAAGAACTAGAGCCTGCTTATGTGGTAACAGAATGTTACCCCGCTATTAAAAGCGTTCTTGTAATTTTTGTAATTTCTGGAATATATATGCCCCCCAAATATTGACCAAGACTTATCAAATGACTTTCCTGAAGATGTACCTTTCTTAATATACACATTTGGGAAAATCAAATGTTGTGATTTGTATTATTGTGTAGTGATTTTTAACTAGAATATCCATGTCTATGATGATGGCTGCACTGTAAAGCTTCTACTTAAGGGAATGGCATTGGCACAGCCCCTAATACAGGTCATGGTCCCTGGATATGTGCAATGTGGTGGCCCTAACATGCTTTTGCCTTATCAGTTACTTAAAATATATTTTCATTAAAATTAAGCACGCAACTCAGTTTATGGAAAATAACCTTCGTGTTGTCTAATTAGCCAAATGAGGAATCGTTGTCAGCCCAATCAAGTCAGCCTTAATTTCTGTCAGAGGGGGGGAAAAAAGTGTGACTTAATTTTGAGTTAAAAGTGTTGATACGTACCCCTTGACCAACCCTCTTGCTTCTGAATTTGTAACTGGACACAGACATAAACAAGCAGAAGATGCTTGCTGTGCATTGCCAACCACACGAAATAAGGGGCAACAGTTTTCATGCTAAAACCTTAGCCTCAGTTGTCCTGGGGCTCATCCTCCTGAGCAAGGCATCCTTTACCAACAATCAGGACGTAGAAGAGAGGTCATTAAAAACAAAACAGAGCAAAGCACCCTTTCCACTACCCACTCTGACATAGATCTGAACACAGTCCATTCAAAAACAGGACAAAGCCCTTCTTTCTACCAGGCCTCACTCGACAAAGTGTGCGTAGCCCGGGGAGATAAACGTGGGCGTCTCTGCACTGTCATGGGTTGGATGATGGTCCCCAGAAAGATATGTCCACCGCCTAATATGCAAAGCCTATGAATGTGAGTTTACTTGCAGATGTAATTAAGTTAAAGATCTCAAGATGAAATCATCCTGGATTATGCTGGGGGCCCCTCAATCCGGTCACATGTGTCCTCATAAGAGACATTCAGAGGGAGACAGATAGACAGGGAGCAGAACACAAGGCCCTGTGAAGACAGAGGCAAAGACTGAAGTGATGCAGCCTTGGGCCAAGGAATGCCTGGAGCCCCCAGAAGCCGGAAGAGGCAAGGATCCCCCATAGAACCTCCACAGGGAGTGTGACCCCGCTGGCACCTTCATTTCGGACTTCTGGCCTCCAGAACTGTGAGAGTATAAGTTTCTGTTGTTCTAAGCCACCAGGCTTGTGGTACTTTGCCTTGGCAGCCACAGGACGCAGACACAGGCATTCAGGCTGAAGGAGGCTTGCCAAAGCCAGTCTTCCTCACTGCATAGCATCTGCTGCTTCTCAGCTTCTTGGAAGATGCCAGATGAGCATGCCCTTATTTCATATCGTAAGGAAAGGTGATTATAAAAAGGGGATTGAGAAAGCAAAACTGGCATGAAGACTGAAGAAGTGAAGCAAAAGCATCTTCTAAAATGGCCAGGCTGGGGCTGGCCAGGTGGGGCCTGTGTTCCAGTTAAGGACAGGCGGAACCCTTACATGCATGTTACTTGGTAAAACAAACTGAGATGTTTGATGCTTTCTTTGAGATCTGAGTTTCTGGTTCTATAAATAGGAACTTACATGAATTTAGACTTAAAAAGAAAAAGTCCCCTAGAGTCCTTGTCCCTTAATAATGAAGCAGAGAATCAGGTCTGGGCAGATCAGATCATAATTTCCAGAAGGATAAAACAGGGATGACATATTCTCCACCCCAGACCCCTTTGCACTTTGGGTTCAAATTAGTCATCTCTTCTCCAGGGTTTGGAGTCCATGGAGTTCCATTCTCAGCTGTCCTCTCATCCCCATGAAGAGGAGCCATGGGCTTGGCCTTGTCTCTGGGCTTGTGTCCTCATCGGGCTCCGCAGTCTGCATCTCATGCTCACTCCAGCTCCAGTGATGATCAAAGTTTGTGTTTCTCCCTTGGTTCGTGTGAAAGGACATCTGCACTCTACGTGCTTGTCAGAGCGCATCTGCAGCTCAGCACCAAGCCAGGATCACCGGCTAGTAGTTCAGAGGCCAACTATATACATAGGACTGCCTGAGGGATACAGTGCACCCTTGCTCCAGATTGGTACTTCTGAAAATGGAAGGCCACACACTTTCAGAGCCTGGTGAAGGAATGGACTTTCAACCATGTGCTACACAATCATATTTTTGTGTTCAATTTTATGGAGGTACACAGACGCTCCCCCAACAAAGTCCATTCCTATGAATCCCAGTGGTTGTAGATATCCTCAAAGTTATCCAGACCATCAAAAAGCTGTACACCTGGTCAGAAAATTTATTTCCCTGTTAAGATGTTCATCCCAAACTGCACTTTAGTCTCCTGCCATCTGCTTCCAGTAAGGACTCCTGAACAAAAGTGCTCTGCCCTTCCTCACTTGCTTTGCAGTAGAACTACTGTGAATGATGTTCATCCTAATATAGGGCATTGTCTTCATGACATAATGAGAAGACCTTCTCCCAGATCTGCAGGCCTAAAAGAGCCAGGCCTCCTTGGATAAGCATTTATGTTGGCAGAGTCCATGACTCAGCATGATATCCTTTATGTGATGCGGAGCTGGATTTGCTGATCTCCTCTTTGTAGATAAGCCTCGTCCTGGCCATATCTTTTTTTTCCCTCAACCCTGATTTCCTCACTTATTTCTTTAAAAATTTATTCACCAAGGAAGATGACAATATCTGGGGCACATGCTGAAGGCGGCTCATTTGGTTTATCTCTCTCTATGGAGTTTTCCTCTCTCTTTTCCTCCTGCTCCTCTCCTCTCCCATCAGACACTTCCACCCAGCCATTTCCAAAAGAAGAGCTTTCAAGGGCTACTCCTCATCACTGCATGAACCTCTCTGGGCATGAGCAAAACACTCCACAGAGATTGACAGGTGCAGCTGAGATGGCTTTCTGCCTTCATCCCCCAAAGTGAAAAACAAATAGGTATTAATATAAATTCTGATGAATATATAGATTGTACAATGCTTATTTTAAAAATTTGGTCTCTTGGCCAGGCGCGGTGTCTCATGCCTGTAATCCCAACACTTTGGGAGGCCAAGGTGGGTGGATCACTTGAAATCTGGAGTTCAGGACCAGCCTGACCAACATGGTGAACTAAAAATACAAAATTTTTAGTTCTCTACTAAAAATACAAAATTAGCCAGACATGGCGGCACATGCCTGTAATCCCAGCTACTCGGGAAGCTGAGGGAGGAGAATCGCTTGAACCTGGGAGGAGGTGGTTGCAGTGAGCCAAGACCACACCATTACACTCCAGCCTGGGCAATAAGAGCAAAACTCCATCTCAAAAAAAAAAAAAAAAAAAAAAAAGAGAGAGAAAAAGAAAGAAAGAAAAATAAATTTGGTCTCTTGCAGACATTTGCAAAAGCTTCCTCAAGTCTGTTTTTTTTTTTAAATAAAGAGGCATAATAATAATAAACAGACAAATACATTTCTTAAATTTCTATTATCTGTATCCCTTGTCCAGTAATAATACCATGATCTCTGTCTTGATGCTTTCTGTCCCCAGAGTAAGACTGCCGACTACGTTGCCTTTTAAAAAAATAGGTATATCACACAGCTGCAGTTAACTGACGCTTGGTCAGTTAGACTGGTTTTTATACAGTGTTGGTTGTTACATAGCAGTTTAAATAATATGGCCAGTTGTTATGCTCAACAACAATTTAGAATGCAATACATTTCAATAGAATTAAACTGGCTATTATAACGCAATAACCCTCACCTCCAGGTGTATCTTCAAAGAAATTACAAAAGTAAATTGAGAAGAACGAGCTTTTTAGTTTTTCCCCTGAGAGATATCCAATTTTAACAAAGCTATTACTGGTCTAGTGTTATCACATGGAAAACTGATTCTTAGTAATTCACAAACGAAGGTTTGTAACTAATTAGGTCCCCTTTGCCAAAATTAAGACACAAACCAATTACAAAATTGACACTTTTAAGTGTAGCATCAAAAATGTTTGCAGCTGTTGGCAATAAGAAAGCAGACGACAAATTGTAACAATGAAAAAAAACAAAATCAAACACATTTTAATGCATGAAAATGTGGAGGAAGTTAATAAGAGATCAAAGGGAAATGATTTTCCGTAGTTACAAATCAAACAAGACATAAACCAAAAATGACTTATTGTCTTTAGCTTAGGAGCCACCAAATCAGAGCCCTGAAAAACATGTTTTTGTACACAAAAAAGTAAAAGAATAAGAAAATGGGATTTTGTTACCCTAC
Organism: Homo sapiens; assembly: GCF_000001405.40. NCBI lineage: Eukaryota > Metazoa > Chordata > Mammalia > Primates > Hominidae > Homo > Homo sapiens. The sequence continues at coordinate 9,694,465 of NC_000005.10, forward strand.
TTACAAAACAAAGATTTTCTTAATTTGGGCTTCAATCATTTTAATAGGTGCCATTTTGTGTTTGAAGTATATTTCCTCCTTTCGTGGCCCATCAATCTGTGAGAGAAAAATGTCAAAGGACCATTTTCTTTCTAATGAGTTTCTATGTCTGTTCTTAATTGTAGATCTTTCATGTTACCTTATTTTAAATCTACCGTAACTCATGATATATTTTGCCAATAACTTATGTCAGTTATAACATAAACATTGAGGAGTTTGGTATGAAAAAATTAATAACTGTTGAAACAATTCCTCTCAATTTCTTTTTATCAAATTGCTTAGTTCAATTTTGATCATTAATATCCCATGGGGGTCATTGCACAGAGTTGCCTCTTTCTGTAGAATTCACCAGTGTTTTAATTTTTATCATTTTATTTCACTATTAAAGGATTTTTCTCAAATCCATGATATCATTCAGTGTTTTATTCTTGAGCTCTAGGAGTAGGTTAAACGATATGTAAAATCCTTTCTCCTTCCAGTTCATGGTGCTGATTCTAGCATTAACCACCTGGGTCAAATCCCAAGGGCACTGTTTACCTGCTGTGGGACTTAGGGCGGTTACGCACCAGTACATGACTTCTATCTAAAAAGGAAGGAAGAATGTTACTGATCTCACAGAGCAGATTAAAACAATTCAATCACTCATGCCTAGTCCATGGGAAGCTCCTAACAAAATCACTGCTATCATTGCTGTTCTGACTATAATTAGTAATAACATGATTACTGTTTTTGTAGTTTTAGTTGTCATCTTGCTGTAGTCCTGAGAAAGCCTCAATTCCCTTCTCAATAAAATAATGTTGAAGATTCAGGGAAACTTTAAAATTTATAATGAAACGAACAAAAAAATCTTGGATGAAGTCCAAGTTACATTTCTATTTTTGGCCTGTGGAAGAAGTTTGCACCAACTCTCGGTAGATGGAACTGGGTTGAGATAAATTTAGGTAAATAAAGGTTGGACGACCTTTGATGTTCCCTACAGAATCCACTAGAAAGGGTGAGGCAAGATGGGCCTAGATGCTGCATTTTGAAGATCTGAAGATGGACAAACCTTTCTCTGATCATTTAAAAAGCGGCTTGGGTGCACTGGGGGTGGGAGTATGGCTGCATAGAGTCCAGAGACCCAAACTTGGAGAATTGCCAGGTCTCCACGACTCTACCCCTGAGGATGGCCTCTGGAAGGAAAAAGACCACAACCAAACACTGAGAAAGTACTAGGGGACGTCATCTTGAGACCTCAGCTAGGGTACATGCCTCAGTCAGAAATTAACCACGGCAACTGGAGCCTGACTCTGAATGGAGCCTGAGAGGCAGGAGAAGAGGCAGCCAGAAGCCATGAGAAGCATGGAGGGAAAGGCTTCTGGAGAAGTGAAGAGACGATACATAAAATTTGTTTTTAATGTGTGATAAAAACATTTTATAAAGTGATGAGCTGCATTAGGGTGGGAAATAAAGTAAATTATATGGTGGATGAATTCAAGTGTGCTACTGGCTGTGCAGAAGAAAAGACAGGCAAGACAGAAAATAATAACCTAATGAATAACCTGTTTGGAAAGTTTCAGATTGTATAACAAAGCCAGAGGGAGAGTAAAACATTTGCAGTTTCTCCTATGACCCGGTAGAGTCAATATTCAAAAAAAAATTTTAGTATTACCTTTAAAAATAAGAGGTTAAACAATTTTTGAAAAAACTTAAAACTGATAAAATATTTGACATGACCACTGGCTCAAAATGAAATCAAAACCATAGTTATAAGGTATAAATATATTAAACATGAGATCTGATGCGGTAGCTCACGCCTGTAATCCCAGCACTTTGGGAGCCTGAGGGGGGCAGATCATTTGAGGTCAGGAGTTCAAGACCAGCCTGATCAACATGGTGAAACCCTATCTCTACTAAAAATACAAAAAAATTAGCCAGGCGTGGTGGCACGTGCCTGTAATCTCAGCTACTTGGGAGGTTGAGGCAGGAGAATCGCTTGAACCCAGAAGGCACAGGTTGCAGTGAGCTGAGATCATGACACTGCACTCTAGCCTGGGTGACAGAGCGAGATGCCATCTCAAAAAATAAAATAAAATAAATAATAGAGTAAAATAAAAATAAAAATAGAATATAAAAAATTAAAGCATATAGCCAAGTATGTAATCAGAGGGACATTCATGCTTTAAATGCTTTCATTACAGATGAGATGAAACAAAGTGAACTAAACAAACTACTAAAGAAATTCGCAAGGCCGGGTGTGGTGGCTCATGACTGTAATCCCAGCACTCTGGGAGGCCTAGGCAGGCGGATCACCTGAGGTTGGGAGTTTGAGACCAGACTGACCAACATGGAGAAACCCTGTCTCTACTAATAATACAAAATTAGCCAGCCGTGGTGGCACATGCCTGTAATCCCAGCTACTTGGGAGGCTGAGGCAGGAGAATTGCTTGAACCTGGGAGGTGGAGGTTGCTGTGAGGCTAGATCACGCCATTGCACTCCAACCTGGGCAACATGACTGAAACTCCGTCTCAAAAAAAATAAAAAAAGAAGGAAGAAATTCACAAAAGGCACTGCACAGGAAGGAGGACGAGGAGAAGGAGAAAGGAAAGAAGGAAGAGAAGGAGAGAAAGAAATAACACAATTGCAAGGGAAGCCTTTTAATTTGAACTAAATCTGAAAGACACCTTTTTTGTTTAAAAAAAAAGACAACCTCTTGAAACAAAAAAAGACAAACAAAAATTTTAAAAATCAGGAAAAAGAAAAAAGGAAATTGTCCTCAAAAATACAAAATTTTGTTCACGTTCAAAATACTGCATCTGATATCTAGGCTTTAGAGGTAGATCATTTTATAGATGAGTTCTTTGAACCTCCAAAGAAAGAATTAGTTCATATAATAGATAAATTATTCAGGGCATTAAAAAAAATAGAACCAAGTTACCCAGTTCATTTTATCAAGCTAGTAAAGGCACATTAGGCCAAAGAGTGACAAATACAACACAGAATAAATTAAAGTTCAAGTCCAATTTCACTTGGAAATACAGATGTTGAACACAATTCAACTATTCATGAAAAAATAATCTGCCCCATAAAGAATTATTGATCCTATTAATGCAAGACTAGTTTAGTATGAGAAGATAGATATTTTTGTATGTTTAGAGATCCAATATGAAAAACTAAGAATCCTTCTATTTGCCAAAAAATGTTCAAAGAATTTCAAAACTATTTGCTATATTTTAAAAGTGCAATAACAAATAGAATACTTTATAGACATCATTTTACAAATCTCACACCAGCAGCTATTATGCTTAATTTTAAAATGTTAAAGACATTCTGGTTAAAATCAGGAATAAAATAATCATTGTTATTATTTTATATAATTCTAGTTTACACAGTAAGATGTGGAAATAAAGAAAAAAATCACTAAGAAGGTTAAGATCAAAGTTATTAGCAACTGCAGAAAAAAAAAAGATTTTAAAATCCAGGAAAATTATTTAAAAAATTTCTGAGCATTAGGAAGAAAATTCAATAAAGCAACAAGAAGAAAACATCAGTCTCTACCTCACCAATATAAAAAATCCTTAACAGGTGGGGATATTTTCACAAACATTAGTAATATAAAGCACTAAGGAATAAATTCATTTTTTAAAAAACCATTTTATTATGAAAAATAAGGAACAAAAGGCTATGTTCTCAGACTGGAACCTGTTGAATATTTTAATATGTCCATTTTCCTCAGTGAATATGTAGTTCTAATGGAATTCTAATCTAAACCCCAATGTATTTTTTCCTGGAACTTCAAAAATATGACTCAAAAACCAAAAGAATGAGATTGTACAAATGGCTTAGGTATTTTGTATTAATAGTTTTCAAGTGGATTATTTATGTTTGATCACTACAGCAGTATCATAAAATAACTCGCGTGACATTCTCAAATGTTGTCAACATGATGTCAAAGTTGGCATCCCAAAATTCCTGAGCGATATTTTTCAATGGTTGTACAGAAAGCATCTTTCTGTTAAAGTTGTCGTGTTTTATCTTGTTTTTAACAAAGCTGAGACAAATTTTCCCACTGACTTTCACTCACAGTTCAAAAATGTGCTCTTACAGGAAAACCTAAAAGAGGGGAAGGGAAATAGCCTCCAGACACATAAACACACCCGAGAAGTCAGATGAATTCTATTTAACAACAACAAACAAATTCCTAAGTATTATACTCTATAAAGGCAGAGTGTCCTGGAAATGCCATCTGGTGCCGTGCAATCTGGATTCCTGTGAGTGCCAGGGACAAGTGGCTGAACCGCAATGAGATACGGCCAAACACCAGAAACTTCACGAAAGAATATTATCTTGTAAATGTGTTCAGAGAAAATAATTTTGTCCATGCTGTTTCTGTGTGTGTGTTTTAGATTAATCTTTCCCAATATTTTATACAGCATATAAAGCATATAGCGTATCAAGTATATAAAGTATATATATTGAAAATGGAGTGGCATCCTGTTTCTGTTTTTACAATAAAGGAGACACTTCTTGAGAACTAAGCTCAAAACAGTTCCTGGCTCACTCAGAGTCCTTAGTACTTAACTGTAGGAATTTCAAAATGATGAATGTCAGATGGTACAATACAGAAGAATAGAGGTAAATTGTGAAGTCAGAGAGAATGAATCCAGATGCAAGAACATCAATTCGTTCTCACAGTTGCCTGCAAACTATGGACTAAACACAATGATTAGAATATCTATTTCATGTAAACATGCTAAATAATCGAACATGTAAGTTCAATCAGAGATGCAATTAACTCTGCACACCAAAAATCAAAGTGATGAAGCTGAGCATTCGCGAATTGAATCAGTTCCCTTCGACGCTTTCATGCTCCCATTAATATGTAGCTGATGCCACTTTCTGACTTCGAAGGACGATTTATTCTTCTGAGGATGATTTATATGAGTTGAAATGATACACTTCTATTTTATTACTTGTGCCTACTGACCTTGAGCCACTACCAAGTCACAGAGATTCACATCAAAAGCCAAAGTCAGATTCTGTCACCAAAACTCATGGTCTCAGGGATTCTGTGATTTTTTTTTTCTGGCATCTAAACTCTGTCTATAAACACACTGTCCTTGTGGACTGTAATTACTCATAGAAGGACCAAGTGCTGCTTTTATGAAGTCTCTGATGTTTGCCATATCTCTGGACAGTCGTGATAGGAACCTGATGAGTTGAAAGCTGACTGTCCGTCAGCCACCTTGCCTTTCTTCTTTCTACAAGCCTATATTATTTTAATTGCAGTATGCTGCTGCTGATTCTTAACTACTTTGCCCTCTACAAAGACATTATTAGCTAAAGCCCTGTAGCATCTTTGAAGTAATGATTCATTTTTTTCTTAAATCAACATAAAGTTAGCGGACTCCCTGGGGCATTCTCAGCCCAAGGAAGAATCACAAGTATGCATCCCTGACAAAAAAGAAGCAAGTCTGTTTTTTCCCAAAGTTCTTCAGAAAAAAAGTATCCCATAATTTATCAGGTAATGCATTCCAGTGTCTTTATTAACTCAAAAAAAAAATCTGGTGTTTAACCTTATGCCAATGTGTGAAAAACAGAACTTCACTATACCTTACACAAACAAAGCTAATCCATAGAATCCTGAACACAATGAGGCATTTCCTCATCCATTCCACCACTGTCTTTTCATCAGGATTCTGAGTAAGTTGATTTTTTAAAAATGACCCTGATTCAGTATCCAGCTTAGGGTTCCTAACATTGAAATGGAATCATTCATCAAGGTCACAATTATGAAATAATGAGGTTTCCAGACTAGAATCTATGTGTTTACCTAGTTTCGTTATAGGCCCAATTTAACAAGTAATACGAATTGTGATCTTAGGTAATGTAGACTTCTATTACAGACCAGCCATAGATTCACGGAAAATATACATGCTACCCTGGAGGTGCCCTTCACTATCCTTGCACCCATTTTCTATTTTCCACCCATGCACCCCATTTTCCACCCATGCACTTGGCCAGGAAGCAGCAGAAAAGAGAGATTAGGAAGGCCTTTCTCAGGAACTCAAATCTATATCGCATGATCACTCAGGAGCGTTGGGATATAATGCGCTTGCTTGCTAGGACACCCGTAACAAAGTACCACAGATGGAGTGGCTTAAATTACAGCATTTTGTTTGATCACAGTCCTGGAGGCTAGAAACCCAAGATCAAGGTGTCAGCAGGATCAGTTTTCTCTGTTTTCTCTGTGGACTCTCTCCTTGGCCTGTAGATGACCGTCTTCTCTCTGTCTTCATGTGGCTTCTTTCTGTGCATGTCTCTGTCCTCATCTCCTCTTCTTATCAGGATGCCGGTCATGTTAGATTTAAGACCCATCCTAATAACCTCATTCTTAACTGAATTACCTCTTTAAAGACCCTGTTTCCAAATACAGTCACATTCTGAGGTTATGGGAGTTAGGACTGCAACATATCAATTGTGTGCAAGTGAAGTGTGGGGACACAATTTAGTTCATAGCATAGAGAAAGCATCAGCATTGCAGCAACATTTCTCAAAAAAATGATGGAGTTGTTCAACACTCCTGACACAGGTGAACCCCGCTGGCAAATTAGTTTCTCAAAAGCGGAAGTGGGCAGAACAAATTATATTTCCTTATGTGTGTGTGTGGAGAAGGGGAGACAAGGGATTCAAGCTGAACAAGATTATTATTTCATTAGCAACATGGCAGACACGCAGACACACACACACACACACACACACACACACACACACACACACACACACACACAGTCTTATAATCATATTCATCTGTTTCTTCCCGGACCCCTCCTTCCAATGAAATTCCTTCTCTTTACCCATCTGGCAACAAGATGAATGGCAGCTTTTCTAGCTCTAGGTTGAGTAACTTTCAGTTACTGCAGGGAGCAAACTGCCTTTCTGACAAGAAGAATGAAATATGAAAGGGTGACATTGGGTGTTTCAAAACTCCTCCTCAGTATCTTACAGATATTGCACGTGCTTATAACCTGGTACAATGACAAAGGAAAAAAATGCCTGTTTCTCTGGGAAGCAAGAACCACCATCAATAGACTGACATGAACTAAAGGAAATCTAAATGCTAGAAATGATCAATGATGATTAGACAAATACTAATTTTAAAGCATATCTATGTGTATTGACTGCAAATACTTTTGTAAAGTTATTCCTTCGTATATTGAACAATTTTCTCCAGTTCTTATCATAACAGTTTTTCACATGTTCTATATAGTTTATAAGATAACTAAACTTTTCCCAAATCAAGTTTACACACCAAAATTATAGTTCCTCTTCTTTCTTGCAGTCATATTGTTACCATTTATAACCAAAATTTTGCAAAAAGTGAAGAGAATCCTTTTTTTTAGAATGAACAATTTCTTAATTTAATATAAAGTTTCTGTTAGAGTGAGATTAATGTGATGTACAGGGGCAAAACTGCCCAAAAGGTCATTTTATGTAGATAACAAAACAGAAGTTAGATTTCCCATCTTCAGAAACATTTAGGACGATGTTGAGCATGAAATCCACTCCTAGAGCTGTATGTTTTAGGTTCTCTCATTTCTCCAAGTCAGTCAGTTTAAAGGCTCTATTCTTCTTGTTTCCCTTAAACCTTGGAATACTCTTCCAAATAAAAATCTATCAAAGACCTGTCCAATAAGTGCCAAATACTTCTAACAATTTTGCATGTGTGGGTGTAAAACAAGGCATTTATTCATTAACTATGTATTTATTAAACTCTTACTCTTCTAGTGCTAAGTCACTGCTCCTGAACCAGGGAAAATTTTGCAACCCGCCCTCAGGACATTTGTGATGTCTGCAGACATTTTCATTATCACACTGGTTGGGGGAGAGGGTTGCAACTGGCATCTAGGTAAAGACCAGAGATGCTGCTAAACATCCTAAAATGCACAGGACAGCCCCTCCACCAAAGAAATATCTGGTCCAAACTGCCGTTGGTGCCGAGGGGGAAAATCTATGTAGATCCTTGAAAATAAAAAGAAAGTCATAGATAAAGACTGGAAATGATTAGAAACCCACCCGGCTGAGCCTGGCCTAAATTGTCAAGCAGAAACTATGAGTTAAATAGTTACTGTTTCAAGCAAATACGTTTGAGGTTGACGTGTTTCACAGAAATAGTTAAGTGATACAAATTGTTAATTGAAACAATGGGCCTGAATGAGAGCACCCAAAATGATCTTGTCAAACCAGAAGACATAAGGGCAGAAGGATAGAAGGATGGAATGCTGACGAGAGGCAGGTTTCAGAGGACTGGTGGAGAGAAAGAGAGGAGCCAGCAAAAGTAAGGGCATTGGGGGTGGGGGTGTCAGATGGAGGGAGAAAGAAAACAAGGAAGACAGAGGTAAGAGAGTCAGCATGAACAGTTACAGGAAAGGAGGGGAAGGCAATCAGATGAAAGGGAGAGGCCAGAAAGAGAAAAAGTATTAATAGGAATATCCTGTTAAACAATACCTCTTTAACTTCACACCTTAAAGAAAAAACAAAGCTAGATTCCAGGAATTTGTTTTTAGGCACAGGGACCACAGTTGGGCTGACACTTTACTGGCCTCCTGAAAGAATGAACAGATAATTGAGATTCTGGTCAGTGCCCATAATACCAGAATTAAGGGCAAATCCCTCTGCCAACAGCTGGAGAACTGTCCTCACTGGGCAGTGAAGACATCTCATGTGTAGCCACCAAGATTTCATCATGGCCATGGCTTGTCACTGTCAGGAGCACTTTCAGGTATGATACTGTTAGGTGGGGCTATAGATTTGAAAACTTGTCAAACCAACATCCTCCAAACAGAAGGCTGAATTAAAAACAATAACTAAGTCTATAATACTGATGGGTGCTTTAGGCAATGAAGCTCATCTGACAGGTCCAGCAGGCATTTGATAGAAGGGGAGTTGTTCCAGGGAGCCTGTACTCTGTAGAGCGTCATGAGGGCACCCACTGGTGGAAGGAGCAACAGGGCCACATGGAGAGAAGAGGGGGACTGTACCTGCACAGGGGCTCCAACAACATATACACAAAGCACCCCTGATCAGCAGGAGTGACAGGAATGAGGTAGACCAATCCCCGGTAAGCTATGAGGACCAGCCTTTGAGTGGAACTTAAATGGCCACCAAGAAACCATGTGACCTTCCTCAGAACATGAAAGAACAAAGTCTTGGGGAACCTTGGCATTCCTGTCACTCTCCATGTGAAGATTTGGAAGCTTGCTTACATTGCATCTGTGCCTACAACTGTCCTAGGTCAGTTGGAGTGGATAAGGAGGCAGGACTGGATGTCAGAAGGAGATTTTATTCATAGTCTTCAAAGGTAAAGCATAGCTGCTCTTTTAACTACTAGACTAAATGCATACTCATAGAACACCTAATATCCTAAGTCCAAGATTTTATTTAGGAGTGAGAGATTCAACTTTGCAGTAATAGAAACTGATTCCAAAGTGGTCAAAGTCATAAAGCTGATTTGTAGTAAAATCACACAAAATATTAATTTGCCCTGGATCCCTAGTCTAGAAAATTTTTGACTGCACTATGTTGCACTTAAACAGGAAATATTAATTGGCACTCTGATAGGTGAATAAATTCAGGGACAAGAACTGAGGTGCAGCGATTCCCCTATCACTAGACAGAGCTAGGATGAAATTCAAATCCAGATCATAAGTGTTGGACCCCATGAGCTTAAGAGTACCTTAATTTTTGTTTTATGTTATGTTCTTCTCAATTTTCTGCATTACCATTTCTTCCCTCAAAAAGTTACACCTCCCCCAGAGTATCTTCTTTTTTTATTGACCCATGTTCTTTATCTACTTTCTGCAGCAACAGCTCCACTGAGAAAAAAAAAAAATCAGATATTACAAATCTAATTTAGTAACATGAAATAGTTCCCATGAGCTGCAAGCTGGCTGCTCGTGAGCTGTGGTGAGATTTAAGTATTTAAATGTATACGGTTAATACCCTCAAAGCACAGCAAAAGGCAGTTCACGATGAAGAAACCAAATGAAGTCATCCTAAAATTGCAGATTTTTTAAGAAGCAGAAACATACAGATTTCAAAAAGGATAAGGAAAAATAATGGACAGATGACATGAAAAATTAGTTCACACACAAAAAAGTGGTAGACAAGTGGCCAACTAATATACAACTGAGGTTCATACTAACTTATAACAGAATGCAAATAAAACTCTAGTTTCTCATTCTTACTATCAGATTGCTAAAGATTAAGAATTTTAATAACACTCAAGGATGATAAGAGAGTTGGAAAACAGACATTTTCATATATTCTTAATAGGAATGTAAATTGGTGCAAACTTCTTGAAGGAAAATTTGGAAGTAACTATCAGAATGCAAAATGCACATGCCCTGCGGTGTTACCAGTTTACTTCTAGCAATCTATCCAACAGGTGTAGGTGCACAAATGAGCTTACAAGTTTATTCATTGCAGGATTATTTGTAATAGCAGAAAACTAAGCACAAGCTAAGCACTCATTAGTGGCTAATTGGTTGTTCTTCTTCAATGGGAAAAAAACCATACAATCATTCTGTTTTTAATTGAAATAAATGTATACGTGGTCTTAGGCTGAAACTTCACACTAGAATTACCGCAAAAAAAAAATCCCACAACAATTCAGAAAATTGCGTGCAAGACATGCATGCATGTGTATAAAGAGGCTTCTCTGTGCATGGACCATTAATAGACCAACACCAGAAAACTATTCAGAGTGGCTACCCCTGGCTAGAAGTTCTAGGGGAGGTGTGAGTAGAAATGGAAGATGATCTTTAATTTTTATACTATGCTCCTTTGTCATCTTTAAGTTATATCTTGTGAGCATGCATGTATTGCTTTCCTAATAACTAAGCTATTTAATGAAAAGAAGTCACACTGCTTCAGATAAGTAAACTAAAATTAAAATTCAGTTCTGATTGACTGTATCAATTCTAAGTGTCATTTTGGCCAATTTAGTCCTGAACCCAGGGGATTTTAGAGTCGCCAACTTTGCTGGTGTGTCTGGGATTGAAGGGTTTCTGGGATATAAGGCTTTTAGTGCTGGCCAAGCACGGTGGTTCACGCCTGTAATCGCAGCACTTTGGAAGGCTGAGGTGGGCAGAACAACTGAGATCAGGAGCTCAAGACCAGCCTGGCCAATATGGTGAAACACCATCTCTACTAAAAATACAAAAAATTAGCCGGGCATCGTGGTGCATGTCGGTAATCCCAGCTACTCGGGAGGCTGAGGCAGGAGAGAATTGCTTGAACCTGGGAGGTAGAGGTTGCAGTGAGCCAAGATCATGCCATTGCACTCCAGCCTGGGAGACAAGAGTGAAACTCCATCCCCCCCCAAAAAAAGACTTTTAGTGCTAAAACTAAAGCAGTTCAGAGACCAGCAGGTCACCTTACTGGGCTTGGTGAGAGGAAGGGACCTGGGTGAGTGAGGTTCCTCTACAAAGACCAAATTCCCCTTAGGTGGATCCAACAGATCAAATGGAAGAAGCTAGAAGTCCCTTTGGCCCTCATACCTAAATCACATTCTCCAAAATAAGTTCTTTTAGAAATAAATACAATGTTCTGATCTCCATCAGAACTGAGGGACAGAAGATGGGTTTTATTTTAGGAGACTTCCTCAAACCCACAACAAATAATTATATACCTGCTACTACAAACTAGCACCATTTCTTATGGTGACAATTCAAATGTCCTCACCCCACTTTTCAGGAGTGTTGAGGCTATCTTGGGCCAGTGGGGAAGGGAGGAAGTAGAGCCCTGGCCATACTCAGAACCAGGGGAACTGGCCTGGCCTGCGAAGCCACAACCCAAACACCTGTGACCAAACCAGGCCTCTCAGGCCAAGATATACACAAGTAGGAACTGTCCAGTGGGTAGACGGGGTCTTCCGAGCAATTCCCAGACTCTCAGAGGCCACAGCGTCATTCATGGTTCCAGGTGCTCTGTCCTATTCTGAGCAAAACTCAAAAGCACTGGTGGGGACCAGGCTAGTGAGAGTTAGACAAAATGTCCATGCTCCAGGAAACAATGAAAGGTTTTAGGGAAATCATCTTTCTCATTAAGGGAGACAAAACATCAGAAACCAAAGAAGTTGAGTTGTACAGACATGAAAACCCTGCTGTATCTGAGTAGATGAGAGGGTAGGAGGGAGAAAGGCAGGCAGAATAATGGAGCTCAGAGGATATTTGAGTGCTCAGAACTCATCCCATGCTACCCGACGGAGAGCAGAGAGGAAGGCTTGGTCCACTCCCTGGGTGCTGCTGGGGAGGGAGCTGCAGGCATGGCAAGGCCTGTCTTAAGCAGGTGGTAGAATTTTCAGCCTCCACTCCCCCGACAGGGCAGGGCTGGAGAAAGCTGGCCCTGATATTAAAGGAGTATTTTGAAGTATTAAATGATGCGGTTTTTTTAAAAAATATTTTTCTTCCCTTTATTTCTCTCTATCCCAAAGCGTCCCCTGCACACACACATATTTATTAGTTACTCAGCTTACTCTTGCCTCAGGATAGAGATGAGATGCAGTGAAGGACAGAAAAATCCTAAGCTCTTTAAGGTTCTTATTTCTAACAGCAGTCACTGCCCCAGAGCCAAGAGAGGATCTTAGGCAGAGACAAAATACCCAAAACCTCAACAGGAGATGGATTTTTCTGAAGGCTCGGGAAGGATTCCCTCAGGCTGGTGGTGGAGCTGGGAGAAGAATGAGAAGGCAGGAAGATGGGAACAAAGAGATCCATGAGTCCTGCAGACTCCCAACTCCCCAGCACACCTCCAACCCCAGGATGACATGGCAGACCCTCAGGAGGGAACAAAGGCAGGCTACGCCCATCCTCATCATCCAGGACTCTCAATGGCCCATCAGACATTTCCATCCCCAAGTCATCTTAAAAGACCAGAGAACTATTTGACCTGAAGAAAACACACAGCCAGAGCAAAGTGCTGATGTTGGGAGTTCAAGACCAGCCTGGCCAACATGGGGAAACCCCGTCTCTAGTGAAATTACAAAAATTAGCCGGGCGTGGTGGTGTGTGCCTGTAGTCCCAGCTACTCGGTAGGGTGAAGCAAGAGAATCGCTTGAACCCGGGAAGCAGAGGTTGCAGTGAGCTGACATCGCACCACTGCACTCTAGCCTGGGCGACAGAGTGAGACTCTGTCTCATACAAAACAAAACAACACAAAACAAAAAGGCACTTTTGCAGCTCTCGGTGCAAGCCCTCCCCCAAGCTTTTGTTCTGTGTAACCTCATGGAACCCTAGCACAACTCAGGGAGGGAGGTGGTGCGAAATAACTGAGGCTAACTACTGTGCAGGAGCTGCAAAGACCCTGCAGATGCCCCTGTGTCACTCACTGGCTAGAACAACACTTTGCTCACAGCCTCTCCCTGCAAACACATGCCACTCTCTGCCTGGAGCTTCTTCTCACCAGAGTTTCTGGATGAGCTGACTCATGGGTCTCAGTGTGAAGCTTTATCTCTAGCGTTTAATGAAAGTGAGGAGACAGAAAGGACTCAACTATGAATATTCTGTCTTTACGGCGCAAGCTCCTGGCCGCATAGATCAGCATTTGAAGGCAGCCGAGGAAAATGAAACAAACTTCAAAGTCCAAAGAGGAAAAAAAGAAGGGCCCGTAGAATATTCTTCAAATGAAATTAACTGACCACCAGATGCTCTGAGGTTTTCAGGCTACTCAGCTTAAATCAGAGGGAGCGTATCCTAGCGATGGCAGGCCCTGTTCGGCCACAGACTGTCACTTTCTTTTGGTTCTCAAGTAAGAATCCTTGAGGTGCTGTGCCGCAGAGCAGATTCAATTTTGTTCACTTAATTTTCATCTCTCCTACATGGTTTTCTTCTACAAAAACGGAGATACCATTTTCTTCAAGGGCCATTTACCATATAAAGAAATACATATAAAGGGAGTAAAAGAAAATTAATATAATCATGTCATAAGGCAATGGATTTTTGTCTCTCCTTTTACACAGTCTGACTTTTGCATACATTGATTAAAAGCTCCACCAGCGTCTGTCACATACTATTTATATGGAAGCTTTATCACAAAACAGAAACAAATGGTCTCTTTTTTTTTTTCTTTTCAGTCCTCATGACTGCTACCTGGGTTTACGCCCTCTTCCTTTCATAGTTTTTATCTCACCCAGCATTCAATCATTAAATCTTGGGGTTTGGAGATAAGGCCTTTCTCTCTCCTGTGTATGTCAGAAATGCTTTCCGGAGAAAGTCATGGAATGCCCAACCTGTGCTGACTTAAACTCTCGACATTTATTGCTATGTAACAAAAAGTTCTAGGGTTGATTGGTGGCTCAGCAGTATCTCCAAACACCCAGGCTCTGTCTGTTCCCCAACTCAGCCACATCAAGCATAATAATTTCTTACCTCACTGTCACAAAATAGCTGCCACAGCTCCAGGCACCATGCTCCCACACAGTTATATTCAAAAGCAAGAAACTCACGAAGAAACCAGGGAAGTGAGAGTGCCTTTATCCTTTAGCTCTTTCTTCCATGGAGGGAGAGCATTAGGACAAATATCTAATGCATGTGGGGCTTAAAACCCAGATGATGGGTTGATGGGTGCAGCAAACCACCATGGCACATGTATACCTACATAACAAACCTGCACATTCCGCACATGTATCCTAGAACTTAAAGTAGAAAAAAAAAAAAAAAAGAAAAGAAAACCCTTTCCAGAAATACCTTCCACAGACTCACTCATTGGCTAGAAGTGGGTCATTGTTTCAATTATAGGGCCTCGCTGATTTTTAAGTAACTGCCAGTTCAGTTTCTTTCTCTTCTTTCTAATTGCTGCATTCCCCAAATCATCATTCTACTGAACCAATATCCTCCTAAAAGGTCCCTGCCTCAAATCTACCCTCCATACCAATGCTACTCCAGTACTCAGTAAGGTGGCCAGTCTTCAAGAAGCCCCCATGACTCCTGCCTCCTTGCATTTATACCCTTATGAAGTCCCCTCCCACTGGTTGGGTGTGGCCAAAAGAACATGGCAGAAGTGGTGGGATTTTGTTTCTGAGGTTAGATGATAAAAGACACTGTGGCTTCCGTCTTGGTCTCTCTCATCCCTTCTCTGAGGACAGCCACTGCCACATTTTGAGGATACTCAGCCACTCTCTGGAGAGATCCACAGAGCAAAGATGGATGCCTCTTGCCAACAGCTGCACAAGTGATCTTGGAGGTGAATCCCCACCCAAGTCAAGCCCTCAGCTAACATTGTGACTAACACCTCATGAGAAGCTCGAAGCTGGAAACACCCAGCTAATCTGCTCCCTAATTCCTTACCCATAGAAAATGTGAGATAATAAGTGTTTGTTATTTTAAGTCACTAAATTTGGGGGTGATTTATTATGCAGTGATAGATAATGAATTCACTTACTGTGAAACTGTCTTGGTTAAAACCCATAAATGGTCTCTACCACTTACAGCAGAGGACCTGGCATTGCCAGTAGGTGAGTTTTGGTCCACGGAGTCTTTTGAAATATTTTGAACTGATGTTTCAAAATTGGGAGATGTTAAATAGACATCATAACATCTTGCCAACCAGGTCCACATTTCCACAGAACACCCAAGGCCTTGGCCAGAGGATTGGCTGTCTCCTTTACAAAGAGCATGCCTTCCAACTACCAAAGGCCTGGGCCAAAGGATTGCCTGTCTTCTTTATGAGAGCATGCACTCCAACTCACTGAGAGGATTGGCTGTCTCCTTTACAAAGAGTATGCTCTCCAACTTATCGAGTGCCCTCCACTCACCCAAGGCCTGGGCCAGAGGATTGGCTGTCTCCTTTACAAAGAGTATGCTCTCCAATTCATTGAGTGCCCTCCACTCTAATTCCCCCAATAGTAGTGAGGACATGTCATAGTTGCCACTTTTTGATCCCTGCATGAACCATTACTTTAGTTATGTCTGAGACATAGTTTTGTGAACCTTTGCCCCTACCAAAAATGGGCAAACAAAAGATAGACTGAAATATCTCTAGTAAATAAAAAGCTAGAAAAGGTTTCCGCACACCTAAGGAAACAGTCAACAGAGAAAGAAGGTAACCTATAGAATGGGAGAAAATATTTGCAAATCATACATCTGATAAGAGGCTAATATCTAAAATATATAAGGAACTCAATTCAATAGCCAAAAACAAAACAAAAACAATCCACAAATGACCTGATTAAAAAATTTGCAATGGATTGCAATAAATATTCCTCCAAAGAATACATACAAATGGCCAATAAGTATATGAAAAGATGCTCAACATCATTAATTATTAAGGCAATGCAAATCAAAACCACAATGAGATAGCACCCCACACCTGTTAGGATGGTCATTATATATATATGCATACACACACACACACATATATATATAACCAGATTATATATATTATATATATAATATATTATATATAATATATAATTATATTTATATATAATTTATGATATATATTTATATATATTTAAAAAACAGAAAATAAGTGTCAGAATGCGGAGAATAGAAACCCTTGTGCATTGTTGATGGGAATGTAAAATGTAAAATGATGCAGCCTCTATGAAAAACACTATGGAGATCATCAAAAAATTCAAAATAGAATGACCAAGCGGAATCCAGCAATCCCACTTCTGAGTATTTATCTAAAAGAACTGAAATCAGGATCTCAAAGAGATACCTGCACTCCCATGTTCACCGCAGCATTATTCACAATAACCAAGAGGTGGAAACAACTGAAATGTCCATTGATGGGTGAGTGGATAAAGAAAATACAGTATATCCATACAATGGAATATTATTCAGCCTTACAAAGAACTGAATCCTGTAATATGCTACAACACAGATGAACTTCGAGGACATTTTACTAAACGAAATAAGTCATCACAGAAGGACAAATACTGCATGATTTCAGTTATATGAGGTATCTAAAGTAGTCAAACTCACAGAAGCACAGAGTAGAATGGTGGATGCCAGGGGCTGGTGGGAGGTGGAAACGGGGAGGTGTTCGATAGGTCTAGAGTTTCAGTCACGCAAGAGAAAAAGTTCCAGAGATCTGCTGCACAACAGTGTGCTTATAGTTTACAATACTATATTGTATACTTAAGAATTTGATAAGAGAACAGACTTCATGTTGTATTTATTTATTTATTTATTTTCTGAAATGGAGTCTCACTCTGTGGCCCAGGCTGGAGCGCAGTGGTGCAATCTCGCTGCAAACTCTACCTCCCAGGTTTTAGAGATTCTCCCACCTCAGCCTCCTGAGTAGCTGGGATTACAGGCACCTGCTACCACACCTGGCTAATTTTTTGTATTTTTTTAGTAGAGTTGGGGTTTCGTCATGTTGGCCAGGCTGGTCTCGAACTCCTGACCTCAGGCGATGCACCCACCTCGGCCTCCTGAAGTGCTGGGATTACAGGCATGAGCCACTGTGCCCAGCCTTATGTTCAACGTTTTTTTTTTTTCACCACAACAAAAGAGAGAAAGAGAGAAGGAAGGAAGGAAGGGAGGGAGGGAGGGAGGGAGGGAGGGAGGGAATAGAAAGTGGGGTAACATCTTTCTTTGTTAGAGAATATTTTCATCTTTTAACATGTAAACAAAGTGTCTAACAACTATAAGCAGGTCTCAGTTCACTCATTTATCTTACCTGCCTGGTCCCTTTAGGCATCAGTGTTTATTATCCCAGGTCTACAGGGCAGTGGTGCTTCATAGGCACAGTCCAGGTTCTCTGGAATCCAGCCCAGACCACCAATTCTTGCTGTCTTACCACTTTGTGACATGTCTCCCACTGTGATGGTTCACATTATATGCTGACTTGGCTGGGGTATGGTGCCCAGTAGTTTGGTCAAACACCAGTCTAGATGTTGCTGTGAAGGTAATTTTTAGATGTGATTAACATTTAAATTGGTGGAATTTACTAAAGCAGATTATCTTCCATCTTGTAGGTGGGACTCATCTAATCAGTTGACAGTCTTAAGAGCGAAGATTGAGGCTTCTATAGACGAAGGAATTCAGCCTCAAAACTGCAATACAGAAAGCCTGCCTGAGTTTCCAGCTTGCCTGGCCTGCCATGTGGAATTCAGACTCCAGACTACAACACCAACTCATACCTGAATTTCCAGCCTGCTGGCTTGTCCAACAGATTTTGTTCAGCACGCACATCATGTGAGTCAACTCTTTAAAGTAAATAAATGTGTCTAGCACGTGCGCTGTCTCTCTCTCTCCTTCCTCCATTTATTACACACATACAGATGGGTGTGTGTATGTATGAAAGGAATGTGGGAGGGTGGGTATATTAGTTAGGGTTCTCCAAAGATGTGGAACAAAGATACAGAACAAGTGGGAAAGACAGATCTTTCTGTATCTTTGGAGAACCCTAACTAATATACCCACCCTCCCACCTTCCTCACACCACCACCTTCTATCCTCCATGTCCTTGGTCATGCACTTGGCCCTGGTCATGCCACCCCCTTCCACCAGGACATCTTGCCCTCCCATCCCCCCAGCAATGCATTCTCCTTTAACTCAGTCCAACTGTCACCTTGCCCAGGAAGCTCCCCGTGACCACGCAGACTGGGATATATTTTTCTCCCCGATGACGCTCGTTTGTGCAGATCCCTCTCAACCCACACATTAAGTTGGAACATGACAACTTCCTTTATGTGGCCCACCAGAAGAGGAACCGTGTCTTATTCTGTCAAATGAATGAATAAATAAACGGATGAATCCCAACGTGTTATTACTGAGGAGGACAAACATAATAATCTTAGACAAAAGTAGTTTTACAGAATTACCATGTAAATCACCATAGAATAGAATAAATGCTTTGTAATTTAGGGGGAAACAGAAGGATTTTCTGGGCTTCTGGCAAAGCTTTTTCCTAACTAAATCATTTCAGGCACAGCTTTTGCAAATGCGTCTTCTGCTGGTCATAATTATGCGACTCCCACCCCCCACTGCTTTGAATTACTTTGTGCTAACACCAAAATTGTTCCACAGAGAGTAGGATTTATTTGCTGAAATGTGATGAGGAGAAGTGGGATAAGAGACATACTTCACATGCGGTGCCTGTTGCTAGCACAGCTGTATTTCTGAGAAATATATTTCAGTCTTTTGGCTCCATTTCTTTTGTAGTTTAATAACTGAAGTACAAAGCTCATGAAAGCTGGGAATGTGTTGGAAGGTCAGTGAGGAAAAATGCACGTGGTGCAGTTAGGAGAGACAAGGGAGTTAAAATAACAGGAGAAATTGATCACTTACGATCTTTCTGGTTGGTGGTTTATGGCTAAATGTCTGTTTCAGCTAAAGACCAAACACTGGCTCACAGCTACAAAGAAAGTAGAACAATTAAAAAACTCAGCAAGGAGAATTCCTTTTGTACCTCTATTATAAGCATATTGTTTATTTAAAATTATTTTATGTAATGCCAATAGAGTAATATCTTCATGTCATTATATAAATGTAATGGCAGTGGCTAGTTTTGCCATTGGATGACAGTCCTACACACTGGAACACATTTTCTCACCTAGCAGAAAGCCTTGCCTGCAGCACTCACCAAATGCCTCCTACAGTATCTTCCTCATGTGCACAAATGGCTTTATGTCAGAAATCAACATCCACTGAGACACCAGAAATTTGAACAGGTCCCTAAAGACAGGTTGACTGCTTTTCCTCCCTGTGGCACAGTCATTTGCAGTCTTTACTTGGTATTGCATCTGTAAATGGGATGTAGATAATATCGCCATCATTTCCAGGGAATATAGTGTTATCCACATCAGCGTTCATGATAACAAACACAATGTCCCAGCTGAACTTTGTAATCAGTACTTTTGGGAGAACCAAGTCTGTTTTAGTTTAACAGATGCATCTGATGTTGTTATCTAACCATCTGAGGCTGTGATGAAGCACAGAACGCAGGCTTTGTCATCAGCCAGTGCTACACCATATCCAGGGCCGGCTTCACCAGATGTGTGATCTTGGGCAAGATGTTTTGCCTCTCTGACCTGCAGTACTCTGCTCTGTAAAGGAGGTCCATAAAATTCTCTTTGGAGGATCAATATGAAAATCAGAAACAATAAATTAAACTATCTGGAATAGGGATTGGCACATAAGAGATGACAAAAAACAAAAGAAAGTGTTTGTAATAGAATATGGCTGACACTATTCCTGCTGGTTCGGGATTCTGGCTGAAGCTTTAAATTGAGAATGGAAGAAAAGCCTTTCATGTTCCAAAGGAAAGTGCTGAACACATTTCCCAGCACTTCTGAAAGATCGAAGAGCCAATCTAGAAACAGAACTCTGTGTCTAGCATGATACATGCAATATGTGTGCAACATGCAACTTGCATGTATATACACCTATATTATGTGTGCATATGTACATACAGTATCTATATACACACCTACACATATGTAAATAAAGCTCATTAAACAGGATGTGCCAATTTGTCAGCCAATGGGGAATTGATGTGGATTCTCCCTCCATCATGAGAGAGGGAACTAGGGTGCTCGTCCACTCTTTCAAGCTAAGGAAAGGGGACTCCAGGAAGATATGTCAAAAGAAACTACACACACTTCAAGAGGGAGAGATTGGCACCTTGCTCCCCAGCACAGCCAGTGCACTACAGACTGAACAAAGTGTAAAGGGAGCTCCTGAAAGAACTAAACGTGTGTGTGTGTCTAGGAATTTGGGGCATATGGAAGCAGAGACTGCTGCCTCTCCTATTCTGAATAATTCTGAAGATGGGAAACTGGCAGGAGCAGTGCACCATAAAAGCCAGGGACCGAGGATGCACTTGGGGATGCTACAGCAGGTGGTTGAACCTCACAGTTTGAAAGCACCCACCCAATTGGGCAGCCTGCTGGACTGAGGGCTCCCAGCACCAGGAGGCTGTGGGTATGAGGCCATTGGAAGCAACAACAGAGGAGAACTGCAAAAGGCCCTCCATACAGCTTATTGATTTATTTGGAGAGGCTTCTGCGGGGCCACTAGGCAACCACAAAGGTGCTCCCAAGGGAGTGCCAGCTTTGGGGACCAGCCACATGCATAGGGGACAGGACAGGTGGGTTTCAACAGCCTCATGTACAGGAGACTTGTCCTCTTTCCTCCAGTCTGTTTTCCCCCAACCCCTGCCCTAGAGAGGTGAGGAGAAGGAAGGAGACCCCAAGCCAGGGAACAGAAGAGCTTTGAACTGGATGGGAGACTGAAGCTTTCCCTCTACCTAGATTGTTAATACCTGACAGTGAATCTCCTCTTACAAACTGAGCCAGAGCATCAAGAAGGCTATGAACGAATCTCCCTGAGATGCCTTCAGTGAGCAGGGAAGGGAAAGCCAACAGAGCAAGATTGAAATATAAGTGGGAGAAAAGTAAAGCCATTTCCTGTTTATATACTTCAGCCTTCAGAGGCCACAAAAAACCAGCTACATACGATTATGTTATTTCGGAGCCTCCAAATGGAGTGACACATACTCTTTTACTGCCAATTACCAAGGCGTGGAAGGTGGAGAGAGGACTCTCTAGCTCCTCTGCTCCATCTCTTTGTGGCTATCACATTGGCTTCAATACAATGTGACTTAGGTACCCAAATTATTCTAGTATTGAGACAGGCAAGTGTAAAGAGGTCCCTGGAGAAACTTCAACCAGCCTGGTCACTGGGAGGAATGTGCGCTGGGGAGGAGCCTCGGGAAGTCTGTGCCATTTTGCAGCAGGGAGGAGCCTGGCCTCTCTTGTTCTGGGGTGGGGAAACTGGGATTCAATCTGTGAGGCAGGAAGCCAGCTAGCAGGACTCTGGTTTTGCTGAGAGTCCCTGTTTCCCTTTTTTCCCTTTTCACCCAATAAACCCTGCTTTTCTCACCCTTCAAAGTGTCTCTGAGCCTAATTTTTCATGGTTGTGTGACAAGGACCCTGCTTTTAGCTAACTAAGGAGAAAGTCCTACAACAATATAGTGGGACAAAACCCAGAGACAACAATCGATTTCAGCCAATCCAGATTCTACCAAGTCTGTAAACAGTACATATATTATATATATATATATATATGCTTACAGTTACTTCCAAACCTCTTTTTCTCATAATCACCCAAACCTAGACTAATGAGTTCCCCCATTTCTGCTCTCAAAATTTCTCCAAACAAGCCCTTTTCTCTAGGGGTACAGAATTCCTCATAAGCTGAATTTGTACCTTCTCTTTGTACTGTAATCTATGATCATGCATAAGTCTTTCTCTGAAGGGGAAAAAATGACAACTTTTGACTTGAAATCCAGCTCTGGATTTACCTAGAAGTCAAGCTTGTTAAAATATGGTCCTCAGGGTTTAGAAGACGAGGGTGAGCTAATTCTGAGTCTCAGCCTGCCTACCAAACCAGCCATACGATCGATACGGAAGACAGATAAAACCACACAGGACTCATGCCTTCAGCATGACCAGACAACAGAGAACACTGCAACCTTCAAATTGCCTGAAAGTAACAAATTCCAACAGAACTCTCACCACCTACTCATAGCTGCTAAGAGCCTGTGGATGCAGAGAGCAGAGAGGGAAGCAGAAAAGAGCTAAGAAAATAAACAGAGGGAGCAGAGGGCCACGAGGAAGCACAAACTCACCCTAGAAAGAGGAAATGAAATAGACAATGCAAAACAACCCAATACCAGTCAGGACTTGGAGATGCATAGGAAGGCACTGGAGAGTGGGTGGGGCCAGAAGGGGTGGCCTCAGAACATACTACTTGTGGGGGATAATCAGATCTAAAGAAAAGATCTGATGTTCCTTGGAGATGAGACAGAGACGGGAAAGAAGGACTTAAGAAGGGGGAATAAGGAGCCTGCAGAAACACAACAGTAAACTAGAATAAGTGGAGAGACCCCTTGCTCTTGATTTGGAGGTCTCGGTGTTATCAAGATGTCAGTTCTCCCTAATTTATAAATGTAGTGCAAGACCAACAAAAATTCTAAGGAGCTTTTTAATGGAGACAGACACATTAGAAAACAACACACAAGAATATCTAGGAACACATCAAAAAGGAATAACTTGGTGGGGGTGAGAAAGGGATAATACCGCTACCAGATGTTAAAACATAATATAGACTTCCCACAATTAAAACAGAGTGGCACTGGCACATGAATAGACTGACATCAAAGAAACAATAAAATGTCAAGGAAAAGATGAAAAAAAAGAATTTCCATTTGGAAAAACATAAAAGTAGATCCATCCGTCAAACCCTACATAAGAATGAACTCTGAATGAATCAGAAATGTAAATGTAAAAATAAAAGGACATATACTAGAAAAAAATAAATTCTTCTACAACCTATGTATATAGTAAAAGGCTAGGTCTGACTTAAAATTTAAATGCAATAAAATACTAATATGTTTGTTTGCATAAATTAAAATTTTAAAAAAGGTTGTATGGAATAACTACACCATTAGTAAATTTCTTTTTATTTTATTTTTTATTTTAGATGGAGTCTCACTCTGTTGCCACGCTGGAGTGCAGTGGCTTGATCTCGGCTCACTGCAACCTCTGCCTCCCGGGTTCAAGCAATTCTCCTGCCTAAGCTTCCTGAGTAGCTGGGACCACAGGCACACGCCACCATGCCCAGCAATTTTTTTTTTTTTTTTTGTATTTTTAGTAGAGACGGTGTTTCGCCGTGTTGGCCAGGATCGTCTTGATCTCCTGACCTTGTGATCTGCCCACCTTGGCCTCCCAAAGTGTTGGGATTACAGGCGTGAGCCACTGCGCCCAGCCACCATAAGTAAATTTTT
This sequence comes from Homo sapiens, assembly GCF_000001405.40. Taxonomy (NCBI): domain Eukaryota; kingdom Metazoa; phylum Chordata; class Mammalia; order Primates; family Hominidae; genus Homo; species Homo sapiens. The sequence goes on from NC_000005.10 coordinate 9,718,286, forward strand.
AAATGACAAAATGGAAGAAAAATTTGCAACATACATTGCAAATAGAAGAATTAATGTCACTAATGTACAAGGCACTTTGCAAAATCAAGGATCAAAAACCAAAAGTCCTACAGAAAAATGGGCAAACACATGAAAAACTATTCATTAAAAGAAACAGATACATGGCCTAGAACCATATGAAAAGATGCTCAATTTTGTTTATAATAAAAGTGCACCAAGAGGCTGGGTGCAGTGGCTCACACCTGTAATCCCAACACTTTGAGAGGCAAAGACAGGAAGACTGCTTGAGGCCAGGAGTTTAAGACCAGCCTGAGCAACACAGACACCCTCATCTCTACAAAACAAAACAAAACAAAACAAATCAAATCAGGCAGTTAGTGGAAAAGGAGGCAACATTTTTGACCAGGTGGTCAAAATTACACCACCCATGTGAAGGACATAGTATGTGCTTCCAGAAGGGATGACAGAGGACACAGTATCTTCTATGCAGTGGGATGGCCGATAACACACCTCAACCCAATCACAAGGAAGCTTCAGTCAAGCATAAAATAGGGAGCATTCTGTTTAAAAAGTGAAGGGGCTACTGTATTAAAAAAAAAAATCAATGTCTTAAAAGGCAAAGAAAAATCATGGAATTGTTCTAGATTAAAGTAGGCTAAAGAGTCATGACAACTAAATGCCATGCCCAATTCTGAACTGAACCCTGTACTGGAGAAAAAGTGTTACAAAGGATATTAATTATTATGTTAACTGACAAAATTAGAATATGGGCAGTGGATTAGTTAAAGGTATTGCATCAATGTGTGTGTAAATCAATAGTGTAACATCATTAGTGTATGTGGTTATATTAATAAAAGATATTTTTCTACTTTTAGGAAATACACACTGAAGTATTTAGTAGGAAGGACCATGATACACATAACTTATCTGCAAATGATTCGAAAAAAATTGTGTATGTGTGTGTGTGTACACAGAGAAAGAGAGAGAGATTGAGAGAACATAAATGATAAATCAAATGGGTTAAAAACAAGTGATTCTGGGTAAAGACTGTAAGGATGTTCTTTGTACTATTTTTGGTTTTGCAACCTTCGGAGATGTAAAATTTGTTTTAACAAAAAACCTAGAAGCAATACTTGTTTCACTCTTCACTCTCCCCACTTCCTCGCTTTTGTCTACCCTGCAATTCACTGTTACCAAGCCTGGGTCTCCACTCTTCCACTGAAAACTATTCTGGCAAAAGGCCCCAGTGCTTCCTTAAATGGGACATCCAACAGGACTTTTTTAATTATTCATCTTGCTTGAGTCAGTGGCAGCACTGGACTCTTCTGGCTTCCTGCTGCTGCTTAAAAAGCTACACTTCTGGCCGGGCGCGGTGGCTCACGCCTGTAATCCCAGCACTTTGGGAGGCCGAGGCGGGCGGATCACGAGGTCAGGAAATCGAGACCACGGTGAAACCCCGTCTCTACTAAAAATACAAAAAAAATTAGCCGGGCGTGGTGGCGGGCGCCTGTAGTACCAGCTACTCAGGAGGCTGAGGCAGGAGAATGGCGTCAACCTGGGAGGCGGAGCTTGCAGTGAGCCGAGATCGCACCACTGCACTCCAGCCTGGGCGACAGAGCGAAGATTCCGATTCAAAAAAAAAAAAAAAAAAAACAAAAACAAAAACAAACTACCCCTCTATGCTATTTTCTTTTCTTGCCTTCATGACCACTCCTCTTTGGCTTTCCTTTCTTTCTTTTTCTTCCTCTACTCACCTTTTAAATGTGAGTTTCCTAAGATTCCTTATTTAGATCTCATCTTACTCAACATTTCCCTAAGAATATTCTTCCATTTTTATGGCTCCAAATACCCCAAACTGGAGAGGCAGTTAAATAGTTGATTATTAAAAATTGATTAGTATATTATTTAGCTCTTGCTGTATGCCAACCAACCACAAAAATCTCTGTAGCATTCAACAAAAAGCACTTACTCTCGTGGATCTGCGGGTTGTAGAATTTGGCTAGTCTGGGCTGGGCTTTCCTGGGCATGGCTTTAAGCCACAGGGTGGGCTCACATCTACTCAGTGAGTTTCTCACCCTCTGTGGAATGGTGGGCAAGTTGGGACATCTTCTCATGGCAATGGCAGGAAGCAAGAGAGCAAACGGAAATGTGGAATGTACCTCTGAAGGCCTAAGGCCAGGACTGACCCACTGTCATTTCAACCCACATTCCTTAGGCCAAAGAAAATCACACAGTCAAGCCTAACGCCAAGGGGAAGCGAAGTCTGCTCCATCTCAGGCTGGAAGGATTAAGAGTCTGACGAGAAAGAGAGTGACTGCAGGAAAGGGTGGGGAACTGCACCTGTCTGCAGTAGGAATGTATGAACTGACTTGGAAACTGTTTCAACCTTCCCTGGCAGGAAAGGATGAGCTACGGAGAGCAGAGTTCCTCAAGGTGGGGCATCAACAAGGACAGATGAGAGGGAAGGAGCAGAGAGAAGCAGTCTACCTTGAAGATTCACTCAGTGAGGAATTTTAAAACCTCTGCATCTCGAAGGTTTCCAGATTTTCTTTCCACCCTAGCATTTTCCAGGGAGCCCCAGGAGTGCCATGCTGCACTTGGAGGGCTGCTGTGCCCATTTCTCTTGTCACATTCCATTAGACAGATGCCTCAGCTGCTGCAATGCTGGAAAATCTAGAACATGATGTGCTGTTCCACTAGGGCTGCTGCAGCGCCCACCCTGCCTGCTGCAGGGCAGTAGCTAAGAACTGCGAGACGCGAGGTTTCCCTTGCCCATGTGCAACCTGCTTACCTATATAAATAGATAGCTGATCAAGCCTTTTTTTTGGCAAAAATTCTCTGACAGGCTAGGAGCAAAGCACATGCCAGCAAAGGGCAAAGGGGCTCTCCATAGTCTATCTTTGAGGGTTCTTGTGAAGTTACTATGTGTGGCATGAAGGCTGCTTACATTTTTACATGCATTTGATCCCTTTAAAATGGTCCAGAAGAAAGTGGTATATGAAAGTACATTCTGAAACCAGAAACATGGAGCATGACACTTCAAGCTACAGGATCTGGAGTCAGGTGGGTGTTCCCCGGTGCTGCTAGCCAGCTTTGATCTTAACTCTCCCAAGGGTCAACTCTTCATCTGGGAAGTATGGCCAATCCTAAGTCACAGCATTATATAAGAGTGAAACAAAAGCCTGTGTGAAAGTCCCTGGTGTCCTGACTAACCCACAGTAGGCGCTGAATGAATAGAACCTTTTAAAGGTGTTATCATCATCATCATTTGCAGCATTGCTGGACTTTTTTCTCTTCCTAGCTCACCTCCTACAAATGTGTTACTGGATTGTGACAAATATATTTTTGGACATTTTTAGTTGACAACTGCAAGTGATATTGAATATTGCAAATTAATTGACAGTTTAACTGCTTAGAGGATTTCTCTTACTTTGGGTAATTGGAAAGTAGGAAATTAAAGGAAAAGCAAATATGATATTATTTGAGTATTATTTATGAAATAGGCTCAATATTTCATTTCAATAAAATTTCATGTATTTTCCAAAAATATCTACTTTTTCTACTATACTACCTTCAACTTATCCAAAATAAAACCTAATAAGCAATAGTAATAGTCAACAGTCAAATATTGACTAACTTCTGTTCCAGGCAGCTTCTAACATAGTTCCCAAGAAACCCTACCTCCTTATAGGTGGCCAGACCAGTAACTTAACTTGCTACTTCTGAGAAGATGTTTTAAAAGACTCTTCCTTATTAATCTCTCTCTCTCTCTTCTTACTTGCTCACTCTGATGGAGCAAGCTGCCATTTTGTAAACCTAAGGGTAAAGGAACTGATGATGATGATGGTCTCTGGCCAACAGCTGGTAAGGACCTGAGGCCCTCAATCCAACAGCCCAGGAGGAACCGCTGCCAAGAGGACCCCCCACAGGGGACCCCTGAGGCCACCATGTCTCTGACTGCAACCTCATGAAAGACTCAGAGCTTCTGCACCCAACTTAACTGTGCCCAGATTCCTGACCCATAGACACAGTGAAATAATAAATGCTGTCATTTTAAGCTACTAAGTTAAGGTAATTTTTTACATACCAATAGATAACTGATAAATCTACATTGTACTAACACTATCTGGAAGTTTAGATGTAATCTACGTAAAATGGAAAGGTTAAATTTGCTGGTTTCTGGAGAAACCCAATGGATCTCTTTGGAGACAAAATGTTCTCTTTCCATGTCCTTTGGAGCAGGGGTTGTTGTGGAGTATTATTCTTAGAAAGTGAAATGCTAAGCTTCAGCATTGTGGGTCAGTCTCAACTTGCAAAGCAAAAGTTTAGATCTCCATATTCTTTTTACTTGTATTCAGTAGCTATGTTATCTTCCTCCTTTCCATTGCCTGAGCTATTTTCTGCATTACTGATCCCTCACACAGCCATCTCAGCTTACTACAGAAAAATACCTCCTGGTATTTAGAATGTTCAAAACACTTGAGCAAGCATATTCACAACCCATACTGTTGCCAAGGCTGAATAATTGGGCTTGGAATATGCCTGGCACCATCACTCCAGATGAAGCCCTAGACGGCTGCCATCGGCTCTGCTTTGCCCTTACTGCTTACATGGAAGTGGTCATTTAGGCTGTGAAATGGTCAGACAGAGGAGCTTACCACTAAGAAGCCTCTGCTGCATGACAAACACCCTGCCTCAAAGATTGTGCCTAATTCTTGAGTGGGCAACCTGCCTCTAAAGCAGATGGATAGAGTGAAAGCAGGATGGAGATGGAGAGCGAGCACAGAAATATTTCAGTCTAGGGTCATATTGGCATTTGGGAGCTTGTCACCATCTGCTGTTCCCGGGGTTCCCAGCTTGCTAATCCAGCTTGCAGATGGATTGACATTTTTCAATTTCTTAAATCTTGGGAAGAGTTTTGGTGGTTCTCTGTTGTTGCCATGAAGACTGGGCCTGTTCTCTGTCAAAATGCAGCCAAGGTCTATAGCTAAGGTGCCTAGATTCTACCACTTCATTATCGTGGGCTTCTAGTCTTTTCCCGAGGGGAGAGTGCACTGATAATTGTGGACTGCGGGGCAAAAGCTTATTACCTGTCTTCACATTGTGTTGCATGGGCCCAACAGCACATTTTTATAAAGAGAAGACAATAAATTTGAAGAGATGAGGCCAACTCCTCTCAACTCCTCAACTCCTGCCACACCTGTTCCCCATGACTGGCCAGTCATGGACAATATCTGACAAACACTCCCCCTTCCCAGGGCTCCTTCCATTAGGATCACTCCCAGGTGTGCAGTGCCAGGAAGAGGGGAGATGCCCACCCTCACTGCCAAGGAGAGGCAGGGGTGTGCCAGGGCACTTGGGTGCAGGGATGAGCCGCCATTGGCAACTCAGCTGGCCCCACTGGCCATGCCCTCGCAGGCTCTCAGCTTTCTGGTGCACCTGGTGATGCTAGTGACCCTCATCAGGGGTGAATGCACCTGGCTGGCATGATGACCAGTTGTGCTGCCGGGCACAAGGCTCCCAGCTGCTCTTTGCTCTCTTAGTCCTGGGAGGAGCTTTGCACTGGATCCAGGGAGAAAGGAGTAGCGCTTGGACATTGGTCCCAATGTCACCGAAATAAGGCAGAGGGCTCTTTCTTTGTTCTTCCTCATTGTTCCTTTGGGATGACCCTGTGACCTATGACCTGTGGAAGATGGAGCCATCTCAGTCTTTCTCCTGTTGGGATGTGGGGATGTAGTTGAGAATTGCATTGATCACTTTGCAAAAGGGCTTCTTCGTGAAGACTTAAGGAACAGCTCATGTTTCAGTGTCAGGAAGAACAGTCTTCAATTCCTGAGAAACTGACCAGTGCATGCCTTATTGAAATGCAACTGTGGCTGATTTCATTTGCATCTTCCCATCGGCCACATTAGGCCAAGAACCATATTTGTGGCCCACCTTCCACCACATACAAGGCTGTATGGCCAGCAAGGCAACCTTTTTTTCTGGCTCTATTTTAACTTCAGACCCTTTAATCTTTATTTGGCCTTTTAAAAATGCCTCTCTTAGATGTTTCTTTCTTTTTTTTTTTTTTTTTTACTATGTTGAATTATTATATCCTTTAAGGTCATTTTCCCTGTTCTTTTGCAATGAAATAGAACATAAATAGTATACTTAACATGCTAAAATAAACTTTTCTCCCAACTGTTATTTCCAAGACAAAAATCCATTTTATATCCTATCCCACCATGTAGGGACTGCAAATGTAGTCTTTATGTTGTCCTTAAGAAAATCTACCAATAAGATAAAGCATTTTCCAGGAAACCACTGAGACACATTGTATCCTATTCCTGTGCAGATTACGGTAATAACTGACAAATCTCTGATGTCACAGAGCCAGGTGGAGCACAGGAATGACTTCATTTCTTCAACAAATATGAGTTTTCCTTGGGAGAGCTTTGAGCAAGTCTTCTCTGGTGTGTGGCTTCAGGGCATATTCATGTGTACCCACTTGGCTGGACACTGGGAGCAGAGTCAGAAAGTGGGTATGGAGGCACTTCTCTCAAATGACTTTACAATTTAGGAGAAAATCCTGGTTGCAATGTAATTCTTCCAGAAGCAATGACTAAATCAGTCAATTCAGCATTATAGAACCATGCAAGTGTGTGCATTAAGCCCTGGAAATACTGGAGGCATTTTGTGGGGCAGCCCATTTGAAACACATTGGTGCTGTGCTTCTGTGATTTGGTAACCAGCAGCCACATGGGCCACCTGAGTCACCGAGCTGCCTAAAATCCGTAGTGTACAGGTGATGAGGGGGACTCCTGAGAGAAGGGGGTGAACTAGGTGATGGCATCCTAGTGAGAGGTGACAGCGTGCTGGCAGTGGTGACAGCGAGCCCTTGCTCGCTCTGGGCGCCTCCTCTGCTTGGGCTCCCACTGTGGCGGCACTTGAGCCCTTCAGCCCGCTGCTGCACTGTGGGAGCCCCCTTCTGGGCTGGCCAAGGCCGGAGCCGGCTTCCTCAGCTTGCAGGGAGGTGTGGAGGGAGAGGCGCGAGCGGGAACCGGGGCTGCGCGCGGAGCTTGTGGGCCAGTGGGAGTTCTGGGTAGGCATGGGCTTGGCAGGCCCCGCACTTGGAGCAGCCGGCTGGCCCTGCTGGCCCTGCTGGCCCTGGGCAATGAGGGGCTTAGCACCCGGGCCAGCAGCTGTGAAGGGTGTACTGGGTCCCCCAGCAGTGCCGGCCTACCGGCGCTGCGCTCGATTTCTCGCCAGGCCTTAGCTGCCTCCCCACGGGGCAGGGCTCGGGACCTGCAGCCCGCCATGCCTGAGCACCGCCCCTCCCCCATCCGCCCCCGTGGGCTTCTGTGCGGCCCCAGCCTCCCCGACGAGCACCGCCCCCTGCTCCACGGCGCCCAGCCCCACCGACCACCCAAGGGCTGAGGAGTGCAGGCACACGGCACGGGACTGGCAGGCAGCTCCACCTGCAGCTCCAGTGCGGGATCCACTGGGTGAAGCCAGCTGGGCTCCTGCGTCTGGTGGGGACGTGGAGAACCTTTATGTCTAGTTAAGGGATTATAAATACACCAATCAGCAGCCTGTGTCTAGCTCAGGGTTTGTGAATGCACCAGTGGACACTCTGTATCTAGCTATTCTGGTGGGGCCTTGGAGAACCTTTATGTCTAGCTCAGGGATTGTAAATACACCAATCGGCACTCTGTATCTAGCTCAAGGTTTGTAAACACACCAATCAGCACCCTGTGTCTAGCTCAGGGTTTGTGAATGCACCAATCGACACCCTGTATCTAACTACTCTGGTGGGGCCTTGGAGAACCTTTATGTCTAGCTCAGGGATTGTAAATACACCAATTGGCACTCTGTGTCTACCTCAAGGTTTGTGAACACACCAATCAGCACTCTGTGTCTACCTCAGGGTTTGTGAATGCACCAATCGACACTCTGTATCTAGCTACTCTGGTGGGGACTTGGAGAACCTTTGTGTTGACACTCTGTATCTAGCTAATCTGGTGGGGAGGTGGAGAACCTTTGTGTCTAGCTCAGGGATTGTAAATGCACCAATCAGCGCCCTGTCAAAACAGACCACTGGGCTCTACCAGTCAGCAGGATGTGGGTGAGGCCAGATAAGAGAATAAAAGCAGGTTGTCCGAGCCAGCAGTGGCAACCCGCTCGGGTCCCCTTCCACACTGTGGAAGCTTAGTTCTTTCACTCTTTGCAATAAATCTTGCTGCTGCTCACTCTTTGGGTCCACACTGCCTTTATGAGCTGTAACACTCACTGTGAAGGTCTATAGCTTCACTCCTGAGCCAGCGAAACCACCAACCCACCAGAAGGAAGAAACTTCGAACACATCCAAACATCAGAAGGAACAAACTCCAGACGCGCCACCTTAAGAGCTGTAATAGTTACCGCGAGGGTCCGCGGCTTCATTCTTGAAGTCAGTGAGACCAAGAACCCACCAATTCCAGACACACTAGCACCAACTGAGGATGATGGCTTATGGATTTCCCAAATTTAAAACTGGGACTTCTCAACAGAGAAGCTGAACACGAAAGCTTCACCAAGCCATTTTCCTTTTGATAAGAAAGTGCTAATTAGCACCATGCATTCTCCATAGAAGACTTGTTTTCACACTGGTTTACCTACGGATGGAGTTTTCATGTAAATCATGAGTGACAGAGGGGCCCATCATCAATGTTTAAAACGGAATGTGTACATGGTATTGCTCAACCTCTTTGAGAAATATGACCCCATCATTTCATATTAGTAGTACAAGTAGTCATTTGAAATTCCAGTCACAGCAGTTCCTGAGCCACAAACATACCCACAAAACACATGCTTGGATGGCGTGTGATCTCACCTGCATTTACACTTGATCAAGCCTTTCATATTGTAGACAGTTTATTTCTTCCTCATTCCATCCTTGAATTGTTAGGCCTCAAAGAGATGAGGTATTATGTGATAGTCATCTTTGTTCCTCAGATCTTAGTACATTTCCACCAGGAAGCAGACATTTAAAAGTGATCATTGAATAAACAGAGTTAATGGAAAATAAAAATAATTAGTCTCAGATAACACTTTTCGGAGTTAACTGACATGATGTTTCCATATTTGCTGGGACATTTTATCCTTCTCTATTTGAGAAACCAAGAGAGTAGACTTCATCAACTCAGGCAGGTAATCTTACAGCCGAAAGCCATGAGAATGCTTTGGAGATTCAGAAGTCTAGATCCCAAGTAAAAGACTGTCAACTCCTACCACCCAGGAAAGAAAGAGATTCCCCAGACTGGAGAGAGAAGAGAAATCAGATTGAAAATAATAGCAGCTAAGATATAGGTGGCCTCTGAGCAAAGGGTGGCACTGGTGTCCAACCCACACCAAGCCTCAGAGGTGCTGACAAGGAGTGCAGGACAGCTGGAGCCTTGAAACAGCAGAGACCTGGCCCCAGGTAGATGGTAACGAAGCTGCAAGAGCCAGAGTAGAAGTGTCTGCGTGGTCGGCTTCTTGCTTGAGGGCCCAAGGCAGCCTTGCAGAGCTCCCAGGGCCCCAGTGAGGTGCAGGACTAGCTAAACACTCCAAGCATCCAAGCACTTAGCCTCATGGGGTTGCCCAAGCCCAGTGAGCATGAGTAGGAAGGGGTAGAATGCATCTTGGGTATGAATGCAGGGCAGTCGCCAGATCTACAGATGAGCCAAACAGAAATGGGGAACAATGGAGACACATGAAGCCTGGAAAGCAAAGAACAGAGATGCAACAGGAGAGTCTGAACTCTGAAGGGACAACTAAGTACTGGATAGATCAAGCCCCTGTCTCCTCCCCCTAGATTAAATAGAACCCTAGAAAGGTTGGCAAAACCCAAATTGTTAGACTACATTTCTACCACCCCAATAGAATGGGGTCTCAAAGTTGAGTTATAGAAAAAAAAATCTTGCACAACAGAGATAATGTAGATTAAACTTATCTACATTATCTACAAATAACAACCATATTGCCTGCAATACACAAATGAAGATGCAATATATCTGATATTAGCACAGTTTTCACTGGTTTCATAACAGACATTTTTAAAAATAAGGGAACAAAGTTCCAATATGACATTGCATTTACACAGTGTTTTCACGACCTGAAATTCAAGTGCTTTTAGACAAAATAGTCTTTTACACAGTCACTGTTGGCAGACCGCCACCATGTAACTTGTGTTTTCAAATATTCAAGGTAGGAGAAAGGGTCAGGACTCATTTAGGAAGTCTGGTAGAAGTCAAGTTTGCAAAAAATGAATTTACCCAAATGTATAGAAGGCTTGCCCTACTAGGGTGGCCTATTTCATGTGGATGTAAATAGTTCATGGGGGATGAGAGCTGCTGGGAAGTAGGGGAGTAAGGGATAGAGAAGCCCATTTCCCAGATGAGCTGAAGAAATGGAGAGCGAAACCCAAGGGCAAGTGGCACGTCTGCAAGTAGAGCTCTTGCCAGCCCTTAGTGGCAGATCTGGGAACATGGGGTTTGCAAGACTCAACACACTCCATTCTTGGAGGAAACCAGTGGCTCCTTGGGACCCAAAGAAGATTCCATGGCATCTCGATCTCAGCAGGGAAAACTGAGGCCCGGCGCAGTTAGGATAGGCTCTCTTGTTCAGGACTGAAGAGGCTTCCCTGATGCAGGCAGGGAGTTGGTCAGCGTCTGCTGAGGAGACAAAGCCTGAGCTATCTTCTGGCTCAGAGAGAAAGAGCAGGCAGGAAGAAAAACCAGCATCCAGCTGTGCCACAGATGTGCTTCCACCTCTGTCTTGCCCTCTCACCCTCGCCTTTAATCCCATTTTATAAAAACTCATACTCAGAGGTTAGCTGGGTTGGACCCCAGTCTGACCAACCCACAGCCCAGGCTGGCCACAATGTGTGTGTGTGCTTAGCAGGGGGGCAGTTTTTGGGGACTGCAAAAGGAGGGTCTATAAAGAAGGACCTCATCTCTCACCCCCTAGGGGCAGCCTCTATGGGGGAGGACGATGGTCCCTGACATCATGGGACAGTCACGAATGAGGGTCTGTCCTGGGTCAGGCTGGTGGGCAAGTTGATCTGGCCTCTCCACAAGGCTGGCTCTTGCCTCCCCCATTAGTCAGTAGCACTGCTGCTCGTGGCTCTTTTTAGTTTCTGCCTTATGACCATATTTGACACACTGCCTCCAACCTAAGGTCCCTATTTATTCTTGGGCACACGCCTTGGTGACATGCTACCACTGCCCTCCCTGCCCAGAATTGTGTTTGGCAAGCTGTGGAGAAGCTTCCAGAATCCAAAAGACCCTTTTTTTTAAATATACTTTAAGTTTTAGGGTACATGTGCACAATGTGCAGGTTTGTTTGAATGGAGACAATTAGTTTAAAGCAGGCACGCGTAAAACCGGAGGCAGCACTTAAATAAGGCACAAACATGCCTTTAAATGTTGTTTTAAAGTCAACCTTTACTTTCATCCTCAACGACTTAATTGACAGAAACAACAAGTGTATCTGCCAATATGTGGGCCGGCTCAGTGACCCATCCACTGAGAAGTAGAAAGCATATCATGTTTTGAGTTACAGTTTATTGAGCATTAAGCTTTCTTCCTGTTTTTTCTCACTTTTCAGAGTGATATCCACAGATATTTTCCTATAACTGTGTGTAACATGACTGTGCCCAACGTTAGACTGGTGGAATGGTAGATAAAGGGGGCAAGAATTCACAAAAGGGAAGTCCTGGGAAAGGAAATTGAGAGTTTATAAATATATGAATGCCAGCTCATTTTTATTTTTTAAATACTCTGTACAACACACCAACATAAAATCATAGGATATAGTGGTGATTGCATTCTTATGCATATATCTTTGGGTATTAATTTTACGAAAGATATAAAGATGATTTTGATGCAGATGGATTCCACATGTTACTGAGAACATGAAAAGGAGGATCAGACGGAAGCAAGAGAAAAATTCCACCTTAGGCTCTTTCTTGAAAGGTGCAGTTTCTCCACCATTGACATCTCCTTAGACCTCACAGTGAACTGGCAAGTAGGTCCAGGGAAGAGATTTCTATAGTATCTTGGCTTTGAGTAAAAGAAAATGGACCCAAAAGCCTCATCTTCACAAGACAACCTTTTGGAAATAGATAGAAGGCTTGATACCAAATGTGCTTGAGGTGTAGCTCCAAAGCAGCAAATAAAGGCGCTGCCACACCTGTGCAGGTGCCACACCCGTGCAGGTACCATCCAGTGGGGGCCTGGGGCATCGCATGTCCCAGAGCACCCAGGCACAGGGAGGCTGCTCAGCAGTAGGATGTGTGGCTTTTGAGGACTCAAAGACACTTAGGGGGTCTCTGCTTCTGCATTTCCAAGAGGACAGATAGCTGGGGCAGGTGCACCACCCCACTGAGACACCAGGGCATGAAGAGTGGCATGATATGGTTTGGCTGTGTCCCCACCCAAATCTCATTTATACTGTAGCTCCCATAATTCCCACGTGTTGTAGGAGGGACCCAGTGGGAGGTAATTGAATCATGGGGCAGTTCCCCCATACTGTCATCATGGTAGTGAATAAGTCCCATTAGATCTGATAGTTTTATAAGGCATTTCCCTTTTCTCTTGGCTCTCATTCTCTCTTGTCTGCTGCCATTTAAGGGATGCCATTGTGAGGCCTCTCCAGCCTCATGGAACTTTGAGTCTGTTAAACTTCTTTTTCTTTATAAATCACCCAGTTTCAGGTATGCCTTTATCAGCAGTGTGAAAACAGACTAATACATAGCACATAGGTGGACTGAAATCCGCTGTCCCCCATGAGTGTGTACCGACAGGTATGCCCTCCACCAGCTGAGCACACCAGCACCCACCTCCCCTCCCTGACCTGCTCGCAGCCAGCCCACGCCCAAGCCCTGCTGACATTCATCTCCTTTATCTCTTAGCCTGACAACTCCCCTCCTTCCCCACCACACTCCACTCAAAGCAACGTCATCTATCACCTGAACCTCCTCACTGACTGCTCTGCCTCCACTCCTGCCTCCCTCCCACCGGCATCTGTCCCCAAGCTGCATCCAGACTCCAGGGAACACAAACTCAGCCGCGGCACCCCCTTCGCTGCCTCCTCCTCGTGTCTTCTGTTGCCCTCGTGGTAGGGACTGACATCCTGATATGGCCCATGAGGCCCCCTGGAGTCTGCCCCCACCCAGCGGCTTCCTCACCATCACAACGGATTCCCCTCTCTGAGCTTCTCCTAGGTGGCCATCCGCCCATGCCTCCAACATTCTACTCTCCCTTCTTCCACCAGGCATTTGCACACCTGCAGTTTCCTCTTTCTGAAATATTCCTTCAGCACTCCTTACTTAATAAATTGCTACTCATCTTTCAAATACAGCCAACTTCCCATTCTTCTGGAAAGTATTCCTGGATCCCTGGAAAGGCCACAGTTCCCATGTTGTACTCCATGTGTGTCTTTTTGCAGCACTTACATGATTTCCATTTTACCTGTGGTTGTGTCACTTTTTGATAACTAGCTGTCCTTCCTACTAGACCAGAAGCTTCTGGTGGGCAGGACATGTCTGCTTTTACAAATCATGGTAACCATGGTACTTAGTTTAGTTGTTGACATGTAGCCAGCACTTTCTTATTCATTTGCTAGTTATGGTTAACGCTGTGCTAAACTCTGGAGTTTAAACAATGAACCAGGCAGGCAAGGCCTTGCCTTCATGGTGTTTTTATTTTATTGCAAGAGAGATACAAACACAATAGAGATTATGATGTTTACAATGTTTAAAAATAAGGACTGCTATGATAGAGAATAATGGCAAGATACATGGAGTCATCAGCAAAGACCTCCTGAAGCAAGTGACATGAAAACAGAGATCCAACTGGTGGGAAAGAACGAGATTTGCCCAAACCAGGGAGGAATATTCCCAACACTGGAAGCAGCAAGAGCCAAGGCCCTGAAGCAAGGACGAGGGCAGCCTTTAGTAATGTGTCCAGAAGGCCCGAGTTCTTGGAGCAGAGCATTGAAGGAAATAGTGGTTGATAATACAACTGGAAAGATGTGCAGCGACCAGCAGAAGAGGAAGAGTTTGGATGTTATTCTGAGTGAATGGGGGAGTCATTGAGGGGACTAAGGCAGAAGAATAACCACACCTCGTTTACATATAAGGCTCTCCAGGTGGGCTTTATGGAGAAAGGATTGCACAGAGGGTGGCTTGGATAGGGCAGAGCCATGGACAAGGGGAAGATGGAAGGAGATCTGTCCCAGAGGCATAGACAGGAGGCCAGGGTGTCCTTAGGAATTCTGGCTTCCATAGCAGGGTGGATGGTGGCTCATTTACTGAGGTGGAGAAGACTATTGAAGAATGCATGGGTTGATGGATGAATAAACAAACAAGCAAATATGTAGAGATAAATAGTACAATAAAGGAGACTGGGCCTTCAGGGTGAGATATATTCATAAGGCAAAAAAGCTTCCATATCGGTCAGGGTTCTGCTGAGAAAGAGAACCAATGGGATATGTATATAAAGAGATTTATTTTAAGGAAGTAGCTCACATGATCATAGAGGGTAGCAAGTTGATATTTGCAGGGCAGCCCACAGGCTGGAAACTCAGACAGGAGCGGATATTGCAATCTTGAGGAAGAATTATTTTCTTCCCAGGGAAACCTTGTATTTTTTTCTCTTAAAGCTTTCAACTGATTAAATGAGGCCCACACATATTATTCATGATAATCTCCTTTACTTACAGTCACCTGATTATAGATCTTAAACACATCTGCAAGATGCCCTTCACAGCAACACCTAGATTTGTGTTTGATTAAATAACTGGGTACTATACCTTGGATACATTGACACATAAAAATAACAATCACAACTCTAAATGATTGTTCCGTGGAAACCACTAGGCTTTACCAATAATATAACTCAGAGGTCAGCAAACTATGGTCCATGGGCCAAATTTTGCCTTCCATCTGTTTTTGTGAATAAAGTTTTATTGGAACACAGCCATGCCAACTCATTTGTGCATTGTCTATGGCTGCCTTTGTGTAACAGCCACAGAGGTGAGCAGTTAGGACAGAGACCAAACAGCCCGCAAAGCATAACGTATTTACTATCTGGCCCTTTACAGGAAAACTTTGTTGAGCCCTGGTGTCACTTCATTTTGTGGAATTACTCAGGCAAAGTGACTGCTGCTAGGCAATAGTCAAAGTCAAAATGGTTAATGGGTCTGAAACCAGTGGAGATCTGGGAAAATTTTAAAAGAATAGTCAAACATGACAAGAGGTATCACTGGGGAAAAGAAACCCAAAACATTAGCATTTGGCTTCCAAGCAGCTCACATTCTGGCCTTAGACAACTGTTACCTCACTGCTCAGAAATGGAAGCTTGAAGCTCGTGTGGAAAACCGACCTCCTAATAAATCTCACACAGAGGATGCAGCAATTTGTTATGCGTGAGAAAATGGCACTGGGAAAGCAAAACACAGCCAGCTTGCTTCATATCACAAGTAGCAATTGGGCTCAGGTTTTCACCTAATTTTTAAGCAGCTTATCACCACCTCCGAAAAGAAAAAAAAAATTCTAAAAATTGCATTGCTTTTTTTTTTCTGAGAAGAGCATATTATGAAGTGTAAACATTAAGAAAGTCATTTCCCAATATAACTATTTCCAAGCTTTGTCTACCACTTGTGCTATCATCCAAATGTTGGTGTCCCCTTCTCCCTGAAAATTTGGATGTTGGAACCTAATCTTTAGTGGGATACTAGTAGGAGGTGAGGCCTTTGGGGAGGTGATTAAGTCATGAGGTCAGAACCCTCATGAATAGGATTAGTGCCTTTGTAAAAGACATGTGAGAGAGCCTGTTTGCCCCTTCTGCTATGTGAGGACACCATGAGAATAATCTGCAGGAGATGCAAGAAGCAGAGGCCCTTCACTAGACATGGCATCTGCTGGCACCTTGATATCAGACTTCACAGCCTCCAGAACTGTGAGAAATAGATGTCTGTTGCTAATAAATTACCCAACCTAAGGTATTTTATTATAGCAGCCCAAACTGACTAACACAACTCACTACCTTTAAATATTTTTGTCCAATCAATACAGCTCCCTCTCCCTTTTTTGGGGAATAAAACCTTGCTGAAATGAACGGACTCTAATATCTTGATTTATTAACCCACATCTGAGCCAAAATGATGTTTGTTTGAGAATCTACTTAGTACTGACTGAAAGAAACTGTACAAGAGGTTTTTTTGCCAATGTGTGAGAAAATAGATCAGAGATAAGATTAATCTTTACAAAAGACAAAAAGCTTACAATGCTTTGCCAAATAAAATTAACTTTCATAATTTGCCTACTATGTATTTACTATGCTATGCTATCTGTTTAGCATACAAACCCCCTACAATCCCTACAGTAATCCTAGATGGTGCCTACGTTTTAATCTCAGGTTTATAGATGAGAAACTAAGACAACCTGGACTTAAAGCCAGGCCACCTTACTCCACAGGCCACACCCCCCACCACGGTGAACACTACAGCTGTGATAAGACAACAGAAAATTGCTTATCCAAAATAATAAATTATATATTTATATTCCCCTTGACTCACCTGAATAGTGTTCATTTTTATTTAGAAATGTAACTGTATTCGTTTGTTCTCATACTGCTATGAAGAACTACCTGAGACTGAGTAATTTATGAAGAAAAGAGGTTTAATTGATTCACAATTCTGTAGGCTGTACAGGAAGCATTGCTAGGGAGGCCTCAGGAAACTTACAGTCGTGGCAGTAGGCAAAGGGGAAGCAGGCGCGTCTTCACGTGGTGACAGGAGAGAGCGAGCAAGGGGGAAGTGCCACACACTTTTAAATGACCAGATCTCCTAAGAATTCACTCACTATCATGAGAACTGGAAGGCGGAAGTCTGTCCCTGTGATTCAATCACCTCCCACCAGGCCCCTCCAACACTGGAGATTACAATTCAACGTGAGATTTGGGTGAGGACACAGAGCCAAATTCTAACATCTTGATTTACTAACCTACATCTGAGCCAAAATAATGCTTGTTTGAGAATCTACTTTAAGTAACAACTGAAAAAAATTTATGAGTTTTTTATTGCCAATGCGTGAGAGAATATATCACATACTGACAAGATAAAATAAGATTAATATTTACAAAAGGCAAAAAGCTCACGATGCTTTGTCAAATAAAATTGATAATTTCCCTACCATGTATTTACTATGCTATGCTGTGTATCAAACAAAACCCCCTACAATCCCTACAGTAATCCTAGATGGTGCCTTCATTTTAACCTCAGGTTTATAGAAGAGAAACTAAGACAACCTGGACTTAAAGCCAGGCCACCTTACTCCACAGGCCACACCCCCCACCATGGTGAAAACTACAGTTGCGATGTTAAGATAACAGAAAACTGCTATTCATAATAGTAAATTATATACTTACATCCCTCGACTCATCTGAATAGTGTTCATGTTTATTTAGGAATGTAACTTTTTAAAGAATGCAAAGTTTTATTTAAGAACCTGCAAAGTTACCTCATATAACAGCAATATTCCTGCCATTATGCTGCATATGGAGATAGAAACCTATAACAATCATCTTTCCCTCTAACTTGCTTCCACCTTCTCCAGTGGGTGACAGAAAAGACAGATAGGACCTGTACATCCAGCTTTCTCTGCTACCCCTTGAAAAAGCTCCATCTATTCCAATCAGTGGGCATGCAGCTTCCTGGTTTTCTTACACTTGCTGTTACTCATAGAGTATCTCGTGCTGTTGTTTGCATTTTTACTAGTTTCAGCTTATTTTAGGGTTTCACTTAACGCACAGCTTTGTACGGAAAGTCATAGATTCCACTGCTCCTCTCAGTGTTTTACACAGGTTTTACTGAAACCCAAACCCCTGCCTAGCATCCCTCTTTTTCTTCCTCACTTCCCATGGCAAAGTCAGAATTTATTCTTGAGATTTCAATCTTCTCAGCCTTTTAGCTTTCCTGGCTGTGGGACCGCAGAAAGCTAGCACTGCAGCTATGGTCTAGCAGGACAGCGTCCCAGCCTTATTCCCTCTGCACTTACCATTTCTGTGAACACTGGCTCAGTGTCCAACCACAAGCCCCATCTGCTCTCTTGTGAAGTGGACCAGAAGTGTCCAGGATTAATGCTGCTTAGGCTGAGAGTAGGTGGATCAACATCCCAGCTCCCTCACCCTTCCTGTAGATGACATTTCAGTTTCATGTTCTACACTTTCTCCCAGAGTTTCTCAATGGCACCATTCTCCAGTTGGCCACGGT
Source organism: Homo sapiens (assembly GCF_000001405.40). Classification (NCBI taxonomy): domain Eukaryota; kingdom Metazoa; phylum Chordata; class Mammalia; order Primates; family Hominidae; genus Homo; species Homo sapiens. The sequence goes on from NC_000005.10 coordinate 9,736,565, forward strand.
GGTAAATTGCTTGGTGATGCATTTTGTATCTCTGTTGTGCCTTGCAAAACCCACTTCCTAATTGCTGTTTCTTGGGATGGCCTCCCAAATAAAGTACTTGTGTTTGACATCTTATCTCAGGTCCTGCTGGGGAATCCAAATTAAGTCAGCATGCTGTATAACATACCCCATCTCCCCTCTCTATAAGGACATTTCTTTTAGACTATCTCTTATTTCAGTCCTGAGCTCCACCTTGTCAAGTATTCTGGATACCCATGAGGGCTTAGCAAAAGGGCCTATGTCTGTCACCCTGGATGGGAACTAGCCACTTCAGGAAAGCTCTGTGATAGCCATGTGTAAGGTCATAGTTAGAAATGCCCCCACCCTTTCTCATTAAGTTCTCCCTACCCTTATTCACATTTGGCACTTTATTTAACTCTTCCCATTCATATATTTTGAGACTTAGGCTGAATTTAGCAACTTTACATCTTCTACCCTTTCTCATTGTGCTAAAGTCTCCATCAGGGTCATGCAAATGGGGAAATAAAGGTTGAGCAAATGGGGAAATATTATTCTCCATATGGATTGTGAAAGTGTGCAACCTATACCACTGTCAGCAGCAGCTCTGGTCTTCATCCTGCCCCATTGTTTTCTGAAGGTGCACAATCCAGCCTCCTACTAGAAGAACCCAGACTCTTGTTTCCCCATTCACAATGGGGGTGTTCACTTACACATTAGGTCAACATAGTTGCAGGAGGTTCTAGAATCTAGCCACTTTGGCTCTATCACTTATTAGCTGAGTGACCTTGGACAAGTTATTTAACTTCCCACCAGCTCAGTTTCTCATCTGGAAATTGAGAACAATTTCAATTATAACAATGTCATAAAATCTTTGTGTCAGGTGAAATCATGCATGCTGAGTGCTTTGACAGCACCCAGCATTTTGCGGGTTTTTGACAGATGTCAGTCACCACCGACTCTCTGTCTTCCCCTTCTGCAGGTCCAGCCTCCAGGGCGATGACAAGGGTGAGAGAGAAATATGAGCCCAGCCTGCCAGGTCAGGAACAAGGAGAGCGAGGAGCTGCCTTTCCTTTTCCCTGGCTCCTTCCAAGTGGCAGTGTGGACAAACAGAACAGGCAAGATGCTGTGGATGTGGAGCTGAATGATTCATCATGCACATCAATTTAACCAGAGTCAGTTAGCAGTATCCCAAAGCTCTGAAGGACAGGGGCTCAATTAACCTTTTAATACACAAGTCAAATTTCTTGTCTTCATGACTTACTTCTTTACCAGCAAAAAGCCTCCAAAACCCTTCTCAGATCTTTGTCCAAGGTGAGGCTAAACTCTGTCACTGGTGGGGCTTCCTCTAATTCCCTGTGTTGTTCTGTCTGCTGTGATGTTATCACTCTAAGAGGGAGGGTGCATTTTGAGGATGACAGAGAAGGACACGTATGATGCAGTGTTAACGCAGACCTTTCTCTCCACCTGGATGAAGAACTACGTTCTCTGGCCGCCCTCATACTTGTCGTTAAAAGAACGTAAATTATTTCACAATTCTCTCCCCTCAAACACACCCACTATTTCTCTTTCTTCCTGCAAGAGCTGAGTTTTTTTCTCTTCAGGATAAACTAGCACATTCTTTTAATTCCCAGGAAATTATACTTTTCCAGGGATGATTACCACCCATTCTCAGAGTTTATAAGTCCAAGGGTAAGGCCCTGATCCAATTGGGGCTGGAGCTACAGATGAGAATGAAAATGACAGACCATCTCTGTGTGCTCCTGGACTGTGAGAGGTAAAATTTGGAATCTGACAGCTGTCACGTTTCCTGATAAATGAACCAGAGAAGTGGAGGGAGAAGGGAGGCCTGGGAAAAAGGCGCTCCTCCTAGGCTTCAAGTCCTGAAGCCAAAGCACATTCTTTACTTTGAGTCCCAAAAGGCAACTCATTATTATTCCAATAACACCACCTTTGTTTAGTCTGATAGGGGTACGGTTTCTGTCACTAGCCAACCTAGCGATGATTATTACATTATTTAAATTAAACACCCATTTCTATTTTTGGGAGGCCCTCGTGGGTGATCAACCTGCTGATTTATGAACCAATTCATGCTACGGTAGTGATGGGGAATAGCAGTTACCACACTATCTTTTGTTATACCAACTTTGCCTTGACACCCAATGTTTAATGTCTTGACCTAAAGTAATGACTAATAAACCCCAATGCCAGCAAAGAGGAAGCCCACAGAGAACCAGCATCAGTGCAGATGAGTCTCAAGGCAACACCCAAATATCCCACTAGGCCTCTCTCTTCCTGCATACACATATGTTAAGGCTTGAATTTAATTTTTTTCTCACACTATAAAGCTAAGCTGTGTCAGTAATCCCCATGCCAACCTGCTGGAGAAAAAGTCAATCTAACATCATTACATTTTTCTGGCTATTTTAATTCAGTTAAAAAAATAAAAATAAAAAACCACATTTTCCCTAGTACCTGCCTATTTCTAGAAAAAGCTAACTGGAAATCAGAAACAAAGAAGACAGCCTTTAACTGCTTTATTAATGGGAGCTTGGTCATGTCATTTCCAAGTTCTTCTTTTTCCAAAAGACCCAACTGATAGTCCCGTATTCATAAGGCACCTGCTCCCTCACCCCTACAAGTTCAAATCCAGTTTTCTTTCCCTTTTGGAGCTTTTCCTGGTGAAATTATAGCTTCTCATAGTGAAGGTGAACAGCGTGCTGGCTTATCTGGTCCCTCCGTCACCTTCCCCACCCCTCATCTGCCCTCTGCAGGTCAGGGTGTCAACAGTCTCCAGGACAGGTGTTAACTAACCTACCCCTGGAGGCACTATGTGTTGGGCAGTGAGAAACCCAAACTACATTCCAGACTCACTCATTTGAAAATGGAATTAATAAAACTGGGAATTAATGAATAACAATATTTTAGAAGGAGTCACAATTGCAAGATGCCCTGCTAACCCAGCATCCAAAAAACTGCTGTTTACTCTGTCATCTTTGGCAATACACACCATTATTACATCTTAGTTGCTTAATCCGTAAGAGGCAGGTAAGATGCCAAGCAATTCCTTGGAGTTATGGTAAGTTATTCATGCAAACACTATATTTATTAAGTGATTCAAGCATAAAGGTCATTCAACGCTTACGCTCTCTTTCTAATGCCCTTCTGATGCTCCTTCTTTTAAAGCCTGGTGGCAAAAGCACTCCCAACTCAGAACACAGGAGTACAACTTGAATTCAGAGAATTTAAGATGATCTCTAAATCAGGATGAGTCTTACAATCCAAGCTATGTCTTAGAATTACATAAAATAATGGTGCATTTTATATAATCAGTGGCATTTTAGATTTGATGAAATACAGCAACTGAATTAGTCCTCCCAGAATTCAAGGTCTTTTTAAAGCAGGATTTAATTCATATCTCAGTAGCTTTCCCCAAAATTTTCAGCAATTGCACCCTGCCCACCTATTCATGAAGCTGAGAGGGATCACAGGAGTTGTCTAGTCCCAAGTCCCCAGAGATGTTTTCTGGTGATAGACTGTAACCAAAACGACCTCTGGTATTTATTAAGTTTGCAAAATCTTGTGTCAAAGTTTTCTCAGAGCCTTTTATATGCTAATTGAAATTATGGATTTGTCCGAAAGGTGTTCTAGACTTTAGAATTTCCCTCACTTATTTGACCATTAAACCTTTTATCCTAGGACTGATTTGTAGGCGAATAAAAATGCTGAAAAAAAGTGAGACCTTGAAAGATTACACAACCTGCCCCCAAAGACCCAGTTAATAAGTGGTACAGTAAAGAATGCAGTCTGGCTTTTCTTATTCTGCTTCTGATTCTCCTACCACACAGCACTGCTTCATGGATCAGTTTTCAATGAAATGAATAAAAGGCACCATGGTGTAGTTCTCTCTTCACTCACGCACTTCCCTCAGAATTTCAAAGCCAACGAGTTAACAAAAAGACAAATTTACACTGGAAATCAACAACCATCTAAGCTGTGGAATTTTTTAGTGCATTGTGATGTCCATTAAAATCTGTCACCCAATTGCCTTCCAAAACCCCAGAGCAACTGAAACACACAAGCGTTTTTGAGTGGGCAGGGGTTAAGGGGCAGAAGCCAAGAGAGGATCAGAGACATCTCCCAGTAACACAGGGGCCCATTTCCCTGAACCTGTCAAAACCTTTGAGCAGGTAACACCGAGGAGTGGGTCTCCTGTGGCTGGCTTTGCAACTCCTTCTCTTCCGATTATGAAAATATCCTTCTTACACTGCACCGTAATCATTTGAATTTTTATTGTTTTCACTCAAAAGCTCCTAAGTTATTTAGATAAGCACCATTAAACAAAAATCTGAGTAATTAGTTCTTTTGATGTGTCCTAGTGGCAGTGGAGGAACTTGAAGACGTTTATTAACTGTTAGATCAGTCCCAGGTGGGACTTATTATAAACAGAGCTTAGCCCCAGAGCAGCCGCTCATTAAATACTGAACAGGAATTAGGTATTTCTCTCTTCCCATGCCATTCTTCATCAACCAGCCTCTACCACTTGGGTAGGATTATTATATTATATATTTTATGCCACTAAATACCACAAATCATTGCTTACGTGAAGTCCCGGAGGTGGGGCTAGAACACAATCACACCCTCCTTTAGAGACTGCGACCCAGAGAGAACAATCAGAAGGGACTCCCAGAGATCCGCTATTTAATCCTCTCATTTGGCTGGTCAGAGACAGAGATCCAAAGAAATTAAGAGATTTTCTCAAGGCCAACAGCTGGTCAATGGGACCCGCTTCTCCCATCTCTTGCTTTAGTAAATTTTCCATGCCAAGACATTTTCAAGTGCTTGACAGTCACCCACGGATGCTGACTGCTCTGAGTGATCTATGGCAAACCACCCACTCTTTTCCCAGAATGATAAATGTTTCTTATGTCTAATGTTGATATAAAATGTTATGAAAACGAGAAAATTTGGGGGATCTTAGAAAATAAAAGAAAGATTTACATGAAATAAAAATGAGTGGTTTTATCTCGTGTATGTTGGAAAACAGAATAGAAGTTGATTGGCATCCATGGCAGAAGGGGATCTGGGTTCTCACTTGTTCCCACCTGTTCAAGCATCCCAGTGGAGTCCTCAGTCCTCAAGTCTGTAAACCAGGCTGAACAGCCCCAGGTGACCGGGACACAGTGGGAAGTGAGTCAACTAACCCCTAAAAGCTCCTCCCAGTCCCAGGGTCGTGCCTTCATTCTTGAAGGTCGGTTTCTCTACAGCATAAACGTCATTATTCATAAGGCTTTCTCCCCTGTGTCATGTAACATAGGGCAGCACAAACAAGACTGTTTTTTTTTAATACATAGATGGAGTTTCGCTCTTGTTGCCCAGGCTGCAGTGCAATGGCACAATCTCGGCTCACCACAACCTCTGCCTCCTGGGGTCAAGAGATTCTCCTGCCTCAGCCTCCCGAATATCTGGGATTACACGCATGCACCACTACGCCTGACTAATTTTGTATTTTTAGTAGAGATGGGTTTCTCCATGCTGGTCTCAAACTCCTGACCTCAGGTGATCTGCCCGCCTCAGCCTCCCAAAGAGCTGGGATTACAGACGTGAGCCACCACGTCTGGCCTGCACAAACAAGATTTTAAATATGTTTTCCTGTTACTCTCCGAGTGTTTTGCTAACAGATGATTTGCAAAGAATATACATAGAAAGACAGCTCTCATTCACCCACTGAGAATCAGCCTCCTGAAAACTTTAGGCAGACTCAATAAAAATAAACTTATCACTACATCCCTGCTCCTAAGTTCCATGCAGAACACACATCAGGAGTCTGTAGCAAAATACCTCTACTCCCCTGAGAGATTTGTACATGCTAATCTCAATGTCCCTAACATAGCATTTAACAGCTTCACCAGCCACATGGAAACAGAAGAAACACCAAGTTTTTGTGGGGAAAACATTTCAAAAGGACAAAATATCTTTGAACCTGACTCTACCTTACTATCATTTCTCATTTTTATGTCTTATTTAAGATCTGTGAAAAACAATCCAAGGTTTAGTGCTGATTTTCTTAACAAAAGAAAATACTCAAGGTTGTTTTCATAAATAGACAATCTTAACTCAATTTTCTTCTGTTACCACATGCCACATTTAAATAACCTCAATGGCCAGGAAAACTTAAAAAGGGAACTTTCATGAGTTAGGTAGGGCTTGGCTGCATCTAATTCAATGTCATTCACAAGAAAAGCTAAAAATCTTTACCTGCCTGAAGTTCTTAATGGAAGGGGAGGAAGAAACCCAAAAGATAAATGAACAATGCATGTCTAAATTAAAACTGAACCAAAAAAAAAGACATCAGTCAGAGAAACAGTCAGAGAAACAGAGAGAAAAGTAGCAACTTTAAGCATGATGAATAACTGATCCACATCCTTAGCAAAAACAAGATCTCATCAGGAACCAATCAGGAGCACCAACCTGAATTTGCTGATTCATGGAAAGCAATAGGTGATTAAAAAAAAAAAAGCCTGAGCCTCTTTCTTTTCCATTTCCCCAACCAGACAACCTGCGAAGACACTACACACTTATGATACATTCCAGATTAACTTTACCAACCAACTCTCTTGGACTTTACTGTTAATTAGTGCAGAGGCAACTCCCTTTTTTCTCTTCTGCCTCCCAGGCTTCCCCTCTGGATGCTAATGAAATAGGGAGATTTCTAAGTTTCATTGTCTCAGTTGAGCAGTGCTATTCTTTTTTTTTTTAATTTTATTATTATTATACTTTAACTTTTAGGGTACATGTGCACAACGTGCAGGTTTGTTACATATGTATACATGTGCCATGTTGGTGTGCTGCACCCATTAACTTGTGATTCAGCATTAGGTATATCTCCTAATGCTATCTTTTCTACAGGCAATATGGAAAAAATAAACATGGAAGATTTCTGGATGGAAACAGTTTACAATCAAACATCCCATTGTTGACAAAATCATCATAATTGTCACTTCGCGCCTCTTTGCCAACTGTATAATTAGTGTCATTACCAGTAAGTCATGGAAATATAAATGATAGTGGATTATACAACCCAAAACTGCATAAACATGAATATTTTATGGTACCTAAGCAATGTCACGAATTGTACATAACATAGACTTGGCATTTGCTTCCAGCAGATCTTAAGATTTCTCACCCAGACTAAGTGCACAGTCTTACCATATAGCTTTAGAAAGATGTTTCTGGATGGATGTTACCAAAGGCAAGTGAGGAGGAGGAGGAGAGGAGGGAAAAAATTCTCTTTGGAAATGATTTTTAAAAACACAATTATTAGTGTATTTTTATGTTTAGGACATGAAATTCCATTTTTATATTTTCCTACATGGAATATAATTTCAAAAGAAAATATTTTTAAAATAACAATTTAAAGCCAAATGTATTCAATTTTGTATTGCCTACTATCCGATCACTCATGTTTGGATACTTTGGCAAATATGTTAGACCAGATCACTCTGCACCCAAGTTGCCTATACTCTCCCTGACTGGGGTGATCTCTTCCTTTCCCCTCTGCCCAAGACCAGCTCAAGACACACTGCTCTCTCCCTTCTTTGAATTTCTAAAGGCCAGACTCTGGAAAACATAGGTTTTGACATTTTTAAGACTCTGTAAATTATGGCAATCAAACTCTTTTTGTTTGTGTATACATTTGGAATTGCCATACTTCTACAAGCACTCCCGTTTTTAGTGTCTAATATTGGGCCGGTGGGTCATAGGTACTCTGTCAATATGTAAGGAAAATTATTAAGTGGACACGTTCATTAGTTTTTATGGAAAATAAGATGGGAATGGAAAAATATTGGATAAAACCCAACTATTCTTTTCAACAGAATTAGATCACACCCTGGTAATCAAAAGCATCCATACAGCAACAAGTGGTCCGTGTGGTCCTTAAAACATGCCAGTAGGGGTTGAGAAATACCCTCCTAATCAAGGTGATTATTCATGACAAACTTGTATATATAGTAAGGGCCAGGTGAGTCTTTCATGACATCATTAGATTATCAGATCTTTGAGGAAACAGAGTGGTGTCTGGTTTGTTTATAGCTGTGGTGGGCAAAACAATGGCCCCCAAAGACATCCACATCCTAATCCCTGGAACTGGTGACTATGTGAGGTTATACCAAGCAAAAACAAAGCACAAAGTGTTCTTTTTTCTTTATTCTTAACCTAGAAAATGTTTATCATATTTAAATTTTCCATTTTGACTCAGTTACTGTGCTTTCTGAACATGTATACAATGTTATGGTGAAGTTTCAGAAAATCTTTGAAATCTGCAGCTGCATTAGACAAAGAGTATAAATGTACCTGTTCAAAGTTTAAAACATAAATTTCTGTTTGAAAAACGAAGATGGACTGATAGGTTGAAACTTCATCTTACAAGGTTTATAGTGACACAAAGCAGTTGACACAATGACATTTCTGCTTGAGGAAACTTACTGTGGGTACATTGAAGAGAATGAATTGGTGGAAAAAGGCTGCGGGCAGACCAAGTAAGAAGTTGTTACATTAACCCCAGCAAGGGATGCAGTGGCCTGGCCTCATGGCAGTGGGGCTAGGCAAAAGTAGATGAATTCTAGGAAAGGTTAGGAGGTAATATTGACAGGAGTTGGCAACTGGAGGAAAAAGAGGGAGAAGTCAATGGGATCTGGACCACATGGTGAAAGACAACCGTTCAGTAAGGAGCAGAGCATGAGATATTATGGTTGAGTATGAAATTTATTATGGTTGGACATAATATAATAAGTTGAAGGGAGAGATTTTTTTAAGAAACATATATTTGGAAGTCATTAATATATGAATACAAATGGAGGTCACTGAGTATGAAAACACCCAGGGTAGCATAGCCAAGACAATACTAGGCAAAAAGAACAAAGCTGGAGTCATCACACTACCTGACTTCAAACTATACTACAAGCCTACAGTAACCAAAACAGCATGGTACTGGTACCAAAACAGATACACAGACCAATAGAACAGAAGAGAGACCTCAGAAATAACACCACACATCTACAACCATCTGACCTTCAACAAACCTGACAAAAACAAGCAAAGAGGAAAGGATTCTCTATTTAATAAATGGTGCTGGGAAAACTGGCTAGCCATAAGCAGAAAACAGAAACTGGACCCTTTCCTTATACCTTATACAAAAATTAATTCAAGGTAGATTTAAGACTTAAATGTAAAACCCAAAACCATAAAAACCCTAGAAAAAAGCTAGGCAATATCATTCAGGACATAGGCATGGGCAAACACTTCATGACTAAAACACCAAAAGCAATTGCAACAAAAGCCGAAATTGACAAATGGGATCTAATCAAACTAAAGAACTTCTGCACAGCAAAAGAAACTATCATCAGAATGAACAGGCAACCTAAAGAATGGGAGAAAATTTTTGCAATCTACCCATCTGACAAAGGGCTACTATCCAGAATCTACAAGGAACTTAAACAAATTTTCAAGAAAAAAAACCAACCCCATCGAAAAGTAGGCAAAGCATATGAACAGATACTTCTCAAAAGAAGACATGTATGTGGCCAACAAACATATGAAAAAAAGGTCATCATCACTGGTCATTCAAGAGATGCAAATCAAAACCACAATGAGATACCATCTCATGCCAGTTAGAATGGCGATCATTAAAAAGTCAGGAAACAACAGGTGCTGGAGAGGATGTGGAGAAATAGGAACACTATTACACTATTGCTGGGAATGTAAATTAGTTCAACCATTGTGGAAGACAGTGTAGTGATTCCTCAAGGATCTAGAACCAGAAATATCATTTGACCCAGCAATCCCATTACTGGATATATACCCAAAGGATTATAAATCATTCTACTATAAAGACACATGCACACATATGTTTATTGAAGGACTATTTATAATAGCAAAGACTTGGAATCAACCCAAATGCCCATCAATGATAGACTGGATAAAGAAAATGTGGCACATATACACCATGGAATACTGTGCAGCCATAAAAAAGAATGAGTTCATGTCCTTTGTAGGGACATAGATGAAGCTGGAAGTCATCATTCTCAGCAAACTAACACAGTAACAGAAAACCAAACATCACACGTTCTCACTCATAAGTGGGAGGTGAACAATGAGAACACATGGACACAGGGAGGGGAACATCACATACGAAGGCCCATCAGTGGGTGGGAGGCAAGGTGAGGGAGAGCATTAGGACAAATACCTAATGTATGTGGGGCTTAAAACCTAGATGATGGGTTGATAGGTGCAGCAAACCACCATGGCACATGTATACCTATGAAACAAACCTGCAAGTTCTGCATATGTATCCCAGAAGTTAAAGTAAAATAAATAAAATTTAAAAAGAAAACACCCAGGGTAAGTGTACAGATTGAGGACCTAGGGAAAAACCTCTGAGGAACATCATTTTCAAGGAACAGGACAGAAGACAAATTGACAAAGGAGACTAAGTTCATGACTAGATAGAATAAAAACCAGGAGAATTTAGTGTTATGATAGCTAAGAGAGAAGATTTCCAGATGGTGGATATTAACCAAGTCAAATGCTGCTGGGAAATGAAACAAGACAAAAGATTGGGCATTGGAGTTTGCAATATGGATATCATTAGGAACCTGGTTGAGAATATTTTAGTGAAGTTTTGGGGACAGAGATAGGCCTGAAGGGTGTTAAAGAGGGGTGAATGTAAGATTGTGTCTTTGAGGTGCTATACAGGAACACATGAGTGGGGTAATTTATAAAGGAAAGAGGTTTATTTGGCTCACAGTTCTGTAGAACATTCAAAAAGCATGGCACCAGCATCTGTTTCTGGTGAGAAATTCAGGCTGCTTCCACTCAAGGCAGAATGGGAGGGGGAACTGGCATGCAGAGATCACATGGCAAGAGAAGAAACAAGAAAGAGGTGAGGAGGTGCTGGGCTCTTTTTAACAACCAGCTTTTGCAGGAACTAATAGAGCAAGAAGAGAACTCACTCATTACCATAAGGATGGCACCAAATTATTCACAAGGGATACGCCTCCATGACCCAAACACCTCCCATTAGGCCCCACCTCCAACACTGAGAATCAAATTTCAACGTGCAGCATAAGGGACAAATATTCCAATTATAACAGAGCACCAGGGGAGAAAGTAGGAAAAACAAGTGGGACACCTCTTTCAATAAGTTTAGCTAAAAAGGAGAACAAAAAATGAGATGGTAAAGATTTGTAACTTTTTTTTTTTTTTGAAAAGAGAGAAATGCTAATCTGGAGAGGCCAGTAAAGAGGATGAGGTTGAAAATTCAGGTCAGCATGAGGATAACTAGTGTCACAAGGTACCTGGGGAGCTGGGATGGGTCTAGCCCAGGGATTAGGGGATGTGTTATGGATAATAATAAAAAACATGTCTTCACTGTAATGGGATGGAGTGAGGAAAGAATGGACATGGTGGCTGCAGGTGAGATTTTCAATATGGTGGAGGAAAACTGAAGCAGTTTCCTTCTGCTGGCTTTTTATTCTTCTGTTAAGTAGGACATGAAGTTTTCTAAATGCTTGATTTTGAAAGGAGAGCTATTCTAGCATTTAAACCAAACTTTTAATACAAATAAATCCAAGATTTTCATGTGGTACCATCTCTGCATAGGTCTAAATTTTTATTTATTTATTTATTTGAGACGGAGTCTTGCTCTGTCACCCAGGCTGGAGTGCAGTGGCACAATCGCGGCTCACTGCAGGTCTAAATTTATAAGACCATAATCTAATGGTTTAAAACAATTTAAAAAGAGGTTGCAATGTTATTTGATGCTCAACTTTATAAAAGAGCTTGTCTTAGTCTATTTACTGTAGCTATAACAGAATTTCTGAGATGGGGTAGTTGATAAATAAAAGAGGTTTATTTGGCTCATGATTCTGGTGACTGGAGAGTTCAAGATTGGGTAGCTATATCTCATGGAGCCCTCAGGCGCTTTCACTCATGGTGGAAGGTGGAAGGGGAGCTGGTGTGTGCAGAGATCACATGCCATGAGAGTAAGCAAGAGAAAGAGGGAGGGAGATAGTAGGCTTTTTTCAGCAACCAGCTCTCAAGGGAATGAATAAAGCAAGAACTCATTCACCCCAGAGGAAGGGCATTAATCTATTCATGAGGAGTCTGCCTCTATGACCCAAATACATCCCATTAGGCCTCACTTCCAACACTGGGGATAAAATTTCAACATGAAGTTTGGAGGGGACAAATATCCAAACCATAGCAGAGCTCATTCATAATACACAAAAAGAATTCTCAACCCCCTTTGACTCCTCTACAAATCTCTCACTTCTGTAGCTTCTCAAGAGCCTCCCAAACACCAAAAATACCCCTCCATACCCAGCCAGGGCCAACTTTCCTTTCTCTCTTCTCATTCTTTGCCTTCTAGCTCTCTATTATGAAAATAAACTGAAGGCTTTTAGCTAAATCTTTTTCTCTTTCTTCTTATTTTTAGACTTCTCCCCCTTCTATCCATTTTCCAGATTTAAAGTTTTCCATCACAGTAGATCCAGCAACAGGTCTGGAAAATACAGAATTTTACTCAGAAGACTCTAATAGGAATATAAAATGAATGAACATAGGGGAAGAACTCACACATGATTAAGTCAAGGCACAGCCCTCTCATCAGTAAGACACAAGCTACCCTCGTAGAATGTGATGTCAAAGTTGGAGAATGGCCTAGCATAGCCATCACCATTTGTGTAGACCTTAAATGCTGAGGGCTGCCCCCTCCCAAAAGAACAGAGGTTAAGTGGATAAAAAAGAGTGATCAATAACTCCGAAAAATTGACCATGGCATAGTGATGTAGCTGATACTGGACAAAATTTGAATTATTGATCATGTACAGCATCTGTACATTTAAGGCATTAATTCTTCAGATACTGAAAGATTCTAAAAGGAATGAACAGGAATGTTAACCACAGGACTTATTGGAGACTATAGGTTAGGCTGAGCCAGGAACAAAATCCCTCTATGCATTAATAAACTTAGTAAACCCACAGGGAATGTGGGAGATGCTTTCCACTCTTCCATGTAGCTGTTGAAGGGCTCATTACCTGTGCACACAAACAAGAGAAAAATCAAAATTCCTCTCCCATAAAGCGATACTTCAAAGAAATTGTCTTATAAGTCAAGTACAAAGAACAACAAAATCACACTGGATTAACACAACAAAACTGATTTCCTGCTCATGCAAAGTTATTTGTGGATCCAGCAACCTTGGAGAACAGGTGTCCTCCAAGGCAATGTCTCAGCCTCCTAGGCTGCTGTGAACCTCTCTTTTCTCTGACTCAACATGCATCCATATGGCCACTAAGGGGAAAAGAGTACTGGAGAGTTTCCATGCTGGACATACCCCTTTGCCTCTTGAGAGGCCCTCACCAGCATTCTTCACCCTGATTTTGGTTGCAGGAGGCAGATCTGTTTGGAATGCATAAATGAGCTATCTTGTCTTCTGGCTTCTCATTCGATTTGACCAATAGGATGCACCAGCAGGAGATCCAAGGGCAGAAACTGGGTGAGTTTAGGGCGTTATTCCTCCACTCACTTCCTGTGAAATCACAGTGGCCTGGCTGCACCCCTCTACGGAGGACCAGCACTTGCTCACATACTGTCTGCCTCCCTATCTCTTCCACTCTCTGCATTCTTGTACTTGCTCCCTTCCCTTGCCTTTTCAAGCTTAGGTGCTGTAAGACCTCCCCAGAGTACACCACCATCCTGCTGCTTTCTTAAAACATAGCCCACACCTTTGCAAACTTAAACTCCAGCCTAGTCCCTTTAGTAAACTCTTCCATTACTCAGATTTTAAATGATTTGCTCTGAACGTGGCCCACATCACTTCCACTTGAAATCATCGACCAGAATTAGTTACATTCCTTGCTTAACTTTAACAGGAATGGGAAGTTTAATCCTCTCAATTACCCAAGAGAAAGGAGAACCAGATATTGGCGAAAACTAGAAGTCTACTGCTGAGACCTAGCAATAGACATAATGTGATTTACATGATAATTATAGAGAAGCAGGTCACTTTCTCACTTTCATCATTAGAAACAGCACATAACTCATCACAATCCCTTTTCAGTGTGCTTCCAAACAGTTGGAGCACTTCCAAAAGCAGTGATCAAGTACAAAATTACCAAATCAATCCTCAAATTGGCAATCAGATTGAAATAACTGTTTCCTCTCAGGTTAAAGAAGATTAACCATTAGCTCTTTAGAAGAATAAGCAGGGCAGTCACAGACTTTATGCAATATTGATTGGATGTATCCTCACATACAAATGCCATAGAGTAGCTCTCAGGGAGCTATTACACAACTGTCTCAGGAGAGGCAGAGATACCATGTTATACTTCAATACGTATATGATGATTGATTAAAACAACCAGAGGTAGGTGTAATACTAGCTACTGGCCAGCCCAGAAATGACCAGGGCATGCAGAATAAGAATAGACTGGAGTCAGGAGCTGGATGTCTTTGGCCACATCTTTTAGTCTGGTTCCTTAAATATAAACTAAGGCAACTAGATCAAAGGTTTTTTATCTGTGATAAATGGATCTATCTCATTAGATCTGCTAAAATGTTACAAAATTGGAAATATATTTGCTTGTGTGGTTTTCTAATGGAAAATATTCACAGGTTTCATAAGACCTACAGAAATATCCTATAACCCTCCCCCACCCCCACCAAAAGAGGTTAGAACCACAGGGCTGGATGATGTCACACACTGCTTCCAAATCCAACATTTTATAATTCTATGGTCACTTCTGGTCAATATATTGGTCTGATGAAAAGACCATATAATATATTCTCATGAAACTAAAACTTTCCCAGTATAGAGACAGCAGACAGGTAATGCTCAATAGAGGTATGTAAATCTGAATCTGTATTTATTTTTCCTAATTTTTGAAAATGTCATCTGTAAAAGGTCAGAGAAACATCTGTTATAAATGATTCCTTCTGTTTTCTTTTTATTATTTACCCCAAAATAAGGATTCCCACACTTGCTTTACATTTCATATTTGTTTTACTCTCAGTGACTCTATATAAAGTAAGAGGTATACAAGAGTTTCCTCCAAATGAGATTACATGACTATTCAACTTTGAAACAAGATCCTGAAATACCTATTTAAATAACCAGTAATTGTTATGCACAAAATCTTCTCCAAAGAACAAACTTTAAAATGGTTATTAGCAACTCTTAATGGACCAAATTTTCTAACTCAATGTCCTAAGGTACCTAAACCACCTGCTCTCAGCTTTATTGTCCTGTTGCTTTAATTAACCATAGGTTCAGTTTAACTTGCATTCTAATTGGGTCCTTGACTAATTGTGCATTAAATACTTGGTAGCACAATACAGATAAGTAACTATCAACTTTCATTTGAACATAGAAAGCAATCTGGGAAGGCTTAGGATGTCATTAGACTGTAGTTGATGGTTTCCCGTGGAAACAAAGGAGAAGGAAAAGATTAAAATGACTCAAAAGCATGATCGATACCCACAGGCATACATCAGAGATCAGAAATCTTTAAAATAAAGTTTTGTGTTAAGTTAGATACACTACCCATTCTGGCATTTTCAAAGTGTATTTAGGGTGAGGCTGAATTCAACTCCAGGATTCAGGAGAGGTTGAATGTGCAGATTCTTATAAGAACTTGTGAGTATATGTCCTGGTATTCACTGTCTTGTCAGCCAATGTTAGCTTTTGGCAATGGCAGAAAATAACTGAGTCCTCTGTACTCCAGGGTCCATGTAGCTCTACTGAAAACTTGTTTCTTCTTTACATGCTCTTCTTTCCACTCTGGCTTTCCTAACACCTAAATGTCTGATATCCCTCTTTCTCCAACAATTACTTAAATATTGGTGCTATCTGGCCGTCTAGCCTGAGGCCCCTCACATTGTTTTTATGCATGAATGAAGAACTCCCACTTACGAATTCTTAGCAAATATATCATTTTTTTTATACTTTAAGTTTTAGGGTACATGTGCACAACATGCAGGTTTGTTACATATGTGTACATGTGCCATGTTAGTGTGCTGCACCCATTAACTCGTCATTTAACATTAGGTATATCTCCTAATGCTATCCCTCCCCTTCCCCCCACCCCACAATAGGCCCCGGTGTGTGATGTTCCCCTTTCTGTGGCCACGTGTTCTCATTGCTCAATTCCCACCTATGAGTGAGAACATGCGGTGTTTAGTTTTTTCTCCTTGTGATAGTTTGCTGAGACTGATGGTTTCCAGCTTCATCCATGTCCCTACAAAGGACATGAACTCATCCTTTTTCATGGCTGCATAGTATTCCATAGTGTATATGTGCCACATTTTCTTAATCCAGTCTATCACTGTTGGACATTTGGCTTGGTTCCAAGTCTTTGCTATTGTGAATAGTGCCGCAATAAACATACGTGTGCATGTGTCTTTATAGCAGCATGATTTATAATCCTTTGGGTATATACCCAGTAATGGGATGGCTGGGTCAAATGGTATTTCTAGTTCTAGATCCCTGAAGAATCGCCACACTGACTTCCACAATGGTTGAACTAGTTTATAGTCCCACCAACAGTGTAAAATTGTTCCTATTTCTCCACATCCTCTCCAGCACCGGTTGTTTCCTGACATTTTAATGATCACCATTCTAACTGGTTTGAGATGGTATCTCATTGTGGTTTTGATTTGCATTTCTCTGATGGCCAGTGATGATAAGCATTTTTTCATGTGTCTTTTGGCTGCATAAATGTCTTCTTTTGAGAAGCATCTGTTCATATCCTTTGCCCACTTTTTGATGGGGTTGTTTGTTTTTTTCTTGTAAATTTTTGAGTTCATTGTAGATTCTGGATATTAGCCCTTTGTCAGATGAGTAGATTGCAAAAATTTTCTCCCATTCTGTAGGTTGCCTGTTCACTCTGATGGTGGTTTCTTTTGCTGTGCAGAAGCTCTTTAGTTTAATTAGATCCCATTTGTCAATTTTGGCTTTTGTTGCCATTGCTTTTGGTGTTTTAGACATGAAGTCCTTGCCCATGCCTATGTCCTGAATGGTATTGCCTAGGTTTTCTTCTAGGGTTTTTATGGTTTCAGGTCTAACATTTAAGTCTTCAATCCATCTTGAATTAATTTTTGTATAAGGTGTAAGGAAGGGATCCAGTTTCAGCTTTCTACATATGGCTAGCCAGTTTTCCCAGCACCATTTATTAAATAGGGAATCGTTTCTCCATTTCTTGTTTTTGTCATGTTTGTCAAAGATCAGATGGTTGTAGATATGCGGCATTATTTCTGAGGGCTCTGTTCTGTTCCATTGGTCTATATATCTGTTTTGGTACCAGTACCATGCTGTTTTGGTCACTGTAGCCTTGTAGTATAGTTTGAAGTCAGGTAGCATGATGAACATCAGTGTGAAAATCCTCAATAAAATACTGGCAAACCAAATCCAGCAGCACATCAAAAAGCTTATCCACCATGATCAAGTGGGCTTCATCCCTGGGATGCAAGGCTGGTTCAATATATGCAAATCAATAAACGTAATCCAGCATATAAACAGAACCAAAAACAAAAACCATATGATTATCTCAATAGATGCAGAAAAGGCCTTTGACAAAATTCAACAACCCTTCATGCTAAAAACTCTCAATAAATTAGGTATTGATGGGACGTATCTCAAAATAATAAGAGCTATCTATGACAAACCCACAGCCAATATCATACTGAATGGGCAAAAACTGGAAGCATTCCCTTTGAAAACTGGCACAAGACAGGGATGCCCTCTCTCACCACTCCTATTCAACATAGTCTTGGAAGTTCTGGCCAGGGCAATCAGGCAGGAGAAGGAAATATTCAATTAGGAAAAGAGGAAGTCAAATTGTCCCTGTTTGCAGACGACATGATTGTATACCTAGAAAACCCCATCGTCTTAGCCCAAAGTCTCCTTAAGCTGATAGGCAACTTCAGCAAAGTCTCAGGATACAAAATCAATGTGCAAAAATCACAAGCATTCTTATACATCAATAACAGAGAGCCAAATCACGAGTGAACTCCCATTCACAGTTGCTTCAAAGAGAATAAAATACCTTGGAATCCAACTTAGGAGGGATGTGAAGGACCTCTTCAAGGAGAGCTACAAACCACTGCTCAATGAAATAAAAGAGGATACAAACAAATGGAAGAACATTCCACGCTCATGGGTAGGAAGAATTAACATCGTGAAAATGGCCATACTGCCCAAGGTAATTTATAGATTCAATGCCATCCCCATCAAGCTACCAATGACTTTCTTCACAGAATTGGAAAAAACTACTTTAAAGTTCATATGGAACCAAAAAAGAGCCCGCATTGCCAAGTCAATCCTAAGCCAAAAGAACAAAGCTGGAGGTAAAGATATCATTTATAAAATCTTGTCTAACATAGATAGTCTTCCTCTAATTTCCATTTCAGGTTTTAAAAATTTTTGATAAGACAAGGGATTAGTCAGATGGGTTAATTCCATAATTTACGGTTCATTAGCCCAATTCGGTATACCCTCAAAACTTTCAGCCTAAGAAGAGTCCTAGAGATCCTGCCTCAGACTGGGGATATAGCTTTGTTACCAGAAAAGAGTCCCGATCCAGACTCCGAGAGAGTAGTACTTGGATACTGCAAAAGAAAGAATTTAGGGCGAGTTCATACAGTAAAGTGAAAGCAACTTTATTAAGAAAGTAAAGAAAGAAATAGGCCAGGCATGGTGGCTCACGCCTGTAATCCCAGCACTTTGGGAGGCTGAGGCAGGTGGATTGCCTGAGCTCAGGAGTTTGGGACCAGCCTGGGCAACATGGTGAAACCTGTCTCTACTAAAATACAAAAAATTAGCCAGGCGTGGTAGCGTGCGCCTGTAATCCCAGCTACTCGGGAGGCTGAGGCGGGAGAATTGCTTGATTCCAGGAGGTGGAGCTTGCAGTGAGCCAAGATCGTGCCATGGCATTCCAGCCTGGGCGACAGAGTGAGACTCCATCTCCAAAAAAAAAAAAAAAAAAGAAAAACAGAAAGTAAAGGAATAAAGAATGGCTATTCCATTGACAGAGCAGCCCCGCAGACTGCTGGTTGTCCGTTTTTATAGTTATTTCTTGATTACATGCTAAACAAGGGGTGAATTATTCATGAGTTTTCCAGAAAGGCATGGGCAATTTCCCAGAACTGAGGGTTTCTCCTGATTTTAGACCACATAAGGTAACTTTCTGACATTGCTATGGCATGTGTACACTGTCATGGCACTGGTGGGAGTGTAGCAGTGAGGACAGTCAGAGGTGACTCTCATAGCCATCTTGGTTTTGGTGGGTTTTAGCCAGCTTCTTTACTGCAAGTTGCTTTATCAGCAATGTCTTTATGACCTGTATTTTGTTCTCCTACCTCAGCCTGTGACTTAGAATGCCTAACCATCTGGGAATGCAGACCAGTAGATCTCAGCTTTATTCTACCCAGCCCCAATTTAAAATGGAGTTGCTCTGGTTCAAATGCCTCTGACAGTTTGGCAGCATCTAAATGACATCAGTTTGGAAGTTTGTACCCCAAGAGTCTACACGAGGGAGCATAAAGTAGTTCAAAGTGCCTGCTATAATCCTTTCCATGAGATCTAAGAGTAAAGCCTAAATTGCTGGCCTGTACCTTACGCGAGAGCCTTCAGGGAAGCATCAGAGTAAAACAAAAATTATCTGGAGATGACAAAGACTTATGGTTGTGGTCAATTTATTACTGTAATTAATATCAGAATGCAGGAGGATACAATTCCCATTAGAGTATAGAGAATAATTATTTCATAAGGGTTTGATCAATGTCTCCCAAGAGTAAGGCAAATCCCCAGAATCTTCTTATAAGAAATATACTTTCTGAAATACTCATGTTCATATTCATAACATTGTACCTCTACAAACTCAAGAGGAGGTTAAGCATCTCTTCTAATTTGACAGCTTTTCCCATGGGGCTCTTGCAATACTGTTGGGCTAATTTAAGAAATACATAGCACATAAAACAAAATTTTTTTTATGTTTGTCTTTTCATACAGTAAGAAAGTAAATCTTTGTGAGTGGTTGGGGGCCTTTGGGAAATTTCAAAGGTATTTTTCGGTGTAAAAGATATCATGACATTTTTATTTTATTTTTTCTAAATATAGGAGCTGATCTTTGCAAGGCAAAGTCGAAAGGGTTGTCAGGAGATTTGGGGCACTTGATTTTGATTAGATCATAAGCACCTGAGAAACAACTGCATGGTGATCTGTTTAATCAATGTGACAAGAAAATATTTTGAAATAAACATAAAAGATAATATGCTCATAAAGAACCTTAGTTCTTTCACATGTGAGAAAAGTTTGTTCTCTGGATTTTTCTTCAACAATCAAGGACATAATAAAGTCAAAATAAAGCACACACATAAAGCACAGAAAATGGTTCTGGTAGGCACAGGTTCTCTGCTCCCCAGACAGATTTCAGAGAAGTTAAAGAATAATCTTTCATTCTGTAAACGAAGGCATTAATCATCAAACCAAGGAAATAAACCCATCAAAAATGAACCAACATTTAAGATTTTAATTTACTTTATGCCTTCTTTTCAGATTTAGTTATTAAAAACCAAGGCAAATAAAATTCATTTTCCAGGTCTCATATTTTACTGAGCTCTTTCATAGTGTGGAACAAATTGACTTTTATATTAGGATAAAACTACTCTCCTTTTTCTTACAAAACAAAGGCATATGCCCACCTGCCTTTCTCTGTCATGACCTCTAGTATAGTCTCAACCACAGATACTGATTACAGTTTCTCATCAAGGTGAATATTTCCTATTTCACAGAGAAAAATAGAGGGTATATGATTGAGAAGTGTCATTCTGCAGCATTTTAGCAGAATAGCACGGCTCATGAACACATTTAACACAGCTTTGGACAGTCACAGCCACCCCTTTTACATCTTCTTAAAGTGGCAAAAATGACATTTATTAACATGATATAGACTCTTCAGCATGTAGAATTATAAAACTTAAAATCATGCTTAGACATCAAGATTTCAGTATTCTGCATTACTTACACAATGTCTAGATATCTAAGAATTACCCATTAATTAGCTTAAATTAATATTAGTTCAAGACTTTAAATTACCTAAAGACCTTGGAAATTACATTTAAACTAGCACGCTGAAAAACATAATTACCACTGATAGAAAAGTTTGTTAGAAAAATGATTCAATTTAGTTGAACACAAATTACTTTTCTCATAATCTTTAAAACTCTGTAGGAGTATTATTAGCTTATTTTATCTCAAAACCTATATAATTTTAGAAAGTTTAGGCTATTTTTTTCATGAGAAAAACAACCCAAGTAAAATAACATGTATATACAGTTAATATCAATAATTTTGAAACCATGATTATTAAATAAATTGTTCCCATTTGCCAAATATATATATTAATTATGTGAACCTAGATTCTTAAAAGTTTTCAACGTAGCAGTTTGTGTAAAAATAATTTTTAAAGTATAGCACATTTTTAAAAGTCTAGCACTTTTAAAGTATTAGAAATTTGATTTTACTACTTTAAAGAAACTCTAAGAATATTTGATTTACTTAGGTATGTATTCATCTCTATAAGTAATTAGAACAAAGCTCTTTTAACTGAAGAACCATAACAACCTAATTTATTAATATCTCCTGGAAATAGGGAAGAAATCATACCAGTCCAATGAGGGATTACGGCCTTTGTCAGTTACGTATACACAAACACACAAACATGAAAACATATACAGAATTTACAGCTTCAGTTCTACAGCAACTGCCCCAGGTCAAAATAAACATAGACACATACGAACTCCGTGGTCCAGATTTCAAAGAGCTGTTCTCCTTCCCAGAAATTTTTAATTGGTTGGAGCTCAAAATAGACAAACAAAATCTAAAAGAACCCAACAAAGAACTGTGTCTCTCACCCAACAGAGAAGAGACCATTATTGTCCACCTATAGAGATCAACAAATTGAAGATAATAGAACCATATTTCCAATCCTTGCTGCCTCCAAGGAGGAATAAATTAGTATCCGTGTGAGCAAGAAACAAAAACAAAACACAAAATCAGGGAAAAGGAAGAAAATAAAGAGAAAATCAAGGTTAAACTTCTACAGCCACTTGGAACTTAGACTGAGAGCCAAGAAAAGACTCCCCCAGGCTTCGGCAGCCCATGAGGTGCACTTGTCCCATAACAGTTGTCAAGTAAATCCTGTCGTCTCCCTGGGGCTTCTAAACTAATATAGAATAATTTTCAAATGGTAAAATTATGACTGTCATACAAATATAAAATAAACAGGGGTGAACAGTTTTACTTTCCTCATGAATTCATGAAAAAACGCTGATATTTAAGCATTTATGCCCAGAACATGCAGCTGGAATGGTGAACCATATAATTTTGCACAGCTTCCTTAAGTCATAGCTATTGGAACTGTAGAAGTCAAAGCAGATGGTGGTGACTCCATTATTTAATCTGGTTCACAAAACATCGTATCTGTCACATGCTCTTTGTAACATCTAAGGTAATTACAAACATTTATTATTTAAAATTTGATTTTTATAATTGTCAAAATATATTCAAAATTTAGTTGGCTAAATTGGTTGAATGATCAAACTGGACAACCATCATTGTACCAGGAGGCTGAAACCATGGGCTCAGTCTCTCCCACTGACACTGACCAACTTTGCACTCAACACTCTGGAAATCCAGCATCTCATTCATAAAATGTAAAGGTCAGGATGCACACTCTTTGAGGGCCTTTCCAGCTCCAAAGTCGATGGCAATGTTGTCAATGAAAGATCAACAGATCAGTGCATTATACCCAGGGTGCTTGTACAGTTAAAAAGTTTCTGGCCCCCTTCCCAGATACACCAAACAGAATTTGGGTGGAATCCAGGAATCTGCATTTTAAATAATATCCATATTATTCTTATACAAACTAAAGTTTGAAAATCATTAGTATATGGATGTTTTTCCCCTGAACAAAAACCAGTTATGACTGAAAAATAGTTATCGAGTTTTTCTGGTAAGTGGTACACTACTCAGTGCCTTCAAGTAAAGGTGATCTACATTACAAGTTGTCTAAAATGATGTTTGAAAAGGAACCAGGTTGTCAGGTTGTCACTATTTTTAAAGTGGTGGTTTATTATGGTACATGGTTCATTATACCAACTATAAGATTTTGAGTATCTGCTTAGTTCACCAGTGAACAGCTGTGAACCAATGTGTAGATTCTTTTACCCATTCCTCTTGCTTTTCCCTTTCTTCTTTCTTAGAAGTGGTTTAGAGAAAACAAATAAAACCAAAAGCTGGTTCTTTGAAAATATAAATAAACTTGGTAAATCTTTCACTACACTAACCAACAAAATGAGAGACAAGACACAAATTATCAATATCAGAACTTAAAGAGGGGTCATAACTACCAGTCCTATGGTTAGTAAAAGGCTAATTAAAAATACCAGCAATAATGTTTTACCCACAAATCTGATAACTTGGTAAGACAGACCAATTCCTTGAAAAACACAAATAATCAAAATTCATATGAGAAGTAATTTGAATAAGCCTGTGTTATTAAAGAAATTAAATCAACAAGTAATAACCTTACAAAACAGAAAGGACCTGGCTCAGCTGGAATTACTGGTGAATTCTACCAAACATTTAAAGAAGAACTAATACCAATTTTTACAATGCCTTCCAAGAAGATAGAAGTAGAGGGAACATTTCCCAACTTAATATGAGGCCAGCATTGCCCTAATATCAAAACCATGCAAAGACATTATAAGACAGGAAATCTGTAGACGAACATTTGTCATGTACACAGACTTAAAAACCCTCAACAGAATATTAGCAAATAAAATACAACCAAGTGTAAGAAGAATTGTATACAACTAAGTGGGAAATATTACAGGTATGCAAGGCTGTTTCAACATTCAGACATCAATCATTGTGGTCCACCATGTCAACAGGCTAAATAAGAAAAATCATATAATCATATCAATGGATGTAGAAAAACCATTTGACAGGATCTAACACCCAGTCATGATGAAAATCCTCAGTACACAAAAAGGATAAAGGAAGCTTCTCAACTTGATTTAAAGCCATACCAAGATGTCAGTAGCTAACATCATACTTACTTGTGAGAAACGGAATGCTTTCCTCTTAAGATCAGGAAAAAAGTAAGATATTGTCTCTCACTATTTCTACACAACACTATTTCTACAAAACATTCTAGAAATCCTAAGTAGTGCAATATGACAAGCAAGGGTTATACAGATTGGAAAGAAAGAAAACCCTCTTCGTCCACCGCCATACCAGCCTGAACGCACCCGAGCTCGTCGATCTCCGAAGCTAAGCAGGGTTGGGCCTGGTTAGTACTTGGATGGGAGAAAACTGTCTTCATTCACAAATGATATGATTATCTATGCAGAAAACCCCCTAAGAATCCACAAAATAACTCTTGGAGCTAATAAGAGAATAACAAGGTCATAGGATATAAGGTTAATACACAAAAGATTATTGCTTTTATCTTATAAATGGTTGCTCTTTCATTGTGGAAAAATGTTCACCCAAATAAATGGGCCTTGCCACTCTGAGAAGGTTGTGACCCAACTGAGGAGAAAATACATCTTCCTCTGAGAATTAATAAGCCTCTGCAAGGAATAGCAAAACATATTTTTTCTTTTTATTACTTTATCTTTCTCATTTTTTATTTTCCTTGGAGCTGAACAGGAGGGAAGCTAGACAAGAATTAAAGGTCAAATAGCCTAACTAGAGGAAGGTCTTGATGGTTATACTTCAAGTCCCAGAAAAAAAAAAAAAAGTACAGTTAGATGATAGAAAATGGAGATTTATGGTTGCTTTACACAAATAATAAAATAAAAGACTTAAATCTTTACTCCACTTGAAAACTCCAGAAGGATAGAAGAAATTGCATTAGTCTTTTGCAAAAATATTTTGATAACTTTTTCTTACTTATGTGTTCCATTTGTCATTTTCTCTAAACTACACCTGCCCCACCTTGAAATGTTTTTATCTAGGCTTTGAATGCCTTTGCTCAGTTATCCAGCAGGCTATGATCCTCTGCGTCTGCTCTCTGCCGATGTGTGAGTGCATCAAATGCAAGGGTTGCAAGAGTAATTATGACTCTGTTACTGCACAGCTCCGTAATCATGACAATAAAACCTGGTAAAAATGCTCAGACCACATCTTAGCCTGGTTCCAGACAGTGTTCATTTCTGAAGCTCACTTTTCTTGGCTTTCTGTGTAGCTCCACTGACAAGTTTTCCAAACCTTTGAAGTCTGGCAAAATTCCCAAACCCCAGGACTCCTCAGGAGAGATGCAGCAGTGGAAGCTGAGCTGACTGCCTTTAGGCTGGGTCATGGCGTCCCCACGAGCCTTGCACCACCCACCATCACTTCCTTGTCACTTCAGAGCCCTCAACAAGACAAAAGGGCTCACCAAAAAAACACCTCCTCTTTATTACAAGAACATGGAAACCTTTTTTCCAGCCTCACACTGGTAATAATAAAAGAATATGCTGTCTAAAGTCTTTCTGTTTTTACCTAGGAGATGGAAGCCGCTAAGGGTAGGTCATTAGCCTATCCTGTAAGCTTTTCACTCTTCCACCTCCACATACAACCGCCCCTAAAATAAAAGACCCCTATGTAGCAAAATACCTGCTCAAAGGAATTTCTGCAAATAAAGGCACAAAACAGGATATTGTACCTTTTATATTTTTGGTGAGAGTCAAGGGACCCCAGTCTCGGATTATTAAAATTACTAAACGTGGTTCATATCACCAAGTTCAAAGGGGGTAAAAAGGATTAAGCTTCACAGCATTCCACACGAAAATGTATCACTGGTAATGTGTCTTTTCCAACCACAACAAAGATGCCACGTGGGTTGCTACATGGAGAAGTGTTCAAGTATTGCGTGTCACAATATAGACCCGGTAAATTGTCTTCGGAACTTTCACTTTTCCAAAATGGGTTTCTGTGTGAAAATCTGCAATGATCTGAATCTTTTCCCTTGAGTCCTGGTGTTTAAAAGATAGCACAAAAGCTGCTCAGAAATCTAGGCTTGACACCTGCTAGCTAGAATTCAAAAAGGAAAGAGTGGCAAAGTTCACACCACTTGAGAAGAAGATCTCTTTCAGAAATAGCCTTGTGGCAATGGAGAGCAATCTGCAATTTGTAAGAGTTCCCTGCCTCTAAACTTACTTAGGAAATTATTCCACTGGGATGAGATTTGCCTAAATTGGAAACAGAAAGAATTCTCTTTGGAAAATTCCTATCAAAAAGAAAGGAAAAACCATGTCTCATTGCCATTTCCCCATAGGATTCTTTTCTACAAACACACACCAAGATAACATATATAAGACTCCAAGAAGCCCATTCAGAGAAAGAAATATATACAAAATTGCAAAAACAGAAGATAATTACTGAAAGGACAAGCATAAATTAACTTTTTGCTTTTCCTAAAATAACATCTATATTGAAACTTTGTTTACGCTTAACCTTCGGAGAATTAGTTTTGAAGGATTTTTAATTAAACTGAAGAAGTAGAATCAAGAAAGTTGCAAAAAAAGGGGAAGCTGTTAGAAATATTATGTATGGCCAGGCACGGTGGCTCACGCCTGTAATCCCAACACTTTGGGAGGCCGAGGCGGGTGGATCACAAGGTCAAGAGATCGAGACCATCCTGGTCAATATGGTAAAACTCCATCTCTCCCAAAAATACAAAAATTAGCTGGGCATAGTGGTGCGCGCCTGTAGTCCCAGCTACTCAGGAGGCTGAGGCAGGAGAATTGCTTGAACCTGGGAGGCAGGGGTTGCAGTGAGCCGAGATTGCACCCACTGCACTCCAGCTTGGGTGACAGAGCGAGACTCCATCTCAAAAAAAAAAGAAAAGAAAAATTATGTATGAGAGAAAACAGCAATGCTAGAATTTGTTCTGTGACTCCATGAATGGGAACAAGGAAACATACCACAGGAAGTTATTGTCTACAAATGAACCAGATGTGCAGCAACATCTGAAAACCTGCTCTGCCGTGGGGCACTGTAGGAAGAAATGCAAAAGCGAGAATCGGAAGAACAAAGGAATGAGAGGGTAGAGCCAAGTGCCGCAACCCAGCATCCAACCAAGAATTAGAGACATCAAAACCCCGGGATGGGGCCTTAGACTCTGCCAGGAACAAAGAAGTGGGAAATAAACGTAAAACAGGCCATTTTCAAATGAATTGCTGTGTGCTCCTAACCAATCCAACAGAGCATCGTTTAGCTAGTAAAACAATATGGAAAATAAAAGTTAATGTTTGTAGAAATTCAGAAAGGAAAATAATGCAAGAATCTAATTACTTCCCAACTTAGGGAGGATAAAGGAGAAGACACAAAAGATTGAAGTGAAAATTGAAATGACCTCCTATGCTTTTATCCTTCCTAGATTTCAATGGGCTTGCTATTCAAAAATAAATTAAAAGGTTGTGTGTTTAACAGTCAGACTACAGAAAGACAGACTATTTGAAATTTATAGGAGACAAACTTGTGTTTTAAAAAATAAAAGGAAAAATTCACAATTGTTTTTCCCTAATTCTGGGAAAGGTTATATCACTTCTTCATCTGAAATTTTCAAAAAGTGTATCAATATGGCACTTACTTTTCTACCACCCTATGTAGCTTCGGATGGTGTCCGACACATCTGTAACACTCAGTTCTATAAAAACTTCTAAGAGCACTTTTAAATGTTAGCACTTTTAAGATTGAATTACCCTGGGAGTATTGAGGCTTTCAGTATTAAAATAATTTCTGGCTAGCATTTTCGAGCTGTTCCCAACATCTTATTAAATACCTATAGAAACCAGCTATAAAACTGAAATTCACATTTTCAGCAAACTAAGACTCACAGTCAGTCAGCTTACAGCTCGGATCTAGGAGGAATTTCTACCAGAAAATGACAAATCTGAGAAGAATTAGAATGTGTTCACTAACAAGTAGGTCCCTTACACATAGAAGCATATATGTAAACATTGTCACCCTTAAAGACAGGAAAACATCAGCTCATTCACACTCTGTCCTATAGCAGAGAAGCATTTTGGATGGAAAACAATTTCTCTAGATATATCAAACAAGAGAACATGGCACAGGATACAGCAATTTCAGTTCTAGAAGCCATGTCTAAAGAAAGAGCCTGAGATTTTGACCAAGGTTTATGTATAAAATTATTTATGGCACCTGTTTAAAACCAAATGAGGAAACTACAAACCACTTGAACCACCACTAGCAAGGGAAGAGTTAAATAAATCATCACACAGCCAATGAGACTACTTACATAAACTGTGAAACAAAAACACGAAAATATGCTCACAATACAACATCAAGTGATAAAAAGTAGAGCACAAATTTAGGATATAAAATGTATTTATAGTATGAACCCAGTTACGTTAAAATCACACATATATACACACACACAAACACACACATCTAGAAAAACCCTGGAATTCAATAAATGAGTTAGTAGTGGTTGTCTCTAGGAGGCAGAAACAAAACAACATTAAAATTTCTCTACACTGAGCAGATGGCTCTTCTATAATAATAAAAATAGTACAAATATTGTTATTTAAATTAAAAAAATCAAGTACTCATTGTGAGGCTTAGAACAACATTGAACTTTTACTATCACTTATTCTTGTCTTAAGAGAGACAAATTAATTGCTTATTCCTGAACCTCAGATAATAACATATGCCCCCTGGGTTGGGATGGGATTCAGTGAAATAATTTAATCCAAATAATATATTTTAAGTGCCAAGTACAACTCTAGCACAAATTAGGTATGAATAAATGCTGGTCAAATCTGTATACATACATTGGAAGTAGTCAGTGATCTGTTCAAAAAAAAAAAAAATCCACGAAACTTCATTCCAGATGAGCAATTCAATTGCTGCTTCTCCACAGGCATGGGAAGCTCACACCCACACAGCTGATCTTTAGCGCCCACCACCATCTGGAAGATGCCTTCCAGTGCAGTTTGGGACTCTCCCCTTGATGGATACCAGATGGCACAGAAAGTCCTAAAGACATGCTTCATACTGGTGGCAGAAACACAGGCAAGACACACAGAGATGAAAATAATGGAAGACCTAATGCAAGAATAAACGACCCAGTACCTCATTCTATAGCAAGTTCTCACATCAGTGCCCCTGGAATAACTTTAGAGCATATTATTAAAACTGTGTTTTCATGTCCCACAAGGACATAGACTAGATTACCCGAAGACAAAAGCATCAATGTGTCAAATGTGCATATAGGTGGCCTAAGGCAATGAGAAATAGGTTTTCATTTCACTTTATTAACATTTTATCTGAATTGCATTTCTCTTTGTCTGGTGCTCTGTGATCATACTGGGCTGAGTTATTCACAGCCAGGATGCTACTTGGCCTTCCAGATTTATTCTTCATTATCTCCAAATAAAATAATTAAATTGTATGCAGGAATACAGCACAAAGCCAAAGATCTTGTAATGCATTTTTAAAAGTAAATCATCATCCATGCAGAAAAGCAATATAATGGAATATTTAAATTTTGCCAGTGAAAACCTCCAACAAACCTAGATAATCCTGAATCTGTAGGTGTTTCATATTTTTAATGCAGAAAGATGTGAAATAAATGTTTACAAATGCTTACTTTACATTCAAAATCAGTTTCTATGTGAAGCCAAAACATGTAGGAAAGAGGGGTCTAAAATATTTTTAACAATTTGAAGCTGGCTAAGGATTGAGACTAAAACAGACTTCAGGCCCTTTACAGGGAAACAAAACAAAAATGCTGGAAGAAGGTAGCAGGCAGAGTGATCAATACAGAATGGTGGTGAAGCAGGATTTTCTACATGCATTCCTGCCTGGGGCAGTTCTGAGTACCCCAAAGGATCCCAGAGGTCACCTGGGTTGGATGAGTCTCATAACCCCTTATAAGGCAATGATCACGGATCAGTATCTACCCTTCAGCTTTTGTCCCCAGTACACATCTGTCAACTGAATACAAGGTAAGGGAGGTGTTCCGAATGTGGGCCAAACAGTGCACTGTGGTGGTTGATGTGTCTTTCTCTGTGCAGGCCTGAGTTTCCATTCCTGGGCAACCCCATACAGTGGAGGACTGACTCAGACTAATGGCCAGCCTCTGAACTACATGACTGTGGCAGAGGTTAAAGCATACAGAGAGGGAGGGAGGTGTGACTCAGTTATGAACCTGTCATAGCCAGGAGCTCACAGAATCCTCTCTTGGTTTCCTCCACCGCCCTGGCTGCTCCTCACTTCCTCATTGATCACTGATGCTGGCATGCCTTGGGCTCCATCCTATGCTCTCTTCTCTCCCATCCATGCACTCTTCTTTCATGAGTCTAAACAACACCTACACATGGATGGAGCCCAAATCCATCTCTCCAGCCATGGCCTCTCCAGAGCTTCAGGGAGTGCATCTGACTGCCTACCCAATGGATCCACTGACATTTCTGGAAGACACCTGTGATTTAACATAAAGCCTATCATTTCCTCCTCCAAATTTGTTCCTTTCATCGTTCTTCCCATCTTGGCAAATGGCATGCCCTCCCCCGCAATCCCACGCATCATCCAGGCCCCAAATCTAGGATGCATCCTTCATTTCTCTCTCTACGTCGGTGCTCATATGCAAACCATATCCTGACCCCACCTGCTCCTTGCCAGCTCTCCTACTTCCTGACTTGTCTGAGCTGTCCAGATCTCTTGTTCACACAGTGAGCCTCGAAGCTGGACCCACATTGCCAACTGTTGGATCCTGGCTCTGCCACTTACTCACTGAGTCAAATCTATGTGGCTCAGTTTTCTCATCAGTAAAACAGGGAAAATAATATTCCTGATCTCCTAGGGTCATTGAAGGGCTTCATCAAAGTAAGGCTGGCACCCAGCAAGCACTGCCTCACTGGGTCTTGATCCTCAGCAGGCCTCCTGACCCGTAACCACAGTCTGTTTCCTATGTGACAGCCAGGGTCACCCATTCAAAACCAGATCAGGTGGGGCGTGGTGTCTCACGCCTGTACTCTCAGCACGTTGGGAGGCCGAGGGTGGTGGATCACTTGAGGTCAGGAGTTTGAGCCTGGCCAACATGGTGAAACCCTGTCTGTACTAAAACTACAAAAACTGGCTGGCATGGTGGCGCACACCTGTAGTCCCAGATACTTGGGAAGCTGAGACAGGAGAATTGCTTGAATCCAGGAGGCAGAGGTTGCAGTGAGCTGAGATCGTGCCACAGTACTCCAGCCTGGGCCACAGAGCGAGACTCCGTCTCAAAAAAAAAAAAAAAAAAAGCCAGATTACATCACTCCTTCACTTAGAACCCTGTACTGGATTCCCTTTTTAATTTGAATCAAGCCCCCACACTCCTTCCTGAGGCCGACAGGCATGATCTCTCTCCTGCCCCCACCCTAACTGCATCTGCTGTCAGGAGCCTCCTTGTCCATTACCCATCCAGCACGCCATCTGTCCATCCTTACGTTCCCCACACATGCCAACACATCCCTCTCTGGAGACTGTGCACTCTCTCTGTCTGGAATGTTCTACCCGAAGTCTGCACATGGCTGGCATCTTCCTGTCCTTCAGGTCTCAGCCCAGGTTCACCAGCTAAAAGACACCTGCCTTGGGTCCCAGACACTCTCTCACACATTTGCTCTGTTTCATTGTATTCACAAAATCCCTCATTTCCTTCTCTCCTCCCTAAAGCCTCTCAGTTTTGAATCCCATGTCATCAAATTGTATCACCCATTGACCTTCATGAAACTGTCAACTCACACTCAACATGTCTAGCAAGTTTGACTTCCTAGGTCAGCGCTGCTTTCCCATGACCACTCCTATTCTATCCTTGGTCACCCCATGGCCTCCTGGTTCCTTAAACACTTCTCCTCCACCAGTCTCAGCCACTGCATCTTTCCTCCTCCTTCGCCTCCTTGCTGACCTCCATCCCCTCCTTCTCCAACTCCCATTCCTTGAACAGTCACTACTGCTTTCTTTGGCCAGTGCCCTCAAAACTCTTGGCACTCACACTTTGTCATAATTGCTTGGCAAATCAGCTACCCTGAAATCCAGCTCTCTACCAACTGAATGTAGCAGAGAAAACATGTTGACTAATTGCTTCTTTTTTAAAGAAACTATTTTTATGGGTACGTAATAGGTGTATATCTTTATGGGGTGCATAAGATATTTTGATATAGGCATACAATGCATAATAAGCACATCAAGGTAAATAGGGTATCCATCAACTCAAACATCATCTTTTCTTTGTATTACAAATGATACAATCCTCCTTTGGTTATTTCAAAATATACAATAAATTATTGTTGACTGTAGTCACCCTGTTGTATTATCAAATGCTAGATCTTATTCATTCTATCTAATTATATTTTTGTACCCATTAACTAGCTCCACTTCCCACGCCCTCATCACTACCCTTTCCAGCCTCTGGTAACAATCATTCTACTCTCTGTTTCCATGACTTCAGTTGTTTTAATTTTTAGCTCTCATAAATAAGTGAGAACTTATTTGTCTTTCTGTGCCTGGTTTATTTCACTTAACATAATGACCTCTAGTTCCATTTATGTTGTTGCAAATGACAGGATCTCATTCTTTTTTTATGGCTGAATAGTACACCATTGCACATATGTACCATGTTTTCTTTATCTATTAATCTGTTGATGGAAACAGGTTGCTTGCAAATCTTGGCTATTGTGAACAATGCTGCAATAAACATGGAAGTGCAGATATCTCTTTTATATACTGATTTCTTTGGGGTATATACCTAGCAGTGGGATTGCTGGATTATATAAAGGTTCTATTTATAGTCTAGTGAAGAACCTCCAAACTGTTCTCCATAATGGTTGTACTAATTTACATTCTCACTAACAATGTATGAGGGTTCCTTTTCTCCACATCTTTGCCAGAATTTGTTATTGCCTGTCTTTTGGATATAAGCCATTTTAACTGGAGTAAGATAATATCTCATTATAGTTTTGATTTGCAGTTCTCTGATGGTCAGCGATGTTGACCCCCTTTTCATACACCTGTTTATCACTTGTATGTCTTCTTTTGAGAAATATCTATTTGGATATTTTGCCCATTTTTGAACTGGATTGTTAGATTTTTTTTGTATAGAGTTGTTTGAGCTCCTTGTATATTCTGGTTACTAATCCCTTGTCAGATGGATAGTTTGCAAATATTTTCTCCCATTCTATGGATTATCTCTTCAGTTTCTTGATTCTTTCCTTGTCTGTGCAGAAGCTTTTTAACTTGATGTGATCCCCTTTGTCCATTTCTGCTTTGTTTGCCTGTGCTTGTGGAGTTTTACTCAAGAAATCTGTGCCCCAACTCCAATGTCCTGGAGAGTTTCCCCAATGTTTTATTGTAGTAATTTCATAGTTTGGGTATTAAATTTAAGTCTTTAATCCATTTTAGTTTGATTTTTTATATGGCAAGATGGGGTCTAGTATTGTTCTTCTTCAGATGGATATTCAGTTTTCCCACATGTTTATTGAAGAGATTATCCTTTCACCAATGTATGTTCTTGGCACCTTTGTCCAAAACGAGGTCATTGTAAATGTATGGGTTTGTTTCCAGGTTCTCTATTCTGTTTAATTGGTCTATGTGTCTGTTTTTATGCCAGTACCATGCTGCCTTGGTTACTATAACTCTGCAATAATTTGAAATCAAGTGAAGTAATTCTTCCAGTTTTGCTCCTTTTGCTCAGGATAACTGGCTATTTGGCTATTTTGGGTCTTTTGTGGTTCCATATAAATTTTAGGATTGTTTTTTCTATTTCTCTGAGAAATGTCATTGGTATTTTGATAGGGATGGCATTAAATCTATAGATTACTTTGGTTAGTATGGACATTTTAACAATATTGATTCTTCCAAACTGTAAAAATGGAATATCTTTACACTTTTTGTGTGTCCTCTTCAATTTCTTGCATCAATTATAGAAATATCTCACTTATTTTATTACATTAATTCCTAGGTATTTAATTTCATTTGTAGCTATTGTAAATGTGATTACTTTCTTGATTTCTTTTTTGGATTGTTCACTGTTGGCATATAGAAAAGGTACTCATTTTTGTATGTTACTTTTGTATCCTGCAACTTTACTGCATTGGTTTCTCAGTTCTAATAGTTTTTTGGTGGACTCGTTAGGTTTTCCCAAATATAATAATATCTGCAAACAAGGATAATTTGGCTTCTTCCTTTCCAATTTGGTTTCCCTTTCTTTCTTTCTCTTGTCTGATTGCTCTAATTAGGACTTCTAGTACTATGTGGAATAACAGTGGTGAGAATGGGCATCCTTGTCATGTTGCAGATCAGAAAGGAAAGGCCTCCAGCTTTTCTCCATTCAGTGTGAAGCTAGCTGTGCATTTGTCGTATATGGCTTGCATTGTGTGTTGAGTTATGTTCTTCTACATCCAATTTTTGAGGGTATTTATCATGAAGGGATGTTTAATTTTATAAACTGTTTTTTCAGCATCAGTTGAAATGATCACATGGTTTTTATTCTTCATTCTGTTGATATGATGTATCACATTGATTGCCAGTGTGAATCAATCTTTGCCAGATCTTTGCCAGATTTTGGCAAAGTTTTTTCAGCATCAGTTGAAATGATCACGTGGTTTTTATTCTTCATTCTGTTGATATGATGTATCACACTGATTGATTTGCATATGTTAAACCATCCTTGCATCCCTGGGATAAATCATCCTTGATTATGATGAATTATCTTGTTAATGTGTTGTTGAATTTGATTTGCTAATATTTTGCTAAGGGTTTTGCATCAATTTTCATGGGAATATTGGTCTGTAGGTTTATTTTTCTGATGTGTTTTTATCTGGTTTTGGTATCAGGGTAAAAGTGGCCTTATAGAATGAGTTTGAAAGTATTCTTTCCTCCTCTTTTTTCAGAATAGTCTGAGTAGTATTGGTATGAATTATTTAAATGTTTGTTAATATTCTGCAGTGAAACCATCAGGTCCAGGGCTTTTCTTTGCTGGGAGACTTTTTATTATGGCTCCTATCTTGTTATTTGTTATTAGTCTGTTCAAGTTTTGAATTTCTTCATGGTACAATCTTAGTAGATTGTATGTGTCCAGCAATGTATCTGTTTCTAGGTTTTCCCACTTATTGGCATATAGTTGCTCACAGTAGCCTCTAATGATCACTTGAATTTCTGAAGTGTCAGTTGTAATGTCTCATTTTTCATCTCTGGTTTTATTTATTTGGGTCTTCTCTTTTTTTCTTCATCTGGCTAAAAGTTTGTCAATTTTGTTTATCTCTTCAAAAAACAACTTTTAATTTTGTTTATCTTTTTTATTGTTCTATTTATTTCAACTTCATTTATTTCTGCTCTGATCTTTATTATTTCTTTTATTCTACTAATTTTGAGTTCTATTTGCCCTTGCTTTTCTAGTTTTTAAGATGCACCATTAGGTTGTTTATTCGAAGTTTTTCTTCTTTCCTGATGTAGGCACTTACAGCTATAAATTTTCCCTCTTAGTACTGTTTTTGCTATATCCCATAGGTTTTGGTACGTTATATTGCCATTATGATTTGCTTCAAGACATTTTTCAATTTCCTTCTTAATTTCTTCATTGACACACTGGCCATTCTGGAGCATATTGTTTAATTTCCATGTGTTTGTATAGTTTCCAAAGTTTCTCTTGTTATTGATTTGTAGCATTATGTCATTGTGGTCAGAGAAGATGCTTGATATCATTTCAATTTTTTTAATGTTTTAAGACTTGTTTTGTGACCTTATATGTGGTGTATCCTTGAGAATGATCTTTGCGCTGAGGAGAAGGATGTGTATTCTGCAGCTGTTGGATAAAATGTTGGGTAAATGTCTACTAGGTTCATTTGGTCTATAGTGTAGATTAAGTCCAATGTTTCTTTGTTGATTTTGTCTGGAAGATCTAATGCTAAAAGACAGGTGTTGAAGTCTCCAGCTATGATTGTATTGGGGCCTCTCTCTCTCTTTAGTTCTAATAATATTTGCTTTATATAGCTGGGTGTTCCAGTGTTGGGTGCATATGTATTTAAAATTGTTATATACTCTTATGGATTGACCCCTTTATTGTTATATGATATCCTTTGTGTCTTCTTACAGTTTTTGTCTTAAAGTCTATTTTGTCTGATATAAGTATAGCTACTTCTGCTCTTTTTTGGTTTCTACTTGCATGGAATATCTTTTTCCATCCCTTTATTTTCAGTCTATGTGTTCTTTATAGATGAAGTGTTTTCCTTGTAGACAGTAGGGCATTGGGTATTGTGTTTTTCATCCATTCAGCCACTCTTTGCGTTTTGATTAGAGTTTAGTCCATTTACTAATGTCACCATGTACCAATGTTATTATTGATAAGTAAGAATATACTCCTGCCACTTTGTTATTTTTCTGGTTGTCTTGTGGTCTTCTTTTCCTTCTTTCCTTCCTTCATTTCTTTTTTTTAGTGAAGGTGACTTTGTCTGGTGGTGTGATTTAATTTCTTGATTTTCATTTTTTTTGTGTGTATCTGTCATATGTTTTTTGATTTGAGGTTACCATGAGGCTTGCAAATACTATCTTAGAACCAACTATTTTAAGCTAATAACAACACTGCATAAACAAACAAGCAAACAATCAAAAAGTAATAAAAATGCTACACTTTAACTTCATCCTCTCTCTTTTTAACTTTTTTTTTGTTCTAGTTACACTTACTGTATGTAACGTCTATTTCTTGAAAACTGTTTGTAGCAATTTATTTTGATTGGTTAATCTTGTAGTCTTTATATTTAAGATATGAGTAGTTTACACACCACAATTACACTGTTACAATATTCTGTGTTTTTCTGTGTATTTACTAATAGCAGTGAGTTTTGTACCTTCAGATGATTTCTTATTGCTCATTAACATCCTTTTCTTTCAGACTGAAGAACTCCCTTTGGCATTTCTCACAGGACAGGTCTGGTGTTGATGAAATCCCTCAGCTTTTATCTGTCTGGGAAAGTCTTTCTTTCTCTTTCATGCTTGAAGAATATTTTCACTGGATATATTATTCTAGGATATAAGATTTTTCCTTCAGCACTTTAAATATGTCATGCCACTCTCTCCTGGCTTGTATGATTTCCACTAGAAAGTCGGCTGCCAAATGTATTAGAGCTGTATTAAATGTTATTTATTTTCTCCTGCTGCTTTAGGATACTTTCTTTACCCTTGACTTTTGAGTGCTTGCTAATTAAATGTCTTGATGTAGTCTTCTTTGGGTTAAATCTGCTTGATGTTCTATAGCCTTCTTGTACTTGAATGTTGATATATTTCTGTACATTTGCAAAATTTTCTGTTATTACCCTGTTGAACAAAACTTTCTACCCCTATCTCTTTTTCCACCTCCTCTTTAAGACCACTAACTCCTAGATTTGCCTTTGGAGGTTATTTTCTAAATCTTTCAGGCATGCTGCATTCTTTCTTACTCTGCTTTCTTTTGTCTTCTCTGACTGTGTATTTTCAAATAGCCTGTCTTCAAGTTCACCTAATTGTTTCTTCCATTTGATCAAGTCTACTGTTA
The DNA here is from genome assembly GCF_000001405.40 of Homo sapiens. Taxonomy (NCBI): domain Eukaryota; kingdom Metazoa; phylum Chordata; class Mammalia; order Primates; family Hominidae; genus Homo; species Homo sapiens. The sequence goes on from NC_000005.10 coordinate 9,774,206, forward strand.
AGAGACTCAGGCATCCTTCGGATGTCAATTGCAATTTTCAACTCCAGAATTTCTGCTTGATTCTTTGTAATTATTTCAGTCTCTTTGTTAGGTTTATCCGATGGAATTCTGAATTCCTCTGCTGTGTTATCTTGAGTTCCATTGAGTTTCCTCAAAACAGCTATTTTGAATTCTCTGTCTGAAAGATCACATAATCTGTTTCTCCATGATTGATCACTGATAACCTTATTAAGTTCGTTTAGTGAGATCACGTTTTCCTGGAAGGTCTTGATGTTTGTGGATGTTTGTCAATGTCTGGGCATTCAAGAGCTTGGCATTTATTGTAGTCCTGACAACCCGCATTTGTTTGTACTCATTGTTCTTGGGAAGGCTTTCCAGAGATTTGAAGGCACTTGGGTGTTATGATCTAAGCTTTTGGTCATGTAGCCATATCTGCATTAGGGGGCACCCCAAGCCTAATAACGTTGTGGTTCTTGCAGACTCATAGAGGTACTGCCTTTGTGGTCTTGGATAAGATCCAGAATAATTCTCTGGATTACCAGGCGGAGACTCTTGTTCTTTTCCCTAACTTCCACCAGACAAAGTCTCTCTCTGTGCTGAGCTGCCTGAAGCTGGGAAAGGTGACACAGGCACCTCTGTGGCCACCACCAGTGGGAGTGTGCTGGGTCAGACCTGAGGCCACCACAGTGCTTGGTCTCACCTAGGACTGGTGTAACCACTGCCCAGCTACCACCAATATTCACTCAAGGCCCTAGGGCTCTACAATCAGCAGCTGCAAAAGCAAGCTTAGGCTTCTGTCCTTCCCTTTAGGGTGGCAAGATCACCTCAGTCTCAGGCAGGTCCAGAGATGTCATTCAGGAGCCAGGGCCTGGAGTCAGAAACCTTAGGAATCTACTCAGTACTCTGTTCTACCATGGCTGAGCTGGCACCTAAACCAAAAGACAAAGTCTTTCCCACTCCTGCCCTCCCCTTTCTGCACACAAAGGACTCTCCCTGTGTCCACCGCCATCCCAGGCCTGTGGTGAATATTGCCTGGCTACTGCCAATGTTCACTCAAGGCTAAGGGCTCTTTAGTCAGCTTGTGGTGAATGCTGTCAGGCCTGGGACTCTTCCTTCAGGACAGTGGGCTCCTTGCTGGCCCAGGGCAGTCCAGAAATGCTGTCTGAGAGCCAACTTCTGGAACTGGGGACCCTGAGATCCTACTTGGTGCTCCATCCCACTGTGGCTGAGCTGGTGGTACCTGAGGTGCAAGACAATGTCTCCATTACTCTTCACTCTCCTTTTTCAAGCAGGAGTCTCTTCCATAGACATCACAGCTGGAAATGTGCTGAGTCATATCTGAAGCCAGGATGTTTCTGAGTCTCACCCAGGGCCCACAGTGAGTACTGTCTGGGGGCTGCTGTTGATTATTCAGGGCTCAAGGGCTCTCTCTCTCTAGTCAGCAGGTGATGAATCCTGCCAGGACTGGGTTCTTCCCTTCAAGGCAGTGGGTTCCCTTCTGGCCCAGGGTATATCTAGAAATTTTGCCCAGAAGCCAGGGCCTGGAATGGGGGCCTCAGGACTCTGTTGGGTGCCCCATCCTACTGTGGCTGAGCTGATATCCAAGTTGCAAGACAAAGTCCTCTTTACTCTCCCCTCTCCTCACCTCAAGAAAAAAATAAATAAAAAGGAATCTCTCCCAGAGGTTTGAGCTGAGCTGCCTGGAGTTGGGGTAGGGAGGGGTGGCACAAGCGCTCCCTTGGCTGCCCCAGCTGGTGTCTCCCTAGGTTGCATGCTTCCCAAGTCCACTGACTGTGAGCCCTGGACTTGCCCAGGATTTGCAGTTCTGGTGACCCAGACTGCCTTTCAGGTTGATTCAGAACCCCAGAACACTTTAGCCCATGGTGGCAAGGCTTGTTGGAACTCGGGTTCTCACCACTGGGATAGGTGATTCCCCTCTGGCTAGGGCTGGTCTAACTGCTCCCTCTGTGGACACAGGCTGAGTTCTGCCCAGTTTTGCTTTCCACTGTGACAGGGCAGCACTGTGTTCCAATGCAAAGTCCTGTAGTCACTGCACTCTCCCTCCCCCAAGTGCATGGATTCTCTCTCCATGCCACATGCCCACTGCCAGGTAATAGGGGAGGGATGGTGTCAGCAATTCAAAACTGTCTTTCCTACCCTCTTCAGTGCCTCCTTCAGTGACGTGAAATTAAAAAGAGGTAGTGTGATCGCTCCTGTGACTTTTGGTTTTTATGAAGGTGCTTTTTTGTGTGGACAGTTGTTTCTATCCAGAGTAATTTGGTGTTTCTGCAGGGAGGATGATCAGTGGAGGCTTCCATTCACCCATCTTCTCCTGCCTCCTCTCCTAATCACCTCTTAAATTCATGAGGAGATTCAAGTGGGCCTTTAGTGAGGTCAGGCACAACCACCCATGAAGCCCTGTTTTACTCACTTTCCCATTCCTCCTAGATGACTATTTCACCTGACTTTCAGCTTAATGACGTGGCTTCCTGCTTGACGTGGAAAGTGGAAGCACTCAGAGGAAGATGGCCAGACTCCCCACACCACATTTTCCTTCTTACAGTCGTCTATGTTGACACATTCTGCCTTCCATCTACAGGCATTCCTTGGAGATATTGCAGGTTCAGTTCCAGACCACCACAATAAAACAAATGTCCCAATAAAGTGAGTCATATGAATTTTCTGCTTTCCAAGTGCATATAGAAATTATGTTTGCACTATAATGTAGTCTATTAAGTGTGCAATAACATATGTTTAAAAAATGTACATACAGTAATTAAAAATACTTTTTTGATAAAAAATGCTAACGATCATCTGAGCCTTCAGCAAGTTGTAATCTTTTTGCTGGTGAAGGGTCTTGCTTCTATGTTGATGGCTGTTGATTGATCATGAGGGTGGTTGCTGAAGGCTGGGCTGGCTGTGGAAATTTCTTAAAATGAGACAACAGTGAAGTTTGCTGCATCGATTGACTCTCTCTTTCATGAAAGATTTCTCTGAAGCATGCAATACTGTTTGATAACATTTTACCCAGAGAACCTCTTTCAAAATTGGAATCAATCCCCTCAAACCCTGCTACTGCTTTATCAAATAAGTTTATGCAATATTCTAAGTCTTTTGTGGTTGTTTCAATAATAGTCACAGCATCTTTGCCAGGAGTAGATTCCCTCTCAAGAGACCACTTTCTGTGCTCATTCGTAAGAAGCAGCTCCTCAACTGCTAAAGTTTGATCATGACATTGAAGCAATTCAGTCGCATCTTCGGGCTCCACTTCGAATTCCAGTTCTCCCACTATTTTCACCATATCTGCCATTACTTCCTTCGCTGAAGCCTTGAATCCCTCAAAGTCATCCATGAGTTTTGGAATCAACTTCAAAACTCCAGTTAATGTTGATACTTTAACCTCTTTCCATGAATCACAAGTGTTCTTAATGACATCTAGATGGGTGAATCCTTTCCAGAAGGCTTCGAATTTGCTTTGCCCAGATCCATCACAGTAATCACTATCTATAGCAGCTATAGCCTTATGAAAACATTTCTTAAATAATAAGACTTGAAAGTCAAAATTACCCTTTGATCCATGGGCTGCAGATTGATGCTGTGTTAGCAGGCATGAAGACATTAGTCTCCTTGTACATCTCCACATCTCCATCAGAGCTTTTGGGAGGCCAGGTGTTTTTTTTTTTTTTGAGACGGAGTCTTGCTCTGTCGCCCAGGCCGGACTGCGGACTGCAGTGGCGCAATCTCGGCTCACTGCAAGCTCCGCTTCCCGGGTTCACGCCATTCTCCTGCCTCAGCCTCCTGAGTAGCTGGGACTACAGGCGCCCGCCACCGCGCCCGGCTAATTTTTTGTATTTTTAGTAGAGACAGGGTTTCACCTTGTTAGCCAGGATGGTTTCGATCTCCTGACCTCATGATCCACCTGCCTCGGCCTCCCAAAGTGCTGGGATTACAGGCGTGAGCCACCACGCCCGGCGGGAGGCCAGGTGTTTTGCTGGTGAGTAGTAATATTCTGAAAAAAGTTTCTTTTTTTCCTAAACAGTAGATCTCGATGGTGGGCTTAAAATATTCAATAAACCATGTTGTAAACAGATGTGCTGTCATTCAGGCTTTGTTGTTTCATTTACAGAGCAGGCAGAGTAGATTTAGCATAATTGTTAAGGGCCCTAGGATTTCAAAATGGTAAATGAGCCCTGGCTTCAACTTAAAGTTACCAGCTGCATTAGCCCCTAACAAGATAATCAATCTGTCTCCCAAAGCTTTGAAGCCAGGAATTGTCTTCTCTCTAGCTTGGAAAGTCCTAGATGGCATCTTCTTCCAATACAAGGTTGTTTTGTCTACATTGACAATCGATTATTTAGTTCAGTGACATTCATAACTTGTCTTAGCTAAATCTTCTAGATAACTTTCTGCACCTTCTATGCCAGCACTTGCTGCCTCACCTTGCACTTTTATGTTATGGAGATGGCTTACTTCCTCAAGCCTCATGAATCAACCTCTTCTAGCTTCCAACTTTTCTCCTGTAGTTTTCTCACCTCTCTCAAAAGAAAGTTAGGGCCTTGCTCTGGATTAGGCTTTGGCTTAAGGGGCTGTTGTTGCTGATTTGATCTTCTAGCCAGACTGCTAAAACTTTCTCCATGTCAGCAATAAGGCCCTTTTGCTTTCTTATCATTCGTGTGTTCACGGGAGTGGCACTTTTAATGTCCTCCAAGAAATCTTCCTTCGCATTCACAGCTTGGCTGTTTGGCACAAGAGACTTAGCTTTCAGCCTGTTTTGGCTTTCAACATGCCTTCCTGAGATGGTTTGGATGTTTTTTCCCCTGCAAATATCATGTTGAAATGTGACCTGCAGTGTTGGAGATGGGACCTGGTGAGAGGTGTTTGGGCCATGGTGGCATATCTCTCATGAATGGCTTGGTGCCGTCCTCGCAGTAATGATTTAGTTCTCACTACAAGTTCATGTGAGATCCAATTGTTTAAAAGAGTCTGGACCTCCTTCCTCTCTCCCTTGCTCCATCTCTTGTCATGTGACATGCCTGCTCCTGCTTAGCCTTCCACCGTGAGTAAAAGCTTCCTGAGACCTCACCAGAAGGGGAGTACATGCCAGTGTCATGCTTCCTATACAACCTGCAAAACTGTGAACCAATTAAATCTCATCGTTATAAATTACTCAGTGTCAGGTATTCCTTTATAGCAACAAAAACAGAATAACACACTTCCTCACCAAGTTTAACCATTTCTAGCTTTTGCTTTACAGTGAGAGATGTCAACTCTTCCTGTCACTTGAACACTTAGGGCTATTAACTGGCCTATTTTCAATATTATTCTGTATCATGTAATAGGGAGGCAAGAGGAGAGGAAGAGAGATGGGGAAACAGCTGGTCAGTGGAGAAATCAGAACACACACATTTATTGCTTACATTTGATGTCTTATATGCATGCAGTTTGTGATGCTTCCAAACAATTATGATAGTAACATCAAAGATCACTCACTGATCACAGATCATCATAACAGATATAATAATAATGAAAAAGTCTGAAACATTGCAAGAGTTACCAAAATGTTACACAGAGACCTGAAGTGAGTATATATTGCTGGGAAACAGCATAGATAGTCTTGTTGGATGCAAGGCTGTCGCAAATCTTCAATTTGTAAATAACCCATTACCTGCAAAGTGCAGTAAAGAGAAGCACAATAAAATGAGATATGCCTGTACTTACCCTCAGCTGACTTCTGATGCACACTAGAGTTTAACAATTCAACAAACACTGCTAGAGATGAACCCACTTTTCTGTGAAAGGCCAATCTTTCTGTGTGCCACATACCCTGTGACCTGTTCAAAGACATTGTCCAGCACGGCCCCTTTTCTCTCCTGCACCATCAGTTTTCCCCCTTTCTACAAGATCATTTCCTTTGACATAGAAGACTGCTGTTAATCATCTCATCTCATGGAAAAGAACATCACCCCCTCCCACTCTGACAGTTACCTGACCTGCAGCTCTCTGCCCCTGTACAGCAATTCTCCTGGGAAGAGATTTCTTTGCTGGACTCTTCTTTGCTTAACTTCTCTTCTGGAATTATTTCCTGAACTCATTTTCCTCATGTTCCATCACCAGCCCTCCACTGCACTGAAAGGTTCCCTACTACAGTTACACAGGACCTTTGTGTCACAAAATCCAGAGGTCAATTCTGATTCAGATTCCTTTGGCTAACTGGTCATCAGCTGCATTTGACAGAGCTGGGACCCCCTACCCACTAATGGACATTGCTAATTCTATAAGTGTCCTGGCTACCTCACTTGTTGCTTCTTCTCCATCTCCACGTCTTTCTGCATCAACATTAAGAAGTCAGGAGAAGGGGCTCTTCCTTCTTCCGTAATGATTATACTCTTTTGGTAAATTCAACCAAATTCATAGCTTCAATTCTATCTGTACCAGTCAAGATTCTCCAGACAAATGGAACTAACAGAATGTGTGTGTGTGTGTGTGCGCGCGCGCGCGCATGCACGCACATGTGCGTTCATGTTAGGTTATAGTACAGTTATTTAATCAAACACTAATCTAGGTATTTTTGTAAATGTGGTTAACATCTATAATCTTGTTAACTTCAAGTTAAAAAGAATACCCTCAACTCTGTGAGGAATAGGCCTCATGCAAGTAGTTGCAGGTCTTAAGAGCGAAAACTGAGGTTTCCCAGAAAACAATGAATTCTGCTTCAAGACTGCAGCATCAACTCCCTCCTGAGTTTCTAGTCCACCAGCTTGCCTATGCATTTCAAACTTGCCAGCTCCCACAATTGTGTGAGCCAATTTCTTAAAGTAAATCTCTTAATGCGTAATATATTTTATGTAGGATATATATCCTATAGCCTAGCCAAGTTGACACATAAAACTAACCATCAAATGATCCATGTACCATGACCCTGATTCATATTTTCAGTCCAAATTGTTTTGTGTATCCACTTGCTTACTCAATATCTCCACTTGGGTAACAACACAATTTTTAAAGTTGAACTTTACCTGCAGACTTTTTGCTCTCATTTGGTGGCAACTTGATCCTTCCTGTCCTGCAGTCTGAAAATGTTAGAATCATCCTTGGCTCCTCTCATTCACACCCTGCATTCAAATCCTGCTGGCTCCGACATCTCACAGCCTCCACTGCTCCCACATTTGTCCCCAGCACCATGTCTCACCTGGACTGCTGCAATGGCCTCCAGAGCTGCTTCTGCCCTTGTGTGCTGGGGTCTGATTGCAACACAGCAACCCAAGCGACTCTCCTAATCTGTAACTGAGACAAGCTATTTCTTCACACTAGACCACACCACTTCTCCACTGAGTAAAAGGCACAGTCCCTGCCCAGGAGGCCTCCAGAGATCTGTCCCCTTTTCCTCACTGACTTAAATTCCCCACTCTGCTGTATGTGTAAACCACTCTGACAACACTGTCCTCCCTGTGTTCCCAAAAGACAACAGACACACTCTGCTCCAGTGCTTGGACCCTAGAATACTCCCTCTGCCTGGGATCTGCTTCTCCCAGATGCCCACATGCTCACTCTGCCTACTTCAAGGAACTTGAATAATGCCCTTCTCAGCAAGGCCCCCTGCATGTGCCATTTGAACCTGCAGCCTCTCCATCCATCATCCCTGCCTATCCTCACCCTGCTCTGACTTGTCCTTGTGTTTGGAGCCTTCTCACCTTTACCCCTACTATTCCATTGACTCATTACATTTATTGTCTGGTCTTTCTTCCCCATTAAAATGGGGATAGATGTCTTTCTGGTTTTTTACACTGATGTTTCTCAAGCACATAGAATAGCATCTGGCTCAAGCGGGTCCTCAATAAATATTTGTGGAATAAATGAGTCATTTGTGAATATATCTTGATGTGCTATTCCTTCTCACTTGAACATTACAGTGGAAGCTCCATGGAGACAAGGGCTTGCCTCTCTTACTCAGGCCCCTCCAGCAGTCCATGCACAGGGCAGGCCTGGCAAATACTTGTTGGGGACTTCTGACCAATGAAGGTCTTTGGAGATGAAAGAGAGGCCAATTCCTACAAGTTACAGGATCTCATAGTCCTCTTTTCCCAAGGTTCACTGTGCTGGGATTTGCAGGTTTCTGGAAGATTTTGAAGTGAGCACTCTACTTTTAAAGCCACAGTATCCAGTTTACTGATGAACTCCACTCTGCCTTTTCCCCTTCAAAACCTGATGCCCTTACCAAGCTGATTTCCCCTGGGTGGGCATCCTGATGGGTGGGGCGGGGCGGGGCTGGGGGGGTCCCACCCACATATTAAGCCCTGACTTGCTGGAACTGGTCTGAACATTTGTGCCTCAGGGCAAGTCAAAGCAAGACCCCTTTGCACCAAGCCAGGCATTGTTTTAGAACTCTGACTCCAGCACTGCATGGTCTCCAGCTGCAGGGACCTTGTCTTTACATCACTGATGGGCGCATTAACCACAAACTAAGAGTCGTGCATGCAAGAATTTCAACCTACCTCATCTGTAGCTTAAAAACACTTTTAAAGGCAATACATCTTTTCTTTTCTTTCTAAAGGGACTAAATGTTGCCTTGTCCAGTGGAAAAAAAAAATCTACTTATAAAAAGCATTCTTTGGGGGAAAGAGGGAGTGATTCTTATCTGAAAACCAATGGAGCAAAAGGACTAACATTTTACAAGCTTCAGTAAAACCCAGGAAAACCTCTCAGAATGAGGATAGCTAGGGAGGACAGAAACCCACGAGCTAGAGGGAGGTCAAAGTCCTGGCTCTTTAGTGGGTGTTGCTGAAGTTGACAAATAGCAGGCATTTGTGTGGTTTGCAGACATCGCTGTCCTTGCCTCCCCATGGCTGCAGAAGGGGCGTGTCTCCTGTCTTCATCAAATCTCTGCAGCCCCGTTGCCTTCTCCTTGCCTTACTCTATTGGCTTTTGAATACTTCATTAACTTTTAAATCCAGCCATTTAAATGCTTGCATAGCCTAGTTCCCCTTTACCTAAAAGAATCATTACAACATTGTCTCTCTCCTCATATACTTAAATCATCTCACTCAGGCATCTGCAAAGATAATCTCAACGATTCTACTTAAACTCCTTAGCTATTAAGAAAGGCAGTAACATCAACAGGCTGAGCTGGCCCTTGAAATGGGAGAAGCTCCTAACAGCATCTGGTCAGCTTAGCTGATGCAATTGCAAGGCTGGCCTGGAGAAGGCCCCATCCAGAGACTCCTCCCTGCAGAACCAGATGGCTTCAAGAATATGTGCATCCGTGCTGGGCCCTGGGAGCTGGGGTTCTACTTAAACACCTTTGGACCTGCTGGGACGTCCTTCCTTGAGTGTAAGCCCAGTTTCTCAAGCCCATATCCTCTTCTTTTGATTACAACATTGTAAATTATTAAATAAAATTTTCATACTGATTTCCTTTAGAGTAAAAGAATTTTGTGCTTTTTTAATGGAATAAGAATATTTCAATCTTTCTTTCTTTTCTCTTGGTTATTTCTAGTGCTTTAAAATGTGAACACCAAAACTATTTTTTTATTATAACAGAAAAGCCAAAATATTGTTTAAAATATGTGTAGCCAAGACAAATCTTATTATACATGCTCATATCTTGGAAGAACTTGTGCACAGTTAATGGGTTGATGAGTGAAGCATTCAAGACAGGGAGTTGCTCAGCACTGGAGTGTCCAGAGGTCTTGAAGGTCCTGGTTAGGAGCCCAGTCTCCAGAGCTGCGCTACCTGGATTCACATCCCAGCTGCATCTCTTCCTGGCTGTATGACCTTGGACAAATGACTTAACCTCTCTGTGCTTCAGTTTTCCACAGTAAAATAAGTATGAGAACACTACCTAGGGCATCAGGATGTGAAGTTTAAATAAGTTAATAAACTTAAAGAACACAGGATGGTACTGACCATTGCATGCCATGTAAGGGTTTACTATGAACATTAGCTCTTAATGCTCTATAATTGAATATAATTTTGATTTGGAATATCTATCTAACCAGGCTAGCAGGAGTCTTTCTTCTGTCTCTGGGGTGTCCTGTGGAGAGGGAAAATCCCCCAAATCCCCAGGCTGGGACCAGGCCAAGGTCTGTCCACAGAGGACACTACTGAGAGCCCTTGGGCTCTCATACATCCAGGACTCACCACAACTGCTGGGTCTCCCTGAGGTCCATATGCCAGAAAATACTTCTCAAGTACCTGCTCATGTGTGCTATCCCCAGCAGCTGGCATGAGGCCTGAGAGTGTGCCCAGCACACTGGCAGAGAACATTCAATGTAGGCAAAGGAAAAAGAACAGACAGCCTGGGAGGATAGCACAGGGTTTCAACCTTATGCATAAGAATCATGAAAAGGTCTCATCGTCAAACCGCCAGCCTGCCCCTGAAAAGCAGGCCAGAGTAAAAAGGTTCAGAGCTCACAAAAGAAATGTATTGCCTCTCAGTCCTGGAGGCTGAAAGTCCAAAATCAGGGTGTCCGCAGGGCCCCGCTCCCTCAGAAGCTCCAGAGGAGGATCCTTCCTTGCATCTTCCCAGCATCAGTGGCTGCCACCAATCCTTGGGTTTCCCTGGCTGGTGGCAGCATCACTCGAAGCCCTGTGTGTCTCTGTCTTTGCATGGCCATCTTCATATAAGGACACTGTTCAGATTAGATTAGGGGTCCACCCTACTCTAGTATGACCTCATCTCAACTTAACTAATTACATGTGCAGGAAGACTGTTTATAAATAACATCCTACTCTGAGATCCTGGGGGTTAGGACTTCAACATATCATTTTTGGGGAGACACAATTCAACCCAGAACAGTATCCCATGTTAAATTAAAGGGGCTATATATTTTTCAGCAAAAAAGAGGAATGCATCTCTTCATAAAGACATAGACATATAATTTTACTGGAATGAAACCTTATCTTACATGCCCTTTTCACCATGGCTACAGCTCCCCACTCTCTCATCTCCCCACAGCCAGGTGAGTTCTGTTGCCATTTGTTGCTATGTGTATCCTTCCATATGCTTCTATTTACTCAAATGAGCCTACACACACCTATGTAGGCAGATACTCATTGTGTAAATATGCATCTTCAGGGGAGGTTTTTGTCACGGTTTTACAAAAATAGAATCAATCATTTCAAGTGCCTTTTGTAAATTTTGCTTTTATCACACAATAACATCTGGGGGAAGTCCTGCCAAGCCATCTTCCAAGGCTCTAAAGCATTATCTTTAATGATTGTATTATGTATTCTGCAGTGTGGGCATTAGCCAAAAATTAACAGTGATTATCTTAAGACACTTGGGGGTAGGGTCTCTCTTCCTTTATCTTTGTGGAGATTTGATAGCTGTTCAATAAATATGAGTATGTTTGAATTGAAGCTGAAACATTTTTCAAAAATCTCAACTCTGATAGCATTGATGCCATTTATACAATTTTATTCCTTCTTGAGGACACTGACATTTTAGGGTCCCAGAGACTATGTTTAACATTCCCTATAAACCATCACATTTATTTATCTTACCAGCCCAAGGAGGTTAAAGTCTCCATCTAAAGACAGGGCAGGAGGTTCAGAGACCTGGGCACACAGCGTAGTGGGCAGACTGAGGACTCAAACCCTGAACTAACAACCTCCCACACCCATCACTCTCTGCCATATTAGGTTTCAAAAGTTACACATCATCTCATATGCTAGACTTGGCTCTGGAAATCTAGTTTTGGTTGTTCCCAAACCCACCCTCCAAAGTTATATGACCACTGAAAATATACAAAGTAATGAAGCAGAGCCAAAAAGTAAACAAAAAAGTTTTAGCAATCCATGACCCCTGCTGCTCTGCAGAGAACTGTCCTAATTTTCCTTTGCTTATTTAAAATCAGTGACTTGACTTCAGTCACATATGTTACACATACATAATCTAGTTTCTAGAAGCAGAATAGAAACACTTACTCATACACGACTGGGCAGGATGTCATTAGGAAAAGGTGAAGGAGGTGACAATTTGGGGTTCCAGGCCCTGAGTTGAGGGAGGACAGTGGTGACCTATTAAACTAGACAATGGCTAAGATTGTCATGCTTGTTTGCTGTCTCTGAGAGCATATTTCCTAGGAAAGATGTTTAGGAGTATTTGACAAAGACCCATATGAAAGTTCCTTCACAGCATATTTTACCTCTAACTGTCTATGAATTCATGTGTGACTTTGATATAGATGCTGTAAACTTTGGTACACAAAGTAACTAAGTCCCATCACAGTATGGAAGGGATGTGAATTTCAAAGGTGAGTAAGTGGTGCCTAGAATTTACCTTTCTTACCTTCCTGAAATAGCACGTACAATAACACGGTTCTCAACGTGGGCTGAGTATTCTAAACACCTAGGAACTAAAAAGTTTAAAAGTGCTGACACCTGTATTTCAATGAATTGATTTAATTAGTATAGGATGTAGCTGAGCATCGAGATTCCATAAACTCTTCAAATGACTCGAATATGCAGCAGAAGTTGAGACCCACAGCCCTAGGAGATTTGAGGGGAAAGCATTAAAATTGTTAAAAATTAGAAGGACTGTTTGTGAAATAAGATAAAATTAAGGAGAAATAACCTCCTTTACTGAGCAATGTAGCCTTCTATGAGCTGCCCCCAACCTTGCTCTTCAGTCCCACCTTCCATTCTTCCCCACATTTTTTGTTGTAGCTGAAACATACTTTCTCTGCATAAGCCACATCATTCTTCTCCTCTTATGCTTTGTAAATATTTTCCCCTCTCCCAGGAATCTTTCTCTAAATGAATCCTGCACTTTCTTGGTGATTCCATCTAAGTGGTCTATTTGGACAGAACTTCAGTGGACTCACTGCATTTCCCTCAACTATATGTTTTGGCCCAAGTTTCTCCACTTGACCTCAGTGAACACCAAAGAGACAGAGATGTTGCGCCATGCATTCCCATCACCTAGCCAGGTGACTAGCACATCATAGACAGTCAACAAATGGCTGTGGGGTGAAGTCAGGAAGCAAAACAGCATTAGGAAGTATGTATCAGCTTCTCACCAATTGTAGTATTGAGAAATTTATCATCTTGACAGGCATAAACATGTAAGAGAAAATTTGCTTTGCAAATTATAGCACCCAAAAGCTTAAAAGAAAACATCATGAAAAAGACAGGTAAAATTGAACTCATTCCATCTAATATGGTGTTTAAAAATGTGTCTCCATTTTTTCTTTGTACTTATTATCAAAAACCAGGTATTGCAAAAGTATATTAGTAATCACATTATTCTTTTTTCAGTCTGATGGAAATACAAGATACAAGTGGTCCTACAGAAGAACTCTTCCCTTTGGAAGACTGAAATGCCTGGTAACACATGGCTGCAAATGTTTGCTGATCTCTCTAATCAATCCCCTGCAAGCTCACTAGCCAAGTGGCAGTGACACTTTGGAAATATCAGAACCTGGTAATTTATTTCTTGACTGTCTTCCCAAACAATTAAGGACCTAACATCTGCGTGCTAAGCAACCATGGGCTACTCCTTTCCAGCAACTTTGCAAGAAACACTGTCAGAACTCCTTAAAAACAATCAACTCTGAAAAAGAGGACCCCAGAGAGTGTCTGCACTTGAGTGAATGTTGCCCAAGCAAGGGCAAACTTCTGCCACATACAGCACATGTTTTTAAAGATGAAGTTCTTGTCCAGGGTGTCTGGCAATTGTGTGGCACTTTGAATTAGACTTTGCAGAATGACAGCAATTTGACCAACAGCGTCTGAGGGGCAGATGCTTTCTGCACACTCTCAAGCTCAATGTGGCACAATCCAGGCGATTTTGCAATGCTGGATGCATGGTGAGCCTGCTGGGCTGTCAACAGCCGCACAAAGTGAGGTTGTGCCAGAATCATGGGGTGTTCAGCATTCAAAGAGAACTCAGATATCACCTCATTCAGCCCCTTCACAGTACAGATAAATGGAGAGAGACCAGAGAGCTTAATGATTTCTTGTTGAAGGATCACACATAGAAAGGTATATGTGTGTTCAATCCAAATTTGCAGGCTTAAATTCGAGTTCTCTGCCTGCCTAATCTAAATTGGCTATTTGCACTGTCCAAACACACCAGTTGATATTCTGAACTTCCTTTGACTTTCCACCCGATAAGCAGCTTAAGGATGACTGACTGTATTGACTTGCCCAAGTCAAGCTGGGGCTGCACGGATGGTCTCTATCCATTGCTTCTGCTGTGCATGGCTAATACAGCTCCCAGCCACCGGGTAATCCTTGCTAGCATCCAGTTATTTTGCTGTCACTCACCACCTCTGGGCAATCTTTATCTCTGACCTAAAAACCCGTGAGAGCTAATTCCTAGAATTTAAAGAATTTCCAACAGGTATGTGAGAGTAGAAGCATTTCTACTAAGATCTTTGTCTCTTAAAAAAAATAAAATAAAAAAGGAGCAGATAGCCACAAAGAAACAAGAAAATATAATTATGGGTCTATTTGTCTTGCCTTTCATCTCAGAGAGAAATGTGGCATCTTGTAGAGCATGTGGGTTGATTTCAGCCGAACAACAGTAAACTCATTAGAAGCTACAAGATGGGGTATTTTAGAAAAGAATACAGAGTGGAGGTTGTAAGTGAAATATGAAAATGTTTTTATTCTAAAACTAGAATAAATTTTCTATGTAAATTTTCTTCATGACACAGAGATAAAATTAAGTGAAAAACAAAAATAGAAGAATGGTCTCTAATTTTTGCCTCCCCACCACAAAAACAGGGGCTATGCAAGGACAATGTATGCATTTATACACATGCCTATGAGCCATGAGTCTCCATTTTCTTGTTTGTATCATGGTTTCACAAAGATAATACCTGTCTCCTCCTACTTAACAACCTCTAAAGCAAATACAACAAAAATGAGCTAGTAGACACCATTCCCATGCCTACCCCCAAGTAACTTATCCAGCTTTGAAAGAATTACCATCCAAAGGAGGAAAACGGGCATCAACCCAGGAGCCTGGGAAAGGTATTTGATACAAAGCATCAAATCTGCCAGGCATTTGATACTAAGTAATGACTTCAAAAGCAAGGTGACCAGAGGAAGCTTTAGATCTTCCTCTGCAGGAACAGTTTGACTTTTGCTTTAAACCTGGCACAATTTAATCTTTATTTGAAGGATATACATACAGAGTCATTTTCTTCATTAAGCTGCCTTGACGTGCGCAGATCCTTCGACAGATTTAAATCAACATGCTTGAAAAATGGGCACAAATAATTTGGCATGTGAAACGGGATAGGATCTTCTCCAATAAAACATGGAACTTCAACGTGGAGCCAATTACAACGTTGCATAGATTCTAAGACATCACCAATTGTAAGGCAGATTTTCATTTTTCAAATGACTGAGAAAAAATGTGTGAATTAAGGTATAGCAGGATCCCTCCATGACAGCCTGTGTACCAGATGCATGAATCGATCACACCAGTCTCTCCTTAGTTTAAATGTCTTTATCCTGCTGTGTGGATCTGGCAATTTCTCCTGCCTTCAGCAGCATTGGTGGTTGTGTGCTAGGCAATTCTTCTCCACACATCTCAGTAGTCATTTGTGTCCACCTACTTCTTTTCTTGGGTTTGGTAAGTTATGCTGTGGCAACAAACACCATCCAAATCCCAGGGATTTACAGCAACAAGTATATTGCAACAAGTATATTGGCTGTGGTTCTGCTTCGTAAGTCCTGCAGTCCAGAATAAAAGAACAGCCCCTACTGGGGACATGCCATCCTCATGGCAGAAGGCCAAGAGGAACTGCAGAAGAGTGTGATGGCTCCTAAGGCCTCTGCCCAGAAGAAACATATATCACTCTGCTCATGTTCTTTGCCAAAGAAATCACATGGTCAGGCACAACATTATCAGGATGTGAAGTATGCTCCTCTCACATGCAATGCACAAAGGACAGGCCCTGGAGGGAGGGATCCAGTACAGAGGGGCAGTGAATGTTTTCAACAAATGTTACAATCTACCATTAAGCCTTCGATGGTCACTTTGCAAGGAAATAGAGAATGTGGTTATTCTGACAAAGAGCAGTATTTGCTCCACTGATAACACATTTTATACCCTGCCACTCTGTTTTCATGCCTTTTTGTGTATTTAATAATTTTTACTTTAAATGCCAAAAATATGTAAATTTTGGAGATAATTTAAACATCAATTAAACTCAACCATATAGTTAGCAACAACATACATGACTCAACTGAAGCCACATCGGTGTAGCAACTGGGGCCGAGTCTACCCAAACACAGGCAATGCCAACTGTGTCACGGCTGTTTCCCGTCAACGGCAAGCATAAATCATCATCATTTGTAAGATGCATCTCACTTGCACATGTGTTGAAATGTAAAAAAAGAAAAAAAGTATCGTACAATTAAATACAGCATTGTGTGTGTCTGTGTGTGCATGTGTGTGTGTAAAATAAGAATTTTTTTTTCTTTTTTGAGACAGTCTCACCCTGTCGCCCAGGCTGCAGTGCAGTGGTGTAATCTCGGCTCATTGCAACCTCCGCCTCCCAGGTTCAAGCAATTCTTCCGCCTCAGCCTCCTGAGTAGCTGGCATTACAGTCACTCGCTACCACGCCTGGCTAATTTTTTTTTGTATTTTTAGTAGAGTTTTTTAGTGGGGTTTTGCCACATTGGCCAGGCTGGTCTTAAACTCTTGATCTCAAGTGATCCACCCACTTCTGCCTCTCAAAGTGCTGGGATTACAGGCATGTGCCACTGTGCCTGGCCTATAAAATAATATTTGTTTATCAGCTCTTAAATGCTCTGCATTCTTGCTCTTTGGAGCATGGTCTGTGGCCCAGCACTATGGATGTCTTCCAGGGGCTGGTTACCAGTGAAAAATCTTGAGCCCCAACCAAGACTCTTGACTAAGAATATTAACAAGATCTATGAGTGAACCATATGCTCACTAAGTTAGATAAGCAGTATTCTAAATGACATTAGTCTTATAGCTGTGAAGTGCATTATAGTGGAGTGAACACACACACACATACACACACACACACGGATCATGGGTATGATGAGATGACTCTGCTCAGAATCCTCCCTTGCAGCCTTGGCCCCAGCATGTACAGTGAGAGAGAAGAGCATCTCAGGGTTATCCCATTCAGCAGGACGAGTGCAATGACAAGGACAGATCAGGTATCTCCAACCCTGGCTGTGCATTAACATCACCTGGCAAAGTTTTTAAAAATGCTGAAACCGGACCGGGTGCAGTGGCTCATGCCTGTGGTCCCGGCACTTTGGGAGGCCAAGGTAGGTGAATCACTTGAGGCCAGGAGTTCGAGACCAACCTGGGCAACACAGTGAAACCCCATCTCTACTAAAAATACAAAAATTGGCCAGGCATCATGGCGCATACCTGTGATTCTGGCTGCACAACAGGCTGAGGCAAGAGAATTGCTTGAACCCAGGAGGTGGAGGTTGCAGTGAGCTGAGATCATGCCACTGCACTCCAGCCTGGGCAATGAAGCAAGACTCCATCTAAAAAAAGAAAGAAAAGAAAAGAAGAAAAATACTGATACCTAGGCCCTGTCCTCCAAGATTCATTTGGTTTAGGGTACCTGTGTTTTTAGATACTTCCCCACATGACTCTGTTGTACAGCCTGGGTGTGGGGCTTCCAATGTAGAGGACGCATGCAGATAGAAGGTCCATTTGTGAACTAGAAACAGAGCTATCTGAGCTCTCCTGTGAGCAGCCGAATCTTCTTCACCGTCAAGATCACTGTATAAATAATATATTCTCATGTAGGGGGCAGGAAAGAGAACGAGATGTGTTGGATAGAGTTTAGTGCCACCAGGAGTCAGGATTCAAGTGGGATAACAAGGACTTCGGATTTGATTTGATTGCAGATCCATGTGTCATGTCTAATACACATTCAATGTAGGGAAACCACACAAATTTGAAGTCCCAAGACCTGGATCTGGAACTTTTTTCTACTGATCATCTTTTTTTTACCCTTGAATAACCCACCTATGCTCCCCAAGGCTCACTTTCAAATAGGTGTTCATATCACAGAAACACACACATATATGCATGTAAATGCATGAACATTCACATTCACATATAGCAATTTTTAAAACATAATGAACCTCTGCTATTTTCCAAGACTTTTAGGTTGTCATGGTCATAAATACAGAATGAACCCATCTGTTCTATCTGGTAGCCTATAGATATAAACCTGGGATTGATGACATGATTACTGGGAGAAGTAGGCTTTCTTCCCGTGTTATAACTTTGAAATGTCTGACCTATCTTGCACTAGGTTACAAACACTGGCAACGATCAACCCGACTTTTGAAGTGGAAAAATTACTTGCACGGCAGCTATTGACAACACGACTTTCATTCCAAAAGGATATAAAACTCAAAAGTGAGTGTGAATGCTGGTGATCCCATATTTCTTTGCTCAGGTGTCAATGCTATATCCCTGGGAAGTTCCCAAATGACTACTCCTGCTTGACGACTTAGGAGGAAACATGGCAGCGATCATTAATCTCATGGGGAAAGTGGTATGTATGATGAAAAAAGATCTATATATGAATCTTTACTTCTACTTTGGGATATAAAAAATAGGACTCACTGAGAAGAAGAACATGAAGGCCTCTATATGATCTTTCTTCCTCCACTCAGTTCTGCTTTTCATCTTTAAACTGGTGATATTCTGATCAAAATGTTCATTCTATCCCAAATCCAAGCATATTCTCTTGAAAGTGAAGGGGATCCCACAATTAAAAGCAAAAATGCCAACATCTCACCACTGTGCTAATAGGGATGATTCCATTGCATATAAAAGATGCATTTTCTTAGAAAGAATCTTCATGAAACAGACTTTGCTCAAGTCCACCTATACATAGAGCATGAAGGTGATCAAGAGACTCTTCCAGGAGTTTCTTCTAACACATCCAGCAAAACACGGTCCTAAAATGGCAGGACTGGAAAAAAGAGCTACTCAAAATACATGAGGTACTTGTTTTCTTTGTGGGCTTTTTGTTCCTGGAGGGGGAGGAATTAGGAGGGGAAAGGGCATAGGAAATGATGCAGACATATTGTATAAATTAGGAATGGCCTAAGCTAATTGAAGATAAAAGGGAATAAAACACACATGTTAGGGAAGTTTGGTTTCAAAACAACTCAATACTACCTATGCTGTTATGGGATAATGAGCAAAAGGTAGTTCTTTCAACTCAGGTAACTAAGAAAGAGAAAACTAAACTTTGATCACTATAGAGGAAACCAAATACAGTAAATGGGAAAACCTTAGGGACAGATGGAGAAGGACAGTATTAAGTTTGTGGGGGTGTCATAAGATAGGAGGCCTTGGAAGACACAATAAAATCAGCTCAGATGCCCATATGCACACTCAATGCAGGTGCTCCGCTGCAGTTCTCAGTCAAGGACCAGGCCTGCAGTCTGGGGTGGTGAGTCCTTCAGCATTGGATGTGGTGTGTGGTCAGGCAGAACAGAAACCAGATGCAGCCCTGGGGTGCGGGGTCTCATTCAGTCAAGTCAGGGAATGAGAAGCTGTGAATTATTAGGCTGCTGCTTTTGAAAAGTGGATAGGGAGACAACATAAAACACCAGGAGGCATGGACAGTGAGGCCTGGAGAAGTGCTGGCACCCTGCAAGCTGATCATTCTGGGTGTGGTACCCAGACCCTGTGTCTCGGTCCAGAACCACACTCCAGAGCTGAGCCTCAGATGAAAGTTGGCCCTTCCTGAAGGATTCAGAAACATTGTACTCAGGAAGATACAGAAAACTTCAGAAATAATGAAGCAAAACTAACCCACAGAATTAATACTTTGTGTTGAATTTAGGAATGAACTGTGTAACCAGGATTTGTGTAACCAGGGTTTTGTGTCACCAGGATTTTTTAAAATCTTGTAACCAGGATTTTTAAAAATCTCTGGGTCATTTAAGTCATTTGAAACATCTCTGTTATTCCAGCATATTAGAGCATGGGACTTTTTGGCCTTGGGTTTTAAAATTTTTTAGTTGATTCTAGACTTGTGGTTTGAATTTGAAAGAAATAAGATTTAAGTTTGCAAAGAGTCTTTGAAGTTCAAGAGAACTTGATTGATTTATTATATTTATAAGAGCTGGGTAAGTGATTTGAAGGAATTGGTTTATTGTAAGTCTATCCTGTTAGGGATATAAAAGGATTCAGATATATTAAATTTATAAAATATTTTTTAAATGCTTATGGGAATTTAACTACTTCAGTTTACACGTTTGAGTGCTTAAGTGAATTGTATTTGTTCAATTGATGAGTTAATCAACAAATATTAATAAACAAATATAAGTGATCATTCTTATTTTACACAAAAATTACTAAATTTATTATTTAAAACAAAGTTTGTCACTTTAACAGGTTAAGAAAAAATTAATTTTCAACTTAAAAATTGAGCCTCTATTTAAACAATTACCCTAAGTAAACTTTTCTGAGAAAATATCTTTACTAAAATGTTTTTTCTTAAGTCTTAACTGTTATATACCTCATACGAATTCAGAAAGGGGTCACATTTTGCTTTGAAACATAAGTATGGTTGTTCTGTTTTCCTTATTAACCATTTGAAGGGAGAAAAAATTATCCCAATATTGCAGCTAAGTTTAGAGTCCTGCTGTGGAGATACAGCCTTTCTTGGTAGAATGTCAAACTTGAATCCATTCAACCTACACACATTAATAATATAATAATGATAATTTCAGTATTTGGGTTTATCTTTCACTTTTGCAAAGAATAACTGTACATATTCATGAAGTACATAGTGATGTTTTAATACATATAATGTATGGTGATCAGATCAGGGTAACTGGCACATCCATCATCTCAAGCCCTTATTATTTCTTTTTGTGGGGGGACAGATATTCAACGTCCTCTTTCTAGCTATTTGAAACTGTATCATATAGTCAACTGTAGTCACCCTACAGTGGTACAGAACACTGGAACTTACTCTGGCCATCGGCTTCTCTAATCAGCGTTTTCTACAAAGCAACCAGAGGCAATTTATGATTCTTTCTATCTACTTGAAACCTGGAGACACATGCACCTTACTAACATCATGATGAAGTGTCCTTGGACTTGACTGCTAAGACTATTCCATTTCTAGGAGACTTTTTCCCCTTGGGGCTAGAGGACAAAGTAATATCTTCAAAAGCTAAAAGCTCTTGAACACAAAAAGGGCCCAGCACCATGTCTAGCACATAACAGGTGTGCAACATACCAGGGTTTCCCTATTCTCAGCTCTTTTACTTCAAGCCTTAATTGCCTTCTACCTCCAAGAAAAAAAAAAGAAAAGTAGCCAGGTCTAGGAGTCAGGATGCCATTGGAGGTTTCGGATAATGTCTTGAGGACTCAGAAGATGAAGCTGCTATAGGGCATAATTTCCCTTTCCTGGTCACACTTGGCCCCATCCAAGACAAAGTAGGAACAATTTCCTTCGGCACAGGCTCAAGTGCTGAAGAAGTTTTTCAAGTTCATCCCCTCCTGGTTTTCCTTGTGCTCTCAAGAGTTCCCAATCTAAGCTCTAATTCAGGGTCCTGATCCTGATCCTTGTGCTCAGAGGAACATGGATGTGCTTTGGAGCAGCCCTTGAATTTGTCTGTGTTGGTGAATTTGTGTGACAAATTTGGGGTAAGTGTAATTGAATATTGTCATTTTATAGGGAGAGGATCCACAGCTTCCATCCTATTCTCTAAGGGTCCAGAAAAGTGAAGCTCAACCACCCCAGACATTTCCCAGGTCCTCTCCCTCACCGAAACATACTGACCTCTGTCCATTTCCTGGGAACTTGTCTGCAGGCAAATAGACAAATTAACCCCAATGAAGATGGCAGGAGATGACAGGGACCTCAGGGTTGCTCTTCAAGAGCCAGAATAAACTTCATACAACAAAAGAGTCACTGATGTGGCATGTCAGGACACTGATCAAGGCATTAAAGGTGTTTGAAGATTGTAGGTTAAGAATTTAAATACAGCAGAATAATTTAACTCTTACAAGACCACACAGTAGACACAAAAATGCTTGCTAAACAGATGTGTCCACAGTAGCCCTTCCCTGTGAACAAAAGTCTTTCATTGACTCACTGCTCATATCTACCCCACTGGGCCCAGGCACCAGCCCTAGCAGAAATGCAGGGACTGTCACCCTACCCACTTGCTGTGAGCAGAACCTATAGCTTCAGGGTAGGGAGAGGACAATTCAAGAGGATATGGCCAGCAAGGGTCTCAAATAGGACTTTATGCATCATACTGCCTCTTTGAGTAAGGTGAACAACTGTCTGGGTTTTAGCACTGAAATTCCTGCATCCTGGGAAACCTCTCAGTCCCCACAAATTGGGAAGATTTGTTGCCCTGCATACAAAAATCCCCAAATTTCCTCCTTCTGGGAAGTATTCAGAGCTTCCATCCTAAGCCAAAACAACAAAAGAGTGGCCTGAAAGTCCTTTAAAGATGTGTCATTTGAAAACATAAAGGAAAGTCTTTGGCGCAGAAAATAGCTATTTTCTGGAAAAAAAAAAAAAAAAAAGAAAAGAAAAAAAAAAAGAAAAGTGTTCTCTGCCAGTGGCACCACACCAATTCCTTGATAACTGGCAGACTTTGACTCAAGCAGCACTCAACTTTGAATCAAAGTTAAATTAAAAAGCCCTACTTCAAACTGTCATATTTTCCTCCACTTGTTTCCTATAACTACCCCCTGCTAACCCAAACATGTTTCCCTTCACAGGACTGTCCTTAGTCGGCAGACATTGTTGCTACAGTCACTGGGAAACACTGCTCCATATATAGGCAACGTGTCTTGGAGCCACATGTTCTGCCCTTCAACATCCTCCTGGGATCCTCCTGGGGTGCTAGGAGGAGTTTGATTGGGCTCACCAATCCTCAGCCTTTGCTAGATGAAGAGCATTATGGGGGATGAGAGGATGTCACAACTGTCCCCTAGACCAATGCTTCCAACCCAGATGATTATGCCTCCTCCCCGGGGAAGACTTGGCAATATTTGAAGATGTTGATTGTTGTGACTGGAAGGTTTGCTACTGGCATGTAGTGCGTAGAGGCCAGGGGTACTGCTGACGTACCCTACAATGCACAGGATAGCCCCCCAACAACATAGAATTCAATGTCAATGTCAGTAGTCAGTGAGGGTCCTCTCAGAGGCTGCTTTATAGCATGTGGGGTACTTGGAAGACAAGGCAGCCCGAAGTTTGCACATTTACCACCTTCTCTGAGACACAGCCTCACTGCTTCTGAATGAGAAAAAAAGCTTGTTTTAGCAGGAGACAGAAGAAAGCATGAATTAACAGCAAAAAATTCTAGTCTATAGAATAAAAATATCTCCTACCCAGCCGAGGAATCAGGAACAATTAGTGCCTAATATAGGTTGTTGATGATGATGCCACCGGTGATTCTGCAGCTCATTCCTCTGTTGACTTAAATCCCAGGAATCAGGAAAAATTAGTGCCTAATAAAGGTTGTTGACGATGATGCCACTGCTGATTCTGCAACTCATCCTTCTGTTGACTTACGTAGCAGGCTGTTTTTAGCTTAATTTTGAACTCTTTTTGAAATACCTTGCAAATTCTACAATTATAAAAAAAAATCTACGTAGATTTTAAAAAATGAATTTGCAAGGTATTCCAAAGAGAATTCAACATTAAACTAAAAACAGCACCCTACATAAGTCATGTTCAACTAATACACCTGCATATTTGCCTCCAAAGATGTGTATACGAATGTTCACAGCAGCATTATTCACGATAGTTTAAAAGTGGAAACAATCGGGATACCCATCAGCTGGTGAACTGGCCATGGAAGCATGGAACATCCACGCAATGGAATACATGTGATAATAAAAGGGAACGAGAACATAAATGAGCCTCAAAAACATTAGGCTAAATGAAAGAAGCCAGACAGAAAAGATCCCATGGTGTACGATTTGATTAATATGAACGATCTTTTCTTAAAAATAAATCTACAGAAAGAGAAGATTCGTGGTTGCCTTGAGTTGGGAGAGGGCTCCTAGGGTTGGGAATGGGGATTGATCACAAATGGACATGAGGAATGTTTCTGGGGTAGTGTAAATGTCCTAAAATTGGATTATGGTGATAATTGTACAATTCTGTAAATTTACAAAAAAAATTGAATTGTATACTTAAAACAGGTGAAATTATATGGTTAGTAATTACACATCAATAAAGCTCTTGCCAAAAATCTACTGAACTTGGATTGTTTTTCTGATATTTGGTAGGAAATGTTGTAGAAAGAACATTTAATTAGAAAAAATTATATTTATGTCCTAGCCCTGATTCTACTCATAATTAATGGCATCACTACAAGGAAGGCATTGATTTCCTCCTGGACTCAGTTTCCCCATCTGTAAAATGCTGAGGGTCCCAGAAATACTGTTTATCCTTCATGCTGTGAGCTTTGGTTAACTGGCTGCTCACATTTCAACAGGAAGAGCAGATGGCCACAACTTAACTCATGAGCCTGGGTCACTACTTTACAACAATTAAATCAGGCTTGAAGTCCGCTTTGGTTTACAGAGAATGAACTGACTGTGCCAACGTAAGTAAAATCCAGTACCACATGGACAGCTGAAGCAATCTCTCCCGCAAACTCAGCCTGCTTATCATCAGAAAGGATGCTCCTTCCAAACAATATCCCTCAGAGGTATAGACAGAGCATGTCTGCCATCTTCCCACACAAACCCAGGGAAGGACCAGGACACTGACTACCTCTCAGGCAGGCATATACACACCCAAAGAGGTTCCTCTCCCCTTTCTAAGCCTGGCTATAGTGCCACTTCACCTGCTTTAGACAACTGCTGGGACATGCAGTGATCCACAGACCAGTATCTGCAGCAGGACAGTGCCTCCCCCTCACCAATGCCTGTTAGGTTGTCTCTCTAAAGCGCCACTTGTCACTAGGTGGGAAGAAAACCACAGCTCTACCCCTTATCATTTTTAGGACATTAAAACTGCAACAACAAAATTAAGGGGCCACCCTAGTTCAAAATATTTTCCAAAATGCTGACACTTTTTCATTCACAAATTCCCACCTGTGTCATGCATAGTGCAAACTAATTAACTAAGTATCAGTGACAATTATAGCTCCTCAATCACAAAATTATCTTCCAAAGAGAATTTCCTTAGCAAGGTGAGGAGATTTAGCCAGGCTGCATCAAATCAGAAACATCATCTAAGAAAGCCAAAACTGAGGGATCCTGAGGCAGAGGATTCACCTTGAATACCAGCTGCTCATCAAGATTTATTAGAGGACATGTTTCAGTGAGAACAGTAGACTAAGATACACACCAGTCCAGAAATATTGAATTATTTCTTCTCTTAAAACAACTCAGCTGTGTCTTTTCCCACCATACCGTTTCACTGATCCTCTGAAATAATTTGCAACTCTGTCACTATATCACTAAATTAGGGGGCATAATTCTCCCAATTAAGCATTTAAGTCAAACAAGAAGAAGAGAAAGAAAGAAACATCTCCTGGCATCTTTTACTAAACTTTAAAGTAACTGAAGACTTGTTCTTGCCAAACGGTAAGTGCTAAATCCTGAGGGCTGTCACAGCTTCAAACGAGCTAACAGATGTTTGTTCTCAAGCACATTTTCCTCTCAATGGCATTTTGAGGGTATCATAAACTTCCTAACACAGTATTTCAGTGGAAACGTTTTTCGTAAGATTATTTTGTTATCATAAAAAAATCCCACAAGCATTTTTGAATATATGTTGCTCTATAGGAAACAACTAATGAGATTTAGCAATGTGGAAAAAGGTAGAAACTGCCAAGGTGAGTTCATTTACAAGCACACGTGGAGATGAACCTTAAGCAGGCCTATTTCTTTCCTCTTTTGGCCTACCTCCTATAACTCCTAGTATAGAACAGAGGGACAATTGGCAATGGCTGAAGAATTTTTGGTTGTCATAATTGGGTATGCTAGTGGATAGAGGCCAGGGATGCTGTTCAAAATCCTACGATGTTCCAAACAGCCCCTAACGACAAAATTACGCAGCCCAATATGTCAATAGTGTAGACATTGAAAAATGCTGGCATAGACAGATATAATTTCATTTGGGTTCATATCTCTGGGAATGAGACATATTTTCTACCTGTGTTTAGCTTAGTCTTAGACCAGACACATAAACACAGGTTTCCAATGTAATACAGAGTTCTCTCAAATACAGCAGCCTTTGTGGTGGGAGGGAGGGTCTACTGTGGAAAGAATGGGAGGTGGTGAAATACACTTAACACAGTGAAGAGCTAAGGAAGGGCTTCCTAGCTCTTCACATAGGCCTGTGATGGAAGATGAATAAGAATTGGCCAAACTAAGGAGAGGGCAAGGGCAAGTAGATGTGTAGGCACCTCCAAGTGCCTGTGTATAGAGTGAAGGGAGGAAGGGCCAGCTCTGCAGCACCTTGAATGCCAAGCTGGGTTTTATCTGGTGGGCCATGGTCATGAGGGTCATGGGCCACTTCTAGTCCTTCTCATGCCACCTCTTTCAAATTATCCATTGGCCCTGTTGTGGACTAAATGTTTGCATTCCCCTAAAATTCATATTTTGAAGCCCTATCTCCCAGTGTGATGGAATTAGAAGATGGGGTCTTTGGGAGATAATTACATTTAAATAAGGCCCTTGGGGTAGAGCCCCCATAAGAGTAGTACCCTTATAAGAAAAAGAAGAGGCTGGGCATGGTGGCTCAACCCTGTAATCCCCGTACTTTGGGAGGCCAAGGCAGGCAGATCACCTGAGGTCAGGAGTTTGAGAACAGCCTTGTAAACATGGTGAAACCCCGTCTCTACTAAAACTACAAAAATTAGGCTGGCATGGTGGCAGGAGCCTATAATCCCAGCTTCTCAGGAGGGTGAGGCAGGAGAATTGCTTGAACCTGGGAGGCGGAGTTGCAGTGAGCAGAGATCACACTATTGCATTCCAGCCTGGGCGACAAAGTGAGAGAGAAACCAGATGTTCCTTCTTCTCTCCACCATGTGAGGATACAGGAAAAAGGCAGCCATCTGCAGGACAGGAAGAGGGCCATTACCAGAACCTGAACATGCTGGCACCTTGATGCAAGACCACCAGAACTGAGAGAAATCAATGCCTGTTCTTTAAGCCACTCAGTCTATGATATTTTGTTATAGAAGCCCAAGCTGATATTTTTGGAGGATTAAGATGGCAGATAGGAGGCAGGACTAGCTTGCAGCTCCCACTCAGGTGGACACAGCAGTGTGTGGAGACTTACATCATAAACTTTGGCTCCAAGAACTACTACAGGAACATACCAGGAAAGCCAAGAGAATCCACAGACCCTTTGAAGGAAAGGGATCACCGTTGCAGGCTCCCTGAGATGCCAAAAACTGTGAGTCTGCTTGCTTTTTCAAGGGGGAAGCTGGTGGTCTGGGGCAAGTTCTCAGTCCTGGTCACTGGCCGCCTGGAAATAGACTCAATGCTGTTGTGGGGCACAGTGGGAAGTGAGACCAGCCTTTAGGACTGCTGGCTGCATCAGGAGGGGGCAAGGCCTGTGACTGCTGGCTTTCCCACACTTTCCTGGCAACGTGCATGACACAGCAGAGGCAGCCATAATTCCCCTGGGAACATAACTCCATTGGACTGGGAACCACTCCCCCATCCCCCACAGCAGCCACGGCAAGCCCTGCCTGGGGAGAGTCTGAGCTCAGACATACCTATCCCTGCCCCAACCTGGTGGTCTTTCTCTACCCACCCGGGTAGCTGAAGACAAAGGTCATAATCTCTTGGGAGCTCTATGGCCCTGCCAACTGCCTGAGAAACCTGAATACTTAACCAGGCATCCCTAGGGCAAGCTTGCATCTTCCTTATAGTACCATAGCTGATGCACTATTGAAAGCACCACCTACTGGCTGGCAGCCAACCAACACAAAACCAACACACTAAACCAAAATACAAGCAAGGACCCTCACAAAGTCTACTTTACTCCCCTGCTACCTTCATGGGAGCAGGTTCTGGTATCCATGGCTGAGAGATCTGAAGACAGATCACATCACAGGACCCTGCAGATGTTCCCCAGTACCAGCCCAGAGCTCAGTAGCTCCTCTGCGTGGCTAGACCCAGAAAAGCAAAAACAATCACTGCAGTTCAGCTCCCAGGAAGTCCCAACCCTAGGTGAAGAGTGCAAAGACCTCATCAAAGGAGCACCCCGTGGAACAAAAGAATCTGAACAAGCAGCCCTTGAGTCCCAGATCTTCCCTCTGACATAATGTACCCAAAGGAGAAGGAACCAGAAAAGCAATTCTGCTAATATGACAAAGCACTGTTCTTTATCACCCCCAAAAGATCATAGGTCCAAAGATCTATGGATCCAAACCAAGATCATAGATCCAAACCAAGACAAAATCTCTGAATTAAAAGAATTAAGGGCTGGGCACGGTGGCTTACACCTGTAATCCCAGCAATTTCGGAGGCCAAGGCAGGCGGATCACAAGATCAGGAGATTGAGACCATCCTGGTCAACATGGTGAAACCCCATCTCTACTAAAAATACAAAAAAATTAGCCGGACGTGGTGGCGGGCATCTGTAGTCCCAGCTACTCGGGTGGCTGAGGCAGCAGAATGGTGTGAACCTGGGAGGCAGAGCTTGCAGTGAGCCGAGATCGCGCCACTGCACTCCAGCCTGGGCAACACAGCGAGACTCCGTCTAAAAATAAAAATAAAAAAGAATTAAGAAGGTCAATCATTAAGCAGATGAAGGAGGCACCAGAGAAAGGTGAAGTCCAACTTAAAGAAATCAAAAACCTGATACAGGATATGAAAGGAAAAGTCTTCAGTGAAATAGCACAAATAAAAAACAATCACAACTTCTGGAAATCAAGGACACACTTAGAGAAATGCAAAATGTACTGGAAAGTCTAAGCAATAGAATTGAACAAGCAAAAGAAAGAATGTCAGAGCTTGAAGACCAGCCTTTGAAATTAATTCAATTCATTTAACACAAAAAAGAATTTTAAAAAATGGAAAAAGCTTCCAAGAAGTTTGGGACTATGTTAAATGTTCAAACCTAAGAATAATTGGTGTTACTGAGGAAGAAGATAAATCTAAAAGTTTGGAAAATATATTTAAGGGAATAAATGAGGAAAACTTTCCTGGCCTGCTAGAGATCTAGACTTCCAAATATAAGAAGCTCAAAGAACACCTGGGAAATTCATCACAAGAAGTTCATCACCTAGGCACATAGTCATCAGGTTACCTAAAGTCAAGTCAAAGAAAAGAATTTTAAGAGCTGTGAGGCAAAAGCATCAGGTAATCTATAAAGGAAAACCTATCAGATTAACAGCAGACTTCTCAGCAGAAACCCTACAAGTTAGAAGGGACTGGGGTCCTATCTTTAGCCTCCTCAAACAAAGCAAATATCAGCCAAGAATTTTGTACCCAGTGAAACTAAGCTTCATGAATGAAGGAAAGATACAGTCTTTTCCAGACAAACAAATGCTGAGAAAATTTGCCACTATGAAGCCACCACTACAAGAATTGCTACAAGGAGCTCTAAATCTTGAAACAAATCCTTGAAACACACAAAATAGAACCTCCTTAAAGCATAAATCTCACAGGACTATATAACAATAACACAATGAAAAAAAGGTATTTAGGCAACAAATAGCATGATGAGTAGAATAGTACCTCATATCTCAATACTAACATTGAATGTAAATGGTCTAAATGCTCCACTTAAAAGACCACACAATGGCAGACTGGATAAGAATTCACCAACCAAGTTTCTGCTGTCTTCAAGAGACTCACCTAACACATAAGGATTCACATAAACTTAAGGTAAAGGGGAGGAAAGAGATATTCCATGCCAATGGACACCAAAAGAGAGTAGGGGTAACTATTCTTATATCAGATAAAACAAACTTTAAAGCAACAGCAGTTTAAAAAGACAAAGAGGGACATTATATAATGATAAAAGGACTAATGCAACAGGAAAATATCACAATCCTAAATATATATGCACCTAACACTGGAGCTCCCAAATTTATAAAACAATTACCCTGCTAGACCTAAGAAATGACATTGATGGCAACATAATAACAGTGGGGGACTTTAATACTCCACTGACAGCACCAGATGGGTCATCAAGACAGAAAGTCAACAAAGAAACAATGGACTTAAATCATACCCCACAACAAATGGACTTAACAGATATTTACAGAACATTCTATCCAACAACTGCAGAATATACAATCTATTCTTCAGCACATGGAACATTCTCCAAGATAGACCATATGATAGGCCACAAAACAAGTCTCAATAAATTTAAGAATATCAAAATTATATCAAGTACTCTCTCAGACCACAGTGGAATAAAATTGGAAACAAACTCCGAAAGAAACCCTCGAAACCATGCAAATACATGGAAATTAAACAACCTGTTCCTGAATAATCATTGTTTTGACAATAAAATCAAGATGGAAATAAAAAATTCTTTGAACTGAACAATAACAGTGATAAAACTTGTCCAAACCTCTGGGATACACCAAAGGCAGTGCTAAGAGGAAAGTTCATAGCATTAAATGCCTAAATAAAAAGTCTGAAAAAGCACAAATAGACAATCTAAGCTCATGCCTCATGGAACTACGGAAACAAGAACAAACAAAACCCAAGCCCAGGAGAAGAAAAGAAATAATCAAGATCGAGCAGAACTAAATGAAATTGAAACAAAAGAAAACAATGCAAAATATAAATGAAACAAAAAGCTAGTTCATTGAAAAGATAAATATAATTGATAGGCCATTAACATGATAAACAAAAAAAAGAAGACAGAAGATGCAAATAAGCTCAATTACAAAACAAATGGGAGATATTAGAACCGATACCACAGAAATCCAAAAGATTATACAAGGCTACTATGAACAACTATATGCACATAAACTAGAAAACCTAGAGGAGACAGATAAATTCCTGGAAATATACAATCCTCCTAAATTAAATGAGGAAGATATAGAGACTCTGAACAGACTAATAACAAGCAGGAAGATTGAAATGGTAATTTAAAAAATTATCAAAAATAAAACATCCAGGACCAGGCAGATTCACAGCCGAATTCTATCAGACATTCAAAGAAGAATTGGTAACAATCCTATTGACACTATTCCAAACAATAGAGAAAGAGGAAATTCTCCCTAAATCATTCAATGAAGCCAGTATCACCCTAATACCAAAACCAGGGAAAGACATAACCAAAAAAATGGAAACTACAGACCCATATCCCTGAAGAACATAGATGCAAAAATTCTCAACAAAATACTAGCTAACAGAATCTAACAGCATATCAAAAAGATAATCCACCATGATCAAGTGGGTCTCACACCAGAAAGGTGGGGATGGTATAACATATGTAAGTCAATAAATGTGATACACCACATAAACAAAATTAAAAACAAAAATCACATGATCATCTCAATAGATGCAGAAAAACATGTGACAAAATCCAGCATCCCTTTATAATTAAAACCTTCATCAAAATTAGCATAGAAGGGACATACCTTAAGGTAATAAAAGCCATCTATGACAAACCCACAGCCAACATTACACTGAACAGGGAAATGTTGAAAGAATTCCCACTGAGAACTAGAACAAGACAAGGATACCCAGGTTCACCACTTCTATTCAACACAGTACTGGAAGTCCTAGCCAGAGCAATTAGATAAGAGAAAGAAATTAAGGACATCCAGGTCAGTAAAGAGGAAGTCAAACTGTGACTGTTTGCTGACGACATGATTCTATATCTAGAAAACTCTAAAGACTCATCCAAAAAGCTTCTAGAACTGGAAAATGATTTCAGCAAAGTTGCAAGATACAAAATTAACGCACATAAATCAGTAGCTCTGCTATATACCAACAATGACCAAGCTGAGAATCATATCAAGAACTCAATCCCTTTTACAATAGCTGCAAAAAAAATAAAATAAAATACTTAGGAAAATACCTAATCAAGAAGGTAAAAGACCTCTACAAGGAAAACTACAAAACACTGCTGAAAGAAATCGTAGATAACACAAATGGGAACACATCCTATGCTCATTGATGTGTAGAATCAATATTGTGAAAATGACCATACAGCCAAAAGCAATCTATAAATTCAATGCAATTTCCATCAAAATATCACCATCATTCTTCACAGAACTAGAAAAAACAATCCTAAAATTCCTGTGGAACCAAAAAAGAGTTCACATAGCCAAAGCAGGATGAAGCAAAAAGAACAAATCTGGAGGCATCACATTGCCTGACTTCAAACTACTATAAGGCCATTGTCATCAAAACTGCATGGTACTGGTACAAAAATCATAGACCAAAGGAACAGAATAAAGAATCCAGAAAAGAAATAAAGAGTCAAATACTTACAGCCAATTGATTTTCGGCCAAGCAAACAAAAACATAAAGTAGGGAAAGGCCACCCTATTCAACAAATGGTGCTGGGACAATTGGCAAGCCACGTGTAGAAGAATGAAACTGGATTCTCATTTCTCATCTTATACAAAAATCAACTCAAGATAAATCAAAGACTTAGATCTATGACCTGAAACCATAACTTTCATTTGAGAAGATAACATCAGAAAAACTCTTCTAGACATTGGCTTAGGCAAAGAGTTCATGATCAAGAACCCAAAAACAAATGCAACAAAAACAGATAAATAGATGGGAATTAATTAAACTAAAAAGCTTATGCACAGCAGAAGAAATAATCAACAAAGTTAACAGACAACCCACAGAGTGGAGAAAGTCTTCATAATCTATACATCTGACAAAGGACTAACATCCAGAATCTACAGAGAACTCAAAAAATATCAGCAAGAAAAAAACAAACAATCCCATCCAAAAGTGGGCTAAGGACATAAATAGAAAATTCTCAAAAGAAGATATACAAATGGTCAACAAGCATATGAAAAAAATACCGAACGTCACTAATTATCAGGGAAATGCAAATAAAAACCACAATGCAATACCACCTCACTGCTGCAAGAATGGCCATATTCAAAAAATGAAAAGATAATAGATGATGGCATGGATGTATTGAAAAGGGAACACATTTACACTGTGGGTGGGAATGTAAACAAGTACAACCACTATGGAAAAGTGTGGACATTCTTCAAAGAACGAAAAGTATATCTATTATTTGATCCAGCATTCCCACTACTAGGTATCTACCCAGAGGAAAAGAAGTCATTGTACGAAAAAGATACTTGCACATGCCTGTTTATAGCAGCACAATTTGCAATTTCAAAAATATGGAACCAGCCCAAATGCCCATCAATCAACTAGTAGATATAGAAAATTTGGTATATCTACATACCATGGAATACTATTAAGCCATGAAAAAGGAATTAAGTAATGGCATTCACAGCAATCTGAATAGAATTGGAGATGGAATTGGAGACTATCATTATAAGTGAAGTAATTCAGGAATGAAAAAGTAAACATCATATGTTCTCACTCATAAGTGGGAGCTAAGCTATGAGGAAGCAAAGGCATAAGAATGATACATTGGACTTTTGGGACTCAAGGGTAATGATGAGAGGTAAGAGATAAAAGAATAGACATTGCATGCAGTGTACACTGCTTGAGTGTAACCAAACACAACCTGATCCCTAAAAACCTATTGAAATAAAAATAAAACAAATCAAAACAAACAATTAAAATAAAATAAAATTTTAAAATGAAGTTTTATTAGAACATAAAAAAAAAAGTAGCCCAAGTTAACTGAGACAGAAATTTGTACCAAGAAGTGGGGTGTTGCTCTAAAAATCTCCTTAAAATGTGAAAGCAGCTTTAGAACTGGTATTAGGTAGAGACTGACAGAGTTTTGAAGTGCATGCTAGAAAAAGCCAAGATTGCCATGAAAGGACTACTAAAGGGGAGTCTGATGAAGACTCAGAAAGAAAAGAAGAAATCTGCAGAGAACACATCCACCTTCTTAGAGACTACATAAGTGATTGTGAACACTGAATGTTGGTAGAAATATGAGCCATTCTGATGAAGTCACAGATGAAAACAAGGAACATGTTATCAGGCAATGAAGTAAAGGTAATCCCTATTATATAGTGGCAAAGAACTTGACTAACGTGTTCATAAATGAAGTTAGCTATTTAGCTGAGGAGATTTCTGAGCAAAGTGTTGAAAGAGTGGCTTGGTTCCTCCCAACTGCCTATAGAAAAATGTAAGAAGAGAGAAATCAATTAAAGAAGGAATTGTTGAGTAAAAAAGAACCAGAACTTACAGATTTGGAAAATCCTTAGCCTATCCATATTTTTAAAAAATGAGAATGTTTGGAAGATAATATTAAGGGTATGGCTATTTGATGAGGAGACTACTGTGAGTGTCAACCATGGACCTAATCAGCCACCTCAACAGAAGCAAGAAATGGGATTAGCAAAAACTTTGACAAGTAGTATGAAAAGAAACAGAGAAAATGAGACAGAATGAAGGCTGCAAACATATACCATTCCTCAGAGGAAAAAATAGGATGATAGGGAAGATGATTCAGAGATTATTAGGGCTACCACTTTCACCACAGGCTTATGAGGTGGACCTAGTTCCTCCTTGGTCTCAAAGGATGGGGCTAACTCTCTCATTTCAATAGGTCAGAATGTTCCCAACTATTGCCATAGGGGTGGGGCCACTGAAGATATCCTTGTGGGTGGGTCCCCATGGAGCAGGAGGAGCAGGGCCAGTCCATTGCACTGTGAGAATGATGCTGCCATCATTGTCCTGCTAAGACAAATTTAAATTTTTGTCTTGCTAAGAACTTCCTTATGACCCATCACTCCTTCCTTCTTTCCTATTCTTCCCTTTTGGAATGAGAACGTCTATCCTATACCTGTCTCATCATTGCAGTTTGGAAGCACACAACTTGTCTGGTTTCACAGATTCATAGCTGGAGAGGAATTCTGTCTCATGACGAAGCATACCTCAAGTCTCTCTTTAGACTAGACTTCAGACTTTAAATTTTAGAGCTGATGCTAGAATAAGTTAAAATTTGGGGGGCTGTTGGGATAGAATACATGTCTTTTGCATGTAAGAAAGACAGGAATTTCAGAGGGCCATGAAGGGAATGTTACGGACTGAATATTTGTGTTCCCTCAAAATTCATATGTCAAAGGCTGAACTTCCAATGTGATGGTATTAGTAGGTGGAGTCTTTGGGAGGTGATTAGGTTTAGATGAGGTCATGAAGGTAGACCCTCCATTATGGGATTAGTGTCCTTATAAGAAGAGGAGGAGATACCAGGCCTACGAGACACAGCAAGAAGTTATTCATCTGCAAGCCAGGAAGAGGGCCCTCACCAGAACCCAATCATGGTTACATCCTGATCTTGGACCTCCAGAACTGTGACAAATAAATGGCTGTTATTTAAGCCACCCAGTCTGATATTTTCTTGTAGCAGAATGAACAGATGAAGACAGGTCCTCTCCACTTTTCACTTTTCTTCATGTCCAGCTTAAAATCCTTGATCCAGTAATAAAAACCACATCACCACCTTGATTACATTCTCTGTTCTTTCCACCTCTATCCTTTATCAATGCCAATGAAGACCTTCATTCTTAAATGGGATCTCTTTGTATTCCTTCTTAGAGCCACACATGAATCTACAATTGTCTCAAAATAAAATATTTTTTAAAACGCACCTTCTTTCTGGATGATGCCAACTATCTGACATGCCTAAAAGTGAACAACTCAAGTTAGTGAAGATACTTTCAGGCTGATTGTGGTCATCAACTTTACATGGAACCTCTCTCCCCCATGCTTTCCTTCTCTTACACTCATTCTTTTATTTTTATTATTGATTCTCATGTGTGTGAAACACAGGTAGAACAGAGGCTTGAATGTGCCTTGGTCTCTGGGAGGCAGGACAAGTCTACTTTTAGCATGTGTGCTAGGGGAAGCTATATCTCACTTACTCTTCAACAGACCCCAATCTGTCTTTTGTTTCCACCATCCAGTGAAAGGCAAGGTCACCGATGTCTTTATCTACCAAATCCAAAGGGTGCCAGTGAGATATTACTTGACCTCGCATTAGCATTTGACATATTCTCGTCTCTGAAAATATTCTTCTCTCTTGACTTCTATGTGTCTCCTGTGGCAAGATATGAAAGTTTCAGCCCATGTGAATATAGAAACTTCACCACGCTTGGGATTTTCTCCATTTGTTTTGTGCTGTATGAGACAGATTAAAGATAAATTCTTCTCCTCACTTCCGGGGGAGGTTGGAAGTCTTTGGTCTTCATGGAAAGGCAAGCCACACCTGGACTTATTCTGGCTCTGAGTTTAATGGGCCATGAGGAGTAAGAAGACAGTAGGTTTCAGGGGGGCATGGGGTTATAAAGAAGGTTTGAGATAAGGATGCACAAGAGAACTGCTAGAGGGATATGGAAGCAATGGAGAGATTACCACCAGATGGAGCCCCTGGAAGTGAGGTGCTAATATCTGGAAAACTGCTGAGAAGGAGGAGGATCCATAATCCAGGGAGCATTAGAAAAGTGGACCCTTCTGAATATCATGGCAAAGGGCATTGCTTGAGGGCCCAGGAGGCTGATGAGAATGGAACCTTGCCTGACAATCACCCAGTCTTCTTCCAATGGAAAATGTTGCACTATTTTCACATGAATGTCTTCTCTTTGTCTACACCCACACCAGAGAAAGCTCCTATCTGTCTATACCAGCACTTTACCCACTGGCTGAAGACCCCCAGCTATGCCCCAAGACTATGCCTGGTTCCTATCGCATGACCTCACGTGGATGTTCCTTGTTATGGTTTAAATGTGTGTGTTCCCCTAAAACTCATATGTTGAAACCTAATTACCAAGGTGGTGTTATCAGAAGGTGGTCCTTTTGGGAGATGATTAGGTCATGAGAGTAACGTCCTCATAAACATGATTTGTATCTTTCTAAAAGAGGCCCCAGAGAGCTGCCCAGACACTTCACCATGCGAGGATGCAGCAAGAAGAAGCCATCTGTGAACCAGGAACTGGTCCTCACCAGACACTGAATCTGCTGACACCTTGGTTTTGGGGTTTCCAGCCTCCAGAACAATGAGATGTAAATCTCTGTTGCTTATAAACCACACAGTCTACGACATTTTGTTATAGCAGTCCAAACAGACTAAAATTTTTCTTACATATTTTAAAATCCCCATACCCATAAGCCTAAAGAGTGAGGTCTGTTCATGAAGTGGGCATCCCCTGCCCCCTAAACTTAGTGGTGAAGAGGGACAAAATATGTAAGCTCAAAGGCTACAAGCTAGGACAGTTGTTCCTGAGCCTCGTCTTACACTGCCTTCTCCACCTCTTCCTCTGACTTTGCCGGACGCATTTGCTCCATCTCCTCTGCTGGTTCCTCCCTGGTTCTGAATACCTCGGAACTCTGTCCTTTTTTCTTCTTCTTCTTCTGCCTAGAAAATCATATCTATTACCATGACTTTAACAACACCCACATTCTGATCACTCCAAATTGATACATTCAGGCCAATGAAACCCAGGTTTAGACATCCAGCTGCTTACTTCATGTCCACATCTGTGTGTTTCATAGACATCTGAAGCATAGCATGTTGAAAATTACAGGGCCCTTATGATGTGTTTCTGCCAATCTCTCCAACCAAATGACAAGCCATCCCTTCCCTCAACCTTTCAACACAACAGCCTCTTGGGCACCCTTTCCTTTCTCAAACATGACACACCCTTTCTCATCACAGGGGCTGTGCACATGATATTCCTTCTGCCCCAAACTTCCTCCCCCCGCATTGCTTGCTCTTGTCATTATTTCAACTGTCATCTCCTCAGAGAGACTTTCTCTCCCACTCTGTATCTAAAGTAGGTCTCACTGTTATTTTCTATGAATTCACCCTCTATAGCATAAATCACCATTATGTTTATCTGTATTGTCCTTCACCCCCCTGCCCCACCCAATAACCCATGAATTTCATGAGGGCAAAGACTATACTACATCCCCAGTACCTGGAATACTGTCTGGTTCGGAGAAAAAGAGAAGATGTTCGATAAATATTCATTAAATGAATGACTGGTAAACATTAGAGTATACATATAATAATATTATATATATGTATGTATGTATGTATATATATGAAGTTGAAGAGGTGTAGAGAGGTGGGTAAGAGATGAGTTTTATTTTACATGTGTTGAGCTTGGAGGACATAGAGGACCAATGAATGGATCAATCCAGCAGATGATTGGGCTCTAAGTGTGAAGGTAAGGGGGGCCAGAGATAAAGATATAGGAGGAATTCAACAAAACTATGGCCAAAGTCACAGATGAGAATGAAATGGCCCAAAAAAAGTCAGTAGAGTGAGAATAGGGGACCAAGAACAGAACCCCACAGAAAACTACCTAGAGGTTACCTGCTGCTCAGTCACCACTATTTCACCATTTCCACCAAGCTCTCCTGCCTACTCCTCTGCCTTGTCTAGAATAGGGGGCCAGGAACTTAGTAACAGTCACCACGGTAGGCGCTGGGAATAAACAGTGACCAAAACAAACTTGGTCACTGCCGTAGAACAGTTCATGGGTAGTGAAAGCAAGCCATGTGGACAGTCACTGGGTGGCAGAGACCATGCCTCCCAGTTTTTTTCTCTTCAGTTTTAGTTGGTCATCTGACTGCCCAGAGGAAAAGCTACATTTCTTAATTGCCTTTCTTGCAATTTGGTGTAGACATGGATTAAGTTTTAGCAATGGGTTATGAGCAGAAGGAAGGGACACTGTTGTGAGTTGAACTGTGTTCCCCACAAATTCATATAATAAAATCCTAACCCCTGTTGAGGAATGTGAACTTATTTGGAGATAAGGTCTTTATAGAGGTAATCAAGTTAAAATGAGGTCATTTTAAACAAGGACCTTATCTAATATGACTAGTTTCTTTATAAAAAGGGGGAAATTGGACACAGAGATACCCATAGAGAGAAGACAATGGAAGAGACAAAGGGAGAAGATGGTAACCTACAAGTCAAGAAGAGAGGCTTGGAACAGATCTTTTCCTCACAGCCCTCAGAAAGAACCAACTGCCAATACTCAGTCTTGAACTTCTAGCTTCCACAACTGTGAGACAATACATTTCTGTTGTTTAATCCATCAGTCTCTGGAACTTTGTTACAGTAGCCCTTGCAAACTAGTAAAGAAACCACTTCGAGGTCATAACTCTAGAAAAGGATATGTATGAACCTCCTGGCCCTTCTCCCACTTTGCTGGCCTGGGGATGACTAGACTTGCAGCAGCTATCTTGGATGCAGAAGTGGAAGCCATGTGTTGAGTTTGGCAGGGCCACACCACAGTTGACAAAGCACCCTTGACTGCACCCCTCTGGACTGTTACAGAACAGAGAAAGAAAGGTTTGTTTGTTCTAAGCCACAATATTTTGGGTCTCTTTGTTACAGTATAGATTCCTTAGCCTGTATTCTAACTGATACATATTGCATAAAGGTCATGGATAACTGTAAATAAAGTCATATATGACTTCCAAATAATGCTTGAAAATGAATTATATTTGACCTCCCATCCTAATTATACATTCTACATCAAATTTATAGAATTGAAAGTACATCCTGCCACATCTGTCTCTGCCTCCTAACCCTCCAGATTGGCTGGTCTCATCAATTCTAACTTGGTTTTCATTATTGACTTCATCTCTTTTCCCATTTGCAGACCATTCAAAGAATCTCTTCCAAGATTTTTCCTTCATATTCCTTAGGTTACCTTAGCTCCTCTATTTCACTCCAGTCTGGTTTTCAAGTTTAAAATGCTTTCCAGAATACAAATCTGACACTCCACTATTCTTTTCTTTCCAACCCAGGCACAATTCAACATGATTCAGCCATCATCATTACAGGTAAAGTACTTTCCTAAAACACTCATCTTCCTCTGCTCTGTCTTTTGCTGAGGTATGCAGCCCCCTTTGATGTTAAATGGACTTCTTTCTGTGACAGTACTTGAAGACAATGGGATCTGGCTAGACATCTGTAGGTTTCCTTAATGTCAGCATTAAATACAGATTTATTGTTAATTGATACATTTATGCCGAGTTTTCTAAATCAATGGAAAGTGAAAAAAAAAAATGCTCACAAAATGCTAAGAATTTTTTCTCACTTTAAGGAAAGTCCATGGCAAGAATGTTCTCTTATCTAAGCAGGAATATCTAGAGTAAAAAATTTGGAAATCAAACATGGTTACTGTAGTGTTTTTATTCTAATCGATTCCACTGTTCTCGAGCCCATTTTTTTTCATCCAGATATTCCATGAAA
This sequence comes from Homo sapiens, assembly GCF_000001405.40. Taxonomy (NCBI): domain Eukaryota; kingdom Metazoa; phylum Chordata; class Mammalia; order Primates; family Hominidae; genus Homo; species Homo sapiens. The sequence goes on from NC_000005.10 coordinate 9,814,504, forward strand.
GTTCAAATAGGGAATACATTCTACATTCCAGATCAAAATTTAAAATCACTGAAGCATTTGTCTACAAATGCAAGCTGATTGGTCAATCCTACGTTCTTTCTTTATTCTAGAATGAAGGGCAATGTGGATACATCTGAATCATTCAACAATGACATAACTTACCTTCTCTATGACCCAATTTACTTGCCTAATTTTGGTGACTCAGTGGACTAAGGAGAAGATGAAATATGGAGAAATTATATTTCTTTTGCTGGATCTGTCAGAAAAAAAAAGTGTATGACTTTGGGGAGAAAAATATCCTTCCTCTGACTTTGCTTCCACATTTGCAAAACAGGAACAGAAAAGTCCCACTAACTTAGTAATAAATTATCTCATTACTGAGTGTAAACACTGTTATTGTTTAGCATTTATTTCTGCAATCTGTCAGGATATTTTGAAATTTCTCCATGAACTATACATCTTAATACAGTGTTTCTCCTTCTCTCTTCACATGGCGTGTCGGAGAAAGCGAGGCAGAATGGTGAACACATGGGTGATGTAAATGAAATGCTGTTTAATTTATTTTCAAATGGATAAAAGGAAATGTAATTAAGCTCCCTAAAAGCCTTCCAAATAAACTTCCCTTAAAGGAGTAGAAAAGGAGGTTGTAATTGATCAAAGTAGCTACGTCAAGTGTCAGATTCCTTGACACTTGGAGACAGACCAGATTAAGATAGCCAGCAGAGAATCAATTGCAGTACAAGCCAGAGGCTTCACAGGACTGGGGGAAAATACCAGAAATGTGGATTAGATGCTGGTCAGCATCAAGAAGCAAACACACTCCATGTCTGAAGTCTTGGGCTTAGATGTACAACTGGTGTAAGTGAACCCTCTCTCTTCTTAATGCACAAACAAGTCAATGTGTGTTTATATTAGATAAGCAGATGATAGATGATAGATAGATGGATAGACAACAGATAGATAGATAATCTCCTATCTTTTTATTTAATGAGGAAAAGCCAAGATATCAGCCTAAAACCACTAAAAAAGAGAGAGAAAGCAAGCCCTATGGGTCTGCAGGTCCCAAGAGAAAGACTTCCTTCTGCTACATTGCATGCTACCAAGGATAGCAGGGGATCCACAGCAAATAATATCTACTCAAGTCTGTATTGTACATTTGTTAAATTCTGATCCCTGACCAAAAAAAAAAAGAAGGAACCCTGGTAGAACAACTATAAATATACATACTCAACATCTCACATGTCCCATAGTAAATGCCACAAAATGAGCATGCTTTGTATTTGTTCTAAAATTGTTACTCTTCAGAGTATTCAAACTAAAAACAAAACTATATTTATATCTCAGGATTCTATAACTCCACCAGCTTTGGAATGGCAAGAATGAGAAGTGGTCACCCTCTTAGGGTCATTAATGTTCCTGAAACTTACACTTCATAGAAACAGGCATTTTTATCCTTTTTAAAAATATATGTGTATGCCCTAACTAATCAACAGCCTGGACACATAGACCCAACTTTGAATTGATTGTGGAATTAACTCTCGTGTCAATAGAGAGGAAGTCATCAAGGTGTAAATTTCCTCTCTCAAGGATTATATGTCTTTATCATAAAAATCATAAAATAAAATCATGAGTTTCCATTAAAAAGTGACTATTTTATGATCCACAGTTTATCAACTGTCAGCTATACACTGTTTTGATTCTTTGCTTTCCTCTTTTCAACATGATCAAATATGAACATGCTATTAAGTCTTAACCCTGGCATGCTATTTTTGAAAAGATATTATATAATGAATATCTGCCATAAAATAGTATATAAGTATATGTGATAATCAATCGCAATTGATTATTTTAGTTTATTGTCTTTCCAACAAGACAGTGAAGATTCGAAGCATTCTATTGTTAAAATAAGGTTTTAAAAACAGAAAAAAAATGAAAAATTACCAGGAATGGAGAATTAAAGCACAATATAAAACCCCTGTAATAAAGAGTCATTGCCTCACAGATGAACATAAATTGAAAAATCTATTGCTTTTTTTTTCTGCAGACATTTCTCAGGATAGTGCCATACTACCATTCATGGGAGATGCTTATCACAAATAGTCAGAAATAATGTATCTCAGGGAGAAGTATTTCATTATTAGGTATGATGAAAAGCAATATTACTAGAGGCATTCCATCATCAAGTTCTCTTAGCCTATTTTGAAAGGTCTTTAAGAAAAGGTATTCACAAGCAAGCATGAAAACTATGAAGCATCAAGGCAGTTGATGATTCTAATAATAGTATAACTGATCATTTATACACTGTAAATATAACCTACTGAGCTCATCATAATGATTAAAGTTGAAGTTTAAGACAATGCAAAATAAATGTTTAAATGAAACACACTGAGATGACAACAGTGGTTAACTTAGAGTGGGTCTGATCAGCGGTCTTTTAAATTTCATTCTTTCTAGCTTGCAAATTTTCTACAATATATAGGTAGTATTTTTATAATAAAAATTTTAATTTTGTTAATTTTTTCCAGGCTTACTAATATTTTCACCTGCAATGTGCTTCCAGTGTGTATGAGTCAAAATCTTTGATAGGACTTTGAAGTCTACAAAAGTGAGCGGAATATCAGGAAAACTGATTTTAAGCCCACATGTCACAAGCCAAAGGAACATGTCCGATTTAAGCTCTCTGTGCACGAGGTTTAATATCTGTAAAAACATCTTCTCCTGGAAAAAGATACCCCTAACTGAAAACAGCCGTTGTGTCATAGAGATGGGAATGAGATTAGATTTTATTTTCTATTTTGCACATGCCTACGCTTTAAATTTATTTCATTTGGAAAAAAATATTTTCTGTTTTCTTGGAAAAAGTTTGACTTTTTAATGACAATTTTACAGGCATCAACAATTATGCACTTTTTGATTGCACAGTAAGAACTGATCTAGAAAAAATTAAATTGAGATACTTTTCAAACTGGAAGAAATTTAAATCACTGAGGTAACAAGTATGGGGTTTCTTTTGGGGGTGAGGGCAATGTTCTAGTTAGATAGTGGTGATGGTTGCATGATCTTGTAAATACCCTAAAGATCATTAAACTTTAAAATGGAGAATTTTCTTGTATGTGAATAATGTCTCAAAGCAAAACAAAACTAGAAGATACTGAGGAGCATCAGATTTGGGACAGAATTACCTGAGCTCGTATGAATTTGTTTTCACACTACTGTAAAGACACTACCTGAAACTGGAAAATGTATAAACGAAAGAGGTTTCATTGACTCATAGTTCCATATTGCTGGGGAGGCTTCAGGAAACTTACAATCACGGTAGAAGGTGAAGGGGAAGCGAGCCTTGTCTTACATGGAGGCAGGAGAGCGAGAGGGAGAGGGAGAGGGGGAGGGGGAGGGGAAGTGCCACACTTTGAAATCATCAGCTCCCATGAGAACTCACTCACCATCACAAAAATAGCATGGGAGAAACTGCTTCCATGATCCAATCACCTCCCACCATGTCCCTCCCTCTACACATGGGGATTATAATTCAAGATAAGATTTGGATGAGGACACAGAACCAAACCATATCAGAGACCATTCCGTATAATCACTGTCTCCTCCTTGCCAAAAAGTGAGAGACAGACACAGGACTCAGGGACAATCAGCAGAGGCTGTCACGTCCTTAAGGCCATCTCATCCATAACTCAGATTTTTTTAAATCAAATTGTGTTATACAAGTGGGCTCATTTGGCCATATTAAGGGGAGGCTGTCAGTGAAGACATTTTCTTACCTCATTAGGACAAGAAACATTCTTGCTCTCTCAGAGTCAGAGATTTGGGCGACATTATCTCTCTAGAGTATATGCCTTGAGTGTGGTCACCCCAAGATTTTCTCTACCCTCTGTAGCCTATGTTGATACCTCTGTCAGTTGGCTTTTGCTGCATAATTAAACATCCCCAAATTTAGTGGCTTAAGGCAACCACCATCCATGTGGCTCATGTATACAGGTCAGCCATGTGGGCTGAAGCTCTTCTGGGCTCAGCTGCTCAGGTGAGTGAGCTGGCTGTGGGCCAGGGTGATGGGTGACTGGGCAATGTCTCCCTCTTCATACAGCAGGCAAACCTGGGCTCTCTCATCCAGCACAGCATGCTTCAAAAAGAACAAGTAAAGCGTTCAAGATCTTTTAAGCCTAGACCTGGAACTGCACAGGCCACTTCATCCACATCCTCAGGGTGAGACTCAGTCGCAAGTCCATCCTGGACCCAAGGGGTGGGGAAATAGGCCTCACCTCTTGATGGGAGGAAGCATAGAGTCACATTGCAAGATGTGGGACACAAGGAGGGGAAACATGCTTGGAAGCAACCTACCGCCACACAGCCCCAACAACATAGACTTCAAAATTGTAAACACAAAAGAAAGAAACATTCAAGGGCTCTCAGCTCACACAGTTAATCTTCCCAGTGGGACACAGGGAACATAATGATTTAATGACTTCGAAGCCATGTATTATTCAAAGAGGAAGAGTTCTCACTGAGAAAACATCCCAAGTAAACTGAAACACATCTGCACTCCTCATTACTGTTCCTCTCCCTCCCTGCCCTCCTTAGAGCCCTCAGTTACTGCTTTAGGTAGATAAACAGGGTTTGATTCAACTGAAAGGGGAGCTGTAGCCATTATACAACCTCAGATGAGGATTGCTGAGAGAGATCTAGGGATGGTAAATGGCGACTCAAAGACTCCTCAATGAGTCTAAGCCTAGGGAAGGTGCTGAGTTTGTGGTTCTTAAAGCAAAGGACTCGAGGTCACCATCGCTCAGAGATGAGACAATCTCTCAGCTCCATTTCATGCTGATATATTTCCTCAGATCCATTACATGCGAGCTTAATTTTTTTAAGGTGAAGGTTTCTGCAACCTGGAAAACAAAGCAATAATCTTACAATACAGTAGAATTGGGCAGAAGTCCCCAACTATCTCTGCACATCAGAATCGCTGAGCACACTTAATAAAAACACTACGTCTTGGGCTCCATCCTCAGGCATTGTGATCCAATAGGTTTAGAGTTTAGTGCAGAGACATAATTTCAGCAAGCTTCCCAGTTGTCTGGATGAGCTTAGTTTTATTAGGTAAGAAATGGGGATAACTGTATCTGCTGCATCTGGCTTCCACTGATGTATCAATAGATACGGATGGGTGCGGCATGCTGACATGAGGTGCATTAAAGCAGATAAGCCATATCAAAACACAAAACCTCCACAGCAGGCAAGCTTATACTGGGCATATTCCAACCTTACTTTGCAAGATGTCCATTTTCAGTTCCTTGCCATCTACTGATTACTCATTAAAATCTAGGACATTCATGTTAACCCAGGCATACTGTAGGATTGTGTACAGCTGCAAGTTACAAATATGCAAAAAAAGCGTACTGCACAAGACAGAAATGTATTTGTTCCCATGTAAGTATTTCAGCCCTGTCATGACAAGCCAGCTCCATGAAACATAAAGAGACCCCCAGCTCCTCCCATCTAACCACTTTGCCATGCCTCAACCTCATGATATAAAATAAAATTGGGGATCCAGAAATCACATTTATATCCCAAGCAGAAGTCTGGAGAAAGGGGAAAAGATGAAGCAAACAGCCCCTTCTTTTAAAGAGCATTCCCAGTTTGCACACTCTATTTTCACCTGCATTCCATTGATCAGAAACTTAAGCACATGGAAAGGAAGTCACTAGAAAGAAAGACTGGAAGATTCCATCTCTATTCCAGACTGCCATAGGGGGCTGAAATTTCTGTGGAAGAAAGATAAATTGTAGGACAAGAAGAAACCCCTGCCATACCCAGGCTTTGTCAGAACGCCTATCTCTGCTTTGAGCCTATAAAATTTTCATACCCCAAAGTGTTCATTGTGGAATTATTTATTATAACAGTAAAAATTTGAAAACAAATAAAATGGCCAACAATAGGAAAATTATTAAGTCAACTACAGTACATCAATTTCATAAAATAACATAGAATCACCAGAAAAGTTGGTTACCAAGATTATATAATCCTTTTTAGCATGTAGTGGTGTCTAGCCTCTTCCACTTTCTCTCTTAAATACCTGCAAAGCACAAACACTCACAGCACTGAAAACCCGGCCTGAGAGACAAGCCAGTTCCTCCATCCTAGAGGAAATAACCACAGGCAGCACAAAGAGCTTGATTTAGATAAATCCAACCAGGCTTCAGTTCACAGCAAACTCAAACTCTGCTTTATGAAACAAATTCCTCCTGAAAACAAAAACGAAAGAACAAAAACAAGAAGACATTTTCCATCCCCCAAACATCTGTCCCAAGGCCCTGAACTAATTAGTATTCTGGCCCAGGATCCCAGGCCACCCTTCCAGGACTGGGAGATGAACAGAGTCGATTTTCCCACCAGCATTCCTGAGCTCTCCTGCCATCATCAGCCTATATCCACATGGAAACATGAATCCCGGGAAAGAGCTTGGCAGGAAGTCAGGAAGAGGAGATGCCAGCAGAATGTTGGTGCTTTCTGGCCAAGGATATCTCAGGAGTAAAACTTTATAGGTGGAGAGGGAGAAAGAGAGAGACCCTTGATAGCAGTGCAGGCCAACAACTGTAGCTGTGCAAGAACTTTATTGGTTCTAAATATAAAAAAACAACACAGGGAGGGCAGATGTACATTAGGTGAGAACCTTAGAGACTGAGAATCCCAGCAGGAGCTCTGCACATGAAACAGCACCTCCCTTTCATCTGTAGGTTCAAGAATGGATTCTTTCACTTTCTAAGTGAGCAGAGAGAAGACTCAAGCACACCACCACCACCACCACCCCCTTCTTCTTCACAAGCACGGGACAGGAACAGGTATTTCCATGCTTGGTGAGGAGTGTCAATAAAAGCACAACCTCAAATCTGGAAAGGTCATTGGAGGGACAGCTCTTTGATGAATCTTGTGTATTAGAGAGTTGAACTTTACAGTCATTATTTGGCATCTTAAGTAGAATGTGAGAAGGTCTCACTATTTTGAAACACCTGCAGAATGTACACAAGGCTAGGACCAACTGAAATGAAGAAACAAGAGCATGATCTAAACAGGAGGTGCCTGGGTATGATTCCAAAGAGATGCAAGATGCTATGGCAAATAGAACATTTCTGAAAGGATACATGAGAAATTGATAATAGTGATTGCCTTTGAGACAGGGAAGTGGGGAACCACAGACACAAGCATTAACTGGAAAATCATTTGGTGGTATGTTATTTTGTACTTAATTAATTGTATCAGGTTTATTAAATTTTCAATAAAAAGAGAGATACTTGAGACAAAAACAACACTTTCACTTTGGCTCTTTCTCCGTTAATTTCTAGCCTTATGACCTGGGGAAAGATATTAAAATCACTCCACGTGTCAGTTTCACATGTATAAAATCTAAGACCTGAAAGTCTAGCAGCCATGCCCAGCCCTGGCAAATGTCACCTAAGGCTGGGGCTTGGAAGTCACCATCAAGAAGGGGAAGGAGCATTCCAGTTGACTCTGTGGTCATGACCACTGCTCTTGCTGTCAGTAACACCTGTAATCACACTACATTTTTGTGAGATTGGCTTCGTTCTTTTCCTTTAATACACTAAATTCTTTCCTTCCTTAAGACTTTCGTATAGGTTAATCCACTAGTTTTTAATGTTTTGTTTCTAATTTTCACATGGCTATATCTTACTCAATTTTCTGATACTGATTATCAGATGTCACTGTTCTGATTCCTTGATGTCACTTCCTCAAAAAGGACTTCCCTGACCCCCCATTTATACTTTCTCAGAAAATTTTGTTCTTTTCTTTCATAATATGTAATGTATGCATGTGTAATTTTTTTTTTTTTTTTTTTTTTGAGACGGAGGCTCACTCTGTTGCCCAGGCTGGAGTGCAGTGGCACAGTCTTGGCTCACTGCTGCCTCCACCTCCCGGATTCAAGCAATTCTCCTGCCTCAGCCTCCCAAGTAGCTGGGACTACAGGTGTGTGCCACCACGCCTGGCTAATTTTCTGTATTTTTAGTAGACACGGGGTTTCACTGTGTTAGCCAGGATGCTCTCGATCTTCTGACCTCGTGATCCGCCCGCCTCGGCCTCCCAAAGTGCTGGGATTACAGGTGTGAGCCACCGTGCCCAGCCTGTAATATTTATTTCTGTAAAATATATGTAACATATGTTATATGTACATATGTCCTTTTCCTTGCTTTTCACATACAAATTTATATGGCAGTTTATTGCATATTAATGTATTCAGAGTTAGACAGTATTCTAATGGATAATCTGTGATTTTTAATCAGTCCCCTATTGATGAAATTAAGATAATTTTCCCATTCTTTTGCTGGTAAAAATTGTGCTACAATAAAAAACAGTAATAGCTTTTTTAAAAGATACTATGACAGAGATAACGTTGCAAGGGTAGACACTGTTGCTGCTGCAGGAAGTAGACAGCAATGATGAGTAGGTCAAAGCTGACTGCTCTCTCAGAATGAAAGCATCTCTTCCTCTCCACCAAAAAAAAAAAAAAAAAAAAATCTTGGCTTGGAAAAACAGAACAAGAACTGTCCAGGACTTATGTTTTTCAAGAATAACTATAAAATGTCATGAAGAATAAAAAAGACTTATATAAAAGTATATTTTTCTGGATTAGAAGGATTTAATAATAAAAAGCAAACCAGTCTTCCCCTTTTGATAAGAGTGTAAAATGCTATATTTTGGGAGAGGAGGCAATTTGGCAGCTTATCATAGCGTTTCTCAACCATTTTTCTTTCCCATTATCATTCCCCTAAAAAGGCTTTTTAGATATTTTTCCTCATGCTCTCACCCATGAAATTTTAATCCTACAGATATGCTGAATATCTACTCATATGCTTTATATATAACTATGCTCTTGACATAGAAACAGCAAAATTTTGTCATCCACCTCCAGACAGGAAGAGAGGGAGGGAGGAAGGGAGGAAGGGAGGGAAAAGGGAAGGGAAGGGAAGGGGAAGAGGAAGGGGAAGGGAGGGAAGGGAAGGGAAGGGAAAAGGAAAGGAAAGGAAGCAGAAAGGCAGAAAGGGGGGAAAGAGGAAGGGAAAAAGGAGGGGAGGGGAAAGGACAGGAGGGGAGGAGAGGGAAAGGGAGGAAGGAAGGGAGGGAAAGGGAGGAAGGGAGGGAAAGGAAGGAAGGGAAGGAAAGGAAGGGAGGAAGGAAGGGAGGGAGGGAGGGACAGATGGACGGAGGGAGGAAGGAAGGAAGGAAAGAAAGAAAGGAAGATATGCTCCTTTGGGTACAGTTTCAACCCAACTGAAAATGCATGCTCACTACTAATTCGAATAGAAGTTGTCTCCATCTGGGTCCAGTAGGAAGCAGAATTCAAATCAAATGGTTCAAAGTGCCACTTACAGAATGTGGGCAACACTGATAGAACTAAAAAAGATATGAGGCACCCAGAGACAAGCCACATGGAGTGGTGCTGTCACTCAAGAAGTTTGCCTTGGAGGGCTGGGGGAGGAAAGTGTTGCCCGCCTGCCTCCTGAGAACTGAAGCTATGGCAAAGGAACTGCCCACCCAGCACAATTAGCAGATGTGTAGGGCACAGGCACTGCCAAAACATGGCACCAGCTTTGGAGTGGAAGTGCCTCCTTCCCGCTCTCCCACCAGCTTTCCGTCTTCTGCGCCTGACTCCCCTTAGTCAAGCTCACCTGGAGGCCACACCTATAAAACTGACAGTAATTCCTGAAATCATCTAATACCCAGTCCATAATCCTATCTCTCCAGTAGTCCCCAAAATGAATCAAGGACCACTCATGCTTCTAGTATTTAGGGTTGTTAGGTCTTTTCTGATCTGGAACTTTCTTCATAAAACCGACTTGATGGAACAGCAGCCAGATGGTGTTCTGTGCAATGTCTCACCTTCTGAATGTGGCCAACTGCTTCCTCATGGTGCCATTTAGCTTGATATTCTATCCTTTGCATTTCCTATAAACTGGAAATGAGGCCTAATGCCTGGACTAATGTTAAGCTTTTCTAACAGGATTACATCACAGGGATGGGTAAGGCTGTGGTCCGCCTATGGCTCACTGCAGTGGCTCATGCCTATAATCCCAGCACTTTGGGGGGCCGAGGCAGGTGGATCACCTGAGGTCAGGAGTTTGAGACCAGCCTGGCCAACATAGTGAAACCCCGTCTCTACTAAAAATATAAAAATTAGCCAGGTGTGGTGGTGGGCGCCTGTAATCCCAGCTACTCAGGAGTTTGAGGCAGGAGAATAGCTTGAACCTGGGCAGCGGAGGTTGCAGCGAGCCAAGATCATGCCACTACACTCCAACCTGGGCAACAAGAGTGAAAACTCTGAAAAAAAAAAAAAAGGCAGGGGGGAAGAGAAAGGAAAAGGGAAAGGAAAGGAGACACAAGGTATCTATCCCACCTGGAGTTATGCAAACATGGACATCTCCTAAGTAGAGGTGATGAAAACCAGACCCTTGCACTGTAAGATACAGCCCCCAACCCAACAGAAAACTGACTTGTGCAGTGTTCAGCTTGCCACCAAAGATGCAGGCTTTCACTAATCTCCAGCCTAATGGTTTTTTAACCAATTGATGAAGCTGTTTTAAATAAATTATTTCCTGATATAAAATAGCAATGTCTAATACTATCATTTCCTTTCTACTTACTAGCTGGTATTCTGTATTATCTGTTCTCAGGCTGCTAATAGAGACATACCTGAGACTGCATAATTTATAAAGGAAAGAGGTTTAACAGACTCACAGTTCCACATGGCTGGGGAGGCCTCACAATCACAGCAGAAGAGCATGGGATGTCTTACATGGTGGCAGGGAAGAGAGAGCTTGTGCAGGGGAACTCCCCTTCATAAAACCATCAGATCTTGTGAAACCTACTCACTATCATGAGAACAGCACAGGAAAGACCTGCCCCCGTGATTCAATTATCTCCCACCAGGTCCCTTCCATGACACATGGGAATTGTGGGGGCTACAATTCAAGATGAGATTTGGGTGTGGACACAGTCAAACCACATCACATTCTTCTGTAAGATGGAACTTTCTCTCAACAACTAGACTATTTGGTTACCCTAAAAAACAGCTCCTCCTGGGGAGGCATGATAACTGCTCAATTTTCCTGCTTCTCAAATTAGAGTACATGGAATTGCTGCCTCAAATAAAGTCAATGAGATTTTTCAGGCTTTTTCTTTTGTGAATATTGTTAAAGACACATGTATTTCCACACATTCAATCTGTAAAAATAACAAAAATAGCTGTCACGCTCAAATTGTTATAAGTTTAGCCAATGGGAGCACTTTCAAGCTTAATCCTATTTTTTTTGTATATTCATCTGAGAAACCTTCCTTGCTTTCTGGCACAACAAGCGATTCCAGACTCATTTTATACCTTTCTTGGCCTGAAATAAGTCACTGCTCCAAGGAGCCATGATTCCTTACAGGGGTAAATGTTATTAAAGGCCAAAATCCAGTGGGTTAGGGTGCCCATTGCTACCAAGCTGATATTGTTTCTAGGCCATTTCAGTGGTCAGAAAAAGAAACGGTAATTTTTATAATTACATTTAACATTTACATTTAATTACATTTAACATTTACATTACATTTAACATTATAAGTCATAGATTTATAAAATATTTTTAATCTATCATTATAATGTCCTTCACTTTATCCTATAAAATACATAAAATAATTTTTGTATAATGATGCTAATATCATTACTAATAAATCCATAATTCACTTGAAGCTTAAAATTTCTATAACTCTTCTTGAGCTGTAACAAATTAAAGGTTTCTATTCAGTTCCATATATTAATGTCACTTAAAATAAATCTTTTCCATGGTATGATATGAATTTGACATACAATTATGTTTCAATTTGCTTTAAATTTTACTAATACCTACATGATCCCAGGGTTAAAACAACGTAAAAAGAAACACACTAAAATGTCTCAACTGGAAACTATTTCATTGGTTTCTTATTTATTCTTGCACTTTTTATTTTTACAAATAGGTACATAAGAAGAAAGAATACTTTTGCAAAAAGTCAGCCCACTGAAATACATTAATTAGTAAATTTTCCACTTAATACAGGTTAGGGCTAACCTATATCGTTTTAAAGGCTGTTCAAGATAACTTTTTTATAACTACACATAAAAAAAGAGGTTTGCTTTTTTCAGTGACCATGTACTACTTCTGACCTTAAAACATATTTTTGAAAAAGGAAAACAAATTTAGGGACACATTTTAGCCCCAGTCTTGTTTGTCCCGTGGGCAGCATTTGGCATTTACTGGTCACCCCTCCTTCTGGAAACCTTGTTTTTTCCATTTCCATGGATCCACACCCCTTGATTTTCCTGCCTTCTACTTACCAAATTCCACTGGCAATGCTGCTCCTTCTCACCAGCTCTTACCACTTGGCATTCTTTAGGGTCTCCAATACTTCTAATACTACACACCCTCCCAGGACAATTTAATCTACCCTTTTAGCTCCAATTTCCACCTCTGATAATGAATTTCAATTCTATAACTTTACCCAGCTCCTGAGCCTCAGAAATCTATATGCAACTGCTGACAGGATGTCTCCCTTTTCCGCTCACAGACACAACATTTTCAACAGGCACCAGCTTGAGTTCATCACCTTGTGCCCCTTCCTCCTTCCTCCTCCAGTCTTCCTGGAGTTAGAAATGGTACCAACCTAGGGGCACAGTCATCAGGCTTCCCTTCACCTGTCACCTCCTTTCTTACCCACCTCCAGGGCAATCCCAATCCTCTCAATTCTACCTGCAACACGACATCGCTGTACATCCATTTGTCCTAGTCCAGTCCATCTCCTGGATTGGGCAAGCATTGTCTCTAGTCTATTCCAACACCTCCTGCTTCCCATTTTCATCCTCTGTGACCCACTTGCCATGTTGTATTCAGAACAATCTTTTAAAACATAAATTGGGCCAGGAACAGTGGCTCATGCTTGAATGTCAGCACTTTTGGAGGCCAAGGCAGGAGGAGTACTTGAGTCCAGGATTTCAAGACCAACCTGGGCAACATAGTGAGATTCCATCCCTATACACACACACCCGGGTGTGGTGGCATGCACACACACACACACACACACACACACAATCACACATATCCAGGTGTTGTGGCATGCACTTGTAGTCCCAGCTACTCAAGAGGCTGAAGTGGGACTATCACTTGAACCTGGAAGGTTGAGGCTACAGTGAGCCATGATCATCCCACTGCATTCCAGCCTGGGTGACAGAGACAGAAGGAGACCTTCTCTCTAAATAAATAAAATACAAATTAAGTATCAGGTAAATACCTTTATCTGATTAAAATCCAGCAATTCCTTATTATCACAATAAAATCCAAGTTTATGTACTTATATTTCAAACAAATTTACCTACTTCTAATCCTTGCATGATGGAGTTTTTCAGCAATACCTTCTACGATATTCCGCTTTGCTAAATGTTCATTTTATTTCTAGAATTCAAAATATTTTCTAGTACCTTCATATTTCTGCAAAGCTGTTTTTCCTCTACCTAGAATATTACTTTTCTCCTCAACTCCTCTTTCAAATGCTTAGCTCATACTCATTCTTTAGGTCTTTTTTATTTTTATTTATTTATTTATTTTTTGAGACAGAGTTTCACTCTTGTCACCTAGGCTGGAGTGCCATGGCACAGTCTCAGCTCACTGCAACCTCTGCCTCCTGGGTTCAAGCAATTCTCCTGCCTCGGCCTCCTGAGTAGCTGAGATTACAGGCATCCACCACCATGTCTGGCTAATTTTTGTATTTTTAGTAGAGACAGGGTTTCACCATGTTGGCCAGGCTGGTCTCGAGCTCCTGACCTCAGGTGATCTGCCCGCCTCAGGCTCCCAAAGTGCTGGGATTACAGACATGAGTCACCACACCCAGCCTAGGTCTCATGTTAATTACTACAACTGAGGCCCAGGAATTACGGCATTTTAAGTATAACATATAATGCTTCCAAAGTACCAAGTATATGGTGTGACATGAGGCAGGCTGTTAATAAATGTTAGCTATTTATATAATTTAGGTTGTTCATGGGTAACAAAGTAATTTCCAGACTGAATTCATCTTTGAAATCAACTGCTTTGCATTTGCATAATTCATATCCCTGTTTTTCTATACTGGAAGCTAAAAACTGTGATTTTCTAATTTGCAATGTCATGTAGAGATAAGTGGGAGATAACTTATTCTGAATGATACAGTTGAATTCCAGACCATTGTAAACAGCTGTCCATTCTTACTTAAATGCTGTAAATTTTGCTTTTTATCATATATTTATATTCTAAAGCTGTTTTACATCAGAGAGATGATATGTCAACCTTGAAACATCACTGTCTAGTAACAACAAAACCCCAAAATAAGACAAAACTTTTTATTTTACTTCAGGTTGGTGGAGAAGAGTTTCATTAGATCTACTGGGTATATGGACTCTGTAGGAACACTGATTGTGAGGCTGAGGATGTAGCCAGTGCTGTGTTATGAATACAGAGGAAATGGGCTCCTGCATAGCATGGATGATAATCAACAATTGATAAAGAACCTCAGCTGTGTTGAGAACTTGAAATAAACTGACTTGTGTTGGAAGGGAAGCCACTGAATGCAAGGCTATCTACTGCTAGGGAGAAAAATTACGGCAAAGTAATCATTGTTTAGCCAGAGGCTAAAATTTCTGCAAAAGCTCTGAGATAAAAATTTTGAATAATAAAGGCATTTAAATTTAAACCTCACTAGCACTTCTTCTTAATCATACACAGACCTAATAATTCTCATAAAAACAGAAAAGTTCAGCTCTTCACCATACCATGGCAGGTGGGAGACACAGAAGGGGGAAAAGAATCATAACACAGGGAAGGGACCAGAGACACCCCACGGTCATTCCTCTAAGAACATCTCAGGATGCTGAGAAATTATCTTATCTTTGTGACCATAGACAAGGGCATCATTTGACCAATGACCAAAATCATATCTGTTTCTAGATCTCCTCTTGACCAAATTAATTGTACTGTGATTACTGAAATTAAAATTCATATAGATCTATTTTTCTGCTTTTGATTGCAGTGAAGAACAATAAGCAGCACTAAATTCTGTCTCCGCTTTCCTGCTGGAAAGGAGGAACCTGGCCTGCTAAACCCCAGCTGAGGGCTTAAGCCATGGGCCCAGGAGTGGCAGGGAACTGTCCCTTCAGCTCCAGAATAATGAGTCATGGTTGATGCAAATAACCCAGAGGAGCATTCCTCCAGAGATCAAGACAGAGAGGTAAAGTTGAAGGGTAAGCTAAAACCACAGGCAGTGTACCCCAAGCGAAAAAAAGCTTCAGAAGAAAAAAAAGAGGCTGAGACACAAAAGGGGGGAATGAATCATGGCACAGCAAAGGGACCAGAGATACTGCCTAGTCATTCCTCTAAGAATACCTCAGGACCCTGAGATTTGATCTTATCTTTGTGACCTTATCTTTGTGACCATTGACCTTGTCACACATGGTCACAAGGATAAGATAAAGCTGCTCCCACAGCAGGTGGGAGGCCACAAGCATTTTTGCATAGACCACCCACAGCTTTGGCCATGAAGGGAAGTAGCTCTTAAGGGTACTAGGCCTGCTCCAAGATTTACTGGATAAAAACAGGAGCAAGAGAACAGATTGGATGGATGGATGGATGGATGGATGGATGGATAGACAGATAGACAGACAGACAGACAGATAACAAAGGGAGAGATGATAGACATAGATAGTTAGATATAGACAGATGACAAAGAAAGATGACAGATATATACAGAAATACAGATAGGTAGGTAGATAGTTGACAGACACAGATGACAGATGATTGACAGATAGGTGGATGATAGGTATATGACAAAGAAAGAGAGATATGATAGACATAGAAAGATAGGTAGACAGATAGATGATAGATGACAGACACAAAAATAGATGACAGACACAGAAAAATAGATGACAGACTATGTAGATGACTGACAATAGAAAGATGGATGACAGAAAAAAGATGATAGACATAAATAGAGAGATGATAGATGGTTGGTAGGTAGGTAGGTAGATAGACACGTGCGCGCGCACACACACACACACACACACACACACACATACAACAGAGACAAAACAGACATACAGGTATAAAGCTTCTGAGTTTCTGCATTGGAAGGGATTTTAAGATGCCTACCTGATACCAAAGTAAGAATCATTTCTCTGCTATCCCCAACCAATAACGTACTAACTCTGAGGTCTTCTTCCTTCTTTCTTTATTCTTCTCCAAGAGAATATTTTCATGGTCACAAAGATCATCCAGTTTGACACTTTTTAAGAGGTGAACATAGATATAGAGAAGACAGCAACTTAATCAAGCTGTGGCATTTTTCCTGAGCCTCTGTTGACTCAGAGGCTTTAGTCTTTCCAGTAAATTCCTATGCATATGAATTTTTAAAAAATCATCTCATGCTTGCATGTTCTTGGAAAAATCTAAGTCCATTGGGTGATTGTTCAACACCATTAAGATGTCAGCAAATCAGTGGGCAAAGTTTATGAAGAGACATTTACAAAAAGAAGAAGGAAATCTCACTAACAAGCATAATATAATTATAACTTCTGGAGAGTATGCTGGTGACAGGGGAAACAGATTGCAGTTGGGACTGTAACTTGGTGGAACTCGTCTCAAGGCAATTTGAGAACGTTATCAACAACAGCAAATACGTTTATTTCCATTGACCCGGGAAGCTCAGCAGTAGTATTATATCATGAGGAAATACTGATAATATAGAGCAAAGTATTATGCACATTTTCCACAGGGCTATGACTAGAAGCAAAAAAAATATATAGTTATATAAACTATGGCATAGTGTCACGAAACAATAAAATTTTATAGCATTTAGAAGTGTTTGTTTTATTCTAAATTTAAAATAACAGAATACAGAAATATATATATGCAATATAATGTAGACATTTTTAACTAGAGAAAACTGCTAAAAGAAAATTCAGTGAAAGATTAAACGTGAGTATGGGGGATGCAATTACGTTTTTGTTTCTCTGTGTGCAAACTTTTGGCAATTTTGTTTTCTTTAACGAGCATGTTTCTGTTTTTTTTTCAAATCGTAACATATTAGTTTTAAAGAAAAACTAGGCTTATTATACTCATTTTTTTAGATTTCTGTTTCATCAAGGGGTTACTGTAATATCAACTCCTTGTCTTTTCTCCTCCAAGGCAAAATAATTCTTGCTTATTAAACCTTTCTTCACAAGTCTTACCTCCCAGCTCCTTAATTATATTTGCGATTTTTATCTGAAAAGGTCGTTAGGTCTTTCTTTAAAAATTTTCCAAACAAAATTCTGACATACTAGAGAGCCCACTGAATCACTTATTTGTTGGGAAATTCTTAGAGATATTTCAGTTTAACTCTGACAATTTCGCAATGGAAAAGAAAAAGGAGGCCGAGAGGAATGACGTGCGCTTCACAGTTTTAGAAAAAGCCAACTAGCACCAGGGCCAGCCTTCTTAGTTTACTCTCTTTCATCTACATAACCTGTTATCAAGTCCAGCTCATCTCCGGCTTAGGTTCTTTGTGTCTTTGATCTGCTGACCATGCTGGGTCTTATAGTTCAGTAACATGTTAAACATAAGGATCAATGAAAATATGCATACATTGACATCTTGGCATTTCACCAGTTTTCAGTGAAACAAACGAGCAACACTTTTCCTTCTTTTGTTCCAGATGTCCGCATGCCCTCCTTATTCACATACAAGTAAGGTGCAGAAATGAGGTTAAGCAGAGTCCAACAAGTCACTCATCAAAACATGCTGGTGATTGTCCTGAAATATGATCTCAGACTCATGGCTGAACATAGGTGTGCATTCATGTTTCAAGGTTTTACTAAAAAGGTGAAACGTAAGGCAAAACTATGAGAAGGGAGAAGGTGGACCTTTCCGCCATCTTCTGCTCCCAGCCAGGGTTCTCCTGTAGCTGGAAAGCAGTGCTTCTCTCAGCCCCTGTCGATAGGAATCCCTGCTTCTCAAGTGTTCCTCTAAGCAGAGGAGAAAATTAACTGTTGGGATTCAAAGGTGTCCCTTCTAGGACACATTGCCTCCATGTAAATCAAAAGCAAAATGAGCCAACTATGTGGCAGCTCATTCCACACAAGTGGGCAAACTTTGGTGTAAGATTAATGAAAAGAAATGAAAAAGACGTAGCAAGCCAAAATACCCATAATACAATTGAAGCACTTTGCAAATATTCCTCTATGTTTTTGTAAACCGAAAGTTGTCTGAGACAGGTCTCAATCAATTTAGGAAGTTTATTTTGCCAAGTTTAAGGATGTACTCGTGACAGTGACACAGCCTCAGGAGGTCCTGATGACATGTGTCTGAGGTGGTCAGGGTACAGCTTGCTTTTATACATTTTAGGGAGACATCAGACATCAATCAATATGTAGAAGATGTACATCGTTTTAATCAGGTAAGGCGGGACGACAAGAGGCAGAGGCTTTCAGGACATAGGTAGATAAGAGACAAAAGATTGCATTCTTCTGAGTCCTCTATCAGCCTTGCACTGAATACACAGTTTAGTCTGGCTCAGTGAATCTGCATTTATCACATAAACAGCAGGGCAGAGAAAGCAGCCAGGTATGCATTTGTCTCAGGCGAGCCTCAGAGAGATGACTTTGAGTTCTGTCTGTCCTTTGTCCGTAAGGAATTTTCTTGTAGGCAAATTGTGAGGAAGGTATGCAGCTTTTTATCTTTGTAGCTATCTTATTTAGGAATACAATCTGAGGCAGGTTTCTGACACAGTTCCCAGCTTGATTTTTTCCCTTGGCTTAGTGATTTTGGGGTCCCAAGATGTATTTTCCTTTCACATTTTATAACTGTAACTTTTCAACGCTGTTGCTAAAAGTATCCTTTATTATGGAATATTTTCTTTGTGAGCTGTGAAAAGACAAAGTTAAGGCAAAATGACAAAGAAGGGTTACAAATGAAAAGATGCCCTGATGCTGATGGATAAATGCAAGCTGGAAGACAGCTGGGTGACAACTTATGTCAGGTAAAAAGGGACACATTGATGGTATCAAAAAACAAAAGAAGATTAAGAACAAATATCCATAAAAGAAGAAAAATACTTGTGTGGTACAAAGGAAAAATCACCCCATCAGATTAGGCAAATCTGATTAAGAGTGAAACATATGAATATAATAAAAATATAAATACAGTTGTATCACATGAAACTGCTGTTTTGGTAGGTCAAGAATAGTTGAATATTGGTAATGGTTTAGCCCAAAGAATTCACTTAGAGGAGGCATAGACTTCCTGTTGCATGTGAGAATTGAGTTCCTGCAAACCAGTCCTTTTATTATTGCTCTAAACTTTCCAACTTTTAAAAAAGACCCTGAGGCATCAGTGTTGGCTTCTCAGAGCCCCAGGTGAGTAAAGCAGAACAGCTGACATTGTAAGCAGGCGATTCCTGTCTGGTAGGGCCACTAGCTGGTGACTCCTTTGTTCAGTACGGAGATGGATTCAGCTCCCCAGCTGCTCCCTTAATCTTCACCACATCCCCCTTCCAGGCCCTACCTGGAAGAGCGTAAGGTCCCTGGCTGTAGGGAAAGGGCAGGAAGCAGAGCAGAACTGTTTCTGCGTCAAGCGCTCAGGAGCTAGGAGCTGGGAGCTGGGCGCACTGACTTGGGATCCCAACTGCCTGGGTCTAAGCCCCAGCTGTGCTTCTCCCCAGAGTTTCCTCAACATCCTGTTTCCTCGTTTAGAAATCTAAGCCACAGAATCCCATCTTAGTGGGTCAAGTGACCCCCAATTGAGTTAGCACATGCAAGGTGCTTAAAATAAACAGTACCTGGCACAAAAAGAAACTCAATAAATGTTCACAATTGTGATTTTAATCTTTTGTGTGGATGAGTGCAGTTGCAGAAAGGAAAAGCTGGGTACACATAAAAACAGTTTTAAAAAATGCCCAGAGTACAGAGTTATTTACGCTAATGTGTTCACACCTATGGAGAAAAGTTTGTAGAATGAAAAAAAAATATTTTAAAGATCAAATAGAGCAAAGCAACCACAGCAAATACTTGTATTTCTCTAGTTTCATCTTCAGAC
Organism: Homo sapiens; assembly: GCF_000001405.40. Taxonomy (NCBI): domain Eukaryota; kingdom Metazoa; phylum Chordata; class Mammalia; order Primates; family Hominidae; genus Homo; species Homo sapiens. Next base: position 9,834,633 of record NC_000005.10, read on the forward strand.
GTTCCCCAGGGACACAGGCAATAGCTCCCTCCCCTGCATTAGAAAGATGACTGTCAAAATTAATCTGCAGTATTAGGGGTAGTGCTGACAGTTTCATCTCTGTAAATGTTATTACTGCATTAAAAAAAAAAAAGAAACCCACAAACCTCTGCCCATCTTTGTAGTCCAGGCACTTGGAGAGTTCTTACGGGGAGAAGCACTTCTCCCCATCGATAGAAATTCAATTTGCTGCACAAGTTAAGATGCAGTAAACTTGTCTCTCCCTTGCTTTACTGCTGCTTTCACAATCATAAAACGAGCCTAATGTTTAAATGTTAGAAAGCATTTAATATTTAATCGTTGGAGATTAAGTCTCTTTCATGACGCCTGAGCTGCCCAGCAACAGGTTAGAAATTGATTGTCTGCCGACCCCTAGGGGCACGGCAGCAGCTCAGCTTTCAACATCTGCCCCCAGCTTTCTAAGGCTCAGAAACGCCAAAGGAAATGAAAAGTTTCCTCTTCCAAAGCAGTTGCCAGTTCCTAGGGGCCAGCACATGGCAGCATCTGGAAAGGCCAAGGGGAGATGGATGTGTGCACATGAAAATGGGTGATGTTCTGGGACCCAAATATCTGGCAACAGGAGAACAGCAGAGCCAGGGCCTCAGAGAAGCTCTCTCCACTGTGGCCAGGGGGAGCCCTTGTGTCCCCACATTCATGTGACGCTACACTAGAAACACCTTTTTTCTGCCCACTGGACATACATTCAGTGTCAGGTGACCTAGACCCATTCACAGATATCTGCTGGCACTTCACACCATCCACATTTTTTTTCTTTTGTGCCTGTCAATAAGAACAGAGAACACAGGCAAAAGAAAGAAAGGAATAATTGCTTGCTGTCACCTATTCAGCCTCTAATAGAGCCAATTCTGAAAGAAAAGAATTCAGTGCTACTTCCCAGCAGGATGCTGACACCATGAATGACATCATACAGCCAGACCTCAGGCAACCAGGGAGCCCGCATGAAAGACGAGTGATGCCAAGGAAGAACACCCATGGTGCCACCTGACAGTCATGTCCTGCAAAGTGGCAGGGGGAGAGGAAGCCTGGGAGGGCCTGGGTTCAAATCCCTGCTGGGCCCCTCTCCCACAGCCTAATGTTGGGCAAGAAGAACCTCTCTCAACTCAGTGTCCTTGTTATAACAACAGGCTTAGGATGCCTTGATCCCAGGGTGGCTGAGTTAAAACTGTAGGAAAAATCATTTAGGAAAAACCCTATAAATGTTTGTTAAAACTGGATCTGAAATGAGTTAATCATCAGACCCCAGATAAAATCAGTTATTTGTGTGTGATATGGTTTGGCTGCGTCCCCACCCAAATCTTATCTTGAATTCCCACCTGTTGTGGGAGGGACCCAGTAGGAGGTAATTGAATCATGGGGGCAGGTCTTTCCCATGCTGTTCTCGTGATAGCAAATAAGTCTCATGAGATCTGTTGCTTTTAAAAAGGGGAGTTTCCCTGAACGAGTTCTCTTCTCTTGTCTGCCACCATGTGAGACGTGCCTTTTACCTTCTGCTTGTGAGGCCTCCCCAGCCATGTGGAACTGTAAGTCCAATAAACCTCTTTCTTTTGTAAATTTCCCAGTCTTGGGTATGTCTTTACCAGCAGCATGAAAATGGACTAATAAAGTGTGTTATTTGGAACTTCAGTGTTAAATAAATTCTGTCATCATCAAATCCCTTCGTGGGCTGAAGTTTCTTGACCTTGGCACTACTGACATTTGGGGCAGGATAATTCTTTGTTGGAGGGCTGTCATGTGCATTGTGGGGTGTTTAGCAGTATCGCTGGCCTCTACTCACAAGATGCCAGCAGCATCCCTCCATACGCCCCAGGTTATGACAACCAAAATTGTACCCACATATTGACAATTTCCTTGGGGCAGGAGGAAAATCGCCCCAGGCAGGAGCCACTGCTATGTATAATGGAATGCTAAGAGGAATAACTACAGGAACTATTCTTTGCTGCCTATCTGCTGCATATTAAACATAGTGAGATAATAGTAGAATTAGAAAGTGTCCTTTTCCTGATGGTTAGTGATAACCGTTCCATAAAGCAAATAGCAAAACCACCCCTTGTTCCCATATCTAAAGTCAGATCTCAGCCTGCTCCAGGGACACAAACACAAAGTGTGACTGGGAGGACAAGGCTTATACTTGAAAATCATTGCAAGATTTTGCTTATTTATATCAGCAAAAAACCAAGAAACATGCATGAGGATCTAATGATGTTCGACTAAGGAGCAGGAAATGTAACACTGAGTTGGTCTTAACATTTTAATCATGGTGCATTGCTGAGAGATTCCAGATTTAATACGTTATTTTATGCAGATGGAAGTGGCTCTAACACGTGACTGGTTGGCTGGCTGGCTGGCTGAAATTGGAACTCAATGGTGACCTGTTTTTAATGAGGCTGAGATGCCAGAACTTCCCTGGAATACTGTAGAAGATGAACCCAAAGGCTTAGGAAAATAGAAATATTGGACTACAACATACATGCACATATGCACACATACACACAAATACACACACATCACTACATTCACAGAGAGCTCCCACAGACTCTTCCCGAGGCATGGAGAAGTGAGGAGACCCCCGCATCCTGAAGAGGTCTGTGCCAGCTGCTCTCTGTAGGCTGGTTATGGTGACGGATGGGGTCCTAGAATAGCAGAGGCCACATGGCAGCCCTTAACTAGAAGAGAGGGTGAGCATATTTACCATGGGGACAGCAAGGTTTCCAGGAATGTTTTAATCCGCAGGAACCTTTGGTGGATGCTAATTGCTCGGAGCATGCCTTGGAAGTAAATAGGCGGGCAGCTTCCTAAATTGTTCCTGGATCTATATATCAAGGATGAATTTGCCTCTGCTGGTCAGAATGGAGCGATGGCCCCTCGCCCTGTTTCCAGGCTCAGGACCTGCACCTTCCTGTGGGCCTGGCTCCTCCCAACCTTCTCACCCCAGACTTCTTGCCTCCTGCTTTGTTCTGCTTTCCTCCATTGCACACACACGTCTCCACTGGAAACACCTTCTTCATTTCTTTAACAAATGCCTTCTACACAGGAACCGTCTTGGCTTTGGGATACAAATGTGAACAAAACAAAAACCCCTGCCTCGTGGAGCGACAGCATGTTTTGCTGATTATTGCAGCATCTGGGATGTCATCTGTCTTGTTTGTTGCTATGGGCCCAGCACTAGAAAAGCACCTGGTATATAGTAGGTTCACATTAGATAGGCACTGAATGGATGCCTGCACTGTCTGCTCGCCATTGAGTAAGACAGTCTGTGTCTCTTTCATGGTCTCTCTTTACTCAAATATCTGTGAGTCCCAGCATTGCTTCCTCAGTTGGATCACATCACAGAGCAAGCTTCAGCTATGGTGAGCATCTCTGTCAAGTCCATGGATGAAATGCAGAGACAACCCCCCCAGGGCAGGAGTCTCCAAACCAGGATGATGATCAGAATCACTTTGGGAAGCTTTGAAAAAGCACAGATCCCTGGGTATAGACCCCAGAATTTCTGACTTTCCAGGTCTGGGATGGGGTCTGAGTATCTGTAAAAGTGCCCAGGAATCTTTTGGTGCTCTGCTGTGGTGCGCCCCGTCTCTGCACCTCTAGTCCATCCTCACCCTTCTCCAGGCATATCTGTGGGCCCCTGGTTTTTTTCCCAGAAGCCGAGTCTGAGAAAGATCAAGAGTATGTGGGAAAGAGGAGAATGAAGGAGCGAATAGAATACGCCTCTTAAAATGTAGACACCCAATCTGAACATCTGCCCCTCATGCCAGCCAAGACAGCTCCTGAGCCATATTTTTTCATCCCTGATATGCGAAGAAAAAGCTACAAAGCAGGTTGCCTGTTATGCATACATGATGTGAAATGACACCTCAAGGTACAGCTTTCTGTTCTTCAGCAGCTGAGGTTATCACTGACATTTGCCTCTGATTCTCATATCCACAGTTATGAAGATGGAATAAACCAGGGGTTCTGAGAGCTTTAAATGCTGGACAGTACTTCTGCTCCGAAAGCACAACTCTCCTCTGCATCAACTCCTAGCAAGCCCAATAAAATGGATTCTTGGATATACATTTTTTAGGAAGAGAGTAAGATGCAATGTTCTATTAGGAAAGGAAGCTCAGTTCCTTAAGGTCATCTTCAACGCTGGAAATGATTCACATTTGGAACACTGACCTCCCGTGCTTTTTCTGAGGTGTGTTTCAACACCAACAGCAGGCTAAACCAAACATCTGAAATGCAGTGAGAGCTGGATGGTTAGAAGGCTCTGGTTTCAGACCTGGACTAACTGGACACTGAAATCTGGGCTGGAGTACTTATTCCAGAAGCCGATGGAAAAACATCACGTTTTAAAAGTCAAATCCTTGACTCAGGATCATAACATCATCAGCATCGAGCAGGTCTCTGTTATCACCACAGTGATGAAGCCTGAGCTGCGCAGCCGCTAGGGTAAAGAGGGCTCTGTGCTCAGCTCTGTGAAGACAAGGAGGCAGATTCTCAAGAGCTTAGAGCTTTGCACAGCTGCAGAGTGGGCAGGGATGAATGCAGGAGAGGGAGTGGGAAAGCAGCACAGACACGGTAAAAGGAAAAATAATTTAGGCTGATGGAACTCTCAGGTTTCCGACACTCAAACTGCCATGTGAAAAGCAAGTGGTAAGAATTCATATATGATATCAGCAATAAAATAACATCCTGTTGTACAACAAAATACACTGAAAGACAACCTTTAGTCTTTTATAACGACAAGCAGATCTCATAAGTAAATGAAAAGCTAGTCCATTACTCTTTTTATTCCTTAAAACAAAATAAAAAAAGAAAAGCTTTCAGTGACATGATGAAATTACTATCACAACACTCTTGACAATCTCCAAATAGGGAAGGTGTGTTTCTACGCTGAAACAGGAGAAATTGTGCTTGAGGAATCCAATAAGTACAAAGTGACTCAAAGCTCTATCACAGCTGTCAATAAAGAATGAACAGACAAAATTCTTCACAGGCTTAACATGAGAGGCATTGAGCGTTTTGCAAGGCTGAACAACAGACGGGTAGTTTTTGCATGTGCAGTGCTGTCAGAAGTTGTAAAAGTAAACACACGTCTTTTTTTTTTTAAGGTAGTCCATTACAGGTAATTACATATTTAAAGTATAGTCATTTTTCCTGCCTTCCATATTTAACTATTCTTATCTCAGTCATTTTAATACAGAATACTTAATGTAATCGATTTTTATATTTCTAGGGGAAAGGAAACTTCTAGCCCCTTTGCAGGCCAAACCCAATTTGGCTTACCATTCTAGACTTTCGTCCTCCCAGAAGGATTCTGAATCCAACTCTTTAGGAAAATGACTTTGAATGGGTTGTGATTACAAGCAAATGAGATGAAAAGAGTCAACGTTTTGGACTCTTGCTCTCCTTGCTACCTTGTATTTCAGCTGCATAAAGTTCCCTGGTGAGATTTTGCCACCTATGTCATTGATTACATCAATGTGAGCTGCAGGAAGGGTGAGCTAAACTGAGGACTGTCTGCACAAGTGAGATATTCCTCACTCTTCTTCAATTTACCACGAAAACAGGGTAGCTCTGAGCCTCAAAAAAGTGTAGCTCAGACTTCTGGGATTCACATTAACTCATCCAACCATCGAGTTTACATCTCCTGTTCAATCTCTTTCAGAGTTCTTTATCTGAATGAATGGCACCAATATTCATCTTGTTTTTTATCCTTCCCATCTTTCTCCTCTACCATCCATTTTTAGTTATTCATATCTTATTATCTTTTGGTGGTGACTATAAAGATTAGGGCATGCACTCTTCTTGACTATTTAAACTCTAACATGAATTAAGATTTTTACCACTATCTTAATGTTACATTAACTCCATTTATTCCCTTATGTTTTTTGAATTGTTGTCATGCATTTTAATTCTATATATTCCTATATATTTTAGATCCCAAGGCTTTATCATTTTGTACAGTCAATGTTCATTTATATTTATCACTTATGTTGCTCTTCATTTCTTACTGTATTTCTGTGTTTCTGATAGGATTACTTTTATTTTCCCTGAAGAACTCCATTAGAATATTTTTAGTGAAGGTGTGCTAGTAACAAACTCTTTCAGTTTTTATCTAAAAATGTTATCTATTCACATTCACTTTATTTTTCATTTTATTTTATTTATTTATTTATTTATTTATTTTTTTTTTTTTTTTTTTTTTTTTTTTTTTTTTTTGAGATGGAGTCTCACACTTTCACCCAGCTGGAGTGCAGTGGCACAATCTCAGCTCACTGCAAACTCTGCCTCCCGGTTTCACGCCATTCTCCTGCCTCAGCTCACATTTACTTTTAAAAGACATATTCACAAAGCACATAAATCTAGGTTGGTCTTTCAGCACTTTAAAGCTTTTATTCTACTGTGATCTAACTTCCATCATATTCATTTAGAAGTCAGCTGTCTGTCTTATATTTCTACCTTGAGAGCATGTGTCCTATTTTTCTCTCTGGATGCTTTCAAGGGTTATCTCTTTGTCATTTGTTTTTGCAAGCTTACTTTGAATTTATCCATATTGAGAATCACAGTGCTTCTTGAATATGGTGCTGAATGTCTTTAATCTGTCATTTTTCTCTTGAAATATTACATATTCCCTTTCATCTTCTCCTTCTAGGAAAAAATTATACATTTATTGGTGCCTTTCGCCATATTTCACATGTTTCTTTACTTACATACATTCAGCATTCCACTTTTTGCCTTGCTGTAGTTCAGCCTGGATATTTTCTACTTTCTTAGTTTGTTTACAAATTCTCTATTCTGATGTACTGAATTTGCTATTAAACTCATATCATGAGTTGTAATATAATTTATTAAATTTTTTAGTTTTAGAGATTCCATTTAACTCTGTTTTATAAATTTCAGTTCCTAAGGACATTCTCCACTCTGTTATTCTATTTTCTTGACCAAAACATGATGGGAAATGCAATCTCTCTGGGATCCTTAGCATCCCTTTCTGTTCTTGCTGGTGGTGCCAACAATAAAAGGCTGTGGCCAGTCTACCTGGGCCATTTTCCAAGACTGTGTTTGTAGTCAGTAATTTTGAGGAATAATGTAATGTCTCCCTCCAGAACAGAGAGCAAGCTTTCTTAGTGTTTGCTATAAAAGCATGGGATTCTCTAAACTTGATGTTCTCCAGCTGTGATGCAAACCCACTGCATGTGTAGCATTCATCTGAGCTATATAGCATTGCCCCTGTGGAATTTGGAGGCCAGGAGGCAATGTGAATATGCTTACATCCATCATGTGCTCGCTGAGCCATAAGTAATACAGTTCTTTCTTTGACCTAGAAGTCTCATGTTCTCTTCCAGCATTTGTAAAGCAGTAACAGATTAACTTATCTGTAAGTAAGGTGAGGTCAAATTCCCGACCAGGAAACCAAGCACAATTATTTTAATGTATGTGTGTAAAAACCTTCATCACTTGTAGATCTGTGTCTGTCTCTACTGTCCTTTGTTTTTTCTTAGTCCTGTTTTTTGGTGTGTCTCATAATTTTTTATTGAAAGTCAGACATTATCTATTAAAAAATAGTAAAGCCCCTGGAGCATGTTATCTTCCTCCAGGGAAGGTTCAACCTATATTCTGGTAGGAAGTCTTTCTTTCTCTCTTTTTTTTTTTTTTTTTTTTTTGAGAGACAGTCTCACTCTGTTGCCCAGGCTGGAGTGCAGTGGCACAATCTCAGCTCACTGCAACCTCCACCTCCCAGGTTTAAGCAATTCTCCTGCCTCAGCCTCCAGAGTAGCTGGAACTACAAGTGCCCACCACCACGGCCGGCTAATTTCTTTTGTATTTTAGTAGAGAAGGGGTTCCACCATGTTGTCCAGGCTGGTCTCAAACTCCTGAGCTCAGGCAATCTGCCCGCCTCAGCCTCCCAAAGAGCTGGGATTACAGGCATGAGCCACTGTGCCCAGCACAGTCTGTCTTTTGAAGCAGCTCAATCCACCCAGCTACTAAGCTGATTTGTGGCAAAGTTGCAGTTTTTACAAGTTTCTATCTCTGGCTTATCTCTACTCCTAGAGTCTAGTTTTCCATGGGTCCTAATTGGAAGCCTGAAACCTTTACTGTTTACTAGGGCCTCTCCTGCTTGGTAAGTCTTGACCTCTAATTATTGGGTCATAACTGCCTTGCGATGGCCAAAATCTCTTCTGTACTTTTGATAGCTTTCTACTCAGCTTCTTAGTCTCTTGCCCATACAATCTAACAATTGGACAAATAGCTTGAGGAAGAAAACCATGAATTTGGGCTTATTTCCATATGCCATGCTCATTTATAAGAATCTAGCATCTCTGTTCTGCCCATCTTGGACACTTCAAATTACAAATTTTTGCTATCCAACCCCAGGCTAAAAGTTCAGCTGGCTTCTCTGCCTTTTATGCAGGACTCTTTTCCTGTCTTTTTTAACCTCTCACTTACTGTAAATTCTCTGAGGGAAGAAGTAGCTCACAGAATGTTGGCTCACCTCTCTATAATTCTTTTCCCTCTGGATTATTTGTGATTGAAGTTTTTGTTGCTTCAGCAGTTCTTCCATGTCTTTAATCTGACTTTTAAATAAATATTTACTCTGTCTTTTCTCATTTTGTGGAAAAGTCTTTGGTCTTCCACAACCCAAAGTACCATTTCTGACATGCCCTTATCCTTTATAACCAGTACTTCCTAAATGTTTCTCACATCATTCCACTTTTCTCCATCTCCTCCACCATTACCATTTCACTTCTTACCTACAGTATAGAATATCTTGCAACTAATCTATCTTCAGCCACGATTTTCACTTTTAATCTGTTCTCTATAAGCAACTATAGTGATATTACAACAAAAAAGTATTAGTTTCATATTTCTGTATAGCAAGGTGCCACACATTTAACCGTTTAAAACCAAACAAGTTTACTATTTCACAGTTTCCATCCATCCAGAGATGAAGGGTAAACCACGAAAAATATAAAGCATTTTCAGGCTATAGACTTAATAAAGAATGGTAGCCTCAAAATTCCTCTGTTTCTGAAGTGAGGAGATGGCTGGGTACCAGAATATGACCCCAGTAGCACAGGAATCCAAGCACAGTTTAGTTAAGTTCTCTGTTCAGAGTATCACTGGTCTTCAACATAGTTGCAAGCTGGGCTACATTCTCAACTGAAGGCTTCACTGTGGAAGAATCCTTTTCCAAACTCATTCAGGCTTTGCAGATAGACAAAAAGCTAGAGCCTTTTGTTGGCTGTCTGCTAGAAGCTGCCCTCATATTCTAGAGGTTTCACTCAGTTCCTTGCCATGTGAACTTCCTCAACATGCCTGCCCTCTTCATCAAGCTAGCAAGGATAATTTCTTGCTCTAGTATATTAAGACAGAATCCTACATAATGTAGTATTATCATTGGGAATGACATCTCATCATCTTTGCGTATTCTACTGGTGAGAAGGAAGTCACAGGTTCTACCCACACTCAAGGAAAGGGAAGTATGAAGGATATAAACCAGGAGGGCTGAGATCATGGAGACAATCTTAGAATTCTGCCATTTTTCTATTATATTAGCCTCTTCCCAGATTAAAACCCTTCCATGGCTTCCCATTGCTAATAGGAAAAAAATTTTAATGACTTATAAATTCCTGAATGATCTAAACCCTAACTCTCTATCTTCATCTCATGCTATGCCCTCCCTTATTACTTGTATTCCAGTCACATTTTTCAGTTCTTTATATTTGCCCTATTCTTTCTTACCACAGGGCCTTCTACATTAATTCTTACCTAGGTCATGCCTGTTCATTCTTTAAGTTTCAATTTAAGCGTGATTTCCTATGTAAGTCTTCCCTGACATATTTAAACAGGATAAACCTCATTATATAGCCTCAAATACATCTTGTTTGTAATTTCATATAGTGCATTCACTTATTTACGTGATTATTTGGTTTCAGCACATCTCCCCTCCTAGACTATAAGCTCCATAAAATCAGATGCTTTCTCTGAGTTTGGCTCCATTGTATCCTAATTAGCTATGAACTCTATATTCTGCTTGGAAGCTTTCAGCATTTTTTTAGGCCTTTTGTAATAGATGAACTTTTCTACAAAAAAAGTAAGCTAATCAAAGAGCTTTCTAAATCATCTGATTCTATAAACCAGAGCCAGGATGAAAGAGAGTCTGAGAATGACCGTGGCCCTTGCCAGGTGAATTTTCCCAAAGCTGAGGTCTGACCATGATATTTACATGATCAATGTCTTCAATAGTGTCAATTGTCATCAAAAATTTTTTACACTCCTTATTGGACATAAAAGGCCCTCTGTGACCTGGACCAAACTAATGTTTCCAAACCTATTTCCTATTACATCCTGCTATGGACTGAATATTTGTGTCCCTCCAAAATTCCTACATTGAAGCCCTAATGCCCAATGTGATGGTATTTGGAGGTGGAATCTTTGAGTGGTAATTAGGTTTAGGTGATGTCATGGGAGTGGAGCCCTCATGATGGGTTTAGTGCCCTTATAAGAAGAGGAAGAAAGAGATCTTTCTCTCCCTCCACCCCACATGCACCAAGGAAAGGCCATGTGAGCACACAGTGAGAAGGTGGCTGTCAGCAAGCTGGAAGCAGATCTTCGTGGGTATTATTGGTATATTTGCCTGACAGATTAACATGTGTTATTAAATTTAAAAACTAGTCTGTTCTGCTTTATCTCCCCCGTAGAATCTAGATATGTTGCATGCAGTAAACATTTAATGATATTTGCTGGATAAATTTGTTGCAAGTGAAAGTAGTTTCTGGGCAAGCTCCAGATTCAAGGCAGAAAAAAAAATGTTAGTGCTCTTCAGGGATAAGGCAGTCATTCAATGTGTCTTAGTTGTCAAGTGTGAAAAAGATTCAAGGTGCCAAGTATGGTGCATTAATTCAAATGAAATTGGGCCCCAAGTACTTCAGAAATATGACAGACAAGCTAGATATCATATCAGGAAAGCAAAGAATAAAGGAAGGAGAATAAAGGCTGAAGCCGTAATACAATGAGTCTATTTGCAAATTGAGCCTAAATTAAGGACCAAGTAAGAGATGAAGTGAGAAAATGTTTGCAAAGTGTCCGCCAAATGCAATGGATTATTAGAGTAATTCTTTTTAATTTGGTTTACTGGTGGACATAACGATTATTGATAATGTAGTCAAGAATATCTTGTGAAATAAAGATGCACATTCTAGGGTAACAGTCCAAAACAGAAACAAAAATAACACCAACCAAACAAAAATAAGAGAGGCAATGTCAAATGCCAAATAAAATGTAAAGGAATAAATGAAAACATATTATTCATATATTAGCATGAGCTTGAAGGTAATGTTTCACTCTGAGACCAATTACTACAAGGAAGGAGATAGAAAACTGGGGCAATAAACTATTTTTTAATAGTAGAAAAAGGTGTGTAACACAAATATAATTAGATGAGATTTATATAAACCAAGAAAGCTATTTCCGATGAAGGGCTAGAAAACAAAGAAGGTCTTTGAATGAAGAAATGGATACTTCAACAAAGAAGTAACAAGCAGTATGCAAAAGTTTACAAAGTCCTGAAACTTTAAGCACCACTGACTAATTACTGCATATTGTTTCCACCCATAGGGACTATGTCTTTCTGAGCAAGAGAAAAGTTTTTGGAGGGCGACGACAATGTTTCATCCATTCTGGTCTCCTCATAGTCTGGGACAATGTTCTACACACTGGACAATGTGTCCAGTGAGCCCCAGGTCATGTTGTCTGTGTCTCCCGGACACGCTATTTCTATGCATTTGTCTTAGAACACACTTCTCCTCTCTTTTGGAATAAGTTAAAACAGACAGAACAGAGACCATTTGAAATAACATTCCTACATCTTTCCATCAGTGCATGCACATCTCCTATTAAAAATATTCAACACTCACCTTCTCTGAATGTACTTTACTCTTATGAGAACTGCATTTAGGTGAAAATATCTGCTCATGTCTAAACCAATCCCCAAACACACACACATTGCACACACACACACAAACTAAGACAAACAAACAAAAATGAACTCTACTTGTAAAACCTGAAATTTCTTGAAGGCTCAGAAGTTCAAAATAACAATATTTCAATATGTGCCCCTAAGTTGACCAATTGAAAACAAAACCAAGCCCACACTTTTCTAACTCACTAACCCTTTTTATGCTTCCAACTTATTTCAATTGTCTCCTTACACTTTCTTTTGAAATCTGCTTTTCTTTCAGGTGTAACCATGGGCAGCCTCAAAGTTGCAGTCTCAGGCCATCTGCCTTAGCTGTTCAATGTCTCAGTTACCTCATTAACTCCCATGATCTCATTACGAACTGTGAAAATGATTCCCAAAGCTACAGCCCAGCTCTGACAGCTCACCCTCTAGCAAGTCCCATATAGGCAGACACTTACAGGAAAACTTCATAGATGACCCTAAAACTCACAAAACCTTACACGCTGAAATCCAAGTTGATCTTCCTCTCAACAACCTTCTCAAATTGTCCATTGTTACAAACAGCCTTATCATATTCATATCATATTCAGGTTTTGACCATAAGAAAATGTTTGTACTTCTTCTCTTTTGTCCTATGCCTGATCTTACATAACATGGTAAAGGGGTCTATTTTAGATCCTTTTTTAAAAAAGTTCTTTGGGTTTCCCCCTTTTGATTTTTATAAAATTATACCCTCAATACCTAACTTCTAGATCCCTGAAACAATACACAAATTGGTTTCCTTGGCCCTGGGTTCTCTAGCTCTAGACCATCTGTCTTAAGTCAGTTTCACTAAATGCAGAACCTGAGATAGGATTTCTTGTTCATGTGATCAATTGAGGGAGTGCTCTTAGAAGAAGAGAGTGAAGGCAGCAGGATGCAGCTAGAGCAAAATACTAACAAAAATATACTCTCACCAGGGACTGGCTTGAGCCAATGTCACATGGAAGCTTTGGAGCATCAACGACAAGCCAGCTGGAGTTGGTGCCACCTTGAGACAAAGTGACCAGTCATTTGTAAGCCTTTGACGGTCGGTATGCCTGATGGTTGAGTTGTTTCGCCTCCTAGAAGGTTCCATTAGCCAAGGGCAACTCTCCAGAGACAGGACAGCTGTGGGCCATAGCCACACTAAGAGTAGCTGGGGCCTGGGTGCACCAGTAGTGGAGGTCATCTGGGCAGGGCACCAACTACTTCCCCAACACCAGTGGTTCTCAAAGTGTGGTCCCCGGACCAGTGAAGTAGCATCATCCAGAAACTTGTCAGACACGCAAATTCCTGGGCTCTACCTCAGACTTACTGAATCAGAAACTCTGGAGTGGGACTGGATCCCAACAATTTGTGTTTGAACACTCCCTCCAGGTGATTCTGATGCACACTAAGGCTTGAGAAACATGGCACTACACCATCCAACACAGAACTCATGAATACTTCTTAAGTCCCAAATTAGTATTCACTGATCAAGAACCTGAAGTAACTCTTATCACTGCTTCTGTCAGCAATAAATTCCGCAGGTTTACAATAAATGCCTTCCATCAAATTAGATGCCTTCTATTCCTCCAAAGACCCATCTCAGCAACGCTTCTTTCTTTGTAACTCTTCATCATCATGGAATCACAGGATATTGGAAGAGAACTTGAAGGTTAATTAATCTAGCTCCCTCCTTTTTGCAAATGAAACAATGGAGGCATCCAAATTGTAAGCATCTTAACCAAGATTATGCAATGGGAACTCGGGTCTCCTTATGTCAAGTTTAATGCTTGTTGTTATACATTATGCCGATTTTACTCCAAATTAAGGGTATGAAGTTTCAGGTTTGACACGATGAATAAGCTCTGGTCATCTATTGTACAGCAGAATGACTACAGTTAATAATAATGTATTACATACATGAAAATCACTAAGAGAGTAGATTTTAAATGTTCTCACCACAAAAAAAATAATGTGGAAGATGATACCATGTTAATTAGCTTAATTTAATCATTTTCCAATGTCTACATATATGAAAACAGCACATGGTACACTGTAAATTTATACAATTTTTATTTGTCAATTATATATATATGTTAATAAAGTTGGGGAGATATTTTTAAAATTAAAATAAATTTAAGAAAAGAAAATTCATTACAACATAGTCACAGCTAGGTCAGCTCTACCTCTTTAAATTGGTGTTTGTGTTTTTGCCTGCAACTAATATACCTGCTTAACCGTTTTTTAAGTCTGTTTCCATTACTTCCTTCAGGAAACCGTCCATGACAGGCATGGTTTATGATGTTCCTATTTGTCAGGTATCTACCATCCCCTTGACACTTCCATGAGAAGAATACGTTTCCTTGCCAATCAATGTTGGTCTTGGAAGGCGAGACCAGAGGAATGTGAGGAGCTGGGAGGAACCCTGAGTGCACATGGGGCAAAAGCACAGCATTTGGCTGGGACCCAACCCTCCTTCTCTCCATTGTGAAAACAAGTCCCAGATGGAGATGTTCCTGGGATCCGAACTGAAAAGACACATGGATCAGAATTAAACCTGACCCCAGCTTAGAGTCAAGCAAGTCTAACCCAGTGGGGCCACCCCTGGTCCACAGACCCAGGTTGAGATATGAATATTTAACCACCATTCTGTATCATTTGTTAAACAGCACTGCCACAACAACACATGTTCACACACACAGTTCAAATGCTGGAGACCAAGCATGTTTCCATGCATTGGAAATACATGAACTCACTTAATTAACAACCCTATGAAGTAGGCGCTATTATTAAGTCAATTTTACAAATGAATACCCTAAAGCAAGAGAAGTGATGTAATCTGCCCAATGCTGCATGGCTGTGATACAACTAGACCACCCAGCTCTGAAGGTCATGCTGTCCTCCACTCTGCAGGTGACATTTCAGGCATCTGGACACTTCTGTGTTCCCCCCTCCTCTGGGTTCCCAGACTTCCATAGGAATTCCTGTAGCTTTGCCCTTATCTCATCATGTTGAGGTACAAAGGTTCACTTGATGTATCTCACCTCCTAGGTGGAGAGGCTAAATACTACCTGGTCCACTTAAAGAGCCTGTAACAAGGAGTTCAGTAAACACTGGTTAATTGACAAACTATGAAGACTCAAACTCAGCTCTCAGGACCAAGGGCTAGTGCTGATGCTGTGGTCTCCCAGGCAAGCTCCCATCTTCCTCTATACCTTTCATGCATCTGGGGGCAGCACAGCTCCATCCCTGTCTTGACTAGCTCTCCTAGACCAAACACTCACCCAGATATCACAGCTCCCCATGATCTATCCTCAGCATATCTTTTCCATCTCCTCTTTCATTTATCTCACAGTTCGTGCTAAGTCCCACTCAAGCACTCCACTGTCTCTCACTCCTATCTGACATGAAAGTCCCTCAACTATGCATGGTCTATTCCACCCTAACCACAGGTGCAAACCTTTCCCACCCTCAAAGCGCAGCCCAAACACCTATCCCCTGGGCGCCCCAGCTGAACATCCTCTTCCCTCCTCTGGGCTTTAATAGCACATCTCTGTGGCTTTGGTGTCTGTGTCTCTAGGCCTATGACATTGCTTGTCTACAAACTCTCTATGTGTGTGCTTATTTCTGTTACTTCCACAAGCCTCTTAAAGCTAGGGTCCATGTCAAATCCATCTACATTATCCCAAAGCACAGAACACATGACTTTCAATTTATGGCAAGCATTCAATAACTATTTCCATAATCAAAAAGTGATGGTAAAACTGGCTTGCTTTTGTGAGGTATTATTCACTGTTAGCTTGTTCTAAAGGGAGCTGGGTGATGGCATGCAGCAGAATCCATCACGGAGGGTACATCACCCACCAGCTTTCCATCTGCAGATGTTGCCCATTGTAGAGCAGCATGCTGCCTGTTCAGGCACTGTTGCCAAACAGAAGGTTCTCTTGGCAGAAGAACTGGCACATGCTGGGCTCTGCAGGCTGTGCCCCCGAACCAGCTCTTCCACATTGGCAAATGGGCATCCTTGAAATTGCCCTGCCCCATCCCCCACAGGCCTCCTACCACCCAAACAGATGGGCACACGTGTAAGTATGCCGGGGAGCAAGTGTGTACATCAGGTTGGAGCTCCTGATAAAAGATTTGTCTCTCATACATGGTATCAACCCCGTCCAAAGAGCAAAAGCACACCACTGTGAAATGGGAGGTGTTGCAAAGGAATTGCCTTCATATTCTAATTTTGGGATCCATTAATTAAAGAGTCCCAGACCTGGAGTGGGAGGGGGAGAATGAGAAAGAGCTGAAAGAGAACATTCTGTTTCCCTTTAAAGTTTTGGCTGGTGGCATCAGTGGACCTGGAAATGAATGTTGTCTCTTTTCAGGTGGAGTTCAGATTTAAGGCATTTTTCAGGAGCAGCTAAATCCACGACCTGAGATGTCTATTGCTGCCTGCAAGACAGCTGGATAAAGGCAGTTCTCTCAGGGACTAGTATGCCTCCACACACAGGTAAGAGTAAAAGTTTAATAAATTATCTATAAACCATGTTTATAGAGAGAATGATACACTCAACATCCAAACTTATTGATAACCTAGTTGCAGTAATGTCAGAATCGAGTTGAAAACCTTTATTGACTCAGGTTGTCTTCATTGTCTGAAGGCGCATGTTGGCTAGACAACAAAGACAGTGGTGGGAGCAGCCAACATGGCCTTTGGTGTACATTACAAATTTAAAAGCCTAAAATTGACAAAGAAATAATACCACCTATAACTCTAGAGCACTTTAATTCTGGTCTTTTTTGAGACACTAAAGACAAATAAGAACTGCATTGATCCACTTGATCTACAGATCTCACAAGTAATTTCTTCTGCTGGGATTTGTTTTTTTTTTTTTTTCTTTTACTTTCCAAACTCTAAAATATCCATGACTCATTTGGAACACAAGAAGTGCAGCATGAACATCCCAGTTGGTCATCTGCAGAATATGCCAAACAGCACAGGATGCGGGGAAGCCACATAATGGAGAACAGATCATCGTCTGGCAAAGCAACTGTCCAATGGCCAGCAGGTGGCCCAGTTGCTGGACCAATATGCTGCCCAGTACTGGAAGGTGCTCAGTCTCAGAAATGGGTTATAAATACCCATACAGGGCTGTGACATGTGGAAGCTAAGAGCCTTAAAGACTTCAAGCTTTGCTGGTCACACTAGGGGCGTCAAGTGCTTCTCTGTAGATAGAATCTATCCAGTCTGTTTATTGTCTGCCTTTTAAAAGTCACTCCTCATTTCCAGACAGCTTCAGATAGAGGCTTGACTAGGGATTAAATATCCATCATTAATATGGCTCAGAGACATTGAAAAAGAATAAGAGAGAAGAGAAGAAGAGTTTAAATACCTCCTGTAGAAGGGCTATCTCACTGTGACAGCTCTGGATGTTTCATTTATTAAACAATGGAAGGTATAGTATATTATAGATGTGCTTAAAAAATCATTTACAAAGGAGAATTACTTTATTTTTAATGAAGAATCAAGCCTTATCCTCTAGGAGGCTTTACAAAAATGGTTTTGAAGAAATTAACCTCTAATTTTATTTATTTAAATGCATGTATTTCTAAAGCTTCAAAATTATTGAGGTCCACTAGTTGTTTTTTTTTTCAAAGTTACTTTAGCTAGTTGGATGACTTAACTGTAGATCACAAGAGTGTCCAAACTTATTTTCACTCCCCAGAATTTTTTTCATTCTCTCCTGTTTCTGTCAGGAGGTCACTATGTTCATTTGCCTGGTAGCAGGATGAATGGCAAACTCCTGGCATGTACAAGTTGAGGAAGCTGCAATTTGCTCCCCCTTTCTCTTGAAGGTCACTAAATTTAATACTGTGATTGAAACTCAGTGCCTCCCACAAATCTCCAGAGAACTGTGATTCATAAGGAGGAAGATAATTTGGAGGTGGGATATGTTAACCTGTGCACACGTGTTAAGCAATTATAAATTGTTTCCTTTCATCTGTCTCAGATGTAATACATAGCAAGACTCTGAAGTATAAATCCTCTTTAAAATGAGACAGTCGGGCAATAGCCCATGAGGATACGTGGGTTCATTCACAGCACTGATACCCCTGTACAACATCAGATGGTGACAAATGAGACTGATTTTCAGCTTGGCTTGACTTGAACTGGTAGCTTCTATCTTTGGCTTCCTTCTTGCAGGAAAAAAAAAAATATATATATATATGTCTCATTTAGCCCATTGGCATCATTCCCAGTCAATGAATGAGCATGACACTTCTCCCAGTAACCATCTCAAAGTTTTCTAGCTGAGCTAGTTAGTATAGAAAATGTTTTGGCACTGGAAAACAGATGATAGAAATCATTGTTTCACTTGGTGCACGGGAGAGCAGTGGGGAGGTAGGATATGCAGGACAAAGTAGTTTTGACTTTGCCTCTCCCAGTCCATGTAACCTTTGATATCCCAGAATTGGAATCCCTGGATACACATGAAACACATTAATGCATCACAGGCAAGCCCAAAAATTAGGGCTTAGTCCAGGAAGGTTTTTGGCTTTTCCCAGGAAAGAATTCAAAGGTGAGCCAGTGGTAGAAGAAAACAACTTTATTGAGATGGCAGTGTTACAGCTTCGTGACTGCTCCCGCAGAGCAGGGCTACCCTACAGGCTGTGTCAAGAGCAGCAGCTCAGGCACAGCTCACAGTTAAAAGTGAGCTCATGGTTAAACTCACTTTTAATTACATGCCAATTAAGGGGTAGATTATTCAGAAATTTTTGGAAAAGGAATGGTAACTTTCAGGACATTGCCATGGAAAGGGGCAGTAACTTCCAGGTGTTGTCATGGAAACAGGTGGTAACTTCCAGGTGTTGCCGTGGCAATGGTAAACTGTCATGGTGCTGGTGGGCATGTCTTATGGAGAGGTACTTTGGGTGCCTCTTCCCTGATTCAGCCAGTCTTTAATCTGGTCCAGAGTCAAGTCCCACCTCCTACCTCAACATGACTGTATCCCTGAATACACAAGAAACCCTTGGCGATATCTAGGTCTTCTAATTGGGGATGACAAGGGGAGCATATACAGGAATAAACCTTTGCTGGAGAACCACGCAGTGGCTCCTGATGGGGTGGGAATGGGCATAAAAGAGATATGAGGCAGAGTGACCAATGACAGAGGATCACAACAAGAAAAGGCACATTTGAGAGCAATTATAAGGTCAATGATACTGAGAAGTGCTGCACTTCTAAATCTACCTCCCAATAACATATTGGTCTAAATTGAAAGGGTTCTTCCTGTTTTTAATCATACATGATTTTAATTTAACTCACACAGTCTCCCTGTACTAGTTTGCTAGAGCTGCTGTGGTAAAATACCAAAACTAGATGGCTTAAACAACAGTGACTTATTGTCACACAGTTCTGTAGACAAGAAGTCTAAGATCCAGCTGTCAGCAGGGTTGGTTCCTTTGAAGACTGTGAGGGAGAATCTGCTTCAGCCTCTCTAGCTTCTAAAGGTTTGCTCGCTGGGATCTTTGGTGTTGCTTGGCTTGTAGACACATCACCCCAACCTCTGGCTTTATGTACACATGTCATTCTTCCTGTGTGTGTCTCTCTGTGCATAAATTCCTTTTTTTTTTTTTAAGAAGGACACCAGTCATATTGGATTAGGGCCTCACCTGCTCCATTGTGACTTCATATTAACTAATTACATCTACAACAACCTAATTTCCAAATAAGGTCACATTCTGAGCTTCTGGGAGTTAAGACCCCAACATGTAAATCTGGAGGGATGCAATTCAACACGTAATATTCCCTAACACAATATTTCCATAACAGTCTGTAGCGTCTTCTTCAGGCTAAGGGATTGGGGCCTCATCTATCAGAGTTGTAATAAGGAACAAAGGTTGTTGAAGGTAAGATGAGACTCAAGATTCAATAATATGTTCAAACTGCAGAATCAAAGAGTATATTGAGGCCAAATATCTAAAAAAGAAAGTTTGATGGATTGCTAAAGTAAGAGGATCAGAAGGAAGTATTAAAACTAAGATAAGGATACAGAAAGTTGCAATACTGGATTTGACATAAATGTACAAAAAACAGGGAAGGTTAAATAAATCGTGATACAACCATCAAAATTAAAGATTTGGTAAGTATTTTCTCATCCCATGAATAAAGGCCCATTGATCTTTTTGTTGAAGGATATTCAGCCCATATTAACCAGGGTTGAAGATCCTACATAAAAAGATTTGAGTTGCCATTTTCTCAAATAATACCCTCAGACACTGACTCTTCATAATGGGTTCTGCTAGTACAACTCTGAAAGTCTTAGAGAGAAGTTTATTCATTCCATTCAAAGGATACTTGTTTCGAGAGCCCCCAGCTAAATTTGGGTTCTAGTACCAGAACAGCTAGCAACCCTGCCCTAATGGGACATGAAGGGTACCTGGACATGGGTGTTTACAGTGTACCTTTCACGGGATACTTCTTTTACTTGGCAGACTTCCTAATTCTTACTTGACTGACTTGCAATCAGGGAGTCCCTCACATAGGAAACTTGTTTACACTGGCAGATGCCCTTATGGCTCTTATCTGACCCATCTCCAGTTTAGTCCTGCCTGACCATTGCTCAGGCACTGGGAGCCTGACTTTCTAGTCTCCCTGGCAACAGGGAAAATCCGGCCAGGATAACCTCTAGTTCTTTAGATGGAAGGTGCAAATTCAATACACCATCACAATAGGAAATAAGTTTAAAGAGTTTTTACTTATAGGTCCTAGGCAAAGGAGTTGACAATGAGTCAAGAGTGAAGCTCTCCATCCTCAGTCATGCAGGCAGAAATGGAGTCAGGCAGAGAGAGACAGAGAGAGCGTGCACACATGAGTGCATGCTCTCAGCAGCATATATAAAAGAACAGCGTATCAGTCACTTCAAGTAATTGGGCAAATGCCTGAATGATCCCTTTAAAGAAAGCAGAAGGAAGTGCAGAGCTCAGTCTGCCAGACTGGAGAGAGATGCCTCCAAGTTTTTATCTTTGGCCACTGGCTTGAGCCATTTGAGTATAGCATGGAACTAAAGGCTGTGTCAATGGTGACTGAGCCCTGCTTCTGATATGAGAAAGTCAAACTTGTTTTCAAAATAGATGCTGATGCAAGATAAAATCATAAGTATTTACCACAATGCCTTCAGGTATTAGGGCCTAAGGTTTGGTTTTGCTTTTTGGTTTTTGTTTTTTGCTTTTCAATCCTGGTTAAGAAGTGCTAAAAGATATTATAGCCCTACATTCTGATTGGTATCAAGGGCAAATTTTCCTTCTTTTACAATGTGTTTTCTAGTTTTTTTTTTATTTTGTTACAATCAGCATAAAGGAAGAAAAGATTATGCCTTTGAATAAGAATTGTATTTACATTTTACTTTTTAAAAAGAAGGCAATAACTTGCATTTCTAACAATGGTTTATTAGAACCAAACCTTCAGATAGAAGCAACTAAGAATGCTAGATAAAATATTTAAAACGTCTCCTTATAAGAATTTAAGAACTGACAGATAGCCAAAATAAAATCTAAGGAAAGCTGAAATCCAGAAAGCCAAGCACAAGAAACTTACTCTACTTTGACCTGCAGTTACTTGCCTACCCCGAGAAATTCCTGCTTTGATTCTGCAATCTCCCTTGGATAGCACAAGATACAGAGGTCAATGCCCAGGCTGTATCCCAAGTGGAGACACTAATAGGAGGCTCTCCTTATATTAAGCAAGGGGAGAAAAAAAAAGGACAATGAACTCATGGTTATAGTGCTACACATAAACTCCTCTCTCACATCTTTGCAGGAGAATACAGAGGAAGTTGTTGGGCCCTGTCTGGAGTAGGTATTAAAGGAAAAGAAAGAGTGTTCCTACCAAATTATAGACATTAGCTACAGCATTGCCTGGGAGATACAGGGATCCACAGATTACAAACTTGTTTATGGTCACCCAAGACCAGACATACAGAAACTTGGCAGTAGCAAATGCATATTCTCTCTATAGAGAAAATTGTCTATTGACCTTCAAAATATTACCACAATAAAACCCTTAGACAATAAACTGCACACAAATAACCAAGCACACAAGGAAAGAAATCACCATGAGTAAAATCAAGAAGAAACAGTAGAATAACTGAATCATACCCACAAGATTACAGTATTTCAAAGAGATATCTGCACTCCCATGTTTATTGCAGCACTATTCACGATGGTCAAGATATGGAATAAATCTAAGTATCCATCAACACATGAATGGATAAAGAATATATGGTATATATACACAATGGAATACTATTCAGCCATAAAAAGGATAAAATCATGCCATTTGGCTCAATGGGGATAGAACTGGTGGCCATTATGTAAAGTAAAATAAGCCCAGTACAGAAAGACAAACATTGCATGTTCTCACTGATTCATATATATTAATACAGAATAAAGTAAAGTAGATTCTATGGAAGCATAGAGTAGAATTGTGGTAACCAAAGGTTGGGAAGGGAAGTGAGAAGGAGGAGATGAAGAGAAGTTGGTTAAGGGGTACAAAAATACAGTTAGATAGAAGAAGTACGTTTTAGTATTTGACAGTACGGTTGGAGAATTAAAGTTAACAATAATATTGTATATTTCAAAATGCCTAGAAGAATTGCAAGACAAAGAAAAGTTAAACGTTTGAAAGAAAAGATAAATGTTTAAGGTGATGGATATCTCAATTACCCTGATTTGATTATTATACATTGTATGCAGGTATCCAAAGGGCAATGTAACCCAAAAATGTGAACAACTGGTATATATGGAGCATCAGGAAGAGTAGCTAATGGATGTGGAGCTTAATACCAAGGCGATGGGTTGATTTGTGCAGCAAACCACCATGGTTCACGTTTACCTGTGTAGCATACCTGTACATCCTGCACATATACCCGAGCTTAAAAGTTGAAGGAAAATAAATAAATTTAATATAAATATTTATTTTGAATTCTTTATCAGGAAGTTTGTATATCTCCATGTCTTTTGGGTCAGCTACTAGAAGATTATTGTGTTCTTTGGGTAGGAGTTATGTCTCGTTATTGGTTTTTTGTGTTTCTTGTTGACTTACATTGAGGTCTGAACATTTGAAAAAGTAGAGGCTTGTTCCAGTCTGCAGACTGGCTTTGTCTTGGGGGAGCCCTTCACCAGTCAGCCTACCCAGAGATTCTGGGTATACCACCTGGTATGGTTCATGAGCAGGCTTGCTGCTAATGTCCTCCAGCAGGCTGGCCTGTTTCTTGGGTCAGCAGGTGAGCAGACCCTGGTGCCTGGGTCTGCAGGTGCCAACCTGGTGACTAGGGCCATGGGGGGTATTCTAGGGCTGGGGTGGGCATGAAGTCTGGGGCTGTAGGGGCCATCCCAGTGCTGGGGGTGGTCTGGAGCCTAGGGCTGCTGGGGCTACCCTGGCCCTAGGGTGGGCCTAGAGTCTGAATCTGTGGGGGCTGACCTGGCCCTAGGGTAGATCCAAAGCCACTGAGGCCCAGTCTGGATCCTGGGGCTGAGGCAGGCCTGAAGACTGAGTCTGCCAGGCCGGACTGGAGCCTGGGGCTGCAGGATCCAGCCTTGGACTAGGGTAGTCCTATAGGTTCAGTCCAGAGGGACCGGCCTGGAGTCTTAGGTTATGGTGAGCCCAGTGTTGGGTTTTACTGTGGCAGGCCCAGTGTTGGCATCCAAGGCAAAGTGCAGTGCTTACTTTTCTCTCCTTTCCCCAAGTGAAGGGTATCTCTCTCCATGCCGTGCTGCCTGAAGTTGGGGGCAGTGATGCAGGTAATATAAAGCTGTCCTTCTCACCCTCCCCAGTGCTACTCATAACATCAGGATGAAGCTTACAAACAACACATTGAGTAAAAGGAGTCAGACATAAAAGAACACATTGATATGATTCCCTCAATGTTAAGTTCAAGAGCAGGATAATCTAAACTACATTGTTTAGTGATGCTTTTTATAAGAGATAAAAATATCTTTAAAAAGCAATGATATAATTAACAAAATGTCAGAACAAAGATTAGTCTCTGGGAGGACAATATAGAAGGAAATTGGGAGTCTGACGAGGCTCTGTTTCTTAGACTGAATGGTTGTTACAGGGGTGCTTTCTTTAAAAGTGTTCCTTAAACAACAGCTTGTATAGATTGTATGCACTTCCCTGTCTGTATAATATAATTCAAAATAAAACAAGGGAAATAATTTGCAAAAGAAAATGTCTCCTGGATGTCTTGGACTTAGAAAATAAAAGCAAGAATTAGTAGGTAGCAGACAAGCTGTAAGCAATTTTGCACAGTTGGGTATACAAAGTGGTATTGGCTGATAGTTTTCACATTCCACTCACGGAGAGGTAGATGGGTTTAATAGCTGTGTTTAAAGTGTCAGATGCAAGAACAATGATAGGTTTCCCTTAAACGATTTTCACTAATTCCCTCCCAGCTCAAGAACTTTTTTCATTAAAATGGTCCTTTGCTGCCTATCAGAAACAATTAAATCCTCACCTCATAGCAGTCTCCATCTTACGTCAACCACTCCCTTTGGCCCCCAAAATATACCTCCAATATTATCTAACACGAACTGGAATTGCCACATGGTCAAGGCAATAAAGAAATAAAGCCACGAAAGAAACCAAATGAAAGCAAAGGTATAAAATGATTTAGATGTTAGTCTGCAGAAAGAAAAAGCTGAAGGAATTAGAAACAGCCACAGGAACTTTCTGTGAACCAGGAGAGGCACTTCCATTTACAAACCACACTTTGTTTTTCATAGAGTGGGCTTGATCATCACTTAAGAACTGAAAATTCAGCATTCCTTCTAAGGTGCATTTTGTTCAAATTGATATAAGTGCCCCAGATGGTTTGGCTTATGGTATCCCATTGATTATTGCGTTCTGCTCTTGCAAGTCATAGATCTGTTGTAATCTAACTGTCTGGGGAGTGGCCATTATTCTAGTTTCAAACCCATTCTGTCCTCAGTCACACGCATTCAAGCAAAGTAATGCAGGGGGACCAGATAAAAGCCGCCCATTAGAAACCTCAGTTGCTGCTTGCCTCTCCCACAGAATTGAATATATTACTCCAGCTATCGTCAACAAACATGCTTCAACAACAGGATCCTCACTGTTTGGAAGACAGCCCCTGAGACCCAGAGCAAATGGGTCAAAGTCTCAGTTACATCAGTATAACTACAAAGACAATAATTCTTACCTCTCTCACAGGATCCAGTGAAAAAGTAAGTGAATAAAAATAGACTGAAAACAGCAATGTAAGGAGCTAAAAGTACTGTGTGCATTGTTGTAAAATATTAAGTCAACAGTCCAATCATTTATTGCCACTGAAAGTCTAATATCTTATCTGACAGGTTGTAAACTTTCAGAGACATAAGCTTGAAGTGTGTATGTTTGTGTGTTTTAAGTGTGAACTGAAGCAGGTGGCAATAAGGGGAAGAAGGAGGGGAAATGGGAAGAAAAGTAACACGAAGAAGAAATGCATAAAGAAGAGACCATGATCCAGTGGGCAAATAACTCAGTTGAATCTTTGAAGAAACAGGTGTCAATGCTTGTTATCATGGTGAAGGTCAAGTAACATTTTTCTAGACATTTATCTTTACTGCTCTCTGCTAGGAATGACACCAGCGCATCACAATACTGCCCTCCTAGCCTCTCAGCCTGTGCTGCCTCCCACCATGGAGGCACACCACTGCCATTCTCCATTTACCTTCCCTCATCTCCCTCCCCAGCTCAGGCTCCTTGCCTCACAGCTCATCTCTCCAGACTCTGAGTACATTTCAAACTGTCTATGGCACCAAATAATAAGACAAAACAAAATAGGAAATAACAAGCTAAAGAATCAGGTCTAGGAAGGAAGC
This sequence comes from Homo sapiens, assembly GCF_000001405.40. NCBI lineage: Eukaryota > Metazoa > Chordata > Mammalia > Primates > Hominidae > Homo > Homo sapiens. The sequence continues at coordinate 9,860,521 of NC_000005.10, forward strand.
TCCCTTTCAGTCAGAACCCTCTAGTTTCTTGTGTTACTTCAGGTCGGCTGTGGATTTGATGTGTAAAAGGATGTGTGGGGAAAGAGAGCAGAAATTAGGAAAAGCCTTCAGCCTGGGATGTAGGTCTGATACTGCGGAAGGAGAGAGGGATAGAATATTGGAGAGCAAGAGTCTCAAACTGCAGGAAAAAATGGCTTGGCCAGACCTATGGGCAGTCCTTAAGGCAAAGTTACCCACTGGAGAGCTCCATGTCATGTCTCAGTACCCATCTGTGCTCAGCCACTGGATGGCTGCAGCCTGCAGAAAGGTTGGTCGCAGTGAAAATGTGGGAGCAGTTAAAAAGGGACACAGGTGGGGCCATTTGTGCTTCCTGCAGCAAGACGATCTAAGCAGCAGCCCCTCAAGAAATATGTTCCTTTACCTATTGGTCACCTGAAAGTAAGGGCCTTTTTTTTTTGCTCACTCCATAGCATAGAAGTTGCAAACTGACTGTAATGGACAATCTGGGAAGATGAGGTTTTTTTTTTTTTTTGCTATTGCATTTGGGTATTGAATAGTGTTTTAAAAACTTTTGAGCTAGTGACCAATATTTAAAACAAATAGATTTTACATTTTTAAAATTCACACTTCCAGCTTTTCTTGAAATGAAATGCAAAGGGACAACATTCTTTCACGCTGGTGGAAAAACAGCCTTCCCCCTTAGTGGACATTCACTCTGCAGCTGGCCGTATTTCCCACCATTCCTTTATGCCTACACCAGCCCACGCACGGATCACTTTACTGACTGTTCTCCATGATCATTTAAGGCTTTAAGTCTCCTGCATTCATGCCTGTGTCACCATTAGAACATAATATCACTGACGGCAATTATTTTGTCTGTTTGGATCATTGACAGGCAATTAATTGCCTGCAACAGTACAAGTTACATATTAGCTGCCCAATAAATATTTGTTCAATAAAATAGGGTGCTATCAACATAGAGTGTTGGAAGAAATTGAGTGGATGGTGGTGGAGAAAAGGCACTTGTTTCAGAGTCTTGTCTATGGTTAGCTTTGCACTACCCACACACAACCAAACTGGCACCTAAGGGAGAAGGTGAGACTCCAGACACAGCAGTAGAGGGTGCTTGTTCTAAGGAATATGTAGAATCAAGGTGGTACAGAATGGGTGTGTATACAGCAGCAAAAAGTCTCCCCTTGCATGTCCTGTACCCTCTCGCAGGACTTCTTTACTCTCCTTTCAAATTTAGGATGAGGGAGTGGGTTTGTACAGAGAAGCAGTGCTTATCTCAGCTCCTGCCCTAGCCCCAGCTCAGCCTGAAGCATTGCTACAAAATACTCACTGGGTCACATTCCAGGGCAGCCAGGCATGAGGGGTCCTCACCCCAGAGCTAACGCACACTTAAGCATAATGGAACGAATTGAGTTCAATGATGATGCGATGGGTGATCCTCAAATGGCATAAAAATGCACATGGACAAATATTGCAAATCAAACCGAGAACTGCTGCCAGAGGCCAGTCCCCCGTGGTGTCTCACCAGCTCTGAAAATGATTACCAGATGATAAAGCAGAGCAGGCTCCCTGCAATCTGATTACGAGGAGGGACTGGCAAATCCATTAGGAGCAAACAGGCCTCCTTCAAGTCCATTTTACTTGCTAAAATCAAGCAACGTTAAGTTTAAAAAAAAAAATGAGCCAATTTTTCATCCCATTCTCATTGCCTCATAGTCAGTGCATTCGTTTTCAGTTAAAAGAGCTGGGAAGGTTTGCGCTTTGAGAGCAAACCTTCCTGCTATTAAAAATCAAAGTCAGACGTAAGCCTGGCATGAAGCAGAGAGCTAGTACCTTTAGTTTGTGGGCAACCTGTTCTGACAGCCTAACCTGCAGAAAAGCAGCCGTGGAGGAAGGGAAGCAACTCTGACCTTCTGTGCATCAGACCGCACAGAGCCCTCTGCTTGTGTCCTGTCACATAATTCCCTATTCCCTGGATAAGGAGATTTATAAAGAATCCACTAAGTTAGAACAGGAAGGGATTTTAGCACTTGTGTAATCTACCTTTCTCTTAGTCTTATTTCGTTTTATGATTATTATTATTATTTTGAGACAGGGTCTGGCTCTGTCACCCAGACTGGAATGCAGTGGCGTGATCTCAGCTCACTACAACCTCTCCCCCATCTCTTGCCCCCTGGGCTCAAGCCATCCTCCCAGCTCAGCCTCCCAAGTAGCTGGGACCACAGACATGCACCACCACACGTACTTAATTTTTCTGTTTTTAGTAGAGAGAGTTTCTTGCCATGTTGCCCAGGCTGGTCTTGAATTACTGAGCTCAAGCAATCCACCCGCCTCAGCCTCCCAAACTGCTGGGATTCCAGGCATGAGCCACTGCGCCCAGCCTTAGATTTATTTTAAAACCACATCATCTTTTAATAAGCATAAAAAATGTTCATGTCCTCGAAAGATCTTGACATGGCTGGCTCCAGCTCTACCCCACCTCTAGCTTGAGAGTCTTTTTCTTGTACACTTCCAGTAGCCAACAGGTTTCAGAGCTTTGTATTCCATAGAGTACATGATGGAAACAATGAACCATTTTCCCTGAAATATGAAAATATAATATCATATTAAATATGCTTTGAAACTAAACACTTCCCTCTACCACCATCACCACCTATCAAGATTCTGATACAGGCTTCGCTGACTTGGTTTGGCCCTCTCATGTTATACAGAAAGCGGCTGAGACCCAAAGATTTTTTTTTTTTTTTTTTTTTGAGATGGAGTCTCGCTCTATCGCCCAGACTGGAGTGCAGTAGCGTGATGATCTCGGCTCACTGCAAAGCTCTGCCTCCTGGGTTCACGCCATTCTCCTGCCTCAGCCTACCGAGTAGCTGGGACGTGGGCTCCCACCAACACGTCTAATTTTTTGTATTTTTAGTAGAGATGGGGTTTCACTGTGTTAGCCAGGATGGTCTCGATCTCCTGACCTCGTGATCTGCCCCCTTGGCCTCCCATAGTGTTTGGATTACGGGCGTGAGCCACCGCACCTAGCCAGGCCCAAAGATTATTACTGACCTGAGGCTGCAGACTTGCTTTTCTTCCTAATGCTGGAACCTAACCCCGTGTTCCCTGACTCACATTAGATTGCTCTCTCAGTGCTCAGGGCTTTATACTCCAAACCCAGGGCTTCATACATGACTGCCCAAGAACAAGAGGAAATTGTGAAAAGTGTCTTTGAAGAGGATCATATAAACAGTAATCTTTTGTATTGGCATCATTTGGATAGTGGTGTTGGGACCCAAGGGTGAACACACCCCTCCCCTTCAAAAGTTCTGGTCAATAAAGAACACTCAGAGGACAGTGCTCCTTGGGACAGTTACCCAAGTAAAGTTCAGGTCTGTACTCAACTAATGGCTAAGCAATTCTCCAATAACCACCAGAGGATAGGGCTCTCGGGTGAAAGCTAGATTAGAAAATATGACCTAGAGCTTAGACCAAACATGATTTTTAAATTCTGAACACTACTCCTGCTATGCCCATAACTGAATACAAGTAGGCCAACAAAACAAAAGAATGGCTACTTCTTCTGGGGTTGGGAAGAGGGAGCCCTGTCCTGCTCTGCTTTCCTCAATGGAGCAGAAGCTAAGTGCATATTTCTTCTTGAACACACACCTGAGAAGCAGTCAAGAGGCCCTGCTGTGCCTGAGTGTGGTCTACCTATGCGTAAGAGGTGGAGGAAAGAGATGGAACATGTTCATGCCAACTTTCCCACCCGATAGGAAGAGGTAACTTTAGCAGAAGTTTCCCATCTCTTCTTAGAAGGTAAAGTAGCCTGGCCGGGTGCAGTGGCTCATGCCTGTAATCCCAGCACTTTGGGAGGCTGAGACAGGCGGGTCTCTTGAGGTCAGAAGTTTGAGACCAGACTGGCCAACACGGTGAAACACCATCTCTCTCAAAACTACAAAAAAAAAATTAGCTGGGCATGGTGGCATGCACCTGTAGTCCCAGCTACCCAGGAGGCTGATGCAGGAGAATCACTGGAACCGGGGAGATGGAGGTTGCAGTGAGCCAAGATCGCGCCACTTCACTCCAGCCTGGGTGACAAGAGCTAGACTCCACTCAAAAAAAAAAAAAAGAAGGTGAAGTAGCCTATCACCATAGGCTACTTCATATGATGATAGAGTGCTCTATCATCATCCAGTTCCCATACACAAAAAATTAAACCCATTAATGGAATGGTAAAAAGTACATTCTTTATTGAACCAGAAACTGAGGAATTCCAGAGATTGGAAGTGACAGGGTACAGCTAGAGAAGGAGACTTCAGCCTGTGGCATGCAGGAAGACCCTCTGGAAAGGGAGACAGAGGCCACAAACTGCCCCATAACCAAGCGAGGGCACTAGCTTAAGGCTGTGATCACAAGGCCACCAGCAAGTGGTGGTGACTCAGCAAGCTGGATGGTTGACCTCCTCATATCTTCTTTCTTCCTTGGGTCAGGGAGCATTACAGGAATAAACACGTCCATACGGGTGGATGAAATAAAAGCAGGAGTTGGACCAGAGATAAGTGATTATGGAGGCTGTCAGAGGATCACTCTGGCTGCTGAGTGGAGAACAGTTTATATGAGGTGTGGAGGGGGAGCAAGGAAGCCAGTGGGTGTGGCTGCAGTCTTTCAGGAGATGGAGCTAATGGTGTCCTGGATGAGGGTATGAATGAAGGAATGGAGAGAAGGACACAAATTCTAGTGATATCCAGGATGTAAAATCAACAAGACAAAGTCATGGGTCAAGTATGATTTTGTATCCCACTATGCCTATGGATTCACAATACAATGACCTTAGTACACTTCCACTCTATTTACTCATCCCTTATAATTTTTGCTCTTCTTCTCATGTTTGTAGTGATAATGTATGTTAAACATCTCAATGCATTATTTTTGATGTTTTTATAGTCACTATTCATTTCATTTCCATTTTCTGTTGGTCTTCCTTTCAGCATTCTGTGTTTTTACCTGGGATCACTTTCCTCTGAACTGAAGAACTCCCTTTGCTGTTTTCTTTAACACAAATGGGCTCCTGAAAAGTTCTCTTAGTTTTGACTTTTCTGAAAGTATTTCTTTTATTTCCACTTTGCTTTTGAAGAATGTTTTGCTAATTAAAGTAAAATTCTAGGTTCACAGTTATTTTCTTATATCACTTTAACGAGATTATTCAATTGTGTTTTGACTCTCATTGTTTCCCATCACAAGTCAGTTGTCACTCTTCCTGTTTCCTTTCAAAGTCATCTGCCTTTTCAACACTTCTGGCTCCTTTCAGGATCTCCTTTTGTGTTTGGTGTTCAAAAATGACAGTGATATGCTAAAGCATGGTTTTCTTTGTATTTATCCTGCTGAGGCTCATAGGCCATGATTTTGAGTCTTAATGTCCTCCCAAAATCTTGAAAAATACTTGCCTATGATTATGTTTCTGTTCATTTTCTTTCTCCTCTCTTTCTGGAACTACAATTATACCTGAAATTCAATCTTTTCATTATGACCCATATATCTCTTACTTACTCTTCTATACATTGAGACTTTTTATCTCTCTGTGTTTTTTAATATCTCTCTGGACATATTCTACAGACTTTCTTCCAGTTTACTAATTCTCTCTACTACCCTACCATGATGCCCATTGATTGAAATCTCAATTTCATTTATTTTTATTTTTCCATTATAGGATTTCCATTGGAATTTTTATGGTTTCTGGTTCTCTGCTGAAATCCTTCATCTTGTAATTGTATTTCTTGAACATCTTAATTGCGAGTATTTAATATCCATGTACAATAACTCCAATTTCTAATTGTCTATGGGTCTGTTTTTACTATCTGTATTTCTCTTGTTTTTGGACAAACCTTATTTTTTTGTACACCTGTTTTATTTTCAAACACAACATTGTCAAATGTTGTATAAAAAATGTAGAGACAATTTAAGACTTTGAATAAGGTTATCACTCTCCAGAGAGAAACTAATTTTTCCTCTGGCAAATCACTTTTTTTCCGTCTGGGACTGAGCTGATTAGAAGTTGTTTTTCAGTCTTTCTGAGGAATGGCATGTTTCCAGTTCACCCTTACTCATAGGATATAGGCCTTAAGCATAACAACCAAAAACCTGCAGTAATCACAGGACTTCTCCTTAGAAGGTCATTCACTACAATTTTTGTCCCTCTATCCTTGTGAGACTACAAAGAACTTTGCTTATAATCTTAACTTCTCAGATGTCATTTTTGTTTTCTGATTTTGCACTTGCCTTCTAGGCAAAAGCAGCTCCAAATGCCAGACACCTCTCTTTGTTTCCCTCTTTTTTCTGTATCTTAGCCCCAGAAATGCTCATTGCCTGAGCAGCTCTTTGAAGCCTTCAAATATGTGTCTATACCTGTGTGTATGTATGTTCTATATTTTCTCATTATTCTTCCTGAATCCAAAACCACGTGGTCAGCCAAAAACAGAAAGGGGCAAAAGATGATGCATGGGTTTGTTTCTGACTTGCTTAATAGATTTTATAATAATGACATTCACCATTACAGGGAATTCCAGAAAAGGACTGACTGCTGACAAGATTGGTTCTTGGCTGGCATCTGGGAACTTACATTTCAGGAGGGTTTCTGCTGTTAACTGATAAGCACCATTCACCGAGCCAAAAGTATCTGTGAAAAGAATTGGTTTTTGTTGAACTCCTGCTTTCCTGCTGGGAATCTGAAATTGCATACATGCCAGACACAGAGGGGATATATATTAGTCCACTCTCATGCTGCTAATAAAGACATATCCCAGACCAGGTAATTTATAAAGGAAAGAGGTTTAATTGACTCACAGTTCGGCATGGCTGGGGAGGCCTCACAATCATGGTGGAAGGCAAAGAAAGAGCAAAGGAATGTCTTAAATGGTGGCAGGAAAGAGTGTATGCAAGGGATCTGCTCTTTATAAAACCATCAGATCTCATGAGACTTATTCACTGTCACAAGAACAGCATGGGAGAACCTGCCCCCATGATTCAATTACTTCCCACTAAGTCCCTTCCATGACACATTGGGGAATGTGGGAGCTGAAATTCAAGATGAGATTTGGGTGGGGACACAGCCAAACCATATGATTCTGTTCCTGGCCCCTCCCAAATCTTATGCCCTCACATTTCGAAACCAATCATGCCTTCCCAGCAGTCCTCCAAAGTCTTAACTCATTTCAACATTAACTCAAAAGTCCGCAGTCCAAAGTCTCATCTAAGACAAGTCAAGTCCCTTCCAACTATGAGCCTGTAAAATCAAAAACAAGTTATTTACTTCCTACATACAATGGGGATACAAGCATTGGGTAAATATGCCCATGCTAAATGGGAGAAATTGGCAAAAACAAAGGAGCTACAGGCCCCATGCAAGTGTGAAATCCAGCAGGGCAGTCAAATCTCAAAGCTCCAAAATGATCTCCTTTGACTCCATGTCTCACATCCAGGTCATTCTGATGCAAGAAGTGGGCTCCAAGGCCTTGGGGAGCTCCACTCCTGTGGCTTAATAGGGTATAGACCCCCTACTGGCTGCTTTCACAGGCTGGCATTGTTTGCAGCTTTTCCAGGTGCATGGTGCAAGCTGTTGGTGGATCTACCATTCTGGGGTTTGGAAGATGGAGGTCTCTTCTCACAGCTCCACTAGGCAGTGCTCCAGTGGGGACTCTGTGTAGGGGCTCTAACCCCACATTTCCCTTCCACACTGCTCTAGCAGAGATTCTCCATGAGGGCCCTGCCCCTGAAGCAAACTTCTGCCTGGACATCCAGACATTTCCATACATCCTCTGAAATCTAGGTTCCGAATCCTCAATTCTTGACTTCTGTGCACTCTCAAATTCAACACCACGTGGAAGCTGTTAAGGCTTGGGTCTGGAACTCTCTGAAGCCACAGCCTGAGCTGTACCTTGGCCCCTTTTAGCCACAGCTGGAGTGGCTAGGATGCAAAGTACCAAGTTCCTAGGTTGCACACAGCAGGGGGGCCCTGGGCCTGGCCCAGGAAGCCATTTTTCCCTCCTAGTCCTCAGAGCCTGTGATGGGAGGGACTTCCATGAAGGTCTCTGACATGCTTTGGAGACATTTTCCCCATTTTCTTGGTGACTAACATTTGGCTCCTCATTATTTATGCAAATTTTTGCAGGTGGCTTGAATTTCTCCCCAGAAAATGGGGTTTTCTTTTCTATTGCATCATTAGGCTGCAAAATTTCCAAACCTTTATGCTCTGCTTCCTCTTCAAGCTTTGCCACTTAGAATTTTCCTCTGCTGCATACCCTAAATTATCTCTCTCAGGTTCGAAGTTTCACAGATCTCTAGGGCAGGGGCAAAATGCCACCAGTCTCTTTGCCTAGCTATAGTGACCTTTTCTCCAGTTCCCAGGAAGTTCTTCATCTCCATTTGAGACCACCTCAGCCTGGACTTTATTGTCCATATCACTATCTGCATTTTGGTCAAAGCCATTCAATAAGTCTCTAGGAAGTTCAAAACTTTCCCACATCTTCCTGTTTTCTGAGCCCTCCAAGTCTCTAGGAAGTTCCAAACTTTCCCACATTTTCCTATCTTCTTCTGAGCCCTCCAAACTGTTCCAACCTCTGCCTGTTACCCAGTTCCAAAGTCACTTCCACAATTTTGGGTATCTTTACAGCAGCGTTCAACTCTCTGCAGTATCAATTTACTGTATTAGTCCATTCTCATGCTGCTAATAAAGACATACCCAAGACTGGGTAATTTATAAAGGAAAGAGATTTAATTGACTCAAAGTTTAGCATGGCTGGGGAGGCCTCACAATCATGGCAAAAGGCGAAGGAAGAGCAAAGGCATGGTGGCAGGCAAGAGAGTATGTGCAGTGAACTGCCCTTTATAAAACAAAACCATCAGATCTCATGAAACTTATTCACTTTCATGAGAACAGCACAGGAAAACCAATTCCCATGATTCAATTACCTCCCACCAGGTCATTCCCACGACATGTGGAGATTATGAGAGCTACAATTCAAGATGAGATTAGGGTGGAGACATAGCCAAACTATATCAGAGTACCTATGTGATCAGCCCCCAATAAAAATCCTGAGCAGCAAGGCTCTAATAAGCTTCAATAATTGATGTTTCAGATGTATTATCATAATTCATTGCTGAGGTAATTAAGTGCATCCTGTGTGACTCCACTGGGACTAGATTGTTGAAAGTTTGCACCTGGTTTCCCCATGACTTTGCCCTATGTGCCTTTTCTCTTTGCTAATTGTGGTTGGTATCCTTTTTCTGTAATAAATCATAGCCATGAGTATGACTATATGCTGAATCTTGTGAGTTTTTCTAGTGAATCATCAAACCTGAGCGTGATCTTTGGGATTTCTCAAGATAGAACAACTAGAGTGGAGAAAATAATAAATTTAGACTTGGACATATTAAGTACTCTTTATATTACTTGACCTTTTATTTATTTGTTGTTTTACCATGTACTTCTTTAGTTCTCAATCTTTCAACAGCATTAGCATGGTTGACCACCCATCCTTCTGGAAACATGACTAAGCCTTTTTATAACAGAGCTATCACCTGGTTTACTTCTTACCTCTCTTCCTCTGACTCCCTTGCAAGTGCATGACTTTAGATTCTTGGGCTGTCTTCTATTCTCACTCTGTTCTCTCTATATTGGTACTTTCATCCACATTCACAGCTTCCAACACCTCCTACGTACAAAGGATTCACACATTTACAGCTTTGGCCTTGGTCTCCCTTTTAGGCTCCATAACTGCATCTCAACAGCCTATTTATCTTCCAGATAGGCCAGAGTAACCTCAGATTCTTGGTCATGCCGGCATTCTTATAAAATATCAAAACAAGTGCTTTGTTTCAGAGCACCTTCTCTTTCCTCACACTTTTCTTCTACCCTCCCATGAAAAGGTATACATCCTTTGTCTCTGTAGTCTTAGCTGTCACATGGTATGTCTCCTCCCTGTCTATATCCTTTGATTTAATAGGTTCATCCAATAAGACTTTATTGAACATCTACTATGTACATTAGGCTAGACACTGGGGATACAAAGATGGTTAAAACATGGACCCACTCTTCAAAGACTTATAGGCAAATAAATAATGGCAAACATAGAAATAAAGTACCATAAAGTATTATAAATGTGATTGCAGAGCAGTATCAGGACATAATACGAGCCCCCAAAAGGGTAAGTAGTCCAATCCCCCAGAAAATGGAGGAGGAGATGCTGGAACTGCATTTTGAAAGCCAAGTAGGTGTTCTCCATATGGATAGGATGAATGAGAGGATCAAATGCACACTGCAGGGAGGGACACATCATAGTCACTATGATGATGGAAATCCACAAGAGAAAATGTCATGAAAGCAAACTAAACTAACTTAAAATGCAAGGTAGTAATTTTCTCAAAATAGCATTTATTTGAAAACATAAGTACCAGAAGAATATAAGAGATTTAAAAAAAGAACTAGCATTTTCTACAGTTTTGTTACATAATGCAGGGTTTGAATCACCTAGGCTCTGGATCAGCCTGTCTCTGTTAGATCTCATGAGACCAGCTGGTGTTGCCCTTCCTGTCAATAACAGCAAAAGACAAGAACCAAGGTCAGTCTCCAGGGCACAATCAGGAGAATGTGAGCAAAAGGGATTATCAGAGGAAATCTTAAAAAGGAGAGAATTGGATTAAGAAAGCCAATGAAAGATCCAAGTTGAAAGGGCAGGATCACCTCCCCAGACAATTCTAGATGATTACAGGCAAGATAGACTACCAGTTTGACTATGTCCTTTCCAAGCTTGGCGAGAAAACAGTTGTCATTTCAGAGGCTGGCTGCATTCATATAAGCATCATATTTTCCTGTAGCCAATGCCATAATTACTATTCACAGGAAGATTTGGATGATGAATGACTTCCTGGTACCACCCAAATCATGCCACAGTGTCCACTCTGTCTGATCCAATTGTCATCCCTGGACACAGACGTAAAGCCCTCAGCCCTGGCTCGCCAGAGCAATCACAGAGTTTCTCCTTGTCCTCCCCAACTGCACACACTCGGATGGGGGAAGCCTGTTCACCAAGAGCAACAGTATCTACAGGAGGAATTTTACCCCAGATTTTTCTCTCTTCATGCATAAAAAGGTGCCATCTGAAATTATCTCATCTGTCCAAAATGGTGCCCAGACAAGGGGAGAACAGTCCATTGATAGCTGTCATTCAGTTCAATAACTGTCAAGCCTTTTTTTATGAATAAGGGGCTGCACTAGTTGCCATTGAGCATTTTAATATATACAAGAAATGCCCTGTCCAAATCAGAATACACCCTGGGAAATGGACAATTCAACCCAAGTGTCATAATTTACCTATTGCTAGCAAACACAATGATCAAAGGGTACAACTCTGATATGGACATATGCCCAGGGCAGAAAAAGAAAATCAACAGAAACAAATTGATTGCAAATAATCTTGATTCATTGCTAATTTCAAAAGTGTAGATTTTATTACATAATAAAGTTATATATGGGCATAAATATTCTATTATATAGTTTTATCTCTAGATCAAAAAAGTAACTTTATTTATGTATACATATTTTTGCTCCCAGGCTTATAAACTTTTGCTTTTATGGTATGGTGGTCTTAAAAATTAAAGCAAAATATTATCTGCAATGTTTCCCAAAAGTTTCCGTGTGATTCAGAGAGCTCAACAATGATGCAACAGCAGGCATATAGACATAGCAATGCAATTCACACCCAGCTATTTAACTTTTTATTTTCTAGACTGTTATGATTGGCTGGATTGGAGGATGAATTCTCCAGAGCAGTTCACACCAACAAAGAGAGAATCATATCTGTAGCCACAGCTTCTAATTTTTATAATTATTTTCCCCTTTTAAAAAAACCCCTTTGCTTAAGCCAGTGCAAAAAAAGTAATTCAAAAATCAAACTATTTATTATAATCACTGTCCACCCATCACTCTGGGTAGCCAGAATGAGTGCGCTGGAAATAGATATTTAATTAGATATTTCCAAACAGCCCTCACACCTTTTACTTTCCACTGCCCTTACAATAACTCTGGGATTTTTAAAATCTAAAATTGGAATATGATACATGAATGTAAGTAAATATAGATATGCCCAGAAATTAAATTGCACCTGTGAATTTATCCTACCCTTGGGCTACTAACCAAAGATTCTTTAGGTAGATTAATAGTTTAACTCTAGCACATGAAGAAATGATATTTTAATTAAGTTTGGGGAAATAATATATGCAGGCAAAAGATAATAACCATACTCTGTCAGGTATAACTACATTGACTTGAAGAAACAGTGCATGTAATCCTAAAATTCGCCAGTGCCCTGTAATCATTAATTTTTCCATTAATTACATTAATCATTAATCTGTCAGACATGCTCTGGCCTAATAATAATTGCAATCATTTTTTTGAGGATTTAGGGTGCATTAGAAATGGTTCTGAGAACTTCACAGGCAGACATCACCACTCAGGTAATCTTCACAACAACCTGGTGAGGGAGAGCTATTTTGATTTTCCTTTTACATATGAGGAAACAAAGAATTAAAGAGGCTAAATAACATGTCCTGAGTTTAAACCTAACCAGTGGAGGTCCTGGTGTCTGCATGGGTGCTTGCTGCTGAGACCCAGGCCCCCACGCTGCACTAGGCTGGCGCTGTCCACTGACGTCCTCCCCTGGCTTCTCTCGGTAGGATATTCTCCCTCTCTACGACGGGCCCTGGGGACCCCAGACTGACAGTGCTAAAAGGCTCCCTGTAGAGTTCATGGAACCCCAAGCATCTGGTCTGATTTCTCCTGGCCCCACACAGGGGTGCCCCATATGAGGAGAGCAGAAGAAACCACTGGAAGACCAGGCCTTTTTTTTTTTTTTTAACCTCTTCTCGTATTGCACAGAATATTTCAAATATTTGAAATGTCACCAAAATTCCCATATCAACCTAATTCACAACAGCAACTGTGATAAAACCAAAGTATCTTACATCCTGAGTGGGAGATTAGGAATAGAAGGAGGAGAAATAAAAAAGGGAGGGGACGCTGGGCTCGGTGGCTCACACCTGTAATCCTAGCACTTTGGGAGGCCGAGGCAGGTGGATTGTCTGAGCTTAGGAATTCAAGACCAGCCTGGGCAACATGGTGAAACCCCGTCTCTACTAAAATACAAAAGAAATTAGCCGGTAGTGGTGGCCTGCACTTGTAGTCCCGGCTACTCAGGAAGCTGAGGCAGGAGAATTGCTTGAACCCTGGAGGCGGAGGTTGCAGTGAGCGGAGATTGAGCCATTGCATTCCAGCCTGGGCAACAGAGTGAGACTCTGTCTCGGGGAAAAAAAAAAAAAGGAGGGGAGGGAAGAGGACGGGGAAAAAAAGAAAAGAAAAGGGGAGGGTAGGGGAGGGGGAGACAGAAAGAAAAGAGAGAGAGAGAGAGAGGAAGAAAAAGAGAGAGAGGAAGGAAGAAAGGAAGGAAGGGAGGGAGGGAGGAAGAGAAAGAAAGAAAGACAAAGTACTACATGGAGTGAGTTGGAGTTTATTTTAGGACATCAAATATATCTTTACAAATTGAAAAAATTATTGCAAAAGCAAAATATACAACATAAAATTTTATAATGCATTTTCTCTACATGCAATATTTTAAACTATATCCTTTATTTTTCCTGGCTTGGTGGCAGAAATTTGCCAACAACTTTTCTTTGGAAGAACTGCTCTCGCTTGAGATTATTTCTGTGCTACTTTGGTTTTCAAAACTCCTTTATTTTATAAAATTATAGAAATAGTAGGTGGTGCTAGTTTTATTGTTTGCTTTCAATGTCCTATATGGCAAAGGAAGATGTTAGCAATCAGGAAAAACTGTTGGTATGGTTGTCTTTTGAAAAATGTGTAGATCCTAAAAGTCTAGAAATTCCTGCATTATTCTTCAGGGATTCCTTAGCATCTTCCCCCTCCAGCCAAGACTCAGGGATCCTATTTCATTTTCTGGGTAAGAGTGGAATCCCAAAGTTTTACTAAGAGCTCACTCTGCTATCTCCTTCAGGTGGCAAGACATTGCTGCCACAGGGCTTTTATATTTAATTATTTTTATTCCTGATCCATAGTTTTAGTATGACTCATGTTAGGTGTGAATCCCCGCGCTACAGGTCTTTCTTGATACAGAGGTGAAAGTCCCAGACTTGGAGCCCCAAGTCCTGGGTAGAGATGCCACCTCCACTCTGTCTGAGCAATAACTCCATCTCTTTCAACCCATCTTTTTCCTTTTCTCAGTCAAGAAGAAAGATCTTTGTAGACCACATGGTGACCTCCCCTTTGCCTCAATCCCATCAACTTCTGGTCTTTAAGCCAAACCAATTGATTTTAAACTTCCCCCAAAAGTAATGCAGATGGACATCATCCCTCAGACCTGGGTTTATGGGCATTCTTATAATAAGGGTCCTTCTGAAACCTCTTCTTGTGTGCTTAGGGAGCCCCCATAAAAGAGATATGGCTCTTCTCTGATTCTGTGAAGTCTCAACAGGGATTGAAATTAAATAAAATCTACTGTGTGCAACAGGGTACTGACAGACTTCATGGAAGAGAGAGGAATTCTCAAAATTAGGAGGCAGCTAGGCATCATTTCCCTCCTCCATTTGATTGCAAACTCAAATGACTTTGGGAACCAGGCAGGGAAAATCAATGAGGGAGCGGGCAGGAGCCAACAGGGGAGTGGTCGGGAATGTGGTGGGGAACTGGAAAGGGTATGTCCTACCTACAGACATTCATATTCAAATATTTTTACAACTCAGCACCAGCCAAGTCAAATAAGGCTGCCAGCTGAATTCAGCTCCTGTGCTTCCATCTTGCAACTTCAGGTTTAGACTAGAAAAAGAAAGAGTCTTGGAGTCTTGTCTGGGGAGACAGACATTTATGAGCTTGGTCCAACCTGTGCCATATGAAAGGAACAGCATGCAGACACTCACAGCAGTGAAACAGCCATGCGGATCTGTGTTCCCACAGGTTCATCACACAGTACGAAATCCCACAGCCTCCCCGACAAACCTGTTTTGGGTTTGGTCAGGGAGAAGGGAGATCTGGTGCACTACTGGCCAGCATTGACCATTCTGCTGAAATCCCCATGGAGTTACCACAACTCAATGGCTCAGATGTGTGGCTGCGCTCGAATGGGAGGAGGGATGTGTGGGAAAGTGGGTTATGAGGATTCCCCAAAAGTGAGCAGCATCTCCCTCCGAGTAGGTTAGAAGCAGGAGGTTACAGTGATTGGCATAAACTGGACAAATACAGTGAGTCCTGTGGGGAGACACCTTGGTGAGTCCCGGAAAAAGTGCTCATGAACTTCTTTGGAAAGGGTTTAATCTCTTAGGTGCTTTCTCAATGACCTCTGGAGACTGTCCTATTTAATACCTAAGATCAACCTCTTCATTTCTGCATTGTAACTCCCACTTTGCCCCATGTCTTCAGAGAAGACATCTACATACCCAACTATGGTAGAGACTGGAAACTTAGGCCAGGCCTTGCCCCACCTCCAGAGTGGTGTCCTCTCCTAGCATCTGCAGCCCAGGAGGGACAGGAGAAGTCTGGTAGCCCCTGAAGAGCAGAAACAGCTCCAGAAGGATGAGGGCCTGGAACTCACGAGCCCAGCTACATGTTTCAGGAAGCTGACCCCTGACAACAAATGGAGGAGGAAAGGACGACAAACCAAAAAAAAAAAAAAAGTTTGAAAGGTTTAAATATGTAGCAATGTCCCAAAAGGGCAACCAACACGGTGGCTGCATTCAGAGGACACGTGAGGCATGGCTTAGAGTAGAACCCAAAGACGATTCCTGAGCTTGCTTCTTTATAGTGTCATTAAAATAGGAATTCCAGGTCTTTCTGCCTCCTTTCCCCCTAGTTATGACTGTTGAAGGCCACAATTGTTCTCTTGCGAATTTGGCTAGAAAACTCATCCTTCACAGAAGCCACATGAAACATTTTGTCTAATCCTAAAGCAAAATCTGTCATACCCGAGAAGCACAGTCTTTCTCCCATTCTGTTTGTAATGAACATTGCCTTTGCTGGTGGGGTTTTTAAAAAATATTATTATTAAATAAAACCTTGCCAAATGTATTTTGCAGAAGTATCTTTTATGGAAAACAGATGGAAAGAGCTAACCTAAAAATGCAAATCGTAACATTATAATGACTTCTTAATTTTAAAAATTATGAATACGACTTCCCAGGAGGGACTAAAAGAGACAGTGACAACAGCTGCAGAAGAAACATCAGGAGTGGGAGGGGACTGCAAGGCCAAAAAGGTTGTCTAGTTGCAGAGATTACAAAGAACATTCCTTGTCTTTAAATGCAGTGTGCTGAGCACTCACGTGTTCGATTCCAAAGTGTTTATTCAGGTAAACGAAAGGAATGAAGAAACCACCAATACTCAAGATGCAGGTTGCTCCCCAAAGTGTCTACACATGCCACAAGGAATATAAAGTTCTAGAAAAACACACTTAATGTGTTTCCTCCCCACTTTCTTCATGGATCATCAGACAGGAATATGAAACCACAGTTTGCAAATGCTTCTGATTCGTGTATGATTACTCAGGTGTTAAACTCCTCCTGAAATGGGCATTTAACACAGAGGTTCCTTATATTTTCACAACTGGCCTCTCTTGAAACCCACTCTTCAAGAAGATTGAATGTTTATGCATTTTCTTATTTTTTAGAAAGTGGATGGGTTTTCTCCCCAAACCATGTTTTCCACTCTTGAATAACCCACCGTCTTCTTCCTTCCATCTTTCTCCTTCTTCCTTTCCAGAAAAAGAAGAGATTTTAGAAAACTCTTTCTATATGGAAAGGAAGGAGAAATATTTTCAAGATTTTCTAGCAGCAAATTTTAATATTGCCCCTGTGAATGAAATTCAATACACATACAAATTATGCCTCTTTCTCCCCTTCAATTCTTTATACTTTTTGAATAGCAAGTCACCAAAGGTACTCAAATACACACATGCAGTCTCCCAATTAATACATTTAGAAGTAAATCCAAGAAGCAATCTGTCATCAATTGTAGTAACATACTGTCTCCAATATGCTGCTCTGGGCTTCCTGGCCCATGCCATATCAGAGTATTAAGTGCTGTCTCTGGGTAAATGGTTGACTCACACGTGTTCTGAGCGGCTCTCATCTCAACAGAGCCGAGAGAAATTAAACAGCTGGAAGCATTTTCAAATTTCTGTCTGCGAACTGCTTAATGTATCAGAACTCAACATGGATTTCCCACTGAGACAGAAGTGTAAAAGTTGTTCTTTCTTCTTCCTCTTCTTTTTTTTGAAGGCATCTCCTTTCCTTTCACAAACAGAATATCAAGCTTTTCAAGTTCTCACCATAGGTTAGAGAAAAGAAAAGGAGTCTTAAAATCAGTGATCACCTCCTACTGGAGAAATTGATCAAAATCTCACTGGGGAAGAAAGTAGTGGAGGAAGACAGAAATGGGGTTGTAGCTACTATTTCTCTCTCCTAGAATTAAACATAATCCACTAGGACTGGCTCCACTGAAAGCATTTTGACTGCTATGTGTGGAGACCATGAGTCATTTGGGGGCTCTCAATGAATTCATGGGTTCAGAAAACAAACACAGTCACCTCAACATAATATAATACTATTCAGCAGAGAATAAAATGCAATATAAAATGGTTCATCTTGAACACCATCCAGGGTGTTTTGTTGTTGAAGTACCAAGAAGTCCCTCAATATTTCTCTGCCTTAGTGGAGTACCGTATTTCCTTTTAGATTCTCCTCCCCACACTTAGCACCCCCGCCCAGGACTGTGTCATAGAGTATAGTTCCAGGAGGATTCATCCTGATCATCTGATTGCTTTCCCTCACTAGAGCCTTGGGCTAGTTACCAGATTCAGCATTCACGAGCATTCAAACAGAATTGGACATCCAGCAAATAGAATCTGACAGCATTTGGAAGTGAACCACGAACGCTTGTATCTAAGCAGCAGCTGTCTGATTACTTAGATGATATGATTCTTCTAAAAGTTCTCTGTCTTTAGTTTGGGGTTGTTTTTACTTAGGTCATATGGTCACTTCATTTTTCTTGGTTTGCAGCTATAACAATTACAGTGAGCTCCAAACGTAGTAATCATGTATGGGGAGAGACAAGGAGGTCAGCTGGGCTTCCTCCAAATGCAGTTTGAGAGAAGCTTTCAGAATCTAGAGGCATCCATCAACATCTTTCATACACAAGAATAAAATTGTACAAAACTGTGTGGATGTTGTAGGAACTGTGTCAACTAAGCTGAGCTAAAAGCACATTTCCCAGAATTCCCTTCCCTGTGTGGTCCTGAGTGAGTGCTGGCCACAAGGGATGTTTTGTATGAGGTTTGGAGTGCAGACATAAAGAAGCAACTCTATCTCCTTCCACCCTGAAGGCCAGTGAGTGCAGGGTGCCAGGCACTACAGAGTTCACGCCTACCATCACTAACTTCCAGCCTCCCAGAAGGTGTAATGGAGTGCTCAAACCTGCAGCTCCTTCAGTTTCCACAGCAGGGCTGGGACTATGGTGAGGCAGGTGAGGAACTTGCCTTGGGGCATGACAATTAAAGAGGCACTTAGTAGTCAAGGCAAATATTTTAATGCAATGTTCTTTAAAAATCAAAGTTAATGCAGAAATACACATGGTGAACAAACTGTCAACATATTTAATACACAGGAACAGTTACAGTTCTGGGATGAACCATATTGGAGCTAGAAGCAAGAGGAAAAATTAATAACACTAATCTCACAGGTCTGTGATCTCCTTCTTCAGTTTCTCTGATCCCTGGGTGTCAGGAACACATGCATTTCCATGATCAAGGGCACCTGCCTCTCCTGCAGGTTGCCCACATGGAGGTGGTGAGGGACATCTGCAAGCTCCAGTTTGCCCTCTTGGGATCCAGTTCTTCTCGTGGATCCCAGTTTGTCCATACTTCTCCGGACATCTAGCTGTCCTTTCCAACTATCATTCTGGTAGACCTATAGCAACCTCATGCTCAGCCCTCGACGCAAGACAACAATCAGCATAGGCAGCTCCAGCAGCACCCACATTTGCAAGGCCTAATTTTAATTTTTATAATAACCCCCATACTTTATACACTTGTTGTGGTTCTACTTCTCTGACCCATAAAGATGCCTGACCCATAGAGATGTGATGATTATATGCAAACTAGAATATACCAATGAGGCATCAAACACAAATTTTGTGAGAGGTACGATCAAATTGTATGGTGAAATGTCTACAGCTTTCCCCCAGCCTGTTTGAACCATCATTTTACCATTGTCAAGATGTTGCCTTGTGTTCCTTTGCTAAATGACTAGAGGCTGGGTTGGCAGTGGGGTCAATTGTTTATAATTGATAAGAGAACAGATAACCAGGCTATCCTTATGTTTCTGTGAGGACAGAGATGTTCCCCTGCAGGGTTTGCTTGATTTTCCTTTATCAGCAATAAAGACAAGGTTACAAGCCCCTGAAGAAGCCATAGAGTATGCTTAACATACTCGAGTTCTACAAACCCAAACCCCATTGAAGGAATTTTAAACACTATTGTGTTTAAAAGCACCAGTTGCTAAGTTCAGTCATACATAAACTATACGTAAAGAGGAAAAATATTTACCTCTTTAAGGACCCTGGTAAAAGTCCTAGGTTATAGATTAGTCTCTGAGTAATCTTCTATTGTTATGCTGAGCTCTGGAGCTGGCTAAACTGGAGAGTGAGGCTCTCACACAGTCTCTGGGGAAGACACCTGCTTCCTAAGGAATTTTGGCTCAGTTTGGATGAACTATGGTACATCAGAAGGAGAAAGAATTTGTTCCTGAGGCTTCCTAGGAGAATAGCTGGGCCATAGAGATGAAAACCTAAGTACAGTTAAACCTAAGATTAACAACTGCACTGTTCAAGGAACCATTCTCTGTCGTAGATCTAGACCATGGTTTCTCAATATCAACACTATTGACACTGTTGTGAAATAATTCTTAGTTATAGAGGGGCTGTCCTTCACATTTCTGAATGCTCAGCAGCATCCCTATCCTCTATCATGTAGATGACAAGAGCACCACCAGTTGTGACAACCAAAAATGTCTCCAGGCATTTCCAAATGACTCCTGGACAGCAAAAGTGTCCCCAGTGAGAATAGCCATGTAGACAACAACAGACGCTGGGATACTAATTACTAAAGGCAAAAGCAGGGACAAATCAATGTCAGATATTGGGAGATCAGAGTTAGATAAGAATGAATCTTGGTAGACAAAGTAAGGCAGAATTGTAGACAAGAAGAAGCCCAAAACCAAGTCAATAACCAGAGATGCCATATACCAGATAAAAGTCATGTCAGCCATCCCTCCTCACTGGGTGGGGCCTCGCTGCAGGAATTTCAGCAACTCCAGCCAGGGGTTTAGGGACAGAACTCTGATGTCCCTGGGACTGAGCCCCTGGGGAGGAGGAGGAGCCACAGTCTCCGTGGATCAGCAGACTTAGTCTTTCCCACTGCTGGCTCTGAGGGATCCAGGCAGTCTGGACAAATAGGATTCCCCCAGTGCAGCATAATCCTTCCACCAAGGGGCAGCCAGAGTGCCCCAAAGTGGGGCAACTTCAGCAGTCTCAGGATACAAAATCAATGTGCAAAAGTCACAAGCATTCCTATATACAAGCAGTAGACAAACAGAGAGCCAAATCATGAATGAACTCCCATTCACAATTAATACAAAGAGAATAAAATACCTAGGAACACAGGGAATACAGCTAACAAGGGAAGCGAAGGACCTCTTCAAGAACTACAAACCACCACTCAAGAAAGTCAGAGAGAACACAAACAAATGGAAAAACATTCCATGCTCATGAACAGAAAGAATCAATATCATGAAAATGGCCATAGTGCCCAAGTAATTTATAGATTCAATGCTATTCCCATTAAACAACCATTGACATTCCTCACAGAATTAGAAAAAAACTACTTAAAAGTTAATAAGGAATGAAAAAAGGCCCATATAGCCAAGACAATCCTAAGCAAAGAGAACAAAGCTGGAAGTATCATGTGACCCAACTTCAAACTATATTACAAGGCTACAGTAACCAAAACAGTATGGTACTGGTACAAAAATAGACACATAGACCAATGGAACAGAATAGAGATCTCATAAATAAGACCACACATCTACAATCACCTTATCTTCAACAAACCTGACAAAAACAAGCAATGAAGAAAGGATTTCCTATTTAATAAATGATGCTGGGAGAACTGGCTAGCCATATGCAGAAAATTGAAACTGGGCCCCTTCCTTATAACTTACACAAAAATTAACTCAAGATGGATTAAAGACTTAAATGTAAAACCCAAAACTATAAAAACCTTAGAAGAAAATCTGGGCAATACCATTCAGGACATAGGCATAGGCAAAGATTTTGTGACAAAAACATCAAAAGCAATTGCAACAAAAGTGAAAATTGACAAACAGAATCTAATTAAACTAAAGAGCTTCTGCACAGCAAAAGAAACTATTATCAGAGTGAACAGACAACCTACAGAATGGGAGAAAATTTTTGCAATCTATCCATCTGATAAAGGTCTAATGTCCAGAATGTACAAGATGCTTAAATTTACAAGAAAAAGACAACCCCATTAAAAAGTGGCCAAAGGACATGAACAGACACTTCTCAAAAGAAGACATTTATGTGGCCATCAAACATATGAAAAAAAGCTCAACATCAGTGATCATTAGAGAAATGCAAATCAAAACCACAATGAGATAGTATCTCGTGCCAGTCAGATGATTATTAAAAAGTCAAGAAATGGCTGGGCGCAGTGGCTCATGGCTGTAATCCCAGCATTTTGGGAGGCCAAGGCGGGGATCACTTGAGGCCAGTAATTCAAGACCAGCTAGGCCAACATGGTGAAACCCCATCTCTAATAAAAATACAAAAATTAGCTGGACATGGTGGCAGGTGCCTGTAATCCCAGCTACTTGGAAACCTGAGGCACGAGAATTGCTTGAACTCCAGAGGTGGAGGTTGCAGTGAGCCGAGATCATGCCACTGCACTCCAGCCTAGGTGACAGAGCAAAACTCTTGTCTCAAAAAATATAAATAAATTAATTAATAAATAAATAGTCAAGAAACAACAGATGCTAGTGAGGCTGTGGAGAAATAGGAACGCTTTTACACTGTTGGTGAGATTGTAAATTAGTTTAACCATTGTGGAAGATGGTGTTGTTATTCCTCAAAGACCTGGAACCAGAAATATCACTTGACTCAGGAATCCCATTACTAGGTATATACCCAAAGGAATATAGGAATATAAACCATTCTATTTAATTATTATTCTCAAAGGAATAAAGGAATATAAATCATTCTATTAAAAAGACACATGCATGCATATGTTCATTGCAGCACTATTCACAATAGTGAAGACATTGGATCATCCCAAACACCCATCAATGATAGACTAGATAAAGAAAGTATGGTACATATATACCACGAAATACTAGGTAGCCATAAAAAGGAACAAGATCATGTGCTTTGCAGGGACATGGATGGAGCTGGAAGCCATTATCCTCAGCAAAGTAATGCAGGAACAGAAAACCAAACACCACATGTTCTCACTTATAAGTGGGAGCTGAACAATGAGAACGTGTGGGCACAAGGAGGGGAATGACACACACTGGGGCCTGTCCGGGGTACAGGGGGAGGGAGAGCATCAGGAAGAATAGCTAATGCATCCTGGGCTTAATACCTAGGTGATGGGTTGATAAGTGTGGCAAAACACCATGGCACACATTTACCTGTGTAACAAAGCTGCACATCCTGCATATGTATCCTGGAACATAAAATTTAAAAAAATAAATAAATAAAAATAAAAGTCAGGTTAGAAGTCGAAGGGAAGTCAGGCTCAAATGAGGGGAAAACAAGATGACCAACCTGGAGAACCTGGAAGCATACATGGATTTCGTACACATCAAGAATTTGGTAACAGTTATTGGAGAGTTTGAGCACCTGAGGAATATATCACTAATATTTAAAGGTAAGACAAAGATTCTCAGTCTTTCCAGATAAAATTGATTTTATCAGTTAGCTATTGATATGTAACAAGCTTCACCGAGAATTCAGTGGCTTAAGCAGTGAGCTTTTTTATTTTTCCTGAGTCTATGGGTCTGCTGGGAGATCTTCTGGTTCTGGTTGGGCTCACACATGCATCTACGATCAGCTGTGGGTCCAGTGGCCAGCTCTGAGGCTCTGAGCCAGGCTTTCTCAAGTACTTTGGGTAAATATCACAGAATACAAATTTACAATACTATCCTAGTCCATTTTCGGCTGCAAAACAGAATACCGCAAAGTGGGTAATTTATAATGAATAGAACTTTGTTTGGCTCACAGTTCTGGAGGCTAGGCAGTCCAGAGGCACAGCACCTGCATCTGTTCAGCCATCTTGTGAGGACCTTCCTGTTGCATCTTCCCTTAGTGGAAAGGAGAAAACAGAAGGACAAGTAAACATGGGAGACAGTGAGAAAATCGGGCTGAACCCATTCTTTTATCAAGAAACTACTCCTGTGATAACTAACACACTCCCAGGATAACATCATTAATCCCTTCATGACAGTGGAGTCCTCATTGCCTAAACATCCCTTAAAGTCCCCCCTTCTTAGGGCCAGGCGTGGTGGCTCATGCCTGTAATCCCAGCACTTTGGGAGGCGGAGGTGGGTGGATCATGAGGTCAGGAGATCGAGACCATCCTGGCTAACACAAGAAACCCTGTCTCTACTAAAAACACAAAAAATTAGCTGGGTGTGGTGGTGGGCGCCTGTAATCCCAGCTACTCGGGAGGCTGAGGGAGGAGAATGGCATGAACCCAGGAGGCAGAGGTTGCAGTGAGTGGAGATCGTGCCACTGTACTCCAGCCTGGGCAACAGAGTGAGACTCTGACTTAAAAAAAAAAAAAAAAAAAAAGTCCCCACCTCTTAATACTTTACAATCACAATTAAATTTCAACATGAGTTTTGGAGGAGACAATCAAACCACAGCAGATACCTTTTGATCTTAACTGCTACATTATAAAACACAAGTTACTATTATTTATTACTAAAGTAGCAATCTATGGGAAGTATAATGGTTAGATTCTGTCTGTATTGTCACCCCAACCATTATTATGCTGTCAGAATAGCCAGCAACAGCAGTCACTCTTGGCAACACTAATTTATTCCTCTCAGTTAATAACTCTTATTTAAATGTTAGCTTCAAAATAACTTTGACCTTTTTCTAGGAACTAGCTGTTTGTCCAAAAATAATCATCTCTTTTTATATACTTCCTTTTGCCTAAATTGTACTTTTTGTTGTCACATAAACTCCTGTGATTCAAAATGTTCTTACTTTCTAAATTGACATTCACTCTCAGTCTTAAATTAATATTTCAGCAAATGTAACAATAGAACAAAGCACTAGCATTTACTGAGTGTCTACTATGTACCAGGCACTGTCTTAGGTGCTATACATAAACTAACTCTTTCAATCTGCACAGTAACCATTTTCTGTAGACAAAGAAACTAGGGTACCCAAAGGATAAGTGACTCGCCCAAGGTCACTCAGCCAATACATGAGCTGGGATTCAAACCCCAGTAGTCTGACCTAGAACCCATGTTTCTAATCAATACACTATTGCCTCTGTAATGTTGAATAAATTATAGCAATACAATTTTTATTTTTTAATAATTATTATGAAGTTATGATTTCTTTATTAATGGAAAGTTAAATATAAGTACAGCCATGTGGTTAAAAAATAGAAGATTTGTGATCACTTAGAAATTCAAAGACTGCTGACTTGGCTAATCAGAGAGAATATTAATTCCTTTCATTTGCCTTATACAGCTATCACTGTAGGCAAAATACAAATTATTTAGTGTAATGGAATCCAATCTCTAGCTATAATAAACCATAACTTTGTTTCTGCAACATTGCTCTAATTGACTCTGATCAAACATTTTTCAGTTATGTGGTGTTGTTAAGCTTGGAAGTTTTAACAAATTGAACTAAAAATGATATAAGTCAGGGGGGAAAAAGAAGCTAAAGTATGAGAAGCTACAGTTTTTATCAATAGTTCCATACCAGCATCTAATTAAGATGCAAAATTATCCTTTAAAAGAATGAGTTAATCAATTAAAAATTAATGTGGGAGGTGAACAACGGCCACTGAGTCAGAAAGTTGGGTGTGGGGAGAATACATGGCAGCAAATTAACTTTTGAGAGAAGGAAAGTGTTTGTGTGATAAATGCATATAAAAATATAAAACATATATAAAAAAACAAAACTCGCACAGTGATCATTTGAAAACTCATTTGCAAATAAATGAGAAAAAATATTTGGGGGAAGAAACTTCAATAAAATTATTAGCACCATCAAAGAAATGGTTTTTCATAGAGAAAGGATATTAAGAAAACTGAGGGTGGTGCATATACTGTTACAAGCTTCAAATATGATTTTTTTATATAATTCTTTTTTTTTTTTTTTGGAGACGGAGTCTTGCTCTGCCACCCAGGCTGGAGTGCAGTGGCACGATCTTGGCTCACTGCAACCTCCACCTCCCAGGTTCAAGCAATTCTCCTGCCTTAACCTCCCAAGTAGCTGGGACTACAGGTGCATGCTGCCAAGCCCAGCTAATTTTTTGTATTTTAGTAGAGACGGGGTTTCACCGTGTTGCCCAGGCTGGTCTGGAACTTCTGAGCTCAGGCAATTCACCGGCCTCAGCCTCCCAAAGTGCTGGGATTACAGGTGTGAGCCACTGCGCCCAGCATTTTTTTTTTTTTTTTTTTTTTGAGACGAGTCTCACTCTGTCGCCCAGGCTGAAGTGTAGTGGTGCAATCGTGGCTCACTGCAAACTCCACCTCTGGGGTCCAAGCAATCCTGCCTCAGCCCCCCTAGTAGCTAGGATTACAGTTGCCCACCACCATGCCCAGATAATTTTTTTGTATTTTTAGTAGAGACGGGGTTTTGCCACATTGACCAGGCTGGTCTCCAACTCCTGACCTCAGATGATCCGCCCACCTCGGCCTCTCAAAGTGCTGGGATTACAGATGTGAGCCACCGTTCCCAGTCTATTTTTATATAATTGTTAAAACAAGCTTCTATTACAGTTTAACACCTATATGAAGACATAAATACTATCTATACATTTCAATGCGTAATCAGAAAGTGGTGGGAGGAGAGTGAGGATCAAAAAACTGTCTATTGGGTACTATGCTTATTACCTTGGGGATAAATAATCTGTACACCAAACCCCCAAGACATGCAATTAACCTACATAACCAACCTGCACATGTATCCCTGAACCTGAAATAAAAGTTAAAAATAATAATAAACTGGAACATCTACGTAACCATCACCAAAGGTAATGGCGATGGCCCTTAACACCACAGCACAGCTTGACCACCGCCACTGGAATGTTCTCATCCTTGTCTTTTGGTACAACATATACCCATTTCTTTTGGGAATGGAATTGCTGGAGCATAAAAAATAATATGTGTAGTCACTTACATGGAGACTACCAAAGTGTTTTCCAAAGCAATTGTACCCATTTATACTCTATCCACAGAATCTGAGTCTCTGTTGCCCTTATTCAGATGTCATTTTGATTTTAACTAAATGACAACTTGATCACACCACATAGTAATAATCATATGCAGTTATTAATTATATTGATCTTTGACATCATCTATTCACCAACTGGTATGAAAGTATTTCATATTATAACAACCTATACAACCATATTAGTGCAAAGTTGCTGAATATAAGCCTTGTCTTCCACTATAATGATGTCAAATGACTTTCAAATATATCTCACATTTTAGCTCAACAAATTCCAAGCTATCCTTCCCAGTTTCATCAGCACTCTCAGCACTCTCATCAAGCAGAAATGCAAATCTTTCTTCCTGCTTCCCCTGCTATCTTCACACCTTAGTCCCTTCACTATCTGCCTGTTGAGTTTTTCTTTGACATTCAACACACGAGGCTCCTCCACCACCTATGTATCACACATGGTGACCCAATTCTCCTGAACCACACTCTATCACCTGTCACTCACT
Organism: Homo sapiens; assembly: GCF_000001405.40. NCBI lineage: Eukaryota > Metazoa > Chordata > Mammalia > Primates > Hominidae > Homo > Homo sapiens. Next base: position 9,887,620 of record NC_000005.10, read on the forward strand.
TATTCATTGGCTCCAACAATAGCCATTTGTGCCACATTTACCATGTGCTTGTTACCAGGCTGCCACTAAGGACAAAGGCGAACAAAGCATGGACCCTGTCCTCGAGGAGCTCACAGGGAGAAACAGACATGTCAATGAACAAGTGCAATCTGTTATAATAAGCATAACTAGAAAAGTGGAAAAATAGATGGACATAACACAGGCGTAAGAAAGCGAGGGGTCAATTTGCCTGACAAGAAAAGACAATGGATAGAATTTTGCGTGGAATCTCCAAAGCTAAGCAGGGTACTCCAGGAAAGCAGGTGGGGAGTAGGCAGGACAGCAGGGCCACAGGAGCACTCCCATCAAGACCCTCCCAGTCCTATACAGACCTAGGAACTCAGTACCAGGTTTAATAAGCAGCCCCGCTGAGAGCACCAGGGAGGCAGGCAGCTACCGAAAGGGGGTTGGGGCTTGCAGGGGACTGCTCAGGGTACATTTTCTGGTTGCCTCTTTTACTCTGAGTGTAGGCCCCCATCTGCACCATGCCCTTCCTGCCCAGATCCTCTTTCCCCTCCACCCCTCACATCAGGAGTAGCTTTGTCAAGAGCTCCTTCACTGCTCAGCCCTCTCACGGGAGCTGCCATGGCCGCTGCCTGACTCTGAAACACCCCTGAAGCCCTCCTTTTCTCCTCTTACTCTAGTTCTACTAGAAAGCCTTAACAGTCACAAAGAGTGCATCTCCAAAAAAAATTATTCAACCTTGCCTACGTTTTCTCTGTCAAGTCACTTCCCCAAAGCCCCAAAGACTTGAAGTGATCTGCTAATTCCCAAGCTCCTACGAAATAAGGAAAGGCTTCTGCTATCCCGGACCCAACACAGCCTGCTGAACTATTTTAAAAATTAATCAATCCGTAATGCATGTATGAAGAGCCTTCTGCCTAAAGCACGCAGATTGCAGGGGGAGCATTTCACAGGGTGGACCCAAAGCTGTGTGCAACGGTGAGGAAAGGGCATGCTGTCATTCCCCCAAAAGTCCCAGATTTCACAAGCTTACAGTCTGATTAGGAGAATAGACATGAATCAGATTTCCAGAAATAAACAGCAAATTACAACTAGGATAAATGCTCCAAAGGAAACATCCATGGTGCTAACAGTGGACAGGGAGGGGATGACTCACAGAGGAGGCAAGGGTGACCACATGAGGGTGGGTGGGGGAGGAGTGAGCAGTGAGAGGAGCCCAAGCAAGGATAATGCCAAGATAGCAGAAGACAGATGGCATCTTCCAGGAAGGGAAATTAGGTGAATGTGATCAAAATGAGGCATATTCAGAGAAACATTTCAGAGGGGATGAGGATGGAGGACTACTTAAGAGTTATGCAGAAGCCTGAAGGCCAACTTGAGCATTTAAGATTTGAGTTTGCACTCCCAGTAATGGCTAAGTATCTGCTATGAGAGCAACCATTCTCAGACTATTTCTTAAAAACACCCTTAAACTATACAGACCTATAAACTCAGTATTAGATTTAATAAGCAGCACCAGGGAGGCAGGCAGCTACTGAAAGGGGGTCGGAGCTTGCAGGGGAATGCTCAGGGTACATTTCTGGTTGTCTTCCTTTACTCTGAGTGCCCCCATCTGCACCATGCTGGAGCAGATGAAAATGTGCAGTCTTACTGTACTGATGATGGAGGGACAGGTACGGCAGCCCTAGTAACTGAAAGGAAAGCAGGATGTCTGGTAGGGAGAAGGAGAGTCCCAAATTCTGTGGATGGATCCTGCTCATGTATCTGGCTGACGTAGGACCACACATGCACAGGGTAGACTCCAGGCAGCCCAGCTATGGCTAAAAATACCTTTTGGGCTGCTGTGATCCACTGGGAAAATACTGTTTCCATTTTGAGTTAAGCTGTTGAGTTTACAGTTGAATTAAAGCATTACAGCGGGGGTTTTTTGCTCACTGTTTTTTATTGGTGGCGGGGGGTAACCAGATTTGCATGTTTGCATTTTCAGATAGTGCTTCTGACTTTATTGTGTGGAGCAGATTGTGCTGGGGCAACAGTGATGTAACCAGACATCAGGAGGCTGCCAAAGGCCCCTCATGTGAGAGGTCATGGAGCCTCACAGGACTGGGTCAGAAGGGGCAGAGTCTGAAAGAAGTGGATACCAAGTCATCAGAGCTGGGGTGGGGATCCAACCCAGGCTGACGAAGCAAGAGAGCCAACAAGGACTCCGTGGTCTCAGACCTGAAACCAGAATAGCCATGACATTTGTGATGATATGCAAGCTGGGAGAAAGACCAGGCTTGGTGGGGAGCGTGAGTGGCTTTCTGGCAGCAGAGTGTAAGGTATATTGAGATACCAAGTAAAATGTCGGGTGGGCTGATTCACACGGAAGTTAGAGAGCGGTCGGGGCTAAAGATATAAATCTACAAGACAACTGGGTTTAAGGAGTAATGAAGCTGTGGGTGTGAGTGGGATCCCCTAAGGATAAAATATAGGGTAAAAAGAAAAAGGGACTCGGGATCCAGCCTTCAGAAGAAATCCCACAGTTTTCATGAACAAGTTGAGTTGGAGACACCTGCAGAGAAGCTAGAAAAGGCAAGGTAAAAAGAAACCAGAACCTTTGTGTTCTCTCAAAAAGGCCGCCTACGTGATGGTTAAGAGCATAAAACTTCTGACATTCTATAAGCCTCAATTCAAATACTTCGTCAATATGTCCACCCATGACCTCACACTTTCCTGCTCTAACACTTAACCCTGATATTCCCCCTAGAACCTACTACTCCTGCCTAGCCCTTCCTCCTCCGCCTCACATCTCAGGGTCTTGCAGCTTCTGTAGGTCCCCTATCTGTTCTCACTTTGTAATCATTATTATCTTTTCTCCTCCCCAGCTTTCCAACCCCATTATATATATCATTGTAGGGCTCATGTTGCCATCCTAAAGTAACAAAGACTATTACACAGTATCCTTAAAAACATAATTTTACAGTCTGATTTGTTCTCTTAAAAGGGACATAAAAGAGTATTTGAAATCAGCAAGACTGAAGCTCTACAAAGACTGATATTTTAAACATGTAAGTGTCCATGTAAACTAATCATTTTTAGTGGGCCTCACTTTACATTATTTGTTTCCTTTTGTCAATTCGATATTTAAATGACTGACTAGTGAAATTTCTTGACCCTGTTTTTAAGGGCCACTGTGACCTACTTATAACCACGTGTCAACTTTAACACCGGATTCCAAAAACAAGGCACAATGTGAGATGAAATGATAATCAAAGTGGATTACTGGAGGTTTGCTTGGAATCCTGGTCTTCCATGTGGACATCGTTTTTTGGGGACAGCATCTGGGGCTTCCTTCTGCTACCACAACCATCCTCAAAGTATAGTCTGGAGACCTCGGTAGGTGCCCATGGCCTTTTTAAGGGTCCACAAATTCAAACCTAATAACATGAAGTCATTATGTGGCTTTTAAAATCTCATTCTCTCTCTAGTCTACCTCAGAGTTTTGATACAGTATCAAAGAAGACTATTCATAATTATCTAAAAAGAAAGCCAACATTAAAATGCATGCCCCTTTTCCAGCCACACATCTGGAAAACAGCAAATCACAACAGACTGAATACAGAAGCAGATGTAAGCAGGCAGCCATCTTCTATTAAGCAGGACGTTAAAGAGCTATGCAAAAATGTAAAACAATGCCAATCTCTCATTTCATGTTCTTTCATTTTGGGAAAAAAAAATTTTCATAAAAAGATATTGTTCATTTAGCATGTAATAGATGTACTATTTTTGTCTTTAGTGAATTATTAAATACTTTTTAAATTTAATTCCTAACATGGTAAGTATCTGCCAACATAACTCACATAAGCAAAGCTCTTTGGGGCCAGGAGACACATGAGTACTTTGGATCCCATGCACAGAGTATGGGTTCCAAAGGTGGCTGGGGGAGGGCTCAGCATTGGCCCTCCCTCTGCTAAGCCTGCTTGCCCACAAAGTGTACCTACTTCTAGGTGGCTGCTATGACCCCAGAATCCAAAAAGTAAATTGAGCAAAAGCCCCCAGCCCACAGTGTTTCCTCTGCCCATATAACATGCCTCTCATTCTCTGCAGATGGAAGCCCAGAGAACAGATATTAGACCAGGACTCGTATTACACCCAGTACCCATCAGGGCAGTTGGACAGTGGCTAGAATATTAAAGAACTTCTGTACCCCAAGCCACCAAAGCACTTCATGACCACTCCAGCTCCTGCCCAACAACTCACAATCATACTTGACCCCTTCTGCAAATAAAAGGGATAGAGCTTGGCAGGCTGACCCCAGTGCATCCTACCTAACCACCTCTAGCTTCCCCAGGACCCCATGGGCTGGCCCAAGCCCTCCCCTCCCTCATAGCCCACCTTAGGTTCTGCTCTTTTTCTTATATATTTAAAGTTTCACCCTTCCCCATCAGAACCCATATGGGCCCCAACACACACACCCCAACCCTCTCCCTTTATTCCTCTCCCCACAATCCCTTTGACCCAGGAGGGGCAGATTTAGGGGGTTTTATTTCTTTACTTTTTATCCTCTTCCTAATGTAGAGCAGCCAGCCTCTTGCCTAGATATCAAAGCAGAAGGGCCATCCTTGTAGGCTGCAGAAGACATTCTGATCTGAGTACGCTGGGCTCAGTCTTTGAAATGCCACATGAATTTCAGATCTACTCTTCTTCCCATGCCATAGCCTAACAACTTTATTACTAGTTTCTCAAGCTTTGTAGAACTCTTGCCCCCAAAAGTTCCTGGGGGTTATCATGTTTTTCTTCCCATTCCTTCCTTTCCAATTACATCATTTTAAGGCCAGTGATTATTAGACTTTGCCTCACCTTAGAATTTCCCAGGGAACTTCAGGTGTCTAGTTGAGCTGGTGTCCAGGTTGAGCCCTGAACCAACTACATAACAACCTCAGGATGGGACCCAGGGTTCAAGAGTGTTTCATGCTCTCTGGAGATGCCGCTATGCTGCCAAGACTGAGAACCAGTTATCTAGGCTGGATATTTAGGCATGTCTTCTTGATTCCCTGCACTTGACCCCCCTCCACTGACCCATATTTAGAACTGTCTGCGGAAAAGCGCCTCTTATGCCCATTCTTTCCATTGGAACTTCCCCTCCCTGAATGAATGGGCTGATAGAAGAAGCAGGCTATGAGTCAAGTACAAGAGTATTACACTCAAAACAAACAAAAAAACAAAAAAGCAGCCCTTCTTCAAGAGACACAAGCCCATTTCTATTCCCTTATCTTTTCACAGACCAAGTATCCCTGCATTCATTTGCCCTTGTGGTCACTCTCAGGAGAGTGCAGGGCAGATCTGACCACTGATCATGCACCAGACAAAGCCACATGTCCCACAAAAGAACCCCTGGAAGCTTTATAAACTACCAATGACTGCACCGCTACCAAAACCAAGTCACTCCAGCTTTCTGGGATAGGGTCCTGGCAGCAATATTTTTAAGGTTCCCCCAATAATTCTTACATGCAACCAGAGAGAAGGGCTCAGGGAATCTTTGCAAGTCCAGCCTTCTTCCTTCTTCCCCTACAAATATCTGGGTGATGTCTTGGTTGCCCCAGCTTTTTTTTTTTTTTTTTGGAGACAGAGTCTCAGATGCCCAGGCTGGAGTGCAGTGGTGTGATCTTGGCTCAGTGCAACCTCCACCTCCCGTGGCCGGGCTTTCTAGTCCATGTTTTCTTTTGTCCATTATCTTGTATATCACCTGGGCCACCTGTGCTTCTGTCCATGAGTCTTTCAGTCTGTTCTGCCTCATTCCAAAGCCCAGCCCAGACTCCTATCTCCGACTTCTTCGCTCAGATGGTTGTTGGTCTTAAATGAGAAGTACCTAGAGCCCAAGGGATGACAGCACTCATTCAACTGTGTTTTCTAATTGGGCTGGTCAAACGGTCCACTTCAAAATTTTTTTTAAGTTAGTAAATGCCTTTTTTACTGAAAAAGTAATACATACTTGTAATAAAAAAAATTCCAACAGCAAAAGTGTATTACAACAACGTAATCTCCTTCTACTTCAGTTCCCTATCCCCCCTCTCCCCTCAGAGAGAAGGACTTCTATGCAAATACCTGTTCACTTTTGTACATCTATCCTGAGGGGCTGGTCTACTTTGCAGAAACAACATAGATTCTTGTGATCTGTCTACTGAATAAGACTCTGTGGGAGGAAAAAGGAGGAAGGTCCCATGAATCTACCTTTAAAGACTGCTCAGGTGGTCAAAGATTGGATGGGTGTGAGAACTGCTGCCAAAACACAGTACCTAACATGGCCTTTAGGCTTTTAGGGAACTTGGAAATATGATAAAAAGTGAATATATGTTGACCCTACGAAAGTTCATCTGTTAAAGTCCTAACCCCCAGTACCTCAGAATGTAACTGTGTTTGGACATGAGGTCTTTAAAGAGGTAATTAAGTTAAAATGAGGTCTTTCCCATGGGCCCCAATCCAATCTGATTTGTGTCCTTTTAAGAGGAGGAAATTGGCCAGACGTGGTGGCTCACGCCTGTAATCCCTGTACTTTGGGAAGCCGAGGCGGGTGGATCACTTGAGGTCAGTAGTTTGAGACCAGCCTGGCCAACATGACGAAACCCCGTCTCTACTAAAAATACAAAAAATTAGCCAGCCGTGGTGGTGTGTGCCTGTAATCCCAGCTACTCGGGAGGCTGAGGCAGGAGAATCGCTTGAACCTGGGAAGTGGAGGTTGCAGTGAGCCAAGATCACGCCATTGTACTCCAGCCGTGAGACTCTGTCTCAAAAACAAAAACAAAAAAAAACAGAAGAGGAAATTTGGACACACAAACAGAGGCAGCAGGGAGACACACACACACACACAGAGGAAATACCGTGGGAGGACATGGCGAGAGGCCAGCCATCTGCAAACCCTGGAGGAAGGCCTCAGAAAAAACCAAACCTGCAGACACCTTGATCTTGGACTTCCAGCTTCCAGAACTACATGAAAATAAATTGCTGTTATTTAAGCCATCCAGTCTGTAGTAATTTGTTATGACAGCGCTAGCAAACTAATACAGTAAGTTAGTTCTATCCTGGTCACCTAGAGATGCTAAGGAAGGCTATAAACAGATTTATAGACATTGGAGACTCCTAAAATGAGGTCATCAGCCCCAAGGCCATGGGGCCCCTTTGCAGGTGAAACCACTTCACAGCAGGTTTCTTTGTGTGGTTCAGTTGGTAAATTTTTGGCCAAGATACAAAGCAAAGGTTGCCTTATACCAACTTCTACCCAGCATAGTGAGAATGAGGTTTTCAGGCTTTCTGGATGAGGTTTAGCATTTCTCTAAAATTTAAAACATGAATGCCAGAAAGTGGTACACATACACATCTAACATAACTGGAGAAGACCATGTGGTGGTAGGGAGGCTTCCTGATGAACAAGTATAGCTGCAACTGACAAAGAACTGTCTGAGTAGCCCAGTGCAGCAAGTTCAGCTCACTCTCTACCTTATACCAAAGGCCTCGGCTTTCTCATGCCTAAGCACATGTCACTGCGTGTGTGTGAAGGGGGGTGATGGGGGAGAAGGAAGGGATTAAGGCAGTATGGCTTCTGCAGAAGAGCTGGGACTGCAAAACCAGTGCCTTCTGATGGAAAGCCAACACATGAGGAGGAGACACCTGGTTTCTTCCTGCTTTGAAAGTGGACCTGGCTTTGATCAATAAGCTATTACAAATATGATGCACAGTTGTGAGAGAAAATAACTTCTGTTTCAGAGGAAATGGCACAGATGAAGGGACCGCCATTGCCTTTGAAAGTCAATACCACCCCCTGTAGTGATGTAGCAGCCACAGCCATATGCAATCACTGTGGCTGAGCCGGGCAGCAGGCAGTCTGCTGATTACTGGAATAGCGCTGCCTCAAAAAGCCTGCAGAGGCGAGGCTTCCTTTTGAATCAGTGCAATGGTCAACAGAGAGGTCTTTCTTTTTTCTTTTCTTATCCTTTTCTGCCTAAACTCTAGAAGCGGACAATAACCATCAGAGATCTGTTCTGTTACAAATCCAATATATGCAGTCTGCCCTTCTGGGCACTCTATCAACAGATCTGCCCCAGCCCACCAATCTTAAATCACACTGTCTACAATGCTCTCAAAAATATTTTATCACAGACAGTGCAATATTCTGTGTGTGCCTTTCCACTGAAATTATAATTCTAGAGGCATCAGTTGCCCTAATAAGAAACAGAGAGTCCAGCTGTAATCTGATGGAGTTACAGTCAAGAAGCCATTGCTTTGTAAAGCTGATATGAACGCATCTGAATTTCAACCTCCAACCTGTACTGTGATTATTAGCACATCCAGGGTTAGGGATGGGTCTTTACTGGTGAAAATAGTGGCCTCTAAAATTTCTATGATGAATGTTATAACTAGCTTCTTAGTGTGAAATTAAAGCTATCCAAGATATGGGTATTGGTGAAAATATTTTAGAGTTACCCCAACCCTTATACAAGGTATATGGATCCTGAGAGACCTGTTAGCTTCCCCGCCTCCCCAGGCAACTTGGGTCTAGCCACCAAGGTGAGAGGTTTCTGCCTATCAGAGGGTGACCACAAAACACAGAGAACTGGGACTTCACGAATCTTACAGAACTGGTTGGATTATCTCTCGTGTCTTTTGCTAATAGTATTTGTTTAGTAAATGTCCATATGGGTAGCAGAATTTGGTTTGGGACTGGCTTTCTTTAAACTGGCATTTGAGGTTACAGGAGAATGGCTAAACCTCAGCCACCTTTCATTTTTTGGAGGCTACATTTTATACCAAAAAGAACCTAATTGGTTTAGGTCAGTTTAGAAAACGTATCCATCATTATTCTCCAGACGGGCTGAAGCTCTGCGAGCCTTGTCTCTGTTACTTGTCCTCCCTTCTCTAACCGCCGACCCAAACCGCCGACCCAAATTCTAGACCTCCCTCAGGGTTCAGCCACTTGAAGATCATTTCCACTTGAAGAACACTTTCTATGGAAAGTATTCCTCACCTAATGGCTTTACTTTGTGCCCCAAAAACAAGGGCTAAAGAAATCACGCTAGACTTTATCCACTTTGCCATGCCTGTTTGGCAATGTTGTTTAGGTCTTAACACTTCATGCCTATATTCTAAGTCCTTGCAAGGCAAGGACCTCATTTGCCACACTAGTTAATTATTTTGTATCTCCCCAAGCAATAAATCCAATCCCATGAACACAGCAGGACTTGCTAAATGCACCCACTGCTTCTGCATCTACTGTGTGCATGACAACTTTGGGGCTAAGAAGGGAGACAACAATTTGGCTCCGATCCCCAAGAAGTCATCCAGGAGAAGAGAATGAATGTCGATGGTTCAGAGAGGCAAGTCTCTTAGCCTCTGCACTCAAGCATTTTACCATGAAAACATCTGTGTTATGTAATTTCTAGGGCACCAGGAAAAATGGCTACTTACCCAGAAGACTAAGGATGATCTTAACTTTTCCTCCAGCTAATTATTTAAAGGGATGTAACATGAGGTTTTCTTAAAACAAAACAAAACAAAATAACAGCTAGATATGGCTGGGCACGGTGGCTCATGCCTATAATCCCAGCACTTTGGGAGGCCAAGGTGGGTAGATCACAAGGTCAGGAGTTCCAGACCAGCCTGGCCAATATGGTGAAACCCCGTCTCTACTAAAAATACAAAAATTAGCTGGGCGTGGTGGCGCATGCCTGTAATCCCAGCTACTCGGGAGTCTGAGGCAGGAGAATCACTTGAACCCAGGAGGCAGAGGTTGCAGTGAGCCGAGATCACGCCGCTGCACTCCAGTCTGGGTGACAGAGCAAGACTCCATCTCAAAAAACAAAAAAACAAAAAACAAACAAAAACACCTAGATTTGCAACTGGTGTGTTCAAGTTAACAATCCACTACTGTGTGTGTAAGTTTAGGCTAACCGCACGTCTATACCCAGAACTTAGGCACTGGCTGTTTTTGACTTCAATAACTTTCCTGAAATGACAAAGTAGGCATGTATTATATCTTTGCCTAAAGACAACTTTTATGAGATCATACATTCCCATTCTTGGGAGGGTTCTTTCTTTTTTCTTTTTGCTGAATTAACATTTGAAAGAAGAAGTCATTTGGTTTTATTAAGCATGATTCTTCTACTTTGGTAGACTAAGCAGTTCAAAATGTACTAGGAAGATGATGAAAGCAACCAAACAATTTATCTGAAGAGAAAGATAAAATTACTAAGAGCCTGCAGATTAAAGAACACATTTTCTGTTTTAGATTGATATATAAACACAACACTTAAAGAGGAAACATGAGCCAAGGACGCATCTTCAATACAGTCCCTCAAATTTTAACTTTAATTAATCCTCCGAATTTCATAACAATGTATTTTCTAATGACACGGGGACTCACTTCGGAATTCTAAGTAAGACTGTTACTGTTCCCAACGCATCCTTGTGTTCCTAATGACTAAGCTTTAAACTATTAATACATATCTTAGGTTAATTAAGTGGGCTAATTTTCCTTGCCTAATAATTGTTCACGATAATCTAACACTGTTTAAGCTCCAAAATAACCATCTTTGAAAAATATACATCCTTAAGTGTGTCTCCTCCTATTATCAGTGGGGAAAATGTGACAGTAAATTACTGAGTAGGAAGTACAGAATTCCCAAATACAAAGGGGCCCAGATTTTAAAGTACTTCCAATTTTATGGCACAATAATCTAATCTTATCCTCACAAAGCCTCCTCATCTCCTGGCTCCAAGATCAGAGGAAATTCTTTAAGAGAGAGGGACGAGGTAGAAGCCGTGTGTACGTGGTTTTGAGACCTTCCCTAAGCTAGGCCTATTCCTGCTGGCCTCTAGTTATGAGAAAGAACACTGAGGCCTCTCGCACATGGCTTTGCCACCACCAGATGGCACATCACCATGAAAGCAGGTTACAGACAGAATTCTGCCACAGAAATCAATGTTTCTTGGCAAGCAGTCATGAAACAATCTGTTCCTAGAAACTCTGCAAGGTCCCAGGTCTTGGCCACTTAGAAACTCCTCAAGTCCCTTGCATGATCAGGACACAGAATTCCCAATTAAGAGGCAGGAAGCAAAACAACAGAGAGCCCTAGATGAAGGGCAATACTCTAAAGGAGAACATGTAGCAGCTGGGCCCTCCAGATTCCTGCACCCCTGTCCACAGACAGGCAGAGGGGCCTGGACAGGGATTAACCAACCCACAATATTCCAACGATCATGCGCACCACCCATTTCTTTCAATAAAACTTATCTGCAATAATCCTCATGCTAATTAACAATTATCTAGTGCAGACATTTACAGATGGAGGTCGTTGAAGACGGGAAGTGGACATGGAACTGCGAATTCTTGTTGGCTATCTTTAAAATGCTAACCGTGCCTACCATTGGAATGTGTATTTCTCTTTTGGACACTATAAATGCCAACTAACCACCCTTAGGACATAGAGTGAAACTAGCCCACACATATAAATATTTTACACCATCTATACTAAAATATTTTAGAGGAAAATTATAGACAGACAACAGTATGAGCTTAAGGATGGAGTCGGCACTCAGGATGTATGACCACCAGAGGAGTTCAGAGGGACAGGAGTGACTACTGTCTTCATTTCTCCATTCCACTCTCTCTTATACAGCCCAAGTTTTCTGAAATAGTATACCAAGGGGAACTTCTTTCCCTCTCAATTTGAACACAAGACAGCAAAATAGCTAAAGGTGGCCGAGTGTGGTAGCTCATACCTATAATCCCAGCACTTTGGGAAGCTGAGGTGGGCAGATCACCTGAGGTCAGGAGTTCAAGACCAGCCTAACCAATATGGTGAAACCCCATCTCTACTAAAAATACAAAAATTAGCTGGGTGTGGTGGCAGGTGCCTGTAATCCCAGCTACTCGGGAGGCTGAGGCAGAAGAATTGCTTGAACCCGGGAGGTGGAGGTTGCAGTAAGCCCAGATCGCGCCACTGCACTCCAGCCTGGGCAACAGAGCAAGACTCTGTCTAAAAAAAAAAAAAAAATAGCTAAAGGTGAAAATTTCAAATAAGCAGCCTCTCACAAGAAGACAAAAACTAGACTCTATGTAAATAGATATGAAAACAGTGCCCTCTTTAAAGTGCTTTTTTTCTCCCTGCTTAATGGTCTAGAAAAGACACATAATTGCCTTATAATCTTACAGAACCTCTATTTGAGCAACAAAGTTGAGATGTCCCAATGGAGTCCAGTTGGTGATTACATCATTAGAAGGTGGTTCCCAGCCTGTGGTCCGGTCCCCAAATGAATCAATCGATTTGGTTGTTCCCAGTTTTTTTCTATTACAAATAAAGCTGAATCATACAATATTTGGAGTGAAGATAAGTCTCCATTTCTCTAAGATAAATGCCCAAAAGTGCATTCGCTTGGTCATATGGTAAGGAAATGTTTAGTTTCATAAGGGCAGTCATGCAAGACAGAAGTAGGCAGAATTCAGAGAGGCAGAATTGTATACTGGGTACAGATATGTTCTCTCTCTGAAACTAAATGTCTTAGTTTTATACACAAGCTTCACAACTTACCACCCATCAGATCCTCATTGATCAAATGGAGATTATAATGATAATGAGGCCATTTCAACAGCATCATGGTGATGATTTGATTAGTTAATTCATGACATGTTCTTAGAACCACCTCTGACAAACACTATCCTTTCCACAGATGTTAGCTACTAAAATTTGCATGATTTCAGCCACCAGTAAGATTTAATATTTTACCCTATATTCATTAACTTACTGAATTTCTTCTCTTATGGATTAAATGTTCATGCTTGAAAATACAAGAAAAGATTTCATTTTGTTTCAGTATCAAATGCAGCACTGCATTCAAGAAAGCTTAAACACAGAAACATCCCGCCAGTGGGGCAGAGTACAGTCGATTTACACAAGCCAGAGTTATATGTTTCATTATGTATAGGATATCACTCTATAGTCTAAGATACACTTGCTCAAATGGTTTTTTTTTTTTTTTTTTTTTAGACGGAGTCTGGCTCTGTCGCCCAGGCTGGAGTGCAGTGGCGTGATCTCGGCTCACTGCAAGCTCCGCGTCCCGGGTTCATGCCATTCTCCTGCCTCAGCCTCCCGAGCAGCTGGGACTACAGGCACCTGCCACCATGCCCGGCTAATTTTTTTTTGTATTTTTAGTAGAGACGGGGTTTCACCGTGTTAGGCAGGATGGTCTCGATCTCCTGACCTCGTGATCCGCCCGCCTCGGCCTCCTGCTCAAACGGATTTAATTTGCGTGGGGAAGAATAATGCTGGTTGCATTCAGCCGCAACAGAGCAGTTGATCAGGAACAGACCCTGTCTGAGAAGCGTGTCTCTGTTTGCACTAGTCGTCCTCGGAGGACACAATACCTTGGCTCAGATTCGCAGCTGCTTTGCTTTGTACCCTTCACTCACTCAGTAAATAGGTACTAGTGCCTCCCATTAGGGCCCTGGGTTGGACCCTGAGAAGACCACAGAGAAGGGTAGGCATCTCTCCAGGAGCTTTGATCCTGAACTTGACTTAAACACCAGAACAAATGGCTGTGAAAGGTGGCAAACAGCTCAATACAAATGAATGTCACAGTCTAGAGATGATGTAGCAGCAGAAAAAAGGAATTGCTAGAGATTGTAGGGGACAAAGTAAAGATGAAATAAGACTTCTTACAGAAAGCGACTCTGGTGAGACTAAGCTACCAGAGAACCTGTTTGGGCTGAGAGAAAACCATCAGCCTAGAAAAGAGGGCATGGCCAAAAGTTTAGGTATGCACAGGGGCGTTCATTCTTCTGGAAAACAATGTGGCCAGAGGGGACAGTAGAAGCCAGGAAACAATAAGAAAAAAATATTGAAAGAATTGTAGTCTGAATGTAGAAGCTCTAGAATACTGACTGAGTTTACACTTTGCTCTGGGTATAATAGGGGCCTTTGAAAGCTTTGTAAAAGGAAGTGTACATCATAAGCAGGGTATTTTAGGGGATAAATCTTCCTGCAGTAAGAAGAATGAATTGGAAGGGGAAAAGACAGAAAGTAAGGCACTCTGTGGGAAAATAATTTCAACTGCGCAAGCATGAAGCGATGTGGATCCAGGCCGGAGACAGGCAAGAAGACTGGAAGTCAGATTGTTCTATTTATTTTCCGGAGAAAAAGAAAGCACACCTATGCTAGAAAAATAGCTTCGGCAAATGCCCCATATAATAAATTGTCCTTCACTTACTCCACCCATGTGTTTTTGCTTTAACTAACCATGAATAGCTGCTTCAGCACCAGCCTGTTTATCATCCTCCCACGTCCAGCCTAGCAGGACTGAACTGAAAGGATCTCAGAGTAGTGGACTCGCTGGACTGCAAGATGCTACTCCTGTTAATCTTCCATTACTCTTTGATGTTACGTCTGTCCCTCAGATATCACGGGCAAAGCATGCCAAGATATTACAGTTGACACCTGGGGTAAGCCAGTCTTTTATCCCCTATTATAGCTGTATAGCTCTTAAACATAGTGTGTCATTGAATACCATGCTCTACTATTTAGCCTTACTAAAGACCTGTGAGGTTATAAAATCTTTATTACAAATTTCTTATTCATAAGTTTATAATTTAACAGTATGCTATTGAGGCATACATGAACTGAGTGGGTCAACTACCACACTGTGGACATGTTCTAGAATGTTACTGTGCTTTTGGTTCTTCCCAGAGGGCTGCTGTCTCCCCAGATCCTGGAAGCAGAATCCCTGTAGAGCACATAACACCCCCAAATTTAACCCAGCCATGGCTGTCATTTGGCTGGCCAGCAACCCATGAGATAATTTCTTCTAAAATTTGGCTTTCAATTTCTGGTCCAGCATATAAGGAGCTTGGAAGTCACCACTCCACCTTAACAACAAGTCAAAAGCTAAACAAATGGAAACATCAAAAATTCTTCTTAGATCCATCATAGAGGTGAGGTCACAGGGCAAACTTCTGCCCCACAAACTGGAGAGACAGGCAGATACTAAAAATCACAACTTACTGGAGCAGAAATCCATGAGCAGAAGCCTCTTTGGAAAGTCACGCTGGGGTAGGAAAATCTGAACCGTAATTGACAGTTGCTATAAACTCAGCGTGGACAGGTCTGAAAGTTAAAAACTACAGATCAATACAGTGATCAGTCCCCACCTCCCCATACCCCTCACCACCTTTGAAAATTTTAATCTCATGGAGCTTAACCAGGTTCTCACGGTGGCTATCGGAGAAAAAATCACTCGTGTCTTCAGCAGGTAGAAGGGAAAAGTAACCATTTTGAAATATATCAGATAATTCTTTTTTAAAAAAAAATGTGTGAGTATGTAGTAAGTGTATATATTTCTGGTGTACATGAGATGTTTTGATACAGGCATGCAATGTGAAATAAGCACATCATGAATAATGGGTCATCCGTCCCCTCAAGCATTTATCCTTTGAGTTACAAACAATCCAAGTACACTCAGGTTATTTTAAAATGTACAGTTGAGTTACTATTGACTATAGCCACCTTGTTCTGCTATCAAACAGTAGGTATTATTCATCCATTTTTTTGTACACATTAACCATCCCCACCTCTATAAGTAAGTGAAAAAACCTACAAGTAAGTGAGAACATGTGATGTTTGTCTTTCTGTGCCTAGCTTATTTCATTTAACATAATAATCTCCAGTTTCATCCATGTTGTCCTTTATTTTTTCCAATAGGTTTTTGGGGAACAGGTGGTGCTTGGTTACATGGATAAGTTTTCCGTGGTGATTTCTGAGATTCTGGTGCAGCCATCACCTAAGCAGTGTACACTGTACCCAATGTGTAGTCTTTTATCCCAACCCTCACCCACCCTTTCCCCCAAGTCCCCAAAGTCCATTGTATCATTTTTATACCTTTGTGTTCTCATAGCTTAGCTCCTACTGATGAGTGAGAACAGATGATGTTTGGTTTTCCATTTCCGAGTTACTTCACTTAGAATACTGGTCTAGCCACCCAACAGACCTACCAGGCTCTGGGCTGGTACTGGAGAATGTCTGCAAGGAGTCCTGTGATGTGATCCATCTTCAGGTCTCTCAGCTGTGGATACCAGCACCTGCTCTGGTGGAGGGGAGTTAAGTGGACTCTGCAAGGGTCATTGGTTATATTTTTGTTAAGTGTGCTGGTTTTGTGTTGTTTGGCCTCCAGCCAGACTCTCCTTGGGTGAGGCTTGCTGCAGCTGCCATGACAGATGGGAGTATGGTTCCTAGGCCAACAGAGTTGTGTTCCCAAGGGGATTATGGCTGCCTCTGTTGTGTCACACAAGTTGCCAGGGAAGTGGAGGAAAGCCAGGAACCACAGGCCTCACTCAGTTCCTGTGCAGCCCAGAGCTAGAGAGACCAGTCTCACTCTCACCATGCTCCACAAACAGCACTGAGTTTACTTCCAGGCAGCAAGTGAGCAGGCCTGAGAACCTGCCCCAGGCTACAAGCCTCCCAGCTGATAAAGCAAGCAGACTCACAGTTCCTCAGCTGTCCCACAGAACCTGCAATGGCAATCCACCTCCTTCAAAGGGTCTGTGGATTCTTTTGGCTTTTCTGGTACATTCTTGCAGTAGTTCCTGGAGCAAAAGTTCATTATGTGGGTCTCCACATCCTGCTCTGTCCATCTGAGTGGTAACTGCAAGTTAGTCCTGCCTCCTAGCCACCACTTTCCCCCAGAAAATATCCCTGTTGCTCTTTTTAACAAGCTCTGACTGCAAGATAAAGTATTTTACCAAAGCCTGATCTTCTGGGGATGTATCAGAGCCTAATTGACCTGATGGAAGGAAAATACCCCCAATCAAGCTAGCTCTAGCCTTACATATAGGAGAAAGGACACCCAAATCCAGCCCCCGACATCCATCCTGTCTCATCTAAGGCTTGAGACCTACCCATAGGACTATGAAACACTGTCCTACATCTTACCACCCACCACACACTAAAGGCCTATTTACAAGACTTCCTTTTGCCCAGTACATCACATCCACATTTCACCAAACATGACAAGGCACACTAAACGGCAAAAAATACAGTCTGAAGAGACAGAGTAAGCATTGAAAACAGACCCAGATATGGCAGGGATGTTGAAACTATTAGACCATGAATTTAAAAAGACTATAATTAACATGCTTAAAGCCCTAATAGCAAAAGTAGATAGCATGTAAGAACAGATAAATAATGTAAGCAGATATCTAGAAATTCCAAGAAAGAATAAAAAAGAACACTAGAGAACAAAAACACTGTAACAGAAAGGAAAAATGCCTTTGATGGCTCATTAGTAGACCGAATACAGCTGAGGAGAAAAATCACTGAGCTTGACTACATTAAAACAGAAACTTCAAAAACTGAAAAGCAAAGAGAAAAAAGACAGCAAAAGAAACAGAACATAATATCCAAGAACTGTGGAACAACTATGAAAGGTGTACATGTAATGGTAATAACAAAAGGAGAAGAAATAGAGAACACAAAAGAAAAAAGTATTTGAAACAATAATGGCTTAGAATTTCCCCCAAATTAATGTTAGACATCAAACCACAAATCTTGTAAGCTCAGGGAACACCAGACAGGAAAAATACCAAAAAATTCCTGCACCTAAGCATGTCATATGTAAATGGCAGAAAATCAAGACACAGAAATATCTTGAAAGAAGCCAGAGGTGCAGGAAAAACCTTATGTATAGAGAAGCAAATATGAAAAGTTACATCCAATTTCTCTTCAGAAGCCATATAGGTAAGAAAAGGGTAAAATGAAATATTTAACATGTTGGGAGAAAAAGAAATGAACCTAGAACTTTGTACTCTGCGAAATTATTCTTCAAAAAATGAAAGAGAAATCAACACTTTCTCAGACAAACAAACATTGAGGGAATTTGCTACCAGTAGACATGCCTCAAAAGAAATGTTAAAAGTTCTTCAGAGAGAAAAAACTAAAGATATGTCAGAAACTTTCATCTACATTAAGAAAGGAAGAGTATTAAAAAAGAAATAAAATAAAAGCATGTGAAATGTATTCAGGAGCTTATAGAATTTACTGAACCTGGTCAGTTTTCCACAGGATGAGCAGTGAATTGTACTGCATCTTAACAGTATGTATTAGGATTCTTGCAGTGGCATGCAGGAAGATATATTTTACCAGATATTATTCTTCCAAGATACTGAGCCCCAGGGGGGAGGAAACTTGTGGAAGCTGGCCAAACAGATTAAGAGAAAAAAACTGCTGTAGTCTCCATATCATGAGGAATTGCTGTAGCCTGCTACATGGTAGTCCTATGATCCTAAATTGGCCCAGATTCTTGTCTAGATTCAGGCGTTAGGTCAAGAGCTCTCCAAAGTGCTGCACTTACTGTTCCACCCTCTGCTGAAAGACCAGGAATATAGCACAGGTTGACAGCCAAAACAGGGATTTAAAGAATGTGAGAAGGCCTGGAAGAAACTAATGAAGAACAATGGGGAGGAGTTGGAGTTCCAAGGTACCAAACCACAGATTTATCCCCCAGACAGGAGAGACTTGTGGACCCCATCTTGGCTGTTTCTTCTTTCTTCGTTTTGTATTTCAGAAATGTATCCTTTAGTTTTGATGATTTGGTTCAGACTGAGATTGCAATGTGATTTCTGTTCTCCAACATAATTCTGTTTCTTTATCTCAGTTGGAGAATCAAATAGCATATTAATATGATACATTACACTAGATTTCACCTAGAGTGGGTAATAAAATCTATTTTCCAACCTTTTCAGTCTGAGCTCAAATAAAGTTAATCTAATTTAATATGTCATCAATAAAAGTTGGTCTATGGGCCAACAGTTATTTAGGGAAGGGGGATGGGGAGAAGTTTGAAGGATAATTTAGAGGTTGGTTTGATTTAAGACAAGTTCAAGTTTAGCAATGCAATTTTGCTGCATTTACTATACATCTCTATGATGAATGCAAGGCAGAAAAACCAACCTTTACAATTTCTATCTATAATTAATGAGTGGCTTCTAGCAGGGTTGGGGTGAGGAGAGAAGAATTGTGATTATAGGAGACCAGCTCAATTGAGTGATGTCAAATCTTCTAGAGGCCAATGTAAACCACTCAGCATTCCCACTTGTATATTCTGGGGTTTTGCATTTTTTTTAACTCATGATAGAATGAAACCTGATTAGAAAGGAGGCAAAGAGACTAATGATAAGATGATGGTTTAAATTATTGAAGCCAATTAATTACACACAATAAGTGCCACTAATAGTGGTAGTGTGGGATTGCTAAGAAAGTGTTTACGGGATTGGGAGGGAGACTCAGCCCTAACATCTCCTTCTCTGTCTCTCCAGAGCAGGATCTCTCCCAGAGGTCTCTGCTCACAGACAAACTCCACCCCAGTGGGGCAGTCATAGTAAGAAATTCCAAGTATAGGAGCTTTAGTCCTACTAAAGTATTCAGAATTCCATCCTGCTTCCCACTAGGTGAAGCCTAAGCACTGAAGGCTGACTCTCAGCCCTCTTCTCTCCTTCCTTGCTGCTTCCTGGAGAGTGGCCTCCAGGAGAATGGACAGGGATTTGCAATCCCATCCAGGGTGGGAAGCAGGAAGTGAGAAGCGGTAGTAACCATACTGCATGTCTCCCATTCCTACAACACCTCCCTTCCTGAATCCAGCTCAGCTAGCTGGAGATCATACTTAGTCTCCTGGCAAAGTGAGCCTGCTTCTATACCCCATCCTCTGACAGGGGCATTGTTTGGAATGGGCAGACTGCCTGGAACTGCAACCCTACCGGACTTGGAGCATCACCTACTTTGCTAATTGCCCTACACTGCCTGTGAGAATGAACACCGTTTCTCCATTGACCCACATCCTAGGGCAAAGGTATGTCTTCCCCATTCCTGATCTTTCCCTCAAGTGGACATCACACAATCTGCTTGACCCAGTATTCTAATAAAAGAATCTAAACAAAACACAGTTATTTTGTTAGGGATATACTGTTTTCAACACCTTGGTCAGTGGTTGTCAACCCTGATTATATGCACCTAAAAATTTAAAAAGAAAAAAAAAGCCAACATCAGGCCCTGTCTCATGGGAATTATGAACTAAGTAGTCTGGGTGGAGCCAATGCGTTGGCATTTTTGCTCTGAAGTGCAGCCAGGGGTAAGAACAAGTGAGTTAACTAGTTAGACTCCAAACCCTCTGATCCCCACATAGCTCCCATGTTGGGAGGGCCACCTTCCATGCCCCTTCAGTCTGTGCCTGCTGGGTCTCTTGCTTCTAAATGATGAGTTTATGTGCCAATGGTGCATGCACCTGCTCCCCAAAGTGAGGCAATGTGATTGTGGGAAGGACAAAACACAAGGAATGAAGAAATGACAATGCTCCCTATTGAAATACCTGATGAGACTACTGAAGCAATCAGAATGAGCAATTTGAACACTTCAGGTCTTGCCTTGTGCCAGAAAAACTGCAGTAGAAAATTCATAGAGCTTGAAAGAGGTCTCGTGAGGTCTTTTTGTTCGTGGCCATTTTGCACAGATGAAGAGGAACCTAACTTTGCCAACTTCCAAAGGAAGACTCCAGAAGAAATTTCATCTAGTGACTCCGGAGTGTAGCTCTGATGCTACCTAGAAAATCTTCTACTGAAGTCCCTCTGCAGAGGCTGCTGTGCTAGTTTCCTGGGGGGCAAGAAAGAGAGGAGCTCCAAAGCCCAATCACTTCATAGTAAATGACAGCATACTTTTAGTCAGAAGAAATCACATTTTGCTTCCATTTCTTTATATTAATAAAATATTGCCATGTTAAAAAAAACTTCATCCCGCTACAATGAAGCTTTTCAAGATTTTTTTCTTAGAAAATGGCATAAGCCAATATAATACCTTATAGGTAACACCTGGAAACAATTGAAAAAGCAAAGAAATGATAGTTGAACACAAAAATTCCAGACCCCTAATGTATTGATCCCCTATTTTCCACTAGCGACATTCATTTCACCAAGATTTGCCACAGGATGAGAGAAGAAAATGACAAAGACACAGGAAACGTACCATCAATAACCAATATGCTGTGTATTTTCTGAGAGTCAGTCATGTAACTATCTAATGACCAACAAATTGTGCACCAGTTTCTTGTTCAAACAGTGTAAATATGTGTGTATATACATATATATGTGTGTGTGTATATATATATATATATATGCATACTATGGTGGAAATAAAAGTCATAAATCTTTAAAAATGAATCTATTCTTGCTCAAAATTTAAAAAAAAAGAAAATTCCCGTGTTGGTTTTCTGGTTTTGATATTACATGGGAGTCATATGGAACGTTACCATAATACGAAATTGAGTGAAGGCTACACCAGGTCTCCCTGTACATTTTTTTTTTGGCAACTTCCTGTGGGTTTCTAATTATTCCAAAATAAAAAAAGTTTAAAAGACAAAATGTAAGAAAAGAAACTCTACCCATAAAAGAAATAAAGTGGGGCCTTAGAAGGAAAGAAGACTATGCAAGAACTGTACAGACCATCAGTAGTAATAATAGAAATAGTAGTTGCAATTGTAGCAGCATCAGTAGCAACAGTAGCAGGAGTAGTAGTAACAGACAGTAGTAGTAGCAATAGTAGCAGTAGTAGTGGGCAGTAATAGCAGTAGTAGTAACAATAGCGGTAGTAATAGCAGCAGTAGTAACAGTAGCAATAGTACTAGTTATAGCAGTAGCATAACAGTAGCGGTAGTAGTAATAATAGCAGTACTGTAACAGTAGCAGTGGTGGTACTAATGGACAGTAGCAGTAGTTGATAGAAAATATTTATATTCTCAAGCCACTGGGGCAGAGTGAAGAAGGAGCTATGCTACGTTGGAAGGGAAATGAATATCTTACTTAAATTTAAATCTATGTAGGATTTATCTCTCATTATATTTACTAAAAGGAAGCAAGAAGCTTTCCAAAATAATTCAGTCCTAAGCTATACATTTCTTACCTACTTTCCCTAGCACGCAATCTTCGATTTGACAGCATGTGAAAATCTCAA
The DNA here is from genome assembly GCF_000001405.40 of Homo sapiens. Classification (NCBI taxonomy): domain Eukaryota; kingdom Metazoa; phylum Chordata; class Mammalia; order Primates; family Hominidae; genus Homo; species Homo sapiens. The sequence goes on from NC_000005.10 coordinate 9,909,636, forward strand.
AGCATGTGAAACCGTACATTATTCATTAAATCTATAGAATATGTTTGTTATCAGATATGGGATTTACTTAATTTACAAATGAGTTCCACTACCTGGTATTAACTGCCCCACACTATATTAGGCATGTGAGATCTTCTATTCAGAAAGCTCTAGCCTCTCTGGGCCTTAGCTTTCTCCTTACAGGCCGGCTTGAGAATAACTACTCTAGCAGACTATACCCAAACACAATTTAAATTTGCTTCCTTTTGAAGCATCTCCCACCATCAGTCACACAGAGAGAGGCAATGGAGCTGGAAATGGAAGCACCCCCAAGGTTCTGGAGATGCTTAGAACACAAAGTACCTGCCACATGTGCCGGATGCTGCTCTAGACATGAAGGGCTCAGCGAAGGGCTCAGCAAAGGGCACAATAGCCACTGTCTTTCTGTCCTCAAGAAGGAAAATCAGCACTGAACAAGACGATCTCAGGTAGGGTTCAAAACTACAGAGAAAATAAACAAGGAACGTGATAGAGAATGGTGGCTTGCAGAGGCCCTGGGTCAGAGATCTCTCTGCAAGAAAACATTTGAGCAGAGACCCAAGAAACCACCAGGAGCAAGCCACAGGGAAGAATTTCCCAGAACAGGGACATCAAAGGCCCTGACGTGAAAATCAGTCTGAGCTTTGTGATAAACAGAAGTAGGAAGGACTAGAGTAGACAGAGGCAGAGAGGAAGGGAGGGGCCAGGTCATCAAGTCTCTGTGATGGGTCAGACATGGGGGTGTAAGGAGGAGGCTTCAGTGAGAAAAGTTTCCAGATTTCTGTTTTGAGGCACTAGCTGGAAGAGATACCACTTACTGGGCTTGAAGAAGAGAAGCCTAGGTCCAGTTTAGAACATGTCAAGTATGGAATGCTGCTAAGACACCCTTCCTGCCCCGGATCTCTGGCCTGTGGGCCAGGATAACCCAGAGTCCCCCTTGCAGGGATCCCCCACTGCAGCCACTCCCCTCTAGAGCCTGGGAAGCTGATGTGGATGCCTAAGGTCTCAGGACCCACGAACCCCTCATCAGCCTCTGCCTTGCCCTTGTCCCCTGAGCCTGGGCGAACCACTAATCCCCATATGTGAGTCTCCTGTTCCTCTGTGGTGTCTGTATCAATTCCTATGGCTTCTGCCACAAACTGCCACAAACATAGTGGCTTAAACCAACACAAATCTGTTATAATTCTGGAGATCAGAAATCCCAAATGCACCACCCTGAGCTAAGATCCAGTGTTCCTTCTGGAGACTCTGGAGGGAATCGGTTCCTTGCCTTTTCCAGCTTCTAGAGGCTGCCCACGTTCTTTGGGCCATGGCCCCTTGCTCCATCTTCAAAGCCCAGTCACACCCCTCCAACCTCTGCTTCTTTCATCCTATTTCCTCTGACTCTCTTCCTCCCTCATGTAAGAATGCCTGTGATTACCATGTTCCCACGCTGATAATCCAGGGTCATCTCCCCATCCAGATTGTCAATCCCATCTGCAAAGTCCCTTTTTCCCACATAGGGCAACATATCCATAGATTCGAAAGACTAAGACATGGGCATCTTTGAAGGGGCTATTATTCTGTCAATGATAATACCCTAAATCCTCTTCCTCACACTGCAGGTTATTTCTCATTCTCTATCCTGCCACAGGGTTTTTACTGGAAAAAATCAGACAGAACCAGTTCTGGCAGGAATGGAAGGTACGAAAAGAAGAAATACAGAAAGAAATCACACACTGAAATTAACAACCGAAAATACTACACAACCACAAAATTGTAAAAAAATGTATATTTACAATCCAATCCAAAGTTTTACAAACGTGTTAAAAACTTTAGACCAGTTAAATTCAATTGAGTTTAATTGAGTAAAGAACAATTCATGAATCAGTCAGCTCTGGAACCAGAATATGTTCAGAGAGGCTGCAGTGTGGCTGCATGGTCAAAGACTGATGGACAGAAAACAGAAGTGGGTACACAAACTGCCAACTGTTTACAGCTTGGTGTTTGCCTTATTTGAACATGGTTTCAATAGTTGGCTGCCTTTTGCCAAAACTTGGTGACTGGCCAGAACTAAATGATTGGCACAAGAGTAGGTTATGGTCTGTTTCCACATCCAGTTAGGTTACAGTCTACTATGTACAGAGAGACCTTTAGGCTGAACCTAAAATACGTAAGGAACCAGCTTTAGACTAGACTTAATTTAACACATGTATTAGGGTATAGGACCAGTGTACACAATTCAAGATTAAGACATACATAAGATTGCTGATGTCAAGTTCATAATCAATTTATGCACAGTTAAATAGATTCAGTGCCTTTTGGGATTGAAGAGGGAAGAGAGACACACACTGGGTGTTGGCTTCCATTCAATGAAACACCAGAAGCTGGGTACCAAAGCAGCACCACTGTATACTGTGCCTCCCTGGGATCTGGGCAGGGTCCCTGCACAGAAAGCACATCTCTGTGGCAGGGATGGAAGTCATTACTTAGGAATAAAAGTAGCCCAAGGACCTGCCTGGCCTCCCCCAGCCCAGCAGAACTGAGATGTGGTAGCAGGCACACTCTCCTGGGAACTCTCAGATAGGTCATGACTGTTGTCCCCCACCTGGGAGAGCCATGGGTCTCTCCTCCTCCACCTTGTGAGCTCTTGGACCCCATGGGTAGGAAGCAGCTCCTCTGGGAAAATGGTAGATGGATATTGCATCAAATACACGGCCAGCAGCCAATGCCATGTGGCATGCCGCCCACCTCGGCTCCAACCCTCTCTCCCCAACCACCACTTCTGCTCTTCCATATTCTTCCCAACCCTCCTGCTCATAGCACCCTCACTTTTCACCTCCCTCCAGCACAAAAGATTTTGAAATGGGAACTTGCCTTCTGCTAGGGTTATGATGAATAACATTTTCAATCACAACACATTTCAATCATAAGGAAAATAGCTTTAGAGGATCCCCAGGGAGTAGGAGTAGGTGAAGAAAAAGCATATTCATACAAGTTAGATTACCTATTTTTTTTAAAACAGAAAGTTGCCAATGAGAAAATGGGACTCCTTTTGAGCCACTAAAATGTTAATGTCTGCGCATACCTAAAGAGCTATGGATTCCTAATCTTTCTTCCTCAAAACAGTAACATGCTTTGGGGTTTAGAGAGCAGATTCTAAGTCTGAAGCCCACACCCATGGGGACAGCACCACAGCTTAACCCTAAGTGGTCCTATTGGCAGAAACTAAATTGGAAGATTCTGGATGTCTGCAGCCTAGTAGGATGGCAGGGTTCAGTCACTGGAAAACCGTCACATATGTGTCTTTGAGCCTTCCCCACAAGGTGTGCAGAACTCTTCTAGAAGGACATAGAGCTGAGGTTTTATCAGGCTCAAGGTTATCTTGCCTGCTTTCTGTAGATAGCAAATTTTGTTCAAGACTTGCTTTCACTACAGACTAGTAGCAAGGTGTATTAGTCAGGGTTCTCTAGAGGAACAGAATAGGAGATAGAGAGAAAGAGAGAGAGAGAGAGAGAAGTTTATTAAGTAATATTAACTCACACCATCACAAGGTCCCACAATAGGCCATCTACAAGCTGAGGAGCAAGGAAGCCACTCCAGGTCCCAAGGCTGAAGAACCTGGAGTCCTATGTTGGAGGGCAGGAAGCATCCAGCACAGGACGAAGATGTAGGCTGGGAGGCTAAGCCAGTCTAAGCTTTTCACGTTTTTCTGCCTGCTTTATATTCACTGGCAGTTAATTGATGCCCACCCAGATTCAGGGTGGGTCTGCCTTCCCCAGCCCACTGACTCAAATGTTAATCTCCTTTGGCAACACCCTCACAGGCACACCCAGAATCAAAACTTGGCATCCTTCAATCCAATCAAGTTGACGCTCAGTATTAATCATCACACAAGGTTTGAGGGCATAACTAACCATCAACCACCTCTTACTGTTGACCAGACAATTACCAAGCAAGGAACACATCAGAGCTGGGTATCGGGCACCAAGTTCAGGGCAGTCCTCAGTGGTGATATTTAGTGAGTGTCTACTGTGTGCCAGGCCAGGGGTTACTGAAATGGATGACAGGACTGTCTTTCTCTTTCAAGGGGCTCCCTCTCCTGTAGCTCAGTGGTTATGTGGCCTTGCCAGGCTGACCAGAACAAACACCAATGCTACCATTTCCTAGAAAGCCAGTGTGAGCACTGTCTGGACAGCACACACTATTGAAGGCCCAGGTGAGGGCCCAAAGAAGGCATTGCCCACAGGTGGTGCCCAGACAGACAATCCCTGATCTCCTGGCCCTGGGTGATCACACCTGGATGAAAGGTCTGGGTGATCACACCTGGATGAAAGGTCTGGGTGATCACACCTGGATGAAAGGTCTGGGGAATCACACCTGGATGAAAGCTCTGGGGAATCACACCTGGGTGAAAGCTCTAGGGAAAGACCTTTTATTTTTTGTTTTTGTTTTTTGTTTTTGAGATAGAGTCTTGCTCCATCGCCCAGGCTGGAAGGCAGTGGCATGATCTCAGCTCACTGCAACCTCCGCTTCCCAGGTTCAAGCGATTCTCCTGCCTCAGCCTCCCAAGTATCTGGGACTGCAGGCACGTACCACCATTCCTGGTTAATTTTTTGTATTTTTAGTAGAGTCAGGGTTTCACCGTGTCAGCCAGGATGGTCTCGCTCTCCTGACCTCGTGATCCGCCCACCTCAGCCTCCCAAAGTGCTGAGATTACAGGCATAAGCCACTGCACCCGGCCAGGAAAGACCATTTTTACAGGCAGTGCACACCCACCAGTGCTCAAAGGCCTTGGGTCCTCAACGATGCATTATTATAAACCTCCACGGCTCACAAGTTTTTAATACTGCACAAGCTTACTAGAGGAGATTGCCACAAGTTCACAAGAGGAGAATAGATATGTGTGTACAGAGGCTAAATGGGAGCTTACAAGATGAGAATTCACACAAGCTTATAGGAAAATATACACACAGGCTCACATGGAGAGATGCACGTGGGGCCACATAAAGAGATGCACACAGGCTCGCATGGAGAGATGCACACAGGCTCACAGGGAGAGATGCATGAGGCTCACATGGAGAGATTACACAGGCTCACATGGGGAGATGCATGAGGCTCACATGGAGAGATTACACGGGCTCACATGGGGAGATGCATGAGGCTCACATGGAGAGATTACACAGGCTCACATGGGGAGATGCATGAGGCTCACATGGGGAGATGCATGAGGCTCACATGGAGAGATTAAACAGGCTCACATGGGGAGATGCATGAGGCTCACATGAGGAGATGCATGAGGCTCACATGGAGAGATTACACAGGCTCACATGGGGAGATGCATGAGGCTCACATGAGGAGATGCATGAGGCTCACATGAGGAGATGCATGAGGCTCACATGGAGAGATTACACAGGCTCACATGAGGAGATGCATGAGGCTCACATGAGGAGATGCATGAGGCTCACATGGAGAGATTACACAGGCTCACATGAGGAGATGCATGAGGCTCACATGAGGAGATGCATGAGGCTCACATGGAGAGATTACACAGGCTCACATGGAGAGATGCATGAGGTTTACATGGAGATTGTACATTGACTTACATGGAGACAGGCACATGTGCTCACACGGAGAGATGCTCACAACTGTTGGAGCCCTCAGAGGCCATCTTATCCAATTCAGTTTACAGAAGGAAAATGGAGCCAGGAAGATTAATGTCTTACTCCAGACAACCTGGCCATTTCAGGACAGTCCCAGAATTGGAGATTATGGTCATCTGACAAGATGTGTTGTTTTTTAATCTCCATTCATACTAAAAAATTACTAAGGCACAATTTCACCCAGGGATGCTTCCGGCTTTGTGTACAAGCAGGACAAGGAGAACTGGACTGAAATCTGCGGCTCTGGGGCAGTTCCCTCAGGGCTGCCTGTTGGCTGACAAAGGAGCATCAGATAGTCCTTTTATAAGATAACTCTCTTCAGCAGTCTCACACTGGCCCACTCCAGGCCAAGGTACTCCTCCCTAAGTATCTACTGCCCGGCTTCTCTCAGGATATCCCGGTCCTGCTCACATCTCCCTGGTGAGAATGCCTGTCCTCACCCCCAACCACAGTAGGGTCCCTCTCACCCTCAGCCCCCATGCCTCCTTTAGTTTTCCTTTTAGTGTTTATGCTACATGGTATTTTACGTTTTTGTTTTGTTTTGTTTTGTTTTGTTTTTTTAGGTAGAGTCTCACTCTATCACCCAGGCTGGAGTGTAGTGGTACAATTTCAGCTCACTGCAACATCCGCCCCCCAGGTTCAAGTGATTCTCCTGCCTCAGCCTCTCCAGTAGCTGAGATAGAGGCACACACCACCATACGTGGCTAATTTTTAAAATATTTTTGGTAGAGATGGGGTTTCACCATGTTGGCCAGCTGGTCTCGAACTCCTGACCTCAAGAGCTCAGCCCACCTTGGCCTCCCAAAGTGCTGGGGTTGGTATTTTACTTTTTGTGCTTTATCTTCTTTACTATCTAGAGTGTTCTCTGGGAGAGGGTAGAAAGAGAGGCAGTTTGCTTGCTGCTTTACTCTTAGTGCCTAGAACAGAGGATGGCATGTAATAGACACTCAATCAGCACAGCATGAATAAAATAATGAGTTAAACACATTTCATTTCTAAATGCAAATATTGCTCTGTTTTGTTTGCAAAAGGCTATCTTGAAGGACATATGTTGTTACATTTAAAAAAAATTCTGGCAAGTTTCCAGAAAACAATGATCTCTTATCTTTATAGCTCACTATGGTTCCTCGAACCGTAATCATAGAATAAATGAATGACTACTGAATGGGTAAGGAAGAAGAAACATGCATTAGTTTCTCTGTGATCTCGCCACCAGCGAATTAGGCTTTCAAATGTCCATCTGCCTGGCTGGGCTCAGTGGCTCATGCCTGTAATCCCAACACAGGCGATTACTATGAGATCAAGATGGGAGGATCACTTGAGATCAGGAGTTCAAAACCAGCCTGGCCAATATGGTGAAACCCCGTTTCTACTAAAAATACAAATAAAGAAATAAATAAAATTAGCCGAGCATGGTGGGTGGTGTGTGCCTGTAATCCTAGCTACTCCGGAGGCTGAGGCAGGAGAATCACTTGAGCCTGGGAAGCAGAGGTTGCAGTGAGCTGAGATGGCGCTACTCTACTCTAACCAGTGCAACAGAGTGAGACTCTGTCTCAAAAAAAAAAAAAAGTCCATCTTCTCTATTGTGAGATAAGGAGGGGGAAAGGGGACATACTCTGCAAATGCCTCCACCTGAGGACGAGCTCCAGATGACAACTGTGTGGTGTCACTGTGCCATCGGAAATTTTCATACAGCTCTCTAGACTCCTTCCGAGGGCATATTTGTAAATTATTCAGAAGTGATGGAAAATAACATTACACATAGTCTTTCATTTTCCTGACAAACTGTCTTAAAGCAAATGCAAATGGTCATGATGCTCTTCGAGATCACTCCATGCTTGGATGAATAACCTGGGATATATAAATAATGTAGGTAATTCCAAGGAGCCTTTACCTTAAGTAACAGTTACGCTCCGTAGCAGGTCCTCAGTAAATGTTCACTGGACTAGAAGCTTCCTCCCAGTGGTGCCCACATAGACAATAAATTCCCTGAGAGGGAAGTCACCACCGCTTCACCCCGCCCCACCCCTCTTCCAGAGTTATCATGGTACAGCCAAGAGGGACCCCTGACAAGTACCTCGTACAGGTCGCCACTGACTGAACGGTTTGAAATCAGTTATCTGGGCAGGCAAGGTGAAATATGTTTAATGCAAACCATTTTGGCAAATTGGCCAGTATGACCACCAGAAACTGATAGCTGTGAGCAGCCAGTAAGCAGTACTATGTGATCATTTGCATGAGTTTAAAATTATGTTGAAAGAGAAACAAGAAAGCTAGTCCAAATATCCAACATTTATAAAAGCAGAATCTCAATTATATTATCATTAAACCTAGATGTTTGGTTTGTATCTGAGCTTGCTGTGTCCTTTTGAACCTCCTTTCCCCACTGCCCTGCACGCCTCGTGTGTGCACGTGCACACACACACACACAGTCCACACTCTAAAATGCCTCCACTGACAACAACCTCTCTAATAATGCAGCGTGGAGAAGAGAGCTAGAAAACTGTTATCATGTTATTCCTCCAGAACTCAAGTGACAGGAGAAAATATTTTCCAGCCCTCACATCCTTGAGATGCTAAAACCTGATCTGCAGTTACTTTGGTGCTGAATACGAGTGCCTGATGGATACGGCACTGTAGCAAGACCGATGATGCCACTGTGCGAAACCATAAATTGTGCACTTATTTAAGATGATTTGAATGCAGAACAAAAGGTACCTTGGAAATAACCATCCAGCAAACGAAACTGCATTCCTGAGTGGCTAGGCCTGAATTTAATGAAATGATGTGAAACATGTGCCTGTAGTATCTAAAAGATTTGAAATATAGGTCCTTGTTCTGTTAGGAATAGTTTGGGTTTGCATTGCTAATTAAGTTCCCAGTGAAGGGTGTGTGTGTGTGTGTGTGTGTTTGTGTGTGTGTACATGCGAACACAAGTGCCTGTACATCTACTTGTGTGTATAAGCCAATAGCAAATAGCTACACAAAACACGCAATGCTAGAAACAGCATTACTATACAAGAGAACACCCTTAAGTTTCAGCATCCAGCCTGCAGGATTTGAATGCAAGCACTGAATTAAGAGGTTGCTTTAGGGATCAGGATGGTCATGACTCCCTAGTAATCACTTCCCTTTGCCACTACCAGCCTCTGCATGCAAAGATATCTAACGCAGGTCCACAGAGAATAATCTGAAAGCTAGGAGGCCACAGGGACCTTCGGGATGCAAACATTAAGACATAAAAACAAACTCAGCCAATGCGAAAAGAAAAATTAAATTACCTTTAAAAGTGTTACGAAGCCAGCTAGGAACACTAAGGAAATTTATACGAGCCTTTGCTAACTGTCTTTGCTGCTAGAATCTTAATTCCAGAAGGCACTGATGTGCAGTCCCTTCAGATTCTCGAACACACACAGGGATGAGGGTTCCACACAGGGTCAACATGCAGTTCCCACGTGAGGTGGGCCAAAACTTCAGGGAAGACAACCGTTAACAAAATAAGAGAAATGACAGCTTAAATGTGAATTTGGAGAACACCTTTTAAATTGTTTGCACAGATGTGACATTATTTACATGACAATTCCATGCTCCTCAGCACAGAGAAAATAAAACGAGTTAGACGACGTTAAAGCAACCATTAATTCTATTAATGAGTTAAGGATTGTTTCTAGAACTTTTCCGTTGCTTCATCATCTTGATATAATTAAAAATATTTGTTATATCTGCAATGTTGTTTCAGCACCTACTGGGAAAAGCAAGTCAGAAAGAAAAAAAGTTTGCTAGTTTTCCTGGAAAAAGAATGTTTACTCTTGTCAAAAATGTTGAAGGCCTTTGGGTTCATTTATTTAGGCTGATCCCATTAGTCAAAATGTTGAAAAATGTTTTAGGACTAAATATTTTTCCACTCCATGAAGAGCGTTGACTACAATACTTATTTCAGAAAGCAACAAAGAAATAGGCATGTATCAACCAAAAAAAAATCACTTAGCTTCTTTAACTTGATGTTGCTACCGTTTCCTCAAACTCAGCTGAATCAGCTCCGTTTAAGTGGCAATGCTTTGGAAGCAAAAAATGATAGGTGACAGTGTGGCAAGCTCCATTTCGAAAACACAGGAGGAATTCTCTTCCCTTCTCACTCACATTTCATCACTTACTTGCAATTTCTGTAAAGTACTCTCCAAACTGGGAAAGATGAGGAGGCCGTGGGAAAGATTCTCATTCAAGAAATTCGAGACTCACCCTTTACCCTGTAAAATATTCCGTGTTGTTGATCTGTAAATAGAATTATAGCTCCACCACCACCAAGCCGTGATGCAAAAGTGCCTGGGTGAACTAAAATTAAATGCCAATGAAAAATGCCTCTCTGCACATCAGCATCTATCTGCTTGGGCCTTTTTTGGCTTCCTCATTTGTCTTTATTTTCATTTAGAGCCACGTGGTGTACTGCCTTTCGCTCAAGGCACTCTCCCTCACAGTCGTGGGTGACTGCGTGTTGTCCTTGCCACCCACAGAGCTACATGGGGGAAAGAAATTACTTATTGATTTTCCTTTCTATGGAATGGTGTCTTTGGCTGGTTTCTTGAGACAGGGCAGTAATGCACAGAGCCCCAGCAGTGGGGATGCAGGCAGTGTGCCACACTGGGCTACACCACCAGGGTCACCCTCTCTCACCAGGGTCACCTGCACTTAGCTCTTTCAACAAAATAAACAGCATACACTTCAAAAGTTGAAAGAATGAACAAAACAATGGTATGTTCCCATCTGAGTAGTGGAAACAGCATGATTTGAATTTTCTTTTACTCTTGTATTCTAAAAAAGGTTTGGTTGGGATGGCATACTATCTGGTTGGTTAAGGAAGTATATTTGACATTTTCAGGTTGGTCCTAAATTTAAAGTCAGAAAAAAAAATTAGGAATGCTGTGAGTTGTGAATCAAGTCTTCATAATTTTGGGCCGATTACCAGAGATGCCATTTTTGGATTCCTGAATTGTTACTAGAGATAGTGGTCTGGGCTGAGAGCAGTGGTTCATGCCTGTAATCCTAGCATTTTGGGAGGCTGAGGTAGGAGGATCGCTTGAGGCCAAGAGTTCAAGACCAGCTGGAGCAACATAGAGAGAGACCCCATCTCTAGAAAAAACATTTAAAAATTAGCTGGGTGTGTTGGTGCATACCTATAGTCTCAGAAGGCTGGTGTAGGAGGATTGCCAGGAGTTCTAGGCTGCAGTGAGCTCTGATTGCACCACTGCTCTCTCTAGCCTGGACAGCAGAGTGAGACCCCATCTCTAAAAAAAAATAATAATAATAGTAAAGGACAGAGATAGTGGTCTGACTTCCTACAAGTCTGACTTCTAGAGAGCAGGCTGGCTTTCTGAGCTGATTACTGCAGATAACAAGTTGGTTTTCTGGACTGGTTGCTGCAGGCTGCGGGGCAGTTCTATTTTTACGCATAGTCTGACCATTGCCCGTTTGTATGTTTATATATCCAGTGTCTCACTCTTTCCTCAAAGAAGGTGGACCTGGCATTTTGCTGCTGAAGTCCGAAGGAGAATGCAGCATACTGTCCAGCCTAAAACACACACCCCACTAGGGGGCAACTGGCTTTAGCACCCAGAGCTTCTCCGGTGGTTTGTGACACCCCATTCTGGGAGCCGTTTCTGAGAGCCACACACAGCATGAGTGTGAGTGCCGTTCTGTTCAGCTGTCAGAGATGCTGATTCCTGTGGATGCCACTGAAAATCTCAGCATAAATGGACTGCTTTCCCCACTCCCCATAGAGGAGCTCTGTATTCGCAGACTTTAACCCTGCACCAAGAACTCTGCACTGGTCGCAAAGTCTTCCAGTTCTCCAAGGCTTATATGCAAAGACCCACCCCACCCCCATAGTACCTTCTCCCATGACGATCATGGTACCAGGCCCAACACCAAGGCCACAGGGGCAGGGTCTAGAGGTGTCCCCTTCTGATGTACAGTCACCATCGGGCTGCTAGGCTTCCTGCAGCCAGCAAGTGCTCACTGGTGTCCAGCTTGGCCTCAACATCTTCCATGAGTTTCACTTATTGCTACCAACTCACTGTTTGAGGCTGCACAACAGGAGACCCAGCTCTGGTGCCAATCAGCCCCCTTATTCCTGTTTAAAGCCTCTTGGGGGAACAACCCCAGGGTCAAAGATTTAAGAAGGAATAAGAAAAGTGATGTTGGCTTCTTCCCATAAATGTACCAAGAGAACTCAGTGGTGTTTCCTGATGCCCAGAAGCTGGGTCAGAGCATGTGGCCTCCATCCACTGCAGACTTGGAGGTCCTGGGCAGATGTTCAAGAGCCTGTTTCCAAAGAGAATGGTCCTAATGAGTGACTGACCCACTGAACTTCAGAGTATTCCACCTCAGACCAAGGTGGTCCAGGTAGTGGCCCAGGTAGACCTGCCTCTATAGGGATGGAAGCTGTATATCTGTGGGAGACTAAGTCAGACATCAGCTTGCACCCATTTAGCCTCAGAGGCCACTGTGGGTGCTTCCTGCCTTTGCTCCCCTTTGACCTCTGTCCCAGTGTTCCTGATAAGATTTCACAAGCCCAGCAGCTGAGTCTTGTTCTTCTTATCATCTGACAAACCCTCTTCTTGCCCCTAAGGCTCAGAGCACACTGAAGGCTGGGAGGGTCGGTTGGTGATACTTACTTTGATTTTTTAGTTTAAGTTCTGGGCTACATGGGCAGAATGTGCAGGTTTGTTACATAGGTATACATATGCCATGGTGGTTTGCTGCACCTATCAGCTTGTCATCTAGGTTTTAAGACCTGCATGCATTAGGTATTTGGATAATGAATTTTTTTAATGATGATAACAAAAGCCAGTTTAAATCTCTTTTTCAAAACCATAATTTAATTTTATTCAAAATGGTTTGCTGTATATAAGAAATATAATAAACCTTGAAGAAAACAATTTTGAAAAGTCATCTTTCTTACTACTCTAAGCTTCTATATTAAGCTCTAGCTACCCTTTAGAGCTTGCTGGAGAAGTAAACAAGCATCCAATGCAAATTGGGTTATACTTAGTTCTAGTTAAAGAAGAAAAATAGCTAAAGGGGACATTGAGTCATGAGTTCTTCTAAAAACAAAGAGGTAAACACAGAAAACTTGTAATTAGGAAATATCTAGGGACTTTATATGCATACAGGCAAAATGCGATACTGATTAGATTAATTTTTTTCTACTGAGTTTTGCTATGTAGCAAAATTCAACCTGTTGAAGTGGATGAGCAGCTATGCCCTGAGCAACCACATTTACACCAGCCCTGGCCAGCCTGAGGCACCAACAGACTGAAATGCAGATCTGCTATGAGTTCTCATTGGGCTTTTGCTATAAAATATTCATGGTGAATTACAAAGGATCATTTGAATCACAATCTCTAGAAACATGTTGGAAAGGAGAAAGGCATCAAATTGCATCTTAGGCTTTTATCTTTTTTTACATGCCACTCTAAAGTAATTACAGATTATTCAGGCCAATGTTAAACTCAAATTTTTAAAAATCAACATTTATAATAAAATGACCTGCTGATTTCTTACCCTGCTCACCATATGGTGATTTATATGGTGCAATGAGGGCCCACTACTGCCTCCTGGTGGTAATGTATCTTAATTGCAGGAACCATTTTACAAAAAATAGTTATGCTTTGAAAGATGAAACATGAAGTTACAAATACTGTGACCTAAAAAATACAGACTTGACATCTGTGGTAGGAGAGATATGCCCAACCATCCATTCTTACCATTTGAGGGAACCTATTGTGAGCTGAGTGTTGAATTAGGGAACAAAATTTCTACCTTGAAAATTCAGTTTCATCAATAGAAAAATTCAGATTACTCAAGCCAAATGATCAAATGTCACTAGAAAAGGAAACACATAGTATAATCAGGTGGTGTTAACTCAATATACATAATTTTTTAACCCAGAAACACAATAACATTTTTCAGACAGCTTGACATAAATGTGGACGGGACACCTACTTGATTTCTCTAAAATTGGTTTAAGGAACTGATTGACCCATCCTTCATTAATCACCCCTGAGTTTTTCTCCCTAACAATTTTGGTCATGCAAAATCTCCAGAAGTCTTTGTGCCAAGTGTCTAACCCAACTCTATTTTGTATACCTCAAAATCCAATTCAAATTCAACTTTCTTCATATGATTTTTCTTTCCCACTCAGAATTAAAGTGATTTCTCCTTCTAGCAGTTAGATTGGCAAAAATAAAAACTATGATCCTGTCTACAATAGTTACCTCCACCCCTTTATGTTTATATAATATTACACCATTGACATCCTTTGCCCCACCTGTCATGGTACTTTGCTGAGCTATGTGTTTGTTTGCTTACTGTGTATTTCTGCCACTAGAATGGAAGTCTCATGATGGCAGGAACCTTGCCTGCTCTGATACTTTAAGGAGCATACCAAGCTCCTGAAATACTGCCGTGCACGTAGATGCTCACTAAATATTTTCTGAATGAACTATCAGTCAGTGTTAGTGAAGGTATTATAGTCAAACTCTTAAACTTTCTGGTGAGAATGTAAAAATTATTCAGAGGACAGTTTGTTAATACACATCAAATTTCATTATAAAATATAACAATTAAATATAAGAAATGTTTGTCAATAGAATAGAAATTATATCAATAGTAAGCTATACAGCCATCAGAAATGATGATATCCAACTATATTTACAGACACAAAAAAAGGTCCTTGACATATATTTAAAATTAAAAAGCAGAGTTTGCAATAGCATGTGTGATGGTTAATTTTAATATGTTAACTTGACTGGGCTACAAGGTGCCCAGATATTTGTTCAAACATAATTGTGGGTATTTCTGTAAGGATGTTTTTGGGTGTGATTAGCATTTAAATTGGTAGATTGAGTAAAAGAGATTGCCCACCCTAATGTAGGTGGGTCTCAACCAGTCATCCAAGAACTTGAACAAAAAGACTGCCCCTACCCCAAATAAAGAAGATTCTTCCAGACTGACTGCCTTTGAACTGGGACATTGACTTTTTCCTGCCTTTGATCTTGAACTGAAACATTGGCTCTTCCTTGAGCTTGCCAGCCTTCAGACTAAAACTATACTGTCAGCCCTATTGACTTTCAGGCCTTCAGACTCGAGCTGGAACTAAACCATCAGCTCTCTTGAATCTCTAGCTTGCCAACTCACTCTGGAGTGAGTGAGATATTGAAACTTGCCAAACTCTATTATCATGTGAGCCTATTACTTATAATAAATATCTTTCTGTGCATACATATACCTCCTATTGGTTCCATTTCTCTGGAGAACCCTGACTAGAACAGTGTATAGTAGGATCTCATTGTGCTAAAATATTAGAACTATGTAGATCTAGTTTCTGTAGTGTGCCCAGTTTGTTCATGCCTCCCTGTATTCATGCCTTTCTATGGTTCCTTTCACAATGACTCTAGGCTTAGTCATGCAACTTCCTTTTCACCAGTGAGACAATAGCAAACATGACTTAAGCAATGACTTGAAAAGTGCTTGCGTATTGGAGTTGCCTTTCTGCTGCTCTTGAAACCTGAGACAGCCTTGTGAACCAGACCAAGCAGCCTCGTGCAGCAAGAGAAGCCACTGAAGAAAGGATTTAGCTCTCCTACCCATGCTAGTCAAGACCCATCACCAGCTCACTGCCCACACAGGACCAAGCTCAGCTGAGGTTGAGGGGAGCTGCCCCCTCCCACTTCCCTCTCACATTCTGAACAGGCGACACCACCTCTGGGTGCATCTGACCCCTCATTCTCACTACTGAGCACCCATGGACTGAAACATGGTGGCACATTACTGCAAATCATGGGCAACTTAACACCACCATTCAACAGCTGCAGTCACCTGAGACTGGCCTGGACCAGAACTGACCAGCTGAACCCAGCCCAAATTGCAACCTTAATAATTGCAGACTATGCTGAATTTTTTTTATCTTGCCCAAATTCCTATCTAAGGGGTCTGGGGAGTCATACCCTACAAACTATAAATTCTCACCAGATGGGTTTTATTTAACCCTATATATCGTGACTTACTTTCCAAATCCAATATGGCATATAACACTATGTGACAAAGAAGAAAGTCAACATATTTTATCCCAAAACATGTTTCTTTGCCATATTTTAAAATGGTCCTGCAAAGCTGTCCTTTCTGGGTAAAAATGTACATTTGTAAAGAATCTCTATTAACATAGCTAGATCTTTTTCTTCCAGGCCTCCCAATCCTCAGGAGATTAAGTAGGAGTCTAACACCTTTTACAGGAAACATTTGTCATCTATTGTCTCTAAGGGCAGCCACTGTAAGACTTCAAAAGAACCCAGGTCTCCACAATCTTTTATTTTAACCTGAAGGTTTTCTTTCTATTGATCCCAGGTCTTTAGACAAACTCAACCAATTGTCAGTAGGAAAATGTTTAAATTTACCTATAGCCTGGAAGCCCCTCCCACTTTGAGTTGTCCTGCCTTTCTGAACCAATGTGTTTCTCAAATGTAATTTGATTGATGTCTCATGCCTCCCTAAAATGTATAAAACCAAGTTGCACCCCAACCACCTTGGGCACTTGTTCTCAGGACCTCCTGAGGGCTGTGTCACAGGCCATGGTCACTCATATTTGGCTCAGAATAAATCTTTTCAAACATTTTACAGAGTTTGAGTCTTTTTGTTGACAGAATCATTTATTAAATGGTTAGCATTTCAAGCCACTAAGCTTTGAGATGGTTTGTAATGAAGCAAAGACTAACTGATATGTTACTATAGAACAACAACAACTAAAAAAAAAAGCCTAGAAGGCTATATCCTAAATTGTTAATAGTGGTTACCTCTATGTAGAAATTACAGATGACTTCTGGTTCATTCTTTTTAGCATCTCTGCATACTGTTTATAATAAGTGCATATTATGTCTGCAAGCATAAAAAACAATTAAAATCCATTTCATTTTGAAAAATAATTTTTAAATTGATCTCTCCCTTCTTAGATTTCCTGCAGTAATTACTGTTTGCATGACTAATTCACCAATTAACCATGAAGTGTTTTGATATCAAAAACTGATATTTAAGGCTTTCATTGTTATTTGACTATGGCAATGGAACATGCAGTGATACTTTTTAAAAATGCTGTGTATCATCCATAGTTATTAAGCCTATGACTGGCATACAGCATGGAGCCACCAATGATATTATTTACTTTGATTTGAAATCACTGTTTTGTATTAACAAATAAGGCAGAGTAAAGAGTAGAATATCTGCAAGAAGAGGAGAGGTCCTGGCAATGGCAGTGTCCAAAATAAACCTGAGTTACCTGAAAACTCAACACCAAAGCATTTAGTGCCCACTTGCAACTGCCTATGCCCTGTGGTAAGAGTGGGGATTCCTGTGGCCATGCCACGATTCTCTGCTCAATGTCCAATTTCAAGCTTAATTCAGATTGATTTAAACATGCATATACATATCTACCAGAGAATTAAACAAACCATGGAAATTTAGAATACAAATTAAAATTTCTTCTAGAGACCTAATCTGGAAAAAGAATAGTATTTGAAAACTAGTAAAGCAAACAATGTAGAAAAAATGGCTTAAGCAAAAAGGGTTCAGATGTGAAAGAAATCATCCTTAACTAACTTTCCAGAATTTAATTTTTAAAGAATATGGCCAAGAAGTCAAAATTTATTCACCTCCATCGAAGTTGATGAAGAAATGTAAGAAAGCAGGTGTTATGTAGCTTTATTTGATTTTTCAAAAAGACTCCATGTAAAGCTTTAAGAGAGAGAACAAAATAGTAGATGACAAAAACTAAGCAAATACTAGATTAAGAAACTAAAGTGAGCCTCCCTTGCCTTCAACTTTGAGTTAGCAAGGAGAGTCACTGGCTCCTTCAAGGAGCACTGCCACGCATCATAAAGCTAAGTGGCTCTGACAAGGATCTGAACAACAGGGCTCTAAAATCTGCTGACAACACTAAAATGGGAGTTGCAAAGAAGAATGAGGAGCTGTGTGACCAGGTTTAAAGGAATCTCAATCATTTAGGTAATTGGGCCAGCAGATGGCAAATGCAGTGCATTCTGGAAGACTGTGAAATAATTAGTCTGAAAGACAGAAGCTAATCTAGTAATAATGATCTTCCATTTATGTAGCATTATTTTTTACAAAGCACCTTTCACCAAGTGGTTCCCATAGTGCCTTCTGTAATGATCATGCATGGTATGTTAATGTGTTCACAGTGATAGAACAGGCACTCTTGGTGGAACAGTGTAATCTGCACGACTGTCGCCCAGAAGAGAAGGTGATGCCCGAAGGAGAGGTGGGAAACTCCCAAGGTGATTCGCCAAATAGAAATACCTTTTGGACACTAAGGTTAGAGAACTAAACCAGCAGGATGTTTGCTTGAATTTGAATGATGACTCATGAAGGATCAGAATGCTATTTCCTTGGGGTGAGATTAAAAAATATGTGTGTACCAGGATTTAGAGGTTTATCTCTAAATAAAGGCTGAAAGAATTTAGCTTTATCTTTCTAAAATGATAAAAGCACCACACATCTTTTTTTAAAAAAACAACAACTACTTTCAGTTAGCCAAGTGAAACTTTTCAGTTTTGTAAATAATTCCCAAGGTTAAACAGGAAACATGCTGAGTAGTTCAAGGGAGAGTGGAGAGAACATTGTTTCACAGGCTGCATTTGCTTCCCTCCCTCAGAAGCAAACCTCTTCTCTCCCCCTCTACTCCCCTTCTTCTAGAACTTAGTCAAAGCAGAGTTTGTAGGATCAATATGGCCAGGGGCTGCCATATTGATCAGAGCAGCTCTAGAGAGTGAATCAGGCTGTGGTGCCCTAGAAAGAAATATCAGAAGGTCTGTTTCCAATGTCCTGTGTGACCTGAAGCTCTTCCTTCTCTAAATCATTATTAGCCATAAACGTTCACTGCAGATGATCATTTCTTAATCAGAAAAATACTTCTTTACTGCACTTGGCTCTTTTCCACTCATGCTAACAGATACCACATTTCCCCATGTCCCTTTCTCCCTGGCATAAAACACACCTTTCCTCTACCTGTGCGGAACAGCCCATGCTTCCTCCTCTGCCCTGCCCCCTCCCACTTCCCTCTCACATTCTGAACAGGCGACACCACCTCTGGGTGCATCCAACACCTCATTCGCACTACTGAGCACCCATGGACTGAAACGTGGTGGCACATTACTGCAAATCACAGGCAACTTAACACCACCATTCAACAGCTGCAAGCAAGCCATTCCAAGCAGAGGAATTCTCACAGTCACGGTGCTTCAATAACGCATTAGAGCTTTTTGAGTTTCTTGTCTGTCTTACAGTTGTTGTTATTTTTGTGTTAGCTAGCAAACAAAGCTACATAAACTGTTATGAAAAGTATGCCCTCTAAGACCTGCCTAATTTTATCTAATTCCAGGATCCTAAAAATTTTTCTGGGTGTGAATTTTGTTCCATTTTCTTCCAGGAAAGTCTAAGAGTGTGTTACCCAAATAGTGCTCCACCAGGAGAAATCCAAAGCTGGTAAGATGTGCCTGAGGATCTGGCAAAAATCAGCATCCATGGTCTTGGGGATTGCAAATATTCTGCTTGCAGCCTCTTCGTAGATTCTTTTACAGATGGCAATTTTATATTGCTTTACACTGTAACAAGAAGGAAATAAATGGGGCTCTTATACTTCTCCTCTTCACTGATGCCAGGAGAACATAGCCTCTGGTTCCCACCAGCAGGACCTTCTCACTGTTCTTGGCACAAGAAGATGCCAGCAAGTAAAAGTTGCTAAGCATTGCTTTTAGATTGAAAATAAGATGCACATGGTAGGTTTCACTGCATGACTTAAGCAAAGTGCCAGGTTCTGTTTTCTTTTAAATATTCTCACTAGAGGGATGGGAGAGGGGAGAAAAAGTGTCAGAATAATCTACAAATCAAAATGCTTTTTAATGGGGATGTGGACCACGGCTTTCCTTTGCTGGTTTCATGAAACCTTTGCACACTCAGGAGAAGAATGCATGTTAGCTGGTATGAGCGCTGCTGGCAGTCTCCATGGAGTGGGGATGGAGGAGTGCAGATTCCTTTTAAAACATTATTGAAGGTTCTTCTCAGCCATCCACACCACACATTGATCTTCTGTCACAGCTCTATGTCTGGAGGGCTGGTACTCTCCATTGATCCACAGAGAGCATTTTTAGTGCATCAAAGAAATACAGAAGGTGGGACTCAGAGGGAAAATCAGGAACCACACTTTTAGTGCTGGACACAGCTCAGCAGTATAAAAGTCACATAAAATATTAAGCTGAACTTGAGATTTTTTTTTTTAATGTTGTGAAATCTGTTGACATATGAGACTCAATGGGACACAAAAAACGGAAAGGATTAATACCTCTTTTAATGGAAAAATCTCCCCTGACGGAACAGAAGCAAGCCCTAGGACCTGATAAACTGAATCCCACATTCATCTTTCTGCAAAGGACCTTAGGTTGTAAATCACAAGTGTCTAGGCTGAAAAGTTCAATCAGTCAAGATGCGGTGGTAATGGGTCAAGGTCATGCATCAATCCAAAGACAGACTGGTTAGTTTTACTCCACAGTCAAAGGTTATGCCCCATCCGGATGATAAAATCTGTGCTCTTCTCAGGAGCAAGGAGGTGGCTGGCCTGATAGAGCCTGTCACAGCAAGGGACAAAACTACTATAAAGACAGAGCTTCCCACCCAAGCCAGCATGCCAGCCACCCATGGAAGTCCTACCTGTGCCACAAGGTCAGACTCAGGGTCCCTGTTTCAGTCAGCTTAGGCTGCCATAACAGAATGCCACAGACTGAGTGGCTTAAACAACAGAAATGTATTTTCCCATAATTCTGGAGGCTGAAGGTCCCAGATCAGGATGCCGGCGGGGTTGGGTTCTGGTAAATGCCCTCTTCCTGGCTTGCCTTTCCTCAGTGCAAATGCATGGAGAGAGGGAGAAAGAGATGACTCTTCCTCTTTTTTTTTTTTTTTTTTTTTTTTTGAGACAGAGGCTCACTTTGTCGCCAGGCTGGAATGCTGTGGCACGATCTCAGCTCATTGCAACCTCTGACTCCCTGGTTCAAGGGATTCTCCTGACTCAGCCTCCTGAGTAGCTGAGATTACAGGCACGTGCCACCGCACCCGGCTAATTTTTGTATTTTTGGTAGAGATGGAGTTTCATTATTTGGCCAGGATGGTCTCGATCTCCTGACCTCGTCGTGATCCACCCATCTCAGCCTCCCAAAGTGCTGGAATTACAAGCATGAGCCACCGTGCCCGGCCAACTCTTCCTCTTCTTATAAGGCTACCAATCCTAGTGGACTAGGTCCCACTCTTATGAATTTGTTTAACCTTAATTGCCTCCACAAAGTCCAGTCTCCAAATACAGTCACACTAGGGGTTAGGCCTTCGATATATGAATCTAGGAAAACACAGTTCAGTCCATCACACTCACCTTCCATACACAGCCTTCTTTTACCTCCCTAATCAGACATAATATGCCCTGGGGAAAAAAAAAAAAAAGATGAAAGAGGATATTTTTTCTTTGAGGGAGACATTTTAGACACTTTTACCTAAACCTTTTTCTAAATACTGAAAGAGTTGAACATGTAAATCAATAATGAAAAGATAACCTGCTCATATCCAAGTGGACAACTAACTCACGAAGGCTATGGGACAAAAAGCAAGGTCAAAAGAAGACAATTCTTATGAATTTGCAGATTTAAGCTTCCAAAATGGTGAATTGCACAATCTCTGACAGAACAGATTCTCAGTGTCTAGTGAATGGACAAATGAATACATGAATGATGGATATTTTCTGATAATGAGAAGAAACTAATATAAATTAAAATCAAAGTCAGAAATGGCCTCATCAATGCTTATTCAAGGCTAAAGTTGACTAAAATGACTACCCCTTTAAAATCAGGATTTCAAATTATAAAACTATAACATTTCAAACACAGATAATTACATTTCTTATCAAATGCATGGGTTCTTGTAAAATAATTCAGTTTAATATATACCCAATTTAATTAAAATTTATAAGTGGTTGTGGACTAAACCAAGTGTATCTTAATTAAATCAGAACATGGCTCACAGATGTTAAGGTCAACCCCAGTTTTAATAAAGAAGATGCAAATATAATCATTAGGGACTTGGCTGAGTAATTGTGGTCAGGTGGAAAGTAAGATGAAAGGAAGGCCAGGAAGACCCCTTCTACTCAAGGCTAAAAAGTAAAACGACCTACGGAGTGCAAGTGCAGAAAGATGGGGTTGCCTGCTCAGTGAGCCGCTGAAATGGAGGTAGGAAATTCAGGTATGAAAAACCAAGTCAACAATCAATTAATAAACTTACATTAGATAAGGAAGGAGGAGGCACTTTCTCTGACAGTTCACACATCATGGAAGGTTGCAATGGGTTCTGCTATCACCAAAACAATCAGAAATGGAAACAGGACATTCTTAGAGCCAACGCTAAAGCCTGAAGGATTGCATGAATAAGGTTGACACATAAAATACAAAGTTTTCAGTTAAATCAGAATTTCAGATAAACAACAATTTTTTTTTTTGCTAAAAGTATGTCCTATGCAACATGCATCCTGTATTGTCTTTTCTAAATTTGGCACCTACACGTGAACTTAGGCCTGTAGCAAAAGGCTTATCAAGGAGCTTTCTGTAATTCCAATATAAACCACAACATTTATTGAAGAATTATCATTAAGGGCTGACCGAAGTCTTAAAATAGAAAGTATATACCTGAATTACACTGTAGGCTCATTGCCAGCTCTTGGAAGGGATGCGGAGAGACGATCTAAATTTTAACATTCGGGTCATTCCTATCCACCTGCCTGGGAGTCCTTCTTCTGAATGTATCTCCCTCAGATCACAGCATACTCTGAGGAATGTGTCAGTCACAGGGAGCTATGCTGGTCAGAAAATCAATCCAGAAATGTTGATTTCAGGTCTCTTCCGTAAACAGAACTGTGCTGTTAATCAAAACCCAACGGCACCTCTGCACCCCTGGAGACTCTGTGGGCAGATGAAGAAACTGAGGCCCTAGACGGTGAAATGGCTTTTCCAAGGTTTAGCTGGGTCTCCCTGGCAGAGCTAAGACTAGCACCCTGCTATTGTAAATCACCTTTCCATGAGTCTTTCAGTAAGGAATAAAACTTATAAGTGCTATTGAAGCTCAGAAATATATATATATAAATTTTATATATTATATATAATTAATAATATATGTTAATTATATAATTAATAACATATGTTGATTATATAATTAATAACACATGTTGATTGTATAATTAATAATATATGTTGATTGTATAATTAATAATATATATTAATTATGATTAATAATAAATATATATTAATTATATGATTAATAATAAATATATATTAATTATATAATTAATATATAAATATATATAATATATATTAATTTCTTGCTCTTTGGATGTTTAGGAAAAAAATTTAGATAGGTGAAGATATCACTCATTTAACAGTGTCTATTCACTGTCAACTTCATGCCCAGCACTGTTGTGGATGCTGGGACCACTGACACAATGCTGCCCTATAAGGAGATTTAGCAGATGCTCACCACAGCCTTCCCCACCTCCTGCCAGGCACAACCAGACTACATTTCCCAACCTGCCTTGCAGCTATATGGCCATGTGACTGAGCACTAGCCAAGGGAATGTGGGTGGGAGTGATGTCAGATATTCCCAGGCCAGGTCTATTGGAAACCTTCTGCATTAGTCAGAGCTCCCAAGAGAAAAAGAACCAAGAAGAGAGATGGAGATGGAGATAGAGAAACATGAAGAGATCCAGAGATAGAGATTGGGAGATGTAAAAAGATTATAAGGTATTGCCTCACATGATTATGAAGGCAGAGAAGTCTTACCATCTGCTGTCTGCGAGCTGGACACCCAGGAAAGCCGGTGGTGTAGTCTGAAGGCTGGAGAGCCAGAGAGCTGACAGTGTAGATTGCACTCTAAGCTGAAGTCCTGAGAACAAGAAGCATGAGAGAAAAAGAAGGTTGATGTCCCAGCTCAGACAGTTGGTTAGAATGGGATTTCAACCTTCCTCAGGCTTTGTGTTCTGTTCAGGCCCTCAGTGAATTGAATGATGTCCACCCACATGGGAGAGAGCAAACTACTTTACTCAGTCTATGGATTCAAATGCTCATCTCTTCCAGACATCCCCTCTCAGACACACCAGAAATCATGTTCAACCAGCTACATGGACACCCCATGGTCCAGTCAAGCAAACACCTAAAATTAACCATCACACCCTCCATGTGAAAGGAGGCAGAAGATCCAGCAGAAAAGTCCCAGGCCTCAGAGGAAGGAGGACTCACAAAACGTGTCCGTGAATCACTACCTGGAAGGCTGGGCACTAGACACTCACATAGAGCTGTCATATGAAGAGAGAACTAATCTTCTATTGTGTGAAGTGGCTGAGGTGTAGGAGTCATTTGTTCCAGGAGAGAGACAACCATGATACACTTCCCTGGTGGAACTTAGAGAAAAGACAGGTTCTGGGCAAATACACAAACAAAAACAGATATGATTGCAACTTGTTGTGAGTGTTTTGTAGAAACAACATGAGCACAATGATAAAGAAAAGCTGAGATGCAAGAGGCTGCTCTGATAGGTTTGGACATGGCTGGTAATGAGCCAACTACAATAAGAACGGTGAGAGTAATAGCAGATGCCACTACAGTGTCCTGTTTGTGGAAGGCCCTGGGATAAATATTTCATGCACTGTAACTTATTTACTCTCACAACAACCTGTGAGGTAGGAATTATTATCATCTCCATTTTACAGATAAAAGTAAGGATTCTTGAAGCCACCTATACTATTTCATTCTCATGCTGCTATGAAGAAATACCTGAGACTGGGTAATTTATAAAGGAAAGAAGTTTAATTGACTCACAGTTCAGCAGGGCTAGGGAGGCCTCAGGAAACTTACAATCATGGCAGAAGAGGAAGTAAACATGTCCTTCTTCACATGGCAGCATGAAGGAGAAGCACCGAGGAAAGAGGGAAAAGCCCCTGATAAAATCATTGGATCTCATGAGAACTTATTATTACGAGAACAGCATGGAGGGAACTGCCCCCATGATTCAATTACTTCCCACCAGGTCCCTCCCATGACATGTGGGGATTATGGGAACTACAATTCAAGATGACATTTGGATGGGGACACACCCAAGCCATATCACCAGCATATTTTTGATTGGTCAAAGCCTGTACTATACAAACTGTTAAGTCTTTATTATTATTATTATACTTTAAGTTCTGGAATACATGTGCAGAATATGCAGGTTTGTGACATAGGTATATATGTGCCATGGTGGTTGGCTGCACCCATCAACCCATCATCTACATTAGGTGTTTCTCCTAATGCTATCCCTCCCCTAGTCCCACACCCTCTGACAGGCCCCAATGTGTGATGTTCCCCTCCCTGTGTTCATGTGTTCTCATTGTTCAACTCCCACTTATGAGTGAGAAAATGCAGTGTTTGACTTTCTGTTCTTGTGTTAGTTTGCTGAGAATGATGGTTTCCAACTTCATCCATGTCCTTGCAAAGGACATGAACTCATCCTTTTTTATGGCTGCCTAGTATTCCATGCTATATATGTGCCACATTTTCTTAATGCAGTCTATCGTTGGTGGGCATTTGGGTTGGTTCCAAGTCTGTGCTATTGTGAACAGTGCAGCAATAAACATACGTGTGCATGTGTCTTTATAGTAGAATGATTTATAATCCTTTGGGTATATACCCAGTAATGGGATTGCTGGGAAAAATGGTATTTCTAGTTCTAGATCCTTGAGAAATTGCCACACTGTCTTCCACAATGGTTGAACTAATTTACACTCCCACTAACAGTGTAAAAGCGTTCCTATTTCTCCGCATCCTCTCTAGCATCTGTTGTTTCCTGACTTTGATCACCATTCTAACTGGCATGAGATGGTATCTCATTGTGGTTTTGATTTGCATTTCTCTAATGACAAGTGATGATGAGCTTTTTTCATATGTTTGTTGGTCGCATAAATGTCTTCTTTTGAGAAATGTCTGTTCATATAGCCCACTTTTTGATGGGGTTTTTTTTTTCTTGTAAATCTGTTTAAGTTCCTTGTAGATTCTGGATATTAGCCCTTTGTCAGATGAATAGATGGCAAAAATTTTATCCCACTTTGTAGGTTGCCTGTTCACTCTTATGATAGTTTCTTTTGCTGTGCAAAAGTTCTTTAATTAGATCCCAATTTGTTAATTTTTTATTTGTTGCCATTCCTTTTGGTGTTACAGTCATGAAGTCTTTGCCCACGCCTATGTCCTGAATGGTATTGCCTAAGTTTTCTTCTAGGGTTTTTTTATGGTTTTAGGTCTTATGGTTAAGTCTTTAATCCATCTTGAGTTAATTTTTGTATAAGGTGTAAGGAAGGGGTCCAGTTTCAGTTTCCTGTATATGGCTAGCCAATTTTCCCAATGCAATTTATTAAATAGGGAATCCTTTCCCCATTGCTTTTTTTCAGGTTTGTCAAAGATCAGATGGTTGTAGATGTGTGGCATGATTTCTGAGGCCTCTGCTCTGTTCCATTGGTCTATGTATCTGTTTTGGTACCAGTACCATGCTGTTTTGGTTACTGTAGCCTTGTAGTATAGTTTGAAGTCAGGTAGCATGATGCCTCCAGCTTTGTTCTTTTTGCTTAGAATTGTATTGGCTTATATGGGCTCTTTTGGTTCCATATGAAATTTAAAGTAGTTTTTCTCTAATTCTGTAAAGAAAGTCAATAGTAGCTTGATGGGGATAGTATTGATTCTATATATTACTTTGGGTAGTATGGCCATTTTCACAATATTGATTCTTCCTATCCATGAGCATGGAACGTTTTTTCCATTTTTTTTTTTTTTTGTCCTCTCTTATTTCATTGAGCAGTGGTTTGTAGTTCTCCTTGAAGAGGTTCTTCACATCCTTTGTAAGTTGGATTCCTAGGTGTTCTCTTCTCCTTGCAGCAATTGTGAATGGGAGTTCACTCATGATTTGGCTTTCTGTTTATTATTGGTATATAGGAATGCTTGTGATTTCTGCACATTGACTTTGTATCCTGAGACTTTGCTGAAGTTGCTAGTCAGCTTAAGGAGATTTTGGGCTGAGACAATGGGGTTTTCTAAATATACAATCATGTCATCTGCAAACAGAGACAATTTGACTTCCTCTCTTCTTATCAGAATACCATTTATTTCTTTCTCTTGCCTGACTGCCCTGGCCAGAACTTCTAATACTATGTTGAATAGGAGGGATGAGAGAGGGCATTCTTGTCTTGTGCCAGTTTTCAAAGGGAATGCTTCCAGCTTTTGTCCATTTAGTATGATATTGACTGTGGGTTTGTCATAAATAGCTCTTATTATTTTGAGATACATTCCATCAATATCTAGTTTACTGTGAGTTTTTAGCATGAAGGGATGTGGAATTTTATCAAAGGCCTTTTCTGCATCAGTTGAGATGATCACGTGTTTTTTGTCACTGGTTCTGTTTATGTGATGGATTACCTTTATTGATTTGTGTATGTGGAACCAGCCTTGCATCCCAGGGATGAAGCTGACTTGATTGTGGTGCATAAGCTTTTTGATGTGCTTCTGGATTCAGTTTGCCAGTATTTTATTGAGGATTTTCACATCGATGTTCATCAGGGATACTGACCTGAAATTTTCTTTTGTTGTTGTGTCTCTGCCAGGTTTTGGTATCAGGATGATGCTGGCCTCATAAAATGAGTTAGGGAGGATTCCATCTTTTTCTATTATTTGGAATAGTTTCAGAAGGAATGGTACCAGCTCCTCTTCATATCTCTGGTAGAATTCAGCTGTGAATCCATCTCGACCTGGGCTTTTATTGGTTGGTAGGCTATTAATTACTGCCTCAATTTCAGAACTTGTTATTGGTCTATTCAGGGATTCAACTTCTTCCTGGTTTAGTCTTAGGAGGGTGTATGTTTCCAGAAATGTATCCATTTCTTCTAGATTTTCTAGTTTATTTGCATAGAGGTGTTTATAGTATTCTCTGATAGTAGTTTGTATTTCTGTGGGGTCACTGGTGATATCCCCTTTATCATTTTGTATTGTGTCTATTTGATTCTTCTCTCTTTTCTTCTTAGGGGCAGCTGTTGGTGCAGCTTCAGCAGGCTTAAACTTTCCTGTCTGCTGGCTCTGATGACAGCAGCAGATCTCCCAGCACAGCATTCGAGCTCTGCTGAGGGACAGACTGCCTCCTCAAGTGGGTCCCTGACTCTCGTGCCTCCTGACTGGGAGATACTTCCCAGCAGGACTCAACAGACACTTCATACAGGAGAGCTCTAGCTGGCATCTGGCAGGCCCCCGTATGATGAAGCTTCCAGAGGAAGAAACAGGCAGCAATCTTTGTTGTTCTGCAGCCTCCGCTGGTGATATCCAGGCAAACAGAGTCTGGAGTGGCCCTCTAGCAAACTCCAGCAAACCTCCAACAGAAGGGCCTGATTGTTAGAAGGAAAACTAACAAACAGAAAGGAATAGCACCAACATCGCCAGCAACTGGACAGAGAATGAGTTTGATGAATTGACAGAAGTAGGCTTTAGAAGGTGGGTAATAACAAGCTACTCCGAACTACAGGAGCATGTTCTAACCCAATGCAAGGAAGCTTAGAACCTTGAAAAAAGGTTAGAGGAATTGCTAACTAGAATAACCAGTTTAGAGGAGACCATAAATGACCTGATGGAGCTGAAATACAGCACGAGAACTTTGTGAAGCATACACAAGTGTCAATAGCTGAATCAGTCAAGTGGAAGAAAGGATAACAGAGATTGAAGATCAACTTAATGAAATAAAGCATGAAGACAAGATTGGAGAAAAAAATCAATGAAAAGGAACAAACAAAGCCTCCAAAAAATATGGGACTATGTGAAAAGACCAAACCTGCATTTGATGGGTGTACCTGAAAGTGACAGGAAGAATGGAACCAAGTTGGAAAACAGTCTTCAGGATATTATCCAGGAGAACTTCCCCAACCTAGCAAGGCAGGCCAAAACTCAAATTCAGGAAATACAGAGATCACCACAAAGATACTCTTCAAGAAGAGCAACCCCAAGACACATAATCGTCAGATTCAACAAGGTTGAAATGAAGGAAAAAATATTAAGGGCAGCCAGAGAGAAAGGTCAGGTTGGGTTGGGGGATGAGTGGTGGGGAGTATTTTAGGTAGAGCAGTGGTTCTCAATTGAGGGTGATTTTACCATGCAGGAGACATTTGGCAATGTTTGGCAACATTTTTGGTTGCCACTACTTGGGATGAGTGTATGCTACCGGCATCTGGTTAGTAGAAGCCAGGGATGCTGCCACAAATTCTATAATGCATAGGACAGTGTCCCTCACAACAAATAATTATCTAGCCCCAAATGTCAATAGTGTTAAGGTGGAGAAACCCTAGGGGAGAGTAAAAAGTATATGCAATGCCCCTCTATTAATCAATTTTGTTTTGCTATAAAGGAATACCTGAGACTAAGTAATTTATAAAGAAAAGAGGTTTATGGGGCTCTTGGTTCTGCAGACTGTACAAGCATGGCATCTGCATCTGCTTGGCTTCTGGTGAAACGTCAGGAAGCTTACAATCATAGCAGAGGATGAAGGTGGAGTAGGCATGTCACATGGCAAGAGAGGGAGCAAGAAAGAGAGGAGGTGGTGCCAGGCCCTTTTAAATAACCGGGTCTCACATGAACTAACAGAGCAAGAACACACTCATTACTATGAGAAGGTCACCAAGCTGTCCATGAATGATCTACCCCCATGACCAAAACATCTCCCACTAGGCCCATCTCCAACACTGGAGGTGATATTTCAACGTGAGATTTGGAGGGGACAAAATATCCAAACCATATCAGCCACCCCTATAATGGCAAAGCCCCAGTGTGGCTGGAACTGGTATACATCAGATGGAGCATACATCAGATGGAGTGGCACCAGATGATGTTGGCAAGGTAGGCAGGGTTAAGAGCACACAGAGGAGCCCTTGTAAGATACAGTAGGAGTTGGGATTTTACTTCAGATGTAGGGGGAAGCATAATGGACCACTGATGACTGCTATAGAAAATAGAATGGAGAAGGAGTCAAAAGATAAAAAAGCTGCTCTGTGGACCAGTGAGATATGAAGAGGGTTAGAACAAAACGTGATGGCAGAGGTAAAGTGGATAGATTGGAACTTCAACTTGGAGCTGGAAATGGCAGAATGTGTTGATGGCTTGCATGGGATGGCGGGCTGGGGAAGAGGGAGGAGGAAAGGATGATGCTCCAGGCTCTGGCTTCAACAACTGGGTGAGTGGGGTTGTCATTTACTGCGAGTGAAAAGAGGGAGAAAATTGGGAGGAGGTCATGACAATTCTGAAAGGCCTGTGAGCAAGCACACAGATATGTCAAGTGGATAGTTGAATGTGCAGGTCTTGGGTTCACATAAAACATATGGGCTGAAGATTTATGTGGGAGGCATGAGGATATACCAGCTCTCCCAGGGATAGAGAAAGGTGACCCAAGATGAGCCCTATGGCCCTCAAATATTTACAGTTAGGGAGAACAGGAGGAGCCAGCAATGGGAAAAAGCAAAGGCCAGATCTGAAGACAATGTGGATTGTGATTATCTGGAAGAGAGAATGCCTCCCAGAAGAAGAGAGTCATCATCTACCCCAACCATAGCGAGAAGTGAAATAAAACACAATATGAAGGCCATTGGTGACCTTGAAGGGCACAGTCTAAAACAAAGGTCAGAGTAAAAGTCAGATTACCAGGGCCTGAGATAGTAAGCACAGACAATATGTGCACAGAATTCTTTTGAGAATTGAGAATTTTTTTGCTGTGAAATGGAGCAAAATGATAGGGTAATTGCTGGAACCTGAAGGGGTCAAGGAAGATTTAAGAGGATGAGAAAAACCACTGCCTGTTTGTAAGCTATGAAAAATGATATAGCAGAGAAAAACTGATGATGCAGGAGGAAGGGGAAGGAACAAGAAGCAGTTAAATCCTTGAAAAGATGGTAGGAGTGGTGGCTTCCAGAGAACACAGACCTGGAGAGGGAGAAAGGAGAAGTATTGTACTTCCAGTGCAGATGGGTTCCTAGGTTTGATGCTGCTAAATGAAGATGTGTCCATCTAACTCCTCCTATTTGCACAGCTAACTCACATTTAGCTGATGACCTGGTTGTGAGAAGGACAGAAAGGAATAGGGTGCTGGGAGGTTTGAGGAGAAAAATTGAAGCATGAAATAGTTATCCCAAAGAATGAAGAGCAAATATTCTGGGAGTTGTGAAGGGAATAGGTTTGATGGGCAATGTTGGAAACTCATGAGAAGTTTGAGACCATGAGTTTGAAGTGAAGAGCCAGCCAACTTGCCTGAAGTCCTACAGCAACATTTCATGTTTCAGACGCAGACCTAGACAAAGCAAGTGCTGCGGGTTCTCCAGTACACACTCAACCCCCTTCAGGATATGGCACTCACTCTCCCACTGACCAGAGCACTGCCTATGGGAGGCTCATATCTGAGTCCCCACTATGGGAACTGCCCATGACTGAAGGGAGCCGTTTCTCCAGGTCATGGTTGCTCAGGGAAAAGAAAAAAGGCCTTCTTACCTCCATGAAGAGATACTCAGGGCGTGACAAGGTTCAGGCTGTACCCGTTAGTGTGAAGAGAGCCACACTTTCTCAAAGGAAGACAAAAGGGGCAAGTCATCCATTTTATTAGACTAATTTTTAGAGCGGTTTTGTGTTCACTGCAAAATTGAACAGAAAGTACAGAGAGTTCCCATATATCCCTGGTACCCCTCCACACACAGCCTCTCCCACTATCAACATCAGGCACCAGAGTGGTACTTTTGTTACAAAAATAAACCTACACTTAACACATCATTATCACCCAAAGTCTACAGTTTACATTAGGATTCACTCTTGGTGTTGTACATTCTATGGGTTTTGTATAATGACATCTATCCACCATTAGAGTATCACATGCAGTAATTTGTTACTGCATATGATACTCTATTACTCTATTATGCAGTTTATTACTGCATATGATACTCTGTGACATCCACCAATTTTCATGGGTTACTATATTCATTTGCTAGGTCACTCATAATAAATTACCACAAACTTTGTGGCTTAAAGCAGCAGAAGTTTATTCTCTCACAGACAGAATCCAAATTCACAGAGGCCATCCAAAATCAAGGTGTTGGGAAGGTCATTCCCCCTCCCAAAGCTCTGGGGAAGAATCTGCCCTTTGGGTCTTCCAGTGTCTGGCGGCCACTGGTGTCCTCTGTATTCTTTGGCTTGAAGACACAATCTCTGCCTCCATCTTCTCACCACCTTCTCCTCTGTGGCTGCTTCTCCTTGGTGTGTCTCTTATAAGCATCCACCCAGATATAAAGACCCACCAGATAGCCCAGATAAATCATGTCAAGATTCTTATTTGCACCTGCAAAGATCCTTTCTTTAAATAAGGTCACATTCACCAGGTTTCAAGGATTAAGACATGGACATGACTTATTAGAGGTCTCTGTTCATCCCACTGTAGTTACTCAGAGGTGGGGCAGAGCTGGACAGAAATATCTCTGGCCTTCTCCACAAATGGAGAGAGATGAGGATACTAGATGCTGGGCATGAGTGAGAACAGAGGCCATGCTGGGCTCCATTAATAATGATGGGTGAGGTGGGGAAACTGGAGTGCATGATGATAAATTAATTAATAGGTACAATGTACATTATTTGGGTGATGGATACCCTAAAAGCCCTGACTTCACCACTGTGCAATCTATGCATGTAGCAAAATTGTACTTGTATCCCATATGTACCCCATACCCATTTTTTAAATAAATCAATTTTAAAAATAAAAATGTATTTTAAAATAATGATGATGAAGCCAGTGAGGAGTGCAGTGGCGGTTCAGAGGGGCCTTATTTTGATCAATACTTGAGAATTAAGATCTGCTCCCTCACGCTCAGCCCCTCAACGCTGTTCTCAGTGACTTGTGTTAAACCTTATTGCCAGAGAATAAATGAACCACAACCAAACCCGGAGTAGACCCAGCTGTTCCAGTAATTTTATGCCAGCACCAGAACCACAAAGCTAAGAGGAAGAGAAAAGGCTTCTTGCTTTCCTGTGACATTTTATTTTTTATTATCATTTATTATTATTATTATTGAGATGGAGTCTCATTCTGTCACCCAGGCTGAAGTGCAGTGGCACAATCTCGTCTCACTGCAACCTCTGCCTCCCGGGTTTAAGCGATTCTCCTGCCTCAGCCTCCCGAGTAGCTGGGATTACAGGCACCTGCCACCACACCCAGCTAATATCTTTATTAGAGATGGGGTTTCACCATGTTGGCCAGGCTGGTCTTGAACTTCTGACCTCAAGTGATCCACCTGCCTCAGCCTCCCCAAGTGCTGAGATTACAGGCGTGAGCCACTGCACCCAGCTCCTGTGACATTTGAACTGTCAGTGAGAAGGACCTCTGCTCTGCTGTGAAAGGTTCAACTATTTTAAAGCTACATGTCATTTTTTATTTTTTATTCATACATAATCAACATTCATGTTTTCAGGTATGTGTGATCATTTAATATATTCAAGTAATTTTTAAAGATCAAATCAGTGTCATTGGTATATCCATCACCTCAAATATTTGCCTTTTCCTTATGCTAGAAACATTCCAATTATTCTCTGCTTGTTATTTTGAAATGTACAATAAATAAAGAAACTTGTCTATGTTGATATCTACTCCCAATCTGGGGACAGACATGCTCAGGGTATATTTTCTTTCACTAATAAAAGGTGGATTAATTTTTCTGTGAAAATTCTTCTTTAAAGTTTACTGCTTCTAAAAGCATGGAATTTTATTTCTCTGGTGATCAGTGATGTTGAGCTTTTTTTTGTATGTTTGTTGGCCGCATGTGTGCCTTCTTTTGAGAAGTGTCTCACGCCAGTCAGAATGGTGATTATTATAAAGTTAAAAAGAAACAGATGCTGGCAAGGTTGCAGAGAAATAGGAACACTTTTACACTGTTGGTGGGAATATAAATTAGTTCAACCATTGTGGAAGACAGTGTGGCAATTCCTCAAAGATTTAGAACTGGAAATACCATTTGACCCAGCAATCCCATTACTGGGTATATACCCAGAGAAATATAAATCATTCTATTATAAAGATACATGCACATGTATGTTTGTTGCAGTACTATTCACAATAGCAAAGACATGGAATCAGCCCAAATGCCCATCAACAAGAGATTGGATAAAGAAAATGTGGTACATATACACCATGGAATACTACATAGCCATAAAAAGGAGTGAGATCATGTCCTTCGCAGGGACATGGATGAAGCTGGAAGTCATTATCCTCAGCAAACTAATGCAGGAACAGAAAACCAAACATTGCATGTTCTCACTTATAAGTGGGAGCTGAACAATGAGAACACATGGACACAGGGAGGGGAACAACACACATTGGGGCCTGTCAGGGGAGTGTGGTGTGAGAGGCGAGGGCATCAGGAAAAATAGCTAATGTATGCCAGGCTTAATATCTAGGTGATGGGTTGACAGGTGCAGCAATCCACCATGCCACATGTATAGCTATGTAACAAACCTGCACATCCGGTACATGTACCCTAGAACTTAAAACTTAATTTAGTTTAAAAGCATGGAAGTACAGTCGGCCACCACCACCCACCCAGCCAATTTTCAATCAGATTCATCTCCAAACCACCTGGGGTCTGTTGCTGGAATGTGGGGTGCATTATACCAGAGAGCAGAGCCACAGACAGCACTGGCTCCCCTAGTCAGCCCTCAAAGCCATTGTCTTAAAGTCTAATTGGAATTGTTTTTAGAAAAGAGAATTTTGCAATTAAAAAAAAGTCATGAATACAGGTCCAGCAGTCATGACTAAAACATCAAAACAGTCATGTAGAAAACACAGAAAAGAGCGTCTTGTTAGGTCTCCTGAATAGTGACTGAGGAGAGCCTGAGTGAAGGAACCTGAGAGGGGAGAGAGGCCCACGGGATCCTGCAGGTGATGTCTGGCTCTCCCGAGAGCCCACGGTGGACGGTGCTAGCTCACTTTGTCACATTTTTCACTCCGGGAAAGGGGTGGCAAGCAGGACCCGTTGTCACCCGGTGTCTTGTCCTTGTTTGTTTTGTGGTTTGGGTTTTGGTTCACCAAGAGAATTATGAAAGGGAGAGACAGGAAAATATCCTTGATGTGCCTGAGCAAAATTATAGAAACAAGAGCAGGGGAGGGTGAGGGAGTTCAGTAGAGCTGAAAGAGGTTGCAGCAGCTGGAAATCCCCGGGCTGCAGGGTAGAAGGAGGTGGGAGGGAGACGCTGCAGAATACCAGGCCCCTCACTGGCCCTGCAGGTCCCCTCGCTCCAGCCTCCCAACCCTGCAACCTGGGATGAGTGTCCACATCTGACAGCCACTGAGAAGGCGGGCCTGGCAAGGTGGCCCTTGTATGTATTAATACATGGAGTGGGCACCTCTAGAAGTGGCTGTGATATGTGGGAAGGGTCACGTGGCAGAGATGAAGGTGTACTGAAAGACAGCACGGGAGGCTGGCTCTGCACATTCCTACCCGAGGATGAATGCAAGGGATCTGCCTTCCCCAGAGCCAGCACCCTCCGTGCTCCACCTTCTGCTTGGGGGAAGGGGTGCCTGTAACATCCTGGACCATTGAAAAGGGAAGCTAAGCACACATAACAACTCAGATGGGAAAAAGCAAATCACAGGGCTTAGATGGACCTCATCCTACAGTACAATTAAATGACATCCAAGGATGAGCAGAAGGACAAGACACAGCCCTTGGCACTGCCTTCATGTGGGGCCCACTCCAATGCTGACAGTCTGCAAGGGCTCTCCAGTGAGCACTTTGCTCCCAGAGCTCTGGGCAGAGCTCACTGGACTGGACTGATTCCTGTCCTTGCCACCCACAGCTCCTCCCAACCCAGTCCTCTGCTCCTTGGACCACTGAGCCCCCTGTCTGTTCCCATTCCCTCCAATCCCCCTACCCTGCACCTTCTACTGAAATCACTGAATCTTTATCCAGTGGGATGACAAGGCATCTGGCTCTATTTTCCTCCAAATCCAATCTTCATAGCGTAAATGTTATGAACACAGGAACTTCTTTAGCTTTTGATAGTCAAAGACAAGTTATTGAATCTCAAGCACCATTTTTGCTTTCAAAAAGCCCAATTCTTGCAAGTCAATAGTTTGGATCTCAAGACTATGGTCACTTCATAAACTCCAAAAACTATCCAAGAAACTCATGATGAGACATGACTTCATTATCTGTGCTGTTCACTGTTCATGGCTATTATGGGGGAAGGAGGTGGCCATTACCACCTTCATGGAGACCTAAGATCAAGGAAACGCGGGTGTGAGAAGCATCAAAGTGTTTGTGTTTGCAGGTGTATTACCCTGGCTAATAAATCTAAATGTTTTCCCAATAAAGCAGTTGGGTAACAACTACAAAATATTTTATATGCTTACAGAATGTCCAAGATGTGTGTAGGTGTGAATGTGCGCATTTGCCTATAACACAGAGGTATCACCTTAGACTAGTAGATGACTGGGCCACAGGGTTCTGACAAACTTATGGGTTTTTTAATTATCCAAGTGTTCTTCCCTGACCATGTGTTGCAATAATTGTTAGAAATATATAATAAATATACATTTTAAAAGAGTAAACAACAGAAATAAAATAAAATCATTAGGTGTTTTTGAATCGCATTTTTGTGGCAGCCCAGGAAGCTGACGCTAACTGACTGGCCAGCAGATGTCCAGGGTGAAAGACAAGCTGGGCCATTGGCCCTCTGTCCTGTGTCATTTCCAAGGCTCAGGCCATGGCCTCACACAGAGAGCTCCCAGCACTCCCGCATCTTTCTGGCTCTCTCTAAAGAGCTGATTCCTCTGAAAATTCCCCTTCCCAGGGCTTTTGTGCCCTCCCTTCTCCAAGTTCCAGTTCTAGAAGATAAGAGGTTTCCAGAATCCAGACACTTTGAGAATCCTGCAGTGCTGTCAGAGGCCCAAAATGTCATCCTCTATCCAGCTGTGAACAGAAGATTCTCGAACACCTACTCGCCTTGCCCACTCTCCCAGAGGAGATGACGCCCCTTCCAGACTCAGTTGAGTCTGGAGCCTGGATTCACTCTGCACTCCACCCAGTCTAAGAATCTCCTAGTAAGGTAGGCTGGACAGTGGCCCCTCATAAGGTCCATGTCCTAGTCCGCTAGCCCTGTGAATACATTCTGCCAATAGGACACTGCGGATGCAACTCAGCATCTTGAGATGGGGAGAGGATCCTGGATTCTCCAGGTGGGTTCAACTTCATAGCACAGGTGTCCTTGTAAGAGAGGGCTGAGGAAGAAACGGTATCACAGAAGAGGAAAAGGTGAGGTGACCTTGAAAGTGATGGAAATGATGCACCCAGCAGCCTTAAAAGTGGGAAAGATGAGGAACAGATCCTCGCTGAAGCCTCCACAAGGAGCCGGCCCCGTCGGCACCTTGATTTTAGGTTAGCGAGACGCTGCTCAGAGTTCTTTAAACTACTATGTTTGTGGCAATTTGTTACAGCAGCCAGAGAGCAACCCCTCCCTCCCATCCACCCCTACCCTGTTCTAATTGGATGATAGCTGGAGTCTTTCAGGAGCCCTTGTGTTTTATAACCCAGTGGCCACAGTGACCCTAGGCGAGGCCCTGGTCCTTCAGGCTGCATGGTCAGTATATGTGCTGCAGGCCCGGGGTCCACAGAGGGCACTAAGTAGGGAGCAAGACATTGTTTGTTTTTTATTTCACTTGCTTCCCAAGCAGGAATTTCAATGCTGAAATCCTATCATCACTATAGAGAAGCTGAGTGTAAGTTCTGTTGGCAGCAAAAATTAGCAATCAGTGGCTACTCCCTACTCAGAGGGAGCAGACAAGTTCAAAGTCAGCTGTGCAGAAAGAAGTCACGGATGGCTAGGGATGCTGGGCTTAGATGTGGCTGGCTCCAGTTCTGGTCGTGGCTGTCCTCGTGACCCATCCAGTATCATGCAAGGTAACCTTTAAATAGTTTGCATTTCCAGCTTTTCAACTGTGTGATCAGAATCAGTTATGCCTTCTCTCCAGAGGTGCTGCAAAACCAGTTACGTTAAGTCTGTGCTAATTTTCACACTGTTTGTAACTAGCCAGTGACTCAAGTACAGCCTGATAAGTGGGGGTTGCAAACACCCTGGAGCGAGGTGAGTGAGCAGGACCATTGTTGCGTATTTCCTGAAACATGCATATTTGACATGTAGCTTGGCAATGCAGCCAAAGACAGGAAAGCAAGACTGCTGGCTCATATCATACTGCCCAGCACACTCTGCTTCAGTGTCTTCAAAATGTTTAGCTAAAAGAAAATTTCTTCAAGGTGAAGCATAGATAGAAGCCCAACATGAAAAACTGGTAAATGTGGCGTCATTCACATCGACATGAGGAGCAGATCTTGAGGGCGGCCCAGGGCCCCTGCAAGCCGCCCCAAGCAACTTCGTGAAAAACCTAGAAGCTCCCAGGGGAGCTCAGCTTGGCAACCACTGTTCCAATCCATCCTCATGGCTGTTACAGTCAGTTGGTCCCATGGACTACAGAGTGTTTTAATGAAAACTGGACCTTTCACATGAAAAAAACAGAGGCCCAGAATTATCGTCTCACTGGGCAAATGTCAGACTAGTACCAGAGCATGAATTGTGGAGCAGACGGGAATGACGAAGGTCCTATAAATTGGGCCCCTTTTTGACATCACTGCATCACCTGACCTCAGCCCTGTGCTATTTATATCAAACCACATGGCCTCTTCCAGCTTCCCGCACAATTTCTTGCTTTCCTCCCGCATTCCAGATTTGCCCCTTTGGAGTTAACCCCTTCAGGCCTCTCCTTGCTGCTTCTTTCATAACCAGCTTCATACAGTCATTTGCCTAAAAAATCTGTTACTGCTAAAGTTACCTCCCTGTCAACGTTCCATAATTACAGGGCAATAGAAAATAAACACTACTATATCCCAAAGGCAACCTCATTCAATGACCAAGAAAAGGCCAGAGAATTAAAGAAAAAAATCTAGAAAACAACACAATTTATAAAATGCCTGGGTTGTACCCATGAAGAGCTTTTAATATATGCAGATTCAACAGTGGGGCTTGAATCATTTCTGAGGTGCATTCTGACACCTGGCCACAGGTCCTGTTGCTGTCCATACCCTGCTGGTCAGAACCACCGAGCCCTCTGCTCGTTACATCCCCTTGCCTCCCCTCCGCTGCCACCCAGTTCTAGCTGCATGGATAGTTTGAATTTGGCTCCTGTGTGGCAGCAGAGGGACACTGCAGGTGTGGAAAAGAGATATTCAAGGAGAACTCCAGCTGAGGATGTTGGCTGGATGCAGCCAGAAGATAGCAAAGGCTGAAATAAACAAAGACCAGCAACAGAGAGCAGGCACAGGCTGTTTACTCATTACTTATAGCATGGGAGGCAGTAGCAGTCAGTGGTGTTTGGCAGAGACTGAAGGGAGGCAGAGGATCAGGGAAGCTTCACAGTGGCAAAGTGGGAGGCTGCAGGTGTGCCCTGAGTGGAGGCTGCTGGCTGGGGGAAGCTGCAGGTGGGGTTCACTAGAAGCCAGGAATCCCATGTGATTGGTTAGGGGAGCGAACGTGGCTTTCTCTGGCAGGTCCTGAGTCGGAAGTAGGGGAAAAAATTAGAGTTGTCAGTGATGAATCAAGTCCTGGCCACTTGGGGCTGGTTGCTACAGGTGCTATTGTTTGGCTCATTTGGTGGCTAGAGGCAGCAATCTGACTTCATGGGCTGGCTGCTGTAGATCAGTGGTCCCCAACCTTTCTGGCACCAGGGATCAGTTTTGTGAAAGACAATTTTTCCACAAGACCTGGGCAAGAGTGGGGGGATGGGGTGGGAGGGGATGGTTTCAGGATGAAACTGTTTCACTTCAGATAATCAGGCATCAGATTCTCGTAAGGAGAGTACAACCTAAATCCGTTGCATGTGCAGTTCACAATAGGGTTCATGCTCCTGTGAGAATCTAATACCACCGCTGATCTGACAGGAGGCGGAGCCCAGGCAGTAATGCTCACTCACCCACCACTCACCTCCTGCTGTACAGCCCAGGTCCTAACAGGCCACAGGCTGCTGTGGGTCTGCGGCCCAGGGGTTGGGGATCCCTGCTGTAGATAATGAGTTGGTTTCCTGGGCAGGTGATATGGTTTGGCTGTGTCCCCACCCAAATTTCATTTTGAATTCCCACGTGTTGTGTTGTGGGAGGGACCCATTGGGAGGTAATTGAATCATGGGGGCAGGTCTTTCCCATCCTGTTCTCGTGATAGTAAGTCTCACAAGATCTGATGTTTTTCAAAAGAAGAGTTTCCCTTCACAAGTTCTCTTTGCCTGCCACCATCCACTTAAGACGTGACTTGATTCTCCTTGCCTTCCACCGTGATTGTGAGGCCTCCTCAGCCATGTGGAATTGTAAGTCCAATTAAACCTCTTTCTTTTGTAAATTGCCCAGTCTCAGGTATGTTGTTATCAGCAGTATGAATACAGACTAATACAGCAGGTCTTTACAGATTGCGGGCTAGAGTTCTGTTTTCACATCTGGTGTGGCCTTATCCATTCATATATTCTGTCTCTCCAGCAGTAAACCAAGCAGTTTCAGCCTGTTCCAGCCACATCAGCCTGCAGTGGAGCAGTGATGGCAGGTGGGGGTTGGGGGGAGGGTAGTGAATTGAATGGTAGTCCCCCAAAAAGATACATTCATGTCCTAATCCTCAGAACCAGTGAATGTGATCTTATTTGGAAGAAGGGTCATTATGATGTAATTAAGTTAAGGATCTCCGGATGCAGTTATCCTGATTCATCTGGATGGGCCCTTAATCCAACAACAGTGTCCTTAAAGGAGACAGAAGAGGAGACCAAGAGAGGAGGAGAAGGCTACATGAAGACGAAGGCAGAGATTGGAATAAGGCAGCTATGAGCCAAGGAACACCTGGAGCCACCAGAAGCTGGAGGAGGCAAGGAAGGATTCTTCCTAGACCCTTCAGCAGGCCTGGCCCTGCTGATGCCTTGATTTTTGACTTCCAGGCTCCAGAACTGTGAGGGCAACAAACGTCTGCTATGATCTACCAAGTGTGTGCTATTTGTTATGCAGCCCTAGGAGGCTAATACAGCAGCTCCTCCACACATGCACATTATAGCTTTGTTCCTCCAGTCTTGCCCTGCCTAAGGGGGAAGACTGCGGAAAGAGGATATTTCCTAGACTTGGTTCAAATAACCAAGATATTCAGAAGAAAATTGAAAAATTCAAACACTCAGATATTTTAGAGTGACTTTATGTTTTATACCATGAAAACAGACATCCAGATTTATTTTTATTTTCTCCTAGATATTTGCCCTTTTGGAGATCTAGACTTCCTTTGGTATGTGGTCAACAGTCCCTTGAAGGTGTATCTGTGGCTATTTACCTAAATACACACATCAGATAGTGTCATTCATATGTTGGTAATTAATAATAAATATAGTAGAACTTGTTTATAGAACCAGGGTAATAGGCATGATGGGCAATACATATTACCTGAGGAACTGTAACCTATTTAGCATACTTAGGATTTGTCCAGTTATCCGCTTAATACACTCCCCCACACTCTGGAGTTTCTCTTTCCCCTCTTATCTCCTGCCCTCTTTTATGCCTACATTCTGGTCACTTCTGAATTAACCATAATATTTTAGAAGCAAAAAAACGTGTCTATAGCCAAATAAGTACTGCATTGCTTTCCAAATTGAAACCCCAAATTGTTAAAACTCTGGACTTATTACCACTTTTCCCCATGCAATATCCATGTCATATTAATTGTTTAGACCCTGATTGACTCTAATAGACTCAAAGAATAATAATAATTTATTATTTGAAAATAAATTTCAAATAATAGAGTGTGGACATGTAATTAATATGCACAACAAATGCTCTTGGAAATTCACGCAGAATATTCCCAACTGCAGTACCAGCTATCATTGCAGCGTGCCCACAGAGGGTCAGCAGCATCCCAAAACACATGCCCAGTCACAAATGGGCAAAATCACATCCACATGTGTAAACACATTGGAGAATAAGTTGGTATATTCAAGTGCAACTGATGCATGGGTTCAACTTCTTTGACCCCAGCTTTGTTTCAAGATGTCAGTTTCTGCCGCTCAGCAGGAATTCCCCAGAAAAGAACCTGCCGATTGGCATCTACAAAGCAGGCCCCCTCTCTGCACTATTTTAGATCTTTCTTTTCTCATCTTTGCAGATAGAGAACAGCAGGAAGAATAAATGATTGGATTCAAATATGAAGGAATGTTCTCTTTTAGCAGACCTAATTTCATTATGTTTCACAGAGATGGACTGATGAAGTCAACACATTTACACCGAAAATCTCTACGTCTCAAATGCAAATGTCAACGTATGTCACAAACCTTTATAATTTGCATTCCTTAGAACTACACTTCTAGAAATCAATCCTAGGGAAATACCAGAAAAGTGCAAAAAGACATATATCAAGGGTATTAATCACAGTAGTGTTTATACAGCAGGAAGAAAAAAAAATCTGGAAGCATTCTAAAGTGAGGCAGGATAGGTCATCAAGGAAGGTTCTTGGATGCAGCAACCATGGTGACCCAAGAGTCAACACAATCACATTGTAATTGAGCTCGATCAGGCAAAGCTATCTTCAGTACAGACTTTCTCCTCTAGAGAGCATGTGCGCTTTGATTTTACCTGTCCTCAAATTGACCTTTCGCTCATTATAATAGTAAATTATAAATCTCCCTGGGTGGAGATTTAAGGTGCTAATGAGACATGCGATGTATGAACAAGAATTGCAGCTACTGAGCATGTGCACCCACAGGACCACCCAGAACATGTTTATAGCAACACCTCTTCCCACCTACTTATGAATAATTGTGTAAGACTCCCCTAAAGGGAGTCTCCCTAGAGCAAGTCTTTGCTGTCTCGTCCTTATGAGCAGCCTGCCCTGATTCTCTTACGGTGTACTGTCTATTCTGCACCTAACTTTCAAAATACTCTTTTTCTTTTGCAATAAATTACTGTATGCTACATCTCCTTTGCTGTGCATCTCTTAAATTCTTTTAAACTAAGAAGACAAGAACCAAGGTATCACAACAGTGCTCAACCAAGGAAATCAGTAGATAAATTATGGGATAGCTCCATAGTGGAAAACGATTAGAGTCATTAACATGAGGCTAAAAGAATGTATTTATGGGCCTGGAAAATGTTTATTACTTATTTTAAGTAGGAATTTGTTTCAGTTTCCTATGGCTGCTATAATAAATTACCACAAATTTAGTGGATTTTAAAAACCCACAAATGTATTATTTTGCAGTTCTGGAGGTCAAAATTTAAACGAGTCTCTCTCGGCTAAAATCAAGATGTCAGCAGGATGGTATTCCTTCTGGAGGCTCTCAGGGATAATACTTTCTCCTTGCCTTCTCAGCTTCTGGAGGCTGCCTGCAGGCCTTGACCCATGGTTGCTTTCTCCGTCTTCAAAGCCAGGAGAGCAGCATCTTCCACTCTGTCTCTGACTCTGCCCTCTGCTTCCACTGGCACATCTGCTTCTTGACTCTGACCTTTCTGTCTACCGCTTATAAGGACCCTGTGATTACACGGGGGCCACATAGATAATCTAGGCTACCCTCCCCATCTCAAGCCCCTTAATCACATCTGCAAAGTTGCTTTAGTCATTTAAGGTAACATAGTCACAAATTCCAGGGATTAACATATGGACATCTTTGGAGGTCTATGATCCTGAGTGCCACAAAAGTTCAAATTGCAGAATAATATACCTAGGTATGGTTCTATTTTTCTATGTTTTGACAAAAATTATATAAATATTGGCCAACAGACACTCCTATCACTCAGGACATGCCAAGGTTTTGAAGACCTGTGCCAGGAAGTGAGGACGAAGACTGGATATATTCCTTGTTCTACTACATTCAGCTTTTAAAATTCGCAAACCAGGAGGAGACCTGCCCTGCTTTTCTCAGCTCTTTGCTCTTAGCAGCCCTTTCCTTCAGTAATGATTGCAAAATGCACAGATGTACCAAAAGGGAGGAGGGGATAATGGAGGAGGAGAGACATATTTGGCTAATATTTACTCACATTATCTTCCACTCATGCGTGCATGCATATATATATATATGCCATAAACCTTGAAGCTCATATGAGACCTCTCCCTGGCACAGTGACTCCATGCTCATATTTTCACTTATTTTTCTATTCAACAAATAAGTAGTGAGTCCCTACAATATAGTGAACTCCAGGAAAAGCTCTGGAATACAGAAGGCACAGGGCTTGCCCCACTGGGAGCTTACAATTTAGCAGGTGAGAGGGACACCAAACAGCTAGGGAAACAGATAATTACTTTATCACAATGGTGCTGTGAGGGAAAAGTACTGGGTGGTGTGAGCACATGCTGGGAGAGTAACACTTGACAACAGGATCAGAAAAGGCAGTCCCAGGCAGCTCCAGTCACTGTTGAGGACTGAAGCAAGCGTAGGTGTCAGCAAGATAAAGCTGGGAAGGTAGAGTGGAAAGAAGAGGGTCCCAGCATTAGAAACATGCATGCGAGCTCTGGATTGGGAAGCCTTTCTTCAAGGAACCAAATAAGGCATAGCATGGAGCACAGAGGATGAGAGAGAAGGAGGATGCAGCTGCAGGGGTAACCTGGGGCCAGGAATCGGGGTCCAGTGGGTGAAAGTAAAGGTATTGGGCTTATGTAAAAAGCAATGGTGAGCCACTGAGGGGTTTAAGCAGAGGGTCAACATGATGAAATGTATGTTTTAAAAACCTGACTGCACTGCAGTGTCAACAATAAACAGGAGGGAGCTAAGGAAATTTGGGGAGGAAACATCGATTGCTATTTCCACGATATGATTCTGGATCTGACCCAGATGATGGTATGGGGGCGGAGAGAAGTGGACAGGTATTTACGAAGATGAACTCTGCCTCAGGGACGATGCCCAAGTGTCCAGCTTGAGCAACCTGATGTTGCTTTGAACCAATAAGGAGTGGTGAAGGATCTAATTAGAGGACAAGGGA
Source organism: Homo sapiens (assembly GCF_000001405.40). Lineage (NCBI taxonomy): Eukaryota > Metazoa > Chordata > Mammalia > Primates > Hominidae > Homo > Homo sapiens. The sequence goes on from NC_000005.10 coordinate 9,954,490, forward strand.
AGGGAAGTATGAGGGTACGGCATGAGTTTAGTTTCACTTATGTAGTCCCAATTTTGTCTCCTGTCTTTATAAACTCTCAACATCTCTCAGAAAATCTGCTATTTTGGTACCAAACCACATTTCCAGGCTTCTTTCAGTATAAAAGTATTCCCAAGGTTCTTTTTTCTTTTTTAATCAGACCAAGAGCCTTTGGGTACAAAAATACAGCCATAAAATCTGTGAGATATCCCCTTAGGCTTAAGAAGTGACGTTAATTAACCAAGCTTCTACAGCTTATATCTATTGTAAATTTTAGCACAATGATTATAATAAACACAAGTAAGCTTGTTTTCTTTTAGGCAAAAAAACATTTGGAAACCTCAACCTGGAAACGTAATTCTATTCTGGCAAAGACCAGATCCCTCTGAAATGATTACTACCATTACTACCCGACTCTCTTTTCTGTACTCAACCTTGATTAAATAATGGGAAACACATGGATAAAATGAGTCCCCTGCAAATGTCAGGACAAAAGAACTTTTACCCCTAGGTTCCTCCAGCAATATGGCAGGTTTCCCTACTACACAGTGATTAATTCAGAGATATGGAGTTAATCTACAACAAAGTTCCAACAGACACATTTTAATATTGTTTATTGTAACCAGAAATGGATGGCACATACTGCAACGGTTACTAACCAATTTTCATAATCAAAAAGAATTATGCTATATTGGCCAAAATATTAGTCATGGGATTAGAACCCATCCTCCCTTGAATAGCCTAATCCTCTTTAAAATAGCTCAGAGTAATCAGGTTAGCTTCACAGTAAATTTTAGTAAACCCATCACTTTTATGAAATAATTTCAGAAAAGGAAAGATCAAAGTTTTTTAAATCCTTGATGCTGATGAAACACTGGGCAAAATAAATGTCTTACAAAGCACTTATATAATTGATTTAAGCTAACTATCCTAATAGAGATACATTTGCCATTACAAATGGATTTGTATTATAAAGTGGAAACTAGCACTAGCACTGTGGAAACAAGTTCTCAGTGCTGGTTTTCTGAAAAATGGGACAGTAACAAGAAAAGGCATAGGGAAATGTCTCACCAAGCACCCTGCCTTCCAGCCATTTTTAAATGAAAGCCCTTTCTGGCAATGCTATTTTGTGTAAATGATGACCAGATAGGGTGGCTGATTGCTTTGTGACCTCTGTTTAACACAGCACCCTCTCCTAGTCAACACTATGTTGGCACGCAAAAACAGCCCGAGCTTTTCAAAGCATCCAGTTTGCTCTGGGGGAGCAGTCACCTTAAGACTTCTAAGAATTTTATGCATGCGATATTACTTGGCCACAACCCTATCTTCCTAGACTGCAAAAGTGCTTGAGAAAACAAGAATGGGATCACAAGTGTGCTCCTGTAAGTTTCCACAGAGATTCAGTTCCTAATTGGATCTTTTCATGTCATCTTGGATTCTTATTTTATTCTAATTTATCCACTGTCAATCCAGACCTATCAAAAAAATCACAATGATCACATCTATATATCTTTATTCAAGTTACTGATAAAAACATTAAAGGTTACAGACCCTAGAACAATGACCTTTGACCTATTCCAAGTCAGCATAGAATGGCCTCATCACCCAACTTGTTGTTCTTCCCAATAAGTGTCCTTGCATCCAACCCTAAGTTTTCTAAAGGCTTATCCGAAACTGAATATACACAAAATCAACAATGTGGGTCTCATGAATGCATGCCCTCAAACAGGTTCTGAGATTCAAAACCTTCCATTGACTAATGAAGAAAATTTCCCCTGGTTCCACCCCACCTAAACATGGGTTCCCATTACTGTCTCTTCTTTGCCATCTGCCCACAAGTCAGCCACCCTGTTGAAAGTGAAAAAGCTACTGCCAACATAATTTCAATCAAAATGCTTTTATACTTTTGGAGAGTATTAGTGTGATGGTTAATTTTATGTGGAAACTTGACTGGGCCATGGTGACTACATATTGTTCAAACGTTATTCTGGATATTTCTGGGAACATGGTTTTTCAATGAGATTTACACTTAAATTGAGACTTTGAGTAAAACAGAATGTTCTCCATAGTGTGGCTGTCTTATCCACATTATGGATGAGATTAGATGACATTGTGCCTCATCCAATCATTTGAAGGTCTGAACAGAACGAAAGACTGACTTCCCCCAAGCAAGAGTTGTACATGCATATCCTATGGGCTCTGTTCATCTGGACAAGCCTCACTAATACAAAAATATATAATACTTTTTATTACAAAAAGTGCAAGAATTTCCTAATACATTGCACAAAAACAATCTTGTACCCATATTTCTTCAATTAGTCATTTTATCATAATAGCCTCTTTATTCTCTTTAAGTGGTTCACACCCAGAGTTCTTTAGAACTCTTTCAGGATGCTTCCACCTTCTTGTTTGTCTTTGAAGTCTTAAGTAAAGGAAATATAAATATTTCACCACTGCAATTCCTGTTTTCTACTCTTCAGAAGATCTCCCCTGAATCATGGGTCAAAATACAGCCACTCTTTGGTATAGAAGTCATAAGAATATTAATAACTCATAGTGGACTTATCAGTCATGCTTATTAATAAAAACATTACATTCAGGACACAAGAGCCCCTTTGAGGCAAATGAGAAAGGGAAGCCTAGCTGAGACTGACAGGAACTGGAGTGGCTAAGGGAAAGAGGACCCTGTGCACAAACACTTCTATGGAACATGAAGAAAGGCCTCATCGGTTCTAGGCACTGCCAGAGACATCCACTTTTTTGTGGCTATAATAATGATATTTTCAATGACAAATGATTTCTCAGGAGAGGTCTTGGTCTAATGAGATGCTACCATAAAGTAATAAAACCACAAAAGACTGTAAAAAAACAGAATGATAGATAAGCTATGGAACACTGCCAAGTTGTCTTTGCATTTCAATTACTTGTGGCAATAAGAGACAGACATAATATGGGTAATAAAAAGCCAACCATAATCCAAAAACTTAATTTTAGCAAATGGTTCAAAGTCTTCCCACAAGATCCTTTACTAAAGCAATTGACAAATGTTGCATTTGCAGGAGAGAGCTACAGAAGCCTGCCTGAGAAGACCACTTAAAAGCCAGAGTCTCCCAGAGGAGCAGTGCTGGGTGAAGTATCCAGAGGTCTCAAAGAGACTGGCTCCATCCGTCCTCAACAGACAGATGTATAAATAAGAATGCTGGTTCTAAATCTCAACAAAAGAATTCTTGACTCAGCAGGACACTTACTTCTTCTGATCAGCACATTCTCTCCCTTTTGAAAACTCCAACATTGACAATTATAAACAAAAGGTTGTTTGATGAGCATGAAGTGAGGACAAGGGAAGCTTGTAGAATAATTTGAAGGATAGTGATACCAACTCTTGGGGAAACAAACCTTTCAGAGAGACCAAAACCTGTGCCTACTGCTAGACATCCTCTCCATGAGCAGTGAAGTTCCTACACCAGAAATATTCTGCTCGCAAAAGTCTTGATCTCTGAGCCCCTTGTTTATAATCTGATCTCTTAACAACAAGGTCTTTTCTCAGATGAGGTGGTTTAGAATAGACTAAGTACAACTTTAGACATGCTAATACACCATAATTTCCTGAAAGCCACTGACTCTCCTTCCTAATCACTGACAACATGACTATACTCTAAAACTCCCCTAATACCCATTTATAGATCAATGCATAGGGTGAGTGTTCTGGGCTGAATTGTGTCTCCCAAAATGCATATGTTGAAGTCCTCTCCCCTCAGTTCCTCAGTGTACGACTGTATTTGAAGACAGGGTCTTTAACGAGGTGATTAAGTTAAAATGAGATCATTTTAAGTGAGGTCCTCATCCATTACAAATGGTGGCCTTATAAAAGGGAAATTCAGACACAGAGACAGGTACAAATAGAAGGAAGACCATGAGAAAGCACGGGGAGGAGATGGCCATGGACAAGCCACGGACAGAGGCCTAGAACAGAGTCTTCCTTCACAGCCTCAGAAGGAACCAACCCTGCTGACACCTCTGTTACTGGTGGAAGAGATCTGAGTTACCCTGAGTTACTGGTAGTGAATCTATAAGGATCCACAGCAACTTCAGTCCTTGCCTCCTCAGAAGAAAGAATTCATCTGAGGGGCATAAAGCAGAAAAAGAGACCGAGGCAAGTTTCAGAGCAGGAGTGCTAGTTTATTTAAAAGGCTTTAAAACAGGAAAGAAAGGAAAATTCATTTGAAAGAGACCCAAGCGGGCACCTGAAGATCCAAGAGAGAAAAGAGAGCAAAAGAAGACTGCAAAAAGAGAGCCTTTCACCTTGATCCCAGGACTTTTTGGGCTCACCTCTTCCCATGATTCTTCCCTTTAGGGTGGGCTTTCCACATGCCCAGTGCTTGCACCCTTTGGCATTGAGCACAGCGCAGTGTGTTTAAGGAGTTATATGCATGCCCACGTGAGCCTTTCTTCCCTTTTCTGGTGGAGTTGCCCCCAGAAGATCATACTTCACCACTTTTGTCTCTTGACACGTATGTCCAGGAAGTTGCTTCTCCCTGGGGTTTGCATTCAATTGACATTTTGATGTTAATGGGTGTGGACCATTAGTAAGTGGCCTCTCCCTCGTGCTGCCAAACTGTCATTTTTAGAAAGGCAATGCAATAACCACCGAACCATCACCAGACATTCTAGTGGGTGGAGGAAGAGCCCTCTCCTGCCCTGCTCATGCCTAACTACCTGTAACTCCTCCATATCAGACTTCCAGCCTCCAGAACTGAGAGACAATGCATTTCTGTTGGTTAACTCACCCAATCTGTGTTACTTCGTTAGGACAACCCTAGAAAGCTAATACAGTGGGTGGCTTCAGAACTTATGTGTGGATTTTTTCCTCTCAGAGTTTTTCATAATTTTAAGAGGTTTGCATTAGTTTGTTTGTCCCTACCTACCACCACCACCAAACAATAAAAGTTACTACCCACAGCATAGCTAACGAGCAGGGAGCTCCCTATTGCCAAAGATGGAGGGAGGGAAGCTCTCTCTGTTAAAGGAGGGAGCAGGGATGCTTGTAGACCCCAAATTACATAATTAGCTCAGAGTAACTGGTAAAACATAGGTTGATAAAGAATCATGCGTATATATTCATTCACACTATTGAATATCCATGAAACCATTGTCTTCACTTGGACCCTCAATATTCACCTACCCCTTTATTCCCAATCCCCTGCAATCTCTTCTTTTTCTCTTTTTTTAGTGATAAATGCTACATATTTATGGGAGAAGGCTAGAGTATTGTGGTGGTGATGGGTGATAACACTTTTTTTCATTATTATACTTTAAGTTCTGGGATACATGTGCACAACATGCAGCTTTGTTACATAGGTATACACGTGCCCTGGTGGTTTGCTGCACCCATCAACCCATCATCTACATTAGGTATTTCTCCTAATGCTATCCCTCCCCTAGTCCCACACCCCCTGACAGGCCCCGATGTGTGATGTCCCCCTCCCTGTGTTCATGTGTTCTCATTGTTCAGCTCCCACTTATGAGTGAGAACATGCAGTGTTTGATTTTCTGTTCTTGTGTTAGTTTGCTGAGAACGATGGTTTCCAACTTCATCCATGTCCCTGCAAAGGACATGAACTCATCCTTTTTTATGGCTGCATAGTATTCCATGCTATATATGTGCCACATTTTCTTAATCCAGTCTATTGTTGGTGGGCATTTGGGTTGGTTGCTATTGTGAACAGTGCAGCAATAAACATACGTGAGCATGTATCTTTATAGTAGAATGATTTATAATCCTTTGGGTGTATACCCAGTAATGGGATTGCTGGGAAAAATGGTATTTCTAGTTCTAGATCCTTGAGAAATTGCCACACTGTCTTCCACAATGGTTGAACTAATTTACACTCCCACCAACAGTGTAAAAGTGTTCCTATTTCTCTGCATCCTCTCCAGCATCTGTTGTTTCCTGACTTTTTAATGATCGCCATTCTAACTGGTGTGAGATGGTATCTCATTACGGTTTTGATTTGCCTTTCTCTAATGACCAGTGATGATGAGCTTTTTTTCATATGTTTGTTGGCTGCATAAATGTCTTCTTTTGAGAAGTGTCTATTCATATTCTTTGCCACTTTTTGATAGGGTTTTTTTTTTCTTGTAAATTTGTTTGAGTTCATTGTAGATTCTGGATATTAGCCCTTTGTCAGATGAGTAGATTGCAAAAATTTTATCCCACTATGTAGGCTGCCTGTTCACTCTTGTGATAGTTTCTTTTGCTGTGCAGAAGCTCTTTAGTTTAATTAGATCCCATCTGTCAATTTTGGCTTTTGTTGCCATTGCTTTTGGTGTTTTAGTCATGAAGTATTTGCCCATGCCTATGTCCTGAATGGTATTGCCTAGGTTTTCTTCTAAGGTTTTTATGGTTTTAGGTCTTATGTTTAAGTCTTTAATCCATCTTGAGTTAATTTTTGTACAAGGTGTAAGGGAAAGATCCAGTTTCAGCTTTCTGCATATGGCTAGCCAGTTTTCCCAACACCATTTATTAAATACGGAATCCTTTCCCCATTGCTTGTTTTTGTCAGGTTTGTCAAAGTTCAAGGGATGCTTTTTATGGCTCTTTAACTGCCAAATCCAGTGGATGATTTTTTGCTATCTTTCTGGACCTCTTCTACATGGGATCCCTTCCTCCCTGTTGAAATGCGCCATCTTTATTCATTCACATCACAATGAATCAAGTCTCTTCCATGATCTCTGCCAATGATATTATTCCTCCAGGTGCCCTGGTAAATATCACTGTCTCTTGAATTTGTGCTAGCCCACTTCTATCAATACATAAATGTATTTGCCACTTACACACTGATGGCCCTCATACCAACATCAAGAACCTGAAACCGACTTTGCAAAAATTATAACCATGAGAAAAATTATGGCAGTGGGGGAGATCTGATCTAGCTAACCCTCATCTTGCCTTTAGCCTTCAAGATGCCCTTAATAATTCCAAGGCTTAAACCAAACTAACCTGGGGGGACTTTTAGTTTATAGTTTAAATGATAATAGCCCTTCCCCAAAACTTAACCACCTGTGTAAAGTTAATGAGAGACCACTGGGCTAGGAGGATACAGGGGCCTGAATTCTGCCAAGGCATAGATATAAATGATTGCTAGCCATTATTCCAGAGGTCACAAGATAGGCAACTTCCCCAATTACTCTTGCATATAACGTCACTATTGTAGAACTTAAGGTTGGCCTTTTGAGATATCTTTTCAGGTTTTTTGCATGTCTGATGACCAATGGCTCCACCTAGACATGCCAATTGCTCCTTTGGCCCCACCCAGAAGCAACTCAGGGCACAGGAGGACCATTGGCCACACCCCTATGATTGTACCCCAACCAATCAGTAGCAAGCACCCATCATGTAGGCACTCCAACCCCTTCCTCAAAGGGGACCTTTTTAAAACCCTAGTCCACAAATTCTCAATGAGATTAAGTAACAACTCTGTCTCCCATTTGGCATGGTTGGCCTCGCATCAATGAAACTCTTTCTTTACCACAATGTCATGGTCTCATGTGTTATTAGTCCATTTTCACACCACTGTAAAGAACTGCCTGAGACTGGGTCATTTATAAAGGAAAGAGGTTTAATTGACTCACAGTTGTGCATGGCTGTGGAGACCTCACAAAACTTACAATTATGGTGGAAGGCACAGGGGAAGTAGGCACCTTCTTTATAAGGTGTCAGGAGAGAGAAGAGAGTGAGCAAGAGCAGGGAAAACTGGCTTATAAAATCATCAGCTTTCATGAGAACTCACTCACTATCACAAGAACAGCATGAGGGACGATGCCCCCATAATCCAATTACCTCCTTTCCTCCCTCAACACATGGGGATTACAATTCGAGATGAGATTTGGGTGGAGGCAGAGAACTAAATCATATCACTGTGAATTGATCTTGTTTGTGCAGTAGGCAGGAAGAACACAATGGGTGGTTACAAACCCAGCCATTTCCCATTGCACCCAGCCTAGTACAGCTTGTCCAGCTTTCTAATAAGGAAACTCGATGCCAATTCCACTCATATTTCTTTAGAACCATGTCCACGGCTCTTCCTGGAACCCCTCCTCAGTGGCATCCTCATGCTCTGGAAGAGGACACACATATTTTATTGGCCCTCTCTGCTTTCCCTGCTTATAAGTATCTGAGGATTTGCCCTGCCTGTAGAATAGGTGGAAAACATTTTAACATGCCATGCCAGACCCTCCACAAATTGGTTCAGTTTATCTTTCAGCCTCCACTCCATTCTCTCTCCAATCTTCCAAGCTATTCACAGCAGACAACTTGTTTCTTCTCAGACATTTCCAGGCCTTTGTTCATATTCTTCATGTCTGGAGAATCTTTCTCTCCTAATCTGACCTAAAAAGAGCTACTTGTCTTCCTAAGATTGAAAAAGCACTCCTTCTCTTTAGCTTTCAATGAATCATACTCAGGCAGAATTCTACCATATTCCATGTTCCCTCTGTATGTTACAAACGCCACTATTGCAGTGTTTATATACTGTGTCATGGTCATTTGCTTATGAATCTGCCTTCTCCATCACTGCATGAGCCACTGCAGGAAGTGGCCACTGCTCTCTCAACTCCAAAGTCTCTTAAGCCCCCTACCATCATCAACATGGTGACTCAGTGCTCCTGAAGGGAATTCAGCTCTTCAGAGGAGGGAGTATGCACGGCCCACATAAGACTAAGAGAAAGAAATGGCTTTGCAAAGAAATAAAAAATGATATTCACCAGAGAATCAGCACACCACTTACCCTTTTCAGGATTTATGACTTTCTGAATATAAAAACGTCTAGGATATATCATGGAGAATGGCACCATCCAAGGCTGGGACCTGGTCTCTGAAATTCCTGACAGGCAGTTCTGCTAACTACAACTTCAAATGACCCCTTCTTCAATTTAGCTATGTGGAAGTAAAAACTGACCTTTCATCTGCCTGACAAGGTTGATGTCAAGATCAACACACCTTGTGAAATTTAGCTCTTGATATTAGTGTGAGAAGTCGCCCTAAGACTTCTGGAGCAGCAGAATGGTCTCAAAAAGGGGAGTCTTGGGGATGGCTCATTTGTTTGAGGGAGTCTCTGAACACATCCTTTTGGTTCCTATGATGTAAACTAATGCCTGCCCATTGTTCTAGCGGAAAACTATGAGACTCCCTGATGCAAATTCAGGTTATATGATTAGTCTGAACTGTGTCTTTGTCGACTCTTTATAGGAGGGTGTGGAAGAGGAGGAGCAGAAATAAATGACTCCTGATTTAGTGCAATTTTAGAAAGAACTATTGCCTATTGAAGATAAATGTCAGTGTTTCACAGTAACTCACTAGATCCCCCAACTTGAGACCTGGAATATCAAGAAAGATGCCAAGACATGGATCACCCTCTAACGCTGGAGTTTGGGCTACAGAAGGAAATAAGCTTGGCCTGGGAAAACAAAAACTGCACTGGGTGGTTCACATGTGCGCTGGTGTGATGGGTGTGGACTAGTCCTGGCCCTTAGAGCACATCCTGATGTTGAACTAGCCTCTTCTGATGTGGTCACCCTGAGAGCCCCTGGGGTGAGAGGTGAGCACTTTCCCCTGAAATGAGTGTGTCTTTATGAAATCCATACCCCTGGGAAGAGGGAGATAGGGGAACATGGAATGCAGACTCCAGAGGTAAACCCTGAAATTGGACAGTGGGGAGCCACTGTCTTCTCTCTGATCTTGTAAGCGGTTGGATTTCAAATGGTGAGGGATTACTGCCAGATCTCATAACTGACCTCACAACAGTTGAAAACTATTCTCGGAATTGTACTTCCCTTTTGTCATCCATAGACCTTTGGTAGAAATTTTACCAATGCTGAGCCTGACTTTAGTCATGCAATGCGCTCTCAGTGGAAAGCCCTGTGTGATTTCGGGGATAGAGCGGCAAAGGGGGTCAGTAATGTTCCTCCCACGTGGCCCAAGTAGTGGCCCTTCAGCCTTCCCCAAAAGAGAGAGACTGGATCCACCATAGACGATGCCACATGAGGGAAGCAGGGAATGTGGGGGGTGCCAGGAGGATGATGCTGGATCCAAAGATGTGAGGGAGTGAAGCACACAGAGCTCAAATCCCCAGAAATCCCTCAAATACCCAAGGATCCACTGGAGGGGAACAGGCACCTGCAGGGGGACATTTGAAGTCATGTCACTTTGCAAATTCAAGAAAATATAATTTCTATTTGTACCTGCAAGCTGATGAGGGCTGGACACCCCAGTTACCATTTCAAACCACTTATTTTCCATGCAGATGCTTGGTTGCACTTTTCCACTCACCTAAGGTGCACTCCAGCAACCAGGACGTAGAGGAACATACTCATCCCGTCTGAGCCCCACATCTCCTGGCTGTGAAATCCATGGCTTCTTCTCAGGAGGAGAATCTGGGGAGCATAGCACATTGCAAACAAGTGCCCATTGTAGGAACAGTAACTTTTCTGTCGGCTCTCCCTCACCTTGCCCATTTATGAATCTGAAGTAAGAAACGTGTGGGGGTGTGTGTGTTTACAGTTTATATTGGAAGGTATTGTAGGATAAAATGTTCGGTTGGAGAGCTATAACCTTTTTCGGCAGTTTCATATAACCAATGAAAAGTTACTCATGTAACATTTTAAAGCTTTCAATTTAATTGACAAAAATTAATGAACAAGTAGAAGAGCAGCATAAACACTTGGAATTATTAGCGAGAACATACCATGCCTATGAATTTGTGCAGGAAGACCAGCTCCCATGGGATAACTCCTTAAAGTTGAAGACTGGAATTTTAGCCCAGAATTACTTCTGGAAGGCCAATCCCAAAAGTCACTGACTAATTGGGCTAACTGGAAAAGAAAAATTGCACAAAATGTCCCTTCAATATATACATTAATTTGCTTTTATTTTATTTTCAACTAAGGCTTTTGTATCTAATTGTATTGATTTGTACTTCCAACAAATGAAAAATCCTGACGGAGAAAACATTTATAGAGGGCAATTCTAAATGAAAATAGAGATAAAGAAGAAGGAAAAGAAGGTCACATGTGCTATAAAATCTAAAATATTATTCTTTGACAACCTGTTTTAAGATACTACAATCACTTAAAACTCAGTAAAAAATACCATCTTGAACACTCTCAGGAACTGAGAATTGCATGTCCCAAATAATTGTCAACATGACATAGAGCTTTTGTTTTATGGGAAGGCAGTTCCCAACTGACAAATGGGTTGTACTCAAAAAGTTCTCTTGAAGTTAATTGTTCAGAACTTGGACCAGCTCACAAAAGAAAGTTAACCCTAAGTGCTCCTTGGCCTAGTTTGCTAGGGCTGTCCTCACAGAATACCACAGACTAGGGCTGCAACAACAGAAATGTACTGTCTCACAGCTCTGGAGGCCAGAAGTTTGAGATCAAGGTCTCAGTGGAACTGGTTCCTATTGAGGGCTGTGAGGAAAAATTCCGCCTTATGCCTCTCTCCCTTCTTCTGGTGGTTTTCTGGTAGTCTTTGGCATTTGATCCCTGTCTTCATCTTTACTTGGTGTTCTCCCTGGGCTTATGTCTGTCTCAGTGTTCAAATTTCCATTTTTTCAGAGGGACACAGTCACACTGCACTAGGAGCTCACCCTACTCCAGTATTACCTAATTTAAACTTAACTAATTACATCTGCAACAATCTTGTCTTCAAATAAAGTCACAGCTTGGATACTGGAGGTAAGGACTTCAATATGTGATCTCTGGGGAGGGAGAACACAAATCAACTACTAGCGTGCCTAAACGTTTTGCTAATACACTCCTTCAGCAGCATCACTGAGAACTTCTCTCAGCCATTCTGAGCCAGATGGCTCTCAGAGCTCATAGGGCTTCTGCACTTGGAATGTGGATAAGAGGAGGGCAGGACCGAGTCTTTGGAGCCCATGAATTGTGAACTCCATATCTGCATAAGCCAGGGCAGAGCACTGAACCACAGTGCTGCAGACCAGAGTTCAAGTCCCCCGGCAAAGCCATCTGCCTCCTACAGCAAAGGTTCCAAGATTTGGGATGCATCAGGGTCACCTGGAGGGTACGTTGAAATGCAGGTGACAGGTCCACAGCCCCTGTTCCTGACTTGGCACATCTGGAATGGGGCCCAGGAATTTGCATTTCTAGTAAGTTCCCAGGTGAGGCTGATGCAGCTGGTGCTGGAGCACACTTCAAGAACCATGTCCTAAAGGATGCATGAATGAAAAGATTTGGTTTCTGATTAAAAGAAAATACTTACAAAGGAGATAAAATCTGTCTTCCCAGGAAACACGTTTGAAGGAAGAGGAGGCATAATAGGTTGAATAGTGGTTTCCCCAAAACACAAAATAGGAACCTGTAAATCTGACTTGATTTGGAAAAATGTTTCACAGATGTATTTAAGTTAAGGATGTTGAGGTGAGATCATCCTGGATTAACCATGTGGGCCCTAAATCCAATACCTTATGTCCTCCTTGTCAAAGCCAGACGAGGAGAATACACTGACCCTGAGAAGGCCAAGTGAAGGCAGAGATTGGAGAGATGCAACCACAGGCCAAGCAATGCCAGGAGTCACCAGAAGCTGGAAGTGGAAAGAAGGATCACCCCTTAATTGCCCTAGAGGGACTGTGGCTCAGCCAGCACCTTAATTTTTGACTCTGGCCTCTCAGACAATAGGAAAATTAATTTCTATTGTTTTAAGCCACTCAGGTTGTGGTACTTTGCCACAGCAGCCCTAAGAAATTAATGCAAGGGAAAAACTATTCAAGGAGACAAAGGAGGTCACCATATAATGATAAAAGGGTCAATTCAGCAAAAAAAAAGAACAATTTTAAACATATGTGCACCTAACATGGGAGCACCCAGATACATAAAGAAAATATTATTAGAGCTAAAGAGAGATAGGTCCAAATACAAAAATAGCTGAATTCAACACCCCACTTTCAGCATAGGACAGCTCTTCCAGACAGACAGAAAATCAACAAAGAATCATCAGACTTAATCTGCAAATGGATCTATAACATAGATCCATTATTACCCTGACACCAAAACAGACAAAGACACATCAAAAAAAAAAAAAAGAAAGAAAAGAAAATTACAGGCCGATATCTCTGATGAAATACTGATGCAAACATCCTCAACAGAATGTTAGCAAATAGATTACAGACCAAATGAATCTATTAATAATAGATATTTATAGAATATTTCATCTGAGAATTGAGGAATACACATTCTTTTTCTCAGCACATGGATCATTCTCAAGGATAGATCATTTGTTTGGTCACAAAATAAGTCTCAAAACATTAAAACAAATTGAAATAATATGAAATTAAACAATTTGCTCCCCAATGACCAGTGGGTCAATGAAGAAATATTCTTAGTTTTTCTTTTTGAAAAATTTCTTAAAATAAATTATAATGGAAACATAACAAACAAGAACCTATGGGATAAAGCAAAAGCAGTACTCAGAGGGAAGCATATAGGTATAAGCACCTACATCAAAAAAAGAGGAAAAACTTCAAATAAATAACCTAATGATGCATCTTAAAAACTAGAAAAACAAGAGCAAACCAAACCCAAAATTAGAAGAAATCACAAAGATCAGAGCAGAAATAAATGAAATTGAAATTAAAAAATACAAAAGACCAATTAAACAGTTGTTTTTTTTTTGAAAAGTTAAACAAAATTGACAAACCTTTAACTAGACTAAGAAAAAAAGAGAGAAGACAAAAATAAAGTCAGAAATGAAAAAGGAGACATTACAACAGATATTGCAGAGTGGCTACTATGAGCAACTATATGCCAATAATTTGGAAAATCTAGAAGAAATGCACAAATTCCTAGATATATACAACCTATTAAGATTGAGCCAGGAAGAAATCCAAAACCTGAACAGACCAATAACAAGTGAGGAGATCTAAGTCATAGTAAAAAGTCTTCCAGTAAAGAAAAGCCCAGAAACTGATGGCCTCACTGATGAATTCTACAAAACATTAAAAAGAACTAATACTAATCTTACTCAAACTATTCCAAAAAACAGAGAAGAAACTCATTTCTCCTCATTCTATGAGGCCAGTATTATTACCCTGATACCAAAACCAAAGACACATCAAAAAAAAAAAAAAAAAGAAAACTGCAGGCCAATATCTCTGATGAATATTGATGGAAACATCCTCAACGGAATGCTAGCAAACCAAATTCAACAATGCATTAGAAAGATCATTCATCATGACCAAGTGGAATTTATCCCTGGGATACAAGGATGGTTCAACATATGCAAATCAATCAACATGATACATCATATCAAAAACATTAAAGATAAAAACCATATGACCATTTCAATTGATGCTGAAAAAGCATTTGATAAAATTTGGTGTCCGTTATGATTAGAAAAACCCTCAAAAAACTGGAAAAAGACAGAACATACCTCAACATAATAGAAGGCATATACAACAGACCCATGGCTAATATCATACTGAATGGGGAAAAACTGAAAGCCTTTCCTCTAAGATCTGGAACGCAATAAGAATGCCCAGTTACACCACTGTTATTCAACATAGTACTGGAAGTCCTAGCTAGAACACTCAGACAAGAGAAAGATATAGGGCATCCAAAGAAAGATATAAAGGGCATCCAAACTGGAAAGGAGGAAGTCAAATTACCCTTGTTTGCTGATGATATGATCCTATATTTGAAATAACCTAAAGACTCCACATGAAAACTAGAACTGATAGCAAACTCAATAAAGTTGCAGGATACAAAATCAGCATACAAAAATCAGCAGCATTTCTATTTGCCAACAGTGAACAATCTGAAAAAGAAACAAAACAAATAATCCCATTTACAATAGCTACACATAAAATTAAATATCTAGCAATTAACCAAAGAAGTGAAAGATATCTACAATGAAAACTATAAAACACTTCTGAAGGAAACTGAAGAGGACACCAAAATAAAGGAAAATATTCTGTGTACATGAATTAAAAGAACAATATTGTTAAAATGTCCATACTACCCAAAGCTATCTACAGATTCAACGCAATCCCTATCAAAATACCAATGGCATTCTAAACAGAAATAGAAAACACAATCCCAAAATTTATGGAACCACAGAAGACCCAGAATAGCCAAAGCTATTCTAAGCAAAAAAGAATAAAACTGGAAGAATCACATTACCTAATTTCAAATTATGCTACAGAGCTACAGTAATCAAAACAGCATGGTACTGGCATAACAATATACATATAAATCAATGGAATCAAATAGAAACCCAGAAACAAATCCACGCACCTACAATTAGTCCATTTTTTACAAAAGTAACAAGAATATCCACTGGGGAAATGACAGTCTTTTCAATAAGTGGTGCTTGGAAAACTGGATATCCATATACAAAAGAAGGAGACTAGACCCCTATCTTTCACCATATACAAAAAAAAGCAAATCAAAATGGATTGAAGACTTAAATCTAAGACCTCAACTATGAAACTATTACAAGAAAACATTGAGGAAAATCTCCCAGACATTGGTCTGGGCAAAAATATCTTAAGCAATACCCTACAAGCACAGGCAGCCAAAGCAGACATGGACAAATGGTATCATATCAATTCAAGGATACAATCAACAAAGTGAAGAGACAGTGCACAGAATGGGAGAAAATATTTGCCAACTACCCCTCTGACAAGGGTAATAACCAAAATATATAAACAGCCCAAACAACTCTATAGGAAAAAATTTAATAGTCTGATCAAAAGATGAGTGAAAAATTTGAATAGACATTTTTCAAAAGAAGACATGCAAATGGCAAACAGGCATATGAAAAGATGCTCAATATCATTGATCAGAGAAATGCAAATCAAAACTACAATGAGATATCATTTCACCCCAGTTAAAATGGCTTATATCCAAAAGACACGTAATAACAAATGCTGGCAAGGATGTAGGGAAAAGGGAACTCTCATATTCTGTTGATGGGAATGTAAATTAGTACAACCACTATGGAGAACAGTATGGAGGTTCTTCCAAAAACTAAAAATTGAGCTACCATATGATCCAGCAATCTCACTGCTGGGTATGTACCCAAAAGAAAGGAAATCAGTACATCAAAGAGATATCTGCACTCCTATGTTTATTGCAGCACTGTTCACAACAGCTAAGATTTGGAAGCAACATAAGTGTCCATCAGCAGGTGAATAAAGAAAATGTGTTACATATACACCTGAGCCAGGGAAAGAACTTCCCTTCCCCCATAGGGACTTGGCTGAAGTCATCAAAAAGGAGACAGTGTTCGATGGAGTTAGCAATCCCTTGGGAAGCTTCATCACTGGGAAGATGAGAGCCCAGGTGAGCTGGCAGCCATCTTTGCTACCCCGTGGAGTGCCTACCTGCAAAGGAGGCAACTCCGCATGCACCCCCAGGACCCAGGCTCACCTCAGGCACCCCGGGCTTTGCTGAAACAGGAGGCATACATTAAATAAATTTGAGTTGAGTTTCTGTCACTTGTAGCCAAAAATATCCTAATACAGACACTGAGAGGGAAGGAAAGAGCATAACCTATGTTGAGGCAAACTTTATGTTTTATTTTTAAAAAATAAAGGATGATACCCTTTAGTGCTTGGGTTGGTAGCTAACTTTGAATGTGTGTGATAAGACATTTTTTTTCTTTTGTGTGTGTGTGTGTGTGTGTGTGTGTGTGTGTGTGTTTGGTTTTGGTTTACTTCAGAGTGTTCTAGGCATGTTGAGATACACTAGGACAAGAAACAATGGGCACAAATTCTCTTAAAAGGCATTTCTTTAACCAAAGCGTAAGAAGGTAGAAGTTCCCAACCATGGCATTGGTTTAGTTTCCTGCCTAGATGTTTCTGTCCACACAATGGCCCTCATCACCTGAAGGCCCAAAATCCGTGGAGTCATGCAGCTGTTAGGTCACCAGCAGAATGTGACCTGCTCAGGACGGCCTTGCGGCAGAAAAGCCAGTCCTGACACATGAACCGTGGCTCCTGGGTTATCTGGGGGCTGGTATCTCACAACACTGCTATTAATCAGTTCATTGCCACATTTTCCTCTGGGGCATACATAATTTATGTATGGCAACTCTTCCTGGAATTTCATTTTAAAAACAGAACAACTCATTCCCTTTCGTTTTAAGAAAGTTTTTGGTTTGTGTTGTTAGAAGCAGGCTGAAATAAACGAAGGGGACTCAAATGTGAGAGGTCAATTCAACAAATGTGCACTCGGTGTCTCTTTCAAGAAAAATGTTATGCTGGGGTAGTGTGGAAGGGTGGAGGGGTGGAGGGGACAGAGAAAACTGTACCCTTCCCCAAAGAGCTTACAGTCTAGCTGGACAGAGAGGACAAAGATAAAGCCAGGGGAATATGACAAACACACACATCTCAAAAAAGTTCAGCAAAAAAAGACAAAAATTTTCATGAACCTTTAGAGAAGGGGTGTATTCGGGTTCTTCAGAGGACAGAACCAATATAATAGATATAGATATAGAGAAAGAAATGTCTTATGGGAATCAGCTCACGTGATTCTGGAGGCTGAGGAGCCCCACAATCTGCCATCTGCAAGCTGGAGGCCCCAGAAAGCCAGTAGAGTAATTCAGTCCAAAGCCTGAAGGCCTGAGAACCAGGAGAGACCACGGCATAAGTTCCAGCATGAGTCAGAAGGCCCCAGAACCAGGAGCACTGATGTATGAGAGCGGGAGATGCACGGCCCAGCCCAAACAGAGCAAATGTGCCCTTCCTTCTTTTTGCTCTATTCAGTCCCTCAATGGTGACAGCAGATCTTCTGAGCTCAGTCTACCTACTTAAATGCTAAGCTCTTCTGGAAACCCCCTCACAGACACACCCAGAAATAATGCATCCATTAGGTCAAATTGACACATAAAATTAACCATCATAAGGGATTACACATTCAACTAAAATTCCAGATGTATTTAAAATTTGACATGGGCCATAAATAGTAGAGGGTGGATATCTTCAAATTTCCATTTTAAAAAAGGATTATACTACTCAGTCATAAAAAGGGATGAATTAATGGCATTTGCAGTGACCTAGATGAGATTGGAGACTATTATTCTAAGTAAAATAACTCAGGAATGAAAAACTAAACATCATATGTTCTCACTCATAAGTGGGAGCTAAGCTATGAAGATGCAAAGGCATAAGAATAACACAGTGGACTTTGGGGACTCAGGGGGAAAGAGTGGGAAGGGGTGAGGGATAAAAGACCACAAATAGGGTGCAGTGTATACCGCCCAGGTGATGGGTGCACCAAAATCTCACAAATCACCACAAAAGAAGTTACTCATGTAACCGAACACCACCTGTTCCCCAACTATGGAAATACAATTTTTTTAAAGGATTGTCTATATCCTTTATATGCTCACAATGATCATTAATACACACTTTCAGACTCGTGGTTTTTGAAAAGTTATTGTCAAGATAACCCATTCTAATTGTGAATGAAGAGAAGAGAAAAGTGGGTAGAATGGAAAGGAGAAACTGGAAACGATCAAATGGGAGAGGACAAAATTATTAGCTCCCTGGACTGGGTAGATTTTGAGAACTGGAGTAAGACGAACATCGGCGCGATCCATGAGGTTTTTAGCACTGTGATGACCTCAGTAGCATCTCCACCCATGGATACGCCTCAAACCCAGTCTGTGTCCTTGGGCCTCACCCAATGCTCAGTGGCAGCCTCCAGAAAGCATCATAGCTCTACTTAAATGGAAAAGAAACAATTAAACTATCACCTCCTAATGAATGCATGGAGGTCTACTTCTCAGGAGTTACGATTTCCCAGGCCTGGAACAAAATTTCAGCTCAGGTAAATATTAAGAAGATGAAGTTTTACCATGAGCACCTGTAGGGCAGAGTCTCTCCCCAGCTTTCATAACACGCAGCAGTGTTTGCATACTGCATTTAATAACAGCTGTTATTATAAGAATCAAGATTTGGCAGAGTCTCTATAATTTTCAATAGAGTCTCTGTAATTAAATAATCTGATGTTTTGCCCAATCCTCCTCACTTTTATCCCATTTAAAGTGGGCATACGCTGTTTTTTCCACATGCTTCTTTTTTCTGTTCTCAATCTTTCATCTTTCTGGGTGGCTTCAGATCCCATGTTTGAGCCTCATTCTTCTCCTCTCCAATTAAACTTCATTCCCGGCTCTTTATGGAATTCATAGAGAATAACTAAAACATCTGACAGATGCAAGTTAACATTTTCTGGGCAATTTTAATTGACAATCAGATGGAACTAATACCTGATCAACCAATTGACGTGATAAACCAGAAAAAAGCAAGAACACAGACCGAAGGCCATGCCAGGAAGAAACCCAAAACTACTGACAAAACAGATAACAAATTTTTTAACATTTTAATCATTATCAACTTTGGCATATGAATAAATGTTTGACATCTTACCAGTTGTAATCCTACCTTGAACTGCCATAAGATGTTATCAGAAACATATGAGAGGAAATTAGGAGGAAAAGCCTAAATCAAAAAATATCATCATTTTTATGGCATTTGTGCTGGAATTATTTCTAGAATAATGCAGTTTCACAGCTATAATTCAAACTATGTTTTAGTCTATTGGTTTAACTGCAGCATATCTGAAGTTAAGAAGTTTTTATAGTGCTCAGTCCCACAGAATGATGGTTAAAAACCTTAGAAAAAATGCAATTATAATAGACGGCAGTTTTGTCCTTTCTTTTTTCTTAAAAATGGACTTCATTTGCAGACCTGCTAAACCAATAGCTGCTTTCTAACTCCCAACTGTGTTAGTCTGTTCTCATGTTGCCATGAAGAAATACCCAAGACTGAGTATAATGGAAAAAGGTTTAATTGATTCACAGTTCCACATGGCTGGGGAGGCCTCAGGAAACTTACAGTCATGGCAGAAGGCACCTCTTCACAGGGTGGCAGGAGAGAGAATGAGTGCCCAACAAAGAGGGAAACTCCTAAAAACATCATAAGATCTTATGAGAACTAATTCACTATCGTGAGAACTAATTCACTATCACAAGAACAGGATAGGAGAAACCACCCCCATGATTCAATTATCTCCACCTGGTCCCTCCCTCGACACCATGGGGATCGGAACGATAATTCAAGATGAGATTTGGGTAAGGGAACAGCCAAACCATATCACCAATCCAGTGTCTATAACAATGGCTTGGATTACTAATCCAGAAAAGCTACAGAGGGACACATAGGTTATTAAATATAGTATGAGAATGTTTTTAAAAAATAATTATTTAATACTCTTATTCAGGTAAAATAGAATCTGATCCTAATGCAGTTTTAAATATATCACATGATAAAATAATTA
The DNA here is from genome assembly GCF_000001405.40 of Homo sapiens. Classification (NCBI taxonomy): domain Eukaryota; kingdom Metazoa; phylum Chordata; class Mammalia; order Primates; family Hominidae; genus Homo; species Homo sapiens. The sequence continues at coordinate 9,974,866 of NC_000005.10, forward strand.
CACAGATTTCTACAAATACATGTGGCATCAATAAGAATCCAGAAAAGGCCCAATCATGCTGAGGGCTGGAGGTCTCATCTTTTATCTTAAGGCAACGAAGAAGCAGAACTGAAAGATTCCCTAGGCTTGTGGGATGCTGGTGTTCTGGCTGCCAAGGACAGCTTCATGCATGCCCAGTAGCTGTGCTGATGGCCCCTGCTGTCCTATAGGAGGTGATGAGAGCAACTGGCCGCAGAGGTGGCTCGGCACCTCTTGTTTTCCTTTCCACATCCGCCTCTTAATTAGGGCCATTTTAAAAAGCTATTTGGAAATGGGCCGAGCAGGAAGTGAGTATCAGGTAGAGTTTTGAGGAAAGGATTTCAGAATTATTTAGAGTTCATTCTTAGAGATTATTTAATCCAAATATCTCTGTTTGATCCAAGGACATGAAGTCCAAGAAATTAAGTAGCTCACCCAAAACCAAGTAGCTAATTCATGGCAGAGCCATTAGAACCCAGCCTCTAGGTCACTGTCTCCAGCAGCTTCCCCTACATCAGGGCTCAGACACACTCTTCTCTTCTAAGATAAACATCCTCTGATCAGAACCTTCTCTCCTCCAGGCTGTGAAGGTCTTGGGCTGGCTGAAGCACCAGGCCAACATGTCTGAAGGGTGACAATGGGCTCTCAGGCTGAGTTTGTACTCAAATGAAGAGTAGATCTTTATTGGTAGGACTCAGCTGAGAAGTAAGTTCAAGTGAGTCACATTTATTAATGTCTATCTTAGAGCCTCCATGTGCAGTGCTTTATTAGTATACATGCATTATGCAGCATGAGTTGTTTGCAATCTGGGGCACAGAGAAGAACCAATGGCTCCAGCAGCCTGGCAGTAGTTTCAGTCTTTGTAAGCTCCCACACCCTGCAGCAAAGACCTGCAGCCTTTAACTATGGTCTAGTCCTTCCTACAATGAGATAGTATTAAATAGATTATGTCAAAATCAAATATTTAAGAAAGGATACAGCAAATATGAAATATACAGTAGATTTATCTCATTAACAAAGCCAACTTTCTCCCTTGGAGTTACAATTGTGGGGGGCAGGATTTGCGCATTTAAGCAAAGTAGCATCATGCCAAGAGCTGTAATTTATTTCAAAACTATGAAGACTCCATTACTCTTGGTGAATTTTAGAAATTTCCTTTAAGGGGATCATTTGTTTGCTATTATACTGCATGACACCTTTTGTGTGTGTGTGTGTGTGTGTGTGTGTGTGTGTGTATTTAGTCTTATAGTTTCTCATCCTATTTTTTAGTATATTTTCATATGTATTAAAAGAGATTTGCAAAGTGAGTCAAATCCATTTTTATTTTTTAGGACGTTTTTCAGAATTAAATATGTATTCTTAATGAATTTTTTAAACATACACATACATATAACTAGATACTGTATTAATAATTTAAAGGGAAGAGTAATTATAAGAGAAGTTTATTTGGATTCCATTAAAATCATGTGTGTGAGATGTGCTATATCCCACCAACTCTTCATACAAGAATGCTATGGAATAAAGTAGTAGGGAAAGCCTACCTGTGGTCCAGTGAGATTTCTACTGGATTTCTCACAATCTTAGAATAGTGCTAGCATTCTTGCAAATTTTGAGAGTGGCCAGGTTTATCAAGGATGGTCCTCGCTGCCACCAGAAGCAGGTCCAGTTGATATTCCAGTTGCTGTCACTCACAGCTACAGAACTTGTACCATGCTTTCTTTAATTCCAGACAGCATTCTTTCTCCTTGGTCAGGCAGTTTTGCCTGTGTTGGGTCAGTGAACCAGTGAACCATGGGTCACATGGTTCTGATGAGGGCAGATGAGCTTTCTAGTCCCTTGGTTCTGCATGTCAACCCTCCTCTTTTCATATCCATGGTTAGCATTGACTCCTAGTTACTGGGATCAGGAAGCAGAGAAGTTTATTAAATTGCTGATGCTACAAAACGTATGGGAATCTGGCAATTTTAGATACCCAATAACTAGCCCATTAGGCTAGTCATCCTAGAGTACAGAGTTCCATAAAGACGGTATTAGGCACCAGACTTTGTCTTTTGTTTTTGACTCCTAATCGGAGAAGGCTAAAACTTTGCTGCTGGATGCAGTATACAATAAACTGGTTAATGACTTAAGCTACTCAGCTTTATTAAGAATCTACTAGGTGCTTTACCTTTTCTGGAAGTCTGACATAAAATGGTTAAGAACAATACACACCATTGTGAAAACAGCACTGATGTCTGCTAAATATTTAATTTATGACTGAGATATTCTGGATAAAATCCGTTCCCTTCATGATGAAAGCCCATCTGTGCCCTCAGGAGCATTTTCTAGTAAAAACACTTTCTCATTCTTAAGTGCCTGCAGCCTGCCCATCCCCCTCTTTCGTCTTCCCTGCCAGAGGTTTTAGGAGAAGAGGACCACTTCTACACCCTTGATAAAAACAATTCTGAGAATTAGTTAACTGAGACAGGTTGTAATTTCCTACCATGGCTAAGTTGCTAAGTAAATATTGCAAAGCAAACAGAAAAGATAGAAGCATTCATTTCTCTTCCAACAAAGAAAAACAAAAAGGTAGTTTCTTGGATATGAGAAACAAAGGGAAAAGGGGAAATCATCCTATGTTTGCTTTTTTAAAATAGGCTTTGAGTCTCATATGCCTTTTTTTATTATTTTGTTCCAGTTTTATTTTGGTTTTGCTTCAGGTAAAAAAAAAATTGGAGGCCTGATATTACGCTAAGTGAAATATTACATAATCTCACTTTTGTGTGGAATACTTCTTTAAAAGGTCAAATATAGACAGAATGGTACCAGTAGTTACCAGAATTGGGACTAGCTGGGGTGGGTGGCATGAGAAATGCGGAAATATAGGTCAAAGGATGCAAAGTGGCAAATATGTACCATAAACAAGTCCAAAGATCTAACTACAACATGAGGGCTATAGTTAATAATAGTATATCATATTCAGCATGTTTGCTAATGTGTATATTACAGCTGCTCTTACGGTGGGGTATGGGTAACTATTTGGGATGAGGGATTTGTTAATTTGTTCCACTATAGTAACATTTTACCATTTCTATGTATTTCATAATATCATATTGTATACCTTAAATATATACAATAAAATTTATTTATAAAGAAAAAGAAAAGTTACAGAGCACACTAAGTCCCTGTTTTTCCCTGATAGCTCTTGAGGGAAGAGATGGAGGTTTGCATTGAAGTGGGAAGGAAGCCAGGATGACTTGATCCTAATGCAAAGTTAGAGTGAAAAACTCACCCAGGCTTCACACAAAACCAGCACAGAGAAGTAGTCAGGTTTCTCTCCAAATGAAAGTAAAATGTAAAAGAGCTCCCACATGTTATTGAGCTCATACATGTGCTATGAAAGATACAGAGAAGTAAGAAATCTGAACCTACCTTCAAGTCATTTAAACTCTACTGTGGTACATACATAAGTCATTCCCTACAGGAAAGCTAGGTAATGGCAAAGGTGGAACACACAAAGTATGCAATGAGTGGTTCTTAAAGCAAGTAGCATGGGATGATTTTCCTCTCTCATGTCCTTGGCTCCAAGCATCATCATCAAGATGAGCTTTCCTATATTGGTATACCCGTTTTTGACCTCTCCATTGAACTCCTTATCTATGTGTTCAACTTCTTGATTGACATCTCCACTTGGGTATCAACAGGATTCTCAAATGTTTTCCCTAGATTTACTTCTCCACTAGTCTTCTCCATCTCAGCAATGATTCTTCCCCTGACTCAGCTTCTCAAGTGAAAAGCCTGGCAATCATCTTTAATGTCTTGGTTAACCTGACATGACACATCCAATTAATCCTTAAGTCTTACTGGCTCTACCTCCCCAGCTTAACCTGAATTCACCCATGTCCTGCCATGGCCACCACCACCGCCATCTCTGGCCTCCACTACTGCAATGACCTTCTTCCTTCACTCCTCTCCCTCTATGGTCTGTTCTCCATAATTTAGGCAGCAGTCATTTCCCCAACCACCACAGGGCCTTTGCAGGAGTGCTTCCCAGCCAAGAATGTACTTCTCTAAGAGCCATTCTCATCCTTCTGCTACCAGCTCAGATGTTCTCTACTCCCCACCCATCCAGATCAGCTAATCGGAAGGAACAGTGGGTCACTCTCTGTTGCTCCATCCAATCTTACCTCAGAACTTTATTACAATCTGCTATGTTATTATTTAATAATTTACACGTTGACTGCCTGTCTTCCCATTTAGGATGTGCATTCCAGAGAGCAGAGACCGAATCCTACTGGCTTGTCACTATGGATTGAGTACCTGGAATAAAGCCTGGAATATAGTAGGCACTTAATAAATGTTGGTTAAATAAGTAACTAGATGAATGATTGTTCCTCTCTACACTGAAATCAACCAACACGTCAACATAAAAAAAAATGGAAGCACCCACAGATTTTTGTAGGAAGGCCCTCCTTGCCTTTACACATTCACGTCCAACTCACTGCTCCCTGGTCCCAGGCTCCCTCTCTCAGTATGATCCTGCTCCTGCCCTTGGATCCTGCTTAGGCCCCACCACCTCCTGCCTCTCCACTTATTCTCAAGTTCCTGGGGAACACTCCCACAGGGAAGCTCAAGAGGTATCCTGCAGCAGGTGAGCTGCTCTGGAGCCCAAAACCACCCACAGGCCTGGTGCATCACCTGGAGGGCTCCCCTGACCTCCATTCAAGGGTTTCAGACAGGGTCAGAAGATACCATCACATATTAAGAAGAAAGGAGGCTTCCTAGAGAAGCCTAATGGTAACTGGGCCTTGCAAGCTGGTGAATACAATGACCTCCCTTAACGTATATTAATGTTTCTCAACCTTGTTTTCATCATCGCCCCTCCCCAGCATGGAGCCTTTTCAGTCTTTTCACCCCCTTCCCACAAAATCTGAATGGCACAGATATGCTATATATCTGTTTACATACTACAGCCTTTCAGAGAGCCACAAGCCATTATAATATCTAATATTTTTTCCACCCCTTTCCCCCAAAAATCAATTTTCCCTTTTAGGGGTAAATATTGCCTCTGTTGAAAATGCAGGTCATATGTGTGTTTCTCTTGTGTGAACAGTGATGTCTTTCTGTTATCCTATGGATGGTAGGCAAATTTCCCCTTCAAGAAAAATATTTTCCAGTATTGGTTATTTGAGAATGTTTGGATCCCTTTAGGGGAAAAAAATTTGAACCCCTAAAAGAGGGCATCCAGTTGGCAGAAGAAGAAACACTTCATCCCTCCCATGACTTTGCTCTTTATCTCCAGACTTTAAGGAATCCAGATGTCTTTGAAGGGTGAGAGGTGGCCCCTGAATCACAGGGAAAGCTGGGCATTGGGAATGCCCGGCTTTCCCAGAGCAGACATTACCTAAAAATGAGAAACTGTGTTTGGTGGGCTAGACATTATTTCATGTTATTCTGTTCGCTATCTCTATGAATTCACGAGTCAGCAAGGGTAGGAAAGAGAGGTGAGGAAGACAGAAGAGCGAGCATGCAGTGCGCCCTCCATGGGATCACTGAGGACAGCTGACTCCTTCTTCTGAGGGAAGGGCAGCATCACAAAGGGGATAGAAATGGAATTCGGCCTGTGTCTCAATTTTGTAGGTCTGGCACCTGCTTACAGCCTTGATTTTAACTGAACCAATCTAGCTGTCCTTCCTTCACTCACTCCTTTCAATAAATATTGAGGGTCAAGTATTTGTGAGTACTAGGAAATGCAAGGTCAGGAAGATGAACTTTGTTTCCCAAAGAGCCTGCTGCAAACAGGGAAAGCACATAGGTGATTATATTAGGAGAACCTGTGAGTAGAAGCACAAAGTTCCCCCAGAGCATTTGCACCAGCCCTCCATATTGTCACTCACCAAGAGACAGGCAGTGTTTCTTATTTCAAGAATGAAAGCATCTTTTGGGAACTTTTTTGTACTTCCACGTTTGTACTTCCAAATTCATTGTTTTTGAGGAACATAATCAAGTAGCATAATGTCAAGCTGCTGCCTAAATTAAGATCTCTTCCTTCATTTCACTCTCACCACAAAATCAGTGATTACAATCAAATAAACAATTACCTTTGTCTGGTAAAATCTGCTTTTAATTAACCTATGTTTGTTCCTCACTGAAAATGCCTCCATGAAGAGTGCACCTAGTGAGTCCTTCTGCTCCAGTACCTTGAAGAACAGACAGGCAATAAGCAAATGGCCTAATGGCCCCATAGCTCCTCCATTCTCAAGACCATAAATCTCAAAAAAATCAGGTCTGCACATGCAGAACCAGAAACCGGAGCTTGCCATAGGCTGCTTTTGAGGACACAGAGTTGTCTGGAGAATGGGAGAAAGGGAAGACTGGCTGTGAAGGATGGAAGAGGCTCTATAAGAAGAATCAAGACTTTAATCTGCCTGGTTATAAAGGTATTATGTCAGCTTCATAAGGTGTTATAATGACATTTTTCCTAATCTCTTGACATTTTCACATCATTAGAAACAATAAATCTCTTCCTGATGAGTCACACATTGTCCAAAAGCCATGGTCACTTTGAAGTTTCAACCAAAAGAGGAAATTTTATCAACAATACAAACAGCCCAGACTTGAGCAGACATTTATCCAAAGAAAATATACAAATGGCCAAAAGCACATGAAAAGATTCTCAACATCAATAATCATTAGAAAGAGCAAATCAAAACCACAATGAAATAACACCTCACCGCCCATCAGGATAGTTGTAATCAAAAATACAGAAAATAACAAATGTTGGTGAGGACGTGGAGAAATCGGAGCCCTTGTGTGCTGTTGGTAGGAATCTAAAATGATTTGGCCACTATGGAAAATAGTATGATGGTTTTTCAAAATGCTAAAAATAGAACTACCATATGATCCCACAATTCCACTTCTAAGTATTTAACCAAAACAATTGAAAGCAGAGTCTTGAAGAGAGATTTGCACATCCATGTCTGTAGCAGCACTATTCACAATAGTCAAAAGGGAGAAGCAACCCAAGCGTCCATTGACAGATGAATAAATAAACAAAATGTGTCACAAACACACAATGGAATATTATTCAGACTTAAAAAAGACAAGGCCAGGCACAGTGGCTCATGCCTATAATCCCAGCACTTTGGGAGGCCAAGGTGGGTGGATCACCTGAGGTCAGGAGTTCAAGACCAGCCTGGTCAACATGGCGAAACTCTACTAAAAATACAAAAATTAGCTGGGCCTGGTGGCGGGCACCTGTAATCCCAGCTACTTGGGAGGCTGAGGCAGGATAATCACTGGAACCCAGGAGGTAGAGGTTGCAGTGAGCTGAGATTGTGCCATTGCACTCCAGCAAGAGTGAAACTCCGTCAGAAGGAGGATGAGGAGAAAGAGGAGGAGGATGAGGAGGAGGAGGAGAAGAAGAAGGAGAAGAAGGAGAAAATTTGGACATGTACTACAATATGGATGAACTTGGAAGACATTATGGCCAAGTGAAATAAGCTAGTCACAAAAAGGCAAGTACTGTGAGATTCCACTTCTGTGAGGTACTACAGAACTGGACACTTAAAAATGATTAAGATGTTAAATTTTATGTTATGTGTATTTTTACCACAATTTTTTTAAATCAACAAACCAAAGAATAAAAATATAAAAAGAGAAAATATGCTGGCATTAACTATTAAATACCACATGTTTAGCTACCAAGGATTCTTTTGCTCCATGCATCCCCAACCCAGCTTCTTCTCCCCTTCATGCCATCATGGCCTGGCTGTTATGTGGGGCAATAAGAAGATATGGAGATGGAGATAGAAATGGAGAGAGACAGTGAGACAGAGACACACAGAGAGAGAAATATCTGTATCCCTCTCTTCTATGTGAATAATAGGACTTGAATGGGATTAAATACTTATCCAAAGGAGCCTGAGACTTTTACCAACCAGATTAATATGAAAATCACTAGACTTGGTTAACTTACCATAAGTGACTGACATTTTATGAGCAGGCAACATCTTGATTCCCCTCACCCCATGTCTGGAGAAAAAGATTCAAAGAAGCAAGTTGATGGCAGTTTTAGAAAACAGCAAAGTACTCCCATATTTGTATTTTACTGAATGAAGACTACTCAACTATGAGTCTAGGTTTATGCCCCGGCATACGAATGATCTTTGGGATTTAGTCTGCAATTAGGAAAAGCTGCTGGCACTTGGTGGTAATAGTTGGTCACATTCATGTGTGCTAAAGAGATGGCAGACTCTATAGCAGGAGTTTTCAACCAGGAATGACTTCACCCCCTAGGAGATGTCTGACAGTATACAGAGACATTTCTAGTTGTCACAGGTTGGAGGTTGCTACTGGCATCTGGTGAGTGAGCCAGTGATACTGCTAAACCTCCTACAACACATAGGACAGCTGCCTACAACAGAAAATGATCTGAGCCAAAATGTCAGTAGTGCTGGGGTAGAGAAACTCTGCTGCAGATGAGATTCACCAGAAACGGGGACAACTGCAGTTTCCCGCTTTGGTTCCTGTATTAAAATAGCTAAGTGAATATGAAAAATAAAATGGTCACATAAATCAGCTACATAGAGAAGTCTGGTCCTCTGCTAGGGAGGTTGAGGGGCAGCAGCTTCTCTATCAAGTCCACCCCTACTGCGGCCAGCTTTCCCAGCCAGACTCAGCCAAGCATCTGCCATGCAGCAGCAGGCTAACCTTGCTTGTTCTATTTTGGAGTTGCAGAGGCCAACAGAGCAGCTAGCCTGCTGAATGATTCCTCAATGAACCTGATTCTGAAAGCCCTTTTCTCACCCTACCTGAGCTTCCCTGCTGGGCACTCCTACACAGTCAACTCCTCCCTCCAGGAAGCAAGATCCTCCCAGAGTTCAACAGCTTGTCCTAAAGCTTACATTTATGGCTGCCTCTTGCAAGCCTAGGGCTGAATCTAAATGGCCATTAAGAAGGCATAATCCTCTCCTGCAGAATTCCTATAAGAATTATCAGCAGAATAGCAGAAGTGTGTAGGGCAGGGACACATTTAGCTGCAAGCATATTTCAATATTATGGTCTCAGGTTTGAGAGCTCTGTTTATACTGTGTAAACAACTTTCTGGGTACAAATTAATATTCTGAAGATTAACAATTAACTGTCCTTTATCCTGAATTGATCTAATACTCGAGATCAAATTGATCACCAAGCTTGAAGAGAACATGACTTTTGAATATTCTGAATTCCTGCTTGCACCTACCAATCGTTTCTGTAATAATTTTATGTCTATCACAACATAGGATCAGCAGAAGCCAGTAAGTAGGACCTAGATTCCTGAGAGGCTGGGGATTAATGCAAAGACCTGTGACCTTGTATCTGCATATGTTCTGTATTTTTTTTTTCAATTTTGTGGGAGTTTTCACTAAATTTCTTGGTATTCAGAAAGGATCCTTGAAGATATTAGGAATCATTGCTTTAGAGTATATGCAATTACTTCAGTGGAAATGTGATTTCAAATTTATTCTCAGCAAATTTGAAGAAACAACAGCCCACTCAGCTCCTCTGTACCCAGACTGTAGAATCTGATCTACAGCAGGGTTTCCCTACCCCAGCACTACCGACACTTTGGCTCGGATCAGCTTCCAAGTTTTAGAAGAAGTTGGGAACGTGGGAACTACTCTATGTCTTCTAAGTGTTTCTGGCAATCTGCTCTCCATCTTCTGGCCACTCTATGCTTTCTCCACTGTAATCACAAGCCAGCCCTTCCCATGGTAAACAAGACCACTCATTAAAAGAATATTATTTATTCGCCCCTTTAGCATAGCACTAGAGTTCCATCAGACCTCTACATTCCACCAGTTCAAAGAAGAAAAAATATGTATCTCCATGTAAATGCATCACCCCACAAAAAAAAAAATAAGATTTAGGTTGACTATTTCTCTCCAACAAATTTCCCCATCATTTTCTATCTTCTGAAGATGGGCAAAAAGTTGTTATTGAATTTCTTCCCTTGTTTTATTTAATTTGAACTCGAATTTAAATGCAGTGGTTCCCCAAGAAACTGTTACAGCCTGAGGTTTTCATAGCCAGTTTCGAGCTACAAACTCAAGCTTATCTACAAATGTACATTTTTAAATAATACTGAAATAGAACTTACAAACTGAGATTCTAGTGTTTTCACAAGGACGATTTATTAGTAAACAAATAAAAAAATTGAGAAAGTAAAGTTTTGTGTATGAAAGTAAGTACACTGTTCCAGAAACGCCATCCCTCTGAATGTGTTAGGTAAGGAGCTGAGTGGACTGATGTTTCATCAGATTTGCTGAGAATAAATTTGGAATCACGTTTCCACCAAAGTAATTGCATATCCTCTAGAGCAATCGTTCCTAATTTTTTCAAAGATCCTTTTTGAATACCAAGAAATTTAGTGAAAACTCCCACAAAATTGAAAAAAATGCAGAATATATGCATATAGATGCTCACAGGTCTTCACATTGATCCCCAGCCTCTCAAGAGTCTGGGTCCTACTTACTGGCTTCTGCTGATCCTATGTTGTGATAGACGTAAAATTATTACAGAAACGATTGTCCCATGCAAACATCCTAGAACTTGCTCACTGCTCCTATTAAAACTTCACAGATAACTGTGCCTACATCTTATCTGCCTATGTTAGAAAATAAATGTCCTCTTCTTTTTCTTCAGTCTTCATACATAGTCTACTATTGATGTTTTATGCCCTATAAATTTACCTTTCTAATACTCTCTAATTAAATCTAAAAACTGCTTGCCTTCTTCTTAAGCATACAGTTGAGTTGTGAGAACCCATAGACTTCATGAAGGGCCTTTCTATATGCAAACAATAAATGTGATAACTGATCATTCCCACCATTGGGATGATTATCTACATAAATCTTAAGTGCACCATTGAAAGCCACATTAAATCATCCTGCTGGTCCATTGCATTGTGGGAGATAAGTCAGCACTTTTACATCTTTAACTGAACTGCAGTATCCCAGGAAATTCACACCCTCGTCTGCAAAAATCTCCCAAAGAAATCCAGGCCAAAATTGAACCATGCCAATTCTCACCGATCTTGTAGGCATAAGAATGCAATGTCCTGCTGCTTCCCTAGTCCCTTATATCATGAAAGGTGCTTCCACAATAAACGTTATGCACTTTTAAGAGGCATTTTCTAATTCCTAAGCGCTCTAAAAAAAAAAAAAACTTCGTACTGACAGATCAAGAAGACTGTGGGCGGTTTGGTCATTCTTCTTTTCCTGCCTCTGGCACACCTCACCACCTACATATTTTCATGCATCTGGCTTTGGATCATAGAATCCTAGACATTATTTGGGTGGCATGGATTCATGAACACCCATAAACTTGGATGGGGGAAAAAATGACATCTTTATTTTCATTAACTTCTAACTTAAATTTAGTATTTCCTTCAAATATGAATGCAGGCAGCAAACCTAGTCTCAGAGACTTTATGGCCAAGAGAAATCACAGATATTTTCATATCACATTAAGCTTGTGCAGGTATCTCAAAATATTTACTCTCATCACTATTTCAAAATTTCAGTCGCTGTTAGAGCTGCCATGAGAGCTTGCTGTTTAATGTGGTAATAAAGCCCATATATCACAACCACTAAATCCCCAATTTGAGGTATATATATATATTTGATTATTATATTTAACCATTATATTATAATTGGTTTCCTTAGCAATTCTATGTATTTTATTTTATGCATTTAAAAACATTATTTGGAGAAAGAGTCCGTGGCCCTTATCTGATAGCCAGAGGTCCAGGGCACAAAGAAGATTTGCTTTCTTCCCTGACTCATCACGGCCACATCCTCCAGTACCCTGCATTGTTTTCAATATACTACTTTAAGGAGCCCTGGATACCTCCTGTGTGCCCTGTGTCGTAGGGGGCTATTCCTGTTTGGCCTCTACAGATGAGATATTCTGAGCAGAAGGTCTGTCCAGGTGACCTTATCTTTTTTTTTTTTTTTTAACTTTTGCAAATCTTGTTTATTATAGAAAGATTATAGTGGTTAAAAAGCTTCCAGTTTTATAAGTTGACCTCAAAACAGTGTAATTGTGTGTGTGTGTGTTTTCTTTTCTTTAAATTTTTTTTATAATTTTTATTTTTAATTCAGGGGATGTATGTACAGGTTTGTTACAGGAGTATATGGCTTGATGCTGAGACTTGTGGTGCCACTGATGCTGAGCATAGCACCCAATAAATTTTTAAACCTTGACCTCCTCCTCCCCTCCCACCTCTAGTCGTTCCCAGTGGCTATTGTTCCCATCTTTATGTCCATGAGTCAGGTGAGCTCATCTTGATAGTCACCCCTTGTGACTTTTTTTCCACACCTTACAGGGGAAATGGCATGGTTCTCCAACGGCCTCCCAGTCGTTAGCAGGAATGAATGAGGGCCCTTGGAGAACATTTCATCTGCCTCCTAGTTACAGTCAAGTCAATAGAATTCCAGAGAGCAACACAATGGCCTGCCTCAGATTCCCACAGATAGTGAATTGCCCTGACTAGTTAATTAGAAAGTTCTTTTCTATATATTACACATGGACAAATACAATGACTAGCATTTCGGTGTATTTTTTATTTTTTTAATTGACACATAATAGTTGTATTATGTATTATGGGATACAGTGTATGATGTTTCAATGCATATATACAATGTGTATTTAGCATATATACAAGGTATTTAGCATATCCATCACCTCAGACATCCATCACTTCTTTGTGGCAAGACCATTCAGAATCCTCTCTTCTGTCTTCTTTGAAATATATACCATAGCATTGTTTACTATCCTCACCCTACTATGCCATAGAACACCAGAACACATTCCTCCTATCTAACTGCAACCTTGCACCATTGACCAATCTCACTCCATCATCCCTCCTCCCTAACCCCCAAGCCTCACACGACTAGTGTTTTTTCATGCTCATTGTTTACCAGGTACTGTTCTAAGTGCTTGACATGTTAACTCCTTTCATTATCACAGTGGCCCCCATTAGGTAAGTTCTATAATTATTCATATTTTAAAGATGAGGAGATAGAGGAAGAGAGTGGTTAAGAGACTTCCTAGTCTACATCAAGCAGTGATGAAGCCAGGATCCACATCAGGCTGTCACTTTTCCCCCAGCCCCTTTACTGTCCTGCCTCCCAACCCACTACCACCACAGAGCATGTGGAAGCTGATTAAAAAACAAACAAACAAAAAATAAAACCACCTCAGCACCAAACTGAGCAGAGGCAATCCCCCCAAGGTGTCTTTGGCTTGCAGAGATCAAACAGTTTTCTCATCATCTTGTAAAATAGGGATACAAAGGCCTACCTTTCAGGGGTGGTCTGAAAGTTAAATAAAACACATGTATCAAGTGCTAAGTGTGTTCAGTGCATAAGTTCCCCAAAACAGTAGTTATTACAATATTTGCTATTATTTTTGTCAAGATGTACACAAAAGATAGTGGACAAAGAAGAGATGGATGATGAATAACAAACCTTCAGGGATATGGGAATGAGCAGAAAATCATGGTCAAAGTATAAGAGAGGTCATGCAATCCAACCCACATTTATGCCAGTCTACTGGGCCCCTCCAGGCTCCTGAGGTTTAAAATTGACCTATTGCCTCTGTCTTCCCCTAGATTTGTCCCTGCAAGTGTTTCCCTTCCTTCGTGAAAATTGCCATATTGGCCTTCTTTCACCTGCTTTCTTACCTCCCTCCTCCAAGTTCCATCCACAAATCCTGTCAACCCGCCCCAGAAATATCTCAAACAGTTCAAAACATAATTCAAGCACTGAATTTAATTCCCTTTCAAAATTAGCTCCAGGTGACCAAAGAAAATCCATATGGATGCTGGAAAATTGGAAAGGTTGAAAACGACATTTAAATGATATTCAAGGATTTCCCACATGGAAAGCAAGACCAGCCAGAATAGGAGTCTCTGGCCCACAACCGCCAAATGCAAGGGGAAACCCACATGGGAACAAGTAGCAGGGAGCCTCAGCAAAGCCACCCAGCACTTCCTGGCTTGGGAAGTGTGAGGGATGTCAGTCTGTTTTGACTATTTCACCTCCTCACCTCCTTCTTTGAGGGAACTGTGCCTATTCCACTGGTGTAATTGCACAATGGGTTCTTCTTGTCCTCTGCACAAATAAACCCGTTCACTGAGACAGCATCATTGCAGCAAAGAAAGAGTTTAACACAAGCCTGACCAAGCAGAAGGACAGAAGTTTTTTATTACTCAAATCAGCCTCCCTGAGAACTCACAGGCTATGGTTTTATGGATAATTTGTTGGGCAGGGGGCTAGGGAATGGGTGTTGCTGACTGGTTGGGGATGAAATCTTACGGGTGTGATAAATGGTCCTTGTGTGCTGAATCTGTCTCTGGGTGGGGGCCACAGGAATGGTTGAGTGATGAGCCACAGGTCTGGGTGGGGTCAGTTAGTTGCCAGAATGCAAAAGTCTAAAAAATATCTCAAAAGACCAATCTTAAGTTTCACAATAGTAATGTTATCTACAGGAACCATTGGAAATATCACAAATTTTGTGACCTCAGGCCACGTGATTCCTGAGCAGCAAGGGATTACAGAAAGACAAGCAAGAGGACAACAGCTGGTTAATGTTTATCTACACCTACATCTTAGCAGAATCTAGTTCCCTCCCATAATCCTAATCGTGTGGCCTTTCATTTGTCTTACAAAGGTAGTTTCAGTCCTCAACCAAAGAGAGGATCAGTTTTAGGAAGGGACCATTATCATCCTTGCTTAAAACTTAAATTATAAACTACATTTCTCCCATGGGTAGCTTGGCCCATACCCAGGTATAAGCAAGGCCAGCCAGCTGTGAGACTAGAAGCAAGAGGAGGGTCAGTCATGCTAGATATATCTTGCTGTCATAATCTTTGCACAGGTGGTTTCAGTGGGGCTCCCAACCACAGGATTTGCCATACCCTAACCACAGAGGTGGGTATGAGACTGAGGTAAGTCAAATAGACTTTCCCTCCTGAGAATTCAACCTTGGTTGAGACACAGAGGGATGAGAAAGGGTAGCTGAACCATTGTAATAACACCAAGATCTCCAGAACTGCACTATGTCTGGCTCTCCCATGGGTGCAGTCCACGGAATGTGAGCCGAAGCACGGGCATCGCCTCACCTGGGAAGCACAAGGGGTCAGGGAATTCCCTTTCCTAGCCAAGGGAAGCCGTGACAGATGGTACCTGGAAAATCAGGACACTCCCACCCTAATACTGCGCTTTTCCAATGGTATTAGCAAATGGCACACCAGGAGATTATATCCCACACCTGGCTCTGAGGGTCCCATGCCCATGGTCCATCTTCCTTTGATTTTATAAGATATCTCAGTGCTCCTGGTGTTTATTTCACTATTATGTTTCATAACACATGTGTACACTACATATATCCTTCAATAATACATAAATCAATATTTCATAATCAACATTAAAGAATAAAAGAGCCAAAACAAGAGAATTTTAAAATATTTGCTCTCAGATAGTGGGGATAGGACTTGCTACAGACTCGAATGAAAGGAAAGAATTATGTGCTAATTCTGCTAAGGAAAATGGAAACCATTAAAATGCCTTAAAAGAACTAAAGAAATGAAAACTCTAACCAGGTAAGAAAGGGAGTTAGTGGGATCTCAGTGAGGTTGAAGACTCCACACCTCTTACACTTAACTAAAACACTGAACCCTATGGACATGGGCTGCTAGATCATCTCATTGAAGGATGTGGTCTAGGAGACCCAATAGTTTCTTTATAGGCAACCATTAAAAAGACCAGCATGTCTATTTCATCCACAGGAAGACCCGAGCATCCAAGGCATGAATCACACAACAAATTCTCTTCAAGAAAAGCAACGAGGTTCCAAGATGGCTGAATAGGAACAGCTCCAGTCTATAGCTCCCAGTGTGAGCGATGCAGAAGATGGGTGATTTCTGCATTTCCAACAGAGGTACCAGGTTCATCTCACTGGAGCTTGTCAGACAGTGGGTGCAGTCCACGGAATGTGAGCCGAAGCAGGGGCATCGCCTCACCTGGGAAGCACAAGGGGTCAGGGAATTCCCTTTCCTAGCCAAGGGAAGCCGTGACAGATGGTACCTGGAAAATCAGGACACTCCCACCCTAATACTGCGCTTTTCCAATGGTATTAGCAAATGGCACACCAGGAGATTATATCCCACACCTGGCTCTGAGGGTCCCATGCCCATGAAGCCTCGCTCAGGGCTAGCACAGCAGTCTGAGATCAAACTGCAAGGTGGCAGCAAGGCTGGGGGAGGGGCGTCCACCATTGCTGAGGCTTCAGTAAGTAAACAAAATGCCCAGGAAGCTCGAACCGGGTGGAGCCCACCGCAGCTCAAGGAGGCCTGCCTGCCTCTGTAGACTCCACCTCTGGGGGCAGGGCATAGCCAAACAAAAGGCAGCAGAAACCTCTGCAGACTTAAATGTCCCTGTCCGACAGCTTTGAAGAGAGTAGTGGTTCTCCCAGCATGGAGTTTGAGATCTGAGAATGGACAGACTGCCTCCTCAAGTGGGTAACTGACCGAAAAGCAGCCTAACTGGGAGGCACCTCCCAGTAGGGGCCAACTGACACCTCATACGGCCGGGTGCCCCTCGAGATGAAGCTTCCAGAGGAAGGATCAGGCACCAACATTTGCCATTCTGCAATATTTGTTATTTTGCAGCCTTAGCTGGTGATACCCAGGCAAACAGGGTATGGAGTGGACCTCCAGCAAACTCCAACAGACCTGCAGCTGAGGTGCCTGACTGTCAGAAGGAAAACTAACAAACAGAAAGGACATCCACACCAAAACCCCATCTATACGTCACCATCATCAAAGACCAAAGGTAGATAAAACCACAAAGCTGGGGAGAAACCAGAGCAGAAAAACTGAAAATTCTAAAAATCAGAGCGCCTCTTCTCCTAGAAAGGAACGCAACTCCTTGCCAGCAATGGAACAAAGCTAGATGGAGAATGACTTTCACGAGTTGAGAGAAGAAGGATTCAGACGATTAGTAAACAGAAACTTCTCTGAGCTACATGAGGATGTTCGAACCAATCACAAAGAAGATAAAAACCTTGAAAAAAGATTAGATGAATGGCTAACTAGAATAAACAGCATAGAGAAGACCTTAAATGACCTCATGGAGCTGAAAACCACGGCACAAGAACTACGTGATGCATGCACAAGCTTCAGCCGCCGATTAGATCAAGTGGAAGAAAGGGTATCAGTAATTGAAGATCAAATGAATGAAAAGAAGCGAGAAGAGAAGTTTAGAGAAAAAGGAGTAAAAAGAAATGAACAAAGGCTCCAAGAAATATGGGACTATATGAAAAGACCAAATCTACATCTGATTGATGTACCTGAAAATGACGCGGAGAATGGAACCAATGTGGAAAACATTCTGCAGGATATTATCCAGGAGAACTTCCCCAACCTAGCAAAGCAGGCCAACATTCAAATTCAGGAAATACAGAGAATGCCACAAAGATACTCCTTGAGAAGAGAAACTCCAAGACACATAATTGTCAGATTTACCAAGGTTGAAATGGAGGAAAAAATGTTAAGGGAAGCCAGAGAGAAAGGCTGGGTTACCCACAAAGGGAAGCCCATCAAACTAACAGCAGATCTCTCTGAAGAAACTCTACAAGCCAGAAGAGAATGGGGGCCAATATTCAACATTCTTAAAGAAAAGAATTTTCAACCCAGAATTTCATATCCAGCCAAACTAAGCTTCATAGTGAAGGAGAAATAAAATCCTTTAAAGACAAGCAAATGCTGACAGATTTTGTCAGCACCAGGCCTGCCTTACAAGAGCTCCTGAAGGAAGCACTAAACATGGAAAGGAACAACTGGTACAAGCCACTGCAAAAACATGCCATCGTAAAGACCATCGATGCTAGGAAGAAACTGCATCAACGAACGAGCAAAATAACCAGCTAACATCATAATGACAGGATCAAATTCACACATAACAATATTAACCTTTAATGTAAATGGGCTAAATGCCCCCAGTTAAAAGACACAGACTGGCAAATTGGATAAAGAGTCAAGACCCATCAGTGTGCTGTATTCAGGAGACCCACCTCATGTGCAGAGACACACATAGGCTCAAAATAAAGGGATGGAGGAAGACCTACCAAGCAAATGGAAAACAAAAAAAAAGCAGGAGTTGCAATCCCACTCTCTGATAAAACAGACTTTAAACCAACAAAGATCAGAAGAGACAAAGAAGGCAATTACATTATGGTAAAGAGATCAATTCAACAACAAGAGCTAACTATCTTAAATATATATGCACCAAATACAGGAGCACCCAGATTCATAAAGCAACTCATTAGAGACCTAAAAAGAGACTTAGACTCCCAAACACCCCACTGTCAACATTAGATAAATCAATGAGACAGAAAGTTAACAAGGATATCCAGGACTTGAACTCAGTTCTGCACCAAGCAGACCTAATAGACATCTACAGAACTCTCCACCCTAAATCAATAGAATATACATTCTTCTCAGCACCGCATCATGCTTATTCCAAAATTGACCACATAGTTGGAAGTAAAGCACTCCTCAGCAAATCTAAAAGAACAGAAATTATAACAAATTGTCTCTAAGACCACAGTGCAATCAAACTAGAACTCAGGTTTAAGAAACTCACTCAAAACCACACGACTACATGGAAACTGAACAACCTGCTCCTGAATGACTACTGGGTATACAACAAAATGAAGGCAGAAATAAAGATGTTCTTTGAAACCAATGAGAACAAAGACACAACGTACCAGAATCTCTGGGACACATTTAAAGCAGTATGCAGAGGGAAATTTACAGCACTAAATGCCCACAAGAGAAAGCAAAAAAGATCTAAAATTTGACACCCTAACATCACAATTAAAAGAACTAGAGAAGCAAGAGCAAATACATTCAAAAGCTAGCAGAAGGCAAGAAATAACTAAGATCAGAGCAGAACTGAAGGAGATAGAGACACAAAAAAAACCTTCAAAAAATCAATGAATCCAGGAGCTGGTTTTATGAAAAGATCAACAAAATTAATAGACCACTAGTGAGAATAATAAAGAAGAAAAGAGAGAAGAATCAAATAGATGCAATAACAAAAGATAAAGGGGATATTAACACCGATCCCACAGAAATACACACTACCATCAGAGAATACTATAAATACCTCTATGCAAATAAACTAGAAAATCTAGAAGAAATGGATAAATTCCTGGACACATAGACCCTCCCAAGACTAAACCAGGAAGAAGTTGAATCTCTGAATAGACCAATAACAGGCTCTGAAATTGAGGCAATAATTAATAGCCTACCAACCAAAAAAAGTCCAGAACCAGACGGATTCACAGCCAAATTCTACCAGAGGTACAAAGAGGAGCTGGTACCATTCCTTCTGAAACTATTCCAATCAATAGAAAAAGAGGGACTCCTTCCTAATTCATTTTATGAGGCCAGCATCATCCTGATACCAAAGGCTGGCAGAGACACAACAAAGAAAGAGAATTTTAAACCAATATCCCTGATGAACATCAATGCAAAAATCCTCAATAAAATACCGGCAAAACGAATCTAGCAGCACTTCAAAAAGCTTATCTACCACGATCAAGTTTGCTTCATCCCTGGGATGCAAGGCTGGTTTAACATATGCAAATCCAAAAACGTAATCCAACATATAAACAGAACCAAAGACAAAAACCACATGATTATCTCAATAGATGCAGAAAAGGCCTTTGACAAAATTCAACAGCTCTTCACGCTAAAAACTCGCAATAAACTAGGTATTAATGGGATGCATCTCAAAATAATAAGAGCTATTTATGACAAACCCACAGCCAATATCATACTGAATGGGCAAAAACTGGAAGCATTCCCTTTGAAAACTGGCACAAGACAGGGATGCCCTCTCTCACCACTCCTATTCAACATAGTGTTGGAAGTTCTGGCCAGGGCAATCAGGCAGGAGAAAGAAATAAAGGGTATTCAATCAAGAAAAAAGGAAGTCAAATTGTCCCTGTTTGCAGATGACATGATTGTATCTTTAGAAAACTCCATCGTCTCAGCCCAAAATCTCCTTAAGCTGATAAACAACTTCAGCAAACTCTCAGGATACAAAATCAATGTGCAAAAATTACAAGCATTCCTATACACCAACAGCAGACAAACAGAGAGCCAAATCATGAGTGAACCCCCTTTCACAATTGCTTCAAAGAGAATAAAATACCCAGAAATCCAACTTACGAAGTATGTGAAGGACCTCTTCAAGGAGAACTACAAACCACTACTCAATGAAATAAAAGACACAAACAAATGGAAGAACATTCCATGCTCATGGGTAGAAAGAATCAATATTGTGAAAATGGCCACACTGCCCAAGGTAACTTACAGATTCAATGCCATCCCCATTAAGCTGCCAATGACTTTCTTCACAGAATTGGAAAAAACTACTTTAAAGTTCACATGGAACCAAAAAAGAACCTTCATTGCCAAGACAAACCTAAGCCAAAAGAACAAAGCTGGAGGCATCACACTACCTAACTTCAAACTATACTACAAGGCTACAGTAACCAGAACAGCATGGTACTGGTACCAAAACAGAGATATAGACCAATGGAACAGAATAGAGCCCTCAGAAATAATACCACACATCTACAATCATCTGATCTTTGACAAACCTGACAAAAACAAGAAATGGGGAAAGGATTTCCTACTTAATAAATGGTGCTGGGAAAACTGGCTAGCCATATGTAGAAAGCTGAAACTGGATCCCTTCCTTACAGCTTCCACGAAAATTAAGTCAAGATGGATTAAAGACTTAAATGTTAGACCTAAAACCAGAAAAACCCTAGAAGAAAACCTAGGCAATACCAGTCAGGACATAGGCATGGGCAAGGACTTCATGTCTAAAACATGAAAAGCAATGGCAACAAAAGCCAAAATTGACAAATGGGATCTAATTAAACTAAAGAGCTTCTGTACAGCAAAAGAAACTACCATCAGAGTGAACAGGCAACCTACAGCAAGGGAGAAAATTTTTACAATGTACCCATCTGACAAAGGGCTAATATCCAGAATCTACAAAGAACTTAAACAAATTTACAAGAATAAAATCAAACATCCCCATCAAAAAGTGGACAAAGGATATGAACAGACACTTCTCAAAAGAAGACATTTATGCAGCCAGCAGACACATGAAAAAATGCTCATCATCACTGGCCATCAGAGAAATGCAAATCAAAACCACAGTGAGATACCATCTCACACCAGTTAGAATGGCGATCATTAAAAAGTCAGGAAACAACAGGTACTGGAGAGGATGTGGAGAAATAGGAACACTTTTACACTGTTGGTGGGACTGTAAACTAGTTCAACCATTGTGGAAGACGTGTGGTGATTCCTCAAGGATCTAGAACTAGAAATACCATTAGAACTAGAAATGCCATCCCATTACTGAGTATATACCCAAAGGATTATAAATCATGCTGCAATAAAGACACATGCACACGTATGTTTATTGCGGCACTATTCACAATAGCAAAGACTTGGAACCAACCCAAATGTCCATCAATGATAGACTGGACTAACAAAATGTGGCACATATACACCATGGAATACTATGCAGCCAGAAAAAAGGATGAGTTCATGTCCTTTGTAGGGACATGGATGAAGCTGGAAATCATCAGTCTGAGCAAACTATCACAAGGACAGAAAACCAAACACAGCATGTTCTCACTAATAGGTGGGAATTGAACAATGAGAACACTTGGACACAGGATGGGGAACGTCACACATCAGGGCCTGTTGTGGGGTGGGGTGAGGGGGAAGGGATAGCATTAGGAAATATACCTAATGTAAATGACAAGTTAATGAGTGCAGCACACCAACATGGCACATGTATACATATGTAACAAACCTGCACATTGTGCACATGTACACTAGAACTTAAAGTATAATTTTTTAAAAAAAAAAGAAAGGAAAAGCAACATCTTTCTGCTTAGGATGAGAGCCTAATATACTTGGAATGATAAAACTTCTTTTTCAGTGAGTATCATTTTACCCTTGGAACCTTCCAAGGTTTCAAGGTATTTTAACACGCAAGTATTTTAAGTATTTTAAGGTAGATTACACACATCTTAACACCTACCCTATAATACTTGAGCACACACAGTGTGATGCCATAATATGTTAGTTTAAGTTATAAACTAGGCACAGCCAGTGGCCTGATGGAGACTCCCTAGCCAGTCAGCAGGTCACCAGCAAATCCACACACCAGAGAGGGCTACAGTAAGAGCGTCAGCCAGGCACATCTTCATCAACATCAAAGGCTTTTCTAACTGACCTAGTGAAGATCAGTGGTTTCTGTTGGTGGAATTAATGGTATTCAAGTTGTATGATAGAGTAAGATATTTCAGTAAATATCCCCACACTTCATGAACAGCACAAGCATCCCAGGAAATGATGCCACTCAACATTTAATGTCCCAAGAGTCCCAGGTCCCCCACCAAGTCAGGAGCAGTCTGGACTGCAGATACCATCATATCTACCTTAGATGAACCTGCCATGCAATCGGTCAGACTACGCACAAGACAGAGAACATACAAAAAATGACCCGTATAGGAGATAACGCATATGTTAATTAGCTCAATTCAGCCATTACACAATTTATACATATTTTAAAACATCATGTTATACATGACAAATATATACAACTTTGTGAATTTTTTAGTTACTTTTTTTAAGAAAACAGAATAGGGACTTCACTGAGCTCACAGGCTTGATAATAAGTGTTCATTACATGTCCAGATGGAGGGAAGAGTTTGGTCAGCCACGTGCTTTGCCTATAACCTGGTTGTGCCACTGTCTTCCACCTAAAAGAACCTGAGAGTTTCTGATAATCAAACAGGAAAGCTCACCACAAAAGGTTAGAATAGCAATGCCTTTATGTTACATTAAATAATAATCTGCATATGTTCAGTATTTATAGTGTTTAGGGATAATTTTGTCTATAAAAACCAACAGATTAGCTTTATGATTCCATTAAAATGTACTTATTTTCTATTTGAGATTTTAAGCTGAAAGATTTAAGGGTCTTGTCTAGGTTTGTACACAGCATTGGATGCTTAAGATAACTTGAGATTTACTATATTCATAAGATTAATTTATTACATTACCTACAGAGGGGAAATCAAATATATTATATTTATAAATGCAATAAAAATGTTTAAAGGAATTTAATTAACCAAGTTGTAAATGGGGCTGATTATTTAAGGTAGTTTTCTCTGTTCAGCTGGAACACTAAGAAAAGCGTCCTTGAACAGGATTGCTGAAATTCACTGGATTTATAAAAAGAACAATAAGATTTATAAGTGGCACTTCTATGGGCTTAAGGAAAACAAGACTTTTTAATTTATTATTTGAATAAATTGTAAACGAATTCATAATAAAAGTCCAAAATAAATGTAAATCATTCCTTTCGGGGGGGAAATTACCTTAAAGACCAAAAAACTCACAGCAACAGATCAGAACTATGAATCATTATTAATTGAGATGTTGGCATTATTCTCCCACAGAAAGAATCACAGCATTCTACAACAGTTGTTGCCCAACTCTTTTGATTATGCACCCCTAATAGTAAAAGAAGTTTGAAAATGTATCTGTAATATATGTATATTTATTGACACATTGTGATGGGCACTGCCACGCACTGCCCAGAGTCCCCAGAGAAGGACATGTTGCCCTGTGCTGTGGGCAGAGAGCCCCCAGTGATCAGTTCTTCAGGGATGCTGCAACTGCAGAGGGCCACCTGGATGAATGCATGTCCCTCTCAAGACAGCCTATATGCAGTGACTCATCCGTGCAGGTATATAAAGGCCTGGCCACCTGGGCCCAGCTCTAGAGAGCTCTGAAGGGCCATTCTAGCTCCCATGCTCTGCATGGCGTTGACCCAGGCTGTCACAGAGCCTGTGTCACAGATGGACCTCTCCTTCTGCTCCACCCTGATTCCTTCTGTCCTTCGTACAGATGTCAATGCCCAGGTTATGCCCTAGCAAACATCCCACATGCTCCACTCCTTCCCAGAGTCTACTTCCCAGGAAACCCAACCTGTAACACAAACTACATATGCAAACATCTCAATTACTTTGTTAAACATTAGCAAAGCTTAATATCTTTATGATTTGAATACCTCAGCCTCGGAAATGGTAGTGAGGAGACCAGAATGCTAATGAGCCATAAAGTATGGATAATTGAGAGATTACCCTTGTCATATCCATTATGGCTGCTATAAGAAAGTATCTCACGAGGTAATTTATAAAAACAAATTTATTTCTCACACTTCTGAAGACTGAGAAATCCAAGACAAAGATCCACTGCCAGATCCACTGTCTAGTGAGGGCTCGCTTTTTGCTTCAAAGATGGCACATTCTAGGTTCCCTCACTTGGCAGGAAGGGGCAAAGAAACTCCCTCAAACACCCAGAGGGCAGGGCATGCGGCCCCACCAACCCCTACCACTGATAGTCAGGTGGGAATGCCAGAGCTTCCAGCCCAATGATCTTGCTTCTGTGTGAACTCAGCTAGAGGCCACAACTTCCTGTTGTCCCAGGAGAAACTCAATGGCAGAGCATGCTACCTCGCCCACTCCCTCCACAGGTAGCCAGGTGGGTAGGCAACACCTGCTACAGCTTCTGGCCCAGTGGTCCCACTTCTGTGTGAACTCAGCCAGTGGATACAGCCTCCTATTGTACCATGAAGCACCCAGACAGCAGGGCAGGTGCCTCCATCCACCTCTACCACAGGGAGTCAGGTGAGCCATGCCTGCTAGAGCTTCCAGCCCAACAGTCCTACTTCTGCCTGAATTTGCCAAGAGGCACAACTTCCTGTTGCCCTGGGAACACCAGGATGGCAGGGTAGGCAACTCTCCCCACCCTTGCTTCCTACAGCCAGAAGGGCCACACCCACTAGAGCTTCCAACCCAGTGGCCCTACTTCTGCCTGAGCTCTGCCGGAAGGTACAAACCTGTGTTTCCCCAGGAAGCAAACAAACATCAGATTAGGGCCAATCTAGGAAGGATAAGGCTTATCTGCCAACTGTGGCCCCTGCTTGACAGAGTCTCATGGACCAAAACACCCAACAAAAAAACATGGGCATGGAGACAGTAATTGGAGGGGGCTCCTCCAAAGAGCCTGTAGCAGACTAGAACTGAAACCAGTCAACCAAACCCACCTTACACCATCATCAAATCCCCAAGGGCATCAAAGAAGCAAAAAGCAAAAAAAAAAAAAAAAAACTATCCAATTTATCTTTGAAGGATAGCAACTTCAAAGATTGAAGGAACATCAGGTCACACAAATCAGAAAGAACCACAGCAAGAACTCTGGCAACTCAAAAAGCCAGAGTGGCTTCTTTCCTCCAATGACCACACTAGTTCCCCAGTGTATTAGTCCATTTACACACTGCAATAAAGAACTACCTGAGACTGGGTAATTTATGAAGAAAAGAGGTTCAACTGAATCACAGTTCTGCAGGCTTAACAGGGAGCATGGCTGGAAGGCCTCAGGAAACTTATAATCATGGCAGAAGGGGAAGGGGAAGCAAGTACATCTTTACTGTGGCAGAGCAGGAGAGGGAGAGAGAGAGAAAGAGGAGGGGGAAGTGACAAACACTTTTAAACCATCAGCTCTCATGAGAACTCACTCACTATCACTAAAACACCTCCCACCAGGCCCCTCCTCCAATTCGACATGAGATTTGGGTGGGGACACAAATCCAAATCATATCACCCAGCAAGGGTTCTTAACCAAGCTGAAGTGGCTGAAATGACAGAAATAGAATTCAGAATATGGATAAGAATGAAGATCTTTGAGATTCAGGAGAATGTCAAGACTCAATCCAAGGAAGTTAAGAATCACAATAAAATAATACAGGAGCTCATAGACAAAATAACCATTATAAAAAAGAAGCAAACTAATCTAGTAGAGCTGAAAAATATACTATAAGAATTGCATAATGCAATCACAAGTATTAACAACAGAACAGACTAAGCTGGGGAAACAATCTCAGAGTTTGAAGACTGGCTGTCTCATATAACTCAATGAGACAAAAATAAAGAAAAAAGAATGAACAACACCTCTGAGAAATACAGAATTATGTAAAGAAACCAAATCGATGATTCACTGGCATCCTCAAAAGAGATGAGGAGAAGGCAGGCAATTTGGAAAACATATTTCAGGATAGCATTTATTAAAACTTCACTACAGAGGCCAACATTCAAATTCAGGAAATGCAGAGAACCCCTGTGAGGTTATACAAGAAGAGCATCCAGAAGATACATAATCAGATTCCACAGGCTGAAATGAAAGAAGAATCATTAAGGGTAACTAGAGACAAGGGACAGGTAACCTACAAAGGGAATCCCATCAAGCTAAGAGTGGACCTTTCAGCAGAAATGC
Source organism: Homo sapiens (assembly GCF_000001405.40). Taxonomy (NCBI): domain Eukaryota; kingdom Metazoa; phylum Chordata; class Mammalia; order Primates; family Hominidae; genus Homo; species Homo sapiens. The sequence continues at coordinate 10,001,357 of NC_000005.10, forward strand.
TGCAAGCCAGAAGAGACTGGGGGTCTATATTCAGGATTCTTAAAGAAAAAATGTTTAACCAATAATTTCATTTCCAGTCAAACTAAGCTCCGTAAGTGAAGGAGAAATAAGATTCTTTTCAGACAAGAAAATGCTGAGGGAATTTGTTACCACCAGACCTGCCTTACAAGAAATCCTGAAAGGAGCAATAAATATGTAAAGGAAAGACCATTACCAGCCCCTACAAAAACACACTTAAGTACATAGACAGGTGACACTAAAAAGCCACCACACAAATAAGTCTGCATAATAACCAGCCAACAACACAAACACATGATCAAATCCACAAAAATCAATATTAATCTTGAAAGTAAATGGGCTAAATGCCCCAATTAAAAGGCACAGAGTGGCAAGCTAGATAAAAAAGCAGGGCCTAATGGTATACTGTCTTCAAGAGACCCATCTCACATGCAATGACATCCATAGCCTCAAAATAAAGGGATGGAGAAAACATATCAAGAAAATGGAAAACAGAAGAAAGCAGGGGTTGCAGTCCTAATTTCAGAGAAAACAGACTTTAAACCAACAAAGATCAAAAGAGATAAAAAGGGGATTATATAGTGGTAATGGGTTCAATTCAACAAGAAGATCTAACTGTTTTAAACATACACACAACTAACACAACAACACCCAGATTCATAAGGCAAGTTTTTAGAAATCTATGAAGAGACTTATATTACCACACAGTAATAGTAGGTGACTTCAACACCTCAATGACAGTATAAGACAGATCACTGAGACAGAAAGTTATTTGGGACCTGAACTCAACACTTGACCAAATGGACCTAACAGACATCTAAAGAACTCTCCACCGAAACACAATAGAATATACATTCTTCTCAACACCACATGGCACACACTCCAAACTCGACCACACCATCAGACATAAAACAATACTCAGTAAATTTTTTAAAAAATGAAATCATACCCAACCACACTCTCAGACCACAGCACAATAAAAATAGAAATCAATAGTAAGAAAATTACTCAAAAGCATACAATGTGGGGGGCGGTTCCAAGATGGCTGAATAGGAACAGCTGCAGTCTATAGCTCCCAGTGTGAGCGACGCAGAAGACGAACGATTTCTGCATTTCCAATTGAGATACCAGGTTCATCTCACTCGGGATTGTCGGACAGTGGGTGCACAACAGTGGGTGCAGCACACCGAGCGTGAGCCGAAGCAGGGTGAGGCAGTGCCTCACCCAGGAAGCACAAGGGGTCAGGGAATTCCCTTTCCTAGCCAAGGAAAGGGGTGACAGACAGCACCTGGAAAATCAGGTCACTCCCACCCTAATACTGTGCTTTTCCAACGGTCAGCAAATAGCACACCAGGAGATTATATCCTGTGCCTGGCTCAGAGGGTCCTATGCTCACGGAGCCTCACTCATTGCTAGCACAGCAGTCTGAGATCAAACTGCAAGGGGGCAGCGAGGCTGGGGGAGAGACGCCCACCACTGCTGAGGCTTGAGTAGGTAAACAAAGCGGCCAAGAAGATCAAACTGGGTGGAGCCCACCACAGCTCAAGGAGGCCTGCCTGCCTCTGTAGACTCCACCTCTGGGGGCAGGGCATAGCCAAACGAAATGCAGCAGAAATCTCTGCAGACTTAAATGTCTCTGTCTGACAGCTTTGAAGACAGTAGTGGTTCTCCCAGCACGCAGCTTGAGATCTGAGAACAGACAGACTGCCTCCTCAAGTCAGTCCCTGACCCCCAAGTAGCCTAACTGGGAGGCACCCCCCAGTAGGAGCAGACTGACACCTCACATGGCCGGCTACCCCTCTGAGATGAAACATCCAGAGGAATGATCAGGCAGCAACATTTGCTGTACACCAATATTCCCTACTCTGCAGCCTCTGCTGCTGATACCCAGGCAAGCAGCGTCTGGAGTGGACCTCCAGCAAACTCGAACAGTCCTGCAGCTGAGGGTCCTGACTGTTAGAAGGAAAACTAACAAACAGAAAGGACATCCACACCAAAACCCCATCTGTACGTCACCATCATCAAAAACCAAAGGTAGATAAAACCACAAAGATGGGGAAAAAACAGATCAGAAAAACTGAAAATTCTAAAAATCAAAGCACCTCTCCTCCTCCAAAGGAATGCAGCTCCTCACCAGCAATGGAACAAAGCTGGATGGAGAATGACTTTGACGAGTTGGGAGAAGAAGGCTTCAGATGATCAAACTTCTCTGAGCTAAAGGAGGAATTTCGAAGCCATGGCAAACAAGTTAAAAACCTTGAAAAAAGATTAGATGAATGGCTAACTAGAATAACCAATGCAGAGAAGTCCTTAAAGGACCTGATGGAGCCGAAAACCACGGCACAAGAACTATGTGATGAATGCACAAGCTTCAGTAGCCGATTTGATCAACTGGAAGAAAGGGTATCAGTGACGGAAGATCAAATGAATGAAATGAAGCAAGAAGTTAAGTTTAGAGAAAAAAGAATAAAAAGAAATGAACAAAGCCTCCAAGAAATATGGGACTATGTGAAAAGACCAAATCTAGGTCTAATTGGTATACTGAAAGTGACGAGGAGAATGGAGCCAAGTTGGAAAACACTCTGCAGGATGTTATCCAGGAGAAATTCCCCAACCTAGCAAGGCAGGCCAACATTCAAATTCAGGAAATACAGAGAATGCCACAAAGATACTCCTCGAGAAGAGAAACTCCAAGACACATAATTGTCAGAATCACCAAAGTTGAAATGAAGGAAAAAATGTTAAGGGCAGCCAGAGAGAAAGGTTGGGTTAACCACAAAGGGAAGCCCATCAGACTAACAGCTTATCTCTCTGAAGAAACTCTAAGGCCAGAAGAGAGTGGGGGCCAATATTCAACATTCTTAAAGGAAAGAATTCTCAACCCAGAATTTCATATCCAGCCAAACTAAGCTTCATAAGTGAAGGAGAAGTAAAATACTTTACAGACAAGCAAATGCTGAGAGATTTTGTCAGCACCAGGCCTGCCTTACAAGAGCTCCTGAAGGAAGCACTAAACATGGAAAGGAACAACTGGTACAAGCCACAGCAAAAACGCCAAATTGTAAAGACCATCGATGCTAGGAAGAAACTACATCAACTAATGAGCAAAATAACCAGCTAACATCATAATGACAGGATCAAATTCACACATAACAATATTAACTTTAAATGTAAATAGGCTAAATGCTCCAATTAAAAGACACAGACTGGCAAACTGGATAAAGAGTCAAGACCCATCAGTGTGCTGTATTCAGGAGACCCATCTCATGTGCAAAGACACGTATAGGCTCAAAATAAAGGAATGGAGGAAGACCTACCAAGCAAATGGAAAACAAAATAAGGCAGGGGTTGCAATCCTAGTCTCTGATAAAACAGATTTTAAACCAACAAAAATCAAAAGAGACAAAGAAGGCCATTACATAATGGTAAAGGGATCAATTCAACAAGAACAACTAACTATCCTAAATATATATGCACCCAATACAGGAGCACCCAGATTCATAAAGCAAGTCCTTAGACACCTACAAAGTGACTTAGACTCCCACATTATAATAATGGGAGACATTAATACCCCATTATCAACATTAGACAGATCAACAAGACAGAAAGTTAACAAGGATATCCAGGAATGGAACTCACCTCTGTACAAAGCAGACCTAATAGACATCTACAGAACTCTCCACCCCAAATCAACAGAATATACATTCTTCTCAGCACCACGCCACATTTTTCCAAAATTGACCACATAGTTGGAAGTAAAGCACTCCTCAGCAAATGTAAAAGAACAGAAATTGCCAGGCGCGGTGGCTCACGCCTGTAATCCCAGCACTTTGGGAGGCCGAGGCGGGCGGATCACGAGGTCAGGAGATCGAGACCATCCCGGCTAAAACGGTGAAACCCCGTCTCTACTAAAACTACAAAAAATAGCCGGGCGTAGTGGCGGGCGCCTGTAGTCCTAGCTACTTGGGAGGCTGAGGCAGGAGAATGGCGTGAACCCGGGAGGCGGAGCTTGCAGTGAGCCGAGATCCCGCCACTGCACTCCAGCCTGGGCGACAGAGCGAGACTCCGTCTCAAAAAAAAAAAGAACAGAAATTATAACAAACTGTCTCTCAGACCACAGTGCATTCAAACTAGAACTTGGGATTAAGAAACTCACTCAAAACCACACGACTACATGGAAACTGAACAACCTGCTCCTGAATGACTACTGGGTACATAACGAAATGAAGGCAGAAATAAAGATGTTCTTTGAAACCAGTGAGAACAAAGACACAACATACCGGAATCTCTGGGACACATTTAAAGCAGTGTGTAGAGGGAAATTTATAGCACTAAATGCCCACAAGAGAAAGCAGGAAAGACCTAAAATTGACACCCTAACATCACAATTAAAAGAACTAGAGAAGCAAGAGCAAACACATTCAAAAGCTAGCAGAAGGCAAGAAATAACTAAAATCAGAGCAGAACTGAAGGAAATAGAGACACAAAAAACCCTTCAAAAAATCAATGAATCCAGGAGCTGTTTTTTTAAAAAGATCAACAAAATTGATAGACCGCTAGCAAGACTAATAAAGAAGAAAAGAGAGAAGAATCAAATAGATGCAATAAAAAATGATAAAGGAGATATCACCACCAATCCCACAGAAATACAAACTACCATCAGAGAATACTATAAACACCTCTACTCAAATAAACTTGAAAGTCTAGAAGAAATGGATAAATTCCTCGACACATACACCCTCCCAAGACTAAACCAGGAAGAAGTTGAATCTCTGAATAGACCAATAACAGGTTCTGAAATTGAGGCAATAATTAATAGCCTACCAATCAAAAACGTCCAGGACCAGATGGATTCACAGCTGAATTCTACCAGAGGTACAAGGAGGAACTGGTACCATTCCTTCTGAAACTATTCCAATCAAGAGAAAAAGAGGGAATCCTCCCTAACTCATTTTATGAGGCCAGCATCATCCTGATACCAAAACCTGGCACAGACACAACAAAAAAAGAGAATTTTAGACCAATATCCCTGATGAACATCGATGCAAAAATCCTCAATAAAATACTGGCAAACCGAATCCAGCAGCACATCAAAAAACTTACCCACCATGATCAAGTGGGCTTCATCCCTGGGATGCAAGGCTGGTTCAACATACACAAATCCATAAACTTAATCCTGCATATAAACAGAACCAAGGAAAAAAAACACATGATTATCTCAATAGATGCAGAAAAGGCCTTTGACAAAATTCAACAGCCCTTCATGCTAAAAACTCTCAATAAATTAGGTATTGATGGGATGTATCTCAAAATAATAAGAGCTATTATGACAAACCCACAGCCAATATGATACTGAATGTGCAAAAACTGGAAGCATTCCCTTTGAAAACTGGCACAAGACAGGGATGCCTTCTCTCACCACGCCTATTCAATATAGTGTTAGAAGTTCTGGCCAGGGCAATCAGGCAGGAGAAGGAAATAAAGGGTATTCAATTAGGAAAAGAGGAAGTCAAATTGTCCCTGTTTGCAGATGACATGATTGTATATCTAGAAAACCCCATTGTCTCAGCCCCAAATCTCCTTAAACTGATAAGCAACTTCAGCAAAGTCTCAGGATACAAAATCAATGTGCAAAAATCACAAGCATTCTTATACACCAATAACAGACAAACAGAGAGCCAAATCATGAGTGAACTCGCATTCACAATTGCTTCAAAGAGAATACAATACCTAGGAATCCAACTTACAAAGGATGTGAAGGACCTCTTCAAGGAGAACTACAAACCACTACTCAATGAAATAAAAGAGGATACGAACAAATGGAAGAAAATTCCATACTCATGGGTAGGAAGAATCAGTATTGTGAAAATGGCCATACTGCCCAAGGTAATTTATAGATTCAATGCCATCCCTATCAAGCTACCAATGACTTTCTTCACAGAATTGGAAAAAACTACTTTAAAGTTCATATGGAACCAAAAAAAAAAGCCTGCATTGCCAAGTCAATCCTAAGTCAAAAGAACAAAGCTGGAGGCATCATGCTACCTGACTTCAAACTATACTACAAGGCTACAGTAACAAAAACAGCATGGTACTGGTACCAAAACAGAGATATAGACCAATGGAACAGAACAGAGGCCTCAGAAATACCACCACACATCTACAGCCATCTGATCTTTGACAAACCTGACAAAAACAAGCACTGGGGAAAGGATTCCCTATTTAATAAATGGTGCTGGGAAAACTGGCTAGCCATATGTAGAAAGCTGAAACTGGATCCCTTCCTTACAGCTTATACATAAATTAACTCAAGATGGATTAAAGACTTAAATGTTAGACCTAAAACCAGAAAAACCCTAGAAGAAAACCTAGGCAATACCAGTCAGGACATAGGCATGGGCAAGGACTTCATGTCTAAAACACCAAAAGCAATGGCAACAAAAGCCAAAATTGATAAATGGGATCTAATTAAACTAAACAGCTTCTCCACAGCAAAAGAAACTACCATCAGAGTGAACAGGCAACCTACAGAATGGGAGAAAATTTTTGCAATCTACTCATCTGACAAAGGGCTAATATCCAGAATCTACAAAGAACTCAAACAAATTTATAAGAAAAAAACAACCCCATCAACAAGTGGGTGAAGGATACGAACATACACTTCTCAAAAGAAGACATTTATGCAGCCAACAGACACATGAAGAAATGCTCATCATCACTGGTCATCAGAGAAATGCAAATCAAAACCACAATGAGATACCATCTCACACCAGTTAGAATGGTGATCATTAAAAAGTCAGGAAACAACAGGTGCTGGAGAGGATGTGGAGAAATAGGAACACTTTTACACTGTTGGTGGGACTGTAAACTAGTTCAACCATTGTGGAAGTCAGTGTGGCAATTCCTCAAGGATCTAGAACTAGAAATACCATTTGACCCAGCCATCCCATTACTGGGTATATACCCAAAGGATTATAAATCATGCTGTTATAAAGACACATGCACACATATGTATACTGTGGCACTATTCACAATAGCAAAGACTTGGAACCAACCCAAATGTCCAACAATGATAGACTGGACTAACAAAATGTGGCACATATACACCATGGAATGCTACGCAGCCATAAAAAAGGATGAGTTCATGTCCTTTGTAGGGACATGGATGAAGCTGGAAACCATCATTCTCAGCAAACTATCACAAGGACAAAAAAACAAACACTGCATGTTCTCACTCATAGGTGGGAATTGAACAATGAGAACACATGGACACAGGAAGGGGAACATCACACAGTGGGGCCTGTTGTGGGGTGGGGGGAGGGGGGAGGGATAGCATTAGGAGATATACCTAATGTAAATGACGAGTTAATGGGTGCAGCACACCAATATGGCACATGTATACATATGTAACAAACCTGCACGTTGTGCACATGTATTCTAAAACTTAAAGTATAATAAAAAATAAAAATAAAAAAATAAAAAATAAAAAAAAGCATACAATGACATGGAAATTAAGCAACCTGCCCCTGAATGACTTTTAAGTAAATAATAAAATTAAAGAAGAAATCAAGAAATTCTTTGAAACTAATGAGGACAAAGATAAAACATACCAGAATCTCTGGGACATAACTAAAGCAGTGTCAAGAGGAAAGTTTATAGCACTAAAAGCCCACATCAAAAAGTTAGAAAGATCTCAAATTAACAATCTAACATCAGAACTAGAAGAACTAGAGGAGCAAGAGCAAGCTCACCCCAAAACTAACAGAAAACAGGAAACAACCAAAATCAGAGCTGAACTGAAGAAGATTGAGAAGCAAAAAAAAAAAAAACGTATTAAAAAAAGAGATTAATGAATTTAAGAGTTGGTTCTTTGAAAAAATAAGACAGAGAAACCACGAGCTAGACTAAAAAATTTTAAAAAAGATTCAAATAAACACAATTAGAAATGACAAAAGGGACATTACCACTGACCTCACAGAAATACAAAAAAAAAAATCAGGGACTACTATGAATATATGCAGACAAACTAGAAAATCTAGAAGAAACAGATAAATTCCTGGACACATACAACTTCCCAAAGCTGAACCAGGAAGAAATTGAATCCCTGAACAGACCAATAACAAGTTCTGAAATTGAATCTGTAATAAAAGCCTACTAACCAAGAAAAGCCCAGAACCAGTTGGATTCACAGTAGATTTCTACTAGATGTATAAGGAAGAGCTAGTACCATTCCTACTGAAACTATTCCAAAAAAAATTGAGGAGGGAGAACTCCTCCCTAACTCACTCTATGAGGCCAGAATGGCAGAAACACAACAAAAAAAGAAAGCTTCAGGCCAACTTCCTTGATGAACACAGATGCAAAAATCTTCAACAAAATACTAGCAAACCAAATCCAGTAGCACATCAAAAAGGTAATCGACAACGATCTAGTAGCCTTTTTCCCTGGGATACATGGTTGATTCAACATATGCAAATCAATAAATGTGATTCATCACATAAACAGAACTAAAAATAAAAACTGTGATTATCTCAGAAAAGACTTTCAGTAGAATTTAACATCCATTCATGTTATAAGCTCTTAATAAACTAGGCATCAAAGGAACACACTTCAATATAATAAGAGT